>NC_000015.10:82026874-83276874 GCF_000001405.40 Homo sapiens | reverse complement strand
TACATGGCCCTCTCCATAGTCAACTGGAAGATCAGTGTGTAAACTAGAAACTGCATTTGGCTGCAAATTAAAAGAATTCCTAAATAATAGTTGCTACTCTTTCTTCTCAGCCATCCTTAGGGCATGACCTCGGTATTGCCTCATAGTCACAAAATGGTATCTGAGCTCCTGCCATCAGGTTCTTGTTCCAAGAAAGAGGAAGAGGGAAAGGCAGACAGGTCTTACAGTAGAGTCATCTGCTATTTATGAGGAGTTTTCTACAATACTTCACCCAACAATTTGTATTGTATACCATTGGTCAGTACTTAAGTCACCTGACCACCAACTGAGACTTGGAAATTAAATTTATTTTTACTAAGGCATATTGGGGAAAAAGATAACTGGGGGAAAAAGATTAATAATCAGTAAGCATAGTACAGTTCTCTCATTGATTTGTTCAATCATTCGTTTACTTTCTCAGATAATACCAGTGGAGGGCTTACCAAGTATCAGGCCCAGTGCTAAGTGTTGGTTTGGAGTTTTAGTTGTTTCATTGCCTCTTGCAGGAATGATTCATTGTGAAGCAACTTTTTTAGGGGCTTTTACCTTAGATATTTTTGGTAGCTCTGTGCAGAGTCGGACAACCAGAGCCCAGAAGACCGAAGAACTTACTTGTTGTGGGTCTGGCAGCAGTAACAGTCTCACTGTTTTGATTGATTGCTTCAGCTCCCCATCTGTGTATCCACATTAATATGGCTAACAGGCCTCTGAGGTAGGCAGGAGTAGGTTTCCAGCCCACATGATGGCCAAAGGCACCAAGGCATGGAGCTGAAGTTTTTACATGGCTTAACTGGAAGTAAGACATAGGTTGAGGCCAATCCTAGGTTTTACTACCTCTCAGTGAAAGGTGCCCGGTGAGGTGAACGGGAAGGGGCTCGGGCTCCCCAGCCCTGCAGCCAGAGGTATCTTTTTAACAGGGAGATTATATTCATTTCATACATAAAAAAAAAAAGGCTTACTGTTAAAATCCAGACTCCTTCACCTGCCCCACAAGGTCCTATGCACAGTGGTCTCTGACACCTGTCTTATTCTCATTTTCTGCTAATAACCTCAACAACTTCACTCCAGCTACATTGGCCCCTTAACTCTTCCCTGAACACCCATCTCTATTGTGCCTGAGAGCCTTTGCACTTGCTATGCCTTCTCCCTTAAATACTTCCTCTCTCTCCAGTCTGCACATGACCAACTCCTTGGCATGCCTTGGGACTCAATTCACATGTTACCTCCTCAAAGGCTCTTGATGATGACTCAATCTAAAACATTCTTACTCCTGTCCCTATCCCTCCATGCCACCCAGTTAAATCATTAGCATAGCTTTCTTCTTAGTTTTTTTTTTTTTTTTTTGAGATGGAGTCTCTGTCGCCCAGGCTGGAGTGCAGTGGCACAATCTCGTCTCACTGCAACTTCCACTTCCCGGGTTCAAGCAGTTCTCCTGCCTCAGCCTCCCAAGTAGCTGGGATTACAGGCATGCGCCACCACGCCTGGCTAATTTTTGTATTTTTAGTAGAGATGGGGTTTCGCCATGTTGGCCAGTCTGGTCCTGAACCCCTGACTTCAGGTTCCCTGCCTCGGCCTTCCAAAGTGCTGGGATTATAGGCGTGAGCCACTGCGCCTGGCCTCTTCTTAGTTCTTTCATAACACTTGCCTTATTCTGAAATGATACTGTTTGTTGTTCATTTCCTGTCTCTGCCCTTTAGAATATAAGCTCCTTGAAGGTAGGGACCTTATCAGTTTTGTTCAACATTTTAATCTGTAGAATTTAGAACAATGCCTGGCTCATAAATGCTCAGTAAATACTTATTCAATGAATGAAATGTCTTTACTGTGTGGAACTTTAATGTCCCCATCTGCAGAATGTGTATGATAATACCTAACTCTGAAAGTGGTTGTAGGAATTAAATGAAACCATAACTGTAGTTAGCACCAAATACTGATATTTCAAGGCGTAATCCTCCCCTAGTATCCAAATTTGAGACCATCCCAGTAGCCTGTAAGTTCTTTACCTTCCTCATCTATAAAATCGGGATAGTAATACCTAATCTCCCTGGGTAGTTGTGAGAAAGAAATGAAATAATTCTTGTACACTGATTAGTACAGTATCTCACATGTAATAAATGCTCAATAAGGCTCACCAACTGCGTGACCCTGGGCATGTTACAAATCTTCCATAAATTTAAGTTTCTGAGAATAATTCTCTCCTCACAGTACTGTAGTGAGGTTTAAAATAGATCACATGATAAACCACGTCAAAAAGCAGATGCTGGAAGGGTGGCTAATCTACCTACCATTGAACTCAGCCTTGTCCAGTAGAGCTTTCTGTGATGATGGAAATGTTGTGTATCTCCACTGTCCAATAGAGTAGCCACTATCTACATGTTGCTACTATGCACCTGAAATGTGGCTAGTGTGACCAAGGGGCTGAATTTTACATTTTATTTATTTATTTATTTTGAGATGGAGTCTCACTCTGTCACCCAGGCTGGAGTGCAGTGGCGCGATCTCAGCTCACTGCAAGCTCCGCCTCCCAGGTTCACACCATTCTCCTGGCTCAGCCTCCCCTGTAGCTGGGACTACAGGCGCCTGCCACCACGCCCGGCAAATTTTTTGTATTGTTTAGTAGAGACGGGGTTTTGCCGTGTTAGCCAGGATGGTCTCAATCTCCTGACTTCGTGGTCCACCCACCTCGGCCTCCCAAAGTGCTGGGATTACAGGCGTGAGCCACCGCACCTGGCCATTTTATTTAATTTTAATTAATACAAATGACTCCCTTCAAAGGGCCAGTGCTGTGAATCTGGGAACCCCAAAATTCCCTCTTCCCCTTACCAGTTAGTCCCCCAGGAATATCCCCCTGGGTTTATCTTCAGTGAAATGAAAGTATATGCACATACTAGAGATGAAAACAGCCTTGAACTAAACAGTTTTTATTCTGAGCTCAATTCAAATCCCATGAGAGACCTACTCTGTCTGGCACTGAATATCTATGTATATACCCAACTATGTGCCTAGCCTGATCACTGCCAGGAATTCAACTCAGCATCTCCTGACAAGAGGCCTGTGGTAGCATCTCCTCAAGCCAAAGGTAGAACAGGGTGTCCGAGAGACCAAGTGGGTCCAGGAGCGTGCCTAAAAACTAGGTCATAACTTTCTATCCCAAGACTGCAAAACCCAATCTTCCATCACATACTAGGTGTGTCAGTAGTTTTTAGATAAATGAGAAAACGATAGTTACGAAAAAGCAAACCAGGATTTTGAATGTTGATTTGTAGCACATCAAAGTGATTAATAACAATTCTGAAAATAGTCTGATTAAGATGAGTGCATTAAAAAGCAATGATTGTGTCTTGATGAGTTCAGAATGTTGTAAACATCTGCTTTATGTTTCTGAAGAATGGAACAAGAATGGATTCCAAAGGCTATACATTTTAAGAGTTTTCCGTTTTGATTTACATGAGTACTTTTTGTCCTGTAATTAGAATATTTTCATTTAATTTCATTTTAGAAGTTTTCATTTATCTTTAGATAATGGTGCTGTAATTTTACTATGTCGTGGAGTTCTAAGATGGGTGGAAAAACCCAAGGGCCTTGATATTGGAAGTTTTCTTAGACACTGTAATTAGCTTTTTTAGTTCATAAATAATTCCTCTGAGATTTATTTCCATAGATGTTTAATGAGCTTTATTAAGCCTTATTCAAATGGGCTCATGGAGAACCACAAGAATATTTCTCATAAAGCTGCATTCATTCATTGAATTATAGACAAAATTATTTAAAATTATCCCGAAACTGAAGCTAAAATTGCCCCCAAACTAAAACTATAGGCCCCAAATGCCCATGGGAGTGGTATAGGCCCCCCCCCAAGGGCATTTGGTAGTGTCTGGAGACATTTTTGGTGGTCACAACTGGAGGGTAGGGTGTAACTGGCATCTGGTTTGTAGCAGTCAGGGATGTTGATCAGATGTCGTACATACAGAACAGCCCCCCACTACAAAGCATTATCCAGCCAAAATGTCAGTAGTGCCAAAGTTGAGAAAACCTGACCTAGGTGACGAGATGCAAAAAATAAGTTTCAGTATTAATCTATGAAATGTGCTTGGAATTGTTCCCTCTATGATTTTGCTGTGCTGAACCTGAGACAGTCACCTGGTTTCCTGGGTTGCGTGAGCCTTTTGAGCAGAGTCTTCAGGAAGCATGTGCTTAAGGACATCTCTACTTCTGGTTAAAGCAGGTCTTATTTTCCAAATAAGCAAAATGTGAATTTACTCATATAATTCCAACATCTTGTTTTTAAAGAGTGAATGGGGCCTGGTGCAGTGGCTCACACCTGTAATTCCA
Source organism: Homo sapiens (assembly GCF_000001405.40). Lineage (NCBI taxonomy): Eukaryota > Metazoa > Chordata > Mammalia > Primates > Hominidae > Homo > Homo sapiens. The sequence goes on along the minus strand of NC_000015.10, from coordinate 83,272,503 downwards.
GCACTTTGGGAGGCCGAGGCAGGTGGATCATCTAAGGTCAAGAGTTCGAGACCAGCCTGGCCAACATGGCAAAACCCGTCTCTACTAAAAATACAAAAAAAAAAAAAAAGCCAGGTGTGGTGGTGCATGCCTGTAATACCAACTACTCAGGAGGCTGAGGCACAAGAATCACTTGAACCTGGGAGGTGGAGGTTGCATTGAGCCGAGATTGTGCCACTGCACTCCAGCCTGGCCAATAGAATGAGACTCCGTCTCAAAATAAATAAAAATTTTAAAAAAAGGAATGGCATTTTGAGGGATATAATCCAAAATAAGAACTTTTCTCCCTTTTAAAATTTTTCTGTAAAATGGTCATATTTATAGAATCAAGATTGTGAAATATTTCAGAGGTTTAGTACTGAGTGTACTGGTGCTATTGAGAATGTAGCAATAATTGGTTCATCCGTGAGCTGATGTTCAGAGGGTTGCAGCCAAGTTTGAGATGCTGGACAACGTTTTAGGTGTATTACAAACTAAGTTAATCGTGCCTTTTAGAATTTTTGTTTTGACAGTGTGTAATGTAAATTCAACCATCACTCACTTGTATCCTTTAACTTACATTCAAGGTAACTATATAATTATGTATATAGGTATACTTACATAGATGTATACTGTTCATGTATTTAATACATTTGTATGTGTATATGCAAGTAGAAACTCTGTAACCAAAAAGTAAAATAGTTTCTGTCATTAGAACAGTGTTTCTTGATTTTTTTTCATTAACCTCCACACCTAAGGAGATTTTAGACATTTTTTCTTAATTGTGCCTCTCCAAAGAAATTTTAGGATCACACCATTGCGATATAGGTTTATGTATGTATGTACATCTGTGTTTATACATAGAGTAATTCTTTCACCCCCCAAGACCAATTTTTATTCCTTTGGGGATGATAGCATCACCCTTGAGAATGCATGCATTATTAAAGTGAGTGTTAATCACATGGAGTTTTTTGTATTATACTGTACAGTTTACAAGAGCAAAACCTTTTCTCCCACATTTCCTGTTTTTTGGTAGCCTCTTGAATGGATTAGGTAATGCTGTTGCTATTTACTGTACACCTCAGTTTTAAACAGCCCTATTCCGCATCACCTGAAAATGCCTAGCTGCAGCTGTGTTCAAACCCATTCTAGTCCAAAATAAATCGTAGAAGACAGTCAAATCATGAAAAATTTAACCTGTATTTAAGCAGGGTCACTGGTTTTTTTGTTTTGTTTTTTGAGGCAGAGTCTTGCTCTGTTTCCCAGGCTGCAACCCCTACCTCCCAGGTTCAAGCGATTCTCCTGTCTCAGCCTCCTGAGTAGCTGGGTCTACAGGTGCATGCCACCACACCTGGCTAATTTTTGTATTTTTGGTAGAGACAGGGTTTCACTATGTTGGACAGGCTGGTCTTGAACTCCTGACCTCAGGTGATCTGCCCACCTCGGCCTCCCAGAATGCTAGGATTACAGGCGTGAGCCACTGCACCCAGCCTGTGTTTTAATAATATTTTTATTGAGATGTAATTGACATACCATGAAATTAACTTACAGAGTGTACAGTTGAGTGGCTTTCAGTATATTCATAGAGTTGTGCAGCTATCACTGCTATCTAATTTTAGAACATTTTCATCACCTCAAAAAGAAACCATGGTCAAAATTTGAAACTTCTGTGCTTCAAAGGATACCATCAAGAAAGCGAAGATAACCCAAGGATGGGAGAAAGTGTATGCAAATCATATATCTGGTAATGCACGTATATCTAAAATATATGGGGGTCTTGTATAACTCAATACTAAAAAGGTAAACAACCCAATTTAAAAATAGGCAAAAGATCTGAAGAGACATGTCTCCAGGGAAGACATACAAATGGCCAATAAGCACATGAAGAGATGCTGAGCACCATTCGCCATCAGGGGAATGCAAATCAAAACCACAATGAGATCTCACCCACAGTCACTAGGATGGCTCTAATGAAAAAAACAGACAATAACAAGTGTTGATGAGGATGTGGAGAAATTGGAACCCTCATACGTTGCTGGTGAGAATGTAAAATGATACAGCTGCTTTGGAAAAGTTTGGCAGTTTCTTAAAACATTAAACAAGAGTTACTATGCAATCCAGTAGTTCTAGGACTATACCCAAGAGAAGTGAAAACATGTGTCTACCATATTATTGTACATGTTCCTTTTGGGGAAGATGAAAATGTTCCAAAATTAGATTGTGATGATGGTTGCATAACTCTGTGAATATGCTAAAAATCATTGAATTGTACACCTTAAATGGGTGAGTTATATGGTATGTGTGAATTGTATCTCGATAAAGCTGTTTTTCTCAAAGATGAAAACAAACCAAACAAGAACACACTCCCTCCAACTACTACCCACTAGCAGTCACTTCTTATCCATACCCTACTCTCCACAGCCCCAGGTAACTACTAATCTGGTTTCTGCCTTTATCAATTGGCCTGTTCTTGACATTTCATGTAAATAGAATCACACAGTCTGTGACTTTTGTGCCTGGCTTCTCTCACTTAGTACATAATATTTTCAAAGTTCATCCATGTTGCAGCATGTATCAGTATTTCATTACTTTTTATTGTTCAGTAGTATTCAATTGAGTGGATATATCACATTTTGTTTATCTGTTCATCAGTTGATGGATGTTGGGGTTTTTTCTACTTTTTGGCTATTGTGAATAATCTGCTATGAACATTCATATACAAGTTTTTGTAGACATGTTTTTGGTTATTTTGGGTATACAACTAGGAGTGGAATTTCTGGGTCATATAGTAACTCTATGTTTAACTTTTTGAGGAACTGCCAGAATGTTTTCCAAAGTGGCTGTACCATTTTACAATCCCACCAGCAACCAATTTTTAAGTGGAGACTGATCATATACTCCTTAAAATGAATTTCCCAAGTCTTCAGCTAGATTCTCCTTTCCCTCTCCCCCATGCAGGGCCACATAGTCCCTCAATTGGCAGATTAGAGGTTTAAACCTTAATTGTAAGGCTTTTTTATCCCTCCTCCAGATGCGCGCGCACACACACACACACACGCACTTCCCAGTTTCAAGACTCTTGTGAATCATACAAATTCTACCCAGCAGCTCTTCCCAGGAACCTCACTGACAAAGCTGCTTTGAGGGCTTTTTCTGTTTAATAATAGATTATATTCTTCAGTACTGTATCTCCTTTGAGAAACTCATCTTAAAAATATACGTGAAGCTTTGTGGGTTTTGTCATTGTTGTTTTTGTTTTTTTGAGAGGGAGTCTCGCTCTGTCGCCCAGGCTGGAGTGCAGCGGTGTGATCTTGGCTCACTGCAACCTCAGCCTCCCGGGTTTAAGCGATTCTTCGGCCTTAGCCTCCCGAGTAGCTGGGACTACAGGCATGTGCCACCATGCCCGGCTAATTTTTGTATTTTTAGTAGAGATAGGGTTTCACCATATTGGCCAGGCTGGTCTTGAACTCCTGACTTCGTGATCCACCCACCTTGGCCTTCCAAAGTGCTGGGATTACAGGCGTGAGCCACCACGCTCAGACAAAGCTTTGTTTTTAATACTGGAACTTTGTTGGACATGTACATCTCTATTTTCAATTTCAGCTATATTTTTGTACATTCTATGCCCCCACATAAAACATGGCACCATAACATGCAAGGGGCATTGATGCAAGGCTTGTTCAGCCTGTGTCTGTCTCTGACAGTCACATAGTTCAGTGAATGGCGTCAGGGAATCATCCTCAGTGTAGTCAGCTATTACATGTTCTCAAATCTTATTTGTATTTTCAGCTTCTACCATATCTGTGGGTGGGGGGAAATAAATTTTATATGTAGATTACTCTCAGTTCATATTATTCTCCCTTTTACTTGTTCCAAGACAGCTTCTGTATACTTTCCAGGGTTGCTGCTTTAGTCAACTTAGAAATTTGGTGAAAATATGTTTACCCTTTCTATGAGCTTAATAACAGTGCAGGAGATTTCATTCTAACCCATAATCTTTTCTTATAAAAAGTTCTGATGTTTAAACTCATTCTTGAATGTGGAATATCTGTGTAATGTGTTCACGGTCTCCAGGTGCAGGGGTGGCTGCTCATCTTTCCAGAGTACAATATACACTTCTGGGCCTGGCACACAGTGGGCACATATTGCTCAATAAGTGCTGCCGAATGGAGGAATATGTTTTGTTTGAAATACAATGAATGTTTCACACATCACTTACATGCTCCACATACCTGTTTTCTCCTCTTTTTCAGGCTATCAGCTGTACTCTGAACTGTAGTTGCCAAAGTTTCAAACCCGGGAAAATAAACCACCGTCAGTGTGACCAATGCAAGCATGGATGGGTGGCCCACGGTAACTTTATTTTTCACCCTCTCTTGGCCTGTAGTGTTACCTCTAAGTAACTTAGAGTTATTCAGGAACTGATTTAATATCTTAAGAATGACAACTAACTAGTAAACTAGTAAGTTACTAGCATGTCCCAGGTAACAGGCTAAGATTCAAAGAGTCTTGAATCTTAACTACTCTATATGGGAAGTGTCTTATTAACCTCATTCTAAAGATGTAGAAACTAGTGCTTCATTGCTATCATTCTGTAATGATAGAAGTATTCTGTTCTATCTATTACAGCCTCTAGGCTAGGATTGCCAGATAAAATACAGAACGCTTAGTTAAATTTGAATTTCAGATAAACAACAGATTGTTTTTTAGCCTAGGTATATCCCAATGAATATTTTTAGTATATGTATATCCTACCCATTCATTGTTTATCTCAAATTTACGTTTGGATTTAACTGGGAATCTTTTTTTATTTGCCAAATCTGACAACTCTACAGTAGTCACTTGTGGCTACTGAGTACTTGAAATGTGACTAGTGTAACTGAGGAATGGAGTTTTAAATTTTGTTTAATTTTAACTTAATCTAAATGTAAATAGCCATATGTGACTGATGGCTATTACATTGGACAGCGTGGCCTTAGGGGGGTTAATTTGTTAAGCCCCACAACTAGAAAATGTCAAGCCCCACAACTAACGCTCAAACTCAGGTCTCTCAGATTCCCAAACCCAGATTCTTTACCCCCAGACTCTATGCTTCCTGATTAGCTATTCTCTTGATTATGCACCTCCCACCTCAGTTTTTACCCCTTTTCCTTATTCCTTCCTTGTTTGTGACTATTTCTTTCCTTAGCAAGGCCACAAGAAAGGGAGAAAAGTCTCAGGCTAGTTCATGTATTTTAGAAGTTCCTGTAAATAATTTGAAGTTTCATAGCTATTAAGGTATTTAATCATTTGTATATTCATGTATTTTCTGTGGAATAAATAACCAAGAATTGGTCCTAACCTACTTTTTTTTGCAGTGTTTCTCTTACAATTAGAACTTTTCAAAATGACATTTCCTCAATTTGATTTTTCAGCTCTAAGTAAGCTAAGGATCCCCCCCATGTATCCAACAAGCCAGGTGGAGATTGTCCAGTCCAATGTAGTGTTTGATATTAGCAGCCTCATGCTCTATGGGACCCAGGCCATCCCCGTTCGCCTAAAAATCCTACTGGACCGGCTCTTCAGTGTGTTGAAGCAAGATGAGGTTCTCCAGATCCTCCATGCCTTGGACTGGACACTTCAGGATTATATCCGTGGATACGTACTGCAGGTACAGTAAACATGAACATTGTCCTCCTAGGGTGCTTTCTGAAATTTGTGCCCATATAACTGACGTAACCCAGTTACCTCCCAATGCTACAGCCCTTGGTGGCCATCTTTCCCTTTAATACTTCTTTTCTAATGGCCTAAGCCCCTACCTCATGTTCTTGGGGGGAGTCCAAGGCTTTCCTCCAAGATACCTATGAAGCTTTAGGAGCATTACATATTCTCTGATTTGGCTTTTACTAAACTACCTCTTCCACAATAAACCATTTGCCCCATTTCAGGTGCTGCCTCCATGTCTTTCATTAGTCCCAAACTACTTACTGACACAAGATCTGTCTGTATCAGATTTTACTGAGAGTTTGGGATTGAGAAAGGGAACTTACATGAACCACACAGCAAACAACTTATAATTTCATAGCACACCTTCCTGTTCTTTAAAGCCTTCTGCCATCTCACTGATGTTCTTCCTTCTTAGGCTCTATTTTTTATATTTCTGTGTTCATGTATGCATTTGCTCATTCTCAATCTCTCTCTCTATATGTGTGTGTGTGTGTGTGTATGTCTCCCTCCCTCCCTCCCTCCCCACACCCCAGTTTTCTTTTGGCATCTTCATATATTCTCTTCTTTTCTCCAGTATTCCAAGCCCTTCATCCTCTCTGTCCTCTTTATTTTGCAGAGTAGTTTACCTCTGTTCCCAGATCATGCTGAGTGTGTAGGCTTCATGTTTCATTTCCAAAGAGGCTATCAAGGTGTTTTTAGAAGCAAAGAACATGTTTCCTGAGATGAAGCATCATTCCTTTAAGATATGAAACAGCTACAGCATTGTATTTTCTTGCCATTACATTAGAAAATGTCAAAGTTTGGTAAAAATTTCAATGAAATGGGAGGCGAACATATTTCCAAGACCAACATAGATGTCAGTCTTACTGAGGTAGGCCATGTAATTAAAATGAACACTAAAAACAATTTTGTAGACCTAGATCCACTCCCAATAATCTTAAGCTTAGGCATATTATCCCCATTTTCCAGTCAAAAAACCAGAGACTTAGAGTGCCTCAAAATCATGCTGAAAGTCATTTCACTAGTATGTGGCAGACCCAGAATTTGTACTCACTTCTTTTTAACTCAAAAGACCATAATCTTCCCCTGTAAAAATGTTTGCTCACCTCTAGTGCAGGACCCCCAGCAGACTAGAAACAACCGTTTATGTAGAGTAGCATTATGACCTTACGTTAGGACATAGATCAATATTTAATGATCCTAATAATCTTGCTTTCTAGTGTTAGGATTAAAAATATGGAATCAATTACCTTGAACCTCTAGTGCATGAAAAATTTATGATGTTACATTCTTCATCATCTTCAAAACTCTTACATGCACTGTGAAAAATCTCAGTAGGCCATCAAATACATGTTCTGTGATAAAATATTTATTGTAGTTTTGGGAAAAGTTAGGCCTTGCTAGAGTTTGAAAGATCTCCAACACTCCAGTGTAATTACAGCCCTGCTTTGTGAATGTGTGCAGTAGATCAATACAGTTCATTTGTTTTCTGATGTTAGTTGCTTAGGAAGATTATTAAACTTGCAGCAAATGAATACTTGAGCTGCATCTAGGCCTGATTGTTCCATCTATTCTCTTTAGATAAAGAAGTTACTATTGTTCAAATGATACATATTTTAATTTTAGCAGGGAAAATTATTATGTCTAATGCTAGACAAGCAATTGGTCTGAAATGAGGTGAAAAATAATCACTACATTTCCCTGACTTCACTTGAGTAATATGGTTTTATTTGTCTCTTTTGCACCAATTGTAGGACTACTGCTAATATTTGTGCAGCTTATGTTCTGCACAAAGCTTCTGGCCTGGGAGAGTAGGGTGAGCAGGGACTAAATTCCCCAAAGCCCTGCATTCATCTTTTTCCTATATGCACAAAAGTATCCCATAGTCTAGTGGACTACATTTTTAGAGGAAAGGGTAAGGAGTTGTAAATTGATCACACTTCTAACATCTGGTTTGGGTTTAGGATGCATCAGGAAAGGTGTTGGATCACTGGAGCATCATGACCAGTGAGGAAGAAGTGGCCACCTTGCAGCAGTTCCTTCGTTTTGGAGAGACCAAATCTATAGTTGAACTCATGGCAATTCAAGAGAAAGAAGAGCAATCCATCATCATACCACCTTCCACAGCAAATGTAGATATCAGGGCTTTCATCGAGAGCTGCAGTCACAGGAGTTCTAGCCTCCCCACTCCTGTGGACAAAGGAAACCCCAGCAGTATACACCCCTTTGAGAACCTCATAAGCAACATGACTTTCATGCTGCCTTTCCAGTTCTTCAACCCTCTGCCTCCTGCACTGATAGGGTCATTGCCCGAACAATATATGTTGGAGCAGGGTCATGACCAAAGTCAGGACCCCAAACAGGAAGTCCATGGGCCCTTCCCTGACAGCAGCTTCTTAACTTCCAGTTCCACACCATTTCAGGTTGAAAAAGATCAGTGTTTAAACTGTCCGGATGCTATTACTAAAAAAGAAGACAGCACCCATTTAAGTGACTCCAGCTCATACAACATTGTCACTAAGTTTGAAAGGACACAGTTATCCCCTGAGGCCAAAGTGAAGCCTGAGAGGAATAGCCTTGGTACAAAGAAGGGCCGGGTGTTCTGCACTGCATGTGAGAAGACCTTCTATGACAAAGGCACCCTCAAAATCCACTACAATGCCGTCCACTTGAAGATCAAGCATAAGTGCACCATCGAAGGGTGTAACATGGTGTTCAGCTCCCTAAGGAGCCGGAATCGCCATAGCGCCAACCCCAACCCTCGGCTGCACATGCCAATGAACAGAAATAACCGGGACAAAGACCTCAGGAACAGCCTGAACCTGGCCAGCTCTGAGAACTACAAGTGCCCAGGTTTCACAGTGACGTCCCCAGACTGTAGGCCTCCTCCCAGCTACCCTGGTTCAGGAGAGGATTCCAAAGGCCAACCAGCCTTCCCAAACATTGGGCAAAATGGTGTGCTTTTTCCCAACCTAAAGACAGTCCAGCCAGTCCTTCCTTTCTACCGCAGTCCAGCCACGCCTGCCGAGGTAGCAAACACGCCTGGGATACTCCCTTCCCTCCCGCTGTTGTCCTCTTCAATCCCAGAACAGCTCATTTCAAACGAAATGCCATTTGATGCCCTTCCCAAGAAGAAATCCAGGAAGTCCAGTATGCCTATCAAAATAGAGAAAGAAGCTGTGGAAATAGCTAATGAGAAAAGACACAACCTCAGCTCAGATGAAGACATGCCCCTACAGGTGGTCAGTGAAGATGAGCAGGAGGCCTGCAGTCCTCAGTCACACAGAGTATCTGAGGAGCAGCATGTACAGTCAGGAGGCTTAGGGAAGCCTTTCCCTGAAGGGGAGAGGCCCTGCCATCGTGAATCAGTAATTGAGTCCAGTGGAGCCATCAGCCAAACCCCTGAGCAGGCCACACACAATTCAGAGAGGGAGACTGAGCAGACACCAGCATTGATCATGGTGCCAAGGGAGGTCGAGGATGGTGGCCATGAACACTACTTCACACCTGGGATGGAACCCCAAGTTCCTTTTTCTGACTACATGGAACTGCAGCAGCGCCTGCTGGCTGGGGGACTCTTCAGTGCTTTGTCCAACAGGGGAATGGCTTTTCCTTGTCTTGAAGATTCTAAAGAACTGGAGCACGTGGGTCAGCATGCATTAGCAAGGCAGATAGAAGAAAATCGCTTCCAGTGTGACATCTGCAAGAAGACCTTTAAAAATGCTTGTAGTGTGAAAATTCATCACAAGAATATGCATGTCAAAGAAATGCACACATGCACAGTGGAGGGCTGTAATGCTACCTTTCCCTCCCGCAGGAGCAGAGACAGGTAAGGCATCTGTAGGCAATCATTTTTTCTAAGGCAGTGGCTCTTCAAGTTTAACATGCATCAGAATCACCCGGAGAATTGTTAAAACACAGACTTCTGAGCCCCACCCTAGAATTTCCACTTCATTAGATCTAGGGTGAGGCCTGAGAGTTGGCATTTTTAACAAGTTCCCAGATGATGCTGATGTTACTATTCTGGGGGTCACAGTTTGAGAAACACTGTTGTATGAATTTTCATATTTCAACATTCATGAATACAAGTTCCCAGATGATGCTGATGTTACTATTCTGGGGGCTACAGTTTGAGAAACCGTTCTATGAATTTTCATATTTCAACATTCATGAATTTTTACTTCCAAAAACCTAACCTAATTTGGCTGCAAAACCTGACCTGAAGTGATGTGAGGCTACTTGTAATCTTCTTTAATCTCCTTTTGTGTGGATTTATAAATACATATATAGTACAAATAGTAATGGATTTATTATAGGGCATTAACAATGTTTCATTATATGCATCATTCTGCCTGTCTGAAGTCTGAGAAATTCTGAACTCAGAAACACATCCGGCCACAAGGGTGTGGGATAAGAAATCATGAACTATGGCCAGGCGCGGTGGCTCATCCCTGTAATCCCAGCACTTTGGGAGGCCAGGGCGGGCAGATCACAAGGTCAAGAGATCGAGACCATCCTGGCCAACATGGTGAAATCCTGTCTCTACTAAAAATAGAAAAATTAGCTGGGCGTGGTGGCATGCACCTGTAGTCATGTCCCAGCCACTGGGAAGGCAGAGGCAGGAGAAACGTTTGAACCCGAGAGGCAGAGATTGCAGTGAGCTGAGATCATGCCACTGCACTCCAGCCTAGCGACAGAGCGAGACTCTGTCTCAAAAAAAAAAAAAAAAAAAAACATGAACTAGTTGTCACATTAGCAGGTTGAGTAAAGCGTAAACAACTATTTGAATAAGAGTGAGAAGGGAGCTTTTTAAATTGCCACTATAGCGTCCCAAAACGTGACTCATTTTCATTTGATAATATGAAATCCATAGAATAAAATATTTTCCTTTATTTCTAGTTACCCAGCTACATTTGAAAGGAAGAATCACTGCTTGATTGAAGGTTTTTTAAATATTAAGTTATAAAAGAATAAAGGTGATTGGCAGGTTGTTTCAGGGACTGTGATTTCTGGTTGAAAGATCCTGAGTTTTCATGACACACACACGCAGGCAAACTGTTTACAAAGTCCCCCGCTATAGAGCATATCTCATCACCGTGGGGATAGCAGTGGTGTTACTGTCTTGCTTGTGCTTTTCTTCATGAACTTGAGTCACCTAACCACTCTTCAGGTCACCTTCCTCCCTAGCCTATAAATGGAAGAGCAAGCATACCAAAAGATGGCCCCAGGAGGCTTATGGAAAAGATCAGCTGCCTGATGAAATGGAATATGATAAATGTTAAATGGTACACTGAATATTAAAATGCTACATTTGCAGAAACAAGCTTGACTTGAAGCAGTTCAACACCACCACTTGGTCCAAGTTGTAATGCCTAATTTGTTAAGAGGGTGAAAATGTACAGACTCCCACACACATTCCTGGACAGGGCTCATAAGAACATACTTATTGTCTTTAGCAAAGAGGATAGAGCACAGGAGATATTAGTTAAATGTTTATATTAAATCAGTGTTTCTACTGATAGGATGTTGAACCAAACCACCAAGGCACCCTAATTAGTGAACCAGTCCTTCTTCAGCCTCCAAGAGGAGGAGTGTTTGTTCATGAATAAGCTGTTGCTACAGAGACAGTCATGTTGGTCATATTATCTTTGATATTTATGATACTGTTCTATCCTACAATATCTACTAAATTGGAAGGCATATTGGATTCAAGATACTTTTTCATTTGATATTTATTTTTTCATAGATTTAATATTTCCTTATGTTCTGACCTATTTGTATTAATAGATCCGAGCCTTCCCCCACCACAACAGGAAAGCATCTTGCGTTATAAATTAAAACCACTAATTAGTCTAGAACTTGAAATGCATTTTACCTAGAATCTATGATTTAAGTTACAGTATTTTAAATTTGACTTTGTGGGCAGGCCCAGACCTGACACCATTTCTCTCAGTCAGAGATTGAGAACCACATTCCTGTAGGGACATTTAACTTCTCTTTGAGCCACTGCTACTGCCAGCAACAGTTACCAAGACCCATCAGGAAGGGACTGGGACAACACCCTGGATGCTTATTTACCCAGCAAATATTAAGAACTGTCTATGTTAGGTGCTGGGGACATAATCCCTGCCCATAGAGGCCTTCTGTAGTGGAGGAGACAGACCAGAAACAGGCAATTACAGTTGAATGTGATTACTTCTGCAGTGAAGGAAATGTAGGCTGTTGTGGGAGGGCACCTTGAGAAGTTAAGGAAAGCTTCCTGGAAGAAGGGATATGTCTACACCAGTAACTCTGAAACGTTTTGGTCTTATAACCCCTTTACAAATACTTAAAACCTAAGGTTACTCAAGAGCTTTTCTCTATTTGGGTTATATCTATCAAAATTTATCATATTAGAAATTAAAAATTTAAAAATTGTAAAACTTTAAATTATATATTAACATATGTTTATGAAAAAAACCCTACATTTTCCAAAGCAAAAATTTAGTGAGATGAGTGGCTTTGTTTTACATTTTTGTAAATCTCATTAATGTCTGACTTCGTAGAAGACAGCTAGATTCTCATATCTGCTTCTGCATATGCTCTGTTGCAAAATTGTGTTACGTAGCCTCTGAAAAACTCCACTGTTCACTCATGAGACAATGAAAGTGAAAAAGGCAAATAATATCTTAGTATTATGAAACTTTGACTTCAGGAACCCCCTGAAAGGGCCTCAGAGATCACTAGGGGTGCTCAGACCACACTTTGAGAACCACTGGTCTCAACTAATCAAAATAGAAGCCAAGAGGAAGAGTTGGAGGGGAGAGGTAGAGGTTGTAGGGTTGAAGGGAAGAGATGGAGACATGGGCAGTGAGTACAGGATTAGGAGAGTCCTAGAAACCAAAGCCTGGCACATGATCCAGAGGGTTTTTACAGTTGTAGTAGTTACTGGTCTTAGGGGACATGGCACCTCAGGAAATGTATCTAACCCTCTAAGGCTTGAGAGGAGCGAGAGCCCACAAGTTAGCCATTAGTATGCATGGAATACTCAGGAGTTGAGTATGAGTCCCAGAGGTTTGCTTTGTTCCAGTAGGGACCTTTCTTTACAAGGTTCCAATAAAAGTGTTTGTCTTTCTTTTTAACCACTTGTATGTACTGGAACCTGTACGTCCACCCAGTGTCTGGTTTTCTGTCGGCACATACCAGCCCCTTCAACCCAGAATGCTGACATAATCACAGGGCAGAGTTGGAGTTAAGAAGGGCTGCTTGCAAAGTGGGTGATCTGGGAGTATAATTCTGATTATGTCCAGAATATATGTGTAAGGGAATAGAAGACAGAAGTTGAACAGTAAATTTTGTACATTTTATAAAACATAAGTAAGCTTCCCACACACGTCTTTGGGGATTTAAAAAGTTCAATTCTTAGTTATTTTGGTGAAGGTGTTTTCCCAACTTGACTCTGCCATACATTCTGATATGTATTGGGGGAGTGTTTTCTCTATTTGGAATAATTCTCCTATCACCTTTAAGATTGTAACCCCCTTGGTAAGGACTTTTGCTTGTCAAAAGTTAGCAGAGGATTTCTGAGGAAGACCAACATTGATTTACAAGTTAATTCCAAATGATAACATATGACTAAAAGGCATGTGTCATAATGGATACTCATTATCTGTCCTTCGAGAGTAATCATTGGGTGGAAGATTGGTGGTATGCTTATTCTGCTGCATTTGCAAAACTTCTGTCTGGTATAGGATAGTGAAACGTTACAAATATGAACTAAACTACATACACACACAATTCTAGCCAATTGGATTCTCAACCACACTTTTAGAATTTTTGGGATGAAGTGTATGTCAATGCTCTTGACCAGTGCTATCCAATAGAAATACGATGCAAGCTTCATATGAAATTTTAAATATTATAGCCACTGTAAAAAAGCAGATGCAGTAAAATTTAATAACATTTAACTTCAGTATATCCAAAATATTATCCTTTCAACATATGATACTAGCCACATTTCAGGTGTTCAGTATCCATATATGGCTAGTGGCTATCATTGGACAGTGCAGCCCCAGAAGGTAATGTTTCCTGATTTCATTGAAATAAAGTCCTTTTCTTAGTTCCTTATAGTTTGTGACCAGTTTTCTCCTGGGATCTCCTGGTTCCAGTGTCCTAGTTAAACTAGTCTAGTTGATTTAGTCTAGTCATTCTGGGAGACAGACCAGAAACAGGCAATTACAGTTGAATGTGATGACTTCTACAATGGGGGAAGTGCTGCTGTGGGCACATGGGAGGGCACCATGAGAAGTTAAGGAAAGCTTCCTGGGAGAAGGGGTATGTCTAAACCAGTAGCTCTGAAACAGTGAGCTCATTTACAGAAAGGACATGAGGTACAGAAAGTACATCAAACAGACACTGGAAATCAAAGAAGACTACATATTCTCAGTATCCAGACTGTCGGCTTTCCTGGTGAACACTAACTTCTGGCAAGCAATGAACAACAGTGGGTCTGTATCCACCAGACAGGTGTTACATCCCATGGGGGCCTACCCCCTTATCATCGGTGCTCCCATACCACATGTTTTTCCTGGTATCTACCAAGTCTCTCCACTCAGAATGATGACTGTTTCTAAAACAGCCCAACCCATTACTAACCATCTTTTCACTCTTGTAGACACAGCTCAAACCTAAACCTCCACCAAAAAGCATTGAGCCAGGAAGCATTGGAGAGTAGTGAAGATCATTTCCGTGCAGCTTACCTTCTGAAAGATGTGGCTAAGGAAGCCTATCAGGATGTGGCTTTTACACAGCAAGCCTCCCAGACATCTGTCATCTTCAAAGGAACAAGTCGAATGGGCAGTCTGGTTTACCCAATAACGCAAGTCCACAGTGCCAGCCTGGAGAGCTACAACTCTGGCCCCTTGAGCGAGGGCACCATCCTGGATTTGAGCACTACCTCGAGCATGAAGTCAGAGAGTAGCAGCCATTCTTCCTGGGACTCTGACGGGGTGAGTGAGGAAGGCACTGTGCTTATGGAGGACAGTGATGGGAACTGTGAAGGGTCGAGCCTTGTCCCTGGGGAAGATGAGTACCCCATCTGTGTCCTGATGGAGAAGGCTGACCAGAGCCTTGCTAGCCTGCCTTCTGGGTTGCCCATAACCTGTCATCTCTGCCAAAAGACATACAGTAACAAAGGGACCTTTAGGGCCCACTACAAAACTGTGCACCTCCGGCAGCTCCACAAATGCAAAGTACCAGGCTGCAACACCATGTTTTCGTCTGTTCGCAGTCGAAACAGACACAGCCAGAATCCCAACCTGCACAAAAGCCTGGCCTCATCTCCAAGTCACCTCCAGTAACAAGATGGCAAACCAAGTATGCTCAGATAAGCTTTTTTCATAATTCAGGAATAAAGTAGTCCATAGAAATGTTTCTGTTTCATATCATTTGGGGCGAGTCAGGCAAAAGTATTTGATTTGACTTTATAGTTTTCCACAGCACAATGAGCAAAAGACAAACCTCGTGGGAAGATGACACTGGGGCAGCCCTTCCTATTATTTTTCTTAGCCCAAGAGGTCTTTCACTGATACAAGGAAAACTTGCAGAAATGTGATTTTTCCCAGATTTGTTTACATGTTCCCTGGGACAGATCCAGGTCTGCAGATCGACACCAGTGGGCCCAGGACCTGGGGGTGGCTTTAAATGAGGCTTGCAGTGTTAAAGGTCTTGGATAAGAAGGGTCCTGGGGAAGAAGACTCTGTGGACAAGATACCAGTCCCCAAAACAGCATTTTCAGTTCCTTCTTCAATTAGTTTGAAATCCAGACCTGAGTTTGGAAGACTGATTTTTTGAGACCATCCCTGTGTTTGGAGTGGATAATTGTCCCTCCCCTCAGCCCTGCACCAGAGGTCTCATATGTTACCCCAGGGAGTTCTCAGAGGATTGGGTTGGCCTCTAACATGTTCCTTGTTAATTCTTGTTCTGTAACATGCATTCAAGAAGCTAGGGGAAAAATATCTCATGCACTTAAATAATGGTCTTCAATTTAATTTAAAAATATTTTGACAATATTTAATTTGTGCTTATGTGGTGTTTGGTGTGAGTGCAGATATTGCACTGTGTCACCTCTGGATCTCTGCTCAGAAGCAGAACAAGTGATGACCTAAATGTCAAAATCACTGCTCGTTTTCATTTGGTGAACTTCAAACTCTGTTCTTTTTGGTCACCTGTGGAATGAATGCAAGCATGATTTTGGCAGGAACATTTGTACATATTCTGCCGTAGATAATGTGGTTCTGATGGTTGTTGTGTATTTTCAGTATCACTGGATCCCTCAGTCTTCACCGTTTTATAAACGTATAAGATTAGGATGAACTTTTGAATTTACTTGGTAGGAAAAAAAGTAGGACATTATTGCCATATTGTATGTCTTAATATTTAACTTATTCGGAAATATATTCCACACTGTTACATACATTTTCCATGGTAGAAAGGAAGTTCAGTCAGTCCTGTGGAATGAAACCATCTCCTAAAATTCAGCATTTGCAGCATTCTAAAAGCCTGTGTAGGTACAAGGACATTGATTTTGTATTCAGAATTCAAGTTAACTATCTTTTAAATTCGTGGTTGATGTAAGTAATAAAAAACATTCTTAAAGTTGAGGGTTATAAGAGAGATTATTTCTGTGGTCTAAAGGTTAAAAAGCCAACAACCTGTTACCAATTATTTCAGCTTTTTTTGTTTTAATAAGTGTGACAACTTAAAACTTGTTTCTATTTAAAGTGAAATGTATCTTTCAACTGTTTAGTTACCCAGCTGTTTAATATTCCAGTCTTCCCAAAGTGAAAAGATTTGTATACAAATGTTTTCTATGATTTAATAAAAATATATGGCACACCTTTTGTTTAAAAAGGCAAACATTTGTAAAAATGGTTTTGTCATATGGGCTGCGTTTTGTACAAGTGTATATCCTTATGCACACACACAGAGATGCATTATGAATTTGACAGAGCTGAAAACCCTGGAGGGTGGGGGAGAGTTTGGTGGACAGGGAAGAGTGTCAGTAACTACTGACACATCAAACAAAAGTTGCAGAAATTAGTGAGTTCAAAAAGAAAAGAAGTGGTTACTTCATTGGGAGGGGGATTTGGGTGTGCTGATCTTTTATCAAGAAAAATACAGCCCGGTCCCAGTGGCTTATGCCCGTAATCCCAGCACCTTGGGAGGCCAAGGCGGGCAGATTACTTGACATCAGGAGTTTGAGACTAGCCTGGCCAACATGGCCAAACCTTGTCTCTACTAAATATACAAAAAATTAGCCGGGCACAGTGGTGCATTCCTGTAATCCCAGCTACTCGGGAGGCTGAGGCATGAGAATCACTTGAACCCAGGAGGCAGAGGTTGCGGTGAGCTGAGATCGCGCCACTGCACTTTTGCCTGGCAACAGAGCAAGACTCCATCTCAAAAAAAAAAAAGTGATTAAAAAAAAAATACAGTGCTATCAAAGAGAAATCTCCAAATGCTCCAAATAGAGTGCAGTGAAAAAAATGTTAAGCCTCTTCTTAAAAATGCAGGTTTTTAAAAAAAACAGATTTTTGTAACTTTTAATTTTTTCACCTTTTTTCCTAGTCTTCCAATATATAGATAAGAGTATGATCCTATCTACCCATCCAGCCCCACTCTCAGTTGATGTTCTTGCTTCATATTTCACTGGGAGAAAAGTTATCAGAGGGAAACTAAACACATCTACCATCATCTGTACTGTTCTCCCCCTACTCTAAGCCCTGTCTCCTTTCTGAATGATTGCAGTTGCCTCTTAACTGATCTGTTGTTTCCATTCATACATTCTACAATGGCCAAAGTGGTCCTTCTAAGATGTACAACAGATGATGTAGTGCCTCATCTCAAAACCATCCAGTGGTTTCCCTTAACAGTTAGTATAAAATCCAGTCTCCCAAGGCCTACAGCTTTGTCATTTGGAAGGTTCCCACCCCTGCTACTTCTCCATCCCCTTTTCCCACTAGTCTCCTTACATTTTATCTGTCACCAGCTTTATCTTCCTTCTCCCACAGTTCTTCTAAAACCACTTTGCAAGATCCCACCCCACCAACTCTCCATATTCACAGTAGCTGGCCTCACTGCCTACTCTCGGATAATTGAGAGACCTCCTCCCCCATTGCCCACCACCTCCTTTTCAGTTTGTGTATAATGACACCCATCTTCATGTGGTCATATCTGCCTCAACCTCCTGAAAATCCACCTTATGCCTGGTGGGCCGTCACAGTAAGCTGCAAACATCTCTATGAGAAAGTTACCAGGATCCCACCACCACCCATTTTGCTGTCACATTCAGACCCATCATGATCTCCCTGGGCTCAACACCTGTCATTGAGGGATCTGAAATTCCCTGGCTCAGCCTTTCTGGTTTTATCCACTTGCGCCTATAAGGGGCTGTGTTTGGGTCCTCCATGATGCCGATGCCAACAGGGCTAAATGTGCATGGATTTTATTAAGATAAATTACTTTGAGATGAAATAGCCGGGCTGGGCACAGTGGCTCACGCCTGTAATCCCAGCACTTTGGGAGGCCGAGGCAGGTGAATCACAAAGTCAGGAGATCAAGACCATCCTGGCTAACATGGTGAAACCCCGTCTCTACTAAAAATACAAAAAAAATTAGCCGGGTGTGGTGGCAGGTGCCTGTAGTCCCAGCTACTTGAGAGGCTGAGGCAGGAGAATGGCATGAACTGGGGAGGCAGAGCTTGCGGTGAGCTGAGATCGCGCCACTGCACTCCAGTCTAGGTGACAGAGCAAGACTCCGTCTAAAAAAATTATATATATATATATATATATGGAGAGAGAGAGAGAGAGAGAGAGCCAAGGAAAGCTGGGAGAGCCAGCCTGTGCAACAGAGTTTTGGCTCTCAGTGAAGGGGAGAGGGAGGGAAGGTCAGGTGAAAGTATCCAAAGCTGACACAGTCTGAGGAAGTTCAGGAAGGCCATAAGGAGCTCTTGAGCCAAGGTCAACCATCAGAGCAGTCCTGCGTCTCCGGGGAATGGGTTCCCTGCAATTATATTCCTGCCATGATCAGTCATTGGCTTTGAGCAGCCCATGGGAAGGGTGCCACAGAGCAAGTGTTAACAGTGGATTTCAGAGTATAGTAGGGGGAGCCCTTGGCCAAATCTTACCTTTCTAAAGCCCCTATATGCTGTTAAAGGTGCATTCAAACCAATACTTAACTTTTCTCTGGACTCAAAAGAAGTTTCCCTATTCTTTCTGAAGCCTGATGCCCTCACTTCACCCCTTTAGCTGCCTCAAGGATGTGGTGCCAGCCCTTCTTTCCCATTCATTATCAAACTCATCCTTTCCATCTCTCTAGGATGGCTCCATCTCTCTAGTTTATGACATTTGCAGATCTCTCTCATCTTAATGATTAAAAGAAAGAAAAAGACAGCCTTCTGGACCCTGATTACTGATCCCTTCTAGTGATATTCTCTCCTCCTCCTTCTACAGCCAAGGACCTTAGAATAGCAGATTTACCTCTCCCCTAATCACTGCACTCTTGTTTCTTCCCCTTACCCTTTAGGGTCCCTTACCATTTAGGAAACCAAGGTTCCCAGTGACTTCCTAATGGCCACATCCAAAAAGACACATTTGGTTCTTCAGTGTCCCCTAGTCTTGTTCTTGACCTATTCCTCTCCTCTCATTCTTTCTCCTAGGTTGTCTCATTCATTCCCATGACTTTACTGTCTGTAGGCTGGTGCCTCCTAAGTCTACCCCTCCAACAGAGTCCCTCCATAGCTGCACTCCTGACTAGCAAATACCTACTGGATATCACAGAATAATCCACAGCATCTCCAGCCCAACTTGTCCCAAACTCAGTTTGTCATTTCACCACCAATCAACCATTTTCCTCCTCCTGTTTCCTTGGATTGAAGAATGGTGCCACCACCCACCCAGCCAACCCAAACTAAAAACCCAGGGTCAATACCAGGCATGGTTAAGAGCATGGCTCTTCAGGTCGCTGGGGTCAAACCTTGGCTACTCCACATACTAAATGAGTGGCCTTGTCCAAGTCACAGCTTTTTGGGTCTCAGTTTCTTCGTCTGTATAATGAGGATAAAAACAACGCCTGTAATCCCAGCACTTTGGGATGCCGAGGCAGGCAGAACACTTGAGGCCAGGACTTTGAGACCAGCCTGGCCAACACAGTGAAATCCTGTCTCTACTAAAAATACAAAAATTAGCTGGGTGTGGTGGCGCACCCCTGTAGTCCCAGCTACTCAGGAGGCTGAGGCACAAGAATCACTTGAACCCCGGAGACGGAGGCTTCAGTGAGCCGAGGTCACACCACTGCACTCCAGCCTGGACAACAGTGCAAGATTCTGTCTCAAAAAACAAACAAACAAAAACAGTCTCACCCCTCCCCCCCAAAAAGAAAAGGTACTGATCAGAATTAAAACACCCATCAACAATAACAAAATAGTCTGTACTTTAGTGGTTTGTGATGAGGCTCAAATGACAAGGTGTTTATGAAGCACTTAATGCCTGGAACATAAGCACTCAACAGATGTTAACTACAATGTCTTCGTCATCCTCATCATCATCACTATCCTAGGCTTCTTTTATTTCATTCCCTATAGCCAGCAATCAGTTGCCAAATCCCAACAAGTCTACCTACCAAAAAACACTCTAAAACCCCTTTTCATGTGCGTAATCAATGTTAGTTCAACAAGACAATCCTCTCCTTCTTTCTCTTCCTTCTCTAAGGCTATCTCAACAGCCTTTTGACTTACTCTCAAATCCATCCTTCTGATGACGTCCCCAGGGGGTTCTACAGTAACAGAAAATCCTTTGTGACCATGCCTGGCCTCAGCAGGCTGACCCCAGCCCTTGCTCCACAGTCTCCGCTGGTGAGCTGCCTATGACCATGCATGTATTGCTGGCTCTGCGGGAGCTGCCTTTGCAGTCCCCCATAACCCTTGAGCCTCCCCTTGAGCCTCAGCTCAGGTATCATCATTTCCAGGAAGCCAACTCCTTCCCCCACAGTGCTGGGCGAGCCTATGGCACCGTGTGATCGAGGTTTGCTTACAGACTTGCTTTACCACCGCCCCCCAACCTCATTTGCAGTCCTACTGTCAGCACTCCCCCTTCAACAAGGGGCTTTACCCATGGCCTCCAGTTTTCAATCAACAGATCTATTGAGAACCCACCTACTATGTGCCTAGCACTGTTAATCTATGGTGGTAAGTATAATATACACCGTCCCCGCCCTTGTCCACAAGGCTCTGAAAATGTATTTACACCCTACCCTAGCAAGGGTCCAAGAATATATGGGCACAGATATGGCAGATTGTCTATTTTAGGTTGTCTTTTTCCTGAGTGACCTGATTCACTCACATCCTGATTTTGCCTGATTTCTTAAAATCTACCTCTATTAGGAAAGTTTATAAGCCACTGATTCTTTTTTTCCTTTATGATAAAATTTGCATAACATAAAATTTACCATTTTAACCATTTTAAAGTATACAGTTCAGTGGCATTTAGTCCATTCACAATGTTGTGCAACCATCACCTCTATCTAGTTAAAAAGCATTCCATCACCCCAAAACAAAACCCTGTACCCAGTAAGCAGTTTTCCCCTCACAGCAGCCCCTCACAACCACTAATCTACTTTCTGCTTCTATGGATTTGCTTATTCTTGATATTTCCTGTAAGTGGAATCACAAAAGCCAGCCTTTTGCAACTGGCTTCTTTTACTTAGTATAATGTTTTCAAGCTTCATTCCAGTTGTAACATATATCATTCCTTCTTATTGCTACATAGTATTTCATCATGTGGATATGACATATCCATTTTAATTTGTTTATCCATTCATCAGCCAATGGACATTGGATAGTTTCCATTTTTTGGCTATTATGAATAATGCTGCTATGAACATTCATGTACAAGTTTTTGTGTGGACATATGTTTTCAATTCACCTGGGTATATACCTAGGAGTGGAATTGCTGGATCATATGTTAACTGTGTGTTTGACTTTTTGAGAAACTGCCAGACTGTTTTCCTAAGGTCACTGATTCTTAAACATAGCTACACACTGGAATCACCTGGGCAACTTTTAGAAAGTGCTGTTTCCTAGGTCCCACCCTCGGAGGTTCTGATGTAATTGGTCTACTTTGTGGCCTGGGCAGGGGGAGTTTCAAAGTTTCCCAGGTGATTTTCCCCAGCCTGGGTTGAGAATTTCTGATATAGACGAAGGGGACTCAGAGGTGTTGTATGCATCAATAACTCTTGAATCTGCCCTCTGAAGTCAGTGTTTTTAGATCTGTTTGATTGTGAGAATTTTCTGGGACACTTAATAAAAATACGTATTCTGGGCAGGTGCAGTGGCTCATGCTTGTAATCCCAGCACTTTGGGAGGCCAAGGCTGGAGGATTGCTTGAGCCTGGGAGTTTGAGACCACCCTGGGCAATATAGCGAGACCTCATCTCTACAAATAATAAACAAAATTAGCTGGGCATGGTGGCACATGCCCGTAGTCCCAGCCACTCAGGAGGCTGAGGTAGGAAAATCACTTGAGCCTGGGAGGTTGAGGCTGCAGTGAGCCATGATCACACCACTGCACTCCAGCCTGGGCAACAGAGTGAGACCCTGTCTCAAAACAAACAAACAAACAAAAACAACCTAGGCCCTTCTTCTGGAAATGTCCTACGTAGAGGGTCTCAGAAGGGTACTGGGAATCTGAAGGTTCAACATACACTTCAGGTGTATTTTATGATCTGGCAAATTTCTAAGCAATATCTTAGATCCTCCTTGTTTCTTAAAATGTGGGCCCTGACCAGTATCGTCAGTATCACCTGGAGCTTGTAAGCAATGCAAATTCTAACAACAACTAAATCAGAACCTGCATTTTAACAATTCTGCAGTGACTGTAAGCACATTAATAACTTAGAAGCACAGTGTTAGACTACCAGCCTCAAGCAGTATAGTCCCCAAACAAGCGGTTCTCATACTTGAGCATGCCTTAGATTCTCCGAAAGGCTCATTAAAACACAAGTTGCTCCCAGAGCTTCTGATTAAGAAGGTCTGAGATGGGGCCCAAGAATTTCCATCTGTAATAAATCCCTGGTGGTGATGATGTGCCATACTGGGGACTACAGTTTGAGAATTTCTGGTCCCTCGTCTGGACCACAATTTCTCAAACTTGGCACTATTGACATTTTTGGACCAGATCATTCTTTCTTGTAGGGAATTGTCCTGTGTTTTGTAAGATGTTCAGCTGCTTCCCTGGTCTCTACCCACTAAATGCCATAGCACCCCCAAAATTATGACAACCAAAAATATCTCCACGCATTGTCAAATATTCCCTGATGGGAGTGGGTGACAAAATAGCCCCCAGTTGAGAATCACTGGTCTAGACTCTTCTTAAAAGGGAAAAGTCCTGCTACTCATTCTGTTCATGGGAAGAAAAGACTCAGTCCCTGACTTGGGCAGCCTCTCTCAGCCTCTCCTCCCACCTCCTCAGATGCTGGGGCATCTACAGAGGAGCTTGAGACCCCTGAGGGAAAACCCCTTTGGACCAGGATTTCCTCATCTGGGGAAATGAGAGCCTGTTCTTAGCTCCCTGGCAATCGTGGGGCTAGAAGAGAAGCATCTGACTGAGTCTCTGGACACCAGCTGTGCATTCCTGAGCAGGTAGCCCAGCCTGTCACCCCCCTTCTCACCCACAACTCTTTTTTTTTCTTTATTTGTCGGTTCACAATGCCTCCACGTTTATCTATTGAAATGTGTGGGTTGTTCCCTGTCCCTATGCTTCTATCTACTTATTGAAATGTGTGCATGTTGGTTCACAGTGTCTCAAAATCTACATATTTATTGAAATGTGTGGTTGGCTCAGTGTGCTTCAACGTCTTTTGCTCTTTCTTCTGCAAGACATGCTCTGGCTGATCATTAAAGCCAGATTAGTCAAGAAACTTTAAAAGCAGCCACAGGCAAACTGTTTAAAGAACAGAATGCCTATTGGTCACCTGATTCTTTTAAAACTACACCCTAGAAATCTGTGTGATTGGGAATTTTAATTAGTCTGAATTGCTATACTTATGTTCTTTGCAGAGAGCTAAGACTACTGAAAAAAAAAATTGTTTTTTTAAAGGAGCTTCCTAGCTTTCCAATCTGTGATGCTGGTTAGCATTTCAGATTGTTAGGAAATAGTGCCCTCTGCTGGAATTACTTGGTTATTGCAATAGGCATTGTGCGCTACTTCTGAGTCCTTTCAGACCTCCGAGATGTATTATGTTTGGAAAGTCCCCTGGTGACCCCATGTACCTCTTCCAGTTACAAGGCTAGCTGAAAAGAGGACATATTTTCTGAATGGTCTTAATCCTGCTTCCAGGAATTGAGTGCCTCAGCCTAGAACATTGGATTGGAGTAGGTTTCCCACGGGCTTCCCCCGCAACTCCCGAGATGGCATTTGCCTTCCGGGAGAAGAAGCTGAATCCAGAGCCCCTCCGGGTCACCAGCCACACCACACGCAGAGGACTGATGTGGTGGAAAGAACACGTTTGGGGACTCGAGGGTCCTGGCTTCAGCTTCCACCTCTGCACATCCCTAGCTGTGGGGCCTTAAACATCTCTAATGCTGGAGCCCTCATTTCCCCATCTGTAAAATTGCCGTTTCAGACTGTACTTTGAGGGGTTCTAGGGAACCTCACAGGTGCCTCACAGGCCGTTCTGGAGGGAGAGCTAAAGAGGAGATAAGAAGTAGCTTGGACAGCTCCCAAGCACCACACGAGCTCCTTCCACTTCCATCTGGTTTCATGTACATTTAATATTTTGTTCTATGTTCTGCGGCTAAAAAAGACTTTCCTCTTGAAAACCATGCAGTAGGTGACCTCTAGAATTCTTCCAGCACTTTCTCTGATTCCTACCATGAGTGTTTCTGTGAGGAGGTGTGTCTGTGTGTTGTTGCTCTAACCTGCACCACCCTGCCCTGCTTTTTGAGCCAAGTTAAGGAGAATGGTAAGGGCTGAGGGTGTTCTCTGTCTTCTTCCTGAAGAGCATCCAGCCCAAAGTAAATGTTCAGTATGTGTGATAAAAATGGCTCCTTCAAATTTACAGCCCTAAATGCCCACATCAAAAAGTTAGAAAAATCTCAAATTAACAACCTGACATCACAACTGAAGGAACTAGAGAAGCAAGAGCAAACCAACCTCAGAGCTAGCAGAAGACAAGAAATAACCAAAATCAGAGCTGAACTGAAGGAGATTGAGACATGAAAAACCATTCAAAAGATCAACGAATCCAGGAGCTGGTTTTTTGAAAAAATTAATACGGTAGACTGCTAGCTAGACTAAGAAAGAAGAACCAAATAAACTTTGTCATTTACAGAAATACAAATAACCGTCAGAGACTACTATGAACACCTCAATGCAAACAAACTAGGAAAATCTAGAAGTAATGAAGAAATTCCTGGACATATACACCCTCCATAGCTGAACCAGGAAGAAATTGAATCCCTGAATAGACCAATAACAAGCTCCAAAATTGAATCAGTAATAGGTAGCCTGCCAACCAAAAAAACCCCAAGGCTAGACAGATTCACAGCTGAATTTTACCAGATGTACAAAAAAGAGCTGGTACCATTCCTGCTGAAACTATTCCAAAAAATTGAGGAGGAGGGACTCCTCCCTAACTCATTCTGTGACACCAGAATCATCCTGATACCCAAACCTTGTAGACACAACAAAAAAGAAAACTTCAGGCCAATATCCTTGATGAACATTGATGCAAAAATCATCAACAAAATACTAGCAAACCAAATCCAGCAGCACATCAAAAAGCTTACCCACCACAATCAAGTAGGTTTTATCCCTGGGATGCAAGTTTGGTTCAAAATATGCAAATCAATAAATATGATTCATCACATAAACAGAACTAAAGACAAAAACCACATGATTGTCTCAATAAATGCAGAAAAGCCTCAATAAAATTCAACATCCCTTCATGTTAAAAACTCTCAACAAACTGGGTATTGAAGAAACATACCTCAAAATAATAAGAGTCATCTATGACAAACCCACAGCCAACATCACACTGAATGGGCAAAATCTGGAAGCATTCATCTTGAAAACTGGCTCAAGACAAGGATGACTTCTCTTTGCACTCCTATTCAACATAATATTGAAAGTCCTGGCCAGAGCAATCAGGCAAGAGAAAGAAATAAAGGGCATCCAGATAGCAAGAGAGGAAGTCAAACTATCCCTATTTGCGGACAACATGATTCTATATCTAGAAAACCCCACTCGGCCCAAAAGCTCCTTGAACTGATAAACAACTTCAGCAAAGTCTCAGGATACAAAATGAATGTGCAAAAATCACCAGCATTCCTATACACCAACAACAGTCAAGCTGAGAGCCAAATCAGAAACACAATCCCATTCACAATTGCCACTAAAAGAATAAAATACCTAGGAATACAGCTAACCAGGGAGGTAAAAGATCTTTACAAAAGGAATTCTAAAACATTGCTCAAAGAAATCAGAGATGACACAAACAAATGGAAAAAAATCCATGCTCGTGGACAGGAAGAATCAATATAATTAAAATGGCTATACTGCCCAAGGCAATTTACAGATTCAGTGCTATCCCTATCAAACTACTAATGATATTCTTCACACAACTAGAAAAAACTATTTTAAAATTCATATGGAACCAAAACAGACCCTGAATCGCCAAGGCAATCCTAAGCAAAAAGAACAAAGCTGTAGGCATCACGCTACCCAACTTCAAAGTATATTACAGGGCTACAGTAACCAAAACAGCATGGTATTGGTACAAAACCAGACACATAAGACCAATGCAACAGAATAGAGAGCTCATAAATAAGACCACACATCTACAACCATCTGATCCTCAACAAAACTGATAAAAACAAGCAATGAGGAAGATTCCTTATTCAACAAATGGTGCTGGGAGAACTGCTAGCCATAAGCAGAAGATTAAAACTGGACCCCTTTCTTATACCATATACAAAATCAACTCAAGATTGATTAAAGACTTAAATGTAAAACCTAAAACTATCAAAACCCTAGAAGACAACCTAGGCAATACCATTCTGGACACAGAAACTGGCAAAGATTTCATAATAAACATGCCAAAACCAATTGCAACAAAAGCAAAAATTGACAAATGGGACCTAATTAAGCTAAGGAGTTTCTGCACAGCAAAAGAAACTATCAACAGAGTAAGCAGAAAACCTACAGAATGGAAGAATGTATTTGCAAACTATTCCTCTGACAAAGGTCTAATATCCAGCTCTATAAGGAGCTTAAACAAATTTACAAGAAAAAGTTCCCATTAAAAAGTGGGCAAAGGACACAAACAGGCACTTCTCAAAAGAAGACATACATGTGGCTGACAAGCATATGACAAAAAGCTCAACATCACTGATCATTAGAGAAATGCAAATCAAAACCACAATGAGATACCATCTCACACCAGTCAGAATGGCTATTTTTAAAAAGTCAAAAAATCACAGATGCTGGCAAGGCTGCAGAGAAAAGAGAATGCTTATACACTGTTGGTGAGAGTATAAATTAGTTCAACCATTGTGGAAAGCAGTGCAGCGATTCCTCAAAGAGCTAAAAACAGAACTACCATTCAACCCAGCAATCCTATTACTGGGTATATACTCAAAGGAATATAAATCATTCTATTATAAAGACACATGCACGCATATGTTCATTGCAGCACTAGTCACCACAGCAAAGACATGGAATCAACCTAAATGCCCATCAATGGTAGAATGGATAAAGAAAATATGGTACCTATGCACCATGGAATACTATGCAGCCATAAAAAATAATGAGATCATGTCCTTTGCAGCAACATGGATGGAGCTAGAGGCCATTATCCTTAGCAAACTAACGCAGAAACAGAAAACCAAATACCACATGTTCTCACTCATAAGTGGAAGCTAAATGATGAGAACATGTGGACACAAAGAGGGGAAAAACAACAGACATAGGTCCTATCTGAGGGTGGAGGTTGGCAGGAGGAAGAGAATCAGAAAAAAATAACTATTGGGTACTAGGCTTAGTACCTCTAGCTAACTTTATTATAAGAATACAGTGTCTAATACATGTAACATACAAAATATGTGT
This sequence comes from Homo sapiens, assembly GCF_000001405.40. Lineage (NCBI taxonomy): Eukaryota > Metazoa > Chordata > Mammalia > Primates > Hominidae > Homo > Homo sapiens. The sequence continues at coordinate 83,244,641 of NC_000015.10, read as the reverse complement.
TTAACAACTGTTTATGTTATCTGTAAGTCCTCTGGTCAATTGTAGGCCATTAGTAGTTAAGTTCAGTTCTGGGGAGTCAAAAGTTACACGTGAATTTTCCATGGTGTGGAAGGGGTCAGTGCCCCTAGCCCCTGTGTTGTTTAAGGGTCAACTCTACTTCTTGTTGCTTTATCTTCCATTCTAGGCATCATCTTTTTCTTCCTACTTTAAAAAATGACGATTTAAGTCTGCTGTTTATGAACAATAACTTTTTAGAAAGTTATCACTATGCCTATTGAAATTCTTTAATTGAATCAATAGTAGCTGCTGGAAAAATCCAATTGTCTTAGTCATGAAAGACCCAAATCTCAATGTTAAATACCTGAGAGGATTCCAAGCAAAAAGTTCGGGGATAAACTGAGCCAACCCCACTGTTTCATTACTAACAATAAACTATCTCGATTAATAAGTCCTTGTAGTCTTGAAAAGTACCATATAGTTTCTATACAGTTCACTTAATGTAGTTAATTTTCACATCAGCCCTGCAAGGGCAGCTCTGTTTTACAGGTCAGGAAGGAACAACTGGGAGAGTTCCCAGGCTTAGCGTTTCTCCCGCTATACCACATGACCTCTGGGCTCAGAAAAAAAGGACACACGGGAAGTGAGAGCCCTCAGCTTTCTGCTCTCTCAGCTTTCAGAACCAGTCCCGCTGTCCTTTCCTCCTTCACTTTCCACTCTCCCTCTTCCTGAGCTGGGTCAATGGACCAAAACGTGGAGGCTTGCTTGAGTTTCTGGGTGAGCAGTTCTCCTTGGCTGGTTGGTCATGGGCATTCAACCCAGCCAGGTGCTCTTACTCAACTCCACTTTCATTGCCCACAGCTCGGACCCCACTCGGTTCTTCCAAAGCTAGTCAAGTGAGGACTCTGCTGGCCGCTGACAGGGACAGCCTGAGGTCAGGATGTGCAGTAGGGTGTACCCTGAATAGCTTCCCGAAGGACAGGGAGAAAAACCTATCGCACAATGCTTGAGTGAAAAAATAAACACGTATGATAGTATGACTTTTGTTAAAGAAGGAAGGCGCTTCTCTGACCCAATATCCAAGCCACCAGAGTAGAGATCTAAGGATATGAAGAAGTGTTAGCTTTTCCTAAATATTGGGAATTTTTTCCTGAATGCAAAAGTAATACAAACTAATTGGAGGTAGGGCGGGAGGAGGTGCATGGAAACAGTAAAAGACAAAGATTAAAAAAAGATCACTCTAATGCTACCACCCTGCCAGCATCCTTCCATCTTCTTCCTTTCTTTTGTTAAAAGAAAAAAAGTGTTTGTTTAATCATCTACTTTTCATTTTTATCTAAGTAATATATGCACGTAGTTTTTAAAGTCAACTAGCACCAAAAAGCTTTTACAATAATTGGAATTCCCTGACCCCCACTGCCTCCCTACCCCAGTATAAATTAAGTTTATAATTGTGTACATTTATAGGGAACAAAGTGATGTTATGATTTATGAATACAAAGTGGAATAATTAAATAAGGCTAATTAACATATTCATCACCTAAAATACTTATGTTTTATAGTGAGAACATTTGAAATTTACTCTCCTAGTAATTTTGAAATGTACAAAACACTATTATTAACTATATTCACCATGCTATGCAATAGATCTCAAAAAAAAAAAACCTCATTCCTCCTCATTGAGATTTCGTACCCTTTAACCATCATTTCTCCATTTTCCCCTTACCCCACTATTTGGAGTTATGCTTGATTCCATAGCTTGGCCATTGTGGACAGTGCTACAATGACAATGGAAGTCCAGACATCTCTTCAACAAACTGATTTCAAGTATTTTAAGTAAATACCCATAAGTGGGATTGCTGGATCATATAGTAATTCCATTTTTAGTTTTTTGAAGAACATCTATATAGTTTTCCATAATGACTGTACTAATTTACATCCCCACCAACAATGTACAAGGGTCCCTTTTCTCCACATCCTCACCAATACTTGCTATCTTTTGTCTTTTTGATAATAGTCATTCTGACAGGTGTGAAATATCACGTTGTGGTTTCAACTTGCATTTCCCTAGTGATTATCAATATCAAGCATTTTTTCATATACTGTTGGGCATTTCTATGCCTTCTTTTGAGAAATATCTGTTTAAGTCCCTTGCCCATTTTTAAATTATTTTGTTTGTTTTCTTGCTATTGAGTTGAGTCCCTTATATATTTTGTATATTAACCCCTTATCAGATATGTGGCTTGAAAATATTTTCTCCCACTCTGTAGGTTGTCTCTTCACACTGTCAATTGTTTCCTTAGCTGTGCAGAAGCTTCTTAATTTGACATAATCCCATTGTCTATTTTTGCTTTTGTTGCCTGCCCTTGTGAGGCCAAATTCAGAATATCATTGGCCAGACCAATGTTGTATAGTTTTCCCTCTGTTTTCTTTCAGTAGTTTTACAGTTTCTGATCTTATGTTTCAATCTTTATTCCATTTTGAGTTGATTTTCATATATGGTGTGAGATAAGGATCCAATTTCATTCTTCTGCATATGGATTTCAAGTTTTCTAAAACCATTTATTGAAGACTATCCTTTTCCAGTTGTGCATTCTTGGCAACTTTATTTAAAACCAATTGACTATACATGCATAAGTTCATTTCTGGGCTCCTTATTCTATTGCATTGGTTGATATGCCTATTTTTTGCCAGTACCATACTGTTTTAATTGCTATGGCTCTGTAGTATAGTTTTCAGTTGGGTAGTGTGACACCTCTCCAGCATTGTTCTTTTTGTGCATGATTTTCTTGACTACTCAGGGGGTTTTGTGGTCCCATATGAATTTTAGGTTGCTTTTTTTGTTTCTATGAAAACTGACATTGGAATGTTGATAGAGATTGAATTGAATTTGTAGATTGCTTTGGGTAGCATGGATATTTGAACAATATTAATTCTTCCACTCAATGAACACAGGATATCTATTTATTTATGTATACCTCAATTTCTTTTTCCTTTTTTTTTTTTTTTTTTTTTGAGACAGAGTCTCACTCTGTCACCTGGCTGGAGTGCAGTGGCACAGTCTTGGCTAACTTCAACCTCCGCCTCCTGGATTCAAGCAATTCTCCTGCCTCAGCCTCCCCAGTGGCTGGGACTACAGGCGTGCACCACCATGCACAGCTAATTTTTGTATTTTTAATAGAATTGGGGTTTCACCATGTTGGCCAGGATTGTCTTGATCTCTTGACCTCGTGATTCGTCCACCTTGGCCTCCCAGAGTGCAGGGATTACAGGTTTGAGCCACAGCACCTAGCCTCTTCAATTTCTTTTTTTTTGAGACAGAATCTTGCTCTGTTGCTCAGGCTGGAGTGCAGTGGCGCGATCTTGGCTCACTGCAAGCTCCGCCTCCTGGGTTCATGCCATTCTCCTGCCTCAGCCTCCCGAGTAGCTGGGACTACAGGCACCCGCCACCATGCCAGACTAATTTTTTTTTTTTGTATTTTTAATAGAGATGGGGTTTCACCATGTTAGCCAGGATGGTCTCCATCTCCTGACTTCGTGATCTGCCCACGTTGGCCTCCCAAAGTGCTGGGATTACAGGCGTGAGCCACTGCACCCAGCCCAATTTCTTTTATAGTTTTTTGTATATAGGTTTTTCACCTTCTTGGTAAATTTATTCCTAAGCATTTTATTTATTTTTATAACTATTTAAGTGAAACTATTCTTTTTGGATAGTTCATTATAAGCGTATAGAAATACTACTGATTCTTTTTCTTTTTTTTTTTTTTTGAGACAGAGTCTCACTCTGTCACTCAGGCTGGAGTGCAGTGGTGAGATCTCGGCTCACTGCAACCTCTGTCTCCTGGGGTCAAGCAATTCTCCTGCCTCGGCCTCCTGAGTAGCTGGGATAATAGGCACCTGCCATCACACCTGGCTAATTTTTGTATTTTTAGTAGAGATGGGGTTTCACCATGTTGGCCAGGCTGGTCTCCAATTCCTGACCTCAGGTGATCCACCCACCTCGGCCTCCCAAAGTGCTGGGATTACAAGCAAGAGCCACCATGCCCAGAACGACAATTTCACTTCTTCCTTTGCTATTTGGATGCCTTTCATTTCTTTCTCTTGCCTAACTGCTCTGTCAAGGACTTATACTACCGTGTTGAATAGGAAAGGCAAGAGTGGACATCCTTGTCTTATTCCATGTTTTAGAGGAGAGACTTTCAATTTTTCCCCATTGAGTATAAAGTTAGATGTGGGCTTCTTGTACGTGGCTTTTATTGTGTTGAGGTACATTCCTCTATACCTAATTTAATGAGAGTTTTTATCCATGAAAAGATGTTGAATTTTGTCTAAGCCTTTTTCTGCATCTAAGAGATAATCATATAGTTTTTGTTCTTCATTCTGTTAATGTGATGTACCACGTTTATTAATTTGCATATATTGAACCAATCTTGCATCCCAGGAATAAATTCCATTTGATCATGGTGGATGAACCTTTTAACGTGTTATTGAATTCAGTTTGCTAGTGTTTTGCTGATAATTTTTGCATCTGTGTTCATCAAGAATGAACAAGGATGTGTTTCTTTCCTTTATTCTGCTGCCTTTGGGCTTAGTTTGTTCTTTTTCTAGTTCCTTAACATTAACTTGTTTGAGTTTTTTTTTTTCTGATGTAGGCATTTATTGCTATTAACTTTCCTCTTGGAACTGCTTTTGCTATATCCCATAAGATTTTGGTATGGTGTCTTTTTATTAAGATAAAATTATCTCAAGATCTTTTAAGTTTTCTCTTGTAATTTCTTTATTGACCCATTGGTTGTTCAGGAGCATGTTTAATTTCCATGTATTTGTGAATTTTCCAAAATTCCTCCTGTTATTGATTTCTAGTTTCATATGATTGTGGTCAGAAAAGATACTTTATATGATTTCAATCTTCTTAAATTTTCTAAGGCTTGTTTTGTGCCCTAACATGTGATCTATCCTAGAGAATGTTCCATGTGTGCTTGAGAAGAATGTATATTCTGTTGCTATTGGGTGGAGTGTTCTGTTATGTCTGTTAGGTTCATTTGGTCTAAAGTGATGTCAAGTCCAATATTTTCTGTCTGGATGATCTGTCTGTTGTTGAAGGTGGGATATTAAAGTCCCCTACTATTATTGGACTACAATCTATCTCTCCCTTCAGATCTTTTAGAGGTATCCAATCTTTTGGCTTCTCTGGACCACACTGGAAGAAGAATTGTCTTGGGCCACGTAAAATACACTAACACTAGTGCTAGCTGATGAGCTAAAAAAAAAATCACAAAAAAATCTTATAATGTTTTAAGAAAGTTTACAAATTTGCGCTAGGCAGCATTCAGGATTCAAAGCTGTCTTGGGCCACATGTGGCCTACAGGGTGTGGGTTAGACAAGTTTGATTTTTTTTTTTTTTGAGACAGTTTCTCTCTGTCGCCCAGGCTAGAGTGCAGTGGCATGATCTCGGCTCACTGCAACCTCCGCCTCCCGAGTTCAAGCGATTCTTCTGCCTCAGCCTCCCAAGTAGCTGGGATTACAGGCGCCAGCCACCAAACCTGGCTAATATTATATAGTATTTCTAGTAGAGACAGGTTTTCACCATGTTGGCCAGACTGGTTTTGAACTCCTGACCGCAAATGACCTGCCCACCTCGGCCTCCCAAAGTGCTAGGATTACAGGCATGAGCCACCACATACGGCCAAGCTTGCTTTAATTTTTTAAAATATATTTAGGTGCTCTGATGTTGGCTGCATATACATTTATAATTGTTATATCCTGTTGATGAATTGACCCCTTATTATTATATAATGTCCTTCTTTGTCTCTTTTCACAAATTTTTTACTTAAAGCCTATTTTATCTGATAAAAGTAGTTACCCCTGCTCTCGTTTTTTTGTTGTTGTTGTTGTCGTCGTCGTTGTTTTTTGAGATGGAGTCTCACTCTGTTGCCCAGGCTGGAGTGCAGTGGCGCGATCTCGGCTCACTGCAAGCTCTGCCTCCCGAGTTCTTGCCATTCTCCTGCCTCAGCCTCCCAAGTAGCTGGGACTACAGGTGCCGCCACCACCCCAGGCTAATTTTTTGTAGTTTTAGTAGAGATGGGGTTTCACTGTGTTAGCCAGGATGGTCTCTATCTCCTGACCTCGTAATCCGCCCGCCTTGGCCTCCCAAAGTGCTGGGATTACAGGCATGAGCCACTGTGCCGGCCTCTTTTGGTTTTCATTTGCATAGAATATTTTTTTCCATCCCTTTACTTTCAGTCTATGTATGTCCTTAAGAGTGAAGTAAGTATTATATAGGTACCACATAGTTGGGTCTTGTTTTTATATCTGTTCAGTCATTGGGTGTCTTTTTATTGGAGAATTTAATTCATTGACATTCAAAGTAATTATTGATAGGTAAGGACTTCCTAGTGCCATTTTGTTAATTGTTTTCTGGTTGTTTTCTGGATGCTTTCTTTCTTTCTTCCTCCCTTGCTGTTTTCTTTGTGGTTTGATGGTTTTCTTTAGTTATATGCTTTGAATCCTTTCCATTTTGTTTTGTGCTTCTTCTAAAGATTTTTGTTTGTGGTTACCATGAGGCTTACATAGCACATCTTATACTTATAACGGCCTATTTCAAACTTATAACAACTTAATTTTGATTACATATAATAACTCTACACTTTTACTCCCACACAAACATATTTTGTTTTCAATGTCAGAATTTACATCATTTTGTAATTTGTATCCCTTGACAATTTATAGGTCTAGTAGTGATGAACTCTCTTAGATTTTGTTTGTCTGGGAAAGTTTTTATTTCTCCCTCATTTCTGAAAGACACATTTGCTGAGTAAAGAATTCTTGGTTGCCATTTTTCTTTCCTTTGATATTTTGAATATATCATCCCACTCTCCCCTGGCCTGCAAGATTTCTGCTGAGAAATCAAATGATAGTTGTATTGGCATTTCTTCATGATGTGTTTATCTCTTGCTGCTCTTAGAATTTTTTCTTTGCCATTGATTGTTGGTAGTTTATTATATGTCTTGATGAACTCCTCTTTGGGTTGAATTAGATTGGAGACCTCTGTGCTTCCTGTACCTATATGTTGGCATCTATCCCTAGATTAGGGAAGTTTTTAGCCACTATTTCTTTAAATATGCTTTCTAACCCTTTTTGTCTTTCTTCTACTTCTACGATTCCTGTTATGTAAAGGTTTGGTCTCTTGATGGTGTCCCATAATTCCCATAGATTTTCTTCATTTTTTAAAATCTTTTGTCTTTTGCAGCTCTAATGGGATAATTTTAAATGCTGTGTCTTCCAGCTCACTGATTTTTTCATTTGCTTGATTGAGTCTGCTGTTGTAGCTTTCTATTGAGTTTTTCAGTGCTTCATCTCCAGGATTTCTATTTGATTAATTTTCATTGTTTCTATTGGTTAAACTCCTCACTTTCTTCATGTATTATTTTCCAAATGTTATTTAATTTTCTATCCAAATATTCTGGTAGTTCACTGAACTTCTTTAAGAGGATTATTCTGAATTCTTTTTTAGTCATTTCATATATCTCCATTTCTTTAATGTCCATAACTGGAGCTTCATTTATTTCTTTTTCGTTTTTTTTTTTTGAGACGGAGTCTCGCTCTTTCGCCCAGGCCAGACTGCAGTGGCGCTATCTCGGCTCGCTGCAAACTCCACCTCCCAGGTTCCTCAGCCTCCCAAGTAGCTGGGACTGCAGGCGCCCACCACCACGCCTGGATAATTTTTTTTTTTTTTTTTTTTTTTTGAGACGGAGTCTCGCTCTGTCGCCCAGGCTGGAGTGCAGTGGCACGATCTCGGCTCACTGCAAGCTCCGCCTCCCAGGTTCACGCCATTCTCCTGCCTCAGCCTCCTGAGTAGCTGGGACTACAGGCGCCCACCACCACGCCTGGCTAATTTTTTGTATTTTTAGTAGAGATGGGTTTTCACCATGTTAATCAGGATGGTCGCGATCTCCTGACCTCGTGGAGCATCATTTTTAAAAGCCAGTTGGTGGCTGGGCACAGTGGCTCATGCCTGTAATCCCAGCACTTTGCGAGGCCAAGGCAGGGAGATCACCTGAGGTCGGGAGTTCAAGACAAGCCTGCCCAACATGGCGAAACCCCATCTCTACTAAAAATACAAAAAATAACCAGGCGTGGTGGTGGGCACCAGTAATCTCAGCTACTTGGGAGGCTAAGGCAAGAGAATCTCTTGAGCCAAGGAGGCAGAGGTTACAGTGAGCCAAGATTGTGCCACTGCACTCCAGCATGGACAACAGAGCAAGACTCTGTCAAAAAAAAAAAAAAAAGCCAGTTGGTCAGAGAATCTGGGAAATCTAGTTTGCAGAGGCCAGCCCCAGTATCACACAGCAAAGCATAGAAAGGGGAATTTGAAGCTAGGAAACAATAGGTAAATAACTGGAACAGTTCTCTCTACTAAGCATTCATACACACTCTTCTGCTCATATTTTAAATTTCCAAGAAAAATAACAACTCCATGCCTCCACCTATCAAGACACAACCAAGAACAACAAAGAAGTTCTCATCCCCTTCCCCCAAAAAATAATAGGTAAACTCATAACAGTCCCCATATCCATCTCTGTGTGATGCTACTTTCTCTTCTAGTTTAGCTGGAATCCCATGAGAATCATTTGGAACCTAATTAGACTAAGAGTAACCCTTATCTAAAAAACAAGGGAGAAGTAGGGAGGAAAAATAATACATACAGATGTATATGTACATATCAAGCAAGGAAAAAATATACATAGCTGCTTCACCCCATTTCTGTACGTGGTACTGAAGCTGTAGTTGTTATATAGAGCTTCCTATCTCACTGTACATTTCAACCCCCTTTATCCTCAGCCAGTATCTCAACTGACCCAGATTCTTTGGAGTAGCCCAAACCTTCATTCCTGAAAGGTCTGATCCCCATTTGTCTTCATTTAGTTTTTCATTAGCTTTTTTTCTACTGGACATGGTACTAAGAGGTACCCTAGAGAATCTACTGAGCTTTATTATGTCTTAGCAACTAAATTCCCCTATGTAATTGGGATTACTCCAGCCAATACAATAACCTCCTTTGCCTGTTAGTTGAGAGACATACAAAGTCCAAAATGGCCAATGGTAGTCCCAACTCATAAATAAAAAATGTAAATCAATTATGTTCCCTCATGGAAGCATTCCTCCGTGGAGAACTAAGACTTCTAAGCCAGCAGAACCTTATCAAGGATAGGAAACAAAAATTCTGTGAGTGGGGCGTTAGGATATGCTCCCACTTCTGCACCTGCATCCCCAGACTTGAGTATTCTGGCTGTGGAAAAAATAGCACATATGTTGATTACTGGTTACACACACACACACACACAAACACACACACACACACACACACCCTGTAGAATATACCCCAAACCTAGAGTGTTGTCTTCCAATTTATACTGTAATTGTCTTTGGTAGGCTATTTCACTGTTCTCTCAGGCCACTGGTTTCTGGGTGTTTGGATATGTGGTACAACCAGTAAATGACATGGGCATGAGCCTCTGTGACTCTTCTATTTCTGTAAAATGAATTATTTAGTCAAAAGTGATGTATGAAATACTTTGGTGATGAATAAAGCATTCCATAAGTCTAGGGAGGATGGTGCTATCAGAAGCATTGCAGACAGAAAAGATAAGTCCATGTCCATATCAATTGATTATTCAATGGGAACAAATTATCACCCACTCCACATTGGGGATCAGCACTGGTCTGTGCTGCTGGGAGGTGAGACATGTAGCAATGGTTGCTGGATCATCTTTGGTGAGGGAAAGTCTATGCTGTTATGCCCATCCCTGCCATCATGGCCACTTTGAACATGAGCAATTGAGGAAACATTGGGTGGGAAAGGGGCTGGCTAACCTCCTCAGAGCATGTCTTCCTGTCTACATGATTATTCTATAGTAGGTGCCCTTGGTGAACATCCACATTGGACACAAATATCCTCACACTCTGTGCACTTTTAAATAGGTCCATCCCCATATCTCTTCCCTAGATCCCTTCTCACTGATTTGCCAATCTTATTTTTTCCAATGTCCCTGACCAACTGGCCAATTCTTTAACCCCTGCCCATGGGCCAATACAGATTCTCTCCTCTGAGTATTTCACATTGACCCAGTTGCCAGTGAAATGGACTGCTTGAAGTTCTGTTAGGTGAGACAATTTCTCTTCAACACTGTCTTTCAGGAATCCTTCTGAGGTTGTAATGCTACAGCAGTCTACTTCCTGTTCGTACAAGTATCATTAGGTTTCAGTTTTTCTTCCTAAGCCAATTGGTAATAAGGAATTCACCAGCAAATTATAGGACTACACAGAGGGAGAGGAACAGTGAAGCAGGGGTAGGTGTCATATGTAATTTCTTTGTGCCTTCAGGTTTGCTTAATTTTGATCCCTATTATACAATTTCTATTTAATTAATAATTGGTGCTGTGAATGCTCACCCTTATTGCTTAATGAATCAGATAACACCTAGTTCATAAGAGGAAACTAAGATTACGTGGTCTCTTGATGTTCCATGGTTAAACAATCTAGCTCTACAGGAACCCAGTCAGAGTTAGTTCTCAATTGGAGAATGAAGCATGACTTTGCTTTCAAATCCTAGAGACCTGCTCTGTTATTCTCCTTCAGGGCTTTTCAGGAGGCCTCACTGAACATCTCTTTGTGCCATAAACCTATAAAATACATCTGGCACAGAAGGTCCAAGTAGCAAAACAGCTTGTTACTACAGCTTGGACCTGATGCAGAGACTTTTCGTGTTTGGAGCCCCCTTCAAAACTATCAAGGTACTGAGTTGGAGCACACTCAAATATACCATACATTGACCTCCAGAAGCAAGTCAAGCATTAAAAAGGAAACCTCTTTTTTAATGGTAGAAAGTGCAATTAGAGTAACATGTCAATCCCTTTGGAAGAGATATTCCAACATGCTTTAGGCTCATGAACTTCCAAAAACCTCCCTAAGTCCCTGAATTTGTGTGGTTTTTATCTCCCACCTTTTGGCACACATGTGTCTTAATATGACATCTAGGATACTTGCTACTTCCTGGTCATCAGAACCAGTCATCATTGTATCATTGATGTAGTGGGCTATTTTTTTTTTTTTTTTGAGACGGAGACTCACTCTGTCACCCAGGCTGGAGTGAAGTGGCGTGATCTTGGCTCACCGCAACCTCCACCTCCTGGGTTCAAGCGATTCTCCTGCCTCAGCCTCCCGAGTAGCTGGGATTACAGGTGTATGCCACCACATCCAGCTAATTTTTGTATTTTTAGTAGAGACGGGGTTTCACTGTGTTGGTCAGACTGTTCTCGAACTCCTGACCTCAGGTGATCCGCCCACCTCGGCCTCCCAAAGTGCTGGGATTACAAGTGTGAGCCACTGTGCCTGGCCTTATTTTGATTTTCTGTAAAATGTTAAGACAACCATGATTTCTACTGATTAGGTGATGGTAGAGAGCAGGAGAGCTGACACGGCCTTGAAGCAAATGACGGTGTACCATTATTTCTGCTAGGTGAACATAAACTGCTTCAGGTGACTTTGCAAATTGACATAAAAATAAAAGCATATGTTATATTAATACTAAGTATGAGAAGCTGAGTTGATTTGCTCCAGGAAGGATATTAGATCTGGAACAGCAATTGGCAACTTCACCTGATTAAGCATATGAGAATCAAGTATTTTTTTCCAAGATCAAACCACCTTCTCTTGCAGGCCAAACCAGCAAGGTAAATGGGGATGCAGTATCTTTTAAATCTTTGATGATGGCACTGACCTCTGAAATTCCTCCAGAGATGCTTTTGGTTTACATCCTGGTAGGGAAGGAAAGTTCCAAGGTCTTCTTCCAGTTGGTTCTTCCTGTCATAATAGTCCTCACTCAGTAGATCAGAGGGCCAATGTAGGGATTCTTACAGTTGCTGAATAGGCCTATTTCAATTATACATTCAAGAATCGTGTAAATAACCTAATTTTCTATTAATTTCAGAATGTATTATTGAACAAAACACAACTCACATCTAAAATAAAATGTCTCTGAAAGGCTGAAAGTCAAAGTATGGCCATAGACATAGTAGGCAAATGACAGCATAAAGAATACAATCCTAGCTGGGCACGGTGGCTCACGCCTGTAATCCCAGCACTTTGGGAGGCTGAGGTGGGTGGATTACCTGAGGTCAGGAGTTCGAGACCAGCCTGGCCAACATAGTGAAACCTCATCTCTACTAAAAATACAAAAATTAGCCAGGTGAGGTGGCTCACACCTGTAATCCCAGCTACTTGGGAGGCTGATGCAGGAGAATCGTTTGAACCTGGGAGGCAGAGATTGCAGCGAGCTGAGATTGCACCACTGCACTCCAGCCTGGTCCACAGAGCAAGACTCTGTCTCAAAAAAAAAAAAAAAGAAACAAAGAAAGAATACAGTCCTTAGTGCCCAGATTGTGGTCTCTATATACCTTTACCCACTAAAAAGAATCAGGGCTTCTAGGATAAATGACTGATTCCACATCTGGGACAAGAAAATTAAAAGGTGAATCTGAAACATCTGGTACCACAAAGCAAAGAATGTCCAAAGACTACTATGATTGTCATGTCAAAAAGACTCATGATATAACTTGAAAGAGCACCCAAAGACCAAATATGGGACAATTTTGGTAGCAATTTAAAATGATGATTTCCATTTCTTGATTGATGGGCATTTGGGTTGATTCCACAATTTTGGAATTGCAAATTGTGCTGCTATAAACATACGTGTGCAAGTATGTTTTTTGTATAATGGCTTCTTTTCCTCTGGGTAGATACCCAGTAGTGGGATTGCTGGATCAAATGGTAGTTCTACTTTCAGTTCTTTTAGGAATCTCCACACTGTTTTCCATAGTGGCTGTACTAGTTTACGTTCGCACTAGCAGTGTAGAAGTATTCCCTGATCACTGCATCCACACCAACATCTACCGTTTTTTAATTTTTTTTTATTATGGCCATTCTTGAAGGAGTTAAGTGGTATTGCATTACGGTTTGATTTGCATTTCCCTGATCATTAGTGATGTTGAGCATTTTTTCATATGTTTGTTGGCCATTTGTATATCTTCTTTTGAGAACTGTCTATTCATGTCCTTAGCCCAATTTTTGATGGAACTGTTTTTTTCTGATTTGTTTGAGTTCCTTGTAGATTCTGGAGATTAGTCTTTTGCCAGATGTATAGATTGTGAAGATTTTCTCCCACTCCGTGGGTTGTCTGTTTACTCTGCTGACTGTTCCTTTTGCCATGCAAAAGCTCTTTAATGAAGTCCCAACTATTTATCTTTGTTTTTATTGCGTTTGCTTTTGGGTTTTGGTCATGAAATCCTTGCCTAAGCCTGTGGTGTATACACACACACACACACACACACACACACACACACACACACACACTATATATGGTATATATACTATATACCATATATATAGTATGTATATGTAGTATATACACTATATACCATATATATGGTATATACGCTATATACCATATATATGGTATATACGCTATATACCATATATGGTATGTATATGTAGTATATATACTATATACCATATATATGGTATATATACAATATACTATATATGGTATATATAATATATATACCATATATACAGTATACTATATGCCGTATATAGTATATATACAGTATACTATATACCGTATATACTATATATACGGTATATAGTATATATACGGCATATATACTATATACCGTATATAGTATATATATGGTACACAATATACCGTATATATACTGTATATACACGGTATACAATATACCATATATACTGTATATACACGGTATATATACTATAGTATACTATAGCATATATAGTATATATACTATATATGCTATAGTATACATAGTATGTATACTATATATGCTATAGTGTACATAGTATATATACTATATATGCTATAGTATACTATAGTATATATACTATATATGCTATAGTATACTATAGTATATATACGGTATATATACTGTATATACCGTATATACGGTATATATACTATGTATACGGTATATATACGGTATATACCGTATATATAGTATATATACCGTATATACGCTATATACGGTATATATACCGTATATATACTATAGTATATACGCTATATACGCTATATACGGTATATAGTATATACCGTATATATGCTATATACGCTATATAGTATATACAGTATATACGCTATATACGGCATATAGTATATACAGTATATATGCTATATACGGCATATAGTATATACAGTATATATGCTATATATGGTATATAGTATATACGGTATATATTCTATACGGTATATAGTATATACGGTATATATTCTATACCTTATATAGTATATATAGTAGTGTATATATATACTATATACGGTATATAGTATATATAGTAGTGTATATATACTATATACCGTGTATATATACTATACACGGTATATAGTATATATAGTAGTGTATATATATACTATATACCATATATAGTATATAGAGTAGTGTATATATATACTATATACCATATATAGTATATATATAGTAGTGTATATATATACTATATACGGTATATAGTATATATAGTAGTGTATATATATACTATATACGGTATATAGTATATATAGTAGTGTATACATATTATATACCATATATAGTATATAGTATATATATGCTATATACCATACATAGTATATATAGTAGTGTGTATATATACTATATACCATACATAGTATATATAGTAGTGTGTATATATACTATATACCATACATAGTATATATAGTAGTGTGTATATATACTATATACCATACATAGTATATACAGTAGTGTGTATATATACTATATACCATACATAGTATATACAGTAGTGTGTATATATACTATATACCATACATAGTATATACAGTAGTGTGTATATATACTATATACCATACATAGTATATACAGTAGTGTGTATATATACTATATACCATACATAGTATATACAGTAGTGTGTATATATACTATATACCATACATAGTATATACAGTAGTGTGTATATATACTATATACCATACATAGTATATACAGTAGTGTGTATATATACTATATACCATACATAGTATATACAGTAGTGTGTATATATACTATATGCCATACATAGTATATACAGTAGTGTGTATATATACTATATGCCATACATAGTATATACAGTAGTGTGTATATATACTATATGCCATACATAGTATATACAGTAGTGTGTATATATACTATATGCCATACTTAGTATATATAGTAGTGTGTATATATACTATATGCCATACTTAGTATATATAGTAGTGTGTATATATACTATATGCCATACATAGTATATATAGTAGTGTGTATATATACTATATGCCATATATAGTATATATAGTAGTGTGTATATATACTATATACCATATATAGTATATATAGTAGCGTGTATACATACTATATATAGTATATATAGTATATAGTATATATACCATGTATAGTATAGTATATATATACACTATATACCGTATATATATACACCATATATATACACACATATATGATGGAATACTACTGCCATAAAAAGGAATGAATTAATGGCATTTCAGCAACCTGAATGAGATTGGAGACTATTATTCTAAGTAACTCAAGAATAGAAAATCAAACATCGTATGTTCTCACTGATACGTGGGAGCTAAGCTATGAGGATGCAAAGCATAAGAATGATACAATGGACTTTAGGGACTTGGGGAGAAGGGTGAGAGGAGCAAAGGATAAAAGACTACAAATAGGGTGCAGTGTACACTGCTCAGGTGATGCATGAACCAAAATCTCACAAATCATCACTAAAAAACTTACTCATGTAACCAAATACCACCTGCATCCCAATAACCTATAAAAAAAGATGACTCAAAAAGTAATTCATTCTGATAAAAAAATAAATAAATAAAAATGATGATTTCAATGGATTGAAATCTATCAAACATTCTAAATCCATGCATTCCTATAATAACACAAGAAAAAGAGAGAAATTAGTAGTTATCTTTGGTGAATACTAGAGAATCAACTCATTATTTTGCAATTATTATTATTATTATTTTTTGAAATGGAGTTTCACTCTTGTTGCCCAGGCAACAAGGGGCAACATCACCACGGGGATGAACTCTTCAAAATCAAGGCAATGGGAAACTGCAGAGAAATAATCTGATCTCTGACAAATGCATTGCAAGGAAAAGAAATAAATGAAGTGGAAAGCCTATAGTTTAAATTACATAATTACTACGTATGGGCTTTAACTGGTTCATGATTTGAATGAAAAGACCATTAACAAATTTATAAAATAATTAGGTGAATTTGAACTCTGGCTATTTTACTGAATGATATTAGGGAATTATTGTCAATTTTAAGGATGATAATGGTATTGTAGTTATTGTTAAGGGTCTTTATCTTTTAGAGATACACACTGAAATATTTACAGATGAAATTATATAATATCAGGGATTTGCTTCAAAGTAACCTAGGTATAAAGGATGTGTACAGAATACAAACAAGATTGTCCAACAGTTGATATTTGCTAAAACTGTATAATACAATGTATATCCATTATACTGGTTTCTTTTCATATTTTTGCACGTTTGAAAATTTCCATAATAAAAATCTTTAAAAACTTAGCCAAAAGAATACAAGGATAGTAATATTAAAATTGGGTAAGGTTAAATTAAATTTTAAAAGTAGTTTGCAAAACAGAGAGAGACTTTAAAATGTTAAAGGGAACAATCCACAGTGAAGTAATAGCAGTCATGAATCTTTCTGCAATAAATAAAATTCATAAGACAAAACTGCAGAAAATAAGAAGAAATTGCCAAAAACATAATAGCAGTAAGAGACTATAATTCATTTACTCTGCACATGATAGACACAATAAGTAGGCCTATAAAGGCTCTGAATTATATAATCAATAAGTTTGAATTCTATATCCTGAGCATAGTGAATACTTTCAAGTACCAACACATTTATAAAAATCAATCTTTTGTAAGGCCATAAAGAAAACCTACATAAATTCCAAAATGTAGAATAAAATCTGACTCCATTGTGTTTTAATAATACAGTAAAACTAAAAAGCAGGATCCAAAACAATCTTACACATTGCTGATAGGAATATAAAATGATTACAGCCACTGTGCAATATAGCTTGGCAGTTCTTTTTTTTTTTTGAGACGGAGTCTTGCTCTGTCGCCCAGGCTGGAGTGCAATGGTGCAATCTTGGCTCACTGCAACCTCTGCCTCTCAGGTTCAAGCGATTCTCTTACCTCAGCCTCCTCAGTAGCTAGGACTACAGGCACGTGCCACCACACCTGGCTAATTTTTGTATTTTTAGTAGAGACAGGGTTTCACCGGATTAGCCAGGATGGTCTCTATCTTCTGACCTCGTGATCCGCCCGCCTCGGCCTCCTAAAGTGATGGTATTACAGGCGTGAGCCACCGTGTCCAGCCAGCTTGGCAGTTCTTAATAAGGTAAGCATATATCTATCGCATGACCCAAACATTTCACTTCTAGGGATTTGCCAAATAGAAAAGAAAGCACATGTCCATGCAAATATTTATATAGAAATATTCATAGCAGCTTTATTTGTAATAGCCAAAAACTAGATACCACCCTAAGTCCTTCAGCAGCTGAATGGATAAACAAATTGTGGCATATTCGTACAATGGAATACAGTTCCGCAATGAAAAAAAGTGAATGATGGATACGCAGAACAACATGAATGAATCTCAAAATAATTATGTCGAGTAAAAGAAGCCAGACAAAAAGAGTACATGTTGTATGATTCCATTTACATGAAATTCTAAAAAATGCAAACTAATCTATAGTGACAGAGTAGATCAGTGTTTGCTTGGGGAACTGGTGATTACAAAGGAGTATTAGAAACTTTTGTGTATTATGAATGTATCACCATATTAACTATGTTGGTGCTTTCATAGTTACATACATCTGTCAAAACTTATCAAATTCTATACCTTAAATATGTACAGTTTGTTGAATGTCAGTTATACCTGGTTTTTAAAAATCCTAGGAATAAAGTGAATATATAGGACTTATATAAGCTAAGCATATATCTATCATATGGATGTAAATAAATAAAATCTTTAAAACCTATCAAAAAACAGCATAAAATATGGCAAGGCGTAGTGGCTCATGCCTGTAATCCCAGCACTTTGGGAGGCCGAGGTGGGCAGATCACTTGAGGCCAGGAGTTGGAGACCAGCCTGGCCAACATGGCAAAACCCATCTCTACTAAAAATAGAAAAATTAGCCGGGTGTGGTGGTGGGTGCTTGTAATCCCAGCTACTCAGGAAGTTGAGGTGGGAGGATTGCTTGAGCCCAAGAGGCAGAGGTTGCAGTAAACTGAGATCGCGTCACTGCACTCCAGCCTAGGTGACAGAGTGAGACTCTGTCTCAAAAAATAAAAAAGAAAAGAAAAGAAAAAAAACTTAAAATAGACATGAACCAATACAAAGACAGATTTAATCTTAGATAGAGATGCTCAATTTCATAAATGTGGTGTAATAAAAAAATCAATGAATATTCATTCACTTTTTTATTTAAGTTGAAAATGTTTGCAAAATTATTCTAAAAAAAAACCACACACACAAAAATGTCCCAGATATCCAGAAATAGAAGAGTAACATTGGTACAGGAATAGATAAATCAATGGAGGAGAATTAAGAGTACAGAAATAAACCCAAGAATAGACAGGAATCTGGGATATGATAAACAGTATTTCAGATCAGTGGGGAGATGACTTAATAATTGAAACTGTACAATGGCCTAACTATTGGAAAGTAGAGGAGTTATATCCATTCACTCTCGCCACCAAAAAACAATTCTAAAGAAATCAAAACTTGTATTTAAAAATGAAACTATCAAAGTACTACAGCTAAACGTGGAGCTGGGGAGGTTCCAAGATGGCTGAACAGGAAGAGCTCCAGTCTGCAGCATTCAGCGTGAGCGACGTAGAAGACGGGTGATTTCTGCATTTCCAACTGAGGTACCGGGTTCATCTCACTGGGGATTGTCAGACAGTAGGTGCAGCCCACGAAGCAGGGTGGGGCATTGCCTCACCTCGGAAGTGCAAGGGGTCAGGGAATTCCCTTTTCTAGCCAAGGGAAGCTGTGACAGACAGTACCTGGAAAATCAGGACACTCCCACCCTAATACTGCGCTTTTCTGCATCTATTGAGATAATCATGTGGTTTTTGTCTTTGGTTCTGTTTATATGATGGATTATGTTTATTGATTTGCGTATGTTTAACCAGCCTTGAATCCCAGGGATGAAGCTCACTTGATCTTGGTGGATAAGCTTTTTGATGTGCTGCTGGATGTGGTTTGCCAGTATTTTATTGAGGATTTTTGCATTGATGTTCATCAGGGATATTGGTCTAAAATTCTCTTTTTTTGTTGTGTCTCTGCCAGGCTTTGATATCAGGATGATGCTGGCCTCATAAAATGAGTTAGGGAGGATTCCCTATTTTTCTATCAATTGGAATAGTTTCAGAAGGAATGGTACCAGCTCCTCTTTATACCTCTGGTAGAATTCGGCTGTGAATCCTTCTGGTCCTGGACTTTTTTTGGTGGGTAGGCTATTAATTATTGCCTCAATTTCAGAGCCTGTTATTGGTCTATTCAGGGATTCAACTTCTTTCTGGTTTAGTCTTGGGAGGGTGTATGTGTCCAGGAATTTATCCATTTCTTCTAGATTTTCTAGTTTATTTGCATAGAGGTGTTTATAGTATTCTCTGATGGTAGTTGGTATTTCTGTGGGATCGGTGGTGATAACCTCGTTATCATTTTTTATTGCATCTATTTGATTCTTCTCTCTTTTCTTCTTTATTAGTCTTGCTAGTGGTTTATCAATTTTGTTGATCTTTTCAAAAAACCAGCTCCTGGATTCATTGATTTTTCGAAGGGTTTTTTGTCTCTGTCTCCTTCAGTTCTGCTCTGATCTTAGTTATTTCTTGCCTTCTGCGAGGTTTTGAATGTGTTTGCTCTTGCTTCTCTAGTTCTTTTAATTGTGATTTTAGGGTGTCAATTTTAGATCTTTCCTGCTTTCTCTTGTGAGCATTTAGTGCTATAAATTTCCCTCTACACACCGCTTTAAATGTGTCCCAGAGATTCTGGTATGTTGTGTCTTTGTTCTCACTGGTTTCAAAGAACATCTTTATTTCTGCCTTCTTTTCGTTATGTACTCAGTAGTCATTCAGGAGTAGGTTGTTCAGTTTCCATGTAGTTGAGCAGTTTTGAGTGAGTTTCTTAATCCTGAGTTCTAGTTTGATTGCACTGTGGTCTGAGAGACAGTTTGTTATAATTTCTGTTCTTTTACATTTGCTGAGGAGTGCTTTACTTCCAACTATGTGGTCAATTTTGGAATAAGTGTGATGTGGTGCTGAGAAGAATGTATATTCTGTTGATTTGGGGTGAAGCGTTCTGTAGATGTCTATTAGGTCCACTTGGTGCAGAGCTGAGTTCAATTCCTGGATGTCCTTGTTAACTTTCTGTCTTGTTGATCTGTCTAATGTTGACAGTGGGGTGTTAAAGTCTCCCATTATTATTGCGTGGGAGCCTAAGTCTCTTTGTAGGTCTCTAAGGACTTGCCTTATGAATCTGGGTGCTCCTTTGTTGGATGCATATATATTTAGGATAGTTAGCTCTTCTTGTTGAATTGATCCCTTTACCATTATGTAATAGCCTTCTTTGTCTCTTTTGATCTTTGTTGGTTTAAAGTCTGTTTTATCAGAGACTAGGATTGCATCCCCTGCTTTTTTTTTGTTTTCCATTTGCTTGGCAGATCTTCCTCCACCCCTTTATTTTGAGCCTATGTGTGTCTCTGCATGTGAGATGGGTCTTGACTCTTTATCCAATTTGCCAGTCTGTGTCTTTTAATTGGGGCATTTAGCCCATTTACATTTAAGGTTAATATTGTTATGTGTGAATTTGATCCTGTCATTATGATGTTAGCTGGTTATTTTACTCGTCAGTTGATGCAGTTTCTTCCTAGCCTCAATGGTCTTTACAACTTGGCATGTTTTTGCAGTGGCTGGTACTGGTTATTCCTTTCCATGTTTAGTGCTTCCTTCAGGAGCTCTTTTAGGGCAGGCCTGGTGGTGATAAAATCTCTCAGCATTTGCTTGTCTGTAAAGGATTTTATTTCTCCTTCACTTACGAAGCTTAGTTTGGCTGGATATGAAATACTGGGTTGAAAATTCTTTTCTTTAAGAATGCTGAATTTTGGCCCCCACTCTCTTCTGGCTTGTAGAGTTTCTGCTGAGAGATCCGCTGTTAGTCTGATGGGCTTCCCTTTGTGGGTAACCCAACCTTTCTCTCTGGCTGCCCTTAACATTTTTTCCTTCATTTCAACTTTGGTGAATCTGACAATTATGTGTCTTGGGGTTGCTCTTCTTGAGGAGTATCTTTGTGGCATTCTCTGTATTTCCTGAATTTGAATGTTGGCCTGCCTTTCTAGGTTGGGCAAGTTCTCCTGGATAATATCCTGCAGAGTGTTTTCCAACTTGGTTCCATTCTCCCCATCACTTTCAGGTACACCAATCAGACGCAGATTTGGTCTTTTCACATAGTCCCATATTTCTTGGAGGCTTTGTTCATTTCTTTTTACCCTTTTTTCTCTAAGCTTCTCTTCTCACTTCATTTCATTCATTTGATCTTCAAACACTGATACCCTCTCTTCCACTTGATTGAATTGGCTACTGAAGCTTGTGCATGTGTCACGTAGTTCTCGTGCCATGGTTTTCAGCTCCATCAGGTCATTTAAGGACTTCTCTACACTGGTTATTCTAGTTAGCCATTCATCTAATCTTTTTTCAAGGTTTTTAGCTTCTTTGCGATGGGTTCAAACATCCTCCTTTAGCTCGGAGAAGTTTGATTGTCTGAAGCCTTCTTCTCTCAACTTCTCAAAGTCATTCTCTGTCCAGCTTTGTTCTGTTACTGGCAAGCAGCTGCATTCCTTTGGAGGAGAAGAGGCACTCTGATTTTTAGAATTGTCACCTTTTCTATTCTGGTTTCTCCCCATCTTTGTGGTTTTATCTACCTTTGGTCTTTGATGATGGTGACGTACAGATGGGGTTTTGGTGTGGATGTCCTTTCTGTTAGTTTTCCTTCTAACAGACAGGACCCTCAGCTGCAGGTCTGCTGGAGTTTGCTGGAGGTCCACTCCAGACCCTGTTTTCCTGGGTGTCACCAGCAGAGGCTGCAGAACAGCGAATACTGCGGAACAGCAAATGTTGCTGCCTGATCGTTCCTCTGGAAGCTTCATCTCAGAGGGGCACCCAGCCGTGTGAGGTGTCAGTCAGCCCCTACTGGGAGATGCCTCCCAGTTAGGCTACTTGGGGGTCAGGGACCCACTTGAGGAGGCAGTCTGTCCGTTCTCAGATCTCAAACTCCGTGCTGGGAGAACCACTACTCTCTTCAAAGCTGTCAGACATGGACATTTAAGTCTGCAGAAGTTTCTGCTGCCTTTTGTTCAGCTATGCCCTGCCCCCAGAGGTGAAGTCTACAGAGACAGGTAGGCCTCCTTGAGCTGCAGTGGGCTCCACCCACTTCGAGCTTCCCGGCCTCTTTGTTTACCTACTGAAGCCTCAGCAATGGCGGACGCCCCTCCCCCAGCCTCGCTGCCACCTTGCAGTTCGATCTCAGACTGCTGTGCTAGCAACGAGCAAGGCTCTGTGGGCATGGGACCCTCCGAGCTAGGCACAGGATATAATCTCCTGGTGTACCGTTTGCTAAGACCATTGGAAAAGCACAGTATTAGGGTGGGAGTGACCTGATTTTCCAGGTGCTGTCTGTCACAGCTTCCATTGGCTAGGAAAGGGAATTCCCTGACCCCTTGTTTTTCCCGGGTGAGGCGATGCCTCGCCCTGCTTTGGCTCTCAGTCGGTGGGCTGCATCCACTGTCCTGCACCCACTGTCTGACAAGCCCCAGTGAGACGAACCTGGTACCTCAGTTGGAAATGCAGAAATCACCCATCTTCTGTGTCGCTCATGCTGGGAGCTGTAGAGTGGAACTGTTCCTATTCGGCCATCTTGGAACCTCCACAATTGATTTTTTTATACTGACCTTTTGGCCTATGAACTTGCTGAATTTACCTGTTGATTGCAATAGCTTAACTATAATCATTTAGTCTTATATACATAATTATGTCATCTGTAAATAATGGTGTATTATTTTCCAATCTGAACACTTTTTTCTTACCTTATTTTCCAGGCTAAGAACTCTAATACAATCTTGAATAGAAGAGGTGATAGCAGATATCCTTGTCTTGTTCACAAGCCTAGAGAAATGTTTCAGCATTTCACCATTAAGTATGTTGTTTTTGTAGATACCCTTTATTTTATTAAGAAAATTCCCATCTATTCCTAGTTTACTGTTTTTTTAATGTATGCTTCATTTTATCACTTTTCCTTAATGTCTAATCATGAGATTTTTCTCCCTTTATCTATTAATGTGGTAAATGACACTGATTGTTTCCTAAATGTTAACTTCTAGATTATATTCAATTTTTCCATATGTATTATCTTTTTTATGTATACCAGAATTTGGCTAGCTTATATTTTGGTTGAGATTCTTTAAATCTATGTTATGAGAGAGATTGGTATTTTCCCTTCTTGTGTTTTACTTGTCATGTTTTAGTATTAAGATTGTGCTAGCCTCATAAAACAAGTCAGGGAGTATTCCCTCTTTTTCTATTCTCTGAGTTTGTGTGATATTGGCATTATTTCTTCCTAAAATGTTATGACTTACTAGTGAAGCCATCTGGGCCTGGAATTTTCTTTGGAAGAGTATTTTTTTTTATTATGGATGAAATTTATTTTCCTTTCTTTTTAAGAGAAAGGGTCTCACTCACTGCAGCCTCAAACTCCTGAGCTCAAGTGATCCTTCTGCCTCAGCTTCCCAAGTAGCTGGGAACACAGGCGTACATCACCACACCTGGTTATCTTTTTAAATTTTTTTATAGAGACAGGGTCTCACTATATTGCCCAGGATGGTCTCAAACTCCTAGGCTCAAGTGATCCTCCCACCTTGGCCTCCCAGGGTGCTGGGACTACAGATGTGAGCCACTGCACCCAGCCAAAACCTATCTCTTTAGTAGCTTTAGGACTGTTCACATTTCTCTTTCTTCTTATGTCAATTTAGTTAAGATGTGTTTTCTTGTCCATTTCACGTATATTTTCAAATGAAACTTAAAATTTTTAATGAAACTCAAAACTTAAAATTTTCCACAATGGCCTTTTTGTTATTTTAAATATCTGTAAGATTTGAAATGACGTGCCCTTTTTCACCCTTCATATTTGTTATGTGTGCTTTCTGTACTTCTTTTGATCAGACTTGACAGAGGCTTGTCCAATTTATTTTTTTTTATAAACCAACTTCGGGCATTTTTGATTCTCTCTTTGAAATATTTTTATTGTTTATTAATTTCTGCTCTTCATTCTTTCGTTCTCCTTTGTAAGGTTTAACTTTCTGTTCTTCATCCTTTTTTTCTAATATATGTATTTATGATTCCCTAAACAGCTTTAGCTCATCCCCCAAGTTTAGATACATTGTGTTCCAAATATTATTCATTTTTTAAAGCTACACACAAATTGTATTTAAGATCAATTTATTATTTTTTCCTTTTTTTAATTTTAGTTTTAGGGGTACCTGTGCAGGGTTTTTTTACATGGATATATTGTATGATTCTGAAGTTTGGGATTCAATTGAACCTGATACCCAAATAGTGAACATAGTACCCAATAGGTAGTTTTTCAACCCTTGCCCTGTACCCTCCCTTCCCCATTTTCCAGTCCCCAGAGTCTATTTTTCCCATCTTTATGCCTGTGTGTACCCAATGTTTAACTCCTACTTATAAGTGAGAATTTATGGTATTTGATTTTCTGTTTCTGCATTAATTCACTTAGGATAATGGCCTCCAGCTACATTCATGTTGCTGTAGATGACATAATTTTGTTCTTTTTTATGGATCCATACTATTCTGTGTATATGTATCATATTTTCTTTATCCAATCTACTGTTGATGGTGACCTAGGTTGATTCTATGCCTTTACTGTTGTGTATACTGCTGTGATAAACATGAGAGTGCAGGTATCTTTTTGGTAGAATGATTTATTTTCCTTTGGGTATATAACCAGTGAAGAGATTGCCGAATTAAATGGTAGTTCTATTTTTAGTTACTTGAGGAATCTCCAAATTGCCTTTACAGGGGATGGACTAACTTATAGTCGCACCTATAAGCATTCCCTTTTCTCTGCAACATTGCCAACATCTATTGTTTTTTGACTTTTTAATAACAGCCATTCTGACTGGTGTGATATGGTGTCTCATTGTGGTTTTGGTTTGCATTTCTCTGATGACTAGTGATGATAAGCATTGTTTCATATGTTTCTGGCCTCATGTCTTTTTTTGAGACATGTCCTTTGCCCATTTTTTAATGGGGTTGTTTTTTTCTTGTTGAATTGTTTAAGTTCCCTATAGACTCTGGATATTAGACCTTTGTCAGATGCATAGTTCATGAATATTTTCTCCATTCTATAGGTGTCTGTTTACTCTGTTGATAGCTTCTTTTCCTGTGCAGAAGCTCTTTAATTAGGTCCCACTTGTCAAATTTTTTGTTTTTACTGCATTTGCTTTTGAGGACTTAGTTATAAATTATTTGCCAAGGCCAATGTCCAGAATAGCAGTTCCTAGGTTTTCTTCTAGGATTTTTATAGTTTTAGGTCTTATATTTAAGTCTTTACTCCATCTTGAATTAATTTTTGTATACAGTGAGAGGTAGGGGTCGACTTTCATTCTTCTGCATATGGTTAGCCAGTTTCCCCAGTACCATTTATGAATAGGGTGTCCTTTCCCCATTGTTTATTTTTGTTGACTTTGTCAAAGATCAGTTGGTTGTAGGTGTGTGACCTTATTTCTGTGTTCTCTGTTCTGTTCCACTGGTGTATGTTTCTATTTTTTGTACCAGCACCATGGTGCTTTGGTTACTGCAGAATTGTAGCATTGTTTGAAGTCAGGTGATGTGATGCCTCTGGCTTTGTTCTTTTTTTCTTTTCTTGAGACGGAGTCTTGCTCTGTCACCAGGTTGGAGTGCAGTGGCGCAATCTTGGCTCACTGCAACCTCCACCTCCTGGGTTCAAGCGATTCTCCTGCCTCAGCCTCCCGAGTAGCTGGGACTACAGGTGCACGCCACCACAAACGGCTAATTTTTTTTGTATTTTTAGTAGAGATGGGGTTTCACCGTGTTAGCCAGGATGGTCTCGAACTCCTGATCTTGTGCTCTGCCCACCTCGGCCTCCCAAAGTACTGGAATTACAGGCGTGAGCCACTGTGCCCGGCCTTGTTCTTTTTTCTTAGGATTGCTTTGGCTGCAATATTATTCAATTCAAAATATATTTTAATTCCCATTGTGATTTCTTCCTTGACTCATAGGTTATCTTAAGTTAGGCAATAAATATATTGTTTAATTTCCAAATATTTGGGAATTTCCTAGTTTTCTTTTTTCTTTCTTTTCTTTTTTTCTTTTTTTTTTTTTTTTGAGATGGAGTCTTGCTCTGCTGCCCAGGCTGGAGTGCAATGGCACGATCTCAGCTCACTGCAACCTCTGCCTCCTGGGTTCAAGCGATTCTCCTGCCTCAGCCTCCCAAGTTAGCTGGGATTACAAGCACACGCCCCCATGCCTGACTAATTTTTGTAGTTTTAGTAGAAATGGGGTTTCACCGTGTTGGCCAAGCTGGTCACAAACTCCTGACCTGAAGTGATCTGTTTGCCTTGGCCTCCCAAAGTACTGGGATTACAGGCATGAGCCACCGCGCCAGGCCCTAGTTTTCTTTTTGTTATTGATTTCTAGCTTGATTCCACGGTGGTCAGAGAATATACTATGCCTAATTTTAATAATTTGGAAGCTACTAGGACTTACTCTATTGCCTAGCATATGGACAATTTTGGTAAATGTTCCATGTGTATTTGAAAATAATGTGTATTCTGTAGATGTTTAGTACTTTATTCTAAATATATCAATAAGATTGTATTTATTATTTGTGTTGAGTCATCTATATTCTTACTGATTTTTTGTCTACTTGTTCTATCAGTTCCTGAGAGAACTGTATTGAAACCTCCCACCATAACTGAATTTTTCTTTTCCCCTTTTAATTCTGTCAGGTTTTTTGCTTTATATATTTTGAGGTAATGTTATTAGTGTATATAAATTATTTTATTTTTTCTGGTGAATTGACCCTTTTATTTTTATGTAATGTTTCTTCATCTATAGCAGCATTTTTCAACTGTGCACTATTGACATTTAAGACATGGGCAGGAGAATTCTTTGTTGGGTGGGAGGTGCTGTCCTGTGTACTGCAGAATGTTTAGCAGCATCTTTGTCCTCTACCCATTAGATGGTAGTAGCATCCTCACCACAAGTCGTGACAATCAAAAATATCTCTAGACATTGCCAGAAGTCCATTGGGGGGCAAAATCGCTCCTGGTTGAGAACCACTGATTTGTAGTAATGCTTTATACCATAAAGTCTACTTTATCTGATTTAGCAGAGCCACTTTCTATCGGTATTTCCAAAGTTTTTATTTTTCCATCATTTTACTTTCAACCTTTCAAAATTGTTACTCAAGATATATCTCTTGTAAACAGTATAAAGTTAATTGTCTTTTTAATCAGCCTGACAATCTTTTAATTGTAATTGGATTATATCTTCCATTTACCTATAATGTAGCCACTGATTTATTTGGGTTTAACCCTATCATGTGACCATTTATTTCATATTTAATTAATTATTCCATGTTCTTTCTTCTCCCCTTTCATGCCACTTTGGATTATGTGTTTTTTTCTTATTTTGTTATCACTCCATTAGTTGAGCATTCTTTTATTATTCTTCCACTGGTTATCTTAGAGAACACGACATATATCTTTAACTTATTAAAACGTAATATTCAGTAAACAAAACATCATGGTACTGGCACAAAAACAGACGCATACACGAATGGAATAGGATAGAGAATCCATAAATAAAGCTGCACACCTATTAATACAACCATCTGATCTTTGACAAAGTCAACAATAACAATAACAAGCAATGGGGAAAGGACACTCTATTCAATAAATGGTGCTTGAATAACTGGCTAACCACATGCAGAAGACTGAAACAACCCGTTTGTTTTGCCATATAACTTTTATAAGTTTTAGATCCTTTTGCCATATACAAAACCCAAGAGTTAGTTTTGTCTATGGCAAAAGGATCTAAAACTTATAAAAATCCTAGGAGAAAATCTAGGAACCTAAATGTAAGACCTAAAACTATAAAAATCCTAGAAGAAAACCTGGGAAGTACCATTCTAGACATCGGCCTAGGCAAATAATTTATGACTAAGTCCTCAAAAATAAATGCAATAAAAATAAAAATTGACAAATGAGACCTAATTAAACTAAAGAGCTTCTGCACAGCAAAAGAAACTATCAACAGAGTAAGCGGACAACCTACAGAATGGAGAAAATACTCACAAACTATGCATCTGACAGAGGTCTAATATCAGAATCTATAAGGAACTTAACAAGAAAAAAACAACATCCCCATTTAAAAATGTGCCAAGGACATGAACAGACACTTCTCAAAAGAAGACATACATGTGGCCAACAAATATATTTTAAAATGTTCAATATCACTAATCATTAGAGAAATGCAAATCAAAACCACAGTGAGATACCATCTCACACCAATCAAAATGGCTATTACTAAATGGTCAAAAAAACAATAGATGTTGGCAATGTTGAAGAGAAAAGGGAATGCTTATACACTGTTGGGAGGAATGTAAATTAGTTCAGTTTGGGGATTTCTCAAGTAAATTAGAACTACAACTCAACCCAGCAATCCCCTTACTGGGTATATACCCAAAGAAAAATAATTTGTTCTACCAGAAAGACACATGCACTGGTATGTTCATTGCACCACTGTTCACAATAATAAAGACAGAGAATCAATTCAGATGCCCAGCAGCGGTGGACTGGATAAAGAAAATGTGGTACCTATATACCATGGAATACTATGCAGCCATAAAAAAGAACAAAATCATGTCCTTCCAGCAACATGAATGCCGCTGGGGACCATTATCCTATGCAAATTAACACAGAAACAGAAAACCAAATACTGCATGTTCTCACTTAAAAGAGGGAGCTAAACATTGAGTACATGTGGACACAAAGATGGAAACAATAGACACTGGGACTCCAAAAGAGAAGGGGGAAGGAAGGGGTGAAAACTACCTACCATGTACTATAGTCACTACTTGGGTGACGAGATCATTCATATACCAAACTTTAGCAACACACAATTTACTCATGTAACAAACATGCACATATAAACTCTGAACCTAAAACAAAAGTTGAAAATAATAATAAAAACTAAAATGTAGTATGTTCATATTTTTGTCACTTTCTGTATTATTCTGGGACCTTAGACCTTTTTATTTCACTTACCTCAATCTCACTACTTGAGTGGGGACAGCCTGTAATCCCAGCACTTTGGGAGGTGGAGGTGGGCCAATCACCTGAGGTCAGGAGTTCGAGACCGCCCTGGCCAACGTGGCGAAATCCCATCTCTACTAAAAATACAAAAATTAGCTGGGCATGGTGGCATGTGCCTGTAATCTCAGCTACTCGGGAGGCTGAGGCAGGAGAATTGCTTGAACCCAGGAGGCAGAGGTTGCAGTGAGCCAAGATGGCGCCACTGCACTCCAGCCTGGGTGACACAGTGAGACTGTCTCAAACAACAACAACAACAACAAAAACACCCTATTTGTAAATTTGTAATTCCCCATATATATAACCCAAGTAAGTGATCATTATGTAATTTTATAGTTCATTTTATTTTTCTTTAGATTTTCTCAAATATTTATTCTATCGTTCTTCATTTTGTCCTGCATCTTGCTGTTTGTCTGGGATCATTTTCTTTCCACCTGACTAGCTCCCTTTAGTTTTTCATTTAGCGCAAGTCTGCTGCTGATAAATTCTCTAGGTTTATATTTGTCTAAAAATTGTCTTTCTCTTTTATTTGAAAGAAGTTTGCTTTAGAATTTTAGGTTGCTAGTTATTTTCTTTCTGCTGATTAATCAGCTATCATTCTTTGTGCTGCACCTTTGAAGATAATGTGTTTTTGCCTTTGTCTTCTTTTTATATATTCTCATTGTCTATGGGTTTCAACAATTTTACTATTATGGTTGCTGGGTTTTTGTTTTGTTTTGTTTTGTTTTGTTTTGTTTGAGACAGGGTCTCACTCTGTCACCTAAGCTGAAGTGCAGTAGCACAATCACAGCTCACTGCTGCCTCAACCTCCCAAGCTAACGTGATCCTCCTACCTTAGCCTCCCAATTAGCTGGGACTACAGGTGCATGCCACCACTGCTGGATTTTGTGTTTTTTTTTGTTAGAGACAGGGGCTCATTATACTGCCTAGGCTGGTCTCAGACTCCTGGGCTCAAGTGATCTTCCTGCCTTGGCCTCCCAAAATGCTGAGATTATAAGCATGAGCCACCACAACCAGACTACTATTATGTTCTTAGGAGTGGTTTTAAAAAATATGTCATGATTGATGTTCAAAATACTGTTTAATCTATGGCTTGATATCTGTCTCATTTAATTTGGGCTGCTATAGCAAAAATACTGTAGACTGAGTGGTTTAAACAGGCATTTATTTCTAACAGTTCTGGAAGCTGGGAAATCCAAGATCAATGCACCAGCAGAGCTGGTGTCTGGTGAGGGCACAGTTCCTGGTTTGCAAATCACCATCTTCTCACTGTATCCTCATAGGGTAAAGGCAGAGAAAAGAAGCAAGCTCTTGGCCTGACACAGTGACTTATGCCTGTAATCCCAGCACTTAGGGAGGCTGAGGTTGGGCAGATCACCTGAGGTCAGGAGTTCAAGGCCAGCCTGGCCAATAAGGTGAAACCTTGTCTCTACTAAAAATACAAAATTAGCTGGGTGTGGTGGTGCACATCTGTAATCCCAGCTATTCGGGAGGCTGAGGCAGGAGAATCACTTGAACCCAGGAGGCGGAGGTGGCAGTGAGCCAAGATCATGCCATTGCTCTCCAGCCTGGGCAAAAAGAGCAAAACTCCATCTCAAAAAAAGAAAAAAGAAGCAACTTCTTTTGTATCTCTTCTTATAAAGGCACTAACCTCATCATGAGAACTCTATTTTCATGACATAATTACCTCCCAAAGGCCCCACCTCCAAATACCATCACACTGGCGATTAGAGTTTCAACAAATGAATCGGGGGTGGGAGGACACAAATATTCAATCCATAGCTGTATTGTTAATCAGTTTTGGCAAATTCATGACCATCACTGCTTCAAATACTGCTTCTATTCCATTCTCTCCCTCTCATCATCATTTGGGACTTCATATTAGATTTTTCACCATATCTCAGAGAAAAAGAATACTAACTTACAAATACTAGCTAATAGAAAGTTGGTGTGAGTATACTATGTTCTTTTCTGTTTTTTCCTCCCTTTTTTTTTCCTCTGAGCTTCTGTCTGAATATCTTTCCTTTTGATCCATCTTCCAGATCAGTAGCTCACTTCAGCTGTATCTAATCTGCTATTAAACCCTGCTTCTGTTATTTGTTTCTACATAACAAAACAGCCCCAAATTTTGTGGCTTAAAACAGCTGCCATTATTTACTTGCTCATGGTCTGTGATTTGGGTGAGGCTCAATGATGATAGTTTGTCTCTGCCACATGGTGTTGGCTAGGATAGCTTAACTGAGGTTGGAGGATCCAACATGGTTTTGCTCACATGTCTGGCTTCCAGTCAACAAGAGAGACTGGAAGAGTTGGGGACCGGCTGGGCCTCTCTCTCCTCTCTTTCATTTTTCATTCTCCAAGACCTATCTCTCTCCATGTGCCCCACTCCTCTTCCATACTAGCAAGGTATTTATGATTCTTTACACGGTAGGTCAGCACTTCAAGAGGGTGAAATTAAAGCTCCTAGGCCTCTTCATGTCTAAGCCTCAAACTATCAAAGTATCATGTCTCCCACATTGTTCACTCTACATGGTAGCCCTTCAGACGGTTAGCTATAGATACCCTAGCCTCCTGTAACACTACTTCATTTGGCATAGTTTTGATTCCTTCATTATTCCCCATGGGTCCTAGATCTAGAACAATGATGATACATAACCATACTCAACAAATACTTATTCAATAAATGAATGAATGCTAACTAATAATATAATTGTAATCTAATGCTCCCTTCAGCAGCATATACACTACTATTGAAACAATACTAGCATAAATGGTAGGAAAACTTGCAAAACTCTTCAAGCCTTTAATATCTTCTACATCTTGAACCCCCTCTCTCCAATTATCTAGTAATTCAGTAAAATTACCCAGTTTGCTCCTCAGCCTGCAACACAACAGTGAAGGGGTAAGAATGAAAACAACCTAAACTGAAATAGTCCTTAGGCGCACAGTCTCATGAGAATTCCTAGGACCTAAAGCAATCCCTATTTCCATCCCCAAATAAGGTCCCAGGTAGCTCAAGCAGTGCCTTCCAAGACAATTAACATTTCTGGGGTTATGATTGAGGTGCTATCTGTATCTCTACTTGGTGACCTAAGTGCAGTTGCTGCTGTTACCCATCCCTACTCAGGCAATTCTGGTTGACCCCAACATTTAACCCTGGACCTCTCCCCTCATGGCCCATGTTGACTCTATGGTGCCTTTTACCAACTTAGAACTGCCTCTGATGCTCACACCAACATGGGAGTTGTCTCTCTCACTACAAGTAGTATGTTACAGTTCTTTTATTTGACTCTCAAGAGGGTGTCAATATCTTACAGACCTTTCTCTTTCAAGGAGTGTGAGACCAGTCCCCTGGGATTGGGGTGAAAGACATTTAAGAGATACCTCTAGTGGCAAAAGTAATGGAAATGGACTCTGATGCAAGGCCCAGGGAGCTCTCTTCTAACATGCTGAGTGTGTGTGTGTGTGTGTAACACCAAATTTTCCTGAATCCCTTTCCACAGTTCTTTTCACCACACCATGTAAACAACAAAGATAACAATATCGACTAACATTTAATGAGAATTTACTATGTGCCAGGCACTGTTCTAAGTATCTTATATGTATCACCTCATATATAACTTGGACAAAGGAATAGATTTTAGGCAATTGAAGCATTATGGAATGGGTGAATTTGGGGGCAAGATTTGAAGGAACTGTTAGAGTTTTACTAGAAAGCTAAGTGAAGATATGAAAGGAGAAAGTGACAACAGGATCATGTCAACAATATACATATATGTGTATGATTGAGAAGAGGATGGCAAAAATACATCAAGAAGCCAAAGGCAAGGAGAAGTACTAGCCCGCAGGGATTTGAGGATGCTGAAATAAAAAGTGATCAAAGAAAGTTGGTATTATCACCATTTGTGAATGGATTTCCTTCTATGTTTCAGAAGTAAAATTAATGTATGCTATTTTGATATAGCAAATAGACCAGCTCCTGGGGCCACACTGACTAAAATAAAATACATCAGACTCTTTTAATGGTCCTAATTATATCTCTAAAAAGTTACATATTATCTGTTAAATATTTGAGTAGAGCGTTGTTCTGGAATAGCCACAGCTTAGTCCTTTGCATAAAGTGGAAGAACCAGTCTGAAAGCTCTGTCTGCAGTGAAAGCCACAGGGCAATGCTTCATCCCCCGTCACAATGTGTTGACAAGGTGGTGTGCATCCATCCTGGCTGCAGAGACAGATGGGCTCTTAGCCAAGAGCATTAGGCGATTCCTGATGACCAGCCAGAGGGAGCCCATGTGGGTGTATTATTAAGTCTGACTTGGTTAGATGAAAGATTGAGAGTCAGGCAAATGATGTGTGCTGAGCAAACCTGAAACCAAAGCCTAGATTGGGAGAAATTTCCACCTTCTCAAAATTACCAAACTCCATCAGTTATGCACTCTACTGGCTACTTCTCCTCATTACAAACTAAAATTTCTCCTAGCTTTAAAAACCAGCCAGAAATCACAACAGAATAACTCTCCCTTCATGTTTTTTTAAGAGATGAGGTCTCTGTTGTCCAGGCTGGAGTGCAGTGGTGTGATCACAGCTCACAGCAGCTTCGAACTCCCAGGCTCAAGAAATCCTACAAGCGCACTCCACCATGCCTGGCTCCTTCATCCTTTCTTGCTACTCCTTCTCCACTGCTGGCAATGAGCAATGAGTTGTCTATACTGCCTCCACATTTTCACCTCTTACTCACATCTCAATCCACCACTCTGGTGTCTTCCCAATACCATTCAGTGAAACAGTTCCCAACTGTTTCATCAGTGACTTCTCAATCACCAGGTTTAACAGACTTATCTCCTTCCATATCTCACTTGACCTCCTTGTGGCATCTACCCAGACATTTCCTTCCTTCTGGAAAATCTTTTACTCCTTGGCTCCTATGACACTACGTTCTTCTTCTACCTGACCCTTAGATGTTGGTGTTACCTGGCTCCAAACTTGGGCACTGCTTTTCTCATTCTACAGTTTCCTGGGCATCCTCCGTTATGGTTTCAGTGACCACTTATATACTGATATCACTCAAAAGTCTACATTCTGTCTTGACCACTTTCTCTAAGCTGTGTATTTAGCTGCCCACTAACTAGCTCTCTGGATGGCCCATGGAAATCTCAACACATCCCAAACCACTCAAGATCTCATCTCTAAACCTGCCCATTCTTCATGGATTTCTGCACCTTGGTGAGTGTCAAAACTAATCATCCTGTTGCTCCAACCAGAAACCAGGGAATCAGTTTCTACTCTTCCTCCTTCCTACCCACCTACCACCCAAAGAATCGGCAAGCTCTGTCTCAGCCCTTGTCTTATCTCTCCTGGGGAGAGAATATCAATGCAGGTCCTGCCCCAAGCCTCTCACCCTCAAGTCTAGTCCCATGCTGGCCACCAAAGTAATGTCTAAACCTGAACTGTGATCGCATCCCTCCATTGTTTACTGCCCTCCCCTGGTTGGCTTCCAACTGACAACCTTTCCCCTCTCATTTCTCTCCTCTTCCCTATATCCACCCCGTGCCCACAGGGAGGCTGGACTGTAGGGGCAAGCAGGCAACAGCTAGGGCTTTGACAGCTAGTCAGAGGGATGTGAGTTTGACATATGAGGATACAGAAATCATTCTACAGCTTCATGAGCAATGCGTGACATCATGGCAGCTGCATACGGTAGGTTCTAGGAGAGAGAGATGTTAGCAGATCATCACAACTGAGGCAAAGAGGACCTAGACTCATCTTCCACAGTGAGAAAAGAGGAAAAAAACGAACCTGTAGGACAGGTGAGTACAGGTCAATACCAAAAAAAAAAAAAAAAAAGAAAAATCATGAGATGCAAGTAGTAAGGAAATGCATTAGTAAAGTAATGTAAAAGCACTGCTAACAAAGTAAACAATCCACAGGAAATCTAGAGACTTTAAAGCCCCATCATAGGAAGCCCAGCACCACAGAACAAGAGCAGGAGTTAAAACACACACACACCATTCTACAAGGCCAGAGAGGGGGGCGGATGGTGGGGAAAACTGTAGCTTCTGTAAAAGGGAGAGAGAACAGACACAAATGAGAACTGTCCGTGTGACAAGGTGAGGGCCACAGAAAGCAGCATTTAGGAGCTATGCCAGCTGACCCCTTAAAGGAGGTGGGTTACAGCATGATTAAAGAAGCAGCATTCGTTCATTGGACAGACTCCAAACGATTCCTTGAATTATTCTACTTACTCCTCACAAAAGAGAGTGTTAGGAAGATTCCTACTCTCAAAATGTCTTTGAAAGCAGCCAGCTAGGGAATTTAGAGTAAAATAGTGGTAAATGAACATGTTCTAGAGCTAATGAACTGTATATGTACATACATCTCCAGAAAGGGATGCTAATTTCAAAAACGTTGTCCAAAAGGTTGCCAGGATTGGAAACAAGTGACCGGCCAGTGCAAGTCCTTTTCACAAACACTGCAGGCCTAGAAAACGCACACAGAGAGAAACATAATCGCTTATGGACTTTGGACTCATGTGGATACAGGTTCGAATCCCGTCTGTGCCACTCAGCAAATGAGAAAACCTCCCATGACTCCGATTAAATAGCTCGCCCTAGGTGGGTCACACTGCATTGTTAAGGGCAGACCTGGGGCAAGAATCCAATAAGGTCGCTGACTCCGGAGCGGTGCTCTTTCCGGCAGCTTGGTGCCCAGCAGAGGGTCCCCTCGCGCCGCCGTCCCCCAGGCCTGGAGCGCCTTTGTCCCCCACTCACCAGAGAGCAGCCGCGGAAGTGGCTGGCTGGGGGTAGCCAGGAGAGGGTCGAGTCAGCGGGAGGTGGGCGTGGGAGCGGGGGGCGCGAGTGGGGAGAACCCCCAGAGTGGCACGGACGGGAGGGGAAGGGGGCGGCCGGGTGGTGATTGGCTGGGCTGCGGCAGGCAGCTCCGGGCCAAGAACAAAAGAGAGCAGGCGGCGGGCGTCCTCCGGAGTAGGCACTCCCGCCCGCCCGGCGCGGGCTTCGGTGCTGGGGGAGGACGCGCCCACCGCCCGCCCGCCAGCCGAGAAGCCGGGCTGGCGCGCTCGGTTTCTCCGCGAAAGCCGGCCGTGTACCTAGGAATTAACCGGCCCGCGCGGGAGGGAAGGGGAGGGGAGCGGGAAGCGGGAAGCGGGGCGGGGGGGGGATGCTGAGCGCGCGCGAGAACAATAATAAGATCGTGTTTGCGGTCGCTGCCCGAGAAGGAATTCGGAGCAGACGCGAGGCCCGGCGCTCGCGCCGCGCCCGGGAGCCCGGGAGGGAGACCGGCAGCGGCGGCATGAGGCAGGCGACGCGGCGCTGGTGAGCAGCGCGCGCGGCGGCGGCGGCGGCGGCGGCGGGGACCTTGGCGCGGCCGGACGCGGGCGAGCGCCGAACGGCCGGGGGCTCCCCTCCCCCGCTGCCGGGCCGTGATTTGCCGGGCCTGCTGCGCCCCCCGCCCACCCCTTGCCTCAGCCGCCGCCTCGCCGCTTCCCCTCGTCGGAGCGGCCGCTCGTCCGCCCGGCTTGAGGCCCGCGGGGAGCGCGGCGCAATTCGTCGGCCCGCGGGGGGGCGGCCTCCCGGCATCTTCGCGGCGACCAAGGACTACCAGGAAGGGGAGCGGCTGGGATGGCGCGTCCGCGGCCCCGCGAGTACAAAGCGGGCGACCTGGTCTTCGCCAAGATGAAGGGCTACCCGCACTGGCCGGCCCGGGTGAGTACCGCGGCCGCGCGCGGGCCCGCCCGCCCACCATTTTCCCCTTCATGATGGCGCGCCCGCCCCCTTTCCCCATCGCCTCAGCCCCGAGCCCGCAGCTCGCGGCCGGCTGTGGTGAGGGCTGAGGGCGGCGCGGCACGAAGAAGACCGGGCCGGGGCTGAGGCAAGGGCTCCCGGCCTCGCCCGCACTCCGCCAGGGCGGCCATCCTTCCGCCCACTTTCGAAGGCGGGTCCGGCCCCCGCAGGCCCGACGCTGCCTTCCTCCTGGAAAGCCGGTGCCGACCGGGAAGCCACGCCGCCGGGCAGCGGGCCTGCGACGGAGGCTTCGGCTCCGGGCAGGGTCATTGGTGGATACCCTGGGTCCCGGGCGAACGTCGGGGCAGGTACGGCAGCGGGGTGAGCGGCTGTCCGCGAGCCGGCGAGTGCCGGCGGGCAGTAAATCCTGGAAAGTGGTAGTGGTCATCCAGAGGCCAGCGGGAGCCTCTTGGCAGTCATTCATCCATCTCTTTGCCTTCTAGACTTGTTGAGTTTTCCCTGAGCGCGATTCCCGGTGCCCCGCCTGCCCTATCATTGTCCTGGGGTACGTGCCTCTCTGGTGCCCATCGTTCTTTTAAACCGACCTCTGATAGCCGAGAGCTTGCAGCCTACCTCTGACTGGTGGGTCCAGCAAGCTTCTTGTGCCTTTCCACCTCCATATTTGTTTTAGGTAGAATCTCAAACCTTATTCTTGGCCTCCTGCTACAGTCCACAATAGCTCTCTCTTCCTACATAACAAGGTTGTCGTTGGGCTCTTTTTCTAGAAAGCGTCTGCATGTAATACATAGCATTCACAATTTTTATTAAGCTCTTTGAGGAAGACACACAACACTGCCATGTGTGCTTTGTGTTTTAGAAGAAATCCTTTTTATTTTTATTTTTGTATGGTTGGCAGTTGATTGCTTGAAATAAGAAATCTTGTGAAAAGGAGGGTCAAGGCATTCTAGAGATTATATTGGTATTCTTTAGGAACGGAAACAGTCATGGAGAAAATTGGCATAAATATAGTGTGAGCTCTAAAATGTTGTATTGTAGTCAAGTGAAGATAGCAAGATCAAGAAAAAAAAATACACCCATTCACAAAAGGAAGTGACATCACGAGTGGCCAGACTGAAATTTAGTGAAGTTGAAGTAATGGATGGACATAATCACTTTTTAAATATTTGGTTTGGCATGATTGTCAAATGGAAAGAACACTAGGCCAGGAATTGGGGGACCTGGTGTCTGGTTCAGGCTCTGTTATGGACTAATCATTTCAACTGTCTGCATATCCATTGCTGCAACTATAAAATCATCTCTAGGATCCTTTCCAACACTAACAACCTCAGATATCAAGAGGAAAAAACAGTCTTATTCAGGTTCCAGTAGACTGAAAATAGCTTCGCATCTGAACTGTAGATTGTCCTTAAGATAAGGCAAAGTTTTTAAGGTAGAATAACTGGTTATTTTTTATGCTGTAATACAGTATTGCTTAGAGAGGCAAGATTTGTGACTTTAGGAGTCCCTGAATATATTTGTGACTTCAGAAAATCCCCGAATCTGTTTGCCAAGTAAGAAATGTATAGCTTTAGGGCCATATGTGTATAAACACAGTCAAAGCCAATTAAAGGTTACCGTTACTAGTTGGTCATTTCCTAGTACCATAATGGCTTTTTAAAATCTTCCCTTTGAAAAATATCTTCTGATAGTCAAAAAGAAAATAGACTTAAAATTTCATTAATATGTTGCCTGTACAGGTTGGCCACCTGTAGTAATTTGTGAAACAGAAAAATCCTACGGAAGTGGTCCTAGTTGTATATCTAATTGTACATAAAATTCCTGGAAGTGATAATTCCAAATAAGGCAAAATGGAAAATAAAATGAGGAAACAAAATTAAGTTTTTAGATAAAATAGGTACAAGAAAGAAAAATCTGTATCTATTCACATTTAACGAGCTCCTCAAGAAACAACCTAAGACTCAAAAAAAGAAGTTTTATTTTCTCGTTAGTGGCATGCTGCAATTTCCAAAGGTAAAGGTTAGAAAAAGATTTGAGTCCCCTTTTTTACAGTGCGTATACTTCACATATGTTTTCATTTTTTTCATCCCAATTCTATGAGGCATTATTCCCATCTTACACCTAGGTATAGCTGTGTAGATGATAATGTTATAAAATGCTAACTGGGAAAAAAAGTCTTGCTTATTGAAGTTTCAAATATTATCACTTGATACGAAGGCCATTCATGTGGGCATTAGATACTGTGGGGCGCCAAGGACTCAAACTTAGGAGGGAAACCAGGAAGAAACAGATTTCAGAGTACATGTTGTAGGAAGGCACTTTGTATTAGAGCTGGTTCATACAGGAATGGAGAAGCAACTTCCTTGCTCTAGGGAAGATGTTTGGTCCTAGGCAGCCCTTTGTGAGGAATGTAGGTCAAGAGGATTCAGAATTCCTACAGGTTGGATTCAGCTCTTGGCTGGGCTTCACACTGTGACCTTGTGCATGTTCTGTAATCTTTCTAAGTTTCTGTTTACTCGTCTGTAAAATAAAGATAATTCTCACCTCACAAATACAGAGTATCTAAAAGCACCAAGTGATGGTACTTGTATGTTCCTACCTTTTTCCTTTTTGAATTTCTAACTTTCCTTTGTATCACTACACTATTTTAAATTATTGTCAACTTTCAACTCAGATTTATTTTTCCAATATTTTATCCTGAAAAATTTCGAATATATAGATAAGTTTAAAAAATTGAACTGTGAAGACCCATTTATCTACACCTAGATTCTACAATTAAATTTCATTCTACTTGCTCTTTCATGCATCTGTTCATATATCCTCCCTCTATCTACATAATAGTTCCTCTTATTTTAATGCATTTCAAGGTAAGTTGCACACATCGCCATAATTTACTCCTAGACACATGCATGCCATTAACCTAGTGGTTAATACTTTGAATGGATCCTTTTCTCTTTTGAGGTAAAATTTACATGGAATGGAATGTACTTACCTTAACTGTACCATTCGGTGAGTTTGACAAATGTATACATTGGTATAATATAAATATAGCTCTCTATATGATATATGTCTGATATATATAAGTATATGTGATACATATATATAATATAAATACATAAATACATTGACATAATACCTACCAAGGTATAGAACAGTGCCTACGAAAGTACTCTCATGCCTCTTTCTGGTAGATTCCTGTCCTCCTCCTTCCTTCTCCCCCATTGTTCAGATGTATTATTCTAACATTAAATAGCAGCTGGCTGTTTCTCATCTAGTATGCCTAATTTTGTGTGGCTTTAAAAATTAGAAGTTCATCTATGTTATGGATTAGCTAGCTTAATGTTAAAAAGTACTGAGGCTAAAACGAGTCTCTGATCGCTTTTGTTTGTGTACCCTGTTGGTAAAATAATTTGAGCATACATCACTAATATATCTAAATTTTCTTTATATATACATGTGCTTTCTGTTACTACTATATACAGCATAAAATAAACACAAAAAGAAACTAAAAGGGATGACATGATGAAAACAATATGTTTTAAAATTTTCATTGCACAATATCGTTAACAGTAATAATACTTATTATTACTTATAGGTTAAGTTCATATTTTTTAAAGTCTTAATTTTTGGAATATTTTCTGCCTGCTTCTTGTGAGATTTGACTAGATGGATGGTCATTGTTCTTAACTTCCGAAGAGATTTTCTAGAATAGAAGTGTCAGCTTAGACATTTACCTTGTTGTTTGCTTGCATCTACATTACTAATATTATTTTTGTGTAGGAATCTTTCTTTTTTTTAGCCACCTGTTCATTTGGTGAGAGCTAGTTCAGTTAGAAGTAGATATTCCATAATCCTGCTCAACCGGGCACACACCAAATGGCAGTAAATCACAGTATACTCAACGTGAATAAACATAACCATCTGAATAAGAATACTATTAATAGTGTCAACTTGCATATAAAATACTAGTAAAATTTACTTTTTAGCTAAAAGAGTAAGAAACTGAAATCAAAATTCTGTTTTCTTCCCATACCCCACCCAAACCTTCCGCTGAGATGTGAGCACTCTGCTTATGTTACCCCCTACTCTAAAAGGTCAGAAAACAATGTAAACGAAAAGCCTCAAAATTATTGTGCTTTAACTAAAGCACTTTTTTACACTTAAAAACTTTATATGAGAATTATCAAATATTGCTAGTAGAGTGTATTGATAGTTACTTAAGAAAACTGACTTAATCTACATATGCTTACCTTGTGACCTAGCAGTCTCTTCTAGGCATATACCCAAGAGAAATGAGTGTTTATATTCACCAAAATACTGTACAAGAATGCTCATACATAACAACTTTCTTCATGATAGAACAGGAAACAACCCAAATGTCCATCAGCAGGAGAATGAGTAAACAAATTTGTAGTATATTCACATAGTGGAGTACTATTTGACAATAAAAAGGAATAAATTACTGATACAGTGGTCACTGGTTTGTAGTGGGTAGAAAGGAGTTATTGAATAGGAGAAGGCACTGGAAATGTTCCCTGTCTTGATCTGGATGGTGTTACATGGATGTGTACATATGTAAAAATGTATCAAGCTGTACATTTAAGATTTGTGCACTATACTGTATGAAAGTTATACCTCAATTTAAAAAACACATTTTATATGAGTTAGGGAGAAAGGAGAACTAATACTTCTACATGGATTAAATTTCACTATTTTTAGCTTTCAGTGAGTTGTTTTTTTTCCTTCGAGTCCTCACTCCTACCAAGCTGCATCTTCCTATTCCCTTTTGACTTATTATAGAAACTTCATTTTCTACTTTAGAGCATTCTCTTTAGACTTTCTTTGAGTTCTGGTTTCAGCCTGTCTGGTTTGTTTACCTGCATCAGTGTCTTTCTCTTCCTTTAATATTAAATCACTGCTTATCATATTTTTGATCTAGCTTTCTTTAACCTCTCACTTTGTAAAGCATAAGAATAAAGCATTTGACCTTCCTATTTATATAGCTTCAAGAGCTGAGCTCTTACTGAACTTTTGTTGAGCACCTACTGTATGTAAGGCACAGGGGTATAGTTTTTTCATATCTCTAGCAATAGATTAAATTTGCAGCAATTCTAAAACATGATTATGAAGTGTTTCCATACCCTTTATTAATATAAATATTTGTTGGGAATCTTCCTTTTCTGATCCATAGCACTTTCAGGTTTTTTGCATTTGACAATGATCTACTAAGAAGGTGATAAATTTATTTCTGGAGACCAGGCCACATTATTTTCAGAGAATCATTTGGGACTTAAGTTCTTTTTAATCTCAACATAAAGTAAGGTGTTTATAATCTTCATTACTTTGGCCTAAGAAGTACATCAGTTGTTCAGTCCTGGCACAAGCTCACTCAGTCTTTTTCCCAGGGACTACTTTCACTTTGCCAAGGATTTGGCAAATTGTCTCATTTTCTCCCACTTAATCTGGGAGCTCATAGGAACTTTAAACTTTTGATACCAATATGTTCATTTTCCGATGCTCCCGTTTCAACCAGATGAGTCTCTATTCCTGGCACATCCCCTTTGGAATTCTCTAATGACTACTGTTCCTCCATGATTTGGAAAATAATATTAATTCTCGGAAGTCAGTTTTCTACTATTAGAGATTGTATTTGATTCTTTTGGGAAATGACTGATGGTTTAAAATTATGTACAACTTCATTGAAAAGCCTGTTTGCATTAGAAAAGTATTATAGGCTTGTAAGTATAATAAATATAGTAGGAGACTAGCCCGAATATATTTATTTATTGGAGAAAGCTTTCTGTTTCAAAAGTCTCAGATGTTAGATCAGAATCCATCCCACTTGATGTAGTTATTCATCCACTACAAAAAGGTGTTCTAATCACTTGCAGTGCTACTGAAAGCATGTCCTGTGAA
Organism: Homo sapiens; assembly: GCF_000001405.40. Taxonomy (NCBI): domain Eukaryota; kingdom Metazoa; phylum Chordata; class Mammalia; order Primates; family Hominidae; genus Homo; species Homo sapiens. The sequence continues at coordinate 83,201,378 of NC_000015.10, read as the reverse complement.
TGTTACTTGTCAGTGACAAAATAGGTACAGAAATTGAAATAAGAGTTTAGAAATTTTTAGAGCCGTTTGATGGAGTAGCTTTGTGAATCTAATAATTGAGGCTTACATTTTGTATGTCTTTATTTTTCTCATAATTTATTTTTATTTTATAAACATGTCTGTTTGCAACTCATTAGAACTTTAAAAAAAAAAACTAGTCATTCACTCTAGGTAGAGTAGAAGTACTGACTATGAAGGATCTTTAAAGGTCAATAGTGGTCCTAATACGTAAAATAATTTGCTCATATGGTGTATTTAAACTATTGGCAACTATGTAAAAGGGGGAATGGGTTGACCTTCATGTTACAAATATTAATTTCTCCTGCATAAAAGTACCCTCATTGAAATAGAGGATAGAGATTATAAATTATTTTTTTCTGTCTTCTTTTTACCTAGATAAGAATTTACCACATTTAGTCTGGTAAATAACCATCTGTATGGTCACAGAGAGCCACACAGAAGTGAAAAAAAAAAAAAAAAAAAGAATAAAGTAATCTAATGATTGGTGAGCACAAGCCTTCAGAATGACATCCTCCAGATTTCTGAGGAAGTCCTGCAATGAAGAGAAAGAGAATCAGACCAGGGGTTAAAAGACAAGTACTTCATTCCACTACTATCTTGGTTTGTTAGGCTGGGCATCTTTTTTATTGTGAACCTCTTTGTAAAATAGGATGGATGATAATTCTTACTCTTTCCCTTCTTTTTCCTAAGGATCAAATGTTAAAATGTATATGAAAGAACTATTTGCTAATTAAGTTCCAATTAAGTTACTAAATAATTATCTCCCAAGAACACAAAGCTTCTTACTTATACAATGCAGGGAACGTAGTAAAGTCTCAGTAAATGCTTCTGTGGTTTGGAAGGTATGTTTTTCAGCAGCTGCTTTGTGGCTTTATAATAGTGAGTTGGCTCTAGACTCTGGGAATTTGGGGACTTCCCATTGTTACCCATCTTGATTTCTGAGTGTGATAGGCCATTTCTTTTTTTTCTTTCTTTTTTTTTTTTGAGATGGAGTCTTGCTCTGTCATGAAGGCTGGAGTGCAGTGGCGGGATCTCCGCTCACTGCAAGCTCCGCCTCCCGGGTTCCTGCCTCAGCCTCCCGAGTAGCTAGGACTACAGGTGCCCACCACCACGCTGGGCTGATTTTTTTGTATTTTTTTAGTAGAGATGGGGTTTCACTGTGTTAGCCAGGATGGTCTCAATCTCCTGACCTCGTGATCTGCCTGCCTCGGCCTCTCAAAGTGCTGGGATTACAGGTGTAAGCCACCACACCTGGCCTTTTTTTTTTTTTTTTTGAGATGGAGTTTCGCTTTGTCGCCCAGGCTGGAGTGCAGTGGGGCGATCTCGGCTCACTGCATCCTCTGCCTCCTGAGTTTAAGCAATTCTCTGCCTCAGTCTCCTGAGTAGCTGAGATTACAGGTGCCCACCACCATGCCCGGCTAATTTTTTTTTTGTATTTTTAGTAGAGACTGGGTTTTACTATCTAGGCCAGGCTGATCTTGAACTCCTGACCTCGTGATCCACCCGCCTCGGCCTCCCAAAGTGCTGGGATTACAGGTGTGAGCCCCTGCACCTGGCTTGTGATAGGCCATTTCTGGAAGTTCCACAGAGCTTCAGGATTTGGGGACAAGATAAACTGGACCACATTAACATACAAAAAGGGTCTAAGAATAAACTATTCTTCTCATTTGATCATTGAAACTCATATTCTGAATAGATTCTCTAAGTCTGAATATAGAGTCTATACAGCTACCCAGAAGTAGAGGTGTCAGTGTAGGGGAGTCAGTGGTAGCTGCCAGGTTGCCTGTATGGGGACTGGAAAATTTCTGATCACATAGTAATAACTTCTCAGTTTCTATTGCAAAATACGAGATGAGAGTGGTTTTAAGTGATAGTTTCAGTAGTGGTTAGCACATATAAAAATGAGTTTCACAGAAGATTAAGGATTTTTTATGATGTAGACAGGTCAGAAAATAAACTCAACTTCAGATCTCTATTTCCTTTTCCTTTGACACTGAAGTAGTACTTTATTATTAATAACATGTTTGATCTTGGAGGAAATGCTTGTTCAGAGGGAGTAGTAGTATAAATTCTCAGTTAATGCTTTTAGAGTTACCATATGTTGAATGGATTGAAAATTCCCTCTAGACCACTATTTGATGTTCCAAATGAAACCAACTAATTTAAAACAAGTTATAACTTCTCTTATCTCCTTCCCTGGACTACTACATGATGATGAAGTCAATAATTTTGAAAAAAATATTTAGACTTTGGAAATGAGTTGTTGTTGCTGATTGATTGCAGTCTAACGGCTTTCAGGTTTTTTGACTGTAACCTACAGTGAGAAATAAATATTAATTCCCATCCCAGTACGTGCACATGCATGCACACACACACTGCTGAGATTTTTATATGATCCGTTTGTCCCCTCCAAAACTCATGTTGAAATTTTATCCCCAGTGTGGTGGTGTTGGGAGGTGGGTTCTAGCGAGAGGTGTTTGGGTACTGTTGCTGGTCCTGTGGTAGTGAGTTCTCCCTCTCTGGAGACTAGATTAGTTCTCTGAGAATAGATTAGTTCTTGCAAGAGTGAGTTATAAAGCAAGTTTCTTCCTCCTGTTTGGTTGCTTTTCACGTGTCCACTTTCCCTTTGACCTTCTTTGCCATGTTTTGAGTTAGCACGTGGCCCTTACCAGAAGCTGAGCAGATGCTGGTACCATGCTTATACTTTCCAGCCTGCAGAACCATGAGCTAAATAAAGCCTGTTTTCTTTATAAATTACCCAGCCTCATTTATTCTGTTACAGCAACCCAAAATGGACTAAGATGCACCTATAACAAAAAAATTTTCAAGTTGTACTTACTATATGTGATACATTCTGATATTTTTATATTTCATTTTATGTAAAGTCAGGTTGCAACCTGCTAAATGAGTTTCATTACCTACAGTTTGAAAAACACTGGTCTGGTCAGTAGGCCAAAGGGAAAGTAATCTCTGTGAGTTGTATGCGTTTATATAGAACAGAAGTTGGATTTTTGAGAGGATGATTTGTTAACAGTCCTGAGCTTTTTATTCTGCTGTAGCCACAGTCTTACATGAAGGTCACACGAACATAAATTAAAGCAATAGTGTATTAGGTCATTGAACTATCCAGGCCAATATGTCCCCTGATCCCAAAAGGTTAGTTATATAGATTTTAATTCTCATCTTCCTTTTAATCTTTCAACTGCAAATGTATCAACAACTATATATATAATTAATTGGCTTCTTTTTTTTTTTTTTTTTTTTGAGACGGAGTCTCTCTCTGTCACCCCAGGCTGGAGTGCAGTAGTGTGTTCTTGGCTCACTGCAAGCTCTACCACCCTCCTCATCACCCCCTCCCCGCCGCCCCCAGGTTCTCCTGCCTCAGCCTCCCAATTAGCTGGGATTACAGGCGCACACCACCACACCCGGCTAATTTTTTAGATGTTTAGTAGAGATGGGGTTTTGCCATGTTGGGCAGGCTGGTCTCGAACTCCCAAAGTGCTGGGATTACAGGCGTGAGCCACCGTGCCCGGCCTATAATTGACTTCTTAAAGGTAGTAAGTTCCACACGTTTGCTGACTACCGAGTTATATACAGTGTTTGACAAACTAGTGTTCCGTGGCTGATGATATTGAGGCTGTGGAGTTTTCCTGGTTTGTGGGACTAGACTGTGGAGGTATCAAGCTATGACTGAAGATGATGAGCTTTTGTGAAGTTCAGAAACTTGAAGATAGGGCAGGTTTGTGGTACCCTTTAAAGTGGATGTAAAGTTTTTGCGATTAACATGTTTCTAATGGTTTTGTATTTCCTTTTTAATTATTTTGTCCTATCAAAAAGAGATTGCCTTGCTACTGTGAGATATAGCAATCTGAGTAGAGAGAACCTGGTATTGATGATAGGAAGGCATTCTTCAATTTTTTAAAAGAAACATTTCTGAAAAGTTACTGTAAGCACAGTTTTATGTCTTACATCTGGCTCACTGACTCACATAAAATATGTAAAATGTTATTAGAAACAGACCCACTATACTATTATAAATGGAAATATTTTGAAGTAAAAGAAATAAGATTAGATTAAATTTTATGATATGCCAGGTGTTCAAGAACTCTGGCTGTTCTCCAGCTCAGCACTGACCCTATCTTATGCTATGTGTGATGTCAGGGGAAGGACAAAGCCTTTGGTAGAGTTATGAAATATCATGGTCTCCATTCTTCGTTTTGAGTACACTCCTGGGATAAAGATTTATTTAACTACAAAGGATCAGGTAACCCAGAACAAATGTGTCCCTTATTTTTATATTGTAAAAGCAAATGACAAAAGTAGTGCAGCTTAACAAGAGTGGGCATGCCCTAGGTCAGCTCCTTGTACATCTTCCTCAGATGTTAGTAGATACATTTACTATTCTCTTCCAGCCTTTCCCCCTCATTTTCAGCAAATTGTTTTACCTTCATACTTCATAGAGAAAATAGATGCCAACAGGCTTTAACTGCACCTTCCTATCTTTTGCTTATAAATGAAAATCATCTCTCTCTAACCTTCTCTAATCCTCTTGGATTTTTGTTTCCCCCTTTTTTGTTAATCAATTCTATTTTTTTCTCTAAATCATTAATTTCTGATCTCATCTTCACTACCTTTCCCCAAGTATATTTTTCTTTTCTTCTATTTCAAACTTAATGAAATAAAGTCTTATTTAATTTTTTTGAAATCTTTTTGAAAATGAAAACTTTTAAAGCTAGTTTTCCTCAGGTCATATTTGGCTTCATGATGTAGATTTGAATAATTGGTGTTTTATAGTCATTTTCAAAATAGGTTTTGTGATTTTCATTTCTGAGTTGGCCCAAGAGATATTTAGGAGAGAATTTTAGGAATTATAACTGGCTAAAGAGTTTGTATGTAATGCTTTATTGTTTTTTAATATGGTTATCTTGTAGTCAGATTATGTATCCTTTTTAACTATTTTAATTCATTTAGTGTTCTTTTCATATGTGATCAACTTTTAAAAAATGGTTTTTGTATTCCTGAAAAGAAAGCTTCTTTAGGAGTCAATAAGTATATTGACTTAATAAATGAGTCAATAAGTATATTGACTTAATAAATAAGTCAATAAATATAATGGACAAATATAAATATATTGATATTTACTAATATATTTTTTAAAATTCTTAATGTTTATTTTTTGTCAACTACTCTCTCCAAAATGAAGAGGTATATAAATCTAACATATCTATTATATTTCTACATATCTGTCCCTTTTTTTGACCGTTTATTTAATAAATGTCAGGGCTTTATTTGGCACATAAATGTGTATAACTTGTAACTTCAGGATGGAGTCAAAATATAGTGATCTGCTATTTCATACTTTCTAGCACATAAGTTATAGTACTTCGTTGGATATTAGTTTTGTAACCTGTTTTCATTTTTGCTTTTATTTCACTAATACATCTTTATCCAGAATTTTACTCAAAACTTTTCTGTTTTGTTTTAAGATATAAGTATATGTAACTTAATTTTTTTAACCATTCCTAGGAGATTTTTTTCCCTTTTTTCATTCTTTGCCAAATTTTGTAAGAACCTGGTTTTCAGCATTTAAGCATATAACATTCTTAATTTCTGTCATTGAAACTTTTACTTTTTAAATTTTCAGTTATTTCCATGTGAAGGTAGAACTACGTGAATTGGGTAACATTAATGTTCTACCATTATAATCTCATTAGGTGTTTATTGAGTATCTCTTCTGGGTTAGTAACTGTGATAGACTTAGCATTATAAAAATTAATAAGACATGATTTTAACATTAAAGAGCTTGAGATAGATTAAGGAACAGAAACATGTACATAGAGGAATACAAGTGCAATATATGTAGATCTCGATGACAATATTTTTCTTTTATTTTTTTAAAAAGACACATTTATTCAGTATCATGATCAGACTATTACATTTAGCAATCAACAGCATGGGTGCAAAAAAAAATCTACATTAAAAAACCTTTGTTGGAATGTTTTACACTTTCCACATAACAGAAACTAAAATAACCTGTTATACAATTAGTCACAAATACAATCCTCAAGTTTTTTGCCCAATATTTGTCTGAAACATGATGACAGGATTTTTCTATCTTTGCAATTAGACTAAATGAACAAGAATGAGCCAAAACTGACTAAGAAAGAGCGTGGAAAAGAGAATACATGGAGACATTTTTAATTGGCAATTTATTACAAAAAGACTGGGTTTCAGCTTTTTTTGTCATACGATATTGAAATGTAGTTTTTGGAACTGTCTACATTATTTGTAATACAACTATATAGTCTTACCATTAGAAAGAGATAACACTGCATCCTGAGTGAGCCCTCCTTTACATTTTGTTCTATTGCTTTTTCCTTCCCTGCAGGCAATTTCAAAGTCTTTAATGAAAATTTAAATGATAGTACCTTCTGAGACATAAGATTTAAGATGATTTTCAGTGTTGTTTTCGAAGGGATGAGAAAGCTAAAATGCATTAATCTCTTTTACCAACTGACTTGCTCAGTTACAGAGCAAGTAAGTGGAAGGGAGCTGCACTAAAATTCATTGCCGTCTGCACCCATCTCCATAGGATGCCAGGAGGAAGTGAAAGGAGATAAGGAATTCACACTAACCACTTTGACAATTAGGCAGAAACCCTGAATTTATTTTAGGTAAAGAAAAGGTGAAAACCAGACTTGGAATAAGCTTTTTATGTGCTCATTGTAATTAAAAAAAAATTTTAATTGTAAAAATACATAGAATGTAATTTATACCATCTTAATAATCATTTTAAGTGTATAGTTTATGTAATATTAAGTACATTGTTTTGTAACCATCACCACTCTCTATCTCCAGAACTCTTTTCATCTTGCAAAACAAACTATACCCATTAAAAAATAACTCTACATTCCCTGCCTCCTAGTCCCTGGCAATCACCTCTCCACTTTGTGTCTCTATGAGTGGGCTACTCTGGGTACCTCATACAGATGGAATTATACGGTATGTGTTTTTTTGTGACTGGCTTATTTCACTTAGCATAATATCCTTGAGGCTCATGTATGTCCAAATTTTCTTCCTTTTTGAGACTGAATAACATCCCATTGTGTATATGTAAAACATTTTGTTTATTCATCCACTGATGGATACCTGAGTTTTTTTCACCTTTTGGTTATTGTGAATGATGCTGTTATGAACATGAATGTACAACTATCTCTTAAAGACCCTACATTCTGTTCTTTGGAGTAGGTAGCCAGAAGTTGAATTCCTTGTTCATATTGATGCAGGACAGGTGAGCCCCCAAATTGGGGCTTAGCTTGGGAGGGTTCTTGGCTTTGCCCAGGAAAGAATTCATGGGTGGGGTGGTGGTGGTGTGAGTCAGCAACTCTTATTAACGTGGCAGCGTATAGCAGCAGCAGCACAGGTACTGCCCCATGCAGAGTGCAGCTACACTATAGGCTACCCTGTAGGCAGTGTACCCAGAGTAGCAGTTCAGGGGCAGTTCTGCAGTCATGTTTATATCCACTTTTAATTACATGGAAATTAAGGGACAGATTATGCAGAAATTCCTAGAAAAAGGATTGTAACTTCTGGGTCATTGTGTCCTTGCCATGGAAAGGGGCAATAACTTCCAGATGTTGTGCTGGCAACGGTAAATTGACATGGCACTGGTAGGTGTGTCCTACGGAGAGTTGCTTTCATATTTTTCCTGTTTCTGCTAGTCTTCAATCTGGTCCAGGGTCTAAGCCCTGCCTTCTACTTCAATATGGTAATTGTATTTGTAATATTTTGAGGAAACACCGTACTGTTTTCCATAGGGACTGCACCATTTTACATTCTCACCAACAATGCACAAGGGTTCCAATTTCTTTACTTCCTCGCCGATGCTTATTTTCTGTTTTTTTTCAAAGTAGGAATCCTAATGGGTGTGAGGTGGTATCTTATGGTTTTGACTTGCACTTCCTTAATGAGCAGTAATGTTGGGCATCTTTTCGTGTGCTTATTGGCCATTTGTATGTCTTCTTTGGAATAATGTCTATTGTCCTTCACCCATTTTTTAATCAGCAAAAAATGGTGGTTGTTGTTGAGTTGTAGGACTTAATCATATGTTCTGGTTGTTAGCTTCTTAGGAGATCTATGATTTGCAAATAATTTTCTCCCATTGCACGGATTGCTTTTTTTTACTCTTGATTTTTGTGCTTATTGTAATTTATTCAAATAAGCAGAGAACGGGACTCTGGAAGAGATGTCCCATGACAGTGAGTTTTTATGGAAGTCCATATGTGGTAAAGGCAGGAGCAATGAAGTAAGGTCCTGTGGTGACATGGCGTTACATGGAATAGAACAGGAGAGGAAGTTACTGGAAGATAAAGAGCTAAGACTAAAGACAAACCTCAGAAGTTTGCCCAGGCCTGTCCTTAAATGAGGCAATTGGTTAGAATTGAGAACAAAGAAAGTAAGATAGTGTTCAGAAAATGCCTGTGTTTGATTATTTAAATGATTGAATCAGATGTTGTACATATAGGGTGGTCAAGATGGATTGGTTGTGCTACCACTTTTATTTGTTTTTAAAACAGGCATATCTTAAGACTCAAAAAACCCAAAACTTAAGATTTTGTTTTATGCCTAGGATTTTTCAAATTTTCCTGTGATGAATTTCATCCTTGAGACATAAACTGAAGGAGATTATTTCTGAAAAAATTATCCAAAAAATGCTGTCTTTTCTGGACATTTATGTTCCCACAACCAAGTCTTAACCTGTACTTATGGAAATATTACAATTAGCTCATTCATCGTGCCTTTTTTCTTATTTTATTGGGAACTACATTGACTCATCAAAAATTAATGTTAGCTTCCTAATCAAAGTACTCACCATGTCTGCTCTCTTAACTGTGGCATATATTGGTATTTTCTTCCTACTGTTTGCTTTCCATAATTAAATGTTTGTTTAGCAACCCTGTCAGGAGTGCATGTCTATCAAAATTTGTTTTGTTTTGTTTTTTATTTTTAGATTGGAACTTTTGGCAGAAAGTCAAAACTGTCTTCATATCTGTATCCTTAGAAAGAGGTGAGTTACAGGTCAGGCACTGTGGCTCATGCCTGTAATCCCAGCACTTTGGGAGGCCGAGGCAGGTGGATCACCTGAGGTCAGGAGTTCGAGACCAGCCTGGCCAACATGGTGAAACCCCACCTCTACAAAAATACAAAAAATTAGCCAGGCGTGGTGGCAGGCATCTCTAACCCCAGCTACTTGGGAGGCTGAGGCAGGAGAATTGCTTGAACCTGGGAGACAGGGGTTGCAGTGAGCTGGGATTGCACTATTGCATTCCAGCCTGGGTGACAAGAGCGAAACTCTGTCTCAAAAAAAAAAAAAAAAAAAAAAAGGAGAGATAAGTTACAATAGGATGCATTTAACAGATGGTTCAAAATCCTTACAATGTTATTAATGCTACCATAGGTTAAGTTTTTGAGACATTTGATGGATTATCATGCTTGTGCTTGGATTCGGTGATTTTTGCCTTTTGTCTGGTATCAGTCTAGGATATACATCCAAAGATAACAAGCAGAAGAATCAATGTTACTGAAAATAAGTTAGCCAAATAAATGACAGACTTTGAGGAACATATCCAGAGTATAATAAAAGAAAGTTTTCCTCACCTTAATAACAGACATAGTTGGAAATTGACAAGGTTTATAACATGTTAGATTCCAAGACATACTTTAGTTAAAGTCTTAAACTTACAATTTTATATGTTTCCAATAAAAAATTGGGACAAACAGAATTAGCTTGTTGAGATTCACAATTAACTGTTGGAATTTGGATTATATCTTTGGATTAGTATGGGAAGAATTGACATCTTAGAATATTGAGGCTTCTAATCCATGACTGTGGCTTATTTTTATATTTATTTAGGCCTTCTTAAATGTTTTAAAATTGTTTTGTAATTTTCTGTACATATATTTTAGGTATATTCTTAGGTATCTTTTAGTCCTTGCTGATTTTATAAATGCGTGTTTAATTGTGTTTTCTTTTTATTTCTGTTCTTTCAAATGCATGTATAAAGACAGCCAAAACAAGACATTTCTGAACAAGGAGAATAAGGTGGTGAGACTTGTCCTATCAGTTATCAACACACAGAATTGTTCAAATAGTAATTAACAGTAAATTAAGACCGCTTTTGGCTCAGGGAGAGATGTATTAACCAGCAGAATAGAAAGTGAATACAGAAACCGGCCCACAGATAGATGGAATTCTTGATATGGAATTCAAGATCAAGGGGAGGAAAGGAGAAACTTTTTTAAAAACACTGATATGATTAGTTATCCATATAGGTTAAATATCCATATGGGTTAACTTTCATAGTATCCATATGAAATTAGATCCTTAATTCACACCATGTACAAAAATCGTTTCTACATAGATAAAAGTGTGGAAGGCTTTCAGGGCCTGTGGGAAAATATCATTGTGTCCCTGGAGTAAGGAAGAATTTCCTGACAAGACATAGAAAGAACTAGCCATAACAGGAAAGATTAATAAAATTGTGTACATTAAAATCAAGTGCTTTTGTTCACTGAAAAACTCTATAATGAAATTGAAAAGATAAGCCACAAAATGGGAGAAGATGCTTACCATACATAGAACCAATAAAGCTTTAGTATACAAAATGAGTCAGTAAGAAAAAGACAAAAGCTCAATGGGAAAATGGGCAAAAGACATGAACAGCCATTTCATAGAAAAAATACATAAGGCCTATAAATATATGAAAAGATGCTCTGCCTCATAAGTAATCGGGAAATGCAAAGTAAGATCAATATGAGACTGCCAAAAATTAAAAGGTTTGCCAGTATCATATGTTAAAGAGGATATGGGTGAACAGAAACTCTTATACAATACTGAAGAAGTATATACTGGTCCAACCCCTTTGGAAAACAATTTCACTTTATGTTGTAAAGTTGGATTTTGCATACTTTCTGACTTAGCATCTCTAATCCTAGTTGTACACTCTAGAGAAATACATATAACAGAAGATATGTACAAGAATTTTACAACAACAGGATTCATAATGGTGAACAAAATTTGGAAATGAGCAAGCTTTTTTTTTTTTTTTTTTGAGACAGAGTTCAGCTCTGTTGCCCAGGCTGGAGTATAGTGGCACAATCATGGCTCACTGCAGGCTCCCAAGCTCAAGCAATCCTCTTACCGCAGACTCTGTGCCTAAGTAGCTAGGACTACAGGCACACACCACCACACCCAGCTAATTTTTTTGTTTTGTTTTGTAGAGATGAGGTCTCACTATGTTGCCCAGGCTGGTCTTGAGCTCCTGGGCTCAAGCAATGATCCCACATTGGCCTCCCAAAGTGCTGGAATCATAGAACCCAAGCTTTTTGATGGAGGATGAAAAGTTAAATTGTAGTGTATTGACATAACAGGATATTATGCCGCATTAAATATGAATGAGCTACAGCTATACATTGGTTGCTTTCAATGTAGTTAATCAGAGTACCTTTGCAATTATCAGTGTCAAAAATAATAAAGCAATATTTACCCATTATTTTAAAAAAAATGATTGAATTCCCACTGTATGCCAGATTACTGTTCTGAGTGCCAGGGATTTAACAGTGAACAAGAAGGACACATCTTCTGTCTTCATGAAGCTTATATTTTAGTTTAGAGGGGGAGATATGAATTAGTAAGCAAGCAGAGTAATATGTAATTTAATGTAGCCAGGAAAGGTATGGAAAAAGATGAAGCAAAGTAAGAGGCTAGCATGTATGTGATGTGTGTGTTTCTGTATAATAAAGGAAGACTTCTGTGAAAATGTGACACTTCAGCAGAGTTGGATGTTCTGAGGAAAAAGTAGGAATGAGCTCAGCATAATCAAGGAAAAGCAAGAAGGCAAATGAGGCGCAGAGTGAGCGAGCTAGGACCTGGGGGAGAAGGACAGAAGATGAATTCAGGTAGGTAGACAAAGCCATATCATGTAAGGCCTTATAGTTTAGTAACAAGTTTAGAGTTTTTAAAGTAGGATGGAAAGTCATAGGAGAGTTTTAAGCAGGGGAATTACATGATCTGATTTATATTCAGGGACTGAAGAATTGATTGTTGGGGGCAAAGGGAGGGGTGGAGTAGGGGAAGGTAGATTCAAAGGGCCCAGTTGGTAGGCTTTCATAGAAGTTTGGATGATAGTGGAGTAGATAGGGATGGGGTAGAGTAGCAGTGGATGTAGAAAGAAGTGGTTAGTTTGGTGACATGTTTTGGGGTATAATTGAAGGACACAGTGATGAATGAGATATGTCTGTGAGGGGGAGGAATAAATCAATAATGAATTCCAGGTTCTGGTAAGGGCATCTGGGTGGATGGTGACGCCCTTTACTCACATGGAGAATCTTGAAAGCTAAGTAGATTAGGCCACAAGATGTTAAGAGTTCATTTTAGAAATGCCAGTGAGACACCCAATATGTGAGTCTGAAGCTCATATGAGAGGTCTGGAGTTTGAAGATAGAAATATGAGACTCATCAACATACAGGTGGCATTTAAAACCATAGAACCAGATGAAATCACCAAGGGAGTAAGTAAGTGTAGGTAGGTAGAGAAGAGAAGAGGGGCTATGAAAGGAGACTCATAAGAAGTGGATGGTAAGATAGGGAAAAAGTATATTACGAGACTATGGCATCCTGGAATCCGAGAAGAAAATACGTCAATGGATACATTACATAATGAATAAATATGCAGTGGAAATTGTACATATCAGATGAGTATATTATACATTAATAGTTGTTTTTAAAAAATACTGTAATCCCAGGTTTTGGGAGGCCAAGGTAGGCGGATCATCTGAGGTCAGGAGTTCAACCTGGCCAACAATGGTGAAACCCCATCTCTACCAAAACATACAAAAATTAGCTGGGTATAGTGGTGGTGCACACCTGTAGTCCCAGCTACTCAGGAGGCTGAGGCGCGAGAATTGCTTGAACCAGCAGGCAGAGGTTGCAGTGTGCTGAGATCACCACTGCCCTCCAGCCTGGGCGACAGAGTGAAACCCTGTCTCAAAAAATTAAATAAAAATAAATAACCCTGTAGGGAAATGCAGAAATGATATTAATAGGCAGTTCACTGAAAGGCAAATCTTGATGGCCAGTAAACTTATGAAAAGATGCTTAACCTCACCATTAATGAGGGAAATACAAATTTAAAAGAGCAATAATGTCTAATGCTGTCAAAGATTGGAAGGGAAGTCATTTTCATACTTTGGTTGAAATGTAAATTATTATAGCCTTTAAAAAATATGTTCTGGTAATATCTGCTAAAATGGAAAATACCTCTAATCTATGATCCAACAATCTCCTCAAAGTCTATCCCATGTAAATAGAAGCACCAGTGCATAAAAATGTGTGTTTACTGCAACCTTTTCCTTTTTTTTTTTTTTTTTTTTGAGACAGAGTTTCGCTCTTGTTGCCCAGGCCAGAGTGCACTGGCACAATCTCAGCTCACTGCAACCTCAGCCTCCCAGGTCAATCAGTTCTCCTGCCTCAGCCTCCCGAGTAGCTGGGATTACAGGCATGTGCCACCATGTCGGGCTAATTTTGTATTTTTATTGGAGACGGGGTTTCTCCATGTTGGTCAGGCTGGTCTCGAACTCCGGACCTTAGGTGATCCGCCCGCCTCAGCCTCCCAAAGTGCTGGGATTACAGGCGTGAGCCACCACGCCCGGCCACTGCAGCCTTTTTCTAAGGAGAAAAGCACTGAAAACAAGGTAAATGCCCATCCCTGGGGAAAGGTTAAATAAATTATAGGTTATCCAATTGCTGTATTATTATGCGGCCATTAAAAACAAATTAATTAAATTTATGGCAATTGACTGCAAGGACTTTTCATGGTGCAGAGAATTTTATAAAGTATGATTCCTGTGTGTGTATTTGTGGTGGTGTGTGTTTGAGAGAGAGACACACACAGAGAGTAGTTCTCCACACACACACACAAAAAAAAAACTCTGCCCGTGTAACATTTGTATATGATTATGTATATGAACATGGAGAAAAGCATACTTTGTTATAAGTAGTGATTACCTGAGGAAGAGTAAGTCTGGGGGAAGATTTAGCGGTAAGCCTCCACTTACTCAATTAACAAACAAACAATGTCTCTGTTTAAAAAAAAAAAAAAAGAATTTCCAAGAAAAGTAGCTTCTGTGACATACAGCCCATTTATGTAAAATATATGTGTGTATATATATGACATGAAAAGATAGTCACCAAAATGAGAATCCTAAAGTATAACTAATTTTTTAAAGTAAAATGCTAATTTGGGATATATTCATCACCATTTTTTTTCTCCTTTCATTGCTGGTTCAGATGGAGAATGCTAATATTGATCAGATAAATCCAATTTACAGATAGAATAAAGATAATTTTGTTTTTAAAAAATGTATTTATTTACTTATTTTTCAATATCTTTATGGGGTACAAGTGGTTGTTGGTTACATGGATGCATTATATTGCGGTAAAGTCTGGGATTTTAGTGCACCATCACCTGAGTATGCATTGTACCCAGCAGGTAGTTTTTCATCCCTCGCCCCCCTCCCACCCTCTTCCCTTCTGAATCTCCAGTGTCCATTATACCACTCTGTATGCCTTTGCGTACTCATAGTTTAGCTCTCACTCATAAGTAAGAACATGTAGTATTTGGTTTTTTATTCTTGAGTTACTTCACTTAAAATAATGGCCTTCGGTTTCATCCAGGTTGCTGTAGAAGATATTATTTCAGAATACAGAAAATTTTGAAATAAATTTACCGGATTACTATTTTGTGCTCTTCATTAACTTCTATTTGAACATCTATGTTCTTTTGCTGTCTTAGCCTTCCATCTTTAACCAGTAGTTTGAGTATAAACTAAATGAGACTTAGAATGGAAATTACAATAGGTTAATATCAAATCCATAAGCAGCTAGTAGTGTTCAGTTGAGCGATAAGTCTAACTGAATATCTGAATCATGAACACACTTGTCTGGTATCTCCTGCTTTGTTCTTGAACTCTTTTTGTAGTTTCTTCAGAGCTACTCCATATTAATTATATTTTGCTGTATAACAAGTTGCTCTAAAATTTAATGGCTTAAAACAATACACATTTAGTCACGATTTCTGTGTTTCTGGAATCCAGGCATGGCCGACCTGGATCCTCTGGCTCTGGGTCTCCCACAAGGGCAGTCATCTTAAGGCTTGTCTAGAGAGTAGATCCATCTTCAAGCTCACTTAAGTAGTTGTTGATGGGATTCAGTTCTTCATGGGTTGTTGGCCTAAGGGCCTCATTTCTTCATGAGATGTTGGCCAGAGCCTGCCTTAGGCTTCTTGCCATGTAGGCTTCATAGAATAACTGACAACATGGCAGCTGGCTTCCTCAGAGCGGACAAGCAAGAGAGCAAGAGTCAGCAATATAGAAGTCATAGTTTTTTGTAACCTAATCTTAGAAGTGGCATCCAATCCCCTTTGCCATGTTCCATTCATTATAAGTAAGTAACTAGATCCAGCACATACTCAAGGACAGGGGATTTTATGTAAGGATATGAATATCAAGAGTGGGGATCACACAAGCCATTTTAGAAACAACCTGCCACCTCCATCACCAGTGTTCCTGGGATTATCTCATCTTCACTTCTCAATACAGGCAAATGCATCTCTCTTGAAGTGGTCACTAAAACTCCCTCTTCCCAGGACATCTCATGGTATATTTTCAGCTTTTTTCTGCTATGATCCTCTCGCCTCCGGGTAGCCTCTTTGACGGGATTTAAGACAACCTCACACAGTCTCTAGCTGATGGTCTGTGGAAAACTTCTTTACCACAAGAAACTCTGAGAGTGCAAGCCAATCCCAGTGCAGTCACCCATTTCACTGTGCCATCAGACCAACTAACCAGAAAGTTCTGTGCTCTTAAGATTTCTTGGGCTTGAGTCAAATACCAGCATTCTATGACTTCTAGGCTCTTGAAGACTTATCTTAAGCTCTCCAAGCAGTCTTCTTAAAGCTTCTAGGCCGGGCACACTTTGGGAGGCTGAGACGGGCAGATTGCCTGAGGTCAGGAGTTCGAGACCAGCCTGGCCAACATGGTGAAACCCTGTCTCTACTAAAAATACAAAAGTTAGCTGGGCGTGGTGGTGGGCGCCAGTAATCCCAGCTACTCGGGAGGCTGAGGCAGGAGAATTGCTTGAACCCGGGAGGCAGAGGTTGCAGTGAGCCGAGATTGTGCCACTGCACTCCAGCCTGGGCTACAGAGTGAGACTCCGTCTCAAAAAATAAAAATTTAAAAAAAGGGTGCTGAGACCCACAGCATACACATAGCTTTTACTAAAAATTATCTCCTAATAACCTCCAACTCTCCTCTTGCCTTCTCCAAAACTGTTTGTTGTTGTACGAGAGTGAAAGTTTACAAGGGTCTTTACCACATTCTTTGCAAGTCTGGTAATGGTTACCCACCTCTTAATGGAAATGTATTATCTGTTGTCTTGGATTTTCCCTTGCAACTGACGCTCGAGTAGTTCCATATTGACATCTCATTTCATCTGCCATTTGCCTTCTTCCTGCTCTTTTTTTGAAGACATCTGCCCTGGGTAGTTTCCTGAAGTTATTGTAGCAATAAAAGTGATTACAGTACTACCTAATATATTAAACCAAACAGTGGAACCTAGTAGAGAAGACGGAGGAAAGATTCATAAAGAATGGGAAAGGGAAAGGAAGAGAGGAAAGCACTAAGTACCTTATTTCAGATTAGAATAGATAAAATATTTTATAACAGTAATTATATTATTAACAGTGATTATATTTTATAAGTTGTTTTGATAGTGTTCTTGAAATATCTAATTATAGAATTAAGAATGAGGTGTCTGAATACCTTATTCATAGAATAAAGATAAACATGAAGAGAGAAAACAAGCATAAAAAGCCAGACATCATAGTACAAGCATAAATGGTTTCCTTTTGGACTGATAAATAAAATCCAACAATATGTTGCTTATAAAACACTGACTTAACACAGATAGCAGAAGGCAAAAATTACCTCCAAATTGGAAAGCCCTATTTATCAGACTTGAATAAAACAAAGAGTTGGCAGTATTTATGTAAGAGAAAACAGAATTCAAGGGTAAAAAAGTTGATATCGCATATCATTTTTGTGTTAACAACTTAAAGCCCTCTGAAATTGACACCAAAAATAAAAGATGTGCCCAAATTGGCACAACTGTTATGAACTGGATTTACATGTATCTGAATTTAGCTTTTTGTACATGATTATCTTTCTTTAAATTTTTTGGTGGGAGAGGCAAGGCTTGGAAGATCTGAGTAAAGCAGTGAATTCTTTTCCCATTAAAATGAAATATATAAAATCTTGCATATAACTAGGGAAATTTTGCTGGAGGAGGGCCAGCTAAGAGTCATTATTGGGGAGATGGCAAAGGTAAGGTTAAAGTTCTGCAAATAAAGGTTCCTAGAAATTTAAACCAGGTTTAGAACTGGAAACCCTTACCAAACTCTCTTTGCAGTGGGAAAAGATACTTTTTTTTTTTTTTTCTTTTTTTTGAGATGGAGTCTCACTCTGTCGCCCAGGCTGGAGTGCATTGGCACAATCTCTGCTTACTGCACTGCAACCTCCGCCTCCGCCTCCTGAGTTCAAGCAATTCTGCCTCAACCTCTGATTACAGGTGCGTGCCACCACAGTCAGCTAATTTTTGTATTTTTAGTGGAGATGAGGTTTCACCATGTTGGCCAGGCTGTTCTCGACTTCCTGACCTCTAGTGATCTGCCTGCCTTGGCCTCCCGAAGTGCAGGGATTACAGGTGTGAGCCACCATGCCCAGCCAAGGTGCTCTTTATATTCAATCAGACAAGGTTCTTGTTGGTTCAGTTTTTTGAGGGCCTGTTAAAGGAGAAGTTGTAGACAGCAGGGCACAATAAATTTAATTGTCCAATTATTTAGCAATAATTTCACTCTACGATTTTTGTTTTTTTGAATGACACTTTTTTCTGGGGCAGGCCTTGTGCATGTATATTATTATTGGTTTCTTTTTGATTTTTATGTCATGGGGGTTTGGTGTACAGATTGTTTTGTCACCCAGGTAATAAACATAGTACCCAATAGCTACTACTGTGGTTTCAATCTGTACAGGGTTTTAAAAATCAACCTCGGCTTGTAATGAAGCACAGTAGTCTCCTGATTTATTGACTAGATAATATCTGTTGACTTTACATTTTAAGAGAAAAGGATATAGCCAATTTGTTAACACTAGTCTCATCCTCTTCTTCCCTCTCTATTTATATCAACGTATTATTTTGAAAATACTCAAATATACACAAAAGTTGAATATCACGGTGAACACCCATACACCCAAGACCTACATTCTATAGTTAGCATTTTGCTAAATTTGTTTTATCACATTTCTGTCCATCTAACAATCTCTGTTCATCCATCAAGCTATCTTATTTTTTATGTATTTTAAAGTGTAAATTGCAGACATTAATTTACTTCATCCCTAAATACTTCAGCATGCATATAACTAACTAGAGTTTAATATTTATTTAAACTTTTGAGGTAAAATTTACATACAGTGAATGCATAGATCTTAAGTGTTAAATTTCATGAGACCTGTATAAAATATTACCATTACCCCAGAAAATTCTCTAATACCCTTCCCAATCTCCAGAGGTAATCATACTCAGATTTTTTTTCACCATAGATTTGCTTTTCCTTTTCTAGAACTTAATATAAGTGGAATCATCCAATACGTACTCTTGTGTAAGTCTTCTTTCATTTAGCATAGTGTTTTAAAGATTCATTCATGTTATTGTATATATTAGTAGTGTTCCCTTGTATGAATATGCCATAGTTGGTTTGGCCACTTTCATTAGGACACCTGGGCTATTTCCAGATTTAGGCTATTAGGAATAAAGTTGCTATGAACAACCTTGTACAAATCTTTGTGTGGACATACCTTTTCATTTATTTTGAGTAAATACATAAAGCATTATAACACTTTAGTTTGTTAAAAGATATCCACAGAAGATACTACTTCATGCCTACTAAAATGACTAAAATTTAAAGTAAATACATAAAGCATTATAACACTTTAGTTTGTTAAAAGATATCCACAGAAGATACTACTTCATGCCTACTAGAATGACTAAAATTTAAAAGACTAGCCATAAAAAGCCATAAAAAGACTATGAGAAAAGGGAAATATCTGGTAGAGAGTACAGGGAAAATGTCTGAGATGACTTAAATGTTCTATACTTGATTTAGGTATTTGTTATATAGGTATATGCATTTATCACATTACCAAATAATGAAATACACATTTAAGATCAATGTATTTTACTGCATTTAAGTTTTACCTCAACAAAAGTAAAAATAAACCCTAAAAGCAAGTGTGTTTTATTTTATGCCTGTTCAAAATAGAATCTATGTGGACAATAGCTTTGAAGACCAAGGAGGATTGTGGAGGAGGAGGGTGCAGCGTTGGGGGAATAAGCCAGATCAGACAACTCAATTTAAAATGTGACTATAAGGGCCAGGCATGGTGGCTCACGCCTGTAATCCCAGTACTTCAGGAGGCTGAGGCGGGCAGATCACTTGGGGTCAGGCGTTCAAGACCAGCCTGGCCAACATAGTGAAACCCTTTCTCTACTAAAAATACAAAAATTAGCCGGGCGTGGTGGCACATGTCTGTAATCCCAGCTACTCGGAAGGCTGAGGCAGGAGAACCACTTGAACCCAGGAGGCGGAGGCTGCAGTGAGCTGAGATCGCACCTCTGCACTTCAGCCTGGGCAACAGAGTGAGACTCCATCTCAAAAAAAAAGTGACTACAAGAATTGAAAAGGATAAACCCTGGAGGTTTAAATGAAGATCATAAATCGAAATGCCTCACTTTTAACTATTCGAGCTGTGTTCTTTCAGTTGTCAGAGACTACGCCTCTCCCCAGGTATACTATGAGGCTGAGTTAATGCCCCACATATATTCTTCCTCCAGAATCAGCAGTGTAACATGCTAATGAGAAACCTCAGTAAATCATCTGGCCCATCCCCTTTATACAGCCTGCATACATCCCCTGTACATCTGCTATATACAACTTAGTTAAAAGCACTAAGTTCTAGGTATATCATGACCTCTCAAAATTATTTATAATTATTTTAAAGATTAAAATGACAATGTTTTTAGGGTTTTATTGGGTGAAAAAATGTCTGTAGCTATAAGATTGTTCTATCACTAGTAGATGGTCGTTTTTATATATTTGAAGATAACTCAGCCTGATATTTCATACATTTTTTCAAACTAGTATTTTGGAAGGTGTTTCCATATCATCATGCTTGCAGTTCTTTTAACAGTGTTCTTTTCAAATATTAAATTGCCGGGCATGGTGATTCACGCCTGTAATCCCAGCACTCTCGGAGGCCAAGGTGGGTGGATCACTTGAGGTCAGGAGTTCGAGACCAGCCTAGCCAACATGGCAAAACCCTGTCTCTACTAAAATTAGCCGGCCATGGTGGTGTGTGCTTGTAGGCCCAGCTACTTGGGAGGTTAAAGCAGGAGAATCGCTTGAACCTGGGAAGTAGAGGTTGCAGTGAGCCGACATCATGCCACTCCATTCCAGCCTGGGCAGCAGAGTGAGACTCCGTCTCAAAAAAAAAAAAAAAAAAAATTGATAAGTTACATGTTTATTAAACCAAACAGACTCTTATTTTTAAAATTCTTTCCCCTTTCTCCTGTATGCATTTCCTTTTTCATACTGTGATTTTCCCTTCTGCCCCTATGGTAAATTTGTTGACTGATTTGCAGACTTCTCTTTATCCAAATCCATTTTTATAACAACATCACATGTTAGGGTTTTTTCCCCTTTTCTAATTTACCACACCTCATAAACTTTTTAATAGCTAAAATGTTTTTTTCTCTACGTTTTTTGTCAGCTAGCCCAAAAAATTCTTCTCATTGGCATGCTCAGAGACAAGTTTGCTTGCCCTTCTTCCATTCTTTTCTTATGCATAGAGACTCCTTTATTCTATAACCTCATAATAATTTTTCTTAGTAATTTGTTATTGAACGTTATTCCACAACTCTCCTTTCTATTCCCCACCACAGCAGGGATTATGGATTCCCTCCATGTGTAAATGTGGGCATCGTCAGATCCGGAGTCAATCAGGACACTTTGGTCTTCCCTATTTTTTTTTTTCCTTTTCCACTATTGAATCCTGAAATAAATTCCTCAGGCTAGGTTTGGCATCTACTGTTTCAGCTGTAGTCTTGGATTTCCACCCACCACCTCCCTCTGCCCCCCGCCACACACATACACACCCCAAGTGACAATCCTTATACTTCACTCCTTACTTTCTCCCTTTCTCTCTTTCCCTTCACACACAACACACACAAAGAGCTGGCCAGGCCCATAGGACTAGACTTATAACATCATGCATTCAAGGGATATTTATTATGCACCTACCATTTTGTCAGGTACTGCTTTAGGCAGTAGTGCTACAGGGATGAACAAGTCTTCCCCTCATGGAGATTACTCTAATGTCAAGAGACAAACATATACTGAATATTAGAGAAATGCTAAAAATAAAAATCCATCAGAATAAGGGAATAGAAAATAATAGGGAAGGAGGTGCTGCTTCAAGTTAGGTTATAAAGGAAGTATCTCTGATGAGATGATATTTAAGCAGAGATTTGATTGGACTAAGGAAGTAGGCCTTGAGCACTTTCGAGAGAAGAGGCTTTGCCTATGGAGAACCTTGGTATCCTTGCCTAGCCCTCTGGTTCTTAGGACTTCTCACCCCCAACTACCATCTGGACTCCTACAATGAACAAAACCACTAAGCTACCACACATACAAGTTTGAGCCATGTGGAATTTCCTTGCCTCTGTTTCCTAATTAGATTATCGTCATGTTGGTACCTATCTGTGTTTTAATCACCTCCTATTTACTCTATTGGTAAAGGAGGGATTCCCACCCTGTGGTTATAGGCATGGCTGAACACACAACACCCAACACTGGACAGATGAGACAGACAGCAGTTTATTAGTTACATATACTCACAGCTCAGGAGAGGAGGGCACTGCACGCTACATGGGCCACATGGAAATTGCACTCCGAAACAGAATGCCCCACCAGGGGCAGTGGGAGGCAGGTTTTGTAGTATCAAGAGGGTAAGGTACCACCTGGTTCCTACAGGAGAATGTGATTGGCTTATTTGAATAATTCTACAGACTGGCAGGAAACTGAAGCCTGCTACTTGGGGATAAGTAGGAACTGTGCCTGTTCTGTTTGATAAGGAGGGTTTTTGGCTAGGGGTCTTTATCTATAGGAGATAAATAAGAGTAGGGAGGAGAACTTGCAGATAGGCTCTCCTGACAAGACAACACTAATATCAAGCTTTAGGTCTTACACCACAGTAGAAGCCTGATCCATTTCGCAGTGAATACTGTGAACTCAGTGACATTGGAAGAGTTATCAGAGAAGAATTAATCACTGATTTAACGTAGGAGCATAGACATCTGAGAATAATAAATAATGAATTAATTGAAACAACAATATAATGTTTTAAATAGACATAGAAAATGGTAACCCAATTTTTCTAAAAGAAACTTAGCTCTATGAGAAGTGAGGAACTTTTTTTTTCTTCTTTATTTTTTGAGACAGGGTCTCACTCTGTCACCCAGGCTGGAATGCAGGCATGGCTTACTGCAGCCTTGACCTCCTGGGCTCAGGCAATCCTCCCACTGAAGCCTCCTGTGTATCTGGGACCACAGGCATGCACCACCACACCTGGCTAATTTTATTGTTGTTGTAGAGATGGGGTCTGCCTGTGTTGCCCGGGGTAGAAGCGAGGAACTTTTGTTTATTTAAAAACAAACTTAAGAGTATGACAAGAGTCAACACAAAGTTCAGGAGGTTATTCTAGTGAAATATATCATCTCTGCTACTTAGATTATTTAGAGGGTGAAGAGTAACTCTTACTATATCTTTTTAAGATCAGACAGAATTCTCCAAGACCAATTCATTATTTTGACACAGAAAACAAAATTCTAGCTTTGTATTAACAAATATTTGACATTAGTAGATTCAGAAACTTTCCCTTTTTAATCTTATGAAGAAATTCATTAAAACTGAGCCAACTTCAGCAATTTTAATATTTCATTGTGTGTTTTCGGACTGTTATTTGCAGTTATTATAGTTCAAAGCAAATACATTTTCCTTTCCACAAACCTTCACAGCTTTCAGTATTCATCCAGGTTTTGTCCTTCATTATCCTCTTGCGCATTTTGAAAGAAACCCAGATACTTGATGAACAAAACTAATCTTTTCCCATTAATAAACAAAAATATATCCATCATCTTGCATATGCAGTTGATTTCTGTACCACTATTGTTTTTAATATTATCTCAATCTTCATGTTAATTATAACAACCAAAGCAACTAGTTTCTGTTTCACAGAGTTAAGTAACTGAGAAATTATGTCATATGAAATTGTTGTAGCAAACCAGTAAAGTTCATGAACGTGCATAATATACATATTATACATCCTTTCTATATCTTCCTAAAGTGCAAAAATAGCCACTACATAACATATAAAAATTAAAAGCAGATACACACACACACACTCAGTGACCAATGTTTTTATATTTCTATCTTAAAAATTCAAATATGCAAAGATTATCCATTGATTAACATGACAATGTTAGTGTAGGGTCTTGAAGCTAACTAGGAATATTAGAAATGATGTTTAATCTAACAAACTACAGAACATAATTGCTGTTGAAATTTTTTAAAAGTGTGTCAATTTGAAGTTTATATTTTGTAATTCAAGTTTATATTTTTCTTAATCATTAAATGGAAGTAATACTAGCTTAACAGTGGACCTTATATAAGAAGTTCAAAAATGTTATTTGCGTCTTTATGAGCAAACAACCCAAATCTTATTTGAAAAATAAAACATTTGCTTATATTACACACTCCATGGCAATTAAATTCAGACAAGGACAAATAGGTGTTTTAAAACCAAAAATTCATCAAACCAGTCTGATTTGTTCAAGGATTCACTTGGATTATTTGAATTTTGATTCTTATATAAAAATGCAAAATGGCTCACGCCTGTAATCCCAGCACTTCGGGAGGCCGAGGCGGATGGATCATTTGAGGTCAGGAGTTCAAGACCAGCCTGGCCAACATGGTGAAATCCTGTCTCTACTAAAAATACAAAAAATTAGCCAGGCATAGTGACACGTGCCTGTAATCCCAGCTACACAGGCGGCTGAGGCAGGAGAATTGCTTGGACCCAGGAGCCGGAGGTTGCAGTGAGCTGAGATTGCACCACTGTACTCGAGCCTGGGTGACAGAGCAAGACTCTGGGGTTTTTAGGATACCACATTTAATATAGTGTAGTTCTCCTTTAATAAAAAATAGGAAATTTGACATTTTGTACTTTTTTTTTTTAAGAATTAGGGAAACCAACTTGCACCAATGCATTTTTGCAATCTCAGTGCAAAAATCCTGCCGAGTTTGAGGAGATGCATGTTAATTACAAGAAATGAAAGCAACCCATCCGCAGGAACCACAGCAAGAGGATGAAATCTCTTAAAATATGCATCAAAATGACCTGGAGGCTCCTAAAAACACTGATTCTTCCCCAAAGTCTATAAGCCTTTGTTTTGGACTGAGAATAAGCATTTCTAATGAGTCCCAGTGACACTAATGGTGAAGGTCCAGGGATGAAACTCTGATAATAAGTTTTCTATGGAAAATGAGGCTGCCTCCCCACGGGCTCCAGTCCATGGGGCTGCAGATTTGCAGGCTGTAAGGGAAGAGCCTAAATTTCTAATCTGTATATCCCCTTAGTATCTCTGCAGTGAGCAAAGCAAGCAAACAACAAAAATGCCACCACATTTTAAGTATTCAAAATTCAGTTTTTTATTTCCTGAAAATTCTTATATTCATTTTATGTTAGATTTCTTAAGTCTTACCGACATCTATAAACCAATTAAAAACAGCTTTTATTTTAAGAGATTTATATCTAATTTGTTAATACCCTTTCCAGAGGTAGGACAATGTTTCAAACTCAAAAAGGGGTAAAGGCTTTCTCAAGTACAGTCACACATTGAGGCTTACCTTCAGGTGTGCAACTTCATATACAAGTGAAAGAAAACACAGGACACACATAGCAATCTAGATCTCAAAGGGCTTTTCTTCCCAGTTGAAGCAAGACGTGTTCCTCTACAAGGCAAAAGACTAGTGTATCAGATTCTTTGCCATGCTGCATCCAACAGAGATTAGGTACCTATCATCCCATTATAGGGAATAAACTTACTGTCTGTGCAGAACCAGAATCACAACCAAACGTGGCTAAGAATCTGTCTCATCTGTCCAGTGTTGGGTGTTGTGTGTTCAGCCATGAATGTTTTAATGTGTGTTTTTTTTTGTTTTTTGTTTTTGAGACGAAGTCTCGCTCTGTCGCCCAGACTGGAGTACAGTGGCTTGATCTCAGGTCACTGAAAGCTCTGCCTCCCGGGTTCACACCATTCTCCTGCCTCAGCCTCCCGAGTAGCTGGGACTACAGGTGCCCGCCACCACACCGGGCTAATTTTTTGTATTTTTTAGTAGAGACAGGGTTTCACCGTGTTAGCCAGGATGGTCTCGATCTCCTGACCTCGTGATCCACCCACCTCGGCCTTCCAAAGCGCTGGGATTACAGGCATGAGCCACCGCGCCCAGCCAGCCATGAAGTTTTGTTGCATCAGAACAAAAGTAAAAATACAAAGTCAGGAAAACAGAAATAGCAGAGAAACAGAAAGTCAATAAAAGTAAAGTTCTGTTGCCACTTGATAATCACTCCAGAAGCTAAGAAAAACTGTGCCTGGGAGGTGTACACTTTAAATGGCTTAGGAAAGTGTAGATACTTGAACATCTTGGTGTATTTCCAAAGTTGTCAAAGTATAATTTTCAAAAAAGTTAAAAACAAGACTCATAAAAATATAAAGTGAGTGCATGTCAAAACATTAAATTCATGAGGGAACCAACGTAATGTTAAGGCTGGCTTCTGTTTTTTACAATATTTGTTCCAGGGGGTACAAACTCAAATACTCAAAGGGGCTAAGCAAGCCATATAAATAAGGAAAGAAGACATTTACAGTGTTAGAGAATGGTAGAGAGTGTGACAAACTTGAGAGCACATTCTTTGTCTAAAGTGGGCAACTATGGTTGACCATCTTCAGCTAATTGTTACCATGTGGGAATGCAAGCTTAGTGTTGCTAGATTTTTTCACTTTCATATTCTTTTCACAGAAGTCATTAAGCTGGATTTTAATCTGAATCTTCTAGTTTTTAGGTGTTTGTAACTAATTCAAATGTTTAAAAACACTGTATGAGCCAAACAGAACATATCTTCAGGCTGTAAATGGCTTGAGGGCCACCAATTTGCAACCTCTGCAGTAGATATTAGTTATATAGCAGAGGAAGAGCTTAACCAAAGGTTGTTTTTGTTTGAAAGAAGTTTCAAAAGATTATTTTAAACCTTTCACTTTGTTTCTCACAAGAGTAAAATAAGTACATTATGTGATAATGTTTTATCAACTAGTAATTCAGTGCCTATCACATAACCATATACATACATTTTAAGTTTTATTTTTGGCCATTTAAAGCATGATCATTTTCTGGAGATCTGTTTCACAGTAATGTGAATATACTTAATACTACTAAACTATACATTTAAAAATGGTTAAGTTGATACATTTTATGTCGTGTTTTTTACTACAATTCATATTATACAGATTCATTTTGAGGTTTTTTTTTTTTTTAGGGTGGTGCTCAATGTAACATATACAAGGTTTTTACAGAAGTTTTATAGTAGGTAATGGGAAATCCTGGGAACAAGGAGACATTGTGAAAAACTGTTACAATAGCCTTGCCAAAAGATAAGAACTTGATTTAGATAACTAAATTTAGTAATGGGAATGGTGCTCACTTTGAGAGACATTTCAGGGGTTAAATTGACAGGATTCAGGGAACAGCTGAATGTGGGGCTCGAGAAAATACTCAGAAGATCAGAGTATGACAATAATTAAAGTAGGAAGAAAAACAGATTCAGAGGAAATTAATTCAATTGTAGACAAACCATGGAATTTCAGGACTTGAAGGAAATCTAGAGGTTACCTAATCCAACCATCTTATTTTACAGATTTGAAACTCAGGGCCCCAAGAGATTGATACCTTCAGTATCACAATTTAAATCAAAAGTAGGCTTACTTTAATAATAAGTTTCTAGACTGAAAGTCCATCTTTTCTTAGTACACCAGAGCATCTTTGCTCTGTGACAGATGGTTCATTCAGTTCAAAGATGACTTTGGGATGGTACTGTAATCCTCAGGCTGTTGCCGTATGTTAGTTAAGAAGGCCTGCAGACTTCTTCAAGAGAATGGATACCAGAGCCTTTTTCTTATTCTTTAAACTATAAGTGTGCCTCCTTTCCTATTTGTAGTCTTTTCTTGGGTTTAAGTTACTTATGGGACCTGTAAAGGAGATGGTTTGTAGATGTTTGTAATTTCATCCCTAGAGTTCAAAGGAAAATTTGAGGCTAGAGGTAGAGATTTGGGAGTCCATAAAAATAATGGCAAAAGTTAAAATCATCTAAGTGAATGGGGTTGCTTGGAAAGAGAACATAATTTCAGAGTAGATGAGATCTGGAAATGAAATCTAGAGAAACATAAAAAATCGCTAGATTAGAAAGAGAAAAACCAGAGAAACATATTGGTAAAAGTAGCTAGAAAATAAGAGAACCAGACAAGAGTACAGATGTTCCTCAACTTACAAGGGATTATGTCCGGATAAACCCATCTTAAGTTGAAAGTATTTTAGGTCAAAAATGCTTTTAATACACCTAAGCTACCAAACTTCATAGCTTAGCCTAGCCTGCCTTAAATGTGCTGAGAACACTTACATTAGCCTATAGCTGGACAAAGTCGTCTAACACAAAGCCTATTTTATAATAGTATTGAGTATCTCACGTAATCTATTGAATAATTCTGTGCTGAAAGCAAGAAATAGAATGGTTGTAAGGGTATTTGAAGTATGGTTTCTACTAAATGTGTATGAATTTAGCAACATTATAAAGTTGAAAAATTTTAAGTCAAACCATTATAAGTCAGAAACCATCTGTAGTACTGTGGAAACCAAGAGAAAAGAAGGTTGTCAAGAATGATAAGGTTTGTTTTAGGCTGTTTTGTTTTGCTACGACAAAATACATGAAACAATACAGTTGACTCTTGAACAACACAGGATTGAAGTTTGTGGGTCCACTTCTACGTGAATTTTCTTCCACCTCTGCCAATCCTGAGACAGCAAGACAACCCCTT
Organism: Homo sapiens; assembly: GCF_000001405.40. Lineage (NCBI taxonomy): Eukaryota > Metazoa > Chordata > Mammalia > Primates > Hominidae > Homo > Homo sapiens. The sequence continues at coordinate 83,172,943 of NC_000015.10, read as the reverse complement.
CTTTTACTCCTCCTCCTCAGTCTACTCATTGTGAAGACTACCAAGATGAATACCTTTATGATGATCCACTCCCGCTTGATGAATAGTAAATACAGTTTCTTTTCCTTTTTTTTTTTTTTTTGAGCTGGAGTCTATTGCTCTGTCACCCAGGCTGGAGTGCAGTGGCGCGATCTCAGCTCACTGCAGCCTCCGCCTCCTGGATTCAAGCGATTCTTCTGCCTCAGCCTTCTCAGTAGCTTGGATTACAGGCATGAGGTTTTGTATTTTTAGTAGAGACGGAGTTTCACCATGTTGGCCAGGCTGGTGTTGAACTCCTGACCTCAGGTGATCCACCCACCTTGGCCTCCCAAAGTGTTGGGATTACAGGCGTGAGCCACCACACCTGGGCTGATTTTCTTAGTAACATTTACTCTCTAGCTTACTTTACTGTAATAATATATAATACATATATAAAATATTTGTTAATCTACTGTTTGTTATTGGTAAGGCTTCATAGGCTATTAGTAATTAAGTTTTGGGGGAGTCAAAAGGTATATATGGATTTTCAACTGTGCAGGAGGTGAGTGCCCCAATCCCTGTTGTTCAAGGATGAATTGTGAAATTTATTTCTTCACAGTGCTGGAGGCTAAGTCCAAGAGGAAGGCACTGGCATCTTATGAGGGCATTCTTGGTGTATCGTTACATGGCCAAAGACAGAAGGGCAAGAGAGAACCAACTTCTTTCTGTCTCTGTCCAGCCCCCTTTATTTATAAGCATCGAAATTCATTCATGACAGAGAAGCCCTCAAGGCCTAATCACCTCTGAAAAGTCCCACCTCTTAATACTATTACATTAACAGCACCTGAATTTTGGAGGGGAGCCCTTCAAGCCATAGCAGAGCCATAGAGAGGGCAAGAGGATATAGACTGGGAAGGGGAATGTTACTGGTGGCCTTTGAGATAATTACTTTAGTATTTTGTTGATAAATTTAAATTGCCATGGATGAGGAGAAAAGGGGAGATAAAAAGAGGAAACCACCATGTTCATACAGTGTTCTTTTTTTCTTTTAATTTTATTTTCAACTTTTATTTTAGATTCAGGAAAACGTGCAGGTTTGTTATCTTAGTGTATTGTGTGATGCTGAGGTATTAGGTATGAATGATCCCATTACCCAGGTATCCAATGGTTAGGTTTTCATCCCTTGTCCCCCTCCCTCCCATCCCCTTTTGGAGTCCACAGTGTCTACTGTTCTCATCTTTGCATTCATGCATACTCATTACTTAGCTCCCACTTACAAGTAAGAACATGCGGTATTTTGTTTTTCGTTCCTGCATTAATTTGCTTAAGATAATGGCCTCCAGCTGCATCCATGTTGCTGCAGAGGACATGATTTTGTTCTTTTGTATGACTATGTAGTATTCCTTGGTGTATATGTACCACATTTTATTTATTCCACCACTGATAGGCACCTAGGTTGATTCCACATCTTTGCTATTATAAATAGTGCTGCAGTGAACATGAGGGAGCAGGTATCTTTTTGGTAGAACAATTTGTTTTCTTTTGGATATATACACAGTAATGGGATTGCTGGGTCAAATGGTAGTTCTATTCATAAGTTCTTTGAGAAATCTCCAAACTGCTTTCCACAGTGGCTGAACTAATTTACAGTCCCACTAACAGTGTGTGAACATTGTTTTTTCCACAACCTCATGAAACATCCATTGTTTTTTAATTTTTTAATAGTAGCCATTATGAGGTGGGGGGAGGGGGGAGGGATAGCAGTAGGAGATAGACCTAATGTAAATGACAAGTTAATGGGCACAGCACACCAACATGGCACATGTATACATATGTAACAAACCTGCACGTTGTGCACATGTACCCTAGAACTTAAAGTATAATAAAAAGAAAATAGTAGCCATTATGACTGGTGTGAGATAGTATCTCATTGTGGTTTTGATTTGCATTTCTCTGATGATTAATGACAAGTTTTTTCGTGTTTCTTGGCTTGTATGTCTTCTTTTGAGAAGTGTTTCTTCATATATTTTGCCCATTTTTTAATGAGATTATTTGTTTTTTTTTTTTTTTGCTTGTTGAATTCTTTAAATTCCTTATAGATTCTGGATATTACACCTTTGTTGGATGCATAGTTTGCAGATATATTCTCCCATTCAATGTAGGTTGTCAGTTTGCTCTGTTGATAGTTTCTTTTGCTGTGCAGAAGCTCTTTAGTTTAATTAGGTTCACTGGTCAGTTTTTGTTTGTGCTGCAAATGCTTTTAAGGACTTAGTCATAAATTCTTTCCCAAGGCCTGTGTCCAAAATGGTGTTTCTTAGGTTTCCTTCTACGATTCTTATAGTTTGAGGTCTTACATTTAGAACTTTAATTCGTCTTGAGTTAGGTTTTCTTATGTGGTGAAAGTTACAGGTCCAGTTTCATTCTTCTGCATTTGGGTAGCCAGCTATCCCAGCACCATGTATCAAATAGGGAGTTCTTTCTCCATTGCTTATTTTTGTCCACTTTGTCAAAGATCAGATGGCTGTAGGTATATGGCTTTATTTCTGGGTTCTCTTTTCTATTCTATTGGTCTATGTGTCTGTTTTTGTACCAGTACCATGCTGTTTTGGTTAATGTGGCCTTACAGTATAGTTTGAAGTCAGGTAATGTGATGCCCGTGGCTTTGTTCTTTTTGCTTAGGATTGCTTTGGTTATTCAGGTTCCTTTTTGGTTCCATATGAATTTTAGAGTAGTTTTTTCTAGTTCTGTGAAAAATGATCTTGGTAGTTTGATAGGAACAGCATTGAATCTTTAGTGCTTTGGGTAGTCTGGACATTTGAACAATACTGATTATTCCAGTGCAGGAACATGGAATGTTTTCCCATTTGTTTGTGTCATCGGTGATTTCTTTTAGCAGTGTTTGTAGTTCTCCTTGTAGAGATCTTTCACCTCCTTGGTTAGATGTATTCCTAGGTGTTTTATTTTTTGTGCGGCTATTGTAAACTGGATTGCATTCTTGATTTGGCTCTCAGCTTGGATGTTATTGGTATATAGAAGTGCTACTGATTTTTGTACATTGATTTTGTATCCAGAAACTTTACTGAAGTCATTTGTCAGTTACCAGGAGCCTTTTGACAAAGTCTTTAGGGATTTTTGTTTGTTTGTTTTGAGATGGACTCTTGCTCTGTCACCCAGGCTGGAGTACAGTGATGCAATCTCGGCTTACTGCAACCTTGCCTCCTGGGTTCAAGTGATTCTCGTGTCTCAGCCTCCCAAGTAGCTGGGATTACAGGCACGAGCCACCACTCCCAGCTAATTTTGGTATTTTTAGTAGAGACGGGGTTTAGCATGTTGGCCAGACTGGTCTCGAACTCCTGACCTCAAGTTACCCTCCCGCCTCGGCCTCCCAAAGTGCTGGGATTACAGGCGTGAGCCACCGTGCCTGGCCTAGGGTTTTTAAGATACAGACTCTATCATCAGCGAAGAGAGATAATTTTGACTTCTTCTTTTCTTTTCTTTCTTTTTTTTTTTTTTTTTTTTTTTTTTTTTTTTTGAGACGGAGTCTCGCTCTGTCGCCCAGGCTGGAGTGCAGTGGCGCGATCTCGGCTCACTGCAAGCTCCGCCTCCCGGGTTCACGCCATTCTCCTGCGACTTCTTTTCTTATTTGCCTTATTTCTTGAAATTCTTTCTCTTGCCTGATTGTTCTGACTGGCATTCCAGTACTATGTTGAATAGGAGTGGTGAAGGTAGACATCCTTGTCTTGTTTCAATTCTCGAGGGGCATGCTTCCAGTTTTTGCCTGTTTGGTATGATATTGGCTGTGGGTTTATCATATATGGCTCTTATTTTGAGATATGTTCCTTCAATACCTAGTTTCTTGAGGGTTTTGATCATGAAGGGATTTTATCAAAAGCTCTTTCTGAGTCTTTTGAGTTGATCATGTGGCTTTTGTTTTTAATTCTGTTTATGTGGTGAATCACATTTATTGATTTTTATATGTTGAACCAACTTTGCGTCCTAGAAATGAAACCTGCTTGATCATGGTGAATTAACTTTTTGATGTGCTGTTGAATTCAGTTTGCTAGTATTTTGTTGAGGATTTTGCATCTGCTTTCATCAGGGATATTGGCCTGTAGTTTTTTCCTTTTGTTGTGTCTTTGCCAGGTTTTGGTATTAGGATGATGCTGGCTTTGTACAATGAGTGGAAGAGGCATCCCTCCTCAATTTCTGTGATAGTTTCAATAGAATTGGTACAGTTCTTCTTTGTACCTCTGGTAGAATTTGGCTGTGAATCCATCTAGGCTGAGACTTTTTTGGGGTAGGTTTTTATTACTGATTCAACCTAAGGATTCAATATTGGTCTGTTCCGTGTTTCAATTTCTTCCTGATTGAATCTTTCCAGGAATGTACGTGTTTCTTCTAGATTTTCTTGTTTGTGTGCATAGAGGTGTTCATAATAGTCTGAGGATCTTTTGCATTTCTGTGGAATTGGTTATAATGTCACCTTAGTCACTTCCGATTGTGCTTATTTGGATCTTCTCTTTTCTTTGTTAATTTTATTAACGATCTATGGATCTTGTTTATCCTTTCAAAGAACCAGCTTTTGGTTTCATTGATCCTTGCATGGATTTTTGGGTCCAATTTCGTTCAATTCCACTCTGATTTTGGTATTTCTTTTCTTCTTTCAGCTTTGGGGTTAGTTTGTTCTTGTTTTTCTAGTTCCTCCGGGGAAGATGTTAGATCATTATTTTGAGATCTTTCTAGTATTTTAAGGTTGGTGTTTAGCACTGTGAACTTTCCTCTTAACACTGCTTTTGCTGTATCCCTGAGATTTTGGTATGTTACATCTCTGTTTTTATTTATTTCAAAGAATTATTTTATTTCTGCCTTGATTTCATTGTTTACCTAAAAGTCATTCAGGAGCAATTTGTTTAATTTCCATGTAATTTGTGATTTTGAGAGATCTTCTTGGTATTGATTTCTGTTTTTATTCCACTGTGGCCTGAGAGTATAGTTGATATGATTTTTTGTCTTTTATTTTTTAGTTTATTGAGACTTGCTTTATGGCCAAGCATGTGGTCTATCTTGGAGTATGTTCTGTGTGCAGATGAGAAGGATGAATATTCTGTGGTTGTCTATTAGGTCCAAGTGTTGAGTTTAAATCCAGAATTTCTTTGTTAGTTTTCTACCTTGATGATCTATCTAATGCTGTCATGCTGTCAGTGGGATGTTGAAGTTTCCCACTATTATTGTGTGGCTGTCTTTTCATTGGTCTGGAAGTACTTATTTTACGAATCTGGGTGCTCCAATGTTGGGCATGTACATATTTCGAATGGTTAAACCTTCTTGTTGAGTTGAATTCTTCATGATGTACTGCCCTTCTTTGTACTTTTTTTTTTTTTTTTCTTGAGATGGAGTCTCACTTTGCCACCCAGGCCTGGAGGTGCAGTGGTGCAGTCTTGGCTGACTGCAATCTCCGCCTCCTGGGCTCAAGCAATTCTCCTGCCTCAGCCTTCCAGGTAGCTGGGATTACAGGCATCCGCCACCACGCCCAGCTAATTTTTTTGGATTTTTAGTAGAGACAGGGTTTCACCATCTTGGCCAGGCTGGCTTCGATCTCCTGACCTCGGGTGATCCCCCTGCCTCGGCTTCCCAAAGTGTTGAGATTACAGGGGTGAGCCACCACGCTCAGCCTTCTTTGTCCTTTTTTTACTGTTGTTGACGTAAAGTCTGTTTTATCTAAGTACAGCAACTCCTGCTCTTTTATGTTTTCCATTCACATGGTAGATCTTTTTCCAAACCTTTAGTTCGAGCTTATGGGTGTCGTTACATCTAAGATGGGTCTCTGGAAGACAGGTGACAGATAAGTCTTGTTTTCTTATCCAAGCTGCCACTCTGTGCCTTTTAAGTGGGTCATTTAGACCATTTACATTCAATGTTGCTATTGATATGCAAGGTTTTGATTCTGTCATGAAGTTGTTGGTTGCTGATATGGTTTGATTTGTGTCCCTGCCCATATGTTGATTTGTCTCATGTCAAATTATAATCCCAGTGTTGGAGGAGGAGCCTGGTGGGAGGTGATTGGATCATGGGGTTAGATTTCCTCTTTGCTGTTCTTGTGATAGTGAGTGAGTTTTCATGAGATCTTCTTTAAAAGTGTGTAGCACCTTCCCCCTTTTCTCTCTTCCTCCTGCTCTGGACATGTAAGATGTGCCTCCTTCCTCTTCACCTTCCACCATGATTGTAAGTTTCCTGAGGCATTGTAAGTTTCCTGAGGTCCCCTGAAGCCATGCTTGCTGTACAGCCTGCAGAACCATGAGCCAGTTAAACCTCTGTTCTTTATAAATTACCCTGTCTCGGGTTCTTCTTTATAGCAATGTAGGAACAGACTAATACAGTTGTTTTGTACTTTCTATTGTGTGGTTACTTTATAGGGTCTGCAGGCTCTGTACCCAAGTGTGTTTTTTTGATAACAGGTATTATTCTTTTGTTTCCGTATTTAGAACTTCCTTAAGGATCTCTTCTAAGGCTGGTCTAGTAGTAACGAATTCCTTTAGCACTTGCTTGTCTGGAAAATATTTTATTTCTCCTTTATTTCTGCTCATGAAATTTAGTTTGGCAGGATATGAAATTTTTGTTTGGAATTTATTTTCTTTTTAGAATGCTGGAAATAGGCCACCAGTCTCTCCTGGCTTGTAAGGTTTCTGCTGAGACATCTGCTGTTAGCCTGCTGGGATTCCCTTTTTACATAATCTGCCCTTTTTCTCTAGCTGCCTTCAATATTTTTTTCTTTAGAGTTGATGTTGGACAGTCTAGTGACTATATGCCTTGGTGATGTTCATTTTGTATAGTATTTTACCAGTATTCTCTGGATTTCTTGCATCTGGATGTCTATTTCTTTACTAAGATTTGGGAAATTTTCTTGAATTATTTCCTCAAATATATTTTCCTGGTTGTTTCCTTTTTCTTCTTCTCTCTTAGAAATGTCAGTAATTCTTTGTTTTGGTCATTTTATATAATTCTGTATTTCTCAAAGACTGTTCATTTTTTATAATTCTTTTTCCTTTATTTTTGTCTGCCTGGACTAGTTCAAAAGACCGGTCTTCAAGCTCTGGAATTCTTCCATCTGCTTGGTCAGTCTATTTCTTTTTTTTTTTTTTTTTTTTTTTTTTTGAGATGGATTCTTGCTCTGTCATCCAGGCTGGAGTGCAGTGGCACAATCTCGGCTCACTGTAAGCTCCGCCTCCCAGGTTCACACCATTCTCCTGCCTCAGCCTCCTGAGTAGCTGGGACTACAGGTGCCCATCACCATGTCTGGCTACTTTTTTGCATTTTTAGTAAAAGAAGTGATTTTTAAAATGTGTCTGCACACAGCCATGTCATGTGGCTTTACAGGGCAGACAGGAACAATGGGGGAAATTCAGAGAAGTCAGTTGATAAGAGGTGGGTAGTGGAGGGTTTTGTAAGCCACATGGGGAGAGCTGCTCTTTCTCTAGGGGCTCTGATAGCTAATAATAACAGTTAACAACTACCTGGCATTTATTAAGCAACTGGTATGTGCTAGAGATTCTAAACTACCATTCATTTGCTCACAGCAACTCTGTATGCTGAGTGTCTGTAGTTATATGTGAAGAGATAAAGAAACTGCAGTTGAGTGACTGGCCCAAGATCACACAGCCAATAAGTGACAGAGTTGTACCCAAGACTTGTACATAGATCTTGCTTTGAGAGAGTGACATACAGAGGTGGATTTACAATGAAGCTAATGAAACGTAAATTTCAGGGTTCCCCACTTGCTAGACACCTGTGAATGCTGGGAGTTGTCATGTTTGAGGTAGAGAGGGGAAGCTGGCGTATAACCAGAAAGCATTTCTATGTAAGCATTTCTGGGAACTTGCCTGATGCCGTCTCAGAAGAAAAGTTCTGGCAGTTTTGTTGTGGTTTATTTTCTTCTTGTAAATACTCACTTTTGTAATTGAACATTGTATGTCTGAAAGATGAGAAGTTCAACCATCAGAGAAGGCTACATGAAATAAAATAGCATGCTTATAAACAACTCCATGCAGTTTCACACTGCCGAATCATGGCATGAGGAGAGAAAAGTGACAGGAGTTTAGACTGGTCAAAACCTTTCTTGAAACATTCTAAGGAATAATGTATGTGTAATTATATAGTATTCTAAGGAATTTTGACTTTATCCTATTAGAGATTCTCAACTTCAGCTATAAATAAGAATTGGTAGATCTGAGGAAGGAAGGGCTGAAATATCTTTATTTTTTTAAAGCTCCATAAGTGAGTCAGATGTACAGCTAGGAATGCTGTAAGCAATGAGAAGCTATAGACAGATTTGAAGTAAGGAAGTGACATAATCAGATGTGCATTTTCAAAGGGAATTCTACTTTAAATGGATGGGAGGAGAGACTTGTAGTAGTCCAGGCAAGAGATGATGTCTTTTAATGACTGCATAATAGTTCATCAAGTTAAGTTTTTATAATTCTGTTATGCATTATTTATGTTTCTAGGGATGTATATGTATTCACTGTTACTCAAAAGAAGTACATCTTTTTGTATTCTTTTTTTTTTTTTTTTTTTTTTTTTTTGGTTACTCTAATTTTTCACTAGGACAGATTCCCCGGAATAATTCTGTTGAGTCAAAGGAAATGAGTAGTTTTGGCTCCTGCTTATAAATTATTATAATGGTTGTAATCCATTCCTAGAGTTGACTTCCATGTGGTGGGCCAAATAGGAACTTTAGAATCATTTTGTAAAGTTCTAAAAAACTATCTGAGTTTTGATTGATTTTATTTTGAAATTAGCAGTAAATTATCAGAACAATGCTCACATTGTATTTATGATAACCACTCACTCAGTAACTAAATGTATCTTTCATAGATTGATGAACTCCCAGAGGGCGCTGTGAAGCCTCCAGCAAACAAGTATCCTATCTTCTTTTTTGGCACCCATGAAACGTAAGTTAGCAAAAATAGTTTCAACAGCTCTAGCTTGACTCTGCTATGCTACATTGTTATGGATGATCTCTGACATCTTACGTCTTATTAAAATCATTATAATCAGTTATATAAAATTGCCAAAGTTAATAATGTATTTTTGTTAATGTAAATAGTTTTCATGATAGAAGTCTTTATGACTAAAAGCGTATCTTTGCTTTTGAATGTCATTTGTGTTTCTGCTTAAATGTTGGTCATCACCCACAAGTCTCCTCTAGGACACTTTTAAGTCCTAGAGTGGTTTCTGTACCACTCCCAGTAATTTCTTCTATTGCTCTTATATATTTCCCTTCCAGAGAAGTTTTTTCCATTCATATTTCACAGAACAAAGTTATGTTCTCTCTGGCTCTTTCACCTTGTTGGGCCCTCAAGGAAATATACCACCTTTTTTAGGTTTTCTAACTGTATTTGTTGGTGTACTGACTACACTGATGTAATAAAGGAACCTAAAAATACAATGTCTCAAATAATATAGAAGTTTATTTCTTTCTTTTGAAATAATTCAGAGGTAGGCAGGTAGATTGGGGTGGGTAGACTACTTTGCCCTAGGGACCGGAGCTGCTTCTGTTTCTTGTCCTGTCATTAACCGCTAAAACAAAAAAACTGGCTCAGCAGCACATGTGCATCTTGCAGGCAGTGGGAAGGAGGAAAGAGAAGAGGTGAAGAACAAGTAGTTCCTTGTAAGGAAATGACAGGAAGTTACATACAGTAGATCTTCACTTAAGTTGATAGGTTCCTGGCAACTGCGACTTTAAAGGAAACATCAGACAGCAGGCTGTCAACTAACTTCTTTTTGTTCAGTGTTGTCACAGTTTCCAAAAACCTATCGACATTAAGTGTGGACTTACTGTACATCATTTACACTGGCATTCATTCCAGTGACAAGAACTTGGTGATGTGGCCACATCTAGCTACAAGGGAAGCTGAGAAACAGTCTCTAGCTGGGCAACTCTGTATCCTGCTTTAAAAATTGGAAGGAATATTCAGTATAGGAAAAAAGAAGAGCATGAATACTGTGGAATAGTTGGCAATCTTTGACACACTAGGAACGGATATGGTTATTTACAACAAAAAACAAATGGAACAAATTGGAAATGTGGAGAAAAGCTAAAAACTGTCACAAAATTTTTAAGTCTTCAAATTCAGGGTCATCACTTATGTTCATTTGAACGTTAGTAGAGCCTAGCATGAACTTTCTTAGCTTGTTGTCTCTGCCACCCAACATCTTCCTCATTCTTGTCTTGAAAGAGAGTTAGGAGAAGCCTCTCAAGACAGACTTTTTTTCGTGAGAGAAATAATTGTAATTTCTCTCAGGAAGTTTTATTTACTTTTGTATTATTTTTATGTAATAGACATTATGGACTATGCAACTGATCATGTTTTCCTCCTTAAGAGAGGTTGCTAGAAAGCTTAGAAATAAGTTTTACCTATAATAAATGTATAGGGCTTTATGATGCATATTTTTGCATTTTCCTTATTCCCGCCCCCATTTTATTTTTGTACCATTGGTTTGATTTTTTTAGAACCCATCTCCAAATGATCTGGTTGTACAGTAGTCTATATGTGATTTTTTTGCTGGTTTGATCATCCAGAGGCAGATTTAAAAATACCTGGGGGAGAATTAACTTCAAAAAACCTGTCATAACATTGATTCTACTGAACTTAGTTACTAAGTATTGGGTGTCCCTGAACCTGAGATTATACTTGCCCTGGCAAGTATGAATGTTCACCCTCTCTGAAGGCAGAAATTATGTCAGTGTTTCTTACTCTACTTACACAGTGCTTAACACAGTGCCTGGCCCATGGTAGGTGTTTAAAAAATAGCTATCAATTAAATTAAAATTAGTTAAATGATGCAGGGGAGGTATGTGAAAAGTGAGGTGAGCTTAACAAGAAGGCTACGTTTGGTTCAGCTAAAGGAGTACCCTAGGCACGACCAGAATTTTCCTCAGAACATGACTTTGAATCTGTTCTAATTCTGATGTAGGTGACTGGAGCCTCAAGTTCTTCTGCTTCTAACATAAACCCAGTAGTTTTAGTCTAGACAATTTTCAAGGAACCCTTAACATGGAAAAATATATCATCCTCAGTGCATTTAGCTTTGAAAAAATGTATTTTCTTTTCTATGCTTAAAAAATTTTAAAACATATAGCAATTAACCAATTGAGAGGGGATTTGATTTACACAATTATCTATAATCCAGAAAAAAACAGGGTTGTTTATCAAAAAATTACAACTTGTTTTAGAACAGTTCATTCAGGCTCCCTCTTGCCGGCAGTAGCTAACATGGCCAGTTGTCAGTTAAAGTCATTCCTGCGGAATGCTAGTAAAAATGTATCATTTATTCATAAAAGAATGCTTCCTGTAGCAGGAAGACGTCCATCTCATACATCCAAAAGTGGGACAAGATAAAAATAAAGAGGGCAAAAATTGTTAACTCTTTCATCAAAAAATAATGACCATTAGCCCTGACTCTTCTGGCATTATTACAGTATAGGCAGCTGAGTGCAGTGGTTCATGCCTGTAATACCAGCACTTTGGGAGGCCAAGGCTGGAGGATCACTTTAGCTCAGGAGTTCGAGACTAGCCTGGGCAATATAGTGAGATCCCGTCTCTACAAAAAAATAACATTAGCCAGGCATGGTGGCTGTAGTCCTAGCTACTCAGGAGGCTGAGGTGGGAGGATCACTTGAGCCTGGAAGCCAAAGCTACAGTGAGAGACCCTTTCTCCCCTGCCCAAAAAAATAAGTATAGGCAAGCCCTGATTAGCATCAAGTAGCTGATGTGAATACCAGGCAGCTTAGCCCACAGTTATTTCTTAAGCATAGAGTCAAAGACTGGGGAAGGTCAAAAGCTAGAGTCTAATAATTCACGACAAATTCTTCTAAAAGTGAAGTTGCCATACACAAAGTCCATTTATTGTGTTCAGTTTATCAAGCAAGACTTTGACTTTTTTTTATTAAGATGTCCAGTAATGTAATAAATTATTTCTGGATTCAATGAGGTAGAATCATGCTGACTGAGCAATTAAAGGTGAACAATAAGGAAAAGGTTGGTGCTTCTTAAAAGTTTGGTGCTTCTTAAACCGCTCTGGGGTCAGAAAGCTTACCCAGGAGTTTTAATGAACTTGAAGTTTTTGATCAGCTGCACAATGCGAGGGATCAACCCTGAGACCCAGGCAGAAAATGGAATTTACAGAGATCAATAGTAAACTGTTAACCTCTCGTCTGAAAGCTTTCAGTATCTTCTCTTTACTGATAATTTCCAAATTTACATCTCCAGCTTACACATTTCCCCTCTACTCCAGAGTCCTCTCTCCAGCTACCTGACATCTCCACTTGGATGTCTAAACTGGATTTTAAATGTAGCATTCAAAACTGAGTTTTTTGCCCCCAAATATTGTTCCCCCCCCAAAATATTTCCATTTCGGTAAATACCAACTCCTTCTTATTTCTCAGTCCAAAACCTTGGAGATGGCCAGGTGTGGTGGCTCATGGCTGTAATCCCAGCACTTTGGGAGGCTGAGGTGGGCGGATCACAAGGTCAGGAGATCAAAACCATCCTGGCCAACATGGTGAAACCCCGTCTCTATCAAAAATACAAAAATTAACTGGGTATGGTGGCATGTGCCTATAATCCCAGGTCCTCAGGAGGCTGAGGCAGAAGAATCGCTTGAACCAGGGAGTCGGAAGTTGCAGTGAGCCGAGATCGTGCCAGTGCACTCCAGCCTGGCGACAAAGTGAGACTCCGTCTCAAAAAAAAAAAAAACCTTAGAGATATCCTCAACTCCTCTACCCTTTCTCACATATGCCATATGCAGCCCATCAACAAATCTTGATGCTCTTTCTTGAGAATGAATTCAGGATCTGACCACTTCTTACCAACAGTACTGCTTACACCCTGGTTCAAGTCACCATCATTACTTCAGAAGCCTTCTAATTAGTCTCCCTGCTTCTACTGTAGTAACTAAGTCTTCAGTCTGTTTTCAGTACAGCAGCCAAAGTTATCCTATTAAGACATAAATTGCCACTTCTCTTCTCAGAACCTTTAATGGCTTCCCATCTCACTCAAAGCCTTTATAGTGGCCTTCAAGGCCCTAAATAATCTGTGCCCCTACTCTGTTAACCTGTCTCACACCAGTCGTCCTTCACTCATTTCACTCTAGCCACACTGACCTCTTCTGTTTCTCAAACTTATGAGGCACTCTTCCTCTCCCACCTGAGGGACCTTGTACTTGCTCTTTCTTCAACTTGTTCTTTTCTTCTCCAGGTAACTGCATGAGTTATTCCTTCACTTTCTTTGTTCTTTACTTAGCTATTCCCTTTGCCTTCCTTGATCTGTATATCTATAATTATAAAATCCATCTCCTATTCTTCCCATCCTTCTCTGCTTTATTTTTTTTAGCACACATACTATATATTTTATCTTTTTATTGTCCAAACCCCCACCCCTGCCACTAGAACATGTGCTCCAAGAAAACAGAGATGTTTGTCTCTTTGTTCCCTGTAGCTCCTCTGGAATAGTGCCTGGCACATTGTATTAACAAATGTTCAATCAATGTTTGTTGAATGAAGGAATGTGTGAATCTCAGTTTGAGAAGTAAGCTCTAGGGGTGTCAGCCAGAACTGTGGCCTAATGCTAAAGACTCTGATCTATTAGCCAGGCTCAGAATTTGTTCTAACTTCTTTTTTTTTCTTGGTTGTGATTAATTTAGGATGTGGTTTAAATTGGATAAAAGTCTATCTGCTTTGTCACTTCTAATTTTTTTCTTAGTGCCTCATTAAACACTAAAATGATTTTTTAATTTATAGAAATAATAGGCTGGGCACGGTGGCTTATGCCTGTAATCCCAACACTTTGGGAGGCCGAGGCAGGTGGATCACCTGAAGTCAGGAGTTCGAGACCAGCCTGACCAATGTGGCGAAACCCCGTCTCTACTAAAAATACAAAATTAGTCAGATGTGATGGAGCATGCCTGTAATCCCCTACTTGGAAGGCTGAGGCAGGAGAATCCCTTGAACCCGGGAGATGGAGGTTGCAGTAAACCGAGATCATACCATTGCACTCCAGCCTGGGCAACAAGAGCAAAACTCTATCTGAAAAAAAAAGAAAGAAATAATAGTGAATAAATATACTAACGTGGTACAGTAGTGCCCCCTTTATCTGTAGGGGATACATTCCAAGACCTCCAGTGGATGCCTAAAACCGTGGATAGTATGAAACCTATATATACTATGATTTTTCCATCTGATAACAGAGATAGCTATTAAGTAACTAGTGGGAAGGTAGTGCAAATATGATGGATATGCTGGACAAAGGGATGATTCATGTCCCAGGCAGGATGGAGTGGGTGTGAGATTTTATCACCTGTTCAGAGGGGTGTAATATTTAAAACCTATGAATTGTTCATTTTCCATTGGACCACAGTTGACCATGGGTAACTAAAACCACAGAAGGCAAAACCACAGTTAAGTGGGGAATTACTATATAGAGAGTTAAAATCTTTTTTTTATTCTAGCATTTATATTTTTACTGTGAATTTCACAAAACCCTTACCTGTGGTAAGATTAACATAGATAAATCTTAGTTTAAGATGATGATTTAAGTGGCCAAAGTAGACATATTTAATTCTACTTATGTAACTAAAAATCAGTTTTTAAATGAAGATATTGATAATTTAAAAGTAAAATCAAAGTAGCACAATCCAGGTGGCTGGCTTGTATGCTCAGCTATCCATTTTTTCTGCCTTGAAGTATGTGTCTGAAACACCTCGTAATATGTGCCTAACTTGAAGGGTTTATATGTACTTTAGATTTGTTTGCTATAGTATGCTCTGACATCTTCACTGATACTGATATTTAAAATATCTTACCTTTGAAGGTCAGTGTGTCAATTCTATTTCTAATATGTCTCTGCAGTGCATTTCTAGGTCCCAAAGACCTTTTTCCATATAAGGAGTACAAAGACAAGTTTGGAAAGTCAAACAAACGGAAAGGATTTAACGAAGGATTGTGGGAAATAGAAAATAACCCAGGAGTAAAGTTTACTGGCTACCAGGTAATGGTTTACTTCCTTGTCACTTGCTATATCTCATTTCTTTGGTTTTAACGCTTTTTCAAATCTTTCTTATATGTCCTTTCTACTAATAGTTACCTTGAAGTCACAATTCTTTTTGACTCCAGTAGCATTTTGGATTAAATGTAATTCTTAATCAGAAGGGTTCAAATCAAGTGTCCATTGGAAAATTCAGTTTGACAGCCCTTTGTTTTTGAAAATCTTCCGAGTAAGCGGAACCCTTTCAAATGAAAA
The DNA here is from genome assembly GCF_000001405.40 of Homo sapiens. NCBI lineage: Eukaryota > Metazoa > Chordata > Mammalia > Primates > Hominidae > Homo > Homo sapiens. Next base: position 83,157,650 of record NC_000015.10, on the reverse strand, counting down.
CAGAGTAGTTCTTTTCAGTGTTTGTTCTTTGCTATTTTTTCAAAAATGTAATCAGCTAATATTTTATTATTTCTTAGGCAATTCAGCAACAGAGCTCTTCAGAAACTGAGGGAGAAGGTGGAAATACTGCAGATGCAAGCAGTGAGGAAGAAGGTGATAGAGTAGAAGAAGATGGAAAAGGCAAAAGAAAGAATGAAAAAGCAGGCTCAAAACGGAAAAAGTCATATACTTCAAAGGTTACTAAGAAACTTCTCATTGTTATTAATGTTATATGCATATCCATTAAACATTTTTAGATTATTTTCCATGTGTTTATTGGGTACATAGAAATATACTAAATTCTATGGAGCCTCTGCCTTTAGGGACAAAATACAGCAGAGGGAAGTCAGGTAACCTTAGATATTAGAGCAATCTGACTATTGACTCTTTAGGGCTGATTTGGCCCTGAAAATACCACCTTTTTAGTTGGAGGAGGACTGACTGTTCTTTAGTTAAGGATATATGAGTAGCTTTGCCTCCTACAGTAACCTCCAGACGAGCTCTAAAGAATTGAGAAATGTAGGAAACACAATATAATTCAAGACTATGTCTATGTACTATATGTGTAAATGCATCACATGTAACTTAACTATGGGGTTCTAAGAAATGCATCATGGCTGGGCGCGGTGGCTCACACCTGTAATCTCAGCAGTTTGGGAGGCTGAGGCAGGCGGATCACAAGGTCAGGAGATCGAGACCATCATGACTAACATGGTGAAACCCCATCTCTACTAACAATGTAAAAGCAAAATTAGCTGGGCATGGTGGCGGGCGCCTGTAGTCCCAGCTACTCATGAGGCTGAGGTGGGAGAATGGCATGAACCCAGGAGGCGGAGCTTACAGTGAGCCAAAATCGTGCCACTGCACTCCAGCCTGGGTGACAGAGCGAGACTCCATCTCAAAAAAAAAAGAAATGCATCATTAGGCAATTTTGTCATTGTACAAACAACATAGAGTATACTTACACAAATGTAGGTGGTACAGCCTACCACACGTCAAGGCTTCGTATATGTGGTCTGTCACTGACCAAACATTACTATGTGACATGACTGTAAAAAGATATATTTTTACTTGTCATTCTGCTTCAAAGAATGTGCTTTGGCTGTTTATTTATTCAGTTCTTTTATTTCCTGATCACCTAGTCTATTCCAGACACCAGACTAGGTATACAGCGGTGAGCAACTCCATTCCTGCCTTCACATAAATTATAGTACAACAGAGAGTGGGGGTAGCACACAGTAATCACGTAAATAATAAATTGTGAAAGGGTGTGAAGGAATTGAATGGGAGCAGGGGGACCTAAAATAGGTCCCCTATTTTAGATAGGGTGGCCAGGGCTTTCTGAAAACGTGTAGTTTATGCTGAGACCTCAAAGAAGAGAGTAGGAGGAGAAGCCATATATGGCAGAGGGAAAGGAATGTAGCATCAAAGCTCTGAGGCAGGGAAGAGTTTAGCATGTTTTTCCTGTATTGAAAGAAGGTGTGGCTGGAGAATCATGACCAAGGGGGAAAGGCTGGCAAAGGCCTAATTATGCAGACTTGTAGGCCATAATGAGAAATTTGGATTTTATTCCAAATCTAACAATACTTGAAGATTTTAAACAGAGGAATGACATGATCCTAGATTTACAAATTGAAAGTCTAGGTTTTTTCATATGGTAATTCAGAAATACAATGGAAAGAACTCTGAGATTGTGAAAATTATTCACCTTTTAGAAACTGAAAGCAAGATAAATGGATCCTTGAAGACCAAAGATTGGTACAGGTTTCACTATAATTGGTCTGTCACATGATTGAATACCTGGATAAATTACTTCTATTTAAATTCTGGTGTTTAGTGACTGAATACACTTAGGAAACTCTAAAAACAAGTACCTAGAGTTTATTAGATTATCAGCATTTATTTTGGCAGTATATAAAATCTTACCCAACTGGCATACAGGCAGAATTGTGTGAATGCAGCATTGTTTCCTGTGTACCTAATGAAAAACATGTGATTGCCTTGGATGGGGATAAAGTTTGCAAATGACGACAAAGTAATTAGAATTTTTCTTGTCAGACTTTATCTTCCATTGTAATTACTTTTTTAAGCTGAATTTCTTTTAGCATTTTGGACTTCATTTAAACACCTACTTGAATTGATTTTACTTAATTTGTGATTGCCTGCTGAGCTTCCACCTAATGTGTTGTGCAACCCTAAATTATCTAAGCTACCTAATGTTGCCTAGGCATTTAATAGTGTGGATATGTGGCTTTTAAATGCCATTATTTTATTGCTTGTTACAAAGACCAAAAGTAATGGGGCTCCACCTGGGTGGACTTAAAATTTAAAGCAGAGAAAGGGTAAAGACACACTTAGCTTACTAATGTTTATCTATTTTAAATTAAGGGATCATTTCCTTTGCTTTCCTTGAAGATTACAACTTCATGATCATTTAATAGCCTTTTGGCTGGTCACAATGGCTCATACCTATAATCCCAACACTTTGAGTGGCTGAGACAAGTGGATCTCTTGAGCCCAGGAGTTTGAGACCAGCCTGGGCAACATAGTGAGACCTCATCTCCACAAATAATAAAATTAGCCAGGAGTGATTGCTCACACCTGTAGTCCAGCTACTTGGGAGGCTGAGGTGGAAGGATTGCATGAGCCCAGGAGTCCAGGCGAGTACTGAGCCATGATCATGCCACGGCCCTCCAGCCTGGGAAACAGAGTGAGACCCTGTCTCAAAAGGGGGGAAAAAAAAGAATAGCTTTTTATTTTTAATATCAATGAAATAACCTAGCATAATGGTTCTCAAACTGTTACATGTTTTAGAATTACATGGAAGACTTATAAAGACAAGCTTACATTGTTTGACAAGCTTGCCACATTGAATAGTTATACTGTATTTACTAGGAGAACAAAAAGTTTTTCACTTTTACTATCATTCTTGATCTTAACTGGAAACACTCCACATTTGTATCATTAAATCCCTGTTTTCCCTTCTTGTAAAAAGTAAAAATCACCACATTATAACATGACATTTTAGGTTTGGTTGGTAGTTTCAGTTAAGTAAAATAGAAACATTGTTGAACCCCATCCCCAGAATTTCTATTTCAGAAGGTCTAGGGTGGGGTCTAGGAATCAAATTTCCAGGTGAGGCTTATCCTGCTGATCTGGGAACCACATTTAGAGAACCGCTTGCCTAGCATAACTTCATTGTTCTCTTTTGCTTCCCAAATGCTTTTTAAAAAACAAATATGGTGATTTTTCCTTTTTTTTTTTTTTCTTTGTCTTGAGACAGGGTCTTGCTCTGTCACCCAGGCTGGTGTGCAGTGGTGCAATCTCAGCTCACTGCAACCTCTGCCCCCTGGGCTCAAGCTGCCCTCCCACCTCAGCCTCCCCAGTAGCTGGGACCACGGGCGTACATCACCACACGCTGCTTTTTTGCTTTTTTATTTTTGCTTTTTTTTTTTTTCCAGTAGAGACCGGATTTTATCATGTTGCCCAGGCTGGTCTCAAACTCCTGAGCTCAAACAGTCTGCCCGCCTCAACCTCCCAGAGTGCTGGGATTACAGGTGTGAGCCACTGTGCCCGGCCTGTTTTTATGTCTATTTCTTAAGAGTTGAATGGTCTTCCTTTGCATGGAAAATTAGTGGCTCACAAACTTTTTTTTACTACATTCCAGTTGGGTAGAGGAAAAGGCCCCACACCTGTCTCCTCTACCTCACCTAATTTCAGTTTTCTAAGGAAAACGCTCAGTAATCACAATGAAAAGTCATGCTATAGTAGATTTGAGGGAGATTATATGTCTTCTCTCTTTAGCAGTAAGGCTATGGATTATTCATATTTGAGTCATAGCAGATACTGGAAAATCATAGGTCAAAAATATTTTGCATACAAATTATTTACTATTTACAATAGGACTAATGAGAGCCTCACAACAAACTAAACTGATGTTGATAAACCACCAGTAATTTTAGTTTAAAAAAACAAAGATAGCAAAAATCAAACACATAACCAATTTAGGACCACACTGATAAAACTGAGTCCTTCTCCAAAATTACAGGAGTTTCAGTAATCTGAAAAGCTTTTCAAGATTACCAAATAGAGCTTGGCAACCAGATTTCTTCATAGAATACCAAATGTTGTGACTCATTAATAAAACACTAGTAATGCCCTAATTCTATTCTGTATATCCCAAATACATGCCAAATTGTAATACTTATAAACTAATTTATAAGGTTACTCATAAAGATCCTTTATGAGCATTAGAAATTTTAGGGAGTTGTTCATTATTATGAGAACTGCCAGGGGCCAGGCATGGTGGCTCACGCCTGTAATCCCAGCACTTTGGGAGGCCGAGGCGGGCAGATCATGAGGTCAGGAGATCGAGACCATCCTGGCTAACGAGACCATCCTGGCTAACACAGTGAAACCCCATCTCTACTAAAAATACAAAAAAGTTAGCCGGGCGTGGTGGCAGGTACCTATAGTCCCAGCTACTCGGGAGGCTAAGGCAGGAGAATGGCATGGTGTGAACCCAGGAGGCGGAGCTTGCAGTGAGCCGAGATAGCCCCACGGCACTCCAGCCTGGGCAACAGAGCGAGACTCCGTCTTAAAAAAAAAAAAAAAAAAAAAAGAACTGCGTATCGAGGACTGTTATTTGAAAATCACTATATAAAGCAGTTGCTACATTTTAATAATTATACTATAAAGAGAAAGTGTTTCACTTTTACTATTGTCATTCTTGATCGTCACTTGAAATACTCCACATTTGTATTATTAAATCCCTGTTTCCCTTCATGTAAAAAGTAAAAATCACATTTTAAACTGACATTTTGGGCTTGGCTGGTAGTTTCAGTTAAGTAAAATAGAAACAGTTTAATTATATATTCTGCCACACAGCTAGAGGACGTTTTCTCTTTTTTTGTTTTTTTTTTTTTTTTCGAGACAGAGTCTAACTCTGTCACCCAGGCTTGAGTGTCACTGCAACCTCCACCTCCCAGGTTCAAGTGATTCTCCTGCCTCAGCCTCCCAAGTAGCTGGGATTACAGGCCTCTCGCCACCACACCCAGCTAATTTTGTATTTTTAGTAGAGACAGGGTTTCACCATGTTGGCCAGGATGGTCTCAAACCCCTGACCTTAGGTGATCTGTCCACCACAGCCTCCCAAAGTGCTGAGATTAAAGGCGTGAGCCACTGCGCCCAGCCCCAGGTAATTTTTGTAGTTTTAGTAGAGACAGGGTTTTGCCATGTTGGCCAAGCTGATCTCAAACTCCTGACCTTACTTAGGTGATCCACCCGCCTCAGCCTCCCAAAGTGCTGGGATTACAGGCGTGAGCCACCATGCCTGGCCTATGTTTTCTCTTTGAAAGTTGCATTTTTAAAAACTGATTATCTGAAGAAGCTTCAGTTTGCTCATTCATTTCTGGAAGACCAGAAGTAACTTGGCAAAATCAGTTTTGCCTTACCTCTTACTTGCAACGTGCTTGAAGACTCTTAAAATGTCTCAAAGAGGAAGTGTAGAAAAACACTATATTTTACTTTCTTAAGGCGCACAATTGGGGCCAGCTTTCTATAATTTTAATGCAATGCTGCCAAGCAACTCTTGAGGCAAACTAATTGTATTTTCATCTTCCTCTAGAGTTCATCTTGTTTTCAAATGCAAGATGACGAGGAAAAAGGACTGGTTCACAGTATGGCCTTGAGTTCTTAAATAATGCTCCACAATTGAAAAGATTAGTTTATATCAAACAGTTTTATCAAGATGATTCTGGGTATCCCATTAGCCAAACAGCTTCAAGAGGTGTTCCAGCATGAATATCTATATATTCTCTTGGATAGTTCACCTCACTTCTTTCAATTTCCACTACTATAAAATGATGGGGAGGACAAGATGACCTTTAGGGTACCTTCCACTTCTGTAGCCTTCTTAAGGTGGTGTCCATCCAGCTGTATTTATTCATTGACAGTGTTCTAGGTACATTAATCTTCATTTTGTGCTTTTAATATCACATTGCTGGAAATAACTAAGAGGTCACCTAGCCCACTTCTGCTTCCTTTCCAGCTAGTTAAACTGAGGTCCAATGAGGTGAAATGATTTGTCCAATGTCACCTAGCTCAGCCTTGGCATACTACATGTTGTGTCAGTATATCCTCTATCAACCACTAAAACTAGATAGATGCAAGTCAGCTATTTCTGCATCTCTTACTTGTACATTTGGATTTCTGCTTTTGACTATAATATTTAACTTGTCTAAACATTTAGAAATCCTCTAAACAGTCCCGGAAATCTCCAGGAGATGAAGATGACAAAGACTGCAAAGAAGAGGAAAACAAAAGCAGCTCTGAGGGTGGAGATGCGGGCAACGACACAAGAAACACAACTTCAGACTTGCAGAAAACCAGTGAAGGGGTAAGGATGTGCTTATAATTTCTCTTACCTTCTATTAGAAGACATTTTGCTTCAGATTCAGCATCCATATGTCAGCATTAGTAAACATTGTGTTGATAAATGGAGAAGTATTCTCAGCCTATTATATGCATCCACTCAGCCCTTTAATATAATCAAATTCTTAGAGTCTGAACAAAAGAGCCAAGTGAGAATTATACCTGCCTGTCAATTTGGATCTCTATGAACAGGTTTATTTTTCTTTATACTAACTTTAGAGTCTTTTTAAAGTACAATGTGAAATACTGAAATTATGAAATGCCACCCCAAAATTCAACAGTTGTATTTCTGTTATCACAAAATCAATGGCATGTTCAAAATAGAGTATTACATACTGCTGCTTCTTTCCCAGAAGCAGTGTGTAATTCATTGTACCCATGAGGACTTTAAATATGCAAGCAATGTTTGAATATTGATATTTAAAGTACCCCTAGGGACAAATTTGTCTATGATGACTCTTCATAACTTTTGTTAACCTTTGTTAACTTCAAAGCACAGGTAAGTCCACCTTTGTAAAAAACTTGATGAAGGCAAATTTTGCCCCCATGCATTTTCCATGAGTCTTTCCTCTATGAAGACTAGTTAGACAATGTCAAATCATTTAAAAATAATGACCTAAGAAATTTATCTGGTTTCAGCAGAGTTCTTGCCTGTTCATGTCAGTCCTGTTTACCTCTCAACTCTTTTCTTCCTTCATCCCAGTTATCTATAATTACTCCCAAAGTATTATGATTCTGATTGTTCTCTTATTCCTCTCACCCAGCTCAGCCCTACTCTATCCTCTGCTTATCTTCATCCTCTTGACTTTTCTTTAATAAGTAGTCCTCTATCATTACTTTTGCCAGCAGCCTTCCCAGGGACATATACCTGCTAACAGTCACTGAGAACTTGAACACCTGGCTCACTTGATTTTCTTTCTATTCGACCTGCTACCTTTATGTCAGGTCGCTTCAATATGCAAGTAGCAACAACTCCAACAATTTCTCTTCCCTTTACTACCAAACTTATTTCTAGATGCACTTCTCATGACAAAGGAAGAGTTGTCCTACCCCCTTAATACTCAGAATGTGGTCAGTGAACCAGTAGCATCAACATTAGGTAGGAGCTTGTTAGAAATGGAGAATCTCAGACCTGCCCGAAACTCCAGATTCTGAATCGGAATCTGCATTTTAACTCAACCCCAAGTAATTCATATGCACATGAAAGTCTGAGAAGCACTAATTTACATCTTTCTATTGTCATGGTTCAGAATATTATCTCCTCCTGTTTTCTCCAAAGCACACCCAGTCATTCGTCCCCTTCTTCTATACCACATCTTCTTTTCCACTGGCTCCTTCCCCTCTGCCTATAAACAGCCTAAGGTCTCCCTTAATCTTGATGATACCTCCCTTCCATCTTATATTTTACCCTTTTCACTTTTCCCTTCATCTCTAACTTCGTAAAAAGAATGATCTTTTCTCCCAGTCTCCATTTCCTCTCCTCCTCCTGATGACTTAACCCATTGCACTCTTATTTCTTCTTTGACCACTTCATTGAAATTGCTCTTGTAAAGGTTCCTAGTGATCCTCTCCTTGCCCGATCCAACGTCTCATTTAGTCTTCGTTTTCACCTCTGCAAAATTTAATACTATCAGACATTTCTCCTCCTGACTTTTCCTCCAGGTTACCAATCTGTTCTGCTTCCTCTCCCTGTTCCTTCTTAGTCTCTTTCTAGAGCTCCTTCCTTCAGTCTGACTTGGCACACTTCTACTCTGAAAACATCTTGTGTTCATCTTATCCATACATATGATTTCAACTTTACTGATTACGTTTTCATTCTATATATCCTATGCATTGTAGATTCATTGTTCTAACCACTAATAAAACCATTTCTTCTTGAAAGCACCTTAGAACATAATAGCTGCTACAGCTAGCACTAGTATCCTGTGTGCCACATATTGTGCGTGGTCTGCATTCATTATCTCATTTAATCCTCATACAAACTTCAGGAGGTAGGTGCAGGTATTGCTTTTGCTTTTTAGTTGGGGAAACTGAGACTGAAAGAATTGGCCTAGGATCACACAGCTAGTAAGAGCTCAAGTGGGAAGCAAGAGCCTATTTTTAATGATATATTTGTTATATACAAAATAATATATATAAATATAAGGTTATAAAGCTATAAAGTGACCCTACCACCGAACCTAAAAACTAGAACATCACAATTAACTTGTATCTATTTACGTATTCTTTCCAGTCCCTCTTCCTACCCAGAGATGAGCACTAATGTTGTATTATTTCCTTTTCTTTTTGAAATGTTTGCCCATGCCTAACATATAGGTGTATAAACAGTATATTGTTTAGTATTACTTATTTTTAGCTTTTTAAAAACTTATAACATTCACTCAGCACTGTTTTCCCAAGATTCCTTCATGTGGTTATGTGTAGCAGTAGTCTATTTTAACTACTGTATAATATTCAGTTTTATGGGTATACCACAACTTATTTATCCAGTCTCCTATTGATGGGCAGTTGGGTTGTTTCCAGCTTTTTGCAATTATTATTATTATTTTTTTTTTTTCGAGACGGAGTCTCACTCTGTCGCCCAGGCTGGAGTACAGTGGTGCGATCTTGGCTCACTGCAAGCTCTGCATCCCAGGTTCACACCATTCTCCTGCCTCAGCCTCCCAAGTAGCTGGGACTACAGGCACCCACCACCACACCTGGCTAATTTTTTTGTATTTTTAGTAGAGACGGGGTTTCACCGTGTTAGCCAGGGTGGTCTCGATCTCCTGACCTCGTGATCTGCCTGCCTCAGCCTCCCAAAGTGCTGGGATTACAGGTGTGAGCCACTGTGCCCGGCCAGCTTTTTGCAATTATTATGAACTGTGTGGCTGTGAGCATTCTCATGCCTGTCTCCTAGTATACGTGTACAAGAGTTTATTTAGGATATGTAACTAGAACTGAAAATACTGAGCCGTGAGTTGATGGATTTTAACTTTACAAGATAATGCCAAATTATTTTCCGTAGTAGTTGGACATTCTCACCAGAGGTGTGGAAGAGTTCCCTGTGATTAACTTGGCATAGTCAGGCTTTTTAATTATTGCCAATATAGTGAGTATAAAATGGTCATTATAGTGTTAATTTATAGTTCTCTGATTAATGATAAGGTTGAGCTGCCTTTCATGTTTATTGACCACCCATGTTTTCTCTTCTGTACAGCGCGTGTTTTGGGTTTTGCCCATTTTCTTATTGGATTTCATTTCTTACTGATTTGTAGGACTTCTCTACATACTCTAGATTCTAACTAACATGGATCATCATATTTCTTGCAGATATCCTCTCCAAGTTTATGGCTTGTCTATTCAATTTCTTTCTGATATTTTTAGCAATCAGACTTTTTAAATTTTATTGTATTGTAGTCAGCTTTATCAGACTTTCCTTTTATGGCTAGCATTTTTCTGTCTTGTTTAAGCATAACCATTTGAACCAGCACCATTTATTGCATAGTCCTTCCTTTTTTCTCTGATCCGCAGTGCATCTGTCGTATATTCATAGGTCTCTCTCTGGGTTCTCTATTCTGTTCTGTTGGTCAATACCACACTCTCTTAATTATAGTAGCTTTATAATGAGTCCTGATATCATGTAGGGCTAATTGAATAGTTTTAGTTTTCAAATATTTAATAGTCATGGTCTGGGATAGAAGTTCAAGGAAGGTCTTTTTTTTTCTTGATGGGAGAATTTACATATGCTAGTAAGAATGATCCAAGTCAGAAATGATCACAAAATGATAATGTAAGAAAGAATTGCTGAAGCAGTGTCCTTTAGAAAGCAAGAAGGTAGGGCCAGGTGCGGTGGCTCACACCTGTAGTCCCAGCACTTTGGGAGGCCGAGGCAGATGGATCACGAGATCAAGAGATCGAGACCATCCTGGCCAACATGGTGAAAATACACCATACTAAAAATACAAAAATTGGCTGAGTGTTGTGGTGCGTGCCTGTAGTCCCAACTACTCGGGAGGCTGAGGCACTAAAGTCACTTGAACCCGGGAGGTGGAGGTTGCAGTGAGCTGAGATTACATCACTGCACTCCAGCCTGGTGACAGAGCGAGATTCTGTCTCAAAAAAAAAAAAGAAAGAAGGTATAAGATCTGGTGCACATCTGGAGGGGCTACCTTGGTTCATCCATTAAATTGGAAGGAAAGGCAGAGTATTTGGGCACGGATACAGGTAAGTAGATACTTGGGGTGAGAGCTTGTAGAAATTCTTACCTGATTGCTTCTATTTTCTTAAGGAACAAGGTTAGCATTTGAGACTGAGAATAGGAAAAAATGTTGGAAGATTCAAGAGAGAGAAAAAGGTACAAAATAGTCATTTAGAAGAATAAGAGAATGAATGAACTTGGGAAATGAAGTTGAATTGCCAGGTAATACTAAAGGCTTGCTTGAGACCAGTGGTCTTGAATTTAAAGTGAGAGGGGTCACAATGGTTGTGTGTTTTTCTCCAGGCATATTCAATTATTCAGTCACAGAGAGGACAGATAATTGAATTTAACTAGAATTAAGGTTTTCGCAGAGAGTAGGGTAAAGAAGATTAGAGGCCAGGGAATCAAGGATGTGTACAAGGATTATAACAATGGACCATGGAATCCAACATATCTTAAGAGGAAAGATGTAAATGAGAAAGGGAGAGAGTCAACAGAGTTTGAGTATGACCTGGAAATATAAATGGTGATAGAAGAGTGAGGTATTTGAATAGAATCATGGAAAGGTTGCAGTAGTTGCCGATGACAGTGCAGGTGCTACTAGTATTTCCAGTGGGACACTTAATTCTTCATTGTACGAGCACTGTCTACATCACAAGACATTTAGTACCCATGGCCCTGTGTGTTAAATGCCAGTAGAACCCCAGAGTTCTTAATAATAACCTAAAATGCCTACATAATTTTGCTTTCAAAACAGTGGCTTAAGACAGTATTTACAGTTACTCCCAGTGGTTGTGAATCACTTGTTTTAAGAAAGAACCATGGACTTTGGGAGGCTGAGGTGGGCCGATCACCTGAGGTCAGGAGTTTGAGAGCAGCCTGGCCAATATGGTGAAACCTGTCTCTACTAAAAATGCAAAAATTAGCTGGGCATGGTGGTGCACACTTGTAGTCACAGGTACTCGGGAGGCTGAGGCATGAAAATCGCTTGAACCCGGGAGGCAGAGGTTGCAGTGAGCCAAGATCGAGCCACTGCATTCCAACCTGGGCGACAGAGTGAGACTCCATCTCAAAAAAAAAAAAAAAAAAAAAAAAAAAAAAAGGAAGAAGAAAGGGAGAGAGAGAGAAAAAAAAAAAAGAAAGAACAAACCATGGGAGCGAGTGACTGAGGTAGGGTCTTAGAAGACAAGATCTTTGGCAGAGAGGACACCAAGGAACTGAGATACCAGAATGTTAGAAAGATAATCTATGTGGATATTGAAATCACAGGAATTATGATGAATGACAGAGGGCCAGAAGTGAAATCTTTAAAGAGTAAGGAGAATAATCCAGGGAGTCTGTAGATGATTGCAGGAAGGAGGGGAGTAGCTTACACTGAGATTCAAAACTGGGAGGCTTTTATTTTCAGGGAAGGTAGGGCACAGGGGAGAGAATGAATAGCTTATAAATAGTAGGGAGGAGCAAGAAGGACACCTTCTCCACCTCCAGGGCAAGTAGTAGTACAAGAGCTGTGGGAGAGAACAGAGCTACCATTTGAGAGGGTTACAGGGAAAGAGGCAGCACTGCCCTTAGAAGAAAACAGGTTTTAGTTAGAACAAGTTGTTGAGTGGAATTTCTTGGAAATTCAAATTGAGAATATAGGAGTTTTGCTAATGGCTAACCGTGGTTTTCAGGGGGCCCAGTAGAAGAGATTAAAGAATGGGGTTGGGGGTTCTGTTAAGAAATGAGGCCGTAAAAGGACCTGTGCAAAGCTGACTGGGGATATGAGTTCAGGAAGTGATGGGTGCTCTGGAGCCCATCTTATAGTATCCAGAGTAAGCTAGGATAAAGGGCATAATGATAAAAAGCCTGATGGTCTCAAAGCAGATGATGGGTTGATGTTATGCATATTGTTAAGGGAAAGAAAGAAGAGATTTTTACGAGGGTCCCTTTTTGCTCCCAGAGGCTCTCTGAGTACTTCCTCCCTTCTGCCACTAGCAGAAGGAGACAGAAAGGAGCAGGCGCCCTTATCTAGAATGCTTGGAGTTCCTTCGATTCATATGGATAGAAGGTGAAAGTTACTCATCTGTGGCCAGGAGGACACCATGCACTGATTGGCTTACACCTACTGTATTAGTTATCTATTGCCATGTAACTGAAAACTAGTGACTTAAAGCAGCATTTATTATCTCATCTTTTCAAGACTCATCAACAGTCCATTCAGGTGCAACTTGCTAAATCCTCTGGCTCTGGGTCTCTTGCAAAAGGAACTGAGATACCAAAATGCAGTCCAGGTGTCAGCAGGAACTCAGATCATCTTAAGGCTCAACTGGGGATGGATCCTCTTCTAAGATCACTCAAATTGTTCCTGGCAGGATTCAGCTCCTCACGGTTGTTGGACTGGAGGCCTCAGTTCCTCATGAGTTGTTTCCCAGAGGCCTCCTCTGATGCCTTGCCCCATGGATCTCACCATGAGGCAGCTCACAGCATGGCAGCTGGCTTCATCAGAGTAAGCAGTAAAGTGTCAGTAAGAGAGAGTGCTGGCAAACAGAAGTCAGTCTTTTGTAACCTAATCTCAGAAGTGACATCCCATCACTTTTGCTTCATTCTGTTTATTACAAGCAAGTCACTAGGTCCAGCCCACACTAAAGGGGCGGTGATTACACAAGAATGTGATGTAGAGATACCGGAGGCAGGAATCATTGGAGACTATATCAGAAGGCTACCTATCCCTAAACCAACTACTGATACAAGAGGATTAGAACTGGCTCACACCATTCAGGTTCTCCACACCCCTGGAGCTGGATTCAGGTCGCTAAATCACAAGGTTACCACACAGCTATGGCATCCGCCTGTAGTCCCAACTACCTGGGGGGCTGAGGCGGGAGAATTGCTTGAGTCCAGGAGGGCTGCAGTGAAAGATACTAGTGGTGGGCAGCCTTGTCTGGTGCTGACGATTGCCTGGCAGTCAGTGGAGGGGAAGGTCTGAGAATCGTGCCGTATCGGTAAGTTGGGACTTAAAATTTGTAATTATTCCAATATATTTACTAGAGATTATTTGGAAAACAGACCCTCAAATGACAATAAAGTCTTATATCATTAAAAACAAACAAACAAAAAAAACACAAGGCTACCACACAACTGGAGGGAGGGACAGAGGATAAACATTGGAATGATAGCTACAATGTTTACTGTAACGATTTACCATGTGGCCATGCCTTTATTCTTCTGACCCTGAACCCGTTCTTTCTACAGTATAGTGGCTGCTGCCTTATATCTCCCCAGTGCCCCACAAGATTAAGTCTGCGTTCCTTATTCCGTCATACAATGCCTTTCACAGCTGACCCCAGTTTATCTTTGCAGTCTTACCTCTCACCGTTTACTCTCATTTATTCTTGGTCTCAGGACCTCCTTAATACCATTAAAAGTTTGTTTGTTTGAGATGGAGTTTCGCTCTGTCGCCCAGGCTGGAGTGCAGTGGCACGATCTTAGCTCACTGCAACCTCCGCCTCCTGGGTTCAAGCGATCCTCCTGCCTCAGCCTCCTGAGTAGCTGGGATTGCAGGCACGTGCCACCACGCCTGGCCAATTTTGTGTTTTTCGTAGTTAGGATTTCACCACGTTGGCCAGGCTGGTCTCGAACTCCAGACCTCAAGTGATTCGCCCGCCTCAACCTCCCAAAGTGCTTCGATTACAGGCGTGAGTCACTGCACCTGGCCCCCTTTAAGGGGCCTGTAATCTCAACACTTTGGGAGGCCAAGGTGGGTGGGTCACCTGAGGTCAGGAGTTCAACACCAGCCTGGCCAACATGGTGAAACCCCATCTCTACAAAAAATACAAAATTAGCTGGGCGTGGTGGCATGTGCCCGTAATCCCAGCTACTCAGGAAGCTGAGGCAGAATTGATTAAACCTGGGAGGCGGAGATTGCAGTGAGCTGAGATTGTGCCACTGTACTCCAGCCTGGGTGACAGAGCAAGACTCCGTCTCAAAAAAAAAAGTTATTAAGGGCCCCAAAGAGCTTTGTTTATATATGTGATCGTTAATGATATTTATTTAATTAGAAATAAAAACAAATTTTAAAAATACTTAATTCATTTAATATAATAAATCCATTACTTAAATAGCATTTTTATGAAAATAACATTTCACAGAAAAGTTTGCAGAAAGACATTTTTACATTTTTGCAAATCTTTTTAATGTCTGATTTGATAGAAGACAACTAGATCCTCATATCTATTTCTGCATTCTCTTTATTGTAATATGTAATTGTGGTTGAAGGTATATGAAGAAAATCTGGTATTATACAGATATTTAATTGAAAAATGGTGATATGAGTATCTTAATCGTCTTGCTTTTTTTTTAAACTTCAGGGAGTACATGTGCAGATTTATTATTAAAGGTTAACTCATGTCACAGGTGTTTGTTGTTACCCTGGGTTCTAAGCCTAGTATCCAATAGTTACTTTTTCTGATCCTCTTCCTCCTCTCCTTTACCCTCCAGTAGGCCCTAGTGTCCATTGTTCCCCTCTTTGTGTCCATGAGTTCTCATTATTTAGCTTCCACTTATAAGCAAGAACACGCGGTATCTGGTTTTCTGTTCCTGTGTTAGTTTGTTAAGGATAATGGCCTCTAGCTCTATGCATGTTCCCACAAAAGACATGCTCTCACTCTTTTTAATGGCTGCATAGTATTCCATGGTATATATGTACCACATTTTCTTTATCCAATCTGTCATTGATGGGCATTTAGGTTGATTCCATTTCTTTACTATTGTATATAGCGAGTGCTGCAGTGAACATTCTCATGCATGTGTCTTTATGGTAGAATGATTTATATTACTTTGGGTATATAAGCAGTAATGGGATTGCTGGGTTGAATGGTAGTTCTATTTTTAGCTCTTTGAGGAATTGCCCTACTGATTTCCACAATGGTTGAACTAATTTACACTCCCACCAACAGCATATAAGCGTTCCCTTTTCTCTGCAACCTTGCCAGCATCTGTTATTTTTTGACTTTTTAGTAATAGCCATTGAGTTGTGTGAAATGGTATGTCACTGCAGTTTTGATTTGCATTTCTCTAATGATCAGCGATACTGAGCTTTTCTTCATATGCCTGTTTGTCTAGCGCTCTGAATAGCTTTCCCCCAGTTAGAAAATATAGGTTTTCTGAATTACTTGGGTCTTCCAAATATTCACTCATTTCAGTACAAAATGTTTTTAATCACATTTTTAATATCACTACCTATCTCATCAGAAAAGTCTTTAAGTATTGGGGCCAAGTTTGGTGGCTCACACCTGTAACCCCAGCACTTTGATAGGCTGAGGCAGGAGGATAGCTTGAGGCCAGGAGTTCAAGGCTGCAGTGAGCTGTGATCACACCGCTACACTTAGCATGGGCACAAGAGCAAGACCCTGTCTCTAAAAAAAAAGTCTTTAAATATTGGAAAACTGTCAGTCATGGAGGATTTGAAATTCTAGTTTTCACTGAACACTCAAATTTTATCATTGGCAAAAAACAGTTGTTTTTCTGCAAGTAATAAGTTACTTATTTGTTATAACGTGCCAAATTGCCCAGTCTGCATAGCCATATTGAATATTATCATTCCTTCATATCAAAATGGTACTCCTTGAAAAGATCCTTACGGCTTCTGTTGTTTCATAGCTTCTGCTTACAGTGTTCTGGGTATCCTTCAGTTTTGCTACCACCCTATAGCCTCTCAGTGTGCCTCACATTTAGATACCTCCAGAGAGAATCCGATTGGATTCTTCAGCCATTATCTAATATAGGGGTGCATGGCAACCAGTGCATAAGGAACCACTTGTGGCTACTTACTCAGAGGAGACTTCAGATCTAGGAGACAGTCAGAGTACCATGTCCAGAATATATACCATGATGAATTAGCAAGATGCAGTTTTCAATACATAGATGCAAAGTGATTATGGTATGAGAATTTTTTAATCTCAGATTTTGTAATTTGCTTTTACAAAGCACCCATTTGACAGCACCTTGTTTAAAGACCACAAAAAGCATGTCCTTAAAACTATAGTCACATTCTTGGTGCTCCCTTCACTTTGTTTGGGGTATTAATACTACTCTGAGGCTGCCATGGGACCACCTGTTCCAAAAATATTCTTTGATGTGGATTGAGTAGTTTTTACTGTGATTATTCTACCAAGATAAACATAGAATTTATTGCCTTTCACAGTAATAATAAGAAAACATTGTTAAAGAAGGTTTCGGCCAGGCACGGTGGCTCACGCCTGTAATCCCAGCACTTTGGGAGGCCGCCGAGCCAGGCAGATCACAAGGTCAGGAGTTTGAGACCAGCCTGACCAACGTGGTGAAATCCCATCTCTACTAAAAATACAAAAATTAGCCGGGCATGGTAGCACACACCTGTAATCCCAGCTACTCAGGAGGCTGAGGCAGGAGAATCACTTGAACCGGGGAGGTGGAGGTTGCAGTGAGCTCACATCACGCCACTGTACTCCAGCCTAGGTGACAGAGCGAGACTCTGTCTCAAAAAAAAAAAAAAAAAACTTTCTTTGGTTGACTAACAATTTTTCATTGTTCTAATGGGTGTCTTCCTCCTTCACAAGGGAGGAAGATCCTCCAAAGTATCTGTGAGTATAATCTTATAACTGGTGTTTTTGTTAAGAAATAATTAGGAGTCACCAGGCACTCCATTTTTTAAGTTCACAAATTTCAAACTTTTTTTTTAAAGATTTACTTCCTCATTTTAATAGGGACAGAAGGATAAAAAGTATATTTCTGCCATCTTAGGGGGATGGAAGTTTTGGTAACTCTCTCTCCTTTGAAGGTCCTGGAATCGTTTATTATAATATATACCATTTAGTATACATGTTGGGCTGTCTGAATGAGAACATACCCATCAGTGTGCACATGTGCTTACAAACATGTTCATTCATTTAGTGAAATTAAGAGTGGAAGCAGGCTGTTTTCAGAAAAAATATTTGAGGGCTGAGTTCCCTCTTTCATTCATCCCATGAGGGTATTACTAGGGGGTTTAATATATTTGGGTTAATGATGAGGGGGAAAAAATAGCATCCTTTTGGGGAAATAGAACCAGACACAATTTAAAGTGGGACCCAAATAGAAACATAATTCTTTTATGAAACAAATGTTTTATTTTCTGTTTGTCACACGGATGCCATCTAAATTTTAAAAGAAATCTAGGCTTCCTCTTATTCTTTATGTTTTTTTTAAAAGCAAGAAGTCAGAGACTTTGTACATCATGATTAACTTCTACATTTGTTTGAGCTATGTGTCACAAGTAATTAAGTTATAAATATTCTGAAGATTAATTGGTGCACACTCTAAGTGCTTTTTAAATTTTACACAGCTTACCTTTCTTTCTGAAGAATGTCCTCACAAAGATAGATTATATCAATTTCTCCACTGATGATGTATTCCAGCAATAAACATAGTCCTAGAATTGTAGAATGTGCACTGCTGCACTCTGTCCTAACAGACAGTAGACAAGGTTTATAATTTTTTTCTATGGGACACTAAAAATACCCTAGGATTTCCTTTAACTTTTTGCACTGACAGGTCTAAAGCAAAGCCACAGAAGCTGCTCTTGCTCAGTAAGTATTGTTAATGCTGCAGTGCATATTAAAATTTCAGAAAACCCAATTATGTACTATCTAGGTGTGGATAGCTCTCATTGTTAGTATCCTAAATCATCTAAAGGCTTGTTTTCTTTCTTTTTTTTTTTTTTACAGACCTAACTACCATAATGAATGCTGCATATTAAGAGAAACCACAAGAAGGTTATATGTTTGGTTGTCTAATATTCTTGGATTTGATATGAACCAACACATAGTCCTTGTTGTCATTGACAGAACCCCAGTTTGTATGTACATTATTCATATTCCTCTCTGTTGTGTTTCGGGGGGAAAAGACATTTTAGCCTTTTTTAAAAGTTACTGATTTAATTTCATGTTATTTGGTTGCATGAAGTTGCCCTTAACCACTAAGGATTATCAAGATTTTTGCGCAGACTTATACATGTCTAGGATCCTTTTATCAAGGCAGTTATGATCATCGTTTTCCTGCCTTGACCCCACCATCATCAAACACTCAGTTAAATATAAATTAACATTTTTTAGATGACCACTCAACATAATGCTTAAGAATGGAATTTCCTCTCTGTGACAGAACCCAGGAATTAATTCCTAAATACATAACGTTGGTATATTGAAGACGAAATTAAAATTGTCCTTCAGTTTTGAGGCCATGTGTAAAGTTTAACCATATTGTAAAATATCTATTCCGTATTAGAAATAGCTAGTTGACAGCTTATACTTCTCAAAATTCATATTGTTATGTACACAAACTAAGTTTCTATATGTGAAGTTAGTGAGTCTTTTTGTGTTACTCCAAAATAAAGGCAATGATTTATTTTTTTCCCAGTGCCAATACAATTTTGAGCTAAGCACTCAAGGTGGATACTTTACATTTTAAAGCTGGAATCAGCAACAGCCCTATGGGAAACCAGACAAAGCATTGACTTTTAAATGTAGACTTTTAAAATAAACTGTTTTCTTTTGGAACTACAATTAGAATAGTTAATATTCATCCTTAAACCATTATTATGTGTACATTATTGTTGCTATTGTGATAATAGAGAATTTTATTTATTTTTATGCCAGCTTATATTGTGAGAACACATTTAGTCAGTTTGGGTTTTATCAATCCTGTTAATGCTTGTCCTTGGAACATCTTTCGCGTATTCACGGTTTGTAGTTGAAAAGTTTACTGTAAAAAAATCAAAAACAAAAAAATGTATTGTTTTTACAGAATAAATTTATTGGAATGTGTACTGGGAGTAAGATTTGAGGTTGTAAGCAAACTAAGTTAGTGTAATTTGGCTTCATATATGTAACGTGAGGTATTAATGTAATTCATATATTAAAGCAAAAATTGTTCACAGCAAGCTGACAATAGAATCAAGTGCAGGTGAGGGTTTTTCTTTTTCTTTCTTTTTTTTTTTTTAAACACTCTCTGGGTTTTAGATTATTTGAAAACACTGTAGGGGATGATGGGGAGATGACTACATGATTTGCTTACACTTACATATTTACCAGCCCAGTGGACCCTAGATTTTGTAATTTGATATTATCCATGCATTGATTTGTATCCCATTTTCTTTTGGTTTTCTTGATGAGAGCTAATAAAAACATGAGAAAATGTGAGCAGACCTAAAAGCCTAGGGCCGTTAATAATGATGATGGTGATGATGGCAGCTAAGGGTATGAAAGCACCAGTCCATTTATCATTCCAGGGCACAGTGAGGAGGTGGCTGTTTGTATTTTTGGTGTGTTTCTTTCATTTAGTGAATACTGATTTTCTCTAGTATACTCAACATACAATCCCAAACATGAAAAGTTCATAAAAAGATAGTAGGGATGTCGATCTAATACTTCTTCCTTAAAAGGTCCTTTTTAATTTTGAATATTTGAATGTATTTTTTAATTAATGAAATTTAATTCATCAAAAGACCTCTTCATTGCTCACACTGAAACATAAGGGGAATGTAGATGGCATTTTGAATTGGAATATACAACTCACAAATTTTCTTTAAAAGCGTTTTATGTGTATATATGAAATGTTTCAAATTTAATAAGATTTGTCTTTATAAGAGGCCAAAAATAATTTTATTAAAAATATACACAGAAATACAATAGAAATATTTCCAGCCACCAATAAAACAAATGTTCATTAAGGATAGAGATAAAGTTACTGATCCCTATTTAGCTGTTTAAATTCACACAAAAAAATTTAGTAAAAGTAATTTTCTTGAAACAGCAGCAAATAATAAACTTTCCTTGGGAAAACATTTTTCAAACAACATTTAAAAATATTCTGATGATTTGCCTTTTATATTGAGTTTAATAATGAAGCATATTCATCTTATTTGCAAAAGTTACTCCTCCAGTCTGCATTCACTGTTTTGAATTTTTTAATATGCACAGGCCATATTCTCTTTTGAATAGTTTCATTTCATGCTCACTACTGTTGGCACTAAATTGTAATTTTTTACACTTATAATTATTTTATATGTCAAACAATATTGAGATGGATGATCAAGTTTATTCACAAATGATTTTGAATATATTTCTTTAAACAAACTGTTTCTCAAGAATTTCCATTTTCCTTCAAAAAAAATTTACACAATACCATATAGCTCACACATACAGTGCAGAGCAAGAATGTACATATTCTTAAGTACTCACGTATGAGAAGAGAGTGAAATGGGACAAAATATCAGTACCAGTATAACAAAAGTTAGTAATTTAGAAAGGAGGAACATGAAGTAATATTTTTATTCCACTTTTTCTTCTGCCTTTGTTTTTATGAAGAACTCTGGTTTGTAGATACAACGATAGGCCAAGAGCTGAGGAAGAACTCCATATGCTATGTTTAATGCTAAAAAAAGGATTTTTGCTTCTTCAGGGACTCTGTAGACATAAGCAGTTCTAGCATGAAGAGATGCACCAATGTGAGAAAACTGAGCCTGTTGCATTTAAAAAAAAAAAATTGAGTAAGCATGAAACGTGTTCAGTTGGATGCATGATGAGTTCTGAATGGTTCATTCAGGCTACGTTTCTGTGCCCTCAAAACCAGTCTCACCTGCAGGCAAAATACCTTCAAACAATCCAGAGTCTTTAATGTCAGAGTCTTTCATTAAATTTAGTCCTTGATTAAATTTAGGGCCATTCTTGATATGACTGTTCAAATAAAGTAGATATTATTTAGTGTAGTTTTATCATGCCAGTTGTGTTTTTTAACCATCAAGTGCCCCTTACCGAACATTAGTGGCTCAATCTAATAGAAAAATCTGAATAAAATCTCAAATTTTTTTCTGATTTGCGTTCTGGAGATCCTGCATACAGACTCAGTTGTGGTTCACAAATTGCGTTCCAATAAAAATGAAGAAAGCGCAGAGTTTTAAAAAACAAATATTTTTAGCATAAACTATTGAAAGGGAAGCACTGGGGGGACCTCAGCTTCATTTATCAGTCTTTCATCTACTCCTTGCAGCAAGAGCTCATACCCTTTCCCTATGTGTTTTTTGTTTATTCATTTATTCATGTATTTGTTTTTTCTGCAGCTTTTAAAATATTAAGGGTTGTTTGTAAGATAAGGTTGTTACCAACTTGGGTGGAGGTAGGAGTACGGTTGCTCTTTGTAAAATGGCAAATGTACATGCAGGCAACCTTTTTAAATCAAATTATAATTTATTTAGAAGTACGACATGTCAGCATTATCCGCATTTGCAAAATGGCCTCCCTCTCTACTTATATACTTATTCAGAAAACACATTCAGAATGTGCCAATTGGTCTTTTTTGATATTTTTCGCAAGCACAGAGGAAAACCGTATTGGAAAGGGTAAAACAGACCACAGCAGGATTAAAAGCTCCTGTCAGAAAATTTCCTCAGAAGGCTTGTATCATTACAAAATGTACCCCTGGAGTCTGCATTTTCATATCTTGCTGAAATTCAAGATACACATGAATAAAGGATTGGGAATCTAAATGTAATAAGTAGTAAATTATCAGTTCATCAGGATCAAAGAGACAAAAGACTGCACTATAGAGAAGGCATAGAAGTAACAAGAATGAAGAACTAGATAATTTGCTTTAAATACATATAAGTTATTTTACATTTCTTCCATATGAAACCAATTTATTCTGCTGAGTGATTTCACAGATAAAGGTGTTACTTACTTGACTTCACCATGACAAGAAAAGGACAAGTTTTTTTAAGCAGCATCTTTATGAATTTTTTATCAGTGGCAGATATTTTAATGGGCTGCATTTTTACAAATTCCTGATATATTCTGGAGACCTGTGGTACATTTTTGCTACTCTGGAGATATAAATTAAATTAGCATGATGTATTGCCAAGGACCAGCACGTGGATTGTCTACATTGTGATCCATGAGGCACTGAGAGGACTCGGCCCTCAGATACAACTCCCCTGGGTAGATGCCCAGGCAGAACCCAGCAAATGTATATGCATCTCTGGGCTCTGAGGACAAAATGCCTTGAGAGTAAAGGGCACTTTCAGGGCTGCCCTGAGGAGGTGCTTTCTGGACATTCTAGGAACTCTGAGCAGGAGCATGGCTCCCATACTGTTTTTCCTTAGGGCCTGTTTTGAATAATAGTGTTTTTCTGAATATATAACCAAGCATTTTCTCTGGACTGGAAGCCACATTTGATCCCTGGTTCTCAGAAATCTGGGTTTGGTGGTTCTGTCTTTATAGATACTTGTACACATCACAAAATCACCAAATTTGGGGAAATGCCAACCATACTTTGAGAGAATAAATATGAGCAGTTGTGCCTACTTGCATAGGGGAGCCTGTGTAAAAAGTCAGTGATTCCGTAGGCTCTTTTCCTGCACTAACCAGTGCAGTTAATACCTCACTTTCATGAACAGCAAACTCATGGCAACATTAAGTGAATCATGGCCGGGCGCAGTGGCTCACGCCTGTAATCCCAGTACTTTGGGAGGCCAAGGCGGGTGGATCACCTGAGGTCAGGAGTTCAAGACGAGCCTGGCCAACATAGTGAAACCCCATCTCTACTAAAAAATACAAAAAATTAGCCGGGCGTGGTGGCAGACGCCTGTAATCTCAGCTGCTCGGGAGGCTGAGGCAGGAGAATTGCTTGAACCCGGGGAGTGGAGGTTGCAGTGAGCCAAGATTGTGCCACTGCACTCCAGCCTGGGTGACAGAGTGAGACTCTGTCTTTAAAAAAAAAAAAAGATTCATGTCCTTAGATTAGATTGTAAGCCCACTGGGCAGGTACTGTGTCTAATGTTTTGTGTGGCACCTGTCACATTGTTAGAGCTCAATAAACGTTCAACAACAATGGACTTGTGACTGTCAAAATACAAAAAGGGTCTACAAAGCATTTCTCTAGTTTTGTATGTATTTTAGTAGGCCTCTTTATTCAGAATTATTAAACAAGGCACAAAAATTTTAACATTCATAATCAAAAGAGGCATTTGTATGTGAGAGAAGAACTCTAAGGCCAGTGGTGTGCAGCTCCCAGTACTGCTCATAGTCCTAATGGATGTACTTATGGTGGCCACACTTCCAGCTGAGTGAGCACCTGACCATAGCTTTCTCCTAAGGCATAGGATGTTAAGTGTTCAGGGTTCTGAAGTTCAGAAAAACAGTCTCACCTGAGGAGGTTTCTCTTCCCAAGCACATAGCTAATAAAGGGCTGCAGGTTTTCTCCTGGGTGATGTTCCCAGCAGCACAAGGCCTCTCATGGCAGGACCTGAAGAGCTCAGCCTGAGCCTGTGCTGGGGTCAGGTGGCTCAGTGAACTCAATGCTGCTGAATTAACAGGAGGCCCAGGATTACAGATATGAGTTGTTGATCCTAGAAATTTCTCCAGAATTTAGCAATGTGAGGTTGAGTCCCTAATAATTTTTCTTCCACTTCATTCTAAATCATTTTCACCTTACAGAAATAATTAAGAGATATACTCTGATTTTTTTTTAAGAATGGATGATTGGAATGGCAAATGAGACAATAAGGTGAACAAAGGTTAAATTTTAAGAGCTGTTTTCTTACATGTATAGAGACAATCTGTAAAGGATAACTAAAAAAGTTAATCGTGGTTCCACAAGGAGGAACTGAAAGAGTGTTATATGTCCATGTGAATGTTATAGGCAGAAAACTTAGGTGACCATTGGGATGATAGCCAGGGTCTTTTGCTAATACAGTATAAATAGCTAATCTAGAACTGTGTTATCTTTTCTTAGAGTTTTCTGAGCAACATAGTTCATTGGTTCAGAACACTGACTTTGGAACTAGACATCCAGAGTCAAATCACAGCTCCACCACAAACCAGCCGTATGGCCTCGGGTGAGGTGTGGAACCCACCTCATAGGTTGTTATGAGGGTTCAGTGAGGTGATGTTTGTGACATGCTTAGACAGTGTCAAGCACTTGGGGCTATTCTGTAGACACAAGTACAAAACTGAAATACCCATTCATGATCTGGTGCTCGACTGTAGAAAATCTGGGCCCTTTGTTTTTAGATTCTCTTGACCTTTTGACCTTTTTACTGTGAGTGTCTCCATGAAAGGATAAGTACATAAAAGATGTTAAATCAGTATAATTTAATACTAAATAAAGATGTTTAGCAATGAATCACACCAGAAGCAAATGAAGAAAACAAGATTTGCATTAGTATCCCAACTATCCGTGTTCTTCCTAAACTGTTACTTTCAGATTTTTCTTAACGTCTCCATGAGGGAAAAACCGTATGAAATTTACTTCCAGGCTGAGCGTGGTGGCTCATACCTATAATCCCAGCACTTTGGGATGCCAAGGCGGGAGGGTCACTTGAGTCCAGGAGTTTGAGACCAGCCTGGGCAACATAGCAAGACCCTGTCTCAAGTTAAAAAAAAAATGATAAATTTACTTCAGTAAACTCTTCACAACCAAATTATTCACACGTAAGTTTCCATATCTCTTTGTGAGAAAAAGACATGACATAGCACCTACATAGCCAGGGAGTTAGAGAGTCTGAGGGCAGCACCTGACTGAAGTAACTGAACCTCCTTCGCTGGCTGTGGGATGGCAGGCTCCTTACCAAGCCCATGGTGAGTCTGTCCCAAAGCTTTCACCCAGTTTCTTTGTTTTCTTGGTAATTATATACAATACACTTAATTTAATTAGTTTGTCTTCAGGTTAATCTTCGGAACAACATAAGGCATATCTCCAAATTCTTACTGGGAATCTTCTACCAGTAATAGTAGCAACAAAGGGTTACATAGCTGTTATGTGCCAGACACTGTTTTAAGCCCTTTACATGTATTACCTCATCCAACCCTAACAGCAATTCCATGAGAAAGCTACTGTTATTATCCTCACTTTACAGAAGAGGAAACTGAGGATCAGAGAGGTAAAGTAGCCAAGGTCATTGTGCTCATCAGCAACAGGCTAGAATCTGAACCAGTTCACCTCCAGAGCTTATGTTCCTAACTATATGAACTCTACTGGCTTTGGCTTTTTTTCATTTTCATTGATATTTTAGCAGAGAAAATGCTTCAATTGATAGGAAATGCTAATAAGTGGATCTAAGCAGCCTATAATGCCTTTCAGATTACACTTGCAGCTTTAATCCTATGGTTAGCATTTTATATGAAAAGATACCTGGGTTATGAGTAAGTCCCCAGTGGAACTCTTTGGTCTAAAATGTGTCCTGGTTTCATTTTATTCAATCTTCTTTTACTCTTTCCTTGATCTTTTGATTTCTGAAGGCAGCAGATTTGGCAGACTCCTACATGGTCTGAAATCAAGGCCCCAATAACTACTCACTCTTTTTTCTTTCTTTTTTTTGAGACAGTCTTGCTCTGTCACCCAGGCTGCAGTGTAGTGGGCGTGATCTTGGCACACTGCAGCCTCTGCCTCCCAGGTTCAAGCGATTCTCCTGCCTCAGCCTCCCAAGTAGCTGGGATTATAGATGCCCACCACCACACCCAGCTAATTTTTTGTATTTTTAGTAGAGACGGGGTTTCGTCATGTTGGCCAGGCTGGTCTCAAACTCCTGACCTCAGGTGATCCACCTGCCTGGTCCTCCCAAAGTGCTAGGGTTACATGTGTGAGCCACTGCGCCTGGCCACTACTCAATATTTCTTCCATTGGCCTATACTGATCTAGAACTTTTCAAAGGTGGTTTTTTTTTCCCTTACTAAGTTGCATAGATTCTTGAGAGTTTACTAGATGTTTCAGTAAAAGTAAGTTTTAGTAAAGTTAGTGGGATCATGAATGCATAAGGTTTCTAAATAAGAATGGCAATTTTAGCAAGCAAAGATGCTGATTAAAGTTACAGAAAAATGCCTATTTTTGTTTTGTTTTGTTTTTTTGTGGTGGTGGGAGAGACAGGGTCTCTCTCTGTCACCTGGGCTGGAGAGTGCAGTGACACAGTCTCGGCTCACTGCAACCTCTGCCTCCTGGTTCAAGTGATCCTCCCACCTCAGCCTTCCTAGTAGCTGGGACTGCAGGCATATGCCATCACGCCAGCCTAATTTTTGTATTTTTTGTAGAGATGGGGTTTTACCATGTTGCCCAGGCTGGTTTCAAACTCCTGACTTCAAGCAGTCCACCCACCTCGGGCTCCCAAAGTGCTGGGATTACAGGTGTGAGCCACCGTGCCTTGCTGGAGAGTGCTTTCTGTGATGAATGTGTCAGATACTCCCATAAGATGAGACTCCATTTCATAAGCGAGTATTTGCTAAGTACAAAACAAATAACGTAATTCAGTATTCTGGTCATATCTATTGTTTTGTTGCGGCATGGCTTCTAACTTTTCCTTAGCCTACACACTATAAGTGGGTAGATATTAAAGCTCAGCCAAGAGCTGTGGGAATCAGACCCATAATTCTTTACTCAGTCTGTCTTCACCTGCTGGGCTGGGAGAAACATCCTTCTGACATTTACAGGATCTGGTCCTTAGCCTTAGGCTCTGGATCTGGGCATTCACCATCAAGAGAGGGGCTTCAGGCTGCCTTATCAACTGGGCAGTGATGGATAAGCCCCAGGATGCCTGACGTCTGACATGAATGAGGTAATGCCCCTGCGGCTGCCAGCTGCTCTGTAGTCCACACTGCCCTTCTCAGAACCACTTGGCTGGAGTAATAAGTGCCCACCTGCAAGCTTAGCTTCACCAACAGATTAGGGTTTGTCTTATTGCTACAGGCTTACCACACCCATTTTCCTCTAAGCTATGACCTTCCTAAGCTTCCTGACTGTTGACCCTGGCCATGTGACTAGGCTTTTGCCTAGGTTTTCCTGCTGTTTCCATTTGTCTCCTGAGACTTGACCAGGTCCAACATCTGGTCTCTTTAACCAGCCTGCTGGCTGATGACACTTAGCATTCCTGCATCAGGGACTGGTACCAGGCCGACCAGGCACATGGCAGGCAGAGGAGGCCTGATTGTGCAGGCAAAGCACAATTGACACAGGTAATAGGTGTCAAACTGAACAGCTGTCAAACTGAACAGTCTAATCCTCTAAAGAAAGGGCTGGCAAGAGTGAAGTGGGTATGCGGCCATCTGTTCTGAAGGATACAGGAGAATAAGGCAGAGGAACCAGGCCAAAAAAAAAGGCAAGGCTTACTCTGCCCTCAGACCTGCTGCATATGCCCACACCTCAGTGTTTCCCTGGGTTATTCCCTGGAGAGGCTCAGCCTAATAAAGCCCCACTTGGCCCTCAGAGTCCAACTCGGAATGTCACTGCCTTCCACCCACAAGGTTCTCCAGCACCTCGTACTACATACAGTCTTTTGTGCTGTAGGACTCTGTGCCATAGTTCATTGTTTGCATGGGGTGGGTGAGATAACACAATGGAGAAGAATATGAGCTTTGGAGTCAGACAGGATTTCATAAACCTATTCTGCCATTTAATAACTGTAATCTTAGGCAAATAATTTCAGGTGGACTGAGCCTCAGCCTCCTCATCTTTAAATTGGGGTTTTTTTCCCAGAGCTATTACAAAAGATATTATTATGTGTCCATTGTGCTGTTTATTCTGAGGCAGGCAGGAAGACCACAGTCACCAGCCTCCCCTCAGTTGACCTGGTGCCAGGCCTGGACCTTGAAAATATCCCACATGATCTTTGCATAAAAAAGAATTAAAATTTTAATTGTGTTAAGCTACTCTGAGTATTTGTTACAGCAGCAGAGCACATAGCCTATCCTTAGACAAATAGGTAAGTAAAACTTTTAACGTGGTTTGCCTGGCATGAAGTAAGGTAATGAGAGCTCAGACTAGTGTAGGGGCAGCGGAGCTGGAAAAAAAAAATGGGTTGGAGAATCACTGGAGTAAAACTAACTGGACCTGGTTGGGTGTGGTGGCTCACACCTGTAATCCTACCACTTTGGGAGGCTGAGGCAGGAGGATTACTTGAAGCAGGCATTTGAGAATAAGCTGGGCAACAAAATAAGATCCCATCTCTTTAAAAAATTTAAAAATTAGCTGTGTGCGGTGGTGTATGTCTGTAGTCCCAGCTACTCTGGAGACAGAGGCAGGAGGATTGCTTGAGCCTAGGAGTCCGAGGCTGCGGTGAGCTATGACTGTGCCATCACACTCCAGCCTGGGAGATGGAGCAAGACCCTGTCTCTTTAAAAGAAAAAAAAAAGGACTTAGTGGTGGTCTAGATGTAGAGGATGAGGAGTGTAAATAATTACTCCAAGTTTCTGGCTTGAGTTGCTGGATGCAATTGGACTATTTAAACAGATAATGAAAAAATGGAAGAGAGGTTGTGGGGAGGATCAGGTCCTATTTTATATATTAAATCTGAGGTGCTAGTGAGGCATGCAAGTAAAAAGACTGAGTTTGGAATGAAATACAGGAGTCTGGGAACGGTGTGGGCCGAAGGTAGAAAACTGGAAGTTATCAGCTTATAGTTGGTATTGAAAGATACAAAGATAAAGACCTAAAATACAGAAATAAACCCCAAGGACTGAGGAATCAGGTATTTAGAGGTCTGCAAAGGAAAAACAACCAGCAAAGAGCAATAAATGTTAGTTCTCTTCCTTCTTAAGCCCCTCAAGGAAAGGACAGGAACCATTACTTCTGGATGCTACATCAACTTTTTCGATACTACTATGCTAATTTTATAATTAAGAATTACCTCAAACTGAAAGGATTTAATGCATTGACCCCTTAAATACTATATTTTTCAACCGTGTGAATTCTAGTATGTCTTACGATCATGATTATTATACCATGCATATAATTGACTGTACAAGCCTACAGTTTCTAGATGAACCTCATTCTTATAACTGCTTGAAAAGAACAAGATGAAGCTAATGTTTTTAAATGATAAGTTCATTTGTTTTATTTCTAGTAAGAAAAATTAATTTTCTTCCTTGTTCAGAAGATTGATTTGTTTTGCTAATTATCTTGTAAAAATGTGCTTTATGTTATGTGTGAAGTTCTCCATAGATAATTTCATTTTCAGTTAAACGCAGTAAGCATTCACTGAACACCTACTCTAGGCCAAATATTTGGCAAGGTGCCAGCGGAAAAGGAATGAAATGACAGGCCCAGAACATTTTTTAAACCAGTTTCCCTGGTTCTGTATAGCATAGCGTAGTGGAATTCTGAAGTCTTAAATTTGGATGGACATTTTGAAGGTGACAGCTCTCAATCCTTTTTTAGTAGCCATGGTATTCAGAGATTGTGAAACAGTCCAATAAAACAACAATGCCACATGCTGGGTGTGTAACCTTGGGCAAATCATTTAACTTCACTGGACCACAGATAACTTCCTCATCTGTGTAACTGGATGGCACATCTACCATATAGTTATTGTGAGATTGAAATAAAATGTACTTGCAGAAATGTCTTCTGAAGAACTGCAAAACAAAAGGTGACATGTCTAATAGCTATCTCCTAGTCTAAAACACTGAGCAGAGAAGTTTTTCATATATTCAACAATTGACACCTAGACCACAAGTAAACCTTCTCAACAGAATATTCTTAGTACCTGAGCCAGACCTCCAGCATGTATCAATGTGATGTCAGGCATCCAGGAACATCCAGGAACCACTAAGCCATACAGTGCAGTCACAAAGTAAGGAACAGAATAGAACATATATGCCAGCATCTGTATTGAACAGAGAAATAACATCATCAGCAAATTGGCAGTTAACTTGGCCTGACTAAAAAGTACAAAAAAGTAAACATTTTCATCTTTGAAAATATTAATTCCTATTTCCTATATGGGACTCTTTTTTTTTTTTTACTTTTATTTTTATTTATTTATTTTTTTAGGTGGAGTCTCACTCTGTCACTCAGGCTGGAGTGCAGTGGCGCAATCTCGGCTCACTGCAACCTCCACCTCCCGGGTTCAAGCAATTCTCCTGCCTCAGCCTCCTGAGTAGCTGGGATTACAGGCATGTGCCACCATGCCCGGCTAGTTTTTTGTATTTTTTCAGTAGAGATGGGGTTTCACCATGCTGGCCAGGCTGGTTTCAAACTCCTGACCTCGTGATCAACCTGCCTCGGCCTCCCAAAGTGCTGGGATTACAGGCGTGAGCCACCGCACCCAGCTGGGACCCATTTTTTAAAAAGAAAATTAATTTTAGAAAAATCTTAGGCTTCATAACTACTTGACCTGAATTTTAGGATAAGCAGCAGGATCCTTTAGATAGGGCTCTTGAAATTGCGTATATAATCGGCAGAGCTCAGATGGGCAATCCAAAGCAATCTAAGGACAAAAATAAACTCATTATAAAAATACAATCACATCTGGTTCTTAGGTTTGCTGATAAGGCTAAATGTGCCAGGTTTAGTCACAAGCTGCTTTGCTGTTTAACAAAACGTATGCATTGTAGAGGCTCATCAATGATGGAAATATTTTGCAGATTTGTTCTAAGGAGACTAAGCAAAGGTTAATTATGGTGCAGGAAATGGAAACTAATGCCCTATTCTTGGGTATTTTTCAGATATTCAGAGTTTAAGTATCTAGGTTTGGCTAGCCAAAGCACAGCTTGCTTTAAATTATGAGTTTCACTTTTCTTGGAAATAACTAGCCCCCTATTCCCTACAGGAAGAAAAGTATATTTCTACACCAAATTCATCTTACTATGCATTGCAAGATTTGAAAATAGCACCTTCCTGTCTCCAGTGCATCATAGCGTATATGGCCTTTGGAGGCAGTAAAAGATGATTTGAAAGCAGGGTCCTCTTGCTGGAAAGTCTTTTTGGCACTTTACTAGGTCCCCTCTGAGTCACCTTCCTCCCCTCAGGCACCATTCCTCATGTCTTTGGCCATAAATGTTGTCCCACCTAGATGGCATATATGAACACAGGCCAATGACAGAGTTGGTAAAAATGGCCCCAATCCAAAAGCCCTACCCACCTTGCATGCACCCCCACACATGCACACATTTTTCTCGTGCACAGGGAAGGGGATATGGCCGTGCAAGAATACAGGTGGGGCCCACTATTTTTTGTTGTTTGAACTTTAAGAATTACAACAAACTAACCAAAGAACAGTTTCAGTGGCCCTGTGGTCTAAGCAAAGCTATGGCCTTGCCTTCTTTACTTCTCTTCCCCATGCCCCTCCTCCTGTTAGCCAGCTCTCCTCCAGAAAGTTTCTTGACATTTCACAGATAAAGATAACTCTTAAAACAGCTTCTCACCCTGAACCCAGCCTGCTGCACAGGCCCCCAGTAGCCCAAGACCCTGAAATGATAAAAGTCACCTGCATGGGCTTACACTTGCCACTCTACTGTCCAACTGTTACGCGCGCCAACAGGCTTCGAATAGAAATTGTCACTGAAGCTGAATATAATTAACAATATAATTCTAAACTTCCCAAATTCATTTCTACTAAGAAGAAATCATCAAATTGGGGCATTGTGAAGGATCACTGATCAATAAAAATCCTAACAGTAATCATTTACTATGTATAAGAGCCTCTACCAAGTGTTTGATGTACATTATTTAATCTCCAAAACAATACTGTTAAGGTAGGTAGTGTTATTTTACAGAGAGGAAAACAGAGTCCAAGAGGTTAAGTAGTTTTTCCAAGGCCACACAGCTAGTAAGTGGCCAGGATTCTAACTACAAAGCCTGTGAGTCTTTTTCCTAACCTCTGCAGTAAAATATTAATAAAGAGAAAATAGAAAACATGAAATGCCCATGTGCCCTTAATGTATTTCAGTCACATCAATACAAAGACTCCAGGCGTGAGATGAATTTACTCAACACTACTCTTACCAGTGAGACATTCCCATGACCCTACATACACGTGAATTGTTGAACTGGTACGCCTTCCTCAACCCCATTGCCCCTACTCCTGAGAACACAGGGATGCTCTGTGCCACAGTTGTGTTGCAGTCCTAGGGTGCCATCCTTACCAAAGATATTTACATTTAAATCAGAAACATCAAAAGAATAAAAAAGAGAGACTCTGATGGCTGATTTTTTAGATGCCCTAAAACGGGGAGGAAGATGCTTCTGAGTAGAGCTTGATCTAAGGACAGGAGGAGGTGACAGCAGGAGGCTGGGGTTGGGAGCAGCAGGAAGCAGGTCCAGGGCTCCAGGCTTTGATGGGAGGAATGGTTTGTTAGTTTGCTAAGAAGTCTGATGGAAAAACAAAAACATATTTCTAAGTTTTTTTCCATTTGGAAATGTGAGTAGTATCACAATGTTACGTTATTATGATCTGTTATGCTTACCAAACCTCTGAACAGGCAAAATCCAGTTGCCAGGAGGAGACACACAACCAACATTAAATCAAATGGTCTTCTCAGCAGGTCTTTCGCTTGGGCTTCTTGAATAACCTAAAATAGAGTTTGTACCTAAAGAGCAGGCCCAAAGTGCCAAAGAAGAATCTGAAATCTGAAACATTAAATGTCATGATGATGGATAAGAGAATTTTGAAGATGCACAATTTATATCATAAATCACTGGCCATGGAACTTTAGGAAAATCATTTCCTTCCTCAAGTCTCAATTTCCTTATCTGTGAAATGAAGAATTTGGGCTAAATGATCTCTCGAAGGGCTCTTGTAGCTCTATGAGTCCACTTTTTTTCTTGAAATGACATTTTAATGATAATAAATTTTAAAGGTAAACCATAAACCTGCCACACCACTATTAACCGTTGGTATACTTTTCCAGTAATACATGTAAATAGATATAGTTACATACACACAACATACATATATACACACACATATATCTACATTTTTCACAAAATTAGGAACAATTTTATATATAAAATTATTCCTGTATATAAACAATTCTGTATTTGTTCTTTTTGCTCTCAACATCTGCCTATATTATAAGCACTTTCCCACATGTTTAAAAATTTTCTCAAACTGAATACCATATGGAAACACCACACTTTAGCCATTCTCCCACTGTTGGATATTTAGGCATTTTTCACTGTTATACTTAATGTAATGATGAACAACTTTGTAAATCTTTGGTGGTATCTGTGTGATGATTTCCTGAAGATAGGGCTCTAGGAGCAGAATTATTGGGTTCCAGAATTATTAAGGTTGATAACATTGCCAAATTGCTTTGCAGAGCAATTCTGAATTTATGTTTCTGTCAGCACTGTATGACAATGCCTGCTTGGCCCTGGCTGTCACTGTGTTTTCACATTAAAAATAATGATAAGTAATTCTGCATGCCTCATGGCATACCTACTCTGTTGACACACTGACATGGAACCTTTAAAAGCAGTGGAGCTGGGACTAAGGGTGGACTGACTATTTGCTTTTTCTTTTTAACAGCCACCTCTTTCCTCAGAGGGAAGTTAGTACCAGCTGTCAGTGTGCCAGCCTGAGTTTACATAGAAGGTGTCTAAATGTTTACAAATGAAGTATTTGTCAATTAAAATGTATTTTAATGAATTATACTGAAAATCTTTTGTAAAATGAATAGTCGTATTCTGATTATCTCTAGTAATTCATATTTTCATATATCAGTTTTGCTTAAAAGATCTTGCTAAATGATCTAATACCTAGAAAAGTAAAAGAAACAGAGAGAAACTAGCTTAGAAATGAAGGCCTTAACAGAGTATCTGCCAGGCCAGTGCTGTTTCACCTTGACTACCTTGGCTGTGAATGGAAGGGAGGTGTCTCAGATGTCCTGTAGCCAGTCTCTATGGGCCTGGATCTCTGGAGTCAAGATTGTATGGCTGTGTAGACTACCTTGAGGAGCAGTATCCCTCCAGTGTCCTCTTGGGGTAGTAAATGCATAGGTGTCACAGAGGAACCCAGGTGTTCAACGTCCAGGCCATTAACAATCCTAGATGAACCACACACTATGGACTTCACTTGACACACTAATGCAGAATCTGATAGTTAGAGCCAGTGTGACCACTGGCACAGGAAGCTCCCCAAAGTATGGCCTTGCCAACAGAAGCAGATGTATTCAGACAGAAACAGACCTTCTTGCCTACATTAATTAATACGTAAGCTAATGCTACATAATCAAAACAGTCGCACTGTTTGGATGCCCCAAATGCTCCAGTCCACAGAGGCATGGTTCAATTCAGTGGCCAGTGGATGCGAAAGAACCCTATGAGTTTGAGAACAGGGTACATCAAAGCTTAATAAAATCACCTTTGAGGGGTAATTATAATTTTCTGATGGCTGATTATAGATTCTGAAACCAGCCCAGACAGGAAGACAAGTATATGGTATGCTTAAGAAAAAAGCAGGGCAAATTCGTGTTCCATACTTCCCTATTTAAAAGAGAGAAAGAGAAAGAAGTTACCAAAAGCATATCTAACACAAGTAATATTTAGGATACCTCCCCATCTCAGGTCATCTAAAATTTTGCTATGGGCCAGACAATATTTTTAATGAGGCCAAATTAAAAAGGTCAATTTAAAATACTAGATGTGTATTAACAGGCATGTCCTATCTACAGTAATCTGCTTGAGCCCAGGAGATCAAGGCTGCAGTGAGCTATGGCTGTACCACTGCAAGCCAGCCTGGGCAACAGAGTGAGATCCTGTCTCAAAAAATACATCTAGATAGGTATCTATATATGTTTGTATATATCTATCTCCCTATATCTATATCTATCTATCTATCTATCTACCTATATATCCTGATTTCCTGCATACATTAATAATGTACTTGTAATTTCCAAGTACATTTTTGGAGTTCTCATAGTGTGTCAGGAGTTAACATATTTGCACACTAAATATAGCCATAAACACCATACTCACTCCCTCAAGATCCTTCTAAAAAAACAGGAATCCCTGATAACTTGACTGCCAAATTGTTCAATGCACACATCTGAAAATTGCTCAAAGCACTTCTTAAAAAGTACTTTTTTTAAAGGTGAGAAAAAGGAATTATTCTGCAAAACAGGTTTTTAGTAAGCTTGGAATCACTTGGTTCTATTATAACTAAAAGAGCTTCTCTATTTAAAAACAAGCCCCATTGTTTTAGAAAAGGAAAGTGAACTTTAAGATAAAGTTTCTTACCTACAATGTTTCCTGGCACAAAAACAACAACACTCATAATAATAGATCCAACCCAATATAGGCCAATGGTTCTATAAGTTTCCCTGTAACAACAACAACAAAAAAATCTTGACTTGGTATGTTTGTCTTAGAATACTAAGCAAAAAATGATCTTCAATATTATTTTGTATTCAAACTAGTAAAGTACATCAATCAAAACATATTGAATTGAGAGGAATAAATCAAACACAAGGAGCCCTGGTTATGTAACTTCATTGCCATGTGATATACTATAGAACCTTCTTCGTGTCCTTTTAAATAGGAAATTACGCCTGCTATGTCTTCTGTTAAACTACAACATGATCATCCCTGCCACAGGACTCCTGCATTTCCCTATTGTGTGTGAAACTCAACAGCATGAAAGGAAAAAGAAAGTTGAAAGAAGAAATGAAATTGGATCCATATTTTTAATCATTATAAGTATGAGTTATACTTACAATGATAATGTTAAATGGACTTTTTCTGGGGTCACAGAATTTTGGCCAAAGCCCCAAAGGTGAAGACAAGTGACATGTACCCCATGTTGCAAAGGAGCTGCTAGACATATACCCCAAATCTTCAATGCTGACAAAAACTTCCTTCAGGCCGAGCATGGTGGCTCATGCCTGTAATCCCAGCACTTTGAGAAGCTGAGGTGGGCAGATCACTTGAGGTCAGGAGTTTGAAACCAGCCTGGCCAACATGGTGAAACGCCATCTCTACTAAAAGTACAAAAAAAAAAAAAAAATTAGCTGGGCATGGTGGCATGCACCTGTAATTCCAGCTACTTGGGAGGCTGAGGCAGGAGAAATGGTTGAACCTGGGAGGCAGAGGTTACAGCGAGCCAAGATCGCACCACTGCACTCCAGCCTGGGTGACAGAGCGAGACTCCGTCTCAAAATAAAAAAAAAAAGTTCCTTCAATTGATAACCCCAATAACCCAAACTCCACACTATGTAACAGGCTATGAGAAATTCAAAAGGAAATTCTCTGAAGGGAAACGAGAATACTGTGTGCGTCCTGCCCCACCCCCGCCCTCAAGCCAAATGTAACCAGACCCCAAGAGGCCCATTCATAATGACTGGGATTATAAGCAGGAGAACAGATAAGAATGAGCTGGAGCCGGGCACGGTGGTTCACGCCTGTAATCCCAGCACTTTGGGAGGCTGAGGCGGGCAGATCACCAGAGGTCAGGAGTTTGAGACCAGCCTGGCCAACATGGTGAAAAAAATGTTTAGATTTGTGTACTAAAAATACAAAATTTGCGGGTATAGTGACACACGCCTGTAGTCCCAGCTGAGGCCTGAGAATCGCTTGAACCTGGGAGGCGGAGATTGCAGTGAGCTGAGATTGTGCCATTGCACTCCAGCCTGTCTCAAAAAAAAAAAAAAAAAAAAAGAATTAGCTGGAGCTGACCTTGAGTGCATGTTGGGAGTGAGGGAGATACTTGGGTAAACTACATTTCAACCTTGTATGGGGCAAGAATGCATGACTTTCTGTAACCCAGAAGCAAGTGGAGGCCTGAGAAGATGGCCGGACTTGAAATGTTTTGAAAAGACCCCTCCCCAAAGGGTGTACCTTCTGGGTTACAGGGGCCCCAGCAGAAAAAAAGCTGTGGGTGTGCCACCATGGGCAGAAATTCAGCCCAAGAGCACGTCGTTCACTTCAGGGATTAGTGCAATGCAGAAGCTCCTGTGGTTGGGGTCTCTAAAGAACTCACATGTGTGCCTCCCAAGACCAAGCTAGCATATCATGATGGGGGTACCAATACCCAAAAACCAGCACCTTTCACATCAGACTCGGCTCCTGTTCCTTTAATCCCTTGTACATACACATCCACTGCCAAGGGGCCAGCCGCAGAGTGAGACAGGAGGAGTGAACGGACAAGCCATGTAGCCAAGCCTTAGTGCGAGCCAAGCCGCAGAGCTGTGCCTGATCTGGGGAAGGACAGAAGCTTTGAACCGAAATGAGATTGCTGTTTGGAAATTTTGAAGTTTTGAAATGAAGTTTAAGATGTGCTTAGCTTTAATTGCTGAAAATAAAAATTATTCTTGTAAGACAACATAATCAGAAAGCTTAAAGGGTCTGCCCGAGCTGTCACCATGCTAGGGAGCAATTCAGAAGGACATATTCAAAAGGCAGTGGTACAAGGAGGATAAAGCCACGTCTGACGTGCACCCATGGAACTTATATTCATGTCCAGTATACCTGCTTGTGTATTTGCCTCTATGCATAACGTTTCCTTACATACCCGCTTATCGGTTGCTAAGGTGGCAAAGGCACACACCAGGTGAACTGACTTACTCCCATGCTATGGCTGCCACCATCACCAGGTACATCAGATAATGAGCAGAGCCATCCCAGTAGCAGATCATGTGCCCATATGCGGTGTTCAGATACGGTTCACCCTAAAGAAAGCATTAAAAAGAAGTCCACTTTAAATAAGACCTGTAAATGCAGAACATCAGACCTGTATTGCAAGTAAAATAAAACAGCAGAACTAACTTGTGTTCATCTGCTAAGATGAAACTATTTCTTCAAAATTGGTAGGAACATGAAAATACAACTTTACGCTGGAGCTGCCAAAACCAGGGTCTGGCCACAGAGGATGGAATTAGAGAATGCCTGGCCAATTGGCCCATGATGCATCAACATAGGTTTGTACTGTGATGCGAAGGCAGATGGCATGATAGGCAATCCTGGCTGTATGGCAAACTCATGGAGACCAAGCCAAATCTTTGACACAAGGTGCTTGGCAGTGACCAGAGAGGTGGCCAGGGATGACCCTGCTTTCCAGAACCAGTGGCTGGCCTTAATAATTCATGCTGATCCCGTGGCTTGCTGGGCTGGGCATGGCACAACACTCATTCCCCACATACTGACACATAGGCAGGCAGGCACCGAACTCGGAGCTTCACACCCAACCCCTCCTTCTACCTTCCCAACAACCCAGTGGGATGGACAGGATTGAGTCCATTTTACAGATGAGGAAACAGATGCTCTGAGATTACAAGACTTTCCTAAGGTCACGTAGCTAGTATACCTAGCAGAGACCAAGAAGAGCCATACTTCTCCTGGGCAAATGTTAATGTTATGAACACAAGATTATATGACGAACTACATTTCCCTTTTCTAGGTGGTTACATTTCCAGGTGGCTTCTAGAAAATCACTGTCATCAATTTTCCGTGCATTTTTACTGTTGTTTTGGCCCCACCTTGTTTTCCTTTCCTCTTTCTCCCACGTTCATGCTGTCCTGGCTTGTTTCACGCTGTAAGATGCCTTAAGTCCTTTCTACAACAAGGAAGAGTGCAGATCAACCAGCCCATCAATCAGCCAAGCAAGCAGGGCTTTCTCTTAAGCTTCATGCTCCCCTGGGGCAAGGACTGCTCTGTCATCTCTCCCACAGATCAAATCAAATTAAAATCAGAGAAGCAGGAAACAGAATCAAGGTTCTGCTTCTACACCCATGCCAGGCCCACGTCCCTTCTCTTGGACTTGCTCTGACTGAAGAATACATCCGATTTATGGTTTCAGACTTCCATTGCTAACACACCTGGCTCTCTGAGCCAGTGCTGGCCTCTCCTGGTAGCTTGATGAGCATCTTTAACTGCATGGTGCACAGGCCACAGGTCCTTTCAACTCGCCTGAACTCTTAATTCATCAGCTTCTCCCCTCAACCAGCCTTCCATCTTGCCTCTCTCTCTCTTGCTCTCTCTGTATGTGTGTGTGTGTGTGTGTGTGTGTGTGTGTGTGTACGTACAGAGACAGGGTCTCACTCTGTCACCCGGTCTAGAGTGCAGTGGTGATCATTGCTCACTGCAGTCTCAACTCCTGGCGTCAAGCGATCCTCCCGCCTTTGTCTTCCAAAGCACTGAGATTACAGGCATGAGCCACCAGGCCAGCCATGGCCTCTCTATATTAATGGTGAAACCATTCGGCTTACCAAGGTCAAAACCACATGGTCATTTTTTCATTCCTCATTCTCCTATGCAGTCTCTCAGCAAATCTATCAACTTTATTGCTACGATGTCACCCCGGCAATTCTCCCTCTTCTTCACAGCATTAGGTCTAGCCCTCAGTGTCCCTCACTGGACCACAGCTATGTTCCCAAATGGTCTCCCTACCTTTGTCCCCTCCTTCCAACCCATGACACTCCTCCTGCCAGATAAAGATTCTCAAGGCCTGGCTCTTGGCATGTTGTTCCTCTACTCTAAAACTCCCCAAAACTTGTCACAGCCTGCTGGACCAAGCCCCATCTCCTCTCTATCACAGCTGGGTCCCCAGAGCCTGGCCCTGCAGACCTTGCCACCACAGTTACACCCCAGTCCCCCTTCTGATACCCCGTCTGCCCCAATGCTTACCACCCTTGCCAACTCAGCCTCCAGCCCTCTCGTCAGCCGCCTCCTTCCTAAAACCTCCCTCCTCTGGGCTCCATGGCCCCCACTCTCCAGGTTTTCCTTCTGCCTCTTGGCCTGCCCCCCATGGTCCACTTCAGGGGCTTCTCTTCTTCTGGCCATGGTCTCTAAAGTCCCAAGCTCAGCCCTTTTCTCTCTCTACCTTCTCATAGGCAAGCCCTTCTCCTCTCAGACATTCAGGTACCAACTGCACTCCGATGGCCCGTGACTCTCTCTTCCAGGACTGCTCCTCAGAGCTCAAGACCTGCAAAGCCCTGCCAGCATCTGAAACTCCACCTCCCCATAGAAACTCAGCCTCATCCTTGCAGATTGGTGCCCCAGGGAGAGGCACATGCTCTTTCTCCTCTCCAAGCCTTTGCCCAAGCTGTCCCTTCTCTCCGGAATTCCCCCTACCTCCCTGGTCCATCTGGAAATGTCCATCTTCCACTGCCATGACCATTTTTAAAATGCTACAGCAGTGTCACCAACTCAATAAGCCTTCCCCGACTGCACCCAGACTTAATTCCTCCTCTGAGTACTTCTGTGCCTGGAGTGAGTCTCTCACTGTGCCTGGGACAATTCCATCTCCCCACCCTTTCAGGCAGGGAGCTCCCAGGGGGCAGGGAGCAGGTCTTCTGACCACAGAGTCCCCTTCAACAAATGTCTGCAGAAATAAATTCCTCCTGTCATCCCTCTCTGGTGTAAAAACAGCAGCATTCTTCCAAATTCCAAAGCAGGAATCAGGACACTGTCTTAGGCCTCATCCTTCCCATCACTCCCAATTTGTCCCCAAGTCTTATTCATTCCAGCCACTCCGATTCTCTAAAGTTCATCCCTCTCTCTACTTCCCATGCGCTGCCTCCATCCAGCCACGTTTATGCCCCTGCTGGTCCCGAGGAAGCCTCCTGACTGGTGCCCCAGCTCATGGCACGGACCCTTCCCTGCAAGCCCATCCTTCCCAGAGCTGCCTGTATTCTTCACTGACTTAAAATCTTCCCTCACAGACAGGATAAAACCCAAACTCCCACAGCGTACATACAAAGCTCCCCATTATCTGAACATGGATGAAGAATCTGCTTTGAGCCCTTTTCCTCATTTCCTGTGTCACCTTGAATAAGTCACTTAACCTCTCTGGGGCTGGGTTCAGCCCACCATAAAATAAGAAAATAGGACTAGCTCTCTCGAGTACCAGGTAGTATCAAAGCTATGATTTGGGCAGCATGGTGGAGAGTGCAAGCCATCACAATCAAATGACTTCATCAAGTGCCTCTGTGTTGGGTACTTTACAAATTTAAGACTGACTTGGGGTTTCTGAGATAGTCATGTATTAACAGACACATAAATACTAAATCCATTTAAGGTACCTTATTTATATTAAATACAGATAAAGGGGAAAAGCAGGTCATGTGTGCGGTCATGAGTGAGAGAAGCCGTGAGAGCTGAATGTTGGAGAGAATTGCCTCTCGTGATCTAACCGTCCTTTCTGCTCCACTTTCCATGTGACTAAGCGACCTAAGGCTATTATAGGAAATGAAAGCCTGCGTAGCGTACCTGTTCACACTAAATGAGAGGA
Organism: Homo sapiens; assembly: GCF_000001405.40. NCBI lineage: Eukaryota > Metazoa > Chordata > Mammalia > Primates > Hominidae > Homo > Homo sapiens. Next base: position 83,116,017 of record NC_000015.10, on the reverse strand, counting down.
TTTCTGTCTCTGAGTAATGTGATCTGGGTTGTGGCCTTTTGGTTGAAACCTCATAATCACTAAGTGATCCCATACCTCTCTCAAGTAGTGTGTCATGAACCCGTCAATGATTCCATCTTGCTCCAGTCCTATGATGAGGTTCACCACGCTGGTAAATCCAAAAACTGCATACACTAGAGCAAAGAAAGCAGCAGTTTAAAAAGCAATAGCTCAGGAGACAATTACTACAAGCTTGGCATCAGCTAATAATAATGGAATGTTTTTCATGTTTTCCAGAAGATGCTGTGGACAATTATCGAGATAGACTAACAGAATACCCCTTCTACACACCCAGCTGGACCTCCACCTGTGTTCGCAGCTCTCCCCATCCCTGCCTAAGTACTCTCATCAAGGGAACACTCATCACAGGAGTGGAGAATGATGGTCACTGCCGGCTCAGTCACAGAAGATTCTAGCAGGCCAACTCCACCCATCCTCCACTCCCCTACAAGTGGCTGCCCAGAATCAAACCCACATCCCACATGGGCAGTGGGAGCAAAGCCAGTAACTGAGTGGCCAAGGAAGCATAGAAGTGACCACTAAGTTTAAGACAATGATTCAGGCTGGGCATGGTGGCTCAAGTCTGTAATCCCAGCACTTTGGGAGGCTGAAGCAGGCAGATCACCTGAGGTCAGGAGTTCAAGACCAGCCTGGCCAACATATTGAAACCCCGTCTCTACTAAAAATACAAAAATTTTCTGGGTGTGGTGGTGCACGCCTGTAATCCCAGCTACTCCAGAGGCTGAGACAAGTGAATTGCTTGAACCCAGGAGGCGGAGGTTGCAGTGAGCCGAGATCACACCACTGCACTCCAGCCTGGGCGACAGAACAAGACTCTGTCTCAAAAAAAAAAAAAGACAATGACTTGACGAAGTGATTCATCTCAATGATTCCCAAGCAGGCCACCTCACAGCGTGTCCAGTGTGGTTACCCTATTCCACATGGCGTATCCTAGAGACAGACAGGTGGCTGATGTGCAAGTGACAATGGCTTTCAGAAAAAAGACTAGTGATGTTAAAAATGAATACAAGAGGGTATAATTGAATATGACAGAAGGAAAGCTATACCTGTCAGAGAATCTTACCAGAGTTGTGAGCATCTCCTAAATGGGCTTAAAACTACTAGCACAAATAACTAAGAAATAATACTTTTTAAACAGCAGGTGATCAAATTTAGTGCATGTTAGTTTGTCAAAGCTGCATTTTCAAGTTGTAACAGATTGGTGCCTTAGACTATGGGATGGACATGGACAGAAGAAAAATCTGATGGTGAATATAAGAAAAGCTGTGAAAAAAGAAATGGAGAGGAGTGTGGGGATGGTTAATTCACAGAGAAGGGAAGCCGGCCTTGCCTGGAGTCAGCAGCCAGGAGTCCAGCATTCACATTCTCCCCAGAAGGAACAAAAGGCCACATGTGCCCTGTTTTGCAGATGTGCCTTCCCCACGCCTCCATGGGGGCCTTTGGCCCAGTTCTCATTGGCAGTGTCACTTCCTGATACTCATTTTCCAGAAGCCTCCCAGGTGATTAGCCATCATATGTCTCCAAGAAAGGAAGTGTTCGGCACATAATCTGCCAATGATTGCTGATGACAACACAAGTGTCAGACACTGTGTTAGCAATGACAAGGACATGGTCTCTGCCTTCTAGTACGTGAGGAGTCTGGCCTTGAGCCTCACCCTGAGGCTGCAGTGTACTCAAAGTTGTAACAGACCAGGACAGAGGGCTGAGGGTACAGGAGAAAGGGTGCCCAGCCTTGAAGAGTCAGGAGAGACATCAGTACAGTTAATACAGGCTCCATGGAGTGGGGAGGAACAGGAGGGACAGACAGCAGCAGGAAACTCATCTGGAAAGGTGTGCAAGGGTCAGAGCACAGGCTAGTGGAGAGAGCCAGGAAAAGGCATGTGGGCCTTGAAAGCAGACGGACCCAGCTCATCTAATGACTGGCTGTAAAACCTTAGGCAAATTACATCATTTCTGAAGCTTCAGAGCTTCTTATATGTGGATTGGGAGAAACTAGTTACTCACAATTCTTCCTTCCCACCCCACCTTTCCCAAGGCCCACTGTAGGCAGAGAATGCTCCCTATGCTGTTGCTGATGGGCTTGGCCCTATGCCTCATCTCAGCCATTGGAATATGGGTGGGAGTAAGATGGGGCAGCTCCAAGCCAAGGCCTTAAGAGCCACCACTTTCTTCCTTCTAGCCCCACTGTGCCTCTGTATCTGCCATGAGAAGGGCATGCCTGGGAGCTGCTGGTCCAAGAACAAGGAGTCAGAGAACAGCCCTGAAATCAACCCACAGCCTGATGCAGAGTGGCCCCAACCCACAGACCTGTGAGCAAGAAAAATAAATGTTTGTTGCTGTAGGACTTGGGGTGCATTTGATATGCAGCATTACTGAAGCAGAAACTACAGAACAAAATGCCCAGCAAGGTACCTGGCACAGGAAGTGCTCAAAGGCCGGTAGCAGCTTGGCTGGGGCAGCATGCATGATGGAAGGGCATGGGCTTTAGGGGTCAACAGCCACACGACCTTTGCCACATTTCTTAGCATCTCCAAGCCAGCTGCTTCACTTTCAAGTGGAGGGATGGTGAGGATTAGGTGAAAGCCTGCTGCTAAAGTGCTCAGGGTCATACAAGGTGCACTATAGGTGCTTGTCTCTATGGCAGGTTCCATTATTTTCCTCTTCATGCATATGTGCAGACCCAGACACCACACAGTTAAGTTCTGCACTAAGTGGGGGGGACTGCTAGTAGCAGGCTGAAGACAGGAAGCCCAGGAAGGAGCTAGCATGAGAGTCGAGGTCAGAGGTCAGAGGTCAAAGCATGCTGGGGTTGGCAGGGTGCCCTGCCTGGCCTGGCAGTAACTCTCCACCGGGATGCCACCTGGGAGAGGGTGGAGTCCACTGCCTGAGAGGCAATAGCCAGAGGCGAGGGCCAGATTGTCCTGAAACACCCCTACACTTGCAGCCACTGTTACCAAAGGGCTCAGAGTATTCACAACCAAGGAGGAATATGTGACTGAGGCTGAAAGTATTGTGTTATTAATCAGATACAAAAGATTTCCCTTTGTGGAGACGTACCATAGAACAGTGGGTCCCGGGGTGGTTTTCTTTTGACGAGGACACGAGCCAGCAGTGCTACCAGGAACAGGATGAGGGCAGCAACCCCTACAATAGTCCAGGAACTGCAACGACCAGAACAGGGAGGTGGTCACTATCAAAATAAACACATTGGTGCCTGGAATTTCCTGACTATTGAATGCATTCCCTCCTAGTGCTGCATAATTCATCCATAATTCTGCCTCTGCCTGCAGCTCCCAGCACTGTAGAGTTAGTGAAGTTTATCTGCAGCTCTTTGGCCCATCTGGGCTGCAGCCCATGACTTTCAGGGACCGAAGCCATCAGGTCCTCCTCATTCTCCTCTTATCCTGTCTCATGTGCACAGATGACACGTCTGGAGCTCCCTCTGCCTCACCCCACCCTGCTGCACCTATGGCCACTGCCCCACTGCCTCCACTTACACGTTCCTCTAACCCCTGCTCCCTAGCAGCTGACAGGCCTCACCACTGACTCTGCCACCTCCCTCAGGGCCAGTCAGAAACCCTCAGACTGAGCTCCAAGGAATATATAGGCATTACAACTAAACATGCCTTCCAGGGGACAAGAAAGACCTTATGTTATGTGTATAGTCAAATGGGCCAGAGAATGAGGCCAGGAAATCCATGGAGAAGGAGTCTGGACTAGACCTGAGGCCAGAATGAAGATAGCCCAACACCCCAGAACCAGGGCCAACAGACCAGCATCCAACCCCAAACCATAGAAACCAAGGTGAAGCTTAGTTGAGTACATCCCCTGGATGTTCTACAGGAAAGGGAGTGGCACCAAGGACAGCAGGGGCCAAAGCCGCTACTCAGTGGGGCAGCGATAGGGCACGAGGCTTGGTAGAGTTATCAGTCAGGAAACCGGGATCCTGGTACCCATTCTGTTGCTAACTGTGTCACCCTAGGAAAGTCACATCATTGCATCTATCTGTTTATTAATTAATTCAAAAACATAGCAAGCAAAAAAATGTATTCTGCACCCCTATGTGGTAGCCATTGTTGCAGGCCCTAGGAGACTGGATAAATAAGAGAAGTCCCTGCCTACATGGAGGAACCTATCTCAATGGACTCTGAGCTCTACCCACTAGGAGTTCTCCTGCAGTCCAACAGCAATACTCTCCCTCTCACACCTCCAGCACTGACAGGGCTTCCAATTCTAGACAAAATACTACCTGGCCCACTCCAATGGCCTGCTACACCAGGACCTCTTCAGATTGGAGCAGCTACAAGCACCACTCCTCAACTGAGACCCCTCCACACCACCACAGCCCAACATCGGGACCTTTGGATAACTATCACCGTCCCCTAGGAGAGAGAAAGATAAGAATAGAAGGAGGGAGGGAAGGGGGGAACAAATAGACGATGAGTGGATGGATAGATGGATGGATGATGGGTGAATGGTTGGATGGATGATGGATGAAAGGATGGATAGATGATGGATGAATGGATAGATGATGGATGAATGGATGGATGGATGATGGGTGAATGGGTGGATGATGGGTGAATAGATGGATGGATGATGGATGAATTGATGGATGATGGAGGATGATGGATAAATGGATGGATGGATGATGGATGAATTGATGGATGATGGAGGATGATGGATAAATGGATGGATAGATGATGATGAGTGGATGGATGGAGTATGGGTGAATGTATGGAGGATGGATGGATAAATGATAGATGGATCAATTCTATGATAAGAATGAGGCCGGGCGCAGTGGCTCACACCTGTAATCCAAGCACTTTGGGAGGTCGAGGCGGGTGGATCACCCGAGGTCAGGAGTTGGAGACCAGCCTGGCCAACATGGTGAAACCCCGTCTCTACTAAAAATACAAAAAATTAGCCAGGCGAGGTGGCGGATGCCTGTAATCCCCGCTACTTGGGAGGCTGAGGCAGTAGAATTGCTTGAACCTGGGGGTTGGAGGCTGCAGTGAGCCAAGATTGCACCACTGCAGTCCCGCTTGGATGACAGAGCAAGAGTCCGTCTCAAAAAATAATAACAATTAATTACATTTTTTAAAAAAGAATGAGGGTGGCTGTTTCAATGTCCAGGTGAGAAACTGAAAAATAGGAGGTTTCTGGTGATTGCACTTCAGTGGTTGCTCCAGGCTCCTCCTGTGGGGATGAGCTGAAGAAGGAGGAAGCCAGTGTGGGTCAAGAGTATGATGCTGGGCTGAAGAATCCCATGAGGGAAGAGGTGGGTGTGCTGGGTCAGCTGACAGGCATTTTAATGGTGAACAGCCTGAGGCAGGTGGTGGTCAGGTGACAACTCCAGTCTTCACTCCTACCAAGGGCCTGCACTCACTGCCAGCAGGATCGCGTGGTTGGTGCTCTTCTGGAGCAGGACAGAGCAGTGTGAACTGGTTCACAGCGTCCTCTCATGCTCTTAGCTCCAGGAGAGGAGGGAAGAATGAAGGGAAACTAGGGCAGCAGATTGTCTCTGACTCTTGGCACTGTCCCCAGAGACCCTCCTACAACAGCCAAGTGCAGGACCTGCTCACCACAGGAAGAAACAGGTCCTGCAGGGACTCAGGGACAGGTAAGGGCTGCGACTAACCCCAGGATGAGAAAGTTGCTAGTCTTGGGGGGTGGGAAGGGCTGCTGATGCCCTTCTATGAACAGACACCTACTGAGAGGGGACATGCAAGGATGAGTGTGAGCAGTGTGTCTCTCTCAGTGAGAGAGGGAGACAGAACACGCTCAATCCTTTCCTGACCTCTCAATCTAATTTTCTTTTTCTGGTTTTCAGAGTTGCATAAAAGGTTTGGTGGGAAGGAAACTCGATTCAACAAAGTCAAACATACCTGAGTGCCTACGATGCACACGGCGCTGGCCTGGGCAGGACAGTACAGAGGGGTGAGCTATAGCCGGGGCAGGTAAGTTCTTACCACAGGAAAGTAACTCTCGGGAGAAAGGTGCAAACAAGGGACTGAGGGAGCTCAAAGGAGAGAGAGGGAGGGTCTGCAGAAGGTAGAAGTGGCCATAAAGTCCAGGTGCGGCTTCAACAGTCTGCGATAGGAGGAAGGCAGCATCCCTGTCAGGGAGCAGCAGGAGTCCGGGCTAGAGGCTGGAGAGGAGGAGGAATGGTCAAGGAGCAAAGGCAGGCTGGTGCGGCAGGAGCACTAGTGCGTGGGCTGGGACTGGGGGGCCGAGGCCGAGAAACACGCAGCGGGGCTGGGCAGCGAGACTTGCACCGGAGCCTTTGCCACAGTCCAGGTCAGAAAGGGCCAGTGCCAGGGAGAACTGAAAGGAGGGAACAGACACTAGAGCCCCAGGACTTATGGGGAAGCAGACAGTAGGAGGAAGGGAGTGGAGAAAGAAGAGAGGAATCAAAGGCCACGGGGGTTTTAACCTGCAAGAGGACAGGAAGAATGGCTGACACTAATTATTCAAAATGCTGTAGTGCTTGCCAGTGCGCTCCATCATGCACAGCAATACATAGTTCAGTCTGTATTCAGTAAATGCCATCACCATCTTCCCAGTGGCTGAGGCCAAAACCTAGGGCTCATCCTCAAATCCTCTGCTGCCATGCAACCCTCTTCAGTAAGCCCCATCTGTTCACCTTCCAAAATACCTACTACGCCCATCCAATTCCTTCCCCTGCACTGCTCCATTTTCCTGCCCGACAGGCTCCATTCCCAGATCTTCCCATAGCTCAAGTGTTACCTCCTCCTAGAAGCCTTCCCTGGCCACCAGCCCCCTCCCCAGTCACCCTATTTTATTATCTTCATAGCATGTCACTATCGATGTATTAATGTTTGTTGATGTCTATCTCATTACCTGCCTCCACAGCCTCTTCTGGCTTGTTCATAGCTATGTCACCAACACTTGGAACAGTGCCAAACACACAGTAGGCACTCAGTATATCTTCACTGAACTACCCGTAATGCCATTTTTTGGAGCACAGGGTCCCCCATGCACTATATTGACAGGCATGTAATATTCGGTGGCCCAGAGCAGCTGCCTCCAGGGGATGCCTCCAGAGACTGGGCCAGACCAAGGGTAGACACTGCTGGTGCCTGGTGAGCACTCAGTGTGGGTGCTGCCTGTATCAGGCGGCCAGGCAGCTGGAGAGGAGGAAGTTACCACCCTATGTACAGACACTCCACGGCCTGACCAGCTGAAGGGGGTTTGCAGCCTACAGACTGATGCAATTTCCTTAGCACCAACAGCTGAGAGACATAGCAGGTTACTTCCTCCTCCCTCCAGACAGCAACCAACATCAGCAGGAACAGAGGCTGGCGCCTGTCCCAACACCCGGCGACCCTCAGGCCTTCAGCTGCCGGCTGCAGGTTAGTCCGTGATCCCTGCAGTGGAGTGGGAGGCAGGGCTTCGAACCCAAGCCCTGTCCCCCTCCATCAGCCCCACCCATTTCCTTCACATTGAAGTGTTCTGCCTCTGCTGCCTGTCCCCATCCTACCCCAGCGCAGGCACTGGGAAGCACTTCTCCATTCACAACGCCCCTTCACAAAGAGGTCTCGGTGGAACCTTACAATAGGACGCACACAAAGTCCACTTGACCGGAAAACCGAGGCCAGACCACACCGTCAGTGCCAAACACCGTCAGGCCAGACACCGTCAGTGCCAAAGCCAGGCCTAGAACCCACGTCTCTGCCTGTTGGTTCCGGGCTATTTCTGCTAGTCATTCACAACAGTTTCTAAAATTAATAAGAAATGATAAGTATGCGAAAGTCCATACATGGAAACGTTCCCGTGAGATGCAAAAAGAACAAGGCACAAACGAGCTGACACGGCCAGGTTCGTAGTGTCCGTGTTTGTTCCGCTCCCCACCGGCCCCTGGGCCCCTCCAGGGCAGGGGCATGGCCGTATTGACGCCTGTGACCCCGGGCACCTGGCGCGGTGCTGGCACCAACATCCCGAAATGCGCCAGCCTGGGCACCTCAGGGCCCGGCTCCAAGACCCGGCCCGTGCGACCCCTGGGGCGCCCCCCTAGTCTGGCCAGGCGCGGGGAGCCCCTGCGGCCACGAACCTCTGTCCCGCGGCGGACGGTCCCAGCCCCCTCGGAAAAGTTGCGAGGCTCCCGTCGCGGCGAGCCAACTCCCGCCGCCCCTCGGCGCGACCCCCGCCGCGCCGGCTCACTCACTCATGCTGGGCCGCCAGGTGGTTGAAGACATAGGTGACCGGGATGGCCGAGAGGGACAGCACGAAGACCCCGGTGGCCGCAGAGGCACTCATCGCAGCCGCCGCGCCGCTCGCCCTTCACCGCATCCCGCTGGGCGCCCCGCCCCAGCTTCCGGCGGCGCCCGCGCCCCCTTGGCGCTTGCCCTTCGAGGCGCCTCAGCCGCGCCCCCCGCGTGGCGCCCTCAGCGGCGTCCCCTCAGCGGTGTCTCCTCCGCGCGCCCTCCCAGCCCGCAGCCGTCCCCCGCGCCTGGCCCCGTCGCCCCAAGTGCGCAGGGCCGCGGTGCAGTCCCGGGAGGCGTCCTTGCAGTGCTCCTGCCAGGGGCGCCACGGCTCAGCGGCAAGCGCCCGGCGGCGCCGAGGGGCGGCGACACCCCCGCGCAGGGACAGGTGCCCCTGGCGGCGCGCGCTCCGAGGGAGGGCCCGGGGCACGGCCGGGAACCGGTCATCGAAGAGCTGGAGAGGCGCGGGGCTGAGCTGCGGTCCGGGAAAGGTGGAACCAGATCCGAGGGTGTCAGAGGAGGAAGGGCCCGCGGGATCGTCTATGGGGGAGCCCACGGCCCAGAAGTGGGAAAGGACAAAATGCCCCTGAAACCTCGGAACCTCTCCGCTCCAGTAGCCATCGGCGGGCTGCTGCACGGAGCCGGCATCCGGTTTTTAAACCTGGCTCTCCAGTCACCAGCTGTTGACTTTGGTCAAATTACTTAACCTCTCTGTCTTTTCCCTTATCTGGGAAATGGGGATAACACACTTCATAGTGTGACTGTGGGGTTAACTGAGTTCATACCTACGAAGCGCGTTATCCTGTGCTGCTCACTACACCACCTCCTGCGATTCTTTTTTTTTTTTTTTCTTTAATTGAAATGGACATAAATGCTGAGACTCTAAGAGACTAGAGCGCCATTCATTGCTATTCCAGGAAGCATTCCTGGAGGCCAGGTGCCCACCAGCCAGCCTGCATTGGGCCCTGCAGGGTACAAAGACTGGAAGATAAGCCTCTTCCTCTGAATGATAGATGCCTACGGGTATGGAAAATATTGTGTGTCAAGTGTTGTGGCTATCTGAAGGGCAGTGAGTTCCAGGAGAACAGCTCAAGCAACTGAGGGAGGTACCGGCATGTACTTACTGTCTTTACAACTTCCAGGGAATTTAAGAGACCATTTATGTGTTTTTGCTGTTGCCATTTGAGGGGTTTATTTTATTTATTTATTTATTTATTTATTTATTATTTTTATTTTTTTTTTTTTTTGAGACAGAGTCTCGCTCTGTCACCCAGGCTGGAGTGCAGTGGTGCAATCTTGGCTCACTGCAAGCTCCACCTCCCGGGGTTCACGCCATTCTGCCTCAGCCTCCAGAGTAGCTGGGACTACAGGTGCCCGCCACCGCGCCGGGCTAATTTTTTGTATTTTTAGTAGAGACGGGGTTTCACCGTGGTCTTGATCTCCTGACCTCGTGATCCGCCCGCCTCGGCCTCCCAAAGTGCTGGGATTACAGGCGTGAGCCACCGCGCCCAGCCTATTTTTATTTTTATTTTTTTAAGACAGGGTCTCACTCTGCAAACCAGGCTAGAGGCAGTGGAGAGATGAGGGCTCACTGCAGTCCCCACTTTCCCACGCCAAGCCATCCTCCCAGCTTAGCCTCCTTAGCTCCTGGGACTACAGTCTCGCACCACTTCTTTGTAGAGGCAGGGTCTCACTATGTTGCCCAAGCTGGTCTCAAACTCCTGGGCTCAAGTGATCCTCCCTCCTCGGCCTCCCAAAGTGCTGGGATTACAGGTGTGAGCCACCGCACCTAGCCTCTAAAAGACCATTTGGCTCATTTTAGACATGAGGAAAATGAGCTACGAGGAGGTATGGCCTGCTCCAGGGCCACTCCACTTTTCAAATGCCAGTTCTCCTAATCCTTCATCCTAGTTCTTCTTGAAGGCTTCTCCAGCTCTGAGTGCATAACGTTTAAGCCTTGGCCCACACTGTGACATATCCAAAGTTTCTCCAAGAGGTGTCCTCACCTGTCACCTGCACATCACCCTCTTCCACCCCTAACCTTCACCACTCTCCTTAAACTCCTACTTCCTCCCTGACAAGAGACACTTCCTCCTATACCTCTGAGCTCCCAGCCAGGCTCCCAAGCCAGCCCATCCCTTCCATCAACACCCAACCTTGTTGCATCAGTCTCAGAGCTGCTCCCTCAGAGCCCACAAGGGACCCAAGTGACATGGCAAAGTTTCAAGGTATTGTGATATACATATTGGGAATTACATGATTTTTTTGTTGACAACAGTTTCTCTTTTTTTTTTTTTTTTTTTTTTTTTTTTTTTTTTTTTTTTGAGATGGAGTCTCGCTCTGTCACCCAGGCTGGAGTGCAGTGGCGGGATCTCGGCTCACTGCAAGCTCCGCCTCCCGGGTTCACGCCATTCTCCTGCCTCAGCCTCCCAAGTAGCTGGGACTACAGGCGCCCGCCACTACGCCCGGCTAATTTTTTGTATTTTTAGTAGAGACGGGGTTTCACCGTTTTAGCCGGGATGGTCTCGATCTCCTGACCTCGTGATCCGCCCGCCTCGGCCTCCCAAAGTGCTGGGATTACAGGCGTGAGCCACCGCGCCCGGCCAGTTTCTCTCTTAATGCTGAAAATATGAGTGGTCAGAATGCTTGTAGTTGGGAAGAGTTTTTCGCAGGAACCTTCCCTGGCTTTTGGGATAAGTGAACCCCTCTGGCTGCCCTGGATCCTTCCGCTCAACCTAGACACAGGCTCAAGTAGCTTCCAATTTAGAAATCTGCTCCCTGAACCTGAGTGTCCTGGGTTTTTTTTGTTTGTTTGTTTTTTGTTTGTTTGTTTGTTTTTGAGACAAAGTCTCGCTCTTTCACTCAGGCTGGAGTGAAGTGGCACAATCTCAGCTCACTGCAACCTCTGCCCTGCCCCCCGCCGGGTTCAAGCAATTCTGCCTCAGCCTCCCAAGGAACTAGGATTACAGGTGCCCGCCACCATACCCGGCTAATTTTTGTATTTTTAGTATAGATGGGGTTTCATCATGTTGGCCGGGCTGGTCTCAAACTCCTGAACTCAGGTGATCCACCCGCCTCCATCTCCCAAAGTGCTGGGATTACAGGTGTGAACCACCACACCTGGCCCTGAGTGTCCTCTTTTGCCTACCATCTTCTCTTGTTTCTTTCTCAGACACACTTGGTTTTAATGGCCACATCTATGATGCTAGATCCCAAATAACAAGCCCTGACCTGTTATTCCCTTAGCATGGCTGCCTGGGCATCCCGGTGGCACCTCACAATGTCAAAACAGAATTCCTCATTTCCTCAAGACACACTCCTGCTTTATTTTATCTGGTGGCACCACAATTCGCCCACTCACCCAAGCCAGAAGCCTGGGAGCCATCAGTTCCCACCTCTCCGGAATTCCTTTTGTTACACAATTCTCCCAGTGTGACTTTCCAAATATCACTCAAGTCTGTTTGCTCCTCCCCATCCGCACCTCCTCTTAGTTTTGGTCTATACTGCCTCTCATCTAAACATGTCCTAGTCTCCTCCCTCTGATTCCTGCCTCTGACCTCAGTTGACTCAGCTGCTGTAGAAGGCCTTACCTGACCACCCTCCTGAACTTTCGCCTATCAAGCGCCCTGCTTTATTTGATTCAGAGTACTTTTACTATCTAAAATTATCTGGCTTACGCCTTTGTTTACTGGTCTGGATCTCTCCTCCATGATAATGGAAGCTCCTCGAGGTTGGGAACCTTCTCTGGCTCGTTCATTGTTCCATTCCCATCATCTAGATTAATGCCCAGTACATAGGAGGTGCTCAAGAAATATTTGCAAGCCAGGCACAGTGCTTCAGCCTGTAATCTCAGCACGTTGGGAGGCCGAGGCAGACAGATCACTTGAGGTCAGGAGTTTGAGACCAGCCTAGGCAACATGGTGAAACCCTATCTCTACTAAAAATACAAAAATTAGTCGGGCATGGTGATGTGTGCCTGTAGTCCCAGCTACTCAGAAGGCTGAGGCACAAGAATCACTTGAACCCAGGAGGCAGAGGTTGCAGTGAGCAGAGATCATGCCACTGCACTCCAGCGTGGGTGATAGAGCAAGACTCTGCCTCAAAAAAAAAAAAAAAAGAAAAAGAAAGAAATATTTGTTCAGTGATTGAATGCTCTAGATCATTATTGCTCAACAGAAATATACTGTGAGCCCAAATGTGAGCCGCATGTATTATTTTATTTTTATTTATTAATTTTTTTTCAAGACCTAATCTCACTCTGCTGCCCAGGCTAGAGCGCAGTGGTGCGATCTCGGCTCACTGCAGCCTCCGCCTCCCTGGTTCAAGCAATTCTCGTGCATCAGCCTCCCAAGTAACTGGGATTACAGGTGTGCGCCACCACACCCAGCTAATTTTTTGTATTTTTAGTGAGATGGGGTTTCTCTATGTTGCCCAGGCTGGTCTTGAATTCCTGACCTCAAGTGATCTGCCCAACTCGGCCTCCCAAAGTGCTGGGATTACAGGCGTGAGCCACCGCGCCCAGCCACATGTATAATTTTAAATATTCTTGTAGCCACATCAAAAAGTTTTAAAGAAACAGTAAAATTAATTTATAATATATTTTATTTAGCCCAGTATATCCAAAAGATTATCATTTCAACAAGTTATCAACATGAAATATATTAATGAGATAGTTTATAATCTTTTTCATTCTGAGTCTTCAAAATCCCATGTGTATTTGACATAGCACATCTCAACTCAGACTAGTCTTATTTCAAGTGCCCAACAGCCACATGTGGCTAGTGGCTTCTGTACTGGACATGGCAGCTCTAGACTTACCCCTCCTGTCATACTGACCTGGCTTCAGTTGTGCTCGCTACTATTGTAAAAATAGATATGATAATTACATCACTAATCAATTCATTTTATCAACAAACATCCTCAGACAGTCTGCTGTGTTTCCGTCATTATTCTAAGAAGTGAGCATACAAAGATGAATTACAAATTGCCCAAGAGGACCACAGACTAGTATGAGAAAGACATGTAAACAATTACCATATAATGCAATAAAAAATATATAAGCCAATTGCTATAGGAAACAGCAAATTTGGTCTGAAGGATCCAAGAAAAGCCTCAGAAGGAAGTGAGGCTTTAGACTAGCCTTGAAGAACAAGTAGAAGCTGGCCAAACAGACACAGAAGAGGTTGGGCTTTCCAGGCAACAGAGCCAAAACATGTTAAAGGCAGAAAGAAATGTGTGGGAGAGCTTGCCACTTTATGAAGTGCAAGTAATTTGCGCTGGTTGGAAATACTGGGATGTCGTGTGTGAGTGGGGCTGGCAGGAGGTGAAGATGGAGAGGGATCAGGGGCTCAATATCAGAAAAGATTATGAATCTTAAATTATTTGTATATGAGGCTGGGCATGGTGGCCAGTACTTTGGGAGGCTGAGGGGGGAGGATCACTTGAGGCCAGGAGTTGGAGACTAGCCTGGGCAACATAATGAGACCCCATCTTTACCCCCCCGCCAAAAAATTAGCCAGGTGTGGTGGCACACATCTATAGTCCCAGCTACTCTGGAGGCTGAGGTGGGAGGATTACTTGAGCCCAGGAGGTCGAGGCTGCAGTGAACCATGATTGTGCTACTGCATTCCAGCTTGGGCAACAGAATGAGACCTCATCTCTGAAAAATAAAAAATAAACCGTATAAGTGGGAGGAGGGATGGACTTGATCAGAGTAGCATCTTTAAAGCTCTGTCTGGTAGCTGGCATGGACCATGGTTTACAAGGAAGAGGGATAGGAGGCAGAAAGAACAATTAGGAGGCTCCTACAATTGTCCTGGCAAGAGAGGATGGGCCCTGAACCAAGGCAATGGCAGTGAGAGGGAAGAGGAGAAGAGGAGGACACAGGTGTGAAAGATCTAGATAGGAATTGGAGACGGCTGGGAGGAGGGCACTAGAGGTGATTTTGGTTGTGGACATGTGGGTTTTTCAGTACCCAGGGGCTCCCAGGAAGAGCTGTCAACTGTTTGGATACTCATCTGTGGCACCAAGAGAGGCACAAGCTACAGAGAGTTTGGGGGTCATTAGCAAGAGGTGGGGCTTAAAACAAAGGAAATGAATCAATGTCCCAGGAAAAGGAGAGAGCCAAAGAGAATGGTGAACAGAAGCCACTTCAGAGGGGTCGGTGAGCCTTGCCACCAGCAGAACAGCCATGGGCATCTGAACTCAATAACAGAAACATCCAACAGCCCAACACTGAGAGCTGCTCCCTTACAGCCCACAAGGGACCCAAGTGACATGGCAGTGTTTGAGGTATTGTGATGTGCGTATTGGAGACTACATGATTTTTGTTGACAAGTTTCTCTTAACGCTGAAAATATGAGTGGTCGGAAGGCTTGCAGTTGGGAAGAAGTTTTCAGTTTTACAGGAAACTTCCCTGGGTTTTGGGGTAAGTCATAAACCCAACAAATATAATCCGATTTTGTGACAATATAGTATTCTGTAGATTAAACAGTAATTCCATCAATTCTATCTCCTGTAATCCTCACAACAGCTGTCTGAAGAACATAGAGCCATTTATGGATGAAGAAACTGGGGCTGAAAGAAGTTAGATGACTTGCCAAATTCAAGTGTCTAAGAAGACACAGGGCAAACTTGAATTCACATCTTCTGACTTAAAGTAGCTAGACTCATGATATCACAGCTGACCCCCAGCAAAGCTCCATGCCCAGCACCTTAGACAATGGTGTTTGGACACGCTTTGATTTGATCATTTGACTCATTGCCCAGGAGATTAAGGTCTGAAGTTCTGCTCAGTGTAGGTCAATTTCAAAATCATTGTTTGAAAAAGGGTTGTATATGGCTTTTTAAAAAGGCATTCAGGCTGGGTGTGGTGGCTCACGCCTGTAACCCCAGCACTTTGGAAGGCCCAGGTGGGCAGATCAGTTGAGGTCAGGAGTTCGAGACCAGCCTGGCCAACATGGTGAAATCCTATCTCTACTAAAAATACAAATATTAGCTGGGCATGGTGGCACACACCCTGTAATCCCAGCTACTTGGGAGGCTGAGGCATGAAAATTGCTTGAACCCTGGAAGCCGAGGTTGCAGTGAGCCAAGATCATACCCACTGCACACCAAACTGGGCAACAGAGCAAGAAAGACTCCATCTCAAAAGAAAAAAAAAAGTCATTCAAACAATAAAGATGTTTTTTGATTTTTGTTTTCTGCTTTTTAAGGAGCATCAATCTTGCAAGCCATGAAGGCTAATATTGCAGCTGTGACGAAGCATCGAATTTGACTCCAAGCTTCCTGGAAGCAAAAATAGAAACATAGAGGCTGTACAATGCCAATTACCTGAGAAACACACAGTGTTTTGTAATGCAGATTCAAAATCACTGACTTAACTGACTAATCAGGAATTAAATGCAAAGCCCCCACCTTACCATGCCTGTTTCTGCCACAGAGGGGAAGTGAAAGCAGAACTTTGAGGAGCTTGGTCACATTGGAAGCAGGAACAATGGAAGAGTGGGGCTGGGCAGATTAATGATCTTCAGGAAAAGTTAAGTGGAAGTCAGCTTTCATGCTTTAGCCCCCAGCTCCTGAACATTCATTCTCTTCCCTTCATCACATGCTTCCATTCTCCTTTTTCAAAAAATCTTTTTGATAAAAGTTGTATTTGTGTACTCATGAAAGGCTACCCACTCTAGATGAATGTGCAAGAGGCAATTAAACAGATTGATCTATGGGGTGTATAGGGACAGAACAAATGATCTGAGAGAGACCAGGGCAAGGGTGATGTGCTTAGTGTGTAGGTCACTAGAATCCTCTCTGAAGAAGAAACCAGGGAGGGCCCAGCCCACCTGAAAAAAAACTCTGGAAGAATCCCTCGGTGCATGTATCTCCCTAAGTCTTTCCAGCAACCCCGAGTGCTGTGACTAGGGCTGCAATTATTAACGTGGGTTTGAAGGGGGGTGGGGGTAAAGGTGGCTGTGCGTCCAACCCCTAAACATGGTGCCAGGCATACAGCAGATGCACAATTAATGTTAACTGAGGAGGGGAAAGGAGAGATGAAGAAAGAAAACGGGGGAAAGGATGGAAGGAAATCGAGAGGGAAGGAAGGAGTTCTAAAGAAAAAGTGATATGAAAATAAAATGACAGGAGAGGTAAAGTTAGCATGTCAAATGTTTTTCAAAGGTCTTGTGCAGTTGCCAGAGGAGGTCTGCAATTTTGTCCTGGGTTTCCTAGCAACCAAAGCAAGGAGGGAAACATAATCAGTTGTAACATTCACAGTGTCCATAAGATAAAAACAGATCTGTTGCTCAGAAAAACTCTTCCCTGGCTCTTCTTAAAGGGAACACCATGTCATATAGTTTATCCTCAGCAACATTTCTGCAATAAATATAGAATCAAACTCTGAACAATTGTCTCCCAGAACATCCTCAAGGCAGGTGATTGGCATATTGTCAAGTGCCACTCAGGACACTCAAGTGGTCAAAACAATTACATACAGAAAAGCAACTTTCTGAAGTTCTGGCTTGTTTTCAGTGATACATTTTACAATATCTGGGAAAAGGGATGAAAATGCCTTCCTGGCACCCACACCATCATTTCTAGTCCAAGCCCAGGACAAACGTCACCAAATGATCACTGAACTTTTTCCCGTTGAGACTGGACGTTGCCTCATAATCCTTTCCAACCGTACTCATTAATAGGGTTCTTCTCCCATGCCAACTTGAATCTATCTGCCAGCTCTGATCAAAGGGAATTGGTGAATATCCTTCAAGCAATGCTCTATGAATATTATTTCATATAATAAAGCTTGAATACAAATGAGGCAAGAGGAAGTGTGCAGTTACAGTGGCTGGCAAGAAAGAAGAAATATTATGTATTGATAAGTAAGGATAAAATGTAATGGTTTGATAAGCAAAGAAATGGATAATTTGACATTCTGTATGGAAAAGGTGAATTAGAGTAAGAACTAAATCAAAACCCAGTGTTGTTGTAGTATCTAGACTGTTCCTGGGTATGTATCTCTCATACATACACATACATGCACACACACATTTTTTTTTTTCTTTTAGAGACAGGGTCTTGCTATGTTTACCAGGCTGACCTTGATCTCTTGGGCTCAAGCAATGCTCCTATCTCAGCCTCCTGAGTATCTGGGACTACAAGTGTGCACCACCAATCTCAGCTCTGTTTTATTTTTTAAAGAAGAAAAAACACAGTACTTGAAAACAGGAAAGGGTTCTACTAGTGAACCAGAAAATGTGAAGGATACATAGAATATTGTGCTGTTACTTTGGGTGCCCCTAATAAACAGCATCTCTCCTACCACTTGACTGTGAACTTGGCTATGTAGTTTGTTTTGGCCAGTGAGACATTAGGAAATGTAAGCAGAGGCTTATAAAACTGCTTGTACATTAGGGTTTAATCCTCTTAGAATGCACCTTCTTGGAACCTAAGCCACCATGCTGTCAGGAAGCTCAACCAGCCATGTAGAAAGGCTAACATGGAGAAGAACTAAGGTCCCTGGCTGACAACCTGAATTGAGATCCCAGCCAGTAGGTATCACTAAAAATTAGCCATGGGAGGATGTCATGAACCTTTCAACACCAAATAAAGCAAAACAACTGCATAATCAACCCACATGAGAAATGATACTTTTTTAAATGTTTTAAGCCACTAAATTTTGGGGTGGTTATGCAGCAGTAGATAACTGAAAAATACAAAACAGCAATGGAGAAAGAATAGAGGATTAAGACTGAAGCACCAGAATTCTTCCTAGGGGAGATAGGTCCAAGCTCAGAATCAACAAATGCAAAGAGTAGACGGAGACTTTGGATGATCATTCAGGAACAGCACTGAGAATAGCTCAGATAGTCAGCTCTTACCCTCTTCTGTGCATGAACATGTAGTAACTAGAAGCAATGGCTTTCACACTCAAGATTAATCAGGAAAACTGCTTTTTAAAGAAAGTGGGCAAACTTCCTAAGGAGTGTTTTTTGTTGTTTTAGAGACAGGGTCTTGCTCTGTCACCCAGGCTGGAGTACAGTTGTGCAGTCATAGCTCACTGCAGCTTCAGATTTCTGAGTTGAAGTGATCCTCCCACTTCAGCCTCCAGGGTCTTGGACTACAGACTTGCACCACCACACCTGGCTAATTTTTTGTAGAGACGAGATCTTGTTATGTTGCCCAGGGTGGCTCATGGAGTGTTTGAAGCGGGGTATAGGGCTTGAGAATGAAGTAGACCCCAGTTTGAAATACTAAAGAGATCTACCCCTCAGTGGAGGGTAAAGCCCACTTGAACTACTGTGAATGTCTCTAACCTGACTGTTTGCTTCTCCTTCAGACAACCTAAAAGGGTTTCTATCTTTTGATAGGCCCCACCTACTTACAAAGAACCCTCAGATGATTCTGTCAGCCAAGGAAGGGGCCTAACAGTGACTTACACATCTCTGCAAAGACACTCATGGAAACTACCATACTAATGAACATAGTCCTTTATTCATCAACGTAAACAGAAAACCAAAGATTGCAAATATATTAGGAAAACCAACAGCATGGAAGAGAAGATCCAAGTTGGACCAATAGAAAAATTGACCTTGGAGGAAACAGAGATAATTTAGGAAAGAAAGATTTTATAAAAATTGTGGTCACTATCTTCAGAATAATTTGAGAAGATGCTGCATTCAAGAACTGAGAAGAGGTGGCTATGGGAAAGGAACAAGCAAAGAACAAGAAAAGATTCTTGGGAATTAAAAGTGGGATTGCAATAGGGAACACTCAATAAGTGCGCCAAATAATAAATTGGATGCAGCGAAAGACCAAGCAGTTGATCTGGAATCAAGGAATCTCAGAATGTAGAGCAAGAAAAACAAAGAGACAGCAAACATAAGAGAGTGCCAAGGACAGACACAGAGATCCAGCATCTGTCTGATTAGGAAAGAACAGAGAAAATGAAAGAGAGAGAATACCCAAAGAAGTCACAGAACAACATTTTCTTAAGCTCAAGAAATATGTGAGTCTTTAAGACTGAAAGTGTTCACTGAACAAAATTAAGGTAAAAGGGTTAAACTCTTAGGCATGGTGGCTCATGCCTATAATCCCAGCACTTTGGGAGGCTAAGGCAGGAGGATCACTTGAGCCCAGAATTTCAAGACTAGCCTGGGCAATATGGTGAGACCCCATCTGTACAAAAAATTTAAAAATTAGCCAGGCGTGATGTCGCACACCTGTAGTCCCAGTTACTCAGAAGGCTGAGGTGGGAGGATCACTCAAATCTGGGAGGTGGAGGCTGCAGTGAACTATGATTGCACCACTGCACTCCAGCCTGGGGCAACACAGTGAGACCCTGCCTCAATAAAAAGAAAAAAATAAGATTAAACCTCCCTCACTAGCATTCTCAGTTCTCCTTACTCTATTTATTCCTTTTTTTGATAGCACTATATAATACTAGCACACTACATAATTGTCTTATGCATTATGCATATTATTTATGACCTGTCTCCCCTGCTAGAATGTAAGTTCCAGGAGGGCAGGAATCTTTGATTTGTTCCCTAATGAAGCCCAGCACCTTGAACAGTGCCTTGCACCCTGGAGCCATCAGTAAAGATACGTCAAATTGAATTAAAATCCAGACACATCTTGGTACAATTTCACAACTCCAAATATAAATGGGAAATCTTAAAATCTTGGGGATTTCCTAGAAAGAAAAAGAAACAGAACTTTCACCTGACATGAACAACATTGGATCCTGGACAACAATGAATAACATAACATCTTCATAGTTAGCAAGGAAGAAAAGCTTGGTACAATCTAAACCCTGCCGAAGTACCAGTTATTTGTAAAGGCAATCGTAGGGCATTTTCAGACATACAAGAACTTGGAACATTTACTGTTCATATTCCTTGGATGACAAAATTATTCAAACATATTTTCCAGCAAAAATTAAAGGAGGGTCCAAGAAAAAGGACAACATGGGATACAAGAAATTGAAACCCCAAAGAAGTGAAAGAAGCCAGCAAGAGATTAAGAGGATTCATCATTTTCAGATGCCCAAAAGGATTTCCTTGGACCAACATTTCAAATGGCATGAGGATTTACATTTATTAATATTCCCTGGCTCCAGTCATATTAATTGGTTCTTTTTTTAATGGGGGTTTTCCAGTAAAAAAAAACAAAAAACAAACAAACAAAAAAAAGAAAACCTGCTAGACAAATTCTAAAAGAGCTGTAACAATTGGTTATTTAGTTAATAATATTTACATAGTCACAAAGCTGAAATGCTATTTAAAAGTTTTTAATTTTTGAAACAATTATAGGCAAAACATAGAAAACTTACTTGGAGTTACAAAATAAAATGTAAATTTTATAAACGTTTACCCTGTAAGAACAGTAACTGACAAAAATTGAGGTGAGGGCAGGGGGTGAGCAGAAAATATGCTTCTTTTAAAAAAAAACAAAATTGAAATCCCCTCTGCAGTCCTGGTCCTCTCTCTCCATCTGTAGAAGCAATCACTCTCCTGAAATTGGGGCATGATCAACCCATATTTATATACTTTACCTATAAACAATATATAGTTATTTTATAAAAATTTAAAGTTTATGTAAATAATATCCTTACATGTTTTTTTCACTTAAGTTTTTGAAATCCACTGATTTTTATACATTTGGTCACTCATTTTCACTGTTAGAGTATTGACTATACCACAATTTTTCATTCCCCTCACTAATGGGCCACTGAGTTGTTTCACTACTCTAAACCACGTTGTAGTGAATATCCTTGTACTGTTCGCCTTGTGCACATGCTCAGGAGTTTCTCCAGGGCACCAATGCCTAAAAGTGAAATGGCCAGGTGCTGGGTGTGTGCACGTTATTTGGAGCCTCTTTATACTTGGTCGGTCCATCGCTTCTCTGTGATTTGGCTGAGATCAAGTGTGTACTTGATCAGTCCAGGACCAGCTCCAGCCGGTTCCTTTACTAACCTGCTGAGCTCTGAAAGCAAAGGCCCTTTAAGAGTCACTCAGCTTGGCTTTAATCAAGTGGCCTCAAGTTTTAGTGTGTCCAAGGACTGCTTGGGAAGCTTGTTAAAAATGTAGTCTCCCAGATACTCTGATTTGTTAGCTCTAGGGTGAGGCCTAAGAATCTGAATCTTTAACAAGTTCCCCAGAGATTCCAATACAAGTAGTCTGCAGCCTACACTCTGAGAAACATTCTCCTAATCCACAGCTACAGACAACACCTTTTAACCTAAACCAGACATCCACAAAAGGTGCTATGTGTTGCCAGAAGAATCAGATGGGTAAGGGGAGTCATTGCTTCCAGAATGTGCTGGTAGCAGAAACTCAAATCTCAAACAATGGTATACAATGGCCACAAATTAACAAGCAAGAGTTTTCACCCTACTTTGAGTCCAGGCCAAGACGTATAGTCTTCATTCTTGTCTCCCTGTGTGCAGGGACATTTTTTTGCTAGTTCACCCTTTTATCCCCACATCACCTTTAAAAGCCCCAGCTCTCTGCAGAGATGTCAGTATCCATTTTCTGCATCCAGTAAACTCAAAGCCTGCTCTTCTAACTTGGTGTAAACAAAAACCAAGCTTCCAGGTTACTGAGCTGGCAACCTCCCTAGAGCTGTGCCACGTTGCTCATAGACTCTAGGTCCCAGAGTTTAGTTTTCTCC
The DNA here is from genome assembly GCF_000001405.40 of Homo sapiens. Taxonomy (NCBI): domain Eukaryota; kingdom Metazoa; phylum Chordata; class Mammalia; order Primates; family Hominidae; genus Homo; species Homo sapiens. The sequence goes on along the minus strand of NC_000015.10, from coordinate 83,094,073 downwards.
TAGCCTCTGGGGCTTTTACCTATTTTCTTGGATGCTTGGATGTGTGTTTAAATGATTTTGTTCTATTTTATCCAGCTTTTTTTTTTTTTTTTTTTGAGACAGAGTCTCACTCTGTCACCCAGGCTGGAGTGCAGTGGCGCAATCTCGGCTCACTGCAAGCTCTGCCTCCTGGGTTCACGCCATCCTCCTGCCTCAGCCTCCTGAGTAGCTGGGACTACAGGCACACGCTGCCACGCCCGGCTAATTTTTTGTATTTTCAGTAGAGACAGGGTTTCACCGTGTTAGCCAGGATGGTCTCGATCTCCTGACCTTGTGATCCTCCTGCCTCGGCCTCCCAAAGTGCTGGGATTATAGGTGTGAGCCACCGCACCCAGCCTGTATCCAGCATTTTTAGGTGTTTTGTAGTGGAAGTGTTCTCAGATTATCTAATGAAGATAGTTTGAGATTTGAACTTGAAAAATTAAACTATCAGGTAAGAGGAGCAAAAAAAGAAGCATTTTCAGAGATGCAAGATTTCAAAAAAAATCTACCTCCCAAGGGTCTTTACTCCACCAAAACCAGGCAGTACACGATGCAGAGGAAGACGTGGGGTTCAGGAAACAGGAGCTGCAGCCCAGGAGTGAGGCTGAGGGGTCCCCTAGCATTGATGGGGTGACAGCTGTACAGCAAGCCTGGATGACAAACAGTCCTGCTTAGGGCAGGAGGGCTGCCTTAAAGAAAGATGAAATTATTAGGTTATCTAGTATGTTTGAAGGTCTTAGAGACAAAAACTTTTTCACCAGAGGATTTGAGGCAGAAGTAGTGAGAGGAAATAAAAAACTAAGCAAACAGGCTTATATTCCAAATGAAGACCCAAAGAAACAAGGAAACTTGGCCGAGTGCGATGGCTCACGCCTGTAATCCCAAAACTTTGGGAGGCTGAGACGGGCAGATCATGAGGTCAGGAGATCGAGATCATCTGGGCCAACATGGTGAAACCTCATCTCTACTAAAAATACAAAAATTAGCTGGGCATGGTGGCGTGGGCCTGTAGTCCCAGCCACTTGAGAGGCTGAGGCAGGAGAATCGCTTGAACCCGGGAGGCAGAGGTTGCAGTGAGCCAAGATCACGCCACTGCACTCCAGCCTGGGTGACAGAGCAAGACTCCGTCTTAAAAAATAAAAAAATAAAAAAAAAAGAAAAAGAAAAAAAAAAGAAACAAAGAAACTTGCACATTTTTGTGCTAGGTTTAAATTTTTCACTACTACAAACCATGTTGTAGTGAACATCCTTGTACTGCTTGCCTTGTGTACATGCTCAGGAGTTTCTCTGGGGCAATGATGTGTAAAAGCAAAAGGGCCAGCTGCTGGGTGTCTGCATGTTGTCTGGAGCCTCCTTATACTTGGTCAGTCCGTCGCTTCTCTGCTCTTTGGCTGAGATCAAGTGTGTACTTATCAGTCCAGGACCAGCCCCAGCCAGTGGGTAGTCATGAGGAAGTATGATTAGACAAAGAGGATGTGATCTAATGGAAAGAAACTGAGGGGAACTCAGCAAGTCCTGTTTGTTCAGATTCTTCTTGGTGTCTCTTCAGGATTAGGATGTTCCTAATGCCCCTTTCCTCTGCACATAGGAAGGGTACTTCTGGAGTGAGGGTTTTATGATTCACTCCAAAGAAGGGCAAGAGGGAGGTGAGAGTGACCTTACTAATTCTGCTGTTTCTCAAATGCCAAGATGCTATCTTTTGGGGTAACATGTCCTGAACCTCATCAGGAGAGAGTGATTAATTCAGCTAGGGAGGCAGGCTAGTTAGATAGAGACTGTGAACCCTGAAAGACCAGGGCAGAGAGTGCCTTTCAGAAGAAAGGTAGTTAGAGCAGGTAGAATGGCCCAGACGCTATAATCCCACAGCATAATCTAGGAACTCCCAGCCACCTGGCCGGGGGAGGAAGGTTAGTGAAACCTTTTTTTTTTTTTTTTTTTTTTTGAGATGTAATTTCCCTCTTGTTGCCCAGGCTGGAGTGCAATGGCGTGATCTTGGCTCACTGCAACCTCTGCCTCCCAGGTTCAAGTGACTCTCCTGCCTCAGCCTCCTGAGTAGCTGAGTAGCTGGGATTACAGGCACCTGCCACCATGCCCAGCTAATTTTGTTGTGTTTTGTTTGTTTGTTTGTTTGTTTTTGAGATGGAGTCTCACTCTGTTGCCCAAGCTGGAGTGCAGTAGCCTGATCTCGGCTCACTGCAAGCTCCGCCTCCCAGGTTCAAGCGATTCTCCTGCCTCAGCCTCCTGAGGACTACAGGCACACACCACCATGCCTGGCTAATTTTTGTATTTTTAGTAGAAACGGGGTTACACCATGCTGGCCAGGCTGGTCTTGAACTCCTGACCTTGTGAGCTGCCCGTCTTGGCCTCCAAAAGTGCGGGGATTACAGGCATGAGCCACTGCGCCCGGCCTAATTTTGTATTTTTAGTAGAGATGGAGTTTCTCCATGTTGTCCAGGCTGGTCTCGAACTCCTGACCTCAGGTGATCTGCCCGCCTCAGCCTCCCAAATTTCTGGGATTACAGGTGTGAGCCACTGCGCCCATCCTAGTGAAACTTTTAAGCAGAGGAGTGACATGCTCAGCTTGGCCATTTTAGTAGCTTAGTCTGGTAGATATACAGAGAATGAGGTGAGGGGGTATGAACTAGGCAGCAAAGAGCTGAGAAGAGCAGTAATCTAAGCTACAAATGAACGGGTCTTGACTATGGCGGCTGCAACGAAAGGAGAAAGGAAAGGTTAATTAGGAATCAAATCTAAGAGTTTGATGATTAAATGGATGTTGAGAAACATGGACCACAGAAGAATTTAGGGATGACAGCTGGCTGGGAGAAGGAAAAGGAAAGGGAACTAAAAGGACTAAGGTATACTGAGAGATGCTGAGACCTATTTGGGTTCTTCTCTGAGGCCTGGAAACAAGGTCCTCCTTCCTTGTGCTTGTGGCTGCCCAAATAAAATCAAGTTTTATAAACCAGGGAAGAAAGGAGAAAAAGATGTTGGGTAGTGCTTATAAGATAGAAACTTGTTGTATGCTTGACGCATTACTTTCAGTGCCTGTCTTGATTCTCAAGCAACTCTACAAGGTACTGTTTTCACTGGGAACACATGAAGTTACAGGTAACAGAATGCATAAATCTGGTTTAAGCCATGAAGACATTTGAAAATCTGACATAAGAATCCTGGAGAAAGAAGTTTCCTTTTTAGCTGCAGTGGCTCAAGGATGTCATTAAGAACCCGGCCTCTTTATGTCTTCCTAATCCTCCTCCTCAACACGTTGGTTTTTCACTCTTAAGCTTGTCAACACAAGGCTTTTCCCTTTCCGGGATTTTATCTTTAACTAGGCTACAAGAATCTTTCCAAAAGCCTGCTTCCAGACTCTTCCATCTCATTGGCCATAATTGGCCACATGCTGAGTTCAGAAGCAATCTCTAGCAGGGGAACGGGCTAAGCTTCAATCAATCATGACTTTTCTCTGAGGCCTGGGGACAGGTATTCCTTCTTTGTACATGTTGTGGCCCAAATGAAATCAGGTTGTATTAACTAGGAAAGAAGAAGAAATAACTGTTAGGTAATGGTAGTAAGTCATATTTCCAACCTTCAGAACATCTGAGGAAAGGGGACAAAAAGAAAAAAGAATTGACCCAGGTCAATCTCCTAAATGCTTTTTTTTTTTTTGAGACAGAGTTTCACTCTATTGCCAGGCTGGAGTGCAGTGGCACAATCTCGGCTCACTACAACCTCCACCTCCCAGGTTCAAGCGATTCTCCTGCCTCAGCCTCCTGAGTTGCTGGGACTACAGGCAGGCACCACCACGCCCAGCTAATTTTTAGTAGAGATAGGGTTTCACCATGTTGGCCAGGATGGTCTCAATCTCCTGACCTTGTGATCCGCCCACCTCAGCCTCCCAAAGTGCTGGGATTACAGGCGTGAGCCACCACACCTGGCCCAATCTCCTAAATACTTATTGATGGCATTTACAATCAGAAAGATAACAAAAAGCCCTTATTTATGCAATAATTTACCAGGATATAGCTGATCTGTCAGCTGTGTAATTACTGAAGTATAAAACGAAGGTGTTTCCTGACCTCTTTGTGTAAGTTATATCCTGCATGCATCACTTAAAAACCTCCTATGTCCATTTTGTGCCAGGGTGCATCCTAATATGGCGAGAGAGGACCGGGAGCTGCACTGGTGGTCCTCAGCATCTCTGTGCTTGGCCCAAGTCTCAATATCATGTGTATCTTTCGAATTCTCAGTAAAGGCCAATACTGGATAAGATTACTGAGTCCTGTGAGTCTAATTGAACAATCTGATCTTTTATGTTATCCTAGGTAGGTAAACAACAATGTTATTATCCCCATTTGACAGAAGAAGAAATAGAAACCTAGCAAGGTTTAAAACCTTGCCCAGGCCGGGCACAGTGGCTCACGCCTGTAATCCTAGCACTTTGGGAGGCCAAGGCAGCCAGATATCCTGAGGTCAAGAGTTTGAGACCAGCCTGGCCAACATGGTGAAACTCCGTCTCTACTAAAAATACAAAATTAGCTGGGCGTGGTGGCGCGCACCTGTAATCCCAGCTCCTCAGGAAGCTGAGGCAGGAGAATCACTTGAACCCAGCAGGCAGAGATTGCAGTGAGCTGAGATTGCGCCACTGCACTCCAGCCTGGGCAACAAGAGAGAAACTCTGTCTCAATTAAAAACAAACAAACAAACAAACAAACAAACAAAAATCCTTGCCCAAATTCACCTAGCTATTGATGAGTAGACCAGGATAGCAGGATAGCAACTGGGGCTTAGCTAGTTTCTACCACAGCATGTGGCTAACTGGTTGGTGGTGTTATTCCCTGAAATAGGAATGTGATGAACTCTTTCCCCTCATCTCTGGACACAACTGTATGACATAGCTAGCACATTTCTGTCACATTCTTATATAAATGATCTGTTGAGGCCACAGGCTATCGTCAGACAGCCAGACATTCTTCCCGCTTCACTACCAGGATTTTGGCTGGATTTTTTTTAAGGTAGCAGAAATTTACTTACAAGGAATTGAAAGAGGCTCCAGGGAAGGAGATGTAGTCAGTTCAGTTTGACATGTCTGTAGGACACCAACAGATTTCTAGATGTTTGAATATTCAAAACAAGTATTATGCTAAGAATGATCAGGGCTGGAGATACAGCTTTGGAGATCACCAGCACTAGCTGAAATCATGGGAATCCATGAGATTAAGCAGAAAGTGGGTTGAGAGTAGGAAGTAGACAGCCAAGGATGGAAGCATGGGTAATACCAGTGCCCACGGTGGGGCAGAAGAGGAGGTTGTGATACAGCAAACTGAAAAGAAAACATTAGAGAAAGACAAGTGTGAAAAATTATAAAACTGTGTTACAAATTCCAGGTAAGGAGAGTTTCAAGGAGTGAATGGTCAACCACCAAGCCCAGTGAGGTCAAATAACATGACAGAAAAAGACTCATGGACTTGGCAGGTAGGAGATCACCAGCCAGTGGCCTTAGAGCCACTCAGGGGAGTGGTGGCCAGAGCCAGACCACAGCGGCATGAAGACTGTGAGGAGATGAAAATGTGGAGTGAAGAAACTTTGATAGGAAGGAAGAAGAAAGGAAGACACTCAGAAGCTGAAGCAGAGGCTTTGAGGAGATGTTTTTCTGTTAGGGAAATTAGTTATGTATTTGTGGATATCAAGGAAAGGAACCAGTGGAAATGGAGACATCAAAGTCACCAGAAAGGAAATGGACAGGCCAGGCACGGTGGTTCACGCCTGTAATCCCATCACTCTGGGAGGCTGAGGCGGGTGGATCACCTGAGGTCAGGAGTTCGAGACCAACCTGGCCAACGTGGAGAAACCCCATCTCTACTAAAAATACAAAATTAGCCGGGCATGGTGGCGCATGCCTGTAATTGCAGCTACCTAGGAGGCTGAGGCAGGAGAATTGCTTGAACTCGGGAGATGGAGGTTGTGGTGAGCCAAGATCGCAACACTGCACTGCAGTCTGGCCAACAAAAGCAAAACTCCGTCTCAAAAAAAAAAAAGAAAAAAAAATGGACAGGTAATTTAGCAAGACAGCAAGGGAATAAACTCAACAGCAAAGATGGAAAATTTAGCCTTGAAAAGAAGGGAAATTTCTGAGGCTGGAAGGAAAGAGATAAGCAGACCTACTTATAGCTGGGTTGATTTAGTTTCTGTTGGCTGGGAAATGAGTAAAGATGGGCAAAGTTAAATAAAATGTGTTCACATAATCAGTCTGGTCTATATTTATTTCCCTGTAACCAGAGAGGCAGCATATTCTAGCATCGTAGACTCTGAAACCCAACCTGCTGCTTTGAATTTTACTTCTGGCCATGACATGCTTTTTCGTGGAAGGTCATATTTATATCACTGCAGTAGAATCACAGCAACTGTGCCTAGTCTTCATAGATTATTTAAAAGATTCAGAACATGTGGGACAGATAATTTCAGTCCTTGGAGCCCTATTATTATTTTTATTGACACAACAACAGCCTTGATAATGTGGTATAAACTGGCCTAAATTTAGTTATTTATCTTATATTTGACTGTATCAAAGCAGTGGGTAAGACAGCTAATAATAAAAGCACAATTGGACAGTTAAAATGGATTAAGAAGAAAAACAACTATGACAAAAATGTAAACAATAACAATTACAGAAATGTAAATTTGAAAAATGAGGCATCTTGTGTTAATCAAAAGTGAAGTCAAATTATTAAATCCTTGTAGGGTAGACTTTAGGAAAAGAGTAATACAGAAATTGTCAGCCAGTATTGAAATTGGTTTGGTTCTTTGAATACTTGCTAACATTTGTTGAGCACTTATCCTACATTGGGCACCGTTCTAATATGTATTCATCTCATTTTAATTTAACCCTCTGAGGTAGATCATGTTACTATTATCGTCATTCCTATTTTCCAAGTAAGGAAACTAGGGCACAGAAAGGTTAAGTAAATTGGCCAAGGTCTTATAGCAAATAAGTGGCCCAGCTGCAGTTCAAAACCAGGTAGACTAACTTTACAGCCCTTGCTCTTAACTAATACTCTAGATCTGCAGTTCTCAAACGGGTCTCACGGACACTCCACGTTCTTAAAAATTATTGAGGCTTTCTTGATAAAACATTCAGCAAACTAGGAATAGAAGGAGACTATCCTCAACCTGATGAAAAACACAGCTAACATCATACTCAATGGTAAAAAGCAAAATTTTCCTCTTTTTTTTTTTTCAGGTGGAGTTTCATTCTTGTTGCCTAGGATAGAGTGCAATGGCGCGATCTCGGCTCATCGCAACCTCTGTCTCCTGGGTTCAAGTGATTCTCCTGCCTCAGCCTCCCAAGTAGCTGGTATTACAGGCATGTGCCACAACACCTGGCTAATTTTGTATTTTTAGTACAGACGGGGGTTTCTACATGTTGGTCAAGCTAGTGTCGAACTCCCAACCTCAGGTGATCCACCTATCTCGGCCTCCCAAAGTGCTGGGATTACAGGCATGAGCCACTGTGCCCGGCCAACTTTTCTCTTAAGATCAGGGATAAGACAAGGATGCCTGTTTTCACCACTGCTATTCAACACTGTACTAGAACTCCTAGATGGAGCAATTAGCCAAGAAAAAGAAAAAAAAAAAAGCATCCAAATTGGAAGGGAGGAAGTAAAATTATCTTTATTAACAGATGACATGATCCTATATATAGAAAACCACAAAGAATACACACACACACACACACACAAAAAAGCCCTACAAAAAGGCTGGGTGCAGTGGCTCACGCTTGTAATCCCAACACTTTGGGAGCCCAAGGCGAGCAGATTACCTAAAGTCAGGAGTTCGAGACCAGTCTGGCCAACATGGTGAAACCCCGTCTCTACTGAAAATACAAAAATTAGCTGGGTGTGGTGGCATGCGCCTATAATCCCAGCTACTCAGGAAGCTGAGGCAGGAGAATTGCTTGAACCTGGGAGGCAGAGGTTACAGTGAGCTGAGATTGCACCACTGTACTCCAGCCTGGGCAACAGAGTGAGACTCCGTCTCAAAAAACAAACAAAAAAAATGAAAACAAAAAACACACAAAAAAACAAACTCTTCAATGTCTGGCTTAATAGGAGACAGCAGGATTCTCTGCTTCTGCATTCCATCTGTTTCAGTATCGCAAGTCAAGTAGCCTTTGGAAAACCCCACTGCACGCTCCTGAGACAATGAGAGTAAAAAAGGCAAAAATGTCTTAGTATTTTTATGAAAATGCTTTTGATCTCACAAATCACTTGAAGGGTCTCCATGATCCTCAGGACCCCAGACCATATTCTAAAAACTTCTACCACGTACTGTATAGACAGGGACTGCTTCATGGACATAGGACAGGTGCAGTCTCACAGGGCCCTGTGCTCTGGAGAGCCCCCTATTTGAGGTTTAGTGCTTTGCAGTTGCCATCTTGAAAAATTCTTACTCATTTTATCTTCTTTTTTTTTGAGACGGAGTCTCGCTCTGTCACCAGGCTGGAGTGCAATGGTGTGATCTTGGCTCACTGCAACCTCTGCCTCCCAGGTTCAAGTGATTCTCCTGCCTCAGTCTCCCAAGTAGCTGGGGCTACAGGTGTGTGCCACCACACCTGGCTAATTTTAGTATTTTTAGTAGAAACGGGGTTTCCCCACATTGGCCAGGCTGGTCTCGAACTTCTGACCTCAAGTGATCCGCCCACCTTGGCCTCCCAAAGTGCAGGATTACAGGTGTGGGCCACTGTGCCTGGCCCTTAGTAATTTGATCTTTGAATCTGTGTGTTGTAAGTGAAGTCTGATGAAACAACAGGGCATGCACTGGAGCTTGCACCCTGGCTCATGGAGGGTCCCACCTCCTGCTGCCTCCCCACTTCCCAGGGACCAACCCAAGCCACTTGCTTCCTACCCCCTGGTGCCTTGGGCCTCACTTGGCCCGTCTCCCCAACTCCTGCCCAGCAACCACTGTCACCCTCCATCTCTGGTGGGAACCTTGGCACAGGAACCAGAAGATCAGAGTTAGGCACGGGCACCCAGGTTGTAACTCATGGGAAGGTATGGCAGCAACCTACCTCACCCAGACTGGCAATGCCACGATGCGTTCAGTAGCAACTCTTAAGGTATTTTAACAGATGTACTATACATCTGTAGCAACTATAAAGGTATTTTAACAGATGTATTATACATCTATAGTAACTATAAAGGTATTTTAACAGATGTATTAGTTATTAAAATCAAAAATATAAACTAGGCTGGGCGTGGTGGCTCATACCTATAATCCCAGAACTTTGGGAGGCCAAGGCGGGCGGATCATAAGGTCAAGAGATAGAGACCATCCTGGCCAACATGGTGAAACCTCGTCTCTACTAAAAATACAAAAATCAATTGGGCATGGTGGTGCACGCCTGTAGACCCAGCTACTCGGGAGGCTGAGGCAGGAGAATTGCTTGAACCCAGGAGGTGGAGGTTACAGTGAGCCGAGATCATGCCACTGCACTCCAGCATGAGCAACAGAGAGAGACTCTGTCTCAAAAAATATATATATATACACTAAATGATTGATAATAGAAAATTTTTTCTATTGAAAATAGAAAAATGACCTAGAGAAAGTAGTTTTTTCTTCATCTCCTACTATATCTCCTCCCCTAATATTCACCATCTCAGCTCTTATCCATTGAGAAGTCCTAGAAAAAAATCATGAGCACAGAAGAAATGAGCTCCCCTGGGGCCACATTCTGGTTTCTAGATATATTTCCCACTGAAGGGAACAAATGGTCCTGGGAGAAAGGGCTGATTCCAGGTCTGGGGGAGGAGATATACCTCTTGGCATACTACAAATCAAGGAAGTGCTCAAAGACCACTGCCGTTGTGTCAAAAGACTCAGAAACCCAGGACCTAGAACAATGCCTGGTAATTAAAATGCCTAGACACTGACATTGAAAATAAGCCCATGTGGATGTGTGCAGGAGGGAATAGGGAACAGTGTTTGCTACCTGCTCATTCTCTGTATTCAAAATCTTATGGCAAGGACGGTCTTACTCATCTTCTAGCTGAATACCCGATGCATAGCTCCAACAAAATGGCTATTGCTTGGGTGGGTGGATAGATGATTAGACAATGAATAGAGTGAAAAAGTAAGAGAAATTATAAAAATTGTTTAACTACTAAATAAAATATTGTGGGGAGTTCCAACGCCAGGAGCTTTCTTCTCAAGTTATTCTATTCAAATATATACAAAACTTTCTATCATAAACTACTTTCAACAGTAACAAAAGTCTGCAAGGTGGGAAAATCAAGGAAAAATAAACAAGAGAAAGAAAGAAGGCTGCAAATTTATTCACGCCATACTCAGAAGTGCTGAAGAAATGTTTTATTTCTCTGTTAAGTGATTGATCTTTTCTTTTTTTTTTTTTTTTTTTTGAGACGGAGTCTTGCTCTATTGCCCAGGCTGGAGTGCAGTGGCACGATCTCTGCTCACTGCAAGTTCTGCCTCCTGGGTTCATGCCATTCTCCTGCCTTGGCCTCCTGAGTAGCTGGGACTACAGGCACTGGCCACTACGCCCGGCTAATTTTTTGTATTTTTAGTAGAGATGGGGTTTTGCCATGTTAGCCAGGATGGTCTCAATCTCCTCACCTCGGGATCTGCCGGCATCGGCCTCCCAAAGTGCTGGGATTACAGGCGTGAGCCACTGTGCCTGGCCAAGTGATCTGATCTTACCAGGTCCCACCCACTAGGTAACAGGGAAAAAATGTATTTCAGTCTATCCCACTGCAATTAGTCAAAGACAAGAATGTAACCAATCCATTTAAGTAAGGCTACCCCATAAGCAAAATGTCTCAGCCTGATTCCTCTCTCCACTTCCAGCTTATCTCTAAGGTAGCATCTGGGTCTACAGAGAAGGGGCCGATGTCACTTTGAGATATTGTGGGTTTAGAAGCCTCCCTTGGCCTCGTGTTGGCCCTTTGGTATGTGCAGCCTGGTGATCACTGAGGGGCAGTTGGACCTGGCCCTGGTGTTCTGGGGTCCACAGCTAATCTCTGCAGTTGGTCTAACCAGCTTTGTTCCTCTCGGTCAGAGCCAAAGGGCCACTCTCCAGCTGGCTCAGCCTCACCTTGGCTTTCACTGACCCCATGAGCTCCACTGAATCACTGCCACATTGTCCATCTGGCCCCTGACCAGGAGGTCGAGCAATAGGGTCACCTCACCCTCTCCCAGCAGGTCCATGGCTCTTCATTCTGCATTCCTGGGAGCTAAAAGAGGCTTGGGAGCAAACACCAGCCCTTCTCCCTGGCCACCCTAATGTTAAACCAATCACCTTGATAAGGAAGCCAAATATTCACTCTTTCCTGCTCTGGCAAGATAAGCCTTCTGTCTTATAGGAGGAAAGCTGCACAGGAATATTAAGAGGGAAATCAAGGCTGGGCGCGGTGGCTCACGCCTGTAATCCCAGCACTTTGGGAGGCCAAGGTGGGCGGATCACCTGAGGTCAGGAGTTTGAGACCTGCCTGACCAACATGGAGAAACCCTGTCTCTACTAAAAATATAAAATTAGCCGGGCGTGGTGGCGCATGCCTGTAATCCCCGCTACTCGGGAGGCTGAGGCAGAAGAATCGCTTGAACCCAGGAGGCAGAGGTTGAGGTGAGCTGAGATTGTGCCATTGCACTCCAGCCTGGGCAACAAGAGTGAAACTCCGTCTCAAAAAAAAAAAAAAGAGGGAAATCAAATACATCACTTTATTGTGTGCACAAATATTGTCATCGTTACTCAAGCAAGCAAAAAGTAATTTAAGGACATTGACAGCAAAAAGCAATAAGAGCCTAAGGAATATCTCTTAACTAAATCTTCCAGAAGAAATGCAAGAATTTAAAGAACAAATCTCCAGTTCTTTTTTTGAAACTTCAATAAAGTCTAACATATACACAGAAAGGTGCATGAATCCTGAAGTGTATAGCTCAGTCAATTTGCAAAAGTGGATAGCTCTTGAAAACACACAAAGAGATGTTGGACATAAGGAGCTGCCTCAGTAGCGATATTCAGACCCCGAAATAGAACAGTGACAGCACCCAGAAGCCCACCTCTTGTCGTTTCCATACCTTGCCTTCTGACACCATAGATTAGGTTCTTGTTTTTGCACTTTATATATATAGTACACACTCTTTGGGATCTGGCTCCTGTTATCCAATATTATGTTTGTGATATTCATCTGTGATGTTGCATTTCATGGCTCATTTTCATGGCTGTTTAGTATTCCTCTGTGTGAATATACCACAATTTCTATTTTCTACTGAAGATGAACACTTCAATAGTTTTTAGTTTTTATTACAAATGATACTCTTGTGAACATATTTGGACATGTCTTTTGGTGAACACAGGTGCATATTTCTTTTGGGAATATCCCTAGGTCACAGATTATATTTATGTTCATCTATAGGTGATAATGCCAAACAATTTTCCAAAATGGTTGCACAAATTTATACTCCCACCAGGAGAGTATGAGTGTCCTGATTGTTCTATGTCTTTGACAACACTCGTTATTGTCAGCCATTTAATTTTTAGCTATTGTGGTTCTGGTGTAGTGGTATCTCATTGTGGCTTTAATTTGCATTTCCTTGATGACTCATTATGTTGAAGATCTTTTTGTGTACTTATTGGCTATTTGAATACCTCTTTAATGAAGTGCTTGTCTTTTGCCCATTTTCTGCTTGATTGGCTTCCTTTCTTTTAACAATTTAAACATTCTGGTTGCCAGACCTTTATCGATAAAGATCTTTTCCAAGACGATGGTATGCCTTTTCCTTCTCTTGATTGACATCTTTGATAAACAGAGGTTCTTCATTTTAATATAGCCTAATTTATAGTTTTTTTCTTTTACAGTTAAAGCTTTTTATTTCCTTTTTAAGAAATTTTTGCCTACTCCAATGTGTCCTATGATTTCACCTATAAGATTTTTTTATGCCTTTCACATTTGGATTTCTTGTGTGAGGTTCATCATTTATAAAAGAGATAAAGGGAGCATACACCCAAGAGCAAGAAGGCCAAGATTTAAAAAAAATTTGTTATAAAAAAATCTATGATAGACTCTTTAAAGTCATCATTAGAAGTGGAAATCAAAATTGACATGGTAGAAAATCAATCAGCAAAACAAGTCTAATTTGAGAAACATTCAGAAAATGAAAGAAATCTACAAAGAAAAACATACAGTAAAACAAGAAAAATTAAAAAATACTATAGTGTGCAGAATAGCTTACGTGTAGTGTATTTTATGAATTATAAATGTATATTTCTTTACATTTTAACATCTCTGAAATTTGAATGAATCTTTTTTTTTTTTTTTGAGACAGGATTTTGCTCTGTCTCTCAGACTGGAGTGCAGTGGCATGATCTCAGCTTATTACAACCTCCACCTCCCAGGCTCAAGCAATCTTTTCACCTCAGCCTCCTGGGCTGGGCACGGTAGCTCATGCCTGGAATCCCAGTGCTTTGGGAGGCTGAAGTGGGCGGATCACTTGAGGCCAGGCGTTCAAGACCAGCCTGAGCAACATGGTGAAATCCTGTCTCTACTAAAAATACAAAATTAGCCGGTGTGGTGGCATGCACCTGTAATCCCAGCTACTCCGGAGGCTGAGGCAGAATTGCTTGAACCTGGGAGGCGGAGGTTGCAGTGAGCTGAGATCGCACAGCTGCACTCCAGCCTGGGTGACAGAGCAAGACTCCGTCTCAAAAAAAAAAATGGAATTTTTGAAAGAGAAATGTGTAAAAAAATAAGTGTAATGTCAAAAGGAGGAGGAGGAAGAAGAGGAGGAGGAGGAGGAGGGATGACCAAAAATAATGACCTCAATACGTTAAGTAAATATGCTTATTGGTATTATTGTTGCTTCTAAATAAGCTGTCCTGCCTTCTATTTCCATTTCATTAACAAATCAATCTCCCCTCCACACTCCTCTTTATGTAACAAGCCGCTGGACATAATTTACTTAAATACGAACCAACATTTAGTTCAGTTCTACTGGTCCAAGCAGAGGCATACTCTCACAGGGCCAGAAGAAAGGAGGAGAAATTTTGATATAAGATGACACATTCAGGGAGTCCATGAGAGCATCGTGGGATCTGGAGTTTGTAAGAAAAATGGTGGGATGGAAGTAAATATAAACCATGCCTAGAACCCTGGTGCCAGCCAGTGCAACAGATGCTTGGGTTAAGAAACCAAGGCTCTTTGGAAGCTACAAACCTCAGCTTCCTCCAGTCATCCCAAGAAAACTGGATCCGAAGGAACGTTATTGCCTCAAGGAACCTAGGAACAGGAATTTTCCACCTCTTCAATCCAAAAAGATAAAGGGCACAGATAGACAGTATCTCCTGTTCCCACCCACATGTCGAATTCATCAGGGAAAAGGTGCCAAGAATCTGTTTAGGATGGGTAGACGTGTCGCCCATCCCTCAGATGGGTCACAGACTAAAATTGTGTATCAGCTATTAAATAAATTCTTACTCAAGCCCAGAAGAGTGGCTCCCAGGTGAGGCAGAACAGAGATATTTACTCTAACATGCAGATGAGGCGTGTCTGAAAAAGAGCTAGCGAACTGAGAGAACCTGAGTGGACCTGGGGAACTGACAGGTCCTTCTTTCCACTCATCTTTTTCTTGAGACGGAGTCTCCTCTGTCGCCCAGCCTAGAGTGTAGTGGCACAATTTTGGCTCACTGCAACCTCCGCCCCCAGGTTAAAGCAATTCTCCTCCCTCAGCCTCCTGAGTAGCTGGGACTACAGGTGTGCACCACCATGTCCAGCTAATTTTTGTATTTTTAGTAGAGACGGGGTTTCGCCATGTTGGCCAGGCTGATCTCGAACTCCTGACCTCCAGTGATCCACCTGCCTCTGCCTCCCAAAGCGCTGGGATTACAGGCGTGAGTCACCACACCTGGTCCCTTTTTTATCCTCTTCTTGAAGAAAAGGTCTGACCATTGAGTCATGGGAGTGACGTATAAAGAAGAGAACCTCTCAGAGAAGGATGAAGAAGAGGCAGCAAACTCACTTAGCACTGCCACTCAATGGAGTGTGGCACAGTGGGGGAGCCATCAGTGAATGTGGCTGGGCACAGACAGCTGGGATAGGAGCCTGAGACAGAGGGGATGGGCAAGGGGATGGTCGAAGACAGGACAGCAGAGAAGGAAGGCTGAGCGGCTCTGTGCTGAGCGTGGCAGGCAGATGGTGGGAAATCTGAGATGGGGGCGGTCTGCACCATGGGGAGACGGGGTGGAAAGATGGGGGGATCAAGCTGCTTCACACTAGGGGTGACCCTTTTTCTGTTTGTTCGCTTGTTTAATTCCTAGGGCCATGCCTCTGGGAAAGGCTTCTCAGAAACTCTAGATCTTGGAGAAAGAGGGAGTGTTGGGTTTTGGGGCTTAGGTCAAACACATCTTTCTGAAAAGTGTGAATTCTCAGTTGAAAAAAGGGGAAGTATTGGGAGAAATTAACCCTATGGGCTCAGAGATCTTAGAAATCAGACTCTACTGTGTGTTAGTGTTACAGTAAAGTGTGTTGAATGCTGGAGCGGGTTTTAGATTTATAGGAAGGAGCCGGGCACAGTGGCTCACATCTATAATCCCAGCACTTTGGGAGGCTGAGGTGGGCAGATCACCTCAGGTCAGGAGTTCAAGACCAGTCTGGGCAACATGGTGAAACCCCGTCTCTACTAAAAATACAAAAATTAGCCAGGCTTGGTGACGCGCACCGGCACTGGTGGTCCCAGCTACTTGGGAGGCTGAGGCAGGAGAATCGCTTGAACCTGGGAGGTAGAGGTTGCAGTGAGCTGAGGTCGTGCCACTGTACTCCAGCCTGGGTAACAGAGTGAGACTCCATCTCAAAACAAAACAAAACAAAAAAAGATTTGTAGGAAGGGCAATGTTGGGACCCCTGGCTTTTATCCTGCACTTCTTTCCTGGAGCTCAAAGTCGGGTCATGGGCATAATCGCAGCCTTATGAATAGAGGATATTATTTTACATGCTTATCGGTCTCTGCTGGATGTGTGAGTCTTTTTCTGCCTTTGGCTTCTTGACCTTAGCTTCTATTTATACCTACAATACTCATCCTTTCAAATAGAGGGTAATTCAATAGCAGCTATATTTTCATGCACTCGCTGAAATATAAAAATCCTAAGGGCATAATAATTGCCTTTTATGCTTTTTAAATGTCTTATCTTTCTTTGGCATTAAATTATTTTCCAAAATAGATTTCTTCCTTCTTCTTTCTCCTGACTGCCTTTTCTAGAATTTTACTCAATGTTTTTTGCCAATAGGTCTTTTTCTTATAAGTCCTCACATTTGTTCTAATTATAAACTAGCACACATGGTGACATATATTACTTTCCTAGGCTGGATTCCAGAAAGCAATGACAAGCAAAGAAAGAAGAGCTCCAACGTAAGCTGAATTTAGTCTAGGGTATGACAAATTGCCTTTGCTGCTGCATTTTTATTTTTTCAAATCCACCAAACATCAAGAGTTTTATTTCTAGCTGAGCAGGCTTCAGTGGGCTTCCCCCTTTTCTACTAAATTATAAGCTTCTTCAGGGTGAGTAACATTTTCTAGTCATCTTTGGAATCTCACCTCTAACTGCCTTGCAATGAGCATCGAACTGAATTAAATTGCATTTAATCAAATGAAAGGTGAAACCTAACAGCATTTCAGAGGAAGTCAAGGAAACAAACTGCATTCTATGGCATAGACATGCCTAGAGTCCCTGCTATAGTTGACCAGTTGGATAATTCAAAATTTGTATATAGTCAAATCTCACAGTGTTTTTATTTAAAAAAGAAAAAAAAAACCTCTTTCTCTAAAATAAGAAAGGTAATAGATTTGGAGGCTGAGATGGGCAGATCACAAAGTCAGGAATTCGAGACCAGCCTGGCCAACATAGTGAAACCCCGTCTCTACTAAAAATACAAAAAATTAGCCGGGTGTGGTGGCAGTCACCTGTAATCCCAGCTACTCAGGAGGCTGAGGCAGGAGAATCGCTTGAACCCAGGAGGCGGAGGTTGCAGTGAGCGGAGATTGCACCATTGCGCTCCAGCCCGTGCAACAGTGCGAGACTCCATCTCACAAAAAAAAAAAGAAAAGAAAAGTAATAGAAAGTGGGGGAAATCACCCACATTCCCATTATCCTGCAATATATCAAATTGATAACAGTGGTCCTACTTTGTCTCTTTATACACATATATGTGTGTGTGTATGTGGCATTTAAAACAAAATGGTATACTCTGAGCCCAAAAGACAAAATGATATGCTACACGTCTCGTTCTGTAGCCTGTTTTTACTTAGCATTATGGGTTGAGAATATTTTTTCACATCAATAGAATTTTTTCAACAGATATTTATCATTCCATCATATGATTGATTATACCATAATTTAGTTAACCACTGATCTAAGTTGTTTCTATTTTAAAAAATATTATAATGCTTTGATATCTTTGTTATTGTTGCTTTTAACTCTACACCCAGCTCTTATTTCTTTAGGATACCATAGGTAGAATTACTGGAACAAAAGATATGTAGGTTTTAAACTGTGGGCACATTTATGAATTGCTCTTCAGAGAGGTTATACTTCTGTGAGTTCCCTGTTTGTGTCTTTTGTCCATTAAAAAAGAAAGAGTATTTGTCCTATTGATTTGTAAAGGCTCTTTATATATTAAGGATATCATGCCTTTGTCATAAATCATGCAAACATTCTTCTCAGTTTGTGTTTCTTTTTAATTTTATTTTGTTTTATTTTTATTTTTACTTTATGTTTTTCTAATCCCAGCACTTTAGGAGGCTGAGGAGGGCGGACTGCCTGAGCTCAGGAGTTTGAGACCAGCCTGGGCAACATGGTGAAACCTGTCTCTACAAAAATACAAAAAATTAACCAGGTGTGGTGGCACATGCCTGTAGTCCCAGCTATTCGGGAGGCTGAGGCACAAGAATTGCTTGAACCCGGGAGGCAGAGGTTGCAGTGAGCTGAGATTACACCACTGCACTCCAGCCTGGGTGACAGATCGAGACTCTTTCTGCAAAAATATATAAAATAAAAATAAAAATACATAGCACCAGAAGCTAGTCTATGGAAAATCCTTCAAAGTATAAAGTTGTAAACAAAAGATTTGATTCTCATTAACACTTGGTGAAAACAGAAGTCTTCTCCTTTCAGGAACATTCTTGATAATTTATTGATTATAACCATACCCTTGTGTGACAGGAATCACACAAAATAGAACTTATCAGATTCCTTGTTTGTAGGGCACAATATTTTTTTTTTTTTTTTTTTGAGACAGAGTCTTGCTCTGTCACCCAGGCTGGAGTGCAGTGGCACGATCTCTGCTCACTGCAAGCTCCGCCTCCTGGGTTCATGCCATTCTCCTGCCTCAGCCTCCCGAGTAGCTGGGACTACAGGCACCCGCCACCAAGCCTGGCTAATTTTTTTTGTATTTTTAGTAGAGACGGGGTTTCACCGTGTTAGCCAGGATGGTCTTGATCTCCTGACCTCATGATCCACCCGCCTCGGCCTCCCAAAGTGCTAGGATTACAGGCGTGAGCCACCACACCTGGCCTATAGGGCACAAATTTGTAGCAGTTCTCTGAATGTCTGATACAGCTCAGACAGAAAAGAAACACCTGACCTCAGGCGATCTGCCCACCTCGGCCTTCCAAAGTGCTGGAATTACAAGCATGAACCACTGCACTCAGCCTATTCCAATGTTCTATTATCACAAATAATCCTGCACTGTTATCTGCTGTGGTTTGGATGTGGTTTGTTTGGCCCCACCAAATCTCGTGTTGAAATGTGATCCCCAGTGTTGGAGGTGAGGCCTGATGGGAAGTGTTTGGATCACAGGGCAGGTCCGACATAAATGTCTTGGTGCTATTCTCATGGGAGTAAGTGAATTCTCACTCTTAGTTCTCATTAGAACTGATTATTGAAAGAGCCTGGCACCTCCTCCCCTCTCTCTTGCTTCTTCTCTCACCATGTGATCTGTACATGCCAGCTGCCCCCTTTGCCTTCCACCATGAGTAGAAGCAGCCTGCAAAACTGTGAGCCAAATAAACCTCTTTTCTTTATAAATTATGTAGCATCAGGTACTCCTTTATAGCATCACAAATGGACTAGGACAGAAAATTTGTACCAAGGGTCGGGGGTTACTAGGAAGATACCTGAAAATGTGGAAGTGGTTTTAAAACTGAGTAATGGGAAGATGTTGGAAGAGTTTGGAGGGCTCAGAAGAAGACAGGAAGACAAGGGAAAGTTTGAAACTTTGAGACTGGTTAAGTGGTTGTGGGCAAAATGCTGATAGAAACATGAACAATGAAGGCCAGGCTGATGAGGTCTCAGTTGGAAATGAGGCACTTATTGGGAACTGGAGCAAAGGTCACCCTTGTTAAACTATAGCAAATAACGTGGCTGCATTGTGTCCATGCACTAGGACTTTGTGGAAGGCTGAACTTCAGAGTGATGACCTAGGGTATCTGGTAGAAGAAATTTCTAAGCAGCAAAGCATCCAAGACATGGTGTGGCTACTTTTAACAGATTATGAGCAGATATAGGAGTCAAGGCATGATCTAAAATTGGAACTTAAAAGGGAAGCAGAGAGTAAAACTTTGGAAAATTCTCAGCCTGGCCATGTGGTACAGAAGGAAAGAACATTTTCAGGTGAGGAATCCAAGAGCACAGCTGAGCCACCACTTGTTAGAGAGATTATCACAGATAAAAGGGAGGCAGGTGCTCGGGCCAGGCGTGGTGGCTCACGCCTGTAATCTCAGCACTTTGGGAGGCCAAGGTGGGCAGATCACAAGGTCAGGAGTTCAAGACCAGCCTGGCCAACATGGTGAAACCCCGTCTCTACTAAAAATACAAAAATTAGCTGGGCATGGTGGCACATGCCTATAATCCCAGCTACTTGGTAGGCTGAGGCAAGAGAATAACCTGAACCCAGGAGGTGGAGGTTGCAGTGAGCCAAGACCATGCCACTGCACTCCAGCCTGGCAACAGAGCGAGACAGTCTTTAACAAAAAAAAAAAAAAAAAAAAAAAAAAAAAAAAAAAAAAAAAAAAAAAAAAGGGAGGCAGGTGCTAATAGTCAAGACAATGGAAAAAGTCCCTGAAGGCATTTCAGAAATCTTCAAGTCTGTCTCTCCCATCACAGGCCAGGGGTCTAGGAGGACAGAATGTTTTGGGGGCCAGGCCTGGGGTGCTGCTGCCCTGCAGCCACCTTTGGACTCTGCTTCCTACATTCCAGCCCTGGGTGCTGCTCAGGCTGCCTATCCAGAGGATGCAAGCCATAAGCCTTGGTGGCATCCACGTGGTGTTAAGTCTGCAGATATGCAGAATGCAAGAGTAGCAAAGGCTTACATTT
Source organism: Homo sapiens (assembly GCF_000001405.40). NCBI lineage: Eukaryota > Metazoa > Chordata > Mammalia > Primates > Hominidae > Homo > Homo sapiens. Next base: position 83,073,678 of record NC_000015.10, on the reverse strand, counting down.
CCTTGTAGTTTGATATATTTCATCAGTATGGAAATTTTCCAGCCAGTATTTTTTTCAAATGCTCTTCTGCCTCATTCTCTATCATCCTTCTATGACTCCATTATACATATGTTAGTCCTTTTCACTTTGTCTCATGATTAACAGAATTAACAGACATATGTTGTTTCCTATTTATTTATTTATTTTATTGAGACAGGATCTCATTCTGTTGCCCAGGCTGGAGTGCAGTGGCATGATCATGGCTCACTGCAGCCTCCACCTCCAGGGTTCAAGTGATTCTCCTGCATCAGCCAGCTGAGTATCTGGGATTACAGTTGGACACCACTATGCCCAGCTAATTTTTGTATTTTTTGTAAAGGTGGAGCTTTGCCATGTTGCCCAGGCTGGTCTCAAACTCCTGGCCTTAAGCAATCTGCCTGTCTTGGGCTCCTAAAGTGCTGGGATTACAGGTGTGAGCTGCTGTGCCTGGCCTGTTTTCTGTATTTTCTATGCTTTTTTCTCTCTGTGTTTCAATTTAAACATTTTCTACAGGCTTGTCTTCCAGTTACATTAATTCTCTGTTCTGCTATATCTAATTTTCTATTAAACACAAATTAGTTATTAATTTGTTATAGTACTTTTTCAGGTCAAGGATCTCCATTTGACCCTTCTGCACAGATTCCAATTCTCTGGTAAAATTCTTCATCTTTTTTCTATTTTTTTCATACAGTAATTATAGTTATTTTATTTATTATTATTATTATTATTATTATTTTTATTTTTTTTTTTTTTGAGATGGGATCTCGCTCTGTCAGGCCCAGGCTGGAGTGCAGTGGTGCAATCTTGGCTTACTGCGACCTCCGCCTCCCAGGTTCAAGCGATTCTCCCACCTCAGTCTCCCAAATAGCTGGGATTATAGGCACCCACTACCACGCCCAGCTAATTTTTTGTATTTTTAGTAGAGATAAGGTTTTACCATACCGGCCAGGCTGGTCTCAAACTCCCTACCTCAGGTGATCCACCTGCCCTCAGACTCCCAAAGTGCAATCATAGTTATTTTAAAGTCCTTGTCTGATAAATTCAATACCTGAATCCTATAGAACTGATTCCATTATCTTCTCTCTCTCTCCCTCTCTCTCATGTTTTCAATATGCCTCATAATTTTTAATTTTCTTGACAACATTGTAGATGAAAAAGTGTAGGACAACACATATGTCTTCAAACAGATCACCTTGAACCTGTCAAGGATTAGTTTTAAGCTATTGAATTTTGTTCTTACTAGTAAAGTATAATTCTTTTTTCTAGGGCATGTCCCTATGGGATTTCAGCCAAAAGTTTCGTGTTTGCCAAGGCTCTCCCATCCTGGTGGAGCTTGAACCATAGCCTCCATCTCTCCAGCACTGTGCAGCACATAGAAGTCTCTACTTAACTCTTAGTCTCTCAGCTGCCATTGTTTCTCCCTGCACAGGGCAGCTTAGAAGTTATCCAATAGCATGAAGTGAATTTGTTTGCAGAGTTTTAGATTTATGTCTCTGCAGTTTCCTCATTTCCAGGACTTTCCCCCAGTTACTTGGGCAGCCTCATACTCTGTCTCCTTATTTCTTTCTGCTTGGGAAACAAGCAACAAATTAGAAAATGCCTTCAGAGGAAAAGTTGGAGTGAATCTCACACACTTCTTTTAAGGATCCTGATCCCTCAAGTCTTATCTGTATCCTTTATTTTTTTTTTTATTTTTTATTTTTGAGACAGAGTCTCACTCTGTCACCTAGGCTGGAGAGCAGTGGCGCAATCTCAGCTCACTGCAACCTCCACCCCCCGGGTTCAAGCAATTCTCCTGCCTCAGCTTCCCAAGTAGCTGGGATTACAGGCGCCTGCCACCACACCCAGCTAATTTTTGTATTTTTAGTAGAGACGGGGTTTCACCATCGTGGTCAGGCTGGTCTTAAATGGCTGACCTCATGATCCACTTGCCTCAGCCTCCCAAAGTGCTGGGATTACAGGTATGAGCCACTGTGCCCGGCCATCTTTTATTCTTTTTTAAAAAATTCATTTATTTATATATTTTTTGAGATGGAGTTTCATTCTTGTTGCCCAGGCTGGAGTGTAATGGCACAGTCTCAGCTCACTACAACCTCCACCTCCCGGGGTCATGCAATTCTCCTGCCTCAGCCTCCCAAGTAGCTGAGATTATAGGCGCCCCCCACCACGCCTGGCTAATTTTTTTGTATTTTTAGTAGACATGGGGTTTCACCATGTTGGCTAGGCTGGTCTCAAACTCCTAACCTCAGGTGATCTGCCCACCTCGGTCTCCCAAAGTGCTGCAATTACAGGCATGAGCCACTGGGCCTGGCCAGCATCTGTTATTCTTTAATATTGACAAAAACTCCCTTGACCAAACTTTTTATTCAGGCTCCTTAGGACTTTTTTCTCAACTAGGCCTCTACCTTGGCCCATATCCTGTCTTTGGCCTGCCCAACCCAGTCTTAGAAAGAATCTCCCCACCCTTAACGCATCATCTTAGTAATTTTCCACCCATTGACCCCCCTTCACTTTGTTCATTGGCTATAAATGCCCAGCTGTTGATGTTGTTTTCAGAACTGTGCCTGATCTCTCTCTCCTGTTGCAATGCTTCCACTGCAATCATCTTGAATAAAATCTTTCTTACCATTTTAACTAGTGTCAGAATAATTTTTTTCTTTCTTCTTTTTTTTTTTTTGAGATGGAGTCTTGCTCTGTTGCCCAGGCTGGAGTGCAGCGGCACGATCTTGGCTCCCTGCAACCTCTGCCTCCCAGGTTCAAACGATTCTCCTGCCTCAGCCTCCCAAGTAGCTGGGATTACAGGCGTATGTCACCACACCCGGTTAATTTTTGTATTTTTAGTAGACATGGGGTTTCACCATGTTAGCCAGGCTGGTCTCAAACCCTAACCTCAGGTGATCTGCCTGCCTTGTCCTTCCAAAGTGCTGGGATTACAGGCGTGCGCCACTGCAACAGCCCAGAATAATTTTTTTCTTTAACAATGCCTTCAAACAGTTGTTTACACACACACACACACACACACACACACACACACACTCCAGCTTGTATAGTTGTTTTTGGTGGGAGGGTTAGACAAGTTGGTACATTATGGCTGAAACTGGAAGTCTACTTACTTCTATAACAAACATGTATTATTTTAAACATTTCCTTTAAAACAATAATAACATGTTTAACGAGCTCATCTGGAACCAGTCTTCCCTGAAGGTTATTATTTTGAAAGTTTTAATGTCCTGTATAGATAATTGAATTGTCCAGGTTTTCTAGACGAGTACATTCCTTTGATATTTTCAAAGCCACTAATAGAATTACTCATATTTTTAAACTCCACAATTATGTTTATATATCCTTTCTTATGTCCAATTCTATGTTTTTTAATCTCTTTCCTTTTAAACTAGCTAGTATAGTATACTATAGAGTGTGATCTATGAAAGGCCTGCATTAGAATACCTGGGATGACACTTAAAAGTAGTAAGTGAATTAATTTTCTGAATCATCAATGGATACTGAAATCAGTAGGTGAAAGCTTTTTGGGGAAACAGACTGGTCAAACAGTCTCAGAGCATCACCCTCATGGATTACTTATTACATAAGAATCATACACCTTCATAATGGAGGGATCTGACAGTCACAGCCTCACCAGGTCATCAAGCTTAGCATCACCAACATACGCTTTCTGAAGTGAGGCAATGAAGTACTTAACATCACCAGCATATTCTTGCCTAAAATGTTTAACCTGGAATCTAACCATGAATCATACAGAATCCACCAGACAAATCCAGATTGTGGAGCATTATACTCCACAATTCCCCGGACCTTCAAAGAAGTCAACACAGTCAATAATATGTGAACATTGATTTGATCCTGGATTGGAAAAAAAGTCATCTGTGAAAGATATTTTTGGCCAGGCACAGTGGCTCATGCCTGTAATCCCAGCACTTTGGGAGGCCAAGGTGGGCAGATCATAAGGTCAGTAGATTGAGACCATCCTGGCTAACACGGTGAAACCCCGTCTCTACTAATGACAGGTGAAGCCAACTGGACTTCTGGGTAGGGTGAGGACTTGAAGAACTTTTCTGTCTTACAAGTGGTTTGTAAAATGTGCCAGTCAGTGCTCTGTAAAAACACACCAATCAGCACTCTGTGGCTAGCTAGAGGTTTGTAAAATGGACCAATCAGCACTCTGTAAAGTGGACCAATCAGCACTCTGTAAAATGGACCAATCAGCATTCCGTAAAATGGACCAATCAGCACCCTGTAAAATAGACCAATCAGCACTCTGTAAAGTGCACCAATCAGCATTCTGTAAAATGGACCAATCAGCAGGACATGGGCGGGGACAAATAAGGAAGTAAAAGCTGACTCCACCCCCCCCACCCCCGCCGGCCCCTCCCCTCCTGCCCCCACGCCCAGAGACTGCAACCACCCGTTGGGGTTCCTTTCCATGACATAAGGGCTTTGTTCTTTTGCTCTTCAGAAGAAGTCTTTGGGTCCCTGCCATCTTAAGAGCTATAAAACTCATCAGGAAGGTCCACAGCTCCATTCTTGAAGTCAGCAAGACCACGAACCCACCAGAAGGAACGAACTCTGGACACACTAAAAATACAAAAAAAAAAAAAAATCAGCAGGCTTGGTGGCAGGTGCCTGTAGTCCCAGCTACTCGGGAGGCTGAGACAGGAGAATGGCGTGAACGTGGGAGGCAGAGCTTGCAGTGAGCGGAGATCATGCCACTGCCCTCCAGCCTGGGCAACAGAGCAAGACTCCGTCTCAAAAAAAAATTTTTTTAGAGACAAGTGGAGAAACAAATATTAACTGTACATTAAATATTATACATAGGACCAGGCCTGGTGGCTCATGCCTGTAATCCCAGCACTTTGGGAGGCCGAGGCGGGTAGATCACGAGGTCAGGACTTGGAGAGGAGCCTGGCCAATATGGTGAAACCCCGTCTCTACTAAAAATACAAATAATTAGCTGGATGTGGTGACACGCACCTGTAACCCCAGCTACTCGGGAGGCTGAGGAGGAGAATCGCTTGAGCCCGGAAGGCAGACTTCATGCCATTGCACTCCAGCTTTGGCAACAGAGCGAGACTCCGTCTCAAAAAAAAAAAAATCATATATAGATGATTTGATGATATGGTTAATTTTGTTAGGTGTGATAATGGTATCATTAGTAGCATGATGTCCCTTTGTCTTTAGGAATTGCCGGCTGGCAATGGGGAAGGGGTTGTGCATCCACTATTTCAGCCCCTACTACTTTAAGTCTCTTCCCAAGCACGTTCCTCTCCCAAAGAAGTTACCATTCTAAATGCCTAACAGCTGGAAGTCCCCTCTGGTGGTTTCACAAGTGGAGTGATTTTACAGGAGAAACCCAGGTTTGGGGTTTACTATTTACTTGACGGCATTTGTAATCTGTAAGGCTCTTCCTGCAAAGAACAGGTGTTTCCAACTATACGTGCCTGGTCAAGGACTATTTCTTGGGTTTTCTACGTTCTGCTTTTGACAGCTGACTTAACTCAGGGCCTGCCTCACTGAAGGGAGAAAAAGGAAGGCCTCGGTCCCCCAATCATGATGACCGGGTTGTAAATACTGCCTGGGAAGGGATAATACAGCCTTTTCCATTGTGTGTGTGTTTTAGTTTTTAATTTTTTAAATTTCAAGCTTAGGCAGTGGTTCAGTGCAAGGACTGAAAAGCGCTACAAGAGAAGGTGGGCAAGCACGAGGGGTTTCAAATACAGGGGTGGAAGCAGTAGAAGGAAATGTCTCTTAGGCCCAGAGGACGGAACCAAAGGGTCAATTAGAAGGGAAAGGGACCTGCGGACCTGGGGAGAGGTCACTGGGGTTCTAAGCCTTCCACCTCTGCTTCCGGAATTTCCACGGGTTTCGCGGCCTTCTGGAGCGGCGACTTGGCCACGCTTGGGGTACAGGGTTGTGGGAAGTCATGTCATCCCCTCCCTCACGTGTTCCCTTGGCCATACTTTCCTGCCCCTCCACTTCCAGGCAAAACACTCCTCGGGACAGGCCTTGGGACATGTCCCAGATACACAATGGGGGCGCTGGACTTGGTGATAAGGGGCCTGCAGGAAGAAAAAGGCAGCCGTGAGAGCCGCCTGCAGATCCACGATGCATCTTAAAATTACAAATTCTCAGGCCCTACCCCAGACCTACTGAGTCAGAATACCCAGGGCACTGAGCCAGGGGGTGGGTGCCCGTAGGCCCGGCAGCACCCAGCCTGCAGAAGCTCCACCTCCGGGAGCGCTGAGCTAGGACCAGCTCCCCACGCCCCTGCCCTGGGGCTGCCGGGAGTCCAGTCCTGTTACACCTCCCGCGGCCGCGCACAGCGGCAACCCGGGCGTGCGGGGGCGCGCGCGGTCAGGGAGGGGCCTGCGGAGGCGCGAGGCCCCCGGAAGCGCCTTTCCCGGAAGGCAGGGAGGCAGCGCCGGCCTCCGGAGGCGGCCTGGGCGATGGCGGCGGAGTTTTGTCCATAACGTGGGCAACCGCGCAGCTGGAGGATGGCCTCACTCGGGCCTGCCGCAGCTGGGGAGCAGGCGTCGGGGGCTGAGGCGGAGCCGGGCCCCGCGGGGCCGCCGCCGCCGCCCTCACCGTCCTCTCTGGGGCCCCTGCTCCCCCTGCAGCGGGAACCTCTCTACAACTGGCAGGCGACCAAGGCGTCGCTGAAGGAGCGCTTCGCCTTCCTCTTCAACTCGGAGCTGCTGAGCGATGTGCGCTTCGTACTGGGCAAGGGTCGCGGCGCCGCCGCCGCTGGGGGCCCGCAGCGCATCCCCGCCCACCGCTTCGTGCTGGCGGCCGGCAGCGCCGTCTTTGACGCCATGTTCAACGGCGGCATGGCCACCACGTCGGCCGAGATCGAGCTGCCGGACGTGGAGCCCGCAGCCTTCCTGGCGCTGCTGAGGTGAGCGGCAGCGCGGGCCGGGCCGGGCCGGGCCGGGCCGGGCCGGGCCGGGCTGGGAGATCCCCGGGGCCCGGCCTACCCGGACTCCCGGATGACCTTGGGCTGGGCTCTTCTGACCCGCCCGGGGCCTCAGTTTCCTCCCGAGCCGTTGATGCTCCGGAGGGTCGAAATCGAAATCTGTGAACCAGGACGGCTCAGTCGCCAACTAAACGTTAGTGTCTTCATTAGGCAAGCGTGCGTTTTACCATTGAAAGGCGTTTCGCATTCCAATTATGGATTGTCGCTCAGACTTCAGAATTAGACAAGTGGCAAGGATAGAGGGGCAGATCAGGTTGTCCTGATTGCCCATTTGCGAAGTTTTATGTTTTTGTTTGGGGGAAGAGAGTAGTTGAAAAATCTTGCAGGACTGATGTTTTGGGGTTATTGTCACCCCCTTCCCCCCGCTTTTTTTGAGACAAGGTCTTGCTCTGTTGCCCAGGCTGGAATGCTGTAGCGCGATCATGGCTCACTGCAGCCTCGACCTCTCCGGGCTCAGGTGATGCTCCGACCTCAGCCTCCCGAGTATTTGGGACTACAGGCACGCGCCACCACGCCCGGCTAATTTTTTTTATTTTTATTTTTGGTAGAGAGAGGGTTTCACTATGTTGCCCAGGCTGGTCTCGGACTCCTGGGGTCAAGCGATCCGTCCACCTCGGCCTCCCAAAGTGCTGGGATTACAGGCGTGAACCACCGCGCCTGGCCACTTTTTTGTTTTTGTTTTTGTTTTTCATTAACGTATTAGTTGTCAAGACCCAGGAAAGTAAATACGAAAACAGACAAGTGAGGCTTTACCTGCTTTGTGTTTCTACACACAAGGTCACATTTGCTTATAAATGAATCCCTCCCTTGATGTTAGAATTTGCTTGTTGGTTATTTGAGGATAGTAGATTGACATCTAATGAAAAGGTGATTGTTTGGCATTACTAGCTTTTAATCACAGCCATCCTGTTAGGGAGGCGTAAGAATTGTTTACCCCAATTTCACAAATGGGACTGAGGCCCAGAAGAGTCAAGTATCTTGCCCAAGGTAACAAACAGCTAACTCACACTGAAGACCATGTCTGTTTCATTATACTAAGATGGTTTTAAATAGCTGCCTGAGTAGAACGTGTTGTTATTAAAATGGCAGAGTCTTGGGTAGTACTGAAGCAAAAACAGGCAGGTCAGTGGGACAGAATTAGATACAAAGGTTCACAGTTGAATCAGAAAGATGAACAAGAAAATGAATGTAAAGTTCACACAACTAGAAACAAATAATAAGATTCCATTGACGAATGGATAAAGGACAGGATAGATAACTTAGAGAAAGAAAAAATACAACTAATTAACGAATGTTTTACCTGGCTGGTAATTAGGAAGTGCAAATTAAAAGACAGTGGTATTTTTTCCTTCCATTAATCCCACCAAAAAATTTAAAGGTAACATCTGAACAGCATTTTCTGACAAAGATGGTGGTAAAAACCCTTTTGGAAAACAGTTTGGTGCTATAGATTTTCTTTCCACACGTAAGAAGCATTCAAGTATTGCAAATTGCATACAAAAATATTTACAGCTTTATTTATAGTAGTGAGGAAGTAGTCAGCTGTAGGGAATGGTTAAACAGTGGTAGGTTCACTTGATGAGATATAATGCAGTCACTAAATATGACGGATAGCACTTGAAACTGCACCATGGTTACAACGTGAAAAGACATGGAACAAACATATACCTAGAGACCGGGATAAAAGGAAACATACCAAAATGCTAAGCAAAGTCACCTGGAGTAGTGAGATGAAAGTACCTTTTTTTCTTCTTTATTCTTTGTTTCTGATATTTTCTGTAATTTAGTTCAGTTACATTTATAAAGGGGGGGGACCTCAAAAGCTAAAATCCAGGTCATTTTAGTTTAAAGTTCACCAGGAGGATTGGGTATAGTTCATTTGGATTTTCTAGACTAGAAGTAGTTTTCAAAATGATCTGTGGGCCGTCTGCATTATAATCTTCTGGGGTGCTTATGAAATGTGTAGATCTCATCCTCATTATATACCGTAATATTTGGAGGTGAGACCTTGGTAGCATTTTTAACACTCTCCCTAAGTGATACTTATACAAACTAAATTTAAGAACCACAAATCTAAAACTATTTTGGGGCAATTTTTTACTTTGAAAAAATATTGAGATTACTAGGATAAGAATGTAGAGGAAAAATACATATTTTAATATTTTCACCGAAGCTGCTAATTAGTGCTTTCCCATCAATAGAAAGTAAGTTAATTTTAGAGTGTTTGAAATGTAGGACAGTGCAATTTTTTTTTTCACATTGTAAAACATTTTTTACATTTTTAAACTTTTTTTTCATTTTTACATTTTCAGTGTGTTTTATTTTCCTAGCATTGTATTTATCCTTCAGGTTCTGGTCATTGTTCTATTTTGAAATTGATATCTGGACTGATTTCTAAATTTAATTTTGGCTGGCTGTGTAACGTAGATGTTGTTGTTAGCTAATACGTGACAAAAAGATGCCTGATAGTACTTGCTAAGTTGGAAGAGCAGGTTAGTTTGGGCATACTTGTAAACATCCTGAATTAGTTAACATTACTTACAGGCTCATGAACTTAAGTTTGAAGCCCTTAAAGAAACTGTGCACTTTGAACTGCCTGACCTTTAAATGATGTTCTTCAGTTGTTTGACAAATACTATATGCCTCCCTTTTGGGGCGCTTGTGAAACAGCGAATGGCTGTTGTAGGTGTTTGGGACACAGCAATAAACAAGAAAAAGTCCTTGCCCTCATGAAGCACATAATCTAGTAAAGGGAAACTAAAGATACAATGTCAAGTACTGATGAATGTTTTGAAGAAAAATAATCAAGTTATGAGAGAAGGAACATTCTCAGCAAGGGAACGCATTGTTTTCGGCACTAAGTATCTCCTGTTGGAGGAACACAAGAGTGAACCAGTGTGCCTTAAGCACAGTAGAGGGAAGTGGTAGAAAATGAGGTCAAAAAGATAGGCCAGACAGGATGGTGCAGGGCTTTAGAGACTGAGCGAAGACTTTTTCAGCTGGTATTTGATGGAAAGCCTTTGGAGAGTTTTGAATGAGATTGGGGAGGCGGAGGTGGTGGCAGGAGGTTGTGATCTGATTTACATTTTAAAAAAACAAACTCTTTCTGGCAGTGGTTGGAGTAAAATAGGCAGCAAGGTGATAGATGAAGAGGCTTTTGCAGTAGTCCAGGCAAGAGGCGATGGTGAATTGTACCTTGTACCAGGGAGGTAGCAAAGGACATGATGAGACATGGTCAAATTCTGGATATATTTTTGAAGGTACAACCAAGAGGACTTCCAAGACATCCAAGTAGTGTCATAGAGTAGACAGAAATATGAATTTGGAGGTGAGGGAACAGCTTGCTGAACATAAATTTGCAAGTTAAGAGTGAATGGTATTTAAATCGAGAGATCAAGTGAGATTACCTAGGAAGGCATGTAGACTGTGAAGAGAGGTACAAGGATGAGCTCTGGAATCTTCAAATATGTAGAGATGTAGCAGAGAAAAAGCATAAAATGAAACTGAGAAGCAGCTGTCAGTGGAATTAGAAGAGAAAGAAGGAGCATTATATTCTGAAAGTCAAGTCAAAACATTTCAAGAAAGAAGAAGTGGGAAATGTCAACTATGGAAAGTGGAAAGTGGTCAGTTATGCTCAATGCTATTGAGAGTCAGGTATAATGAAGACTTTGAGTTGATTTTTAATCTTGACAAGGTGGAAGCTATCGATAACCCTGCCAAGAGTGATTTCAGCTGATTAGAGTAGGTTAGGCAGAAAATGGGAAGTGAGGAGCTGGAGACAGTATAAACAGTCCTCTCAGGAGTTTTGTTGCAAAGGGGAACAGAGAATGACGTGATGGCTGGAAGGGGCACGAGGTAAGTGTTCTTCAGTATTCAGTCCTCAGCTCTCATCCTTTCTCCCATCAACCAAAGTGAGAGCTTTACGCACTCATTCCCCCACATGTGTCTCCAAAGCTCTACTTAGCTCCAGACCCTCATTTCCAACTGGACCATCGTGAAGTAATGTTTTATACCCATGCAGATGGACATGTTATTAATGAAAATATCTGACATTTAATGAGTACTTTTACTGTGTGCCATAGATTGTTCCTAAGCCCCTTTGTGATCTCACTTAAATTTCAGGAAAATCCTTTGAGACAGGCATACTTCTTATCCCCCTGCAATAGCTTTTGCCATATTAATGCTATAAATAAAGCAACCCCCAAAAAGCAATAATTTATTCTTGCTTATGATTCTGTAGGTCAGCTAGGAAATGACTTCATGGGCCTAGCTCCAAATTGTAGTTTCGTTTCACTCCATTCTACACATTTCTTGTCCATTTTAGACCATTCCTGAAAATTTTACCTGCCTCTCCATTTTTTTCTGCATTGCTTCAACCAAACTACTGCGTTTAGACTTAACTCTCTCCATTCATCCTGTTAACAGTGATCTCTCCAATATTGGTATATGGTCATATAATTCCCCTGAATCTTTTAATGACTTCTTTTTACCTACAGGATGTTTAAACACTTTAGCAGGTACATGAAACCTTTGTGATTTGATCTCTCTTTCTTCATCTCCTCTCCATCCACTCAGTGTTTCAACCCTAATTACTAATGGCCTTTTTCTTGTTTTAGTGCCTGCTTCTAAGGCCTCCTTACCTTTGTACTCCTCAGTCTTTCTGCCAGGGCTCCACACTTAATTACTACTCTTCAGATAATCTTCAGGCTTTACTTCCTCTGTAAAAATTCCACCCACAGGCAAAATTGCACACTGGCTCATCTAATTAATCTCTCACAGCATGTTTTGGTTATCTGTTGCTGTGGAACAAATCACTGGAATGCGTAGTGACTTAAACAACTTTTATTATCTTTTACAGTTGTGTGGGTTGACTGGAATCACTTAGGTGGTTTGTCGTCTATGTAGCTGTAGTCAGATAGCAGGTGGGGTTGGACTCATCTGGAGGTTTAACTCACAGTCTGGGATGGCTGAGCCTTAAGTCTCAGGTCCTCTTCAAGAGGCTTCTTCAGCTGGTCTCTCCAGCAGGGTAGCTTGACTTCGTGGCTCATGACTCCGAGGAACACAAAAGCAGGAGCTGCCAGGCATCCTTAAGGTGTAGGTCTCAGACTGGTGCAATGTCACTCTGCCACAATCTGTTGGTTCAAGGGGCTCACACAGGGACAACCCAGATTCATCATGGGACAGATCTATGTAAGGACATGAACACAAGAAAGTATGATTTCTTGGGGCCATCATTAGAGATTAGTTATTAGATATGAGTGCCTAATATATACTTCTGTTATTAGGACATTACTTTTTAATCATTTCAGTACCAGACTATAGTTGCGTGCTGCATAATGGCATTTTGGTGAACAGTGGACTGCAAATAAGATGGTGGACCCATAAGATTATAATACGGTATTTTTACTGTGCATTTTCCATGTTTAGATACACAATACTCACCATTGTTTTAAAGTTGCCTATAGTATTCAGTACAGTAACATCCTGTACTGGTTTGTAGCCCTGAAGCAATAGTCTATACCACATAGCTTAGGTGCGTAGTAGGCTATACCATTGAGATTTATGTGAGTGCAGTCTATGATGTTTGCATGATGATGAAATTGCCGAACAATGCCTTTCTTAGAATGTATCTCCATCTTTAAGTAATGCATGACTGACTGTGTAAGGTTTTTATGGGCAAAGCTATCTTACCCATATTTTTATCTCTAGCACTATTACAGTGCCTGCTATATAGTCCCTCAATAAATGTTTTTGAGTAAAATGAACAGATAAGTAGTGATACAAAGTTTCTTACACATATCTTGTGATCATTCTTATATAAAATCAAGTATTCACCTTAGGCTTTTAAAATTTACTTTATTTTATTTTATTTTATTTTTTGAGATAGAGTTTCACTCTGTCGCCCAGGCTGGAGTACAGTGGCGCGATCTTGGCTTACCCAATCTCCGCTTGCTGGGTTCAAGCAATTCTCCTGGCTTAGCCTCCCGAATAGCTGGGATTACAGGTGTGTGCCACCACGCCTGGCTAATTTTTGTATTTTTAGTAGAGATGGGGTTTTACCATATTGGCCAGGCTGGTCTCAAACTCCTGACCCCAGGTGATCCGCCTGCCTCGGCCTCCCAAAGTGCTGGGATTACAGGTGTGAGCTACCGTGCCCGGCTTTAAATTTTTAGTTAGATTAAATATAACCTAAGTTGTTTTTTTTTTTTTTTGAAAATTATTAATTTGGGGGGAAAATAGGACTAATTTGAGGACATGTAATAATTTTTCTGTGCTCTCGTCCTTAGAGGTTGTATATGAGAGCTTAAATGATCACTTTAAAATACGAAGAATTGTGGTAATGTCATGTTTAATCTTTACATTTTAAAAACCTTGGCTTAGTTTTTTTTTAAATATTATAAAAACTCTAATAATTAAATAGAATGTAAAGGAAATGTATACATATGAATCAAGAGGATTCTTGGATTTTTAAGTAACTTTTTTTATTAGAAATGAAAATATTTTCCCTTTTGACGTTACATAGAAACCTGTGCTGAATTGTCTAGTCAATTAACGTGTATTTATTGAGACTTAAACACATGCCCATAATGTGCCTGGTACTGTTTAAGAAATAAATTAAAAATATAAGATACACAGAGATCCTTTTCTTACTGTTTATTGTCCAGTATTTATTTTTAATTTGCAGTGCACCCAAAAGAACTTAAAATGTCTTATAAGAAACACAAGGGTAAGAAATAAACTAGAGTCAAGGGTGAAGCTAATAGAAAAATGTATGCTGTCAAGCTGGGTACAGTGGCTCAGGCCTATAATCCCAGCACTTGGGGAGGCTGAGGCGGGAGGATTGCTTGAGGCCAGGAGTTTGAAACTAGCCTGGGAAATATAGCAAGACCTGTCTCTACAAAAACATAAAGCATAAAAAAAAATGAGCTGAGCCTAGTGGCATGTGCCTGTAGTGTTAGTTACTCTGGAGGCTGAAGCAGGAGATTCACCTGAGCCCAGGAATTTCAGGATACAGTGAGCTATGATCGTGCCACCACTCTCCACCCGGAGTGACAATGAGACCCTGTCTCAAAAACAAACAAAATGTATAAGCTATAAACTTTTGTTGTTGTTGTTGTTGTTGTTTTTGAGACGGAGTCTTGCTCTGTCGCCCAGGCTGGAGTACAATGGCGTGATCTCAGCTAACTGCAACCCCTGCTGCCCGGGTTCAAGTGATTCTCCTGCCTCAGCCTCCTGAGTAGCTGGGATTACAGGCGCCCGCCACCATGCCGGCTAATTTTTGTGTTTTTAGTAGAGTCGGGGTTTCACCAGGTTGGGCAGGCTGATCTTGAACTCCTGACCTCAGGTGATCCACCTGCCTTTGCCTCCCAAAGTGCTGGGATTACAGGCGTGAGCCACCATGCCCGGCCAACTTTGTTTTAATTATCTGAGCAGCTAGTGCAAAAAGAGAAACCTGGGTGGACGTAATTATTTATAGATTAAAAACAAGGCAACTGCTTAGGAGATGCACAAATCTGATAATTAGATGAGTTTTTAAAAAAATCCTGATGAGATCCCCTCATACAGAAGACATTGCTGTAATGAAGTGTCTTCAGTCTGTGTCTTCAGATACATACTTGTTTTAAAAAATGTTCCTTGATAGAAAGCAAAAGTATATTACTGAAGTATAATTTGATAAAAGCAATTTGAATGGGAGATCTCACACAAAATAATCTACAAACTTGATTCTCTCTTGTTCCTGGAGTGTACTTCCCACCGTCCTTTTAATCTTTAGATCTAATCTCAAGCAGAAATTTCTCTACAAACCTTTTCCACATCTTCCTAAGTCAAAGCCCGCATTTATAGATTCTCATAGAACCATGTATAGGTTTGCGGCACTTGTCCTGTTAAGTGTGAATCTAATCAAGGGCAAATGGTGATAAAGGCCTCACATTGCTGCTCTGTTTTACAACTCTAGTAATTTTTACCTGACAAAAATACATCAAGGCAGGCATGTAAAGACTTCTAGACTGCTACCTTGTCCTTCAAACAAAAATTTCTTTTTTTTTTTAATTAAAAAAAAATTTTTTTAAGTCTCACTTTGTTGGCCGGGCTAGAGTGCAGTGTTGCGATCTCCGCTCCCTGCAGCCTCCACCTCCCAGATTCAAGTGAGTCTCCTGCCTCAACCTCCCAGATAGCTGGGATGACAGGCATGAGCCACCGTGCCTGGCCTAAAACAAAAATTTCATAGTTTTCTAGTTTAAGAAGGGAATTGAGCATGCTGTTAGCATTCTCTCTCTCTCAATTAAAATGACTATTAAGAAATTTTTAAAAAATAGTAAGTCCATTACAATGAAGAGAAAAAGAGAGGTTGGAAGGGCCAACAGAGTAGAAAGGGACAGAGAAGTTGGAAGCTGATTGATGGATGAACTAGAGTAGATGAATCTGGAGCCCAGAATCCAGAGCTTTCAAAGCCGCAGCGGAGCTGGAGCGCCTTTCCTGGCAGAACCCCAACAAAGTTCTTGGCTAGCAGTTGGAAGTAAGGAGGGTGGAAATGAGAAGGTAGTGCTAAAACATGGAAATTAATTTAAAGCCTGTGTATAGACCATCCCCTTAGCCAGCTGTCCATGACAATGGACAGGCTTTTTGAGATAAATTGAACAAACTGCCTGAGAAGAACTGGGACTGCTGGGTATGGCTTTGGGACCCCAGGGTTAAGCTCTCTTCCAATGGCTTTGAGGGGTCCCTGCCCTAGGGCTGGCTTCCCACTCTAATGCCAGGTGCCAGTCAGCAAGCCTCCCACATACACAGAGCTCCCAGCCAACATTTCTGTTTTGGAGATAGTATTATCTTGAAAACAGACCAGCTGCTTAGAATAGTGAAGTTGGAGACGGAGTTTAATCATCTGACATATAAGGAAAAGCAGAACGTGAATGACAGAGACCAAGAGAAACACAACAGCGGATCCTCAAGGAAACAGACGAGAACTTTTAAAACTTTGGTTAATGTCATCTTGGAGACTTCAGAAAGTTTTTGCGTTCATAAAACCAGCACATGGTGCTGTGGAGAAAAAAGGAACGATCAAGAAAGAAGCAAGCATTCTTAGAAATTTAAATGTGATTGCTGTAGAGAAAAATAGGAAGGCACCAGAAGATAATGGCAAGGAAATCTTCCAAAATGCAGAGGGAAATAATGATAAAAAATATGAGACAACATACAGATAAATAGCTAATATTTACTGAGGCAATTTTTTTTGTCAGGCGTTATTCAAAATGCTTTGTGTTTTAATTTATGTTAATCCTCACAACCACATTATGAAGTAGGTGCTCTTATTCTCATCTTTTTAGAGAGGCAGGCATTGATAATAAGTCACATGGCTAGCAAGTGACAAAACAAGCTCAAACCCAAGCAGTCTATTTCCTCTTGGCCTTACTGTATGGCACTGAAAACAGTCAGAAGCCCTGAAATGGTGTGTTATGGTAAACAGCTCTCCTGTTTCCTCAGCCTTGGTTTTCTTATTAAAATGCAGGGAATAGCACCTTCCTTCTATGTGAGAGGATTAAATGAATTGGCATTTGTCATACGGCAGACACTCAACAAATGGTAGCTTTCTCTCTGGTTTTATTCATTCCCCTCTCTTTGGCCATGAGGGACTGTGCCTTACTTAGCTTTTAATTCCCTGTATTCATCACAGAGTTTGCTACATAATGTCAAGTGAGCATTATGAGGGTGATACAGTTGAGGCTGAGGTGGGAGGATAGCTTGAGCCTAGGAGTTCAAGACCAGTCTGGGCAATATGGTGAAACCTGTCTCTACAAAAAATAAAAAATTAGCCAGGTGTGATAGTGCAAACTTGTAGTGCCAGCTACTTAGGGAGCTGAGGTGGGAGGATGGCTTGAGCCAGAGAGGTTGAAGCTGCAGTGAGCCATGCACTCCAGCCTGGAATCGATCAAGACCCTGTCGATGGATGGATGGATGGATGGATGGATAGATGAATGGATGGCTGGGTGGGTGGGTGGGTGGGTGGATGGATGGATGAAAACATAAAATAAAAATATAAGTAAATACTCCTCAGAAATTTAACTGTGATGGATTGCTTATCTAAAACATTACTGACCATCTCTGCAAATATGCCAATTGTTTTCCAGATTTCTATATTCAGATGAAGTTCAAATTGGTCCAGAAACAGTTATGACCACTCTTTATACTGCCAAGAAATACGCAGTCCCAGCCTTGGAAGCACACTGTGTAGAATTTCTCACCAAACATCTTAGGGCAGATAATGCCTTTATGTTACTTACTCAGGTAAGTAAATGTAGCTAAGGTATGTATCATTGTAGTTTTAAAATTGAGTAAACTATATATGGGCATTTAATATTTCCTGGAGAATTCTAGATTATAATTTTAAAGTATATAAAATGATTTTTATAATACAAATCAGGGAAACATGTCAGATATGTAAGATTTTAGAATTGAAAAGTGTATTAGAGGCCATGGATGGTGGTTCACGCCTGTAATTCCAAGACTCTGGAATGCTGAAGCGGGTAGATCACTTGAGGTCAGGAGTTCAAGACCAGCCTGGCCAGCATGACCCCGTCTCTACTAAAAATATAAAAATTAGCCGGCTGTGGTGGCGCGGGCTTGTAATCCCAGCTACTCAAGAGGCTGAGGCAGAAGAATCGCTTGAATTGGGGTGGCGGGGCAGACACCCTGGGAGACAGAGCGAGACTCCATCACAAAAAAAAGCATGTTAGAGTTAATACGGTGCTGAATCATATAGGTGAAGAAGCTAAAGCCTTATACATATAAGTGGGGTGTTGTGACTCAAGGTTAGATAACTATTTAGAATTGGAGTTGAGATTGAGATCCAGTATTGTTTCTACTTATGATTGAGAGTATGACAGCATGAAATTTTATGAATGTCTTTGTTCTCAAATTTTGCTGGATCTGGAATAAAGATGGAATATTTCAAGTTCTGAAAAGTTCTAAAATTAACGATCTTTGGACCTGTAATCTGGAAACTTGCTGATCTACTGCTGGAGGAGTTAAAGTTTTAGGTTTATGTGAAATATTCTTTTTCTGACATTTTTAAGTTTTCACTAAGTATAGGATCCATATAGAAAACTACATAGATTGTGGCTGGGCAAGATGGCTCAAGCCTGTAATCCCAGCACTTTGGGAGGCCAGGTGGGCGGATCACTTGAGGCCAATAGTTAGAGACCAGCCTGGCCAACAAGGCAAAACCCAGTCTCTACTAAAAATAAAAAAATTAGCCGAGCATGGTGGCACATGCCTGTAACCCTGGCTACTTGGGAGGCTGAGGCAGGAGAATAGTTTGAGCTTGGGAGGTGGAGGTTGCAGTGAGCCGAGATTGCGCCATTGCAGTCCAGCTTGGGTGACAGAGGGAAACGCTGTCTCAAAAAAAGAAAGTACACGTATTCTAAGTGTATAGTCTAATGAATTTTTACAAACCGAACACAACTGTGGAACCTTTAACCAGTCCTTAACATATAGTATTTAGCATTTGTTATATGTGTGTAATCTGAGCTTTATACTTTGTATATCAACAGTTTTTTTCTTTTTAGACAGTGTTGTAATCCTGTGTAAAAATTGTTTTTAAAATTCTAAGGTGATAAAATATCCCATTTGACATTAGTACTGGAAATAATTATTGATGGCCCCTAGCTCAACCCTCTCATTTTACAAACGGGAAAATTAAAACCTGGGGTAATTAACTGCCTTTCCAAACCCTCATAGGCTAGGTAGGGCCATGGCCCAGAGCTCTTGTTTTCCAGTTCAGTGTTCATTCTATCATTTAGAAAATGTTTGGTACCAGCCGGGCGCGGTGGCTCATGCCTGTAATCCCAGCACTTTGGGAGGCCGAGGCGGGCAGATCATGAGGCCAAGAGATCGAGACCATCCTGGCCAACATGGTGAAACCCCGTCTCTACTAAAAATACAAAAATTAGCTGGGCGTGATGGCACGTGCCTGTAGTCCCAGCTACTCAGGAGGCTGAGGCAGGAGAATCGCTTGAACCCGGGAGGCAGAGTTTGCAGTGAGCATAGATCACACCACTGCCTTCCAGCCTGGCGACAGAGCGAAACTCTGTCTCAAAAAAAAAAAAAAAAAGAAAAAATGTTTGGTACCTTTTAAAAACATCTTCTCTCATGAGGTATTTGTAGTTACAGAAGAAAGAACATTCTGATGTCACCTCTTCTTGGACATAATTACAGAACTCCACGTATGCCAGACCCCAAGCTATCCCCTTTACATATATTATGGCACTTACTCCTCACTATGATGCTGTGATGTAGTTTAATATTATTGTCCCTTTTTTTCTTTTTTCTCTTTTTTTTGAGGCAGATTCTAACTCTGTTGCCCAGCCTGGAGTGCAGTGGTGCAGTTCGGCTCACTGCAACCTCCACCTCTTGGGTTCAAGTGATTCTCCTGCCTCAGCCACCCGAGTAGCTGGGATTACCAGTGCGTACCACCACGCCTGGCTAATTTTTTTATTTTGGTAGGAACGGGGTTTCCCCATGTTGGCCAAGCTGGTCTCAAACTCCTGACCTCAAGTGATCCACCTGCCTTGGCCTCCCAAAGTGGTGGGATTATAGGCGTGAGCCACCGTGCCTCGCCTATTATCTCCTTATTCTCTTTTTAAAGATGAAAAATGGAAGCTTACAGAAGTTAACGTCTTATTACACTAGACAGCAGTGGGTAAAACTAAGGTCTCACCTAAAATCGATAGTTGTGAAGGTTTAGTGATACTGATAATAGCAGAATGTACTGGGAGCTGATTGTATGCCAGGCACCTTTCTCAGCACTTTGTGTACATTAATTCATTTAATCCTCACAATAACTTTATGAGGTGTAGGTTTTCAAAGTAAAGGTTTTCTTATTATCACCATTTTTAAGTAAGGAAATTGAGGCACAGAGAGGTGAAGTAACTTGACCAAAGTCATATAACTAATAAGTGATATCTCCGTATTTTTTCCTCTTTTGAATTTGTCATTAAAATCTAATAAATAAGTTGATATTCATAAGATTCTTTATTGTCCAAGGAGTTTTAATGCATGTAGAGACGATCACTTAACTACTTTTATTTTAAAGGTGAGATATAAATTCAGAAACCAATAAACTAAACTTTGGCAATTAAAATGCAGATACTGGTTCAGTAGGACCAGAATAGGGCCTCAGAGTACATTTCTAACAGGCATTCAGATGACACCAGTGTTTCTGGAGTACATGTTGGGTAGCAAGGATTAACAGGTGTCACTATGAGAAAAAAAAAACTTTTCAGTATCTTATTGGTCTGAGATTCCAGTATTACATTTTTCACTGGTGGGGTCATGTGAATTAGCCCATAAATTGTCATGTGAAACTTCTTGTTCCTGCTAAGTGAGTCATTTGAACTGAGCATGTTCATTTACTTAAGAGGGCCTTTGCCAGCTTCTCTCTAAAGCAAAGTGCCAGTATACTGTACCAGCATGATTTATAGAGGGAAAAACACTTTTTATGAAGTGTTATCAAAGAGAATGCCAAAGTCAAAGTCCGTTTTGAGAAAATTTATTTTACCCTAAATAGCAGCAGTAGATTCCATAGGAAATTTGATATTGCCTGTGTAAGGAGTGACAGACATTTGCTACCCTGAATAAGATAATTTTTATAGAAAATTGTTTTTCCTAGAGTGAAAGATCAATTTTTATATGAACACCAACTAAAAATATAGTTGAGTTGGCCAATTAAAATGTCTTTTGAGGCTGGGAGTGGTGGCTCACACCTCCCAGCACTTTGGAAGGCGAAGGTGGGCAGATCACGGGGTCAGGAGATCGAGACCATCCTGGCTAACACAGTGAAACCCCGTCTCTACTAAAAAAAAAAAAAAAAAAAAAAAATTAGCCGGGCGAGGTGGTGGGCGCCTGTAGTCCCAGCTACTCGGGAGGCTGAGGCAGTAGAATGGTGTGAACCCGGGAGGCAGAGCTTGCAATGAGCCGAGATCACGCCACTGCACTCCAGCCTGGGCGACAGAGCGAGACTCCATCTCAAAAAAAAAAAAAAAAATCTGTTGATATTAGAATTTCACTTTATAAAAATGTACTACTTCATAACTTGAAAATGTATAACTGTGATCCTAGACTAGATGCCGTAGTAGAAGGAAAAATGTTATTAAAAAACGTTGGGGCAAGTGACAAAACTGAAATACAGCCAGTGGATTAGGTAAAGATATTGTATTGATGTTAAATTTATCAAAATTAATTACTATGATTATGTAAGAGAATATCCTTAATCTTAGGAAATTTAAGAGTAAAAGCCCTTCAAACCTGATGGCTCACACCAAAAATCCCAGCACTTTGGGAGGCCGAGGTGGGTGGATTGCTTGAGCCCAGAAGTTGGAGACCAGCCTGCACAACATGGTGAAACCTTGTCTCTATTAAAAAATACAAAAACCAAGCACGGTGGCCCATGCTTGTAATCCCAACACTTTGGGCAGGTGGATCGCTTGAGGTCAGGAGTTGGAGACCAGCCTGGCCAACATGGCGAAACCCTGTCTCTATTAAAAATTCAAAGATTAGGTGGGTGTGGTGGCAGGCGCCTGTGGTCCCAGCTACTCAGGAGGCTGAGGCAGGTGAATCCCTTGAACCTGGGAGGTAGAGGTTGCAGTAAGCCGAGATTGTGCCACTGCACTCCAGCCTAGGTGACAGTGAGACCTTGTCACTAAAAAAGAGAGTAAAAGGCCATGATGTGTGCAACTTACTCTCAAATAGTTTAGTCTCTCCTCCCAGATAGATGTGTGTGTGTGTGTGTGTGTGTGTGTATATATATGGAAAAAAAATTAATAAATGAGGCAAAATGTTAAATAATATTTAGATAAATCTGGATAAAGGGTATATGGGTTTTCATTGCACTATCTTTTCAACTTTTCTATAAATTTGAAATTCCAAAGTATTTGTGTGTCTAAACAAAAAAGGTGCAGTTAAAAAAAAATAAGGAAATTCCAAATGAAAAATAGTTTGAGGGAAAATTGCATGAGATAGATTTAATATTTATTAATACAAATTTTTTATTTAGTGCTAAAATTTATTTAAAATTTGACAAAGCAAATTATTGTAAACAGGCTCAGTGTATAATCTAGGAAGTGCATTTTCAAACATTCGAGTATTCTATACATATTTTATGTTATATGTAAATGTTTTAAACTTAAAATATATATATATATAATTTTTAAAATATACTTAAATTTAAAAAATTTAAAGCCAGTGTGTTTAATGTTTTCTTTTCTCCCCCATAAAACACATGATAATTGTTTAGATATTTATCAGTTGTTCAGTAGTATCTGAATTATTGAATACTTTAAAATGAATTTTACTTTAAAATTAAATGAAGAGTCATCATCATGCCAAATAATTAGTGTCATTTATGATATGGTTAACTAATTGGCAGTATTCTCAGAAAGTTTCTGCCCAAGCCAACATAATACCTTTGGGCATTTAGTGTTTGCCCATCCTCTAAAATGTGAAGAGAACTAACCCCAGGCCAGAATGAAAGGTTGGTCATTGGCATGCCTATCATCATACCTCCTTTTTCAGTGTTTCAGCTTTTTAAAAATCTTGCTTGAGTTTAACTTGGACTCCCCCTGCTTATAAACTGTTTTTTTTTTTTTTGTGGGGGAGGGTTATAACATATGTATTGATAAAGCACATATTGTAAGCTTGACTTCTAACATCTTAAAGCCAAAATTAGTTCTTCTGGAATTCTACAGTACATATTCTTGCTCATTATATATTCTGGCTTTTTTGCTCATCATTAGGTTTGTGTGGTTCATTTATATTGGTTTGTGTAGTTGTAGATTGTTCATTCTCATTGTTGTATAATATTCCGTCATGTGAATTTTATGTATTTGTTCTTGTGTTGTTAGACCTAATTTTGCTTAGGTTTCCAGAGCTGTCATGCTCTAAAATTCTAGTACCCTATTCTCTCCTCAAAATCAAAACAGGCAATGGAAGAGAAAATCTGATATTTGCACTGTTGTGCTTGACAATTGATATTATAATTAGTGAAAAGACTATAAGATTTAAGTACTAGCTGTGCAACATACTTAACTAGATGATCTTAGGCAAGTCACTGTACCTCTCCAAACCTCTGAAAATGGGATAATAATGTAAGCCTTATCTAACATAAAGGGTTCATTAAGGATCAGAATAAGTAATGTATAAGAATATAGGCTGTACACACACACACACACACACACACACACACACACAAGCACATAAAAATAACAGGATTGGTATTGGTAATGTCAATTTGTTCTTAGCAGGGCATTTGTATTTTTAGCTTTTCATTTCTGATTGTAGAATGAAAAGTTTTAAGAATATGTAGACATTATTGCGTGTATTTTAAGTAGATATTTTTACATAATTAGCAATTATAACTGTTGACAATATTAATTTCAAATATGTACAGTCTGAAGGTAAAATAACTATGAAAGTTAAATAACTATCTCTTTATATGTTTAGGCTCGATTATTTGATGAACCTCAGCTTGCTAGTCTTTGTCTAGATACAATAGACAAAAGCACAATGGATGCAATAAGTGCAGAAGGGTTTACTGATATTGATATAGGTAAGTTCGCTATGAAGTAAATTGTTACATTTTAAGTACAGTTAATGCCTTACTTGTCAGCCTTGTTGGAGAAGGGGCTATTTTTAAATCAGTGGCTTTCCCAAATGATTGAAGTCTCTCTAAGAGTTTTGCTTTTTTTTGTTTTGGTGAAAATATTTCTAAAAGTCTTAACTAGCTCATTGCCTGTTAAAAGATTTCAAATCAAATAAATATTCATTGAATGCCCATCATATGCATGGCATTATTCTAGGGTCCATAGGAAATATAAAAAATAGTAAGAGATGAGTTGTCTTGTTAAGGAAACGTCTAATTGGAGAATCAAAGAACAAATATTTGAAAATTAAGATTTAAAACGCTAATAGAAGAGAGGGCATTAATACCTGGGTGATGAAATAGTCGGTACAGCAAACCCCGATGACACAAGTTTACCTCTGTGACAAACCTGCACATGTACCCCTGAACTTAAAATAAAAATTAAAAAAAAAGAGAGGACATATGGTAAAATGTGATTTCTATCTTTTCTAAATTAGATATGTAGAAAGTAATTACTATGCAAATCCGGAAAATGGTGCGATTACTTCAAATTGCAGTAGTGTTAGGAAAATTTTGACAGAGGAGGTTCTGATATGAGCCTTAAAGAATGGATAGCACAGTAGGTCCTTGAATAATGTCGTTTCATTATAATGTTGATAAGAAAAAAATGGACGCCTGGCGGGGGCCACGATCTGTAGGGTTTACATGTTCTCCTGTATCTTCGTGGTTTTCTCCAGGCACTCTAGTTTCCTCTCACATCCCAAAGATGTGCATTTAGGTTCTTTGGTGTGTCGAAATGGCCTCAGTCTGAATGAGAGTGTGTGTGAGTGTGCCCTGTGATGAAATGATGTACTGTGTGGGATTGGTTCCTGCCTATACCAAGCCACTGGGATAAGCTCTGGCCACCTGAGACTCTGAACTGGAATAAGTGGATTGGAAAATGATTTATCAAGTAAAAATTTGTAAAGTATATGATAATCATACAAATGTTTGATGATAAATGACATAGTATGAAAGCGCTCGGCAAGTCCACTATGTTATTTGCTTTTGAACTGCGTTGTGTGGGAGGTCCTCCTCAAAATTTTCACTTTGTAAACGTTTATTCCTGGATTTAACCCACCACCACTATGACCACTGTCACTCACTGATTCACCAAAAATTGGGTAAATGATTCTCTTTCTTGTCTGTATTAATCTTTCTTAAATGTATGTATAGCTCACATTTATTTCACTGTTCAATTTAGAAGTGCTTTGAGTCTTTATTTAGAAGCTTGGTGGTATTTTTGTGACCAGAAATATGCCATAGGAACTTAACTCTTGTTTCTATCAGTTAGCTCATGGTAAAATTGCTTTCGTTAGACACTTTCATTTGAAGTCACAGTTTCCAAGAACCCATACGTTGAGGACTTACTGTGTTTGGATAGTGGAGAGGGGAGGGCATTAGCGGCAAGTGGAACCTCAGGAAGAAGTGTATAAGAGGAAGGAGGTGCAAAGCAGGTTAAAGCCAGGTGATAGAGGACCATCTAATGATAGGCTAACAATGTACCTTTTGTCTTGTAGGAGAGTAGAGAGATCTAATCCAGGCCCGTGGCTTTAAATACTATCTTTATGATGATAACCCAAAATACGTATCTTCAGTCCCTGTCGTCTTCTGGGCTACAAACTCATATACCCAACTGTCTACTTGACATTCTCATTTGGAGATTTTATAGGCATTTGAAACAGAACAGCTAAAGGAGAACCATTGATTCCTCTCGCTGTCTGTGAGGACTCTTCTGTTCCTTTCCAACTGTTTTCAGTCTTCCTTAACAACACCACCATGAACCTGATTGCTTGGGCTAAAAACTCCTGTTATTCTTGGTTATTCTTTCTCTCATACCCCACATGCAGTCTTATCAGCAGGTGCTCATGGCTCTACTTTGAATATGTATCCTGAATCTGACCACTACTTAACCATATCCGTGGCTACCACCTAGTCTAAGCCACCATTCTCTTTCACCTGGATAATTGCAGTGGTCTCTTGTAGTCTCTCCTTTCATGCAGTCTTGCTCCCATACACTCCATTCTCTACATGGCAGCCAGAATGATCTTTATAAATAAAAAATCAGCCCATATAACTTCCTTGCTTCCAGTGTCTTCCCACATCCATTTGCATAAAATTTAAATTCCTTATAAAAGCTCACAGTAATACAAGGCCTGTGGAGTCAGGCCTTGTATTTGTCAGGCTGTGGTAAGAAATAGACCCAAAAATGCAGACTGGCTCAAACACAGAAGTTTATTTCACGCTCATATAACAGACCAAGGGAGTATTATAGTCAATAGGTAGTTCGTTCTTGTTGTTCTGTCATGCCCTAGAGCCTAGCTATTATCTGTGTTTTGCTGGCAGATGGGAGAAAGTGTGGATGGGGAAAATACCCACAGATTAAAAGCATTGACCCTGATATAGCACCTACATTTTGGCTGTTATTTTATTGGTCCCATTCAGTTGCAAGATCTCACCTAACTTTGGAGAAGCCAGGAGATGCAGACTAGTCACATCCCAGGAAGAAGAGAAAACATCTTTGGTAAATAGGTAGAAGCCACTACCTACATCTGACTTTGTCTCCTACCATTCTCCCCCTAATTCAATTCCCATATGCGCTGGCCAGGATTATTTATATTCCATTCTTTTGTATTTGCTATTCCTTCTGATTAGGATCCTTCTTCCCCTGAATCTTGGCATCTCAGATTAAAGAAGACCTGAGACTTCAGACCTACTTAATTAGATACCGTGTTCCCCTAAGCAATCCCTGTTCCATTACTCTTGCTCTGATTTATTTTCCTTGTAATACACATTGCTCTCTGAAAGTCTTATCTAGGTATTTGTCTCTGTATATATATGTTGATTGTTTACTTTTCTCTCCTAAATTGTAAACTCCTTGAAGGCAGGGACTTTGTCTCGTGTACAACTCTATCACTAGCACCAAAGACAGAAGAATATAGTACATGTTCAGCTGATATTTGTTGATTAACTGGACTGACTGGCTGTGTCTAGAATAATGCTTTTTCTTCCCATCTTGGCTGGCTCTCACATAGTCTTAAGATCTTGGCTAAAATAACACTTCCATATGACTCATTTTTTGGGAGCTGATACCCCACCCTCGTCCATGATACTTGTTATATTCCTCTGTTCTAACATCCTGTTGTTAGTTGATGTATTGCACAGTACCTTGGGAACAAATAATACACTGCTTATAATATACTGAAGGACGGGGAGTAAATCAGATTCCTCCCCAGCACCTGCATGTGGTGTCTGTTGAGTACTGGATATTTGAGAGCCCTAAACACTGCCCAAGTTGTTAATGAAACATTGCTTAATCCTAAGATTTCCTCCCTGTTAGGGTAGCTGTCAGATGCTTCATTTGTTCTTCAGTGTGTTCTCATTTGAAGCATTACTGCCTGCATCTGGGTAACTTACACCTTATAAATTGCTCTTAAATTATGCATGCCGTTGGAGCCTGGGAATCTTGAAGTATGTGCCTTGTACAGGGTAGAAGCCAATAAATATTTGGTCATTTGATTTGACTCACAGTTGTTTATTTGAAAACTCAGTATTGTGTTAATATTTATGAAACAATCTGCTGTGTTTTTCTGATCTTTATTTGGTTCTCAGCTTTAACTTCGTACTTTAACACATCTGCCAGTAGAAGACCTATGTGTTTGTCTTTCTACCCCATAGACTAGTTTGTTTCAAATGTACTTGTTAAAAATTGGTAATTAATTAAAAAACATTTTTTATCAGTTATTATTATTATTTTTGTTTTTTTTGGTAGAGACGGGGTTTCGCCATGTTGCCTAGGTAGGTCTCGAACTCCTGTGCTCAAGCCATCTGCCCGCCTCAGCCTCCCAAAGTGCTGGGATTACAGGTGTGAACTATTATGCCTAGCCCCAAAAATTGGTAATTCAAGAGAAGACTGGGAGCTGAAAGAAAGGGCTGGCTTCAGGAGCTTTTTATAGCTGTCTTATATTCTCAGGATGTTTTTTCTCCTCCGGGATTTGAATATGTGTTCTGGAGGAAGAGATACTGTTTCTTACAGCCTTTTGCTAAAGGAAGAAGATAATTTATCATGTTGATAGAACAAAATGAATTTACACCAAGGGTAGTATGATGTGCTTTTTTTTTTAGTAATAAAGTTTATGTGTTTATCTCTGCGGAAGTTATTAGCATACCAAGTGGAGACATGTAGGTTCAAAGTCTTCTGGTTTTCCATCAAATGGTTGTGTCATATTGATTGCATTTAATTTACTTATGAAAGGGCTTCGTGGTGCCATAGTTTATACTCATCTGCTCAGCTACAATAAGAGATACTAAAGTTTGATTTTTAAAAAAAATTATGTGTAACCAGTTTATTTTTAACATGGTATTAAGCCTCTCCTGTGTTCTTGGGACTATGATACCTTTGCTAGGATATTACTTATGTTTGATATTAAGCAAATATTTGGCTCTTAGCATGTGTAGACCATTGCAGAAAAGTTTTTTTTTGTTTGTTTGTTTGTTTTTTTGAGGCAGAGTTTTGCTCTTGTCACCCAGGCTGGAGTGCAGTGGCGTGATCTTGACTCACTGCAGCCTCCGCCTCCCGGGTTCAAGCGATTCTCCTGACCCCAGCATCCCGAGTAGCTGGGATTACACAGGCACCTGCCACCACGCCCTGCTAACTTTTGTATTTTTTGTGGCGATGGGGTTTCATCCTGTTGGCCAGGGTGGTCTCGAACTCCTGACCTCAGGTGATCACTCTCCTCGGCCTCCCAAAGTGCTGGGATTACAAGAGTGAGCCACTGTGCCTGCCCATATTGTAGAATAGTATTTAAAGAAATGTTTATCTGATATGTATTTATGGATAATGTAATCATATTTAATGCTTTAATTGATTTCTGCTGTAACTATAGCATACTCATTTTTATTTAAATTTAATTTAAAGTATAACTATTAGATATTTCATAGAAGTGCCTGTTTTATCTAGGTTCTTTAGAGATTTTCCTATCCATCTAGAAGTGTCGTTTTTTAGGAACTGGGGTATTTATTATTTTTTTATTAGCACAAACACATTTATTTATTAACCAAAGGGATGATCCTAATTAATCCAAGACACTTTGAAATAGCTGCATGTGAAACGTTTGTGATAAAGATAATTGAACACAGTAATGAAAAAAAACACTATGGAGATTTGCTCATTGAACTGAGCTTGATCATTCTATTAGTTAACTCCTGTCCAAAGTGATGATGGAATTTTTATTCTACTTTTTCATAGATCCGAGTACAGGCGACATTGTTCATGACACAGTACACCACTAATTTCCCATCTTTCAGTTTTCTTGTTATTGTGTTTTCCTTCCCATCCCACTCCTGATGCTGAACCAATGCACCATCTGCAAAGCTGCACACAGTCTGAGTTTTTCTGCCATCAGCTGTGGTTTCTTCAAACTTCTCTCCCAGGGTACAAGAAAACTGTGTTTTCAAAGTGCTCTCGGTTTTTATGGTGAGGTTTTTGCCATCACAAGTGATGATACAATCTGGCTTGGCCATTGCGTCCATTTTTCGCAAAGCAGTTCCCACTCCTCCTCCTTCATGTATTCATCAAAGCGTTTGCTGTCCACCAGGCGCCATCTTCCTCCCAGCTGCTGAACTGTGGCCATGGTGGGCACGGGCGGGCGGGCATGCAGAGCAGGGTTGCCGTCGGCGTGGGCAGCTTGCTGTCGAACTGGGGTATTTATTTTGACCCTTTGAGAAATCTAAAATGTTTTATTTTACCTGCCTATATTAAACAATATGTACTGGATATAATTTAGGATTCTTGTGATTATTAATGCTCACTAAGTATCAGTTACATTATTATTGTACAGTGAAGCCCTCAGGTCTGTGAAGTGTTGTTTTTTTAAAAAACTCTATAAGACCCTTGATAGCTATTCTTTTCAAGTGCTTAACGTCTTCTTTTCACAAATTTCCTCTTTTCTCTATCCCTGTTAGATTGCAGTTTATCATTTCATTCTAGTATATTAGCCTCTAAAGCCCCTTTCTCTTCTGAACTTATTGCTTCTGGGCTGTTAGAACTTAAAAGTAACTGAGCTTATTTTAATTTTGCCTATCATAAGAGGAAAAGGGTTCTGAGTGAGGACCTGAGGTACAGGCATGACGTTTATACTTGGATGTCAAATAGGAATTTCAAACTTAGTATGTCTAAAATGAAACTTCAGCTCTTTCCCCACCCCAAACCTGCACCTCCTGTGGTCTTTCCCATCTTGGTTGATGCCACCCTCATCCCTCCAGTGCATAAGCTATATAAACCTTGCAGTTATTCTTGACTCCTCTCTTTAAATCACACCTCACATCCAATCTGTTAGGAAATCTAATTGAGTCTTCCTTCAGAATATGTTCCAAATATGATCAATTTTCACCACTTCCACTGCTACCCTCCTTGTCCAGGCCACCATCCCTGACCTGGATCGATGCAAGAGCCTCCAACTGATATTGTCTTCACTATAGCCTCTTCTCAACACAGAAGCCAGGGTGATCCTTTCAGAACATAAAATGTGACAACTCAGAATCCTCCAGGCATTCTCCATGTCACTTAGAGTAAAAGCCAAATGATCTACAGGGTGCTGCATGATTGCCCCCTCTCCCCACAGCCTCTGGCCTCCTTGCCTGCTACTCTTCCCTCCTGCTCACTCCACTCCACCACGTTGGCCTCCTTACCATTCCTCAGATATGCCAGGCACACTTTAATATGAGAGCCTTTGTACTTTTAGTCCTGGAATACTATTCCTCTAGGTATCTATTTGGCTTACTCCCCCACTTCCTTCATGTCTTGGCATAAGTGAAGCCTGCCTAAACCACCCGATTTTATTTTATTTTATTATTTTTTGGCACAGTCTCACTCTGTTGCCTGGGCTGGAGTACAATGGCATGATCATGGCTCACTGCAGCCTGCAACCTCCCAGGCTCGAGTGATCCTGCTGTCTCAGCCTCCTGAGTAGCTGAGACTACAAGTGCATGCCACCATGCCTGGCTAATTTTTAAAAACTTTTTTGTAGAGATGGGGTCTCACTATATTGCCCAGGCTGGCCTGAAACTCCTGGGCTCAAGCCATGCTCCTGTCTCAGCCTCTTAAATTGCTGGGACTACTGGCATGGGTCACCATGCCTGGCCCCTTCCTATTTTAAACTGCATTTCTGATTCTCCTTAACCTGACATATTTGCCCATGTATATCATCTAAGATACTCGAATTTACTTGTGTTTATTTAATCTGTTTCTCCTCATTAGAATGTAAGCTCCATGAGGGCAGGAATTTTTAACTTTTTGTTCAGTGATATATCAGTGCTGGCTGGGCGCGGTGGCTCACGCCTGTAATCCCAGCACTTTGGAAGGCCGAGGCAGGCAGATCACTTCAGGTCGGAAGTTTGAGACCAGGCTGGCCAACATGGTGAAACCCTGTCTCTACTAAAAATATAAAAATTAGCCAGGTGTGGTGGCCCGTGCCAGTAATCCAAGCTACCCAGGAGGCTGAGGCAGGAGAATTGCTTGAACCTAGGAGGCAGAGGTTGCATTGAGCCGAGATTGTGCCTCTGCACTCCAGCCTGAGCAACAGAATGAGACTCTATGACTCTATATCCAAAATATATACATACATATATATATATATATATATATATATATAAAATTGCCTAATAGTACCTGGCACGTAGTGCTTAATAATAAATATTTACTGAATGAACGAATGAATTATAATCTGTAGACTTTAAGAATTTATGTAATTGGAACCTTTTTCTGTGGCTTGTTAATCTTATTCTGGATAGTTGAGTTTACTTGATAAATGGCATAAATATATAAGGAGAGTACTGTATCTTAATATTGCATGTATGGTAAGTAATAAATTGATTGTTAAACTGATTTTTATGGAACACTTTGGAGTTTAAGTCCTTTAATTATTTAGTATTTTAAAGTATAAAGTCTGTAGTTTTAAGTGTCTAACCTATTTTTTGTTGAGATCTGAAAACTTAATATAAGTGTGTCTGTTGGTATTGCTTGGTTAGAGAGCTAAAATATTTCTAATTGGGTTTATTTTGTATTTTGCCTATAGATACACTCTGTGCAGTTTTAGAGAGAGACACACTCAGTATTCGAGAAAGTCGACTTTTTGGAGCTGTTGTACGCTGGGCAGAAGCAGAATGTCAGAGACAACAATTACCTGTGACTTTTGGGAATAAACAAAAAGTTCTAGGAAAAGCACTTTCCTTAATCCGGTTCCCACTGATGACAATTGAGGAATTTGCAGCAGGTAAGGGTATAAATTCACCAAAATCTATTTGAAACTGTTTTAATAGTCTGTCAGGGCTGGGCCTGGTGGCTCACACCTATAATCCCAGCACTTTCGAGAGGCCAAGGCAGGTGGATCACTTGAGGACAGGAGTTCGACACCAGCCTTGTCAACATGGTAAAACCCCGTCTCTACTAAAAGTACAAAAAATTAGGCATGGTGGTGGGCACCTGTAATCTCAGCTACTCAGGAGGCTGAGGCAGGAGAATCGCTTGAACCCAGGAGACGGAGGTTGCAGTGAGCCGAGATCATGCCGTTGCATTCCAGCCCGGGCGACAGAGCGAGATTCCACGAGACTCCATCTCAAAAAAAAAAAAAAATTCTATCAGTCTCCCTGCGCCAGAGAGGAAAAGAAGCTTTTATTCAGTACTAATCACATGACAAACATATATGCGAGTGTATGATTTTAAGCCCTTCAAAATTATATTATCCACATTGTATAGGTTAGAGAAGTAAAGTTGGGAGAGGTTGAGTGCCTTACCCCAGGTTATGACAGATCTTTTTGGCTTTTTTTTTTTTTCTTTTTTTTCTTTTTTTGAGACAGAGTCTTCCTCTGTTACCCAGGCTGGAGTGCCGTGGCACAAACGCATTTCACTGAAGCCTCCACCTCCCAGGCTCAATCAATCCTCCCACCTCAGCCTCCCAAATAGCAGGGACTATAGGTGCACACTACCATGCTCAGCTAATTTTTTAATTTTTTTTATAGAGACAGGATTTCACCATCCTGTCAGGGCTGGTCTTGAACTCCTGGGCTCAAGCCTCCCAAAGTGCTGGGATTACAGGTGTAAGCCACCACGCCCAGCCTCTGTTTGACTCTTAAGGTCGATGCTTCTGATTAAAATCAGACAGATCTGTTTTGAGTCTCCATGACCACTTCTGACCTGTTTTCATTACCCAGGTCATAATTGACTATTATCTGCCTTTAAATCACGGCCAGATTGATTCAAAAGAAAGAAAAGTCTCATGGTTTTTTTTTTTTTTTTTTTTTTGAGACAGGGTCTCCCTCTGTTGCTCAGGCTGGAGTGCGGTCGTGCGATCTCAGCTCACCGCAACGTCCATCTCCTGGGTTCAAGCGATTCTCACACCTCAGCCTCCTGAGTAGCTGGGATTACAGGCGTGCACCGCCACAAACTAATTTTTGTATTTTTAGTAGAGACAGAGTTTCACCATATTTGTCAAGCTGGTCTTGAACTCCTGACCTCAGGTGATCTGCCCACCTCGGGCTCCCAAAGTGCTGGGATTATAGGCATGAGCCACTGTGCCTAGCTCTCATGATTTTTTAAAAAATAATTTCAACTTTTATTTTAAATTCGGGGTAACGTGCAGATTTGTTTCATGTGTATATTGTGTGATGCTGAAGTTTGAGGTACAGTTGATTGCATCACTTAGGCAGTGAGCATAGTGTCCAGTAGTTAGTTTTTTAACTCTTTTCCCCCTTCTGTCCCTTCCTCTTTTCCCCTTTTTAACAGTCCTCAGTGCTTATTGTTTCCATCTTTATGTCCATGTGTATCCAATGTTTAGCTTCCACAAGTGAGAACATACGGTATTTGGTTTACTGTTTCTGCATTAACTCACTTAAGATAATGGCTTCTAGCTGCATCCATGTTGCTGCGAAAGGCATGATTTTGTTCTTTTTTATGGCTTTATAGTATTCTGTGGTGTGTGTGTGTCCGTGTGTGTGTGTGTGTGTGTGTGTGTGTGTGTCACATTCTCTACCCAGTCTACCACTGATGGGCACCCAGGTTGAGTCAGTGTCGTTGCTGTGATGAACATATGAGTGCATGTGTCTTTTGGTGGAACATTTTCTTTTCTTTTGGATATATAACCAGTAATGGGATTGCTGGGTTGACTGGTAGTTCTATGTTTTTTGGTTTTTTTGGGAGGTTGTTTGTGGTTTTTTTTTTTTTTTTTGAGACAGAGCCTCACTCTGTCACCCAGGCTGGAGTACAGTGGTACAATCTTAGCTCACTGCAACTTCCACCTCCTGGGTTCAGGCAATTCTCCCACCTCAGCCTCCTGAGTAACTGGGACTACATACGCCCGCCCGCCACCAAGCTTAGCTAATTTTTGTATTTTTTGGTAGAGATGGGGTTTCACCATGTTGTGCAGGCTGGTCTTGAACTGTTGACCTGAAGTGATCCACCTGCCTCAGCCTCCCAGAGTGCTGGGATTACAGACATGAGCCACTGTGCCCAACCTTGGTAGTTCTGAGTTCTTTAAAAAATCTCCAAACTGCTTCCCACAATGGCTAACCTTATCTACATTCCCACCATCAGTGAACACGAATTCCCTTTTCTCTGTAGCCTTGCCAGCAACTGTTTTTTTTATTTTAATAGGCATTCTGAGGAGTATGAGGTGGTATCTCATTGTAGTTTGGATTTGCATTTCTCTGATGATTAGTGATGTTGAGGATTTTTTTCATGTTTGTTGGCTGCTTGTATATCTTCTTTTGAGAAATGTCTGTTCATATTTTTTGGCCCACTTTTTATGAGTTTTTTTTTTCTTATTGAATTGTTAAAATTCCCTGTAGATCCTGGATATTAGACCTTTGTCCAACACATAGTTTGTGAATATTTTCTCCCATTCTATAGGTTGTCCATTTGTTGGGTTGATAGTTTCTTTTACTGTGCAGAAGCTCTTTAGTTTAATTAGGTCCTACTTGTCAGTTTTTGTTTTTGTTGCAATTGCTTTTGAGGACTTTGTCATAAATTCTCTCCCAAGGCCAGTGTCCAGAAAAGTATTTCCTAGGTTTTTTTCTAGGATTCTTATAGTTTGAGGTCTTACTTTAAATCTTTAATCCATCTTGAGTTAATTTTTATGTATGGTGAAAGGTAGGGGTCCAGTTTCATTCTTCAGCATATGGCTAGCCAACTTTCCCAGCACCCTTTACTGAATAGAGGGATCTTTCCCCATTTTGTCAAAGATGAGGTGCTGTAGGTCTGCAGCTTTATTTCTGGGTTCTCTTTTCTGTTCCATTGGTGTATGTGTCTGTTTTTGTACCAGTAACATGCTGTTTTGGTTACTGTAGCCTTATAGTATAGTTTGAAATCCAGTGGTAATGTGATGCCTCCAATTTTGTTCTTTCTGCTTAGGATTGCTTTGGCTATTTAGGCTTTTTTTTTGTTCCATGCATATTTTAGAATATTTTTCTAGTTCTGTGAAAAATGATGTTGGTAGTTTGATAGAAATAGCATTAAATCTGTAGATTGCTTTGGGCAATATGGTCATTTGAACGATATTGAGTCTTCCAATCCACGAGCATATAATGTTTTTCCATTTGTTTGTGTCATCTGTGATTTCCTCCAGCAGTGTTTTATAGTTCTCCTTGTAGAGATCTTTTACTTGGTAAAAATATATCTAACCAAGATGTATGGATGTAAAAATACCTGGTAGAAATACATCTTAGTTAGATGTATTTCTAGGTATTTTATTTTTTGTGTGGACATGGTAAATGGGATTGCATTCATGATTTGGCTCTCAGCTTGAACGTTACTGGCGTATAGAAATGCTGCTGACTTTTGTACATTAATTTTATATTCTGAGGCTTTATTGAAGTTCTTTATCAGTTCCAGGCGCCTTTGGTGGAACTTTTTTTATTTTTTTGAGATGGAGTTTTCTTGTTTGTTGCCTAGGCTGGAGTGCACTGGCACGAGCTCAGCTCACTGCAACCTCTGCCTCCCGGGTTCAAGAGATTCTCCTGCCTCAGCCTCCCGAGTAGCTGGGATTACAGGTGCCTGCCACCGTGCCTAGCTAATTTTTGTATTTTTAGTAGAGATGGGGTTTCACCATGTTGGCCAGGCTGGTCTCAAACTCCTGACCTCAGGTGATCCACCCTGTCTTGGCCTCCCAAAGCGCTGGGATTACAGGCGTGAGCCACCGCACCTGGCCTGGTGGAATCTTTAGGGTTCTGTAGGTATAGAAGCATATCATCTGTGAAGAGAGATAGTTTGACTTCTTTTCTTATTTGGGTGCATTTTATTTCTTTTCCTTTCCTGATTGCTCTGGCTGGGACTACCAGTACTATGTTGAATAGGAGTGGTTAGAGTGAGCATCCTTGTCTTTTTCTAATTTCAAGGTGAATGCCTCTAGCTTTTGCCCTTTCAGCATGATGTTAGTTGTGGATTTATCATAGATGGCTCTTGTTATTTTGGGGATATTGTTTTGATGCCTAGTTTGTTGAGGGCTTTTATCATGAAGAGATGCTGGATTTTATTGAATGCTTTTTCATGTCTATTGAGACAGTCATATGGTTTTTATTTTTAACACTATTTCATGATTGTTTTGAATTGTATTACTTTTTATTTTTCGATTTTATTTTAGTTTTAAAGATGAAGTCTTGCCATGTTGCTCAGGCTGGCCATGAGCTTCTGGGCTCAAGTGATTCTTCCACCTTCACCTCTTAGCCAGTGTGCCTGGCTGAATTGTATTTCATTATGCTTATTGGCCTATTTATTTTCCTTTACATTATTCATGTCTTTTGTTGTTCTGTTGGTGTGTTCAAATTTTGTTTTACTGGTTTATCTTACATTGATTCTTTGTATATTTATTATTATACCAAATTTTTTTTTCTGACTTATACTTGTTCCAATTTTCTCCAAGATTGTTTTTGTTTTTGCTGATAAGAATCAGTGTTTGGGTTTTTTTTAAATAAACTTTTGAAATTAAAGTTTAACATCCATATAGTAAAATTAACAAATAAAGTGAACATACTTATTTAACCAATTTATCCTACTGTACTAGTACCCCAGAAGCCTTTGTCATGACCCTCTAAGTCACTAATCTCCCTCTGAAAGGTGACTACTTTCTGTCTTCTATAAATTAGTTGTGTCCATATGTAAACTTTATATAAAGGAAATCATATATATGGTGTGTATTCATTTTTGTGTGGCTTCTTTCTCTTAACATTACGCCTGTTAGATTCATCCATGTGGTTGAGTGTGGCAGTAGTTCATTCTTTTTCATTGCTTTATAATATTCTGTTATACAACTGTGCCATGATTTATCCATTTTACTGTTGTTGGATATATGGATTATTTCTGTTTGGGGACCATTGAGGCCATTCTTGTACGTGTGATTTGGTATACATACGTAAACATTTCTGTTGGATATATACGAGTGGAATTGCTAAGTCATGGAGTGTGCATATGGTCGGCTTTAGTAGATCCTGCCATCCTGCCAAACAGTCCCTTAAAGTGGTTGTAACAGTTTACACTCATCAACAAAGTGAAGAGACATAAGAGTTTGTTTTGGTTGCCCACATCCTCTCCAATACTTGGTATTGTCAGTTTTTGTAGTTCTAGCCATTTGTGTGGATGTGAGGACGTATTTCATTTTGGTTTTAAATTTCATATCACGGATGATTAATGATGTTGAATATGCCAATAATTTTTTAATCCAGTCTGACAGACTTTGTCTTTTATCTGAACTGTTTTGGTTCACTTGCACTTAATGTAATTACAGATATATTTGGGTTTATGTTTACCATCTTGCAATTTGTTTTCTACTTGTCACATCTTTTTTTTTTTTTTCCTTTCTTGCTTTCTTTTAGAGGAATCAAGCTATTATTCTTTTTTTTTTTTTTTTTTGGTAATGATACAGTTTTCCCCCTTATTCTGTGAATATAGTGAACTACATTAATTGATTTCCCAATTTAAACCTATTTTGGATTCCTTACGTAAATCAGACTTGGTTGTTATGCATTATCCTTTTTATATATTACTGGATTTAATTTGCTGAATTTTTAATGTATTTTTATGACTACTGAATGAGAGAAATTAGTCTATATATATTTTTTTTTCTTGCAATGAAATTGTCAAAATTGTCCTCATACAAAAGTTAGAAATATTTCCTTTTTTTCCCCCAGTGTTCAAGAGTTTGTATTATTAATTTTCTCCTGGAACCAACTTCTAGCTTTATTAATTTTCTCTATTACAGTATGTTTTCCATTTCATTACTTTCTGCCTTTTTCTTTATTACTTTCTTTCCTTTCTTTGCTTTTAATTTGCTGGGGTTATTTATTTTATTAGTCTTTGTGACTTTTTGAGATACTTAGAAGGTCAACCTATATTCTTTTTGAATGCATATATTTAAGTGTATATTTTTTCTCTCAGCATCCTTCCCCCCCACAGTTTTTAATATGTGTATTTTCATTAGCATTCGATTAAGAATTTTTAATTTTTGCTTTTTTTTTCTTTGACTCATAAATTATAGATAACTTAATTT
Organism: Homo sapiens; assembly: GCF_000001405.40. Lineage (NCBI taxonomy): Eukaryota > Metazoa > Chordata > Mammalia > Primates > Hominidae > Homo > Homo sapiens. Next base: position 83,035,466 of record NC_000015.10, on the reverse strand, counting down.
CCAAATATTTGAGATTTCTTCTTATCTTGCTCTTGCTGATTTCTGTCTTAATTCCAGTATAGTCAGAAAATATATTCTATATCATTTCAATGCTTTGAAATTTGTTGATATCTGCTTTGGCCCAGCATATGGTAGTTTTATTTATTTTTTATTATTTTGTTTTATTTATTTTTGAGACAATGTCTCACTCTGTCACCCAGGCTGGAGTGCAGTGGCATGATCTTGGCTCACTGTAACCTCCGCCTCCTGGGGTCCAACGATTCTCCTGCCTCAGCCTCCCCGGTAGCTGGGATTACAGGCATGCGGTGCCACGCTCGGCTAATTTTTATATTTTTAGTAGAGACAGGGTTTCACCATGTTGGCCAGACTGGTCTCAAACTCCTGACCTCAGGTGATCCACCCATCATGGCCTCCCAAAATGCTAGGATTACAGGCATGAGCCACCGTGCCTGGCCCATACGGTAGTTGTAATAAGTATCCATGTATACTTGAGAAGAATGTATTCTTCTTTGTTATGTGCAGAAAAACCTGAATAGTCCTGTATCTGTTCAACAGATTGAATACTATATCTATGAAAGGAATATATACTAATGATCTTCAAATTTTCTATGTATCTATCTATTGATTTGCTTTTTGTTCTATCAGTTACTAAAAGAAGTAGATTTAAATCTCAGGGTATGATTGAGAATGTGTTTCCTTTTGGTTCCATCAGTTTTCTTCTTTATTTTCTTCTTTATTTTAGGTACCTTCAAATTTAGGATTTTTTTTTATATTGAATTTGCTTCTTTATCTTTACAGTCTATCTCATCTTAAATCTAAACTTATTGTGGGTTTTTGTTTTTTATTTTATTTTTTGAGACAGTCTCCCTCTGTCACCCAGGCCGGAGTTCAGTGGCACAATCTTGGCTCACTGCAACGTCCACCTTCTGGGTTCAGGCAATTCTCATGCCTCAGCCTCCTTAGTAGCTGGGACTACATGTGTGCACCACCACACCCTGCTAAATTTTGTATTTTTAGTAGAGATGGGGTTTTGCCATGTTGGCCAGGCTAGTCTCGAACTCCTGGCCTCAAATGATCAGCTTGCCTCAGTCACCCAACATTCTGGCATGAGCCACCACGCCTGGCCTAAACTTCTTGTTTTAAAGTCTTTGTCTGATATTGGTATAGTTTCTCAAGGTTTTTTAAATTCTATATCTTTCTCATCCTTTTACTTTTAGCCTTACATTATTTTGACCATGTCTCTTGTAAGCTTCATTTTTAAAAAATTCAGTCTGACAGACTTTGCCTTTTATTTGGAATATTTGGTTCACTTTATATTTAATATGATTAATAGTCTATTAAACTTTCTTTTTCTTTTTCTTTTTTTTTTTTTTTTTGGTGTAGACAGTGTCTCCTCTGTCACCCAGGCTGGAATGCAGTGGCATGATCTCAGCTTACTCCAGCGTCAACCTCCTGGGCTCAGGTTATCCTCCCACCTCAGCCTCCCGTATTAAAGATTCTTTTATTATTATTTTAGTGGGTTGCCCTTGTTATTACAAGAATATATCCTTATTGATTTTTAAATTAAATCTTAAAAATTAAATTTTTTAGATGGGGCACAGTGGCTCATGCCTTTAGTCCCAGCACTTTGGGAGGCTGAGGCAGGTAGATTGTTTGAGTCGAGTTCAAGACCAGCCTCGGCAAAATGGCGAAACCCTGTCTTTACAAAAAAAAATTTAAAAATTAGCCTGGAGTGGTGGTACACACCTGTAGTCCCAGCTACCTGGGGGGCTGAGGTGGGGATCACTTGAGCCCAGGAGTTCAAGGCTGCAGTTAGCCGTGATCACACCACTGCACTCCATACCTGGGCAACAGTGAGACCCTGTCTCTAAATAAATAAATAAAATTAAAATTTTTAAATTAAAATTTTCTACACAATATAAAGGCATTATTGATACTTTTGCTATATTTAACCTTCTCTAGCCTTTGGTGCTACTATTTCATGTATTTTAATGTTTCATATGTTATAAAGCCCACAAAACATTATTTTTAAAGTCAATAATCCTTTTGATTTGCCTATATATTTGCCCTTTCAGTTATCTTCATTTTTTTCTGTATGACCAGATGTGTGCTTCTATCTGGGCACATTTCTGTTAGCTTGAAGAATTCTCTTCAATATTTCTTTTAAAACAGGTAGGATACTAACCAGATTCTCTCAACTCTTTTTTTCTTTTGTCTAAAAACATCTTTATCTTACCATTTTTTTTAAAAAAAGAGATGGGGCCCTGCTGTGTTTCCCTGGCTGGAGTGCAGTGGCTATTCACAGCTTCAAAATTCTGGCCTCAAACAATCCTCCCACCCCAGCCTCCTGAGTAGCTGGGACTAGAGGGGCACACTGCTGAGCCCAGCTTGCCTTCATTTTTGAAGGATATTTTTCTGGGTAGAAAGCTCAAGGTTGACAGTTATTCCCATCTATCATTTGAATGCAATTCTATTCTGTTTTTTTTTTTTTTTTTTTGAGACAGAGTAAGACTGTCACCCAGCCTGGAGTGCAGTGGCACAATTTCATCTCAGTGCAACCTCCACCTTCCAGGTTCAAGTGATTCTCCTGCCTCAGCCTCCTTAGTAGCTAGGATCACAGGCACCCACCACCGCCCTTGGCTAAATTTTGTGTTTTTAGTAGAGATGGGGTTTCACCATGTTGGGGAATGGTACCAAACATGTAGGCTTTTATCGCTCACCTCCCTCCTACCATTCCCCCCAAGTCCCCAAAGTTCATTATATCATTCTTAGGCCTTTGCCTCCTCATAGTTTCTTAGCTCCCACTTATAAGTAAGACCATATGGTATTTGGTTTTCCATTCCTGAGTTACTTCACTTAGAATAATGGCCTCCAAGTTCATCCAAGTTGCTGCAAAAGCCTTTGTTTCGTTCCATTTTATGGCTGAGTAGTATTCCATGGTGTATGTATACCACATTTTCTTCATCCAGTTGTTGGTTGATGGGCATTTAGGTTGGCTCCATATTTTTGCAGTTGGTAGTGCTGCTATAAACATGTACGTGCAAGTATCTTTTTCATGTAATGACTTATTTTCCTTTGGGTAGGTATCCAGTGGTGGAATTGCTGGATCAAATGGTAGTTCTAATTTTAGTTCTTTTTTTTTTTTGGAGACAGAGTCTCGCTGTGTTGCCCAGGCTGGAGTGCAGTAGTGCGATCTCGGCTCACTGTAACTTCTGCCTCGCAGGTTCCAGTGATTCTCCTGCCTCAGCCTCCCGAGTAGCTGGGACTACAGGCGCACATCACTGCACCCAACTAATTTTTGTATTTTTGTTAGAGATGGGGTTTCACCATGTTGGTCAGGCTGGTTTCAAACTCCTGACCTTGGGATCTGCCTGCCTCGGCCTCCCAAAGTGCTGGGATTACAGGCATGAGCCACCACCCCCAGTCCTTTTTAGTTCTTTAAGGAATCTCCATACTGTTTTCCTTAGTGGTTGTACTAGTTTACATTCCCACCAGCAGTGTAAAAGAGTTCCCTTTTCACCATATTCACGCCAACATCTATTTTTCTTTTTTTATTTTTTAATTATGGCCATTCTTGCAGGAGTAAGGTGGTACCTTATTGTGGTTTTAATTTGCCTATGTATGATAATCAGTGATGAGCATTTTTTCTTATGTGTATTGGCCGCTTGTATATCTTCTTTTTTTTTTTAATTATACTTTAAGTTCTAGGGTACATGTGCACAACGTGCAGGTTTGTTACATACGTATACGTGTGCCATGTTAGTATGCTACACCCATTAACTTGTCATTTACATTAGGTATATCTCCTAATGCTATCCCTTCCCCCTCCCGCTGCCCCACAGCAGGCCCCGGTATGTGATGTTCCCCTTCCTGTGTCCAAGTGTTCTCACTGTTCAGTTCGCACCTATGAGTGAGAACATGCGGTGTTTGGTATTTTGTCCTTGTGATAGTTTACTGAGAATGATGGTCTCCACCTCCATCCATGTCCCTATAAAGGACACGAACTCATCATTTTTTATGGCTGCATAGTATTCCATGGTGTATATGTACCACATTTTCTTAATCCAGTCTATCATTGATGGACATTTGGGTTGGTTCCAAGTCTGCTGGGCGAAGGATATGAACAGACACTTCTCAAAAGAAGACATTTATGCAGCCAACAGACACATGAAAAAGTGCTCATCATCACTGGCCATCAGCAAAATGCAAATCAAAACCACAATGAGATACCGTCTCACACCAGTTAGAATGGTGATCATTAAAAAGTCAGAAAACAACAGATGCTGGAGAGGATGTGGAGAAATAGGAACACTTTTACACTGTTGGTGGGGCTGTAAACTAGTTCAACCATTGTGGAAGATAGTGTGGCGATTCCTCAAGGATCTAGAACTAGAAATACCATTTGACCCAGCCGTCCCATTACTGAGTATATACCCAAAGGATTATAAATCATGCTGCTATAAAGACACATGCACACGTATGTATAGCTTCCTTTGAGAATTGTCTCTTCATGTCCTTTGCCCACTTTGTGCTGGGATTATTTGTTTTTTTTTTCTTGCTGATTTGAGTTGTAGATTCTGGATATTAGTCCTTTGTTGGATGCATAGTTTGCAAATATTTTCTCCCACTCTGTGGGTTGTCTGTTTGCTCTGCTGATTATTTATTTTGCTATGCAGAAGCTTTTTAGTTTAATTAGGTCTCATTCATTTGTTTTTGTTTTTGTTGCATTTGCTTTTGGGTTCTTAGTCATGAATTCTTTACCTAAGCCAATGTCTTGAAGAGTTTTTTTGATGCTATCTTCTAGAATTTTTATGGTTTCTTAGATTTAAGTCTTTGATCCATCTTGAGTTGATTTTTGTATAAGGTGAGAAAGGAGGATTCCTGGCATCCATGAGGAATAGCATTTATTCCTGGATCTAAGTTTTGACTAATTAATGCTTTTAACATTTTAATTAATGTGTTTAACCTCAAATGGATTTATTGAAACCTTAAAATATATGCAAAAATTATATATGCTAAGATTTTTTTCCCCTATTTTTATGTTACGTCCTCTAGATTTGAATTTACGTTAAGTGAATTCCAAAGTTAGGAATTGAAATCAAATTCCTTTTTTTAGGCTTATGTTTTTATTTCCACAGGTCCTGCTCAATCTGGAATTTTGTCAGATCGTGAAGTGGTAAACCTCTTTCTTCATTTTACTGTCAACCCTAAACCCCGAGTTGAATACATTGACCGACCAAGATGCTGTCTCAGGGGAAAGGAATGCTGCATCAATAGATTCCAGCAAGTAGAAAGCCGCTGGGGTTACAGTGGGACGAGTGATCGAATCAGGTATCTGTTATATTGGGGATGCGGGGGTAGAGTGGGGGTAGCAGTTACCATTTGGCCTTTTTTATATATTATGGGAGATAATTAACCAACATTTCATTTTATACTTCATTTAATACACTTTTAAGTTAAGTTAATATAGGAGTCAAGAAGTCACTGAGGCATCCTGCCCTCCTCACTGATTTATGAGTGAGGGTGACTTCTTAAGAAAAAAATAGAGTAAGAAAGGATTGGGTTGGACCTTCTGTTACGTGATTTTTTTGTTTTTCCCCAAGATGGAGTCGCTCTGTCACTCAGGCTGGAGTGCAGTGGTGGGATCTCTCACACTGCAACCTCCGCCTTCTGGGTTCAAGCGATCCTCCCACCTCAGCCTCCTGAGTAACCTGTAAGGCATGCATCACCACGCCCAGCTAATCTTTTTGGATTTTTAGTAGAGACGGGGTTTCACCATGTTGTCCAGGCTGGTCTCGAACTACTGACCTCAAGTGATCCACCTGCTTCAGCCTTCCAAAGTGCTGGGGTTACAGGGGTGAGCCACCACGCCCAGCTGTTACATGATTTTTGTTTGGATCACCACTGCCAGTGGGCTGAGTTCTAGACCTTAATTGATCAAACGTTATTTTTACAGGCTTAGGGCTACAATTAATAAATGTAACCTTACTATGTTTAGTGTGAGTTTTTTCTTTGCATAGATGTTGCAGGGAAAGTATCTCAGTATACATTTATAAAAGCCTTGAGAAAAAAATCAAGAATCTTGAAAAATGCATGCGTATAATCCTGTTGAAGAAATTGTCTTTGCTGTACTGTGTTTCTTTAGGTTGAATGTCAAAATAGAATCAGTGCCGGTTTTCACAAAACATGACTTTTGGATTTTCATTTATTTAATAGCACTTCAGTATAAAACTGGAAATTAACAAGTTTGTTAAAACAGAAAAATCTGGTTGGATGTGGGACTATTATAAATCTTAAGTTAACATGGAAATTAAAAATGTACTTGTAGACTATTTAATAATAATTCACAATAACTATATGCAAAAATTATGGGATGAGGCCAAAGCTGCACACAAAGAAAAAGTAATAATTAACTACTTGTAGTAAATAGAGTAGAAATAAATGATTTAAGCATTCAGCCCAAGTAGCTAGAAAACAAATAGCAAAAGAACTATAAGAAAAGAGAAAGTAAATAGATAAATGTAGAAATTAATGAATTAGAAATAGTAGAATTCATAAATCCATAAGCTGGTTCCTTTAAAAGACCAATAAAATAAATAAACCTCTGGCAAAGGTAATAAACATTCACATTTAGAAGCAAAAATGGGAATATAATTATATGCTGACATTTTTATTTTAATTCTGGGTTTATTCTGTGCTAATAAATTGAACATGTTGATGGAATGGATCATTTTATAGGCAAATATAAATTATCAAAATTGACTGAAGAAGAAAAGCCTGAATAGACCAATTACCATGGAAGGAATTAAAAGTTATCAAAGAACTGTCCCTTCACAAGGTGGTTTTTACAGGTGAGTTTTGTCAAATCCTCAAGGAACAGTTAGTTTCCTTGAGCATTAAAAGAATAAAGTACTACTTGGTTAATTATTGAAGGAAGCATAACCCTTATATAGGCATCAGACTAGACAAAAAAAATTCTAGATCAATCTCAATATAAAGAAGAAATTTTGTGTAAAACATTAGGATATTGAATCTGTACCTTCGAAGAATAACACTGTATGACCAAACAGAGTTTATTTGGAGATTGAAAGAATGGCTCAGTGTTAGGAAATGTATTAGTATAATTCTCACAACAGATCAAAGAAGAAAAACAATTTAATTTCAATAGATGTCAGAAAGGCTTTTGATAAAATTTCACCTTCCTTCCAGATATAATTCTTACTAGATTAGGCCTAGAAGAATACTTGTTTGACATGATAAACTATTGAAACCTCAAGATAGAGATATCCTTGCTGTTTAAAGCAGTGTTATTATAATTCTGATTGATTATTTGCTAATGGCATTATGTACATTAGTAGTTCACAACTCTATCAAACCCAGTTCTCTCTTTTTTTAATAAATATTTTGTAATTCCCACTTTACTAACCTGAAATAAAATTCATAGATAATATGCTTTATACATTTTTTAATTGATAAGTGATCTAGTTATAATATAAAGGGGAATAAATGTAATTGATAGTAAAATATGTAGTTCAATACATAGACTTTGGGCAGGACAACACTGGAAGGCAAACTGAAGTAGTTAGTTGCTGTACATATATGCATCACCATGATGAGACAGTTTCAGCTGCACAGTACAGGCGTGTTATGTCTTAAATATCATGAGCAGCATTGCTGCCACTTACGTTTTCTTTAAAGGTTCCAGGTAAAAGAGTATATATAGTTGGTCCTACTCATAGTGTCTATTTCTGAACTTGCCTACTGGCTGAAATTTATCTGTAACCTGTAAAGTCAATATTCGGGGCACTTTCTTAATCGTTTTCAGCAAAGACTTTAGTTGCCAGACCAGCACGTTTCCAGCTGTGGCTGAACAAGGCAAGGCTCTACTTTCCTGGTTCAGCTCTCCTACAGAGGTGGAGAAGGGGAGGGGCAGTGCAGTGGAGTGCAAGAAACTCTGGCTCTTGGGCAGGTTGAATGGGGCTTGAAGGCCAGCTCTGGCACCTCTTAGTGGGGCAGCCTCAGACAAGTCACTTAACACTTCCAAACTCTGTTTTCTCTTTTGTGGAATAAAGAAAATAGAATATACTAGGACGAGGTGTTTGTTTGTTTGTTTTGAGATAGAGTTTCGCTCTTGTTGCCCAGGCTGGAGTGCAGTGGTGCGATCCCGGCTCACTGCAACGTCCACCTCCCAGGTTCAAGCGATTCTCCTGCCTCAGGCTCCCAGGTAGCTGGGATTACAGGCATGTGCCACCACACCTGGCTAATTTTGTATTTTTAATAGAGACGGGGTTTCACCATGTTGGCCAGGCTGGTCCCGAACTCCTGACCTCAGGTGATTCACCAGCATTGGCCTCCCAAAGTGCTGGGTTACAGGTGTGACCCACCACGCCTGGCTGGATGAATTGTTTTTAGGACTTAAGATTATAATCTATGCGAGGCGTGTATATGTGTGTATATGTAGACATACATACATACACACACACACACACACACACACGTATTTCCCCTAGGAGCAGTGGTTTAGTATTTGCTAATTCTGTATATTAAATATAACTTCCACAGATAATGAGAATTGACTGTATATTCCTTCTGTTTATATGGTAGTTGCCTCTTGTAAAAGTCTGAATATTAAAATTGCACTAAAAGGCTGGGCACAGTGGCTCATGCCTGTAATCCCCACACTTTGGGAGGCCGAGGCGGGCGGATCACCTCAGGTCGGGAGCTCGAGACCAGTCTGACCAACATGGAGAAACCCCGTCTCTACTAAAAATACAAAATTAGCCAGGTGTGGGGGCACATGCCTGTAATACCAGCTACTTGGGAGGCTGAGGCAGGAGAATTGCTTGAACCTGGGAGGTGGAGGTTGTGGTGAGCCAATATTGCACCATTGCACTCCAGCCTGGGCAACAAGAGCAAAACTCCGTCTCAAAAAAAAAAAAAAAAAAAAAAGCACTAAAAAATCTGGTTTATAAACAAAATGGAATGAGGTTCAAGGCTTGTAGTTATAAACAGATTTTTTACCTACATGAATTCTGGCAAGACACTTAAAAGTTGATTGAGTTATGGGAGACTGTTCTGTGCATTTCAGGAAATCCAGTTTCCCTAGTTCCTTGCCAGTAGTGCCCCCCTAAACCTTTGTGAAATCGAGTATGCCTCCTTGGGGGTGGAACTCGTTTTGAGAACAACTGGTCCACCTAGGTAACCTCAGTATCAAGCTAAAAAACTACTAGAACCAATAAAAGAGAATAGTGGCCACTTATAAAAAGTATATTTAAAAACCATTGGTGTTCCTGTATGTCATCAAAATTCAGTTACAGAGATGAATAATGGTGACAGTTGTACAATGATATGAATGTATTTAGTGCCATTGAACTGTACACTTAAAAATGGTTAAAATGGGCCAGGCGTGGTGGCTCATGCCTGTAATCCCAGCACTTTGGGAGGCTGAGGCGGGCGGATCACAAGGTCAAGAGATCGAGACCATCCTGGCTAACACGGTGAAACCCCGTCTCTACTAAGAATACAAAAAATTAGCCGGGCGTGGTGGTGGGCACCTGTAGTCCCAGCTACTCGGGAGGCTGAGACAGGAGAATTGCGTGAACCCGGGAGGCGGAGCTGGCAGTGAGCCAAGACCACGCCACTGCACTCCAGGCTGGGTGACAGAGTGAGACTCCATCTCAAAAAAAAAGAAAAAATGGTTAAAATGGTACATAACTTTACCACAAAAAAATTATAATGTAAAAGAATTTAGTTATAATTGAGTAAATATCATTAAATATTTTGAGTATTATGTTACTATTACAATATGTTACTGTATTGTAGTAATTTTATATATCACTATATATGTTGAATATTACTGTAGTATTGTGAATAATCCCATTCATAACAGTAACATAATATTAAGTAGTAGGATTAAACCCAGTAAGAACTATAAAGTACATTAGCTTTATGAAGAACTGGAAAAGTTTGAGTAGAATCAGACTTTAATAAGGACAGTGTCTTCCAAATTAACCTATGTATGTTAGAGAATTTCTTTCAGAAGTCACATACTATTTTAAGGTAGTGGAGAATGGCTTGGCAAAATTCTTTTTTTTTTTTTTTTTTTTTTTGTGATGGAGTCTTGTTTTGTTGCCCAGGCTGGAGTGCAATGGTGAGATCTGGGCTCACTGCAACCTCCGCCTCCTGAGTTCAAGTAATTATTCTCCCTGCCTCAGCCTCCCGAGTAGCTGGGATTACAGGCGTCTGCCACCATGCCTGGCTAGTTTTTGTATTTTTAATAGAGACTGGGTTTCACCATGTTGGTCAGGCTGGTCATGAACTCCTGACCTCAGGTGATCTGCCCACCTCCAGCCTCTCAAAGTACTGGGATTACAGGTGTGAGCAACCACACCCGGCTGGCAAAATTCTTAACAGTTAATTTGGAAGAGTATATGTTTCTCTTTTAATAAGAGTAATACAGATGACAAGACAAAGTATTGTAAAGCTATAGGAAGTTAGTGTTGTATGGAACAGACTATAGATGTCAGAAACTAACCTAACATAAATGAACATTTAGAAAATGATATGGCCAGGTGTACTGGCTCACGCCTGTAATCCCAGCACTTTGGGAGGCTGAAGTGGGTGGCTCACTTGAGCCCAGGGGTTTGAGAGCAGCCTGCACAACATGGTGAAACTCCATCTCTACAAAAAAATTCAAAAATTCAGCATGGTGGCATGCACCTGTAATCTCAGCTACTTAAGAGGCTGAGGAAGGAGGCTGTGATCTCACCACTGCACTCCAGCCTGGGCAACAGAGCAAAACCCTGTCTCAAAAACAAAAAAGAATATGATAAAGGTGAGGGAAGGATTAACCACTGGGAAAATTAAGTTAGATCCTTACTGATCCCATGTACCTGTATTGATGTAAATTAAAATTTTAACATTAAACAAAACTGAAACCATGAAAGTGCTGGAACAGGTGAATGTTTATGTACTATGAGGATGAGGTAGACCTCTCTAAACTTGGCATGTATCATAATTTTGAAAACAGATAATTGAAAAGTTTTAAGTACAAAATCACCATAAAGTTAAAAGATGAGTGACAAATGGGAAACTTATTACAGTGGATATTACCAACAAAGCATAAATAACTATCATCTCTATATAATGTGATCTTTTGAATCTACATTAAAAAGACAAACACATCTGTAGAGAAAAATGAGAAAAGAACATGAGTTGGGTATTTCATTAGAGAGAAAATCCAGTGGGCAGTAAGCATATGAGCAAATGTTTTACCTCATTAATAATCAAATAAATAGGCTGGGCATGGTGAGTCACACCTGAAATCCACGCACTTTGGGAGGCTGAGGCGGGTGGATCTGTTGCGCTCAGGAGTTCCAGACCAGCCTGGGCAACATGGTGAAACCCCCATCTCTACAAAAAAATATAAAAATTAGCTGAGCATGGTAGCGTGTGCCTGTAGTCCCAGCTACTTGTGGGGGCTGAGTTGGGAGGATCGCTTGAACCTGGGAGGTTGAGGCTGCAATGAGCCGAGATCGTGCCATTGCACTCCAGACTGGTTGACAAAGTGAGATCCTGTGTCAAATAGTAACAGTAATAATCAAAATATAAATGGAGTTTGTCACTATCAGTTTCTCAAAGGCAAAAGAAAATGAAAAATATTCCTGGTTGATAAGAGTGAGAGAAAAATGATCGTTATACCTTATGGGGTATAAAATGTTATCTTTCCAGAAAGCAACTTGACAATGTTTACCTAAAGCCTTAAGACTGTGCCTTTTGACTGGGTGTGGTGGCTCACACCTGTAATCAAAACATTTTGGGAGGCCAAGGCAGGAGGATCACTTACTTGAGCCCAGGAGTTCAAGATCAGCCTTGGCAACATAGTGAGACCCCGCATCTACAAATAATAATTTTTAAAAAATTAGCAGCATGTAGTGGCATGCACCTGTGGTCCCAGATACTCAGGAGGCTGAGGCAGGAGGGTCGCCTGAGCCCAAGAGGTTGAGGCTGCAGTGAGCCATGATTGCACCACTGCTCTCCAGTTCGGGTGACAGAGCAAGACCCTGTCTAAATAAAAAAAATAAAAATTTTTTAAAGAATGTGCCTTTTATTTTCACCAGCAGTTCTAGGAATTTATTCCAAGGAAAATAATTAAGGCTTCATAAAATGATTTAGCTATAGGATTGTTCCTCATGGCATTATTATATAATAACAAAAACTGCAAATAATCTAGATTATCCAACAAGGCATTAGTTAAATATAGTGAATTGGTAGTTTTTTTAACCATTTTACATGAAAAAGAGGTTACAAATATATATATATTCTGATATGATTTTTTAAATTACATATATGTTCATAGAAATGTAACTGAAAAAGAAATATAAAGGATTAAAAATTGTAAGGGGTTAGCAAGGGCTGTCTGGATTTATGGAAGCTTTAAAATTTTCCTCTTATTTAGCTGCATTTTCTGTTTTTTTTTAAGCACAATGTATTATTTATTTATTGATTGAGGTGGAGTCTCGCTCTGTTGCCCAGGCTGGAGTGCAGTGGTGCAGTCTTGGCTCACTGCAATCTCTGCCTCCAGGTTCAAGCGATTCTCCTGCTTCAGCCTCCTGAGTAGCTGGGACTACGGTGCACACCACCACACTCAGTTAATTTTTGTATTTTTAGTAAAGACAGGGTTTCACCATGTTGGCCAGAATGGTCTCGATCCCCTGACCTCATGATCCACCTGCCTCAGCCTCCCAAAGTGCTGGGATTACAGGCGTGAGCCACTGTGCCTGGTCTATTTTTTTTTTTTCTTTTTGAGATGGAGTCCCGCTCTGTTGCCCAGGCTGGCACCATCTCAGCTCACTGCAACCTCCGCCTCCCGGGTTCTAAGCAATTCTCCTGCCTCAGCCTCCCGAATAGCTGGGATTACAGGGGTGTGCCACCATGCCTGGCTAATTTTGTATTTTTAGTAGAGGTGAGGCTTCACCATGTTGGCCAGGCTGGTCTCGAACTCCTGACCTCAGGTGATCCACCCACCTCAGCCTCCCAAAGTGCTGGGTTACAGTCATGAGGCACTGTGCCTGCCCTACTTTTTTATAATAAAAAATTATAAATAACATATTTTAGAGCCAGGAGTGGTAGCTCATGGGTATAATCCCAGCAACTCAGGACAATGAGTTGGGAGTATCATCTGAGACCAGTTCTAGACCAGCCTGGGCAACTTAGTTAGACTCCATCTGTAAAAAAAAAAAAAAAAAAAATTAAACTAGCAAGGAATGGTGGAGTGTGTCTGCAGCCCAGCTACTTGGGAGGCTGAGGTGGAAGGATCACTTGAGCCCAGGAGTTCAAGCCTGTGGTGAGCCATGATTGTACCACTGTACCCCAGCCTCGGCAATAGAGCAAGACTCCATCTCTTTAAAAAAAATTACATGTTTGTAAGCGTTTAAGGTGATCTTACTGTACCAGATGTTCAAAATAGTACTGTTATCTAGCTTATAGGGCTGTTACGATGACTAAAGGAAATAATTCTGTAAAGAACTGAAGTTCAGTGCCTGGCACACTAGGAAGTACTCATGAAGTGGTATTGATGAGTTAGTATTACTAATAATTGAAGGTGTTGCTGACAATGTTGAGAGTTACTCAATGTAATTTTGCAATGTAAGACATTATAATTATGTCAGATTTTACAGGCTTTTAGTTCCATATGTATTATTATTATTATTATTATTATTATTTGAGAAGGAGTCTCGCTCTGTCACCCAGGATGGAGTGCCGGGTCACCTGCAGCTTCCTTCTCCCAGGTTCAAACGATTCTCCTGCCTCAGTTTCTCTAGTAGCTGGGATTACAGGTGCCTGCTATCATGCCCAGCTAACTGTTATATTTTTAGTAAAGACAGGGATTTGCCATGTTGGCCAGGCTGGTCTGAAACTCCTGACCTCAGGTAATCCACCTGGCTCAGCCTCCCAAAGTGCTGGGATTGCAGTGTGAGCCACCACACCCAGCCTCAGTTCCATATGTATTTAATGTCAGTTTTTATTCATTTACAAAATGGAGTAAGATGGGTCAATATTTCTTAACTATTATGACCAAACTGGACTTGTTAATTATTCTAGTTAGGAAACTGCATTCGAATCCTGTCCCATCCCTCTGCTACCAGTATTCTGTTAGAGTAGCCTACTTCCTTCACAGCTCTTGTTACAATTTGTAATTATTTATTTATTCCTTTCTTGCATTATCAGTGTCCTCCATTAGACTGTATGCACAATGCAGGTAGAAACTGTCTTGTTGACCATTACTTCCGCAGTGCCAAGCCTAGTACCTAAATATGATAAGCCCTTAGTAAGTATTTGTTGAATTGATAATTGTCGTAGTTTGAGATGCTGGGCTTCAGTCCTAATGGCTGAGATGTCTGCGTTCATGAAAAAGATGTACAAATATTTGGACTCGTATAGCACTAAAATTATCATTACAACAAAAGTGGGTATTTAGGTTAAATTCTTTTACAAAACCAATTCTTAGGTTCCTCTTAAGTTCAAATCTGCTCTAGAAAGCTTTTTGGTAAGCAAACAGATGACATTTCCAAGGATATCTAATTTGTTTTCCTTTTTATAAGCAAAACTGGATGTTCCAGGTTACACTTAAAAAAAATTATAACCCTTCAGAATATGAACACATGGGATTAATTATATTTTATTTTTGGCTTCTTTCTCTCAGATTCACAGTTAATAGAAGGATCTCTATAGTTGGATTTGGCTTGTATGGATCTATTCATGGCCCTACAGATTATCAAGTGAATATACAGGTACAGTTTCCTCCCCCACCATATATCATTTTGAAATAACACAAACAGGTAACTTTAAGATATTGTTTTGACAGAATCCAAATTTCAATATAATTGTCAAAGCAATCAGAAGGCCCCTTAGTAGCATTGTAAGCATAAAGAGTTCTGTTTTAGAGTTGATCTAAAAAGTCTGGTTGCAGAAAATTGGGGTCCTTCACAAAAGCAGTAGCATATAAGGAGCTCTTCTTTGTCCAGGAATCCCTTCTATTAGTACTTCCTGCTGTGCAGTCTTAAAACATCCTCCTGCCTTTTTCATGGCCCTTTCAACTCTAGGACTGAAACTAAATTTCTTGTAACTGGTGTGAGCATCCTGTGACTTCCAAGGGGCTGAGCAGACCCTGCTTTATTCTTGGTTACTTTTTTTTGAGACAGGGTCTCACTTGGTCGCCCAGGCTGAAGAGCAGTGGTGCGATCACAGCTCACTTCAGCCTTAATCACCCAGGCTCAAGCAATCCTCCCACCTCAGCCTCCCAAGTAGCTAGGACCACAGGTATGTGCCACCATGCCCAACTAATTTTTCTTTCTTTTTTTTTTTGTCTCGCTGTGTTGCCCAGGGTGGTCTTGAACTCCAGGGCTCAAGTGATCTTCCTGCCTTGGCCTCCCAAGGCATTGGGATTACAGGCATTAGGCCCCTGCTTCTTTTTTTTTTTTTTTTTTTTTTTTTTTGAGATGGAGTCTTGCTCTGTTGCCCAGGCTGGAGTGCAGTGGCGCGATCTTGGCTCATTGCAAGCTCCGCCTCCCGGGTTCACACAATTCTCCTGCCTCGGCCTCCTAGCACTTTGGGAGGCCAAGGAAGGTGGATCACGAGGTCAGGAGTTTGAGACCAGCCTGGCCAACATGGTGAAACCCTGTCTCTACTAAAAATACAAAAAAATTAGCTGGGCATGGTGGTGCATGCCTGTAATCCCAGCTACTCGGGAGGCTGAGATAGGAGAATTGCTTGAACTGGGACCTGGGAGGCAGATGTTGCAGTGAGCCAAGGTCATGCCACTGCCTTCCAGCCAGGGCTACAGAGTGAGACTCCGTCTCAAAAAAAAAAAAAAAAAGACACCAGGCTTCTTGTGTACAAACTGTGGGAGGGCATCAGGATTATAGGTACATTAAAATTATGAAGTATAAATACTGTGAGTAAAATAATAGAAACAGTCTGGGCGCAGTGGCTCAGATCTATAATCCCAGTACTTTGGGAGGCCGATGTGGAAGGATTGCTTGAGCCCAGGAGTTCCAGACCAGCCTGGGCAACAGAACACGATCCCATCTCTACAAAAAAAATGAAAAATTAGGGCTGGGCGCAGTGGCTCACACCAGCACTTTGGGAGGCTGAGGTGGGCAGATCGCTTGAGACCAAGAGTTGGAGATCAGCCTGGCCAACATGATGAAACCCTGTCTCTACTAAAAATACAAAAAAATTAGCCAGGTGTGGTCGCGCACATCTGTAATCCCAGCTACTCAGGAGGCTGAGGCACGAAAATTGCTTCAGCTTGGGAAGTGGAGGTTTCAGTGAGCCGAGACCCCAACACTGCACCCCAGGCTAGGCAACAGAGTGAGAGAGTCTGTCTCAAAAACACACACACACACACACCCACCAACAGAGTGAGAGAGTCTGTCTCAAACACACACACACACACACCACCCCCCACCCCCCCACCCCCAAGGCTAGGCAACAGAGTGAGAGTCTGTCTCAAAACACACACGCACACATTGCTAAGGGCTTTATATTATTTTCTATAGTTTGCTTTATTTGGTTTAACTTAAATGTAACTTGTCTCTTAAAAATTACAGATCATTGAATATGAGAAAAAGCAAACCCTGGGACAGAATGATACCGGCTTTAGTTGTGATGGGACAGCTAACACATTCAGGGTCATGTTCAAGGAACCCATAGAGATCCTGCCCAATGTGTGCTACACAGCATGTGCAACACTCAAAGTAAGAGTCATGCACTATGTTCCAGATGGTTTCCTCTTGAATGTTGCAGAATGTGTGTTTTAGAAGCTGAGAGTCACTGACAGCTGAGCCATTTATAAAGAGGGGGGAAAAGAAGCTGGGAGCTAAAATATTCCACTGCCTTCCGAAAAGAAGTACTTCTCCCCACAGCTCTGTTCTGAAAGAAATA
The DNA here is from genome assembly GCF_000001405.40 of Homo sapiens. Classification (NCBI taxonomy): domain Eukaryota; kingdom Metazoa; phylum Chordata; class Mammalia; order Primates; family Hominidae; genus Homo; species Homo sapiens. The sequence goes on along the minus strand of NC_000015.10, from coordinate 83,018,519 downwards.
GCTCTTCTTAAGAAGTAGCCCTTTGTTTCAGTAAGCAGTTGAATGTTTGGCAGAAAATAAAAGTTATTTTTGTAAAATCTTTTCACTATTCTCTAATAGCTGGGCTGTACATTCAGTATTTTTATTCATTAATTAGTTTTTTGGTAAAAACTTCATTTTTCTCTAAATGACAGCATAAAATTTTATATAGGAATGATAGTGAAATATAATGGAACATTAATCTAATTAAAACACCACATTAAACTGAGTGCTTATTAAATGAAAATTACTAAGGAACCTTTTGTTCTCATTTAGGGTCCAGATTCCCACTATGGCACAAAAGGATTGAAGAAAGTAGTGCATGAGACACCTGCTGCAAGCAAGACTGTTTTTTTCTTTTTTAGTTCCCCTGGCAATAATAATGGCACTTCAATAGAAGATGGACAAATTCCAGAAATCATATTTTATACATAATTTAGCATTATAATACATCTTGGCTAAATAATACCATACAATCTAGTGTCAAAAACATAAATGGCCACAAAAAAGTAGTTTGAGTGTTATGAATATTTAAAATTGTAAGATAAGAAACAGTTTCTTAGAGCAGATAGAAAAATGCTTATTTAAATCTTTGCATGATTTAAAAACAGATTTTCCATTTTCTTACAACTTTAAGAGAAAAGAACTGGGTTTAATGGTTTAAAAAAAAGCACAGCTTTTTCACCTTCATCTTGTATAATTTCATAGATTGGCTGACTTAGGGTCTTTCAATAGTTTGGGAATTGAAAGATTCTTGTTATATATAGCTAGTTTGGGTTTGTTTTTGTTTTAACTATTTTGAAGGTTAGGTGAGATGGGCAAATAGGCTTAACTATTTTGAAGGTTGGATGAAAAGAGATGGGTCAGTATTCCTACAGAATTCTTATTAACTCAAATAACTAAATTTCAGAAAATTAAGAAGCTGACTTTATATTTGGTGGTTTGAAGTATCTTGTTGTTAGCATTTGTAATAATGCTAAAAAAGGCCTAATAAAATGCCCAAGAAAATATTCAGTGCATTTATAGAGAAGGATATTTTGTAGTAGTATAGTAATGTGTTATGTAGTACAGTTTTAAAGCTATAAATGGAATTTTGTGTAAATTCACAAAAATGTGATATAAACAGGATCTAAGACTGGATTCCCTGTCACTAAACTGCACCACTATACCTGTCTCTCTGTGTGGGGGACACTGCTGATGATTCCCAAGATTGAGATGATGACGGTGATGACGACTGGGTGAACAGCCATCACTTCAACATTGTGATAATCCTTCACAGCAAGAAACCGAATAAAATACTAACATTTCTAACAACTGCTCTGACATTGTAAAGAGATCCAACAGAATCACTCCTGCTGAAAAATACGCTTTCTGCCACCTACACATTTCTATTTAGGAAGTAAAATTTGCTTCATGGTCATGACCCCATTAGTCAGTGTTACAGCTGTGTTGGGGATAGGAAGTATATCTGGCAGATTGATATTTATACACTTTTTTATAAAGCAGATTTTAAAATATAGTAACATCCATTTTTTTCCCTTGAAAGTGATTCTCTTATAAAAAATGAAAGTGGAGTTTAAGGTATATCAAATCGTTGTGGAAGGTGATTAAAAATCAAAATTCTTTTAAATATCAACTTAATTTTTTCTAAGTAAGATACAAAAAATTTTCATCTAAAGTAATATTTCACTTTATATTGTAAAGAAGGTAGGTATATTGGTGGCTGAGGTCTCTTGAAATTGCTAAAGGGAAATTTTTCTATGGTAATGCTCTTACGGATATAAACCTCAGTTAAATGGAATTATCTATGGGATGTGTGGTTCTGGTTAACTAAAAATTAACCAGTAAACACTCTGTAGTAACCATTACAGAAAATACTTCTGCCTTAAAAAATATGATATGCCAGAGATGAGTTAGTGTTTCTTGACGTTGGAGACCTTTTAAATGCCTCATCTGTTGTACTGAACAATTGAAACTGCATGCAGCCATAAAAGGGACAAGAAACAGAACTGTTTACTAACTTTGGGACATCCCCTGGAGTTTTTAAAAATAAATAAATATATATATATATAAAAAAAACTCTTTTATGTCATTTGCCTTTTTCTTCTAAAAGTGAATATAAACAGAATTTTGATTTGTTTTTTGTTTGTTTTTTGAGATGAAGCCTCGCTCTGTTGCCAAGGCTGGAGGGCAGTGGTGCAATCTCGGCTCACTGCATCCTCCACCTCCTGGATTCAAGCTATTATGCGGCCTCAGCCTCCAGAGTAGCTGGGATTACAGGTGCCCACCACCACGCCCAGCTAATTTTTGTATTTTTAGTAGAGATGGGGTTTCACTATGTTGGCCAGGCTGGTCTCGAACTCCTGACCTCAGCTGCCTTGGCCTCCCAGAGTGCTGGGATTGATTACAGGCGTGAGCCACCACGCCTGGCTGTCAACACCATTTTGGAACAAAGGTTCTAGTTAATTGAGGTTTAACTTAATGGGAGTAATGCAATACAAAATACAAATACCTCATTGCTGATTTAAACCAGTTCATAGGAACTGCAGTGATAACTGCCGCAGCCTTTTGTTTCTTGATCATTTCTTGTGGCCTCAGGTTTTTCTCCTGTTCTAATCAGGAGGTGGAGGTTGAATGTGGGAGAATCCAATAAATAATCTTATTTACTGTTAAGAGTGTGACTATCATCTTACAGCTGTTTATTAATAACTACCCAAGTGACTACTAGGCTCTGCAATGAGTACTTTACTACATTCTTACTTGTTTCTCACAGCATCAGTATGAGGGAAGTACCCATTTCACAGGCAAAGAAATTAAAAGGTCAGCTAGGCTGGGCACGGTGGCTCACACCTGTAATCCCAGCACTTTGAGAGGCTGAGACAGAAGGATCACTTGAGGCCAGGAGTTCAAGACCAGCCTGGGCAACATAGACCCTGTCTCTGAAAAATAAGAAAATTAGCTGGGTTGTGGTGGCACGTGCCTATAGTTGTAGCTGCTTGGGAGGTTGAGGGGAGGATTGCTTGAGCCCAGGGGTCCAAGATTACAGTGAGTTATGATTGCACCACTGTACTCCAGCCTGGGCGATAAAGCAAGATCCTGTCGGGGCAGGAAAAAAAAAGTTTATTAAGTGGTGGGAGGTGGAATTTAAACCCATTTACAGAGTTGAGAAAATATTTTGCTGGGTCCAAAAATAACATGTCACTATTCTCAAACTTTGCATTGAGACCCAGAAAGATACTTGACTAATCTATATTTACTGTAAAATATACTATTTTAAGAAAGTGTGATATTCCAGTATCTACCCAACAAATCGAGATTACTTGCATTATCAGAGTATTGATAGTAGTAACTAGTTTTTTTTTTAAATTATTTTTAACCTGGGAATAAACTTGTAAGACATTAAAGAGAGCAAGGTCTTCAATGTGATATGCGCAATGTGTTTGAAACATTGTCCCACTTTTTAGTGCTTCTTCAAACCACTTTCTACTTCCTGTTCTAGTCATCCAGATTCGAGACCTGGAATTATCCCCCAATTAGAAAAAACACATCCTTCACAAGAAGGATGGTACCATCGCAATCCCAGCCCCAACAACCAGCCCCAGAGCTACACTGTGTATTTATTCACATACACCTAGTTTATATGCTTTTAAAAATCCCTTTTCCTGTTTCTCCATTGCGAGTTTTTAAGTGGGACTCTATTTAAAACAAGATAAAATGAGGCCTGTAGTTGCGCAGCTACTGAGGAAGCTGAGGCAGGAGCATTGCTTGAATCCAAGAGCTTGAGACCAGCCTGAGCAACATGGCGAGATCCTGTCTCAATAAAATGTGAACCACCACAAACATTTACAAGGGGTTTCCTGCCATTTGAATCAGTCCCTGTGTTTTCCCTCACCATTAGGCAATATGTCTTCCCACTCTGCCTCTCTCTCCCTTCAGGAGGCAGGGATGTGGGCAGGAGCAACAAGTCAGGTGCACAGTTTGGTGGCACATGGGGCGGATGGCTTTTCTCCTCCCCACTGGTGCAATGAAGTCCTCATATCCCCTACTCCTGAGTCACGTGTGGGAAAGGCTGAATGGTTCACAGCAGAGCACCTCTTAGCTCTCCTCACCCATCTAGCCAGATGCCATCGTAACTCACCTTCACAGACGTCCCCTTTATTTCCATGACAACTGCCAAACCTCTAATTGAGGCTGACGTGACTTCACCCAAAGCAGATTCTACAAATGACTGCTATATAATGCTGGTTCAGCTTTTGTGCCTCAATTCTTAACTGATTTCAAAGAAGGGAAATATGGTTTTGGTTTAACACCTGGCTCACTTTCTTCTGCTCAAGCCTTTATACTGCATGGCCTCAGTGGCCATGTGGACAACCCAGCTACACCTAGGTTTCCAGTTTCTTCTTTACCTCCAGCAACCTTCACCATTCCTTATCATGGCCACACCATATACCCTATCATGATGTGGAATTGCTCTACATCTGAAATAGGAAATTCAGACATCCCACTCTCTGGCCACAACCTTTGGTGTTTCTTCCAGCTCTCACTCACATTCCAGTTACACCCGTTATTGAACCTAAGACTGCAGCCCCTTGTCCTCTCTGTTCTTTTCTTCTTTACTTCCTTCTTTACCCAGTTAGACTCTACTTTTGGTCTCCCTCAACCCCTCTCCACCTTTGGTCTTTAATAACTTTAACCATTTCATCAATAACCCTCAACCCACTTAAATATACCTGAATCAATCCAGTTGTCTGCCTTATCTTCAACTTCCTGACTGCTTTGGTAGTAGCACTGGGGCCAAAAAAAAATTTAATTAAAAAAAAAACTTCTTAGCTGGTGAATCCAGGCATCTAAAGTAACGTAACTATAGGCCAGGCGCTAGCTCACGCCTGTAATCCTAGCACTTTGGGAGGCCGAAGTGGGTGGATTGCCTGAGCTCAGGAGTTCGAGACCAGCCTGGGCGAAATGGCGAAACGCCCGTCTCTACTAAAAATACAAAAAATGGGTGTGGTGGCGCGCGCCTGTAGTCCCAGCTACTCTGGAGGCTGAGGCAGGGAGAATTGCTTGAACCTAGGAGGCGGAGGTTGCAGTGAGCCGAGATCCCGCCACTGCACTCCAGCCTGGGCGACAGGCTCTTCCCATCCCCCTGTCTCAAAAATAAACAAAAATAAAATAAGGTAACTATAGATTGGGATCATAGATGATTTCACGGTCTCCCTTAACTGTCTACCGCTGGGTGAGTTGCAATAGTCAGCCCTTTGCCATTCTCAAGAGTCCCAATATACCTTCAACACCTCCCCCGCCTTAGTTAATGAAAGAAATTCCACCTCCCATCACCAAACCTACAAACACAGCTACATGTCCACCTAAGCTTTCCCTTAGGAAGGAAGGAGTGTCTAAGGCCTCCTGTAGAGAACTCAATCTCTACTTGAGCTCAGATCCTACCTCTTCAGGAACCGTCCTCTGCTGTAACCTCTCTTCTCCTGGCTCTTTCCTACCAATCTTCAAATATGATAAAAATAAGTCTCTGAATGTCATGTGCCCCTCCAGATACCAATTGCTCCTTCACAGTGAAGTCACTGGATTATTCTCTACAATTATCTCCATTTCCTTCTCTCCACTAAAACTGCTGTAGCCCGGGTCACCACCACCACCCTGATTTCTAAATCTTGTGGCCACTTCTCAGTCGTTACATGTGACATGTTCTCTCCAGAGTGTTCATCACTGTTGATGTTCCCTCTTGAAGCGCCCTTCTTTAGCTGCCGTTACACCGTACTCCTACCTGGTCAGTGTCCTTTGGTGACTTCTCTACCTGCCCTTGCTGTTCTAACCTGGGCCCTCGTGCTCTTTACACACTCTCTCATCCATTTCCATAGCTTCAATTGCCATCTGCTTTCAGAAGATTCCAGAATCTCTATCACCAGCCTTGATTTCGCAAACTCCAGTCACATATATTCAGTTACCCCTTTAACATTTGTATTTGGATGTCCTGTGGGCATCTCAAACTCATTATGTCCAAAGCTGAACTCCTCACCTCGGCCTCCCAAACCTGTTCCTTGGGCCCCAAACCTGGGCATTTCCTTGACTTTTCCCCCTTATTCGCACATGCAGTCATTCCCAAGTTCTGATCATTTCAGTTCCTGAAGATCCTTGAAATGATCAGCGCTCCACCCTCCCTGCGGTTACTCTAGTTCAGGCCACCCTCTCCCATTTAGGGGGCGGATCTCCCTGTCTCTGGCTTTTCCTCTGTCGGCCACAGTGCAGCCGGTGTCTTTCTAAAACCCAGCAAATTGGGCTGCTAATAATCCCTTGCTTGAAAGCCTTCAGTGACTCCATGATCTTGCCTCTGCTGATTTGTTTCATGTCTCTCCATATCACATGTCGCAGTGTATTTCCTCTTCTTTTACATTGTGGGATCCGCTGCGCCTGGCACAAGGTAGGTGCGCCATCGATACGTGGAAGATTCACAAGGGCCAAGCCGCCACGAGGCTCTATATCGACTTGATGGCCACAGGCAGCGCGTGGGACTCTGCATCTGCTGCTTGGCTGTGGGAGCGAGAAGACACCTGGCCCTGTGCACTCCTTGCCGCGCTCTCCAATTCTGAGAAGTGACAATACCTTTCTTTCCCCGATTAGGAAAGAGGTGACACACCTTCCTATCAGCTGAGCAGGGTGGGCCAAGACACGGTGAGGCCTCAGCTCCGCAGCTCCACTTCCTGGGGCTCGGCCCGTTCCAGAACAAAAGAGACTCGCGCATGTTCTGCGGCCACGAGACTCGCTCCCGCCGGCCTTAAGGTGTCGCCCTCTGGCCAGAGCGGATGCGCCGGGCGGTGGGGCCGCTCCTGCCGGCTACCTGCGCAAGCGCAGAGGGCTCTTCCGGCGCCTTCCCAGGCGGGGATGCTGCGGCTCCGCAGCGGGCTGAGGCACCTTCGGGCAACACCCAATACTCGGGGCTCCGCTCGGCTTCTTTGCGCCGAGATGCCTAAGAAGGCTGGTGCGACGACCAAGGCCAGTAGCAGGTCCCGTGGCGGCAGAGGGGTGGGCCTCAGGGGTACTTGTTGAAGAGCGCGGGAGAAGCGGGGCCCGGGAGTGAGTGGAGGCACTGCCAGCGGCTTGCCGTCTCTCAGTTCCGGGGCTCAGGACAGCCGCCGCCACCCCCAGAGCTGCGGCCTGCTGCCGTCGCCCCGCCTCAGTAGGCTGCGCTGCCGTCCACCTGGTGATTTCTGAGCGCTGGGCCCGGCGGCAGCCGAGCTCTCCTTGGGCTGCGTGTGCTGACCTTTGGCCTCCTACCCGCACTCCCAGTCCAGCAATTCATGTTCCCGCAGCGGCATGACCTGCGTTTCCCCAGGAGGCTGTATTCTGCTTTCTCCTCCCTTGCTTTGGCTGATCGCACCCCTTCTGTCAAGAATACAGCACTCCCATTTCCACCATCTTTGTTTGGCCAACCCCAGTCCGTTTCTCAGACTCAGCTCAAGCACTGCCTCCTGCTGGCAGCATTCTCCAGTGCCCCAATGCTGATTTGCCTGTGGGGTAATGTTCTGTGCCTATCTCATCGGTGCACTTAGCACAGTGTATTATAATTTTGTATGTTCTTTCTCCCTCGCAGCAGTCCGAGCTCCTTGAGAGCAAGGACCATGTACCTTTTCATCTTTACATATCCATTGCCTACATATTTGTTGAACGAAAGTTCCTAGCACAGCCCCTGTCCCATAACAGGCCTTTAAATATCAAGCACTATTTTTTTTTCCTCCCTTTCCCGCAACATGCAGACATACACACTTTCACCAACATTTATTAGCTCCGACTGCATGAGATACAATGATGAATAATAAATGATCCCTGCCCCCAAGGAATTGGAAATACAAAGCAGAGGGAGGAGCAAGCATTAAGGTTTAGAAGCCAGAGTTAGGTTTTCTTGCAAGGGGGGAAAAAACACTGTTGGGTTGATGGGAACCCTTCGTGGGAAAATTGAGTAGAGCCTTGAAGGTTGTGGGAAAAGCTTTCTAGGTGGCCAGAAGTCCCTGGACACCACTGATGAGCCTAGTTTGTCTGTTAAGGGTGAAAGGGGGTAGTGGAAGAATCAAATTAAATGTGTGGGAAAATATTTTGTAACCTGTAAAGTTGTGTGGTTGTCATTTTAGGGTAAAAGCCAGAGCAAGGAACCAGAGAGACCACTTCCTCCCTTAGGTCCTGTGGCAGTTGATCCTAAAGGATGCGTCACCATAGCCATCCATGCAAAACCTGGCTCCAAACAAAATGCTGTAACAGGTATACCTGGACACTGGGGTGGGATTCAAGTGTGAATCAGGTGTCTCCTACAGCCCTCCTTTGCTTTGGTTAGCTGAAAGCTTATTCTATGACAGTTGATTTTTCACATCTGCAGTTAGAGGCTTCTCCATTTTAAAATTCTAGATTCTAATGTAAAGGTGTCTTAAAGTGAATATATCTTTAAATCATGCCAAGTTACACGAAAACCATTGTATATTTTCCTCTTTAAAAATACAGTATTTTAGAAAGGACAGTTATGGAAACTTGTGTGTAGTCTGGATTATTCTTAGTTTGTCCTGTTCCAAAACTGGAGACATTGGCCAGAGAAAGAAGAGACATTTTAGTGTAGTTTAATGATCACTGGCCTAAGGAGAGGGAGAAAACTTGAGATCTGAGACCCGTGATCAGTTCCTGTGCGAATTTGTTTTAAATCAAAACAGTATAAAACATTCATGGGTCCAGTTTTTTCATCTGTCAGATGAGATCGTTGGACTAAGTTAGAGGCTTTCAGGCTATTCTCTGGAGTGCTGGAGGTGCCTCAGGAATCAGCTTTGGGCAAGGAGGAGGCCAGGCAGACAGGGCTCCTGACTAGCTCTGTTTACATTTGTTTTACATATTGGGATTCTGGAGAAAATTGGGGGAAGGGATTCTAAAGGAAAAAAAGTTCAAAAACCATTGCTCTAAATTCTTTTGAAGGTCTTTTTCACCTCTAAAGCTCTGTATTTCAAACCATTTTTAGATTTTGAAAGGAAAACCACAACATTGACGTGCTAGACCTGGTTTATGCTGATGACCAAGTTAACTTAGCCATACCCTCCTTGGCCAGCATTTTCTAAGTAGTGGGTGTGGACACTGTCTACGTTGGAGTATTATGTTTCATTAGATCTAAAATGGGAGGCTGGATGCCATGGCTCATTTGTAAAATGGAGATAATAATGGTACTAATATCTTCATAAAGTTATTATAAGGATTAAAGAAGTTAGTATTTGTAAAGCCTTTAACACATTTGTGTGTGCTTAAAATTGGTGTATAGTAAGTGCTCTGTAAATATTTGTTAAGTAAACATTATTAAATTTTAAAAACACTCAAGATATGTGTCACATAAGAGGTGAACCTAGTCCGGGGCTCTCATTTTCCTGTTGAGGAAACCCTGCACAACCTTGTACAATCTAGTAAGCTGCCCTGTCCATACACTTCTTCAGTGACATTGATGAGGCTGAAGGCCATCTATGACTCCCTGCCTGGGGCTCTTCACATACCAAGGGCAATTTCCAGTTGCCTAAATCCAGGATATTCCCCAGGGCTCTGTAAGCCCATCTTGGTCGGCAAGATTGGGTCAATAACTTTTCTTCTCTGGATTTATTTCCTGTAATGGTAGGGCCATTTTTATCATGTTCATGTTCCTTAAATGTGATTAGTTTAATCATTCATTTCTTCATTCAACAGTTTTTAATTGAAAATCTGTGTGCCAGGCAAATGCAAAAACTCTTTTACAAAATGTCCTTGCTTCATGAAGAAAAAGAACTCCTTAAGGATAAAGTCCACACTATTTTCATTCCAGATTTGACAGCAGAGGCTGTAAATGTAGCTATTGCAGCACCTCCATCAGAGGGAGAGGCTAATGCTGAGCTCTGTCGGTATCTTTCCAAGGTCCTAGAACTCAGGAAGAGTGATGTGGTTTTGGATAAGGTAGGTCTCGCTCTCTTTTTTTTTTTTTTGAGACAAAATCTTGCTCTGTCGCCCAAGCTGGAGTGCAGTGGCGTAGTCTTGGCTCACTGCAACCTCCACCTCCTGGGTTCAAGCTATTCTCCTGCCTCAGCTTCCTGAGTAGCTGGGATTATAGGCGCATGCCACCATGCCTGGCTAATTTTTGTATTTTTAATAGAGACGGAGTTTCACCATGTTGGTCAGGCTGGTCTTGAACTCCTGACCTCAAATGATCCACCTGCCTTCTCCTCCCGAAGCGCTGGGATTAGAGGTATGAGCCACCATGCCCGGAGGTCTCTCTCTTTTTAAACTTCTTTAATTATTTTCTTTTTTTTTTTGAGACGGAGTCTCGCTCTGTTGTCCAGCCTGGAGTGCAGTGGTGCAATCTTGACGCACTGCTACCTCTCACTCCTGGATTCAAGCGATTCTCCTGCCTCAGCCTCCTGAGTAGTTGGGATTACAGGCACCCACCACCAGGCCCACCTAATTTTTGTATTTGTAGTAGAGACAGGGTTTCACCATGTTGGACAGGCTGGTCTTGAACGCCTGACCTCAGGTGATTCACCCACCCCGGCCTCCCAAAGTGCTGGGATTACAGGCGTGAGCCACTGCGCCTGGCCTTATTTTATTTCTTTTTTGAGATGGAGTCTTGCTCTGTTGCCCAGGCTGGAATGCAGTGGCGTGATCTTGGCTCACTGCAACCTCTGCCTCCCAGGTTCAAGTGATTCTTCAGCCTCAGGCCTCCCAAGTAGCTGGGATTACAGGTGCCCACCACCACACCCAGCTAATTTTTGTATTTTTAGTAGAGACGGGGTTTCATCATGTTGGCCAGGCTGGTCTTGAACTCCTGACCTCAACTGATCTGCCCACCTCAGCCTCCCAAAGTGCTGGGATTACAAACGTGAACCACCATGCCCAGCCATGTTTGATTATTACATATTAATGATGATTCATAAAATACTGATTTTTCTTTGTCTTTTTCAAATAATTGGGAAACTAGTTGTTTATAACTTTTATATTTACTTAATTGCATAAATCTGTCAATTCTTCCTATTTAGTCTCCTTCATGCCTGCTGCCTTAATCCTTACTGAGACTATCCACACTGTGTGCCTATGCTTCTTCACTGCCGCTGTTGCCAGTGTTTTCTCCTTTCTGAATTCATTCCTGAACCTGCTGTCAGATTAATCTTGCTTAGCTCTCTCATCCTTTAAGTCATCACCACGCTAAACAATCTAAAGCAATTCCTATTGTTAGTCATCTCCATGAGGGACTCCGTCAAGTACTTTGTCCTTGCTTGCTAGGAGAAGCTCATTGGGAAGATAGAAGGTTCATATGATGTCATTAATATGGTTTTGCACTAGGGGTGGAGATCAAAGTCACCTGGGAATGATTTCTAAATACAGATCCCTGGGTATCACTCTAGGCTTCTTGAAATAGAATCTGCAGGAGGGGGGCCCAGCCATGTTTATATTTCTTAAAGCTCTGCTTGTTTTCCAGTGCTATACTATATAGCTCCTATCCAGGTTCCAGCTGGCATTCACAGTCATTGATTAACAGACTGCACCTAAAAATCCATTTGAATGCTCCCCACCTGTGGCAGGTCATTTCTGATTTTTGGCTAGTGCTCATGCGCTGACGTTTGCCTGAAAGATGTTCCTCATTCTTCTGCCTGTTCAAATTCCACTCATCTAAATAAACCCCTTCTCAAATTTTATCTTCTTTAAAGGCTGTGTTTGAAAACAAATCCTTTCTTTTTCTTTTGGGACGGTGTTTTCGCTCTTGTTGCCCAGGCTAGGGTGCGATGGCGCAATCTCGGCTCACTGCAACATCCGCCCCGCGCCCCGCCCCTCCCCGGTTCAAGTGATTCTCCTGCTTCAGCCTCCCGAGTAGCTGGGATTGGAGGCGCGCGCCAACACGTCTGGCTAATTTTTAGTAGAGACAGGGTTTTGCCACATTGGCCAGGCTGGTCTCGAACTCCTGACCTCAGGTGATCCACCCGCCTCAGCCTCCCAGAGTGCTAGGATTACAGGTGTGAGCCACCACACCTGGCCAACAAATCCTTTTTAAAGTTTTAAGTGGTTGTGAAATCGTGGCACTTGGATATGTGGCTACTTTTTGTTTGGAATTTTCAGAAATGTTTAACAACATAGAGAATAGCAATTTGTTTATATTTATAATTATTTTACTACAAAGTTTATATAAAATTGCAATATTTATTTTGGTATTTTAAAGATGATTTTCATTTTTAACTTAATTGCTTGAGACTAGAATATCATTTTTTAGATTTTTTTTTTTTTTGAGATGGAGTCTTGCTCTGTTGCCCAGGCTGGAGTGCAGTGGCGCGATCTCAGCTCACTGCAGCCTCTGCCTCCTGGGTTCCAGCGATTTTCCTGCCTCAGTCTCCTGAGTAGCTGGGATTACAGGCACATGCCACCATGCCCGGCTAATTTTTTGTATTTTTAGTACAGACGGGGTTTCACCATGTTGGTCAGGCTGGTCTTGAACTCCTGACCTCGTGATCTACCCACCTTGGCCTCCTAAAGTGCTGGGATTACAGGCGTGAGCCACCGCGCCTGGCCCATTTTTGAGATTTTAATGTCCAGCTTTTATTATAGAAATTGATGTATGAAGGTAAAAACCCTGGAGAGTTGTTAGTACTAACAAATGTTTAGTAACAAATGGTAGTAAGGAAGAATCTAAGAGATAGTCTTTGGTTAGACCAGAAGTAACCAAGAGAAAGCCATCAGGAGAGCCCATTATACAACGGAGGTCTGCTATCTCTAATAGCATTAGAATGTGCTAAACAGTAAAGTATGCTTTTTCTCTTTTGGTCCAGGGTGGTAAATCTCGTGAAAAGGTGGTGAAGCTTTTGGCTTCTACAACTCCAGAAGAGATCTTGGAGAAATTAAAAAAGGAAGCCAAAAAAACATAAAAGCAAGAAATGAGGCCGGGCGCAGTGGCTCATGCCTGTAATCCCAGCACTTTGGGAGGCCGTGGTGGGCGGATCACCTGAGGTCAGGAGTTCGAGACCAGCCTGACCAACATGGTGAAACCCCATCTCTACGAAAAATACAAAATTAGCCAGATGTGATGGCGCATGCCTGTAATCCCAGTTACTCAGGAGGCTGAGGCAGGAGAATCACTTGAACCTGGGGGGCGGAGGTTGCAGTAAGCCGAGATCGCGCCGTTGCACTCCAGCCTGGGCAACAAGAGTGAAACTCTCTCCCCCCGAAAAAAAAGAAATAAAAAATACATCCTTGAGAAACTTTTTTATTGCTAATGGTGAAGAGGCTGTTAAATAGAAAAATATACTACATGCACAGAAGAACATGGGGGACATATATATATGTATATATTCGAATAAGACTCCAAAAAGTAGAAATTTAAAAAGTGCTATACATTGCATCAGGTTCTAAAATCCCAAACCCCAAACAGCCTGGAACATGTTACTCTGATTTCATGGCGTTGTAAAATAACAGAGCTGGGAAGAATATTCAAGATGACCTGATTTAACACCTTTCATTCTGTTGGGGGGCCTTTGATTTCCTATATCCAGAAGTTGAGAGACTTACTCAAGATTGTACCATGCAAGCTGGCAACTAGAACCCAAATCCTTGGACTACTTGTTGAATGCAGTTTTTCTAGATTGTAAATTAAAAATCATATCTCCACAACGGTTCTGGAATTCTGGGGATTGCCTTCTAATCCAGTTTACAAGTGACAGAAAACCTGTTATGCTGCTTTGTAGTCTTACCTTAGATTTTTAAATGCTTATTTAAATGTAAAAAAAATTTTTTTTTTACATCTTTTAAAGACTATATTTACCATTTTGTTGAAAAAGTAAAGAAAAATCATGACTTGTAATTAAATGTGAATTATAATTTTTGAGAAGTCACTGAATTTTCATCTTCCTCTAATAACTTAAATAATCAGCAAATTCAGTAGTTTTTATGAATCTCCAAAGATCCTTAAAAGAAGAAAGAGGACTTGGAAGCTATTTTCAGTATTTGTAAAAGCTTGTCAGAAATTACATCTATATTAAAGTTTCAAAAGCTAATAATATATTTTTACATCTTCAGGTCAAGTTATAGTAATTTATTAAAGAAAATAAAATTAATTTCCTTTGCTGATCAGGAGAGCTGATCTGCAGTTGTGCGCTTTGTCCAGCAAGTACATGAGAAAGATGTATTGATGGACCAAATCATTAAAAACAAAATCCACAAGGAAGAACAATAATAAAAATTGCTGATGGTAGCTGGGCTTGGTGGCTCACGCCTGTAATCCCAGCGCTTTGGAAGGTTGAGGCAGGAGGAACACTTGAGCCCAGGAGTTTGAGACCAGCCTGGGCAACGAAGTGAGACCCTGTATCTGTCTCTGTCTCTTTCTTTATAGATAGATAGATATACATAGATAGATTTTATACATAGATATATATATTTATATGTAAGATTATATATAAGACCTCATATATAAGAAGTCCAGGCCGGGTGTGGTGGCTCATGCCTGTAATCCCAGCACTTTGGGAGGTCGAGGCGGGTGGATCACCTGAGGTTAGGAGTTTGAGACCAGCCCGGCCAACATAGTAAAACCCCATCTCTACTAAAAATATAAAAACTAGCCAGGCATGGTGGTGGGTGCCTGTAATCTCAGCTACTCGGGAGGCTGAGGCAGGAGAATTGCTTGAACCCAGGAGACGGAAGTTGCAGTGAGCCCACACGGTGCCACTGCACTCCAGCCTCGGCGACAAGAGTGAGACTCCGTCTCAAAAAGAAAGAAAAAATCCCAGACAGTGAAAGAGAAGCTACTCGTCTAGTACAACTCTTAACTTGTACCAAATAGGTATCAAGGGCAAGAAAAGGTGGCTTATGTGAGATCACAGTGCACATTAATGGCAGAGCTTGGTTTAAGCCCAGCTGCTTTGTCTTCTAAACTGTGCCATATACTGCCTGCAAATGTGCTTCTGTTTTACATGGTCTTAAGAGCTTTTCCCACTCTTTCTCAAGACCATTGCCATGTGTGCTGTAAAGCCGTTTTACTTGTGGATTTTACATGGATCACTGTTAGAATGTCATAAAATGATATCATAAAAGATCAACTTTCCTGGCCGGGCATGGTAGCTCACACCTGTAATCCCAGCACTTTGGGAGGCCAAGGCAGGTGGATCACCTGAGGTCGGGAATTCGAGACCAGCCTGACCAACATGGAGAAACCCCATCTCTACTAAAAATACAAAAAATTAGCTGGGCGTGGTGGCACATGCCTGTAATTGCAGCTACTCGGGAGGCTGAGGTAGGAGAATCGCTTGAACCCGGGAGTTGGAGGTTGCGGTGAGCTGAGATCGTGCCATTGCACTCTAGCCTGGGCAAAAGGAGCGAAACTCCATCTCAAAAAAAAAAAAAAAAAAAAAGGATCAACTTTTGGTCAGGCGTGTTGGCTTACGCCTGTAATTCCAGCGCTTTGGGAGGCCGAGGCAGGCAGATCACGAGGTCAGGAGTTCAAGATCACCCTGGCCAACATGGTGAAACCCCGTCTCTACTAAAAATACAAAAGTTACCTGGGCATAGTGGCAGATGCTTGTAATCCCAGCTACTCGGGAGGCTGAGGCAGGAGAATTGCTTGTGAACCGGGACCCTGGAGGCAGAGGTTGCAGTGAGCCAAGATCGCACAACTGCGAACTGCGCTCCAGCGTGGGCTGCAGAGGCAGACTCCGTCTCAAGAAAAAAAAAAATCAGCTTTCTTTCCTTCCCCTGAATCTTCTGCAGTGCCAGTTTCATCCTCAGGCCCACTTGTTTCATGTAGACAAAAGGCCAACCAGGTTTCATATTCACGTATCAACCCCTGCAGTAGGAGAAAAGGCCACTCCTAGGAGCTCTGGTATTTTCCAGAAGCTTTCAGTCAGCCTTCCCTTGTATCAGCCCAAATCAAGTCACATGAAATTTCTAAGCCAGCCCCTGTGATCAGGGAATGCCATTCTATAACACAAGTTCCCTAAAGCAGTAACTATAGAAGAAAGAATTACCCTAATTGTTTCAGGCCAATTAAGGCCCATCCTAGAGGTGGAAATGGGGTCAGCATACTCAGAAGCAAAGAAGTAGAGAGAGTTGGATACCTGAATAAAATTGGGAAAAGTTACAAAGAGAGGAATGGATGCTGGAGAGGAACCACCAGTTTCTACTACGATAACCTATTTACTTCATTTTAAACGGTGATATTTTAAACGTGGGAACATTTTGCCTAGTGAGTTTTTTTCTTTGAGAAACGTAGCAGTATCTTGTAACAAAGAAGATATGGGGACACTCTGTCATCAAAAACTACTTTGGGGCCGGGCATGGTGGCTCACACCTGTAATCCCAGCACTTTGGGAGGCCAAGGTGGGTGGATCACCTGAGGTCAGGAGTTCAAGACCAGCCTGGCCACCATGGTGAAACCCCACCTCTACTAAAAATTACAAAAATTAGCTGGGCGTGGTGGTACATGACTGTAATCTCAGCTACTTGGGAGGCTGAAGCAGGAGAATTGCTTGAACCCGGGAATCAGAAGCTGCAGTGAGCCGGGATCACACCACTGCACTCCAGCCTGGGTGACAGAGCAAGGCTCTGTCTCAATAACAACAACAAAAAAACAGAAACAAACAAAACAAAACAAACTACTGTTGGAGGTAGGAACTGGCCCAGGGGCTGTATTCCCAGAACACGATTCCCTTTTCCCCACTGCAAACAAGATAGTCTACAGCAGCCTCACAACTTAATTGTCTCACACAGGACTATTCCTACTGTTAAGAGATCACAGCTAAGGCTTGGGCACCTTGACCTGCTGTAGAAGCTCAGTTAATGTACTTTTCATCATCTGGGCCCTGGTATTCCCCTGTAAATACTGAAGTAGACCCAGTGACCTAGTGCCCAAGACACAAAATATTCAGCCTCCGTAACATTTGTCTAATGACATGGTTCTAGCTTTGCTCACTCCCATTAATTTCAAGTGAGTACTGGCTAGGCAGTCTATAGTGACTTGATTACACTGTCTTTCTTGTCCTGTGCTGTCCTGAGAATCCTGGATTTGAAGCAGCCTATGAATAAGGTTTGAAAAATATTTATCCAACTATGCCGACATATGATGTTCTAGCACTGCATCTGTCATCTATCACCCGCACCTTAATAAATGATAATTACTTGTGCAAACATGATGTATTAATCACTTATTAACTTGGTTGCTTACTTGACAGACACTGCTAGGTGGTTTGCCTATGCTGTACTTCGACAGATCCTGGGAAAGAACAGCCTGGCTCATTATGCCCTGGAGGCAGGAGCAGAGATTTCAGACTTCTGATTTCTGTGAGCCATTCCACACTTTCCTCTCGGTTAGGGGAGGGACAGCAATAACCAGAGGATGAAGGTGGAACCTTTGCAGTGCACACCTAGGCCAGTGCAGTGGCTTATGCCTGTAATCCCAGCACTTTGGGAGGCTGAGGCGGGTGGATCACTTGAAGTCAGGAGTTTAAGACCAGCCTGACCAATATGGCGAAACCCTGTTTCTACTACAAATACAAATATTCGCTGGGCATGGCAATGCATGCCTGTAGTCCCAGCTACTTGGGAGGCTGAGGCCTGAGAATTGCTTGAACCCAGGAGGCAGAGGTTGCAGTGAGCCAAGATCATGCCACTGCATTCCAGCCTGGGCGACAGAGATTCCATCTTGAAAAATAAAGTTCCAAATACCTAAATGCTCAAACTTTAGGAGGCAGCTCTCTGGGCTGTGGGCTGTCAGCATCCCCCTCCTAGATTCCAGGGATTTGGTTACATAGTTCTTTAGCTGTAATGCAGAGTATAAATTTTAGAACCCACATGGCCCCAAATTCAAATTGTTTTAATGCATGTAACTAGTGACTAAAAACTTAGAATTTCAATTTACATCCAAGAGGTGGCACCATAACACAACAGCAAAAAGCCACACAAACTGAAACTCGTTTCCTTTTGTAGTGAACAGCACTATTAGGTAGTCTGCAGTGCCTGACTACGGGCTCACATGCTGTGATCCTTCTCGTTTTCTCAGAGCCATTCCTTAAGCTTAGTCCCCTTGTATCTTAAATTTAGCTCAGGTCGGAGTGTTGTTAACTTGGGGCCAGCTGGGTTCGTGAGAGTCTCAGCCCATTGCCATGGTGGAGTCAGCATGGTCTTGAGTTCCTTCCTTAACTCTGCAGGTTTCAGAAATCCACGTAGCCAGTGTTTCTGAAAATGGATCTAGGCTGGGCAATTGGCAAGGAGCTAATTTCTTATCAAGATGCCAGCTTATTAACTTGAGTGAAGAACACAACTGCCAAATAGACTGTATAGTGGGATCTGCTAGTGAGAACATTCTGTCCCTTTGGGAAATCTCTTTAAGAGAATCATCATTTGAAGGCTGCTTGGAGAGCCTGGAATCAGAGCCAGGGAAATTAGGGGCCAGGGTAAGGGAGCTATGACCATCTATAGCTCCCATTTCTGCTGCAGGGATGGACCTATGGTATCAGCCAGCCACAGAAGGTCTTTTGGGACAACACTGGAGATAATGATCCTTCATAGTACAGGAACTCCCTTTTTCTAGGTTGCAGGAAGACCACCTATTTCTACCCACATAGGCATTCCTCAGACAATCCTCATAATTTAGTTATTAAGGGTTTTTGCATTTTATAATCCTGTCTGCCTCAGGGTCCATCGGTCCCCTAGATAGAGTTTGGGGAGGGAAGAATCCCCAAACTTTGCAGCCACAAGTTACGTACTCCCTGGTCATTTCTACAGAAAACTAATCTGTGATGTGTTTTTACTATCGCAGTGACGTTCAAACTGTTTCAAAGCCTTAGGTTTCCCCAGAGATGCCTAGGGGGATTGGGGCACTGTGGACAATAAGGGAGTGAGTCAAGTCAACAGAAATGCTAGCTAGCCTTTAGTTCTCTTCTACAGCCGTACTGGGTGGCATGTACACGTGATAGCTGCTCACACCACATGTGGCTATTGAGCACTTGAAATGTGGCTAACATAATTTAAAAGTAAAAGGTAAGGCTGGCCATGTTGGCTCACGCTTGTAATCCCAGCACTTTGGGAAGCTGAGGTAGGAGGATAGTTTGTGGCCAGGAGTTTGAGACCAGCTTGGGCGACGTGGTAAGACCCCATTTCTCCAAAAAAAATTAAAAAAATTAACTAGGCATGGTGGTGTGTGCCTGTAGTCTCAGCTACTTGCGAGGCTGAGGCAGGAGGATCACTTGAGCTCAGGAGTTCGACGTAGTGAGCCATGATTGCGCCACTGCACTCCAGCTTGGGTGAGAGGGCAAGACGCTGTCTCAAATAAATAAAAATGAGCCCCCTCCCCCTCCCCCTCCCCCTCTCCCTCACCCTCTCCCTCTCCCCACGGTCTCCCTCTGATGCCAAGCCAAAGCTGGACTGTACTGCTGCCATCTCGGCTCACTGCAACCTCCCTGCCTGATTCTCCTGCCTCAGCCTGCCCAGTGCCTGTGATTGCAGGCGCGCGCCGCCACGCCTGACTGGTTTTGGTGGAGACGGGGTTTCGCTGTGTTGGCCGGGCCGGTCTCCAGCCCCTAACCACGAGTGATCCGCCAACCTCGGCCTCCCGAGGTGCCGGGATTGCAGACGGAGTCTCGTTCACTCAGTGCTCAATGGTGCCCAGGCTGGAGTGCAGTGGCGTGATCTCGGCTCACTACAACCTACACCTCCCAGCCGCCTGCCTTGGCCTCCCAAAGTGCCGAGATTGCAGCCTCTGCCCGGCCGCCACCCCGTCTGGGAAGTGAGGAGTGTCTCTGCCTGGCCGCCCATCGTCTGGGATGTGAGGAGCCCCTCTGCCTGGCTGCCCAGTCTGGAAAGTGAGGAGCGTCTCCGCCCGGCCGCCATCCCATCTAGGAAGTGAGGAGCGCCTCTTCCCAGCCGCCATCACATCTAGGAAGTGAGGAGCGTCTCTGCCCGGCCGCCCATCATCTGAGATGTGGGGAGCGCCTCTGCCCCGCCGCCCCATCTGGGATGTGAGGAGCGCCTCTGCCCGGCCGAGACCCCGTCTGGGAGGTGAGGAGCGTCTCTGCCCGGCCGCCCCGTCTGAGAAGTGAGGAGACCCTCTGCCTGGCAACCACCCCGTCTGAGAAGTGAGGAGCCCCTCCGCCCGGCAGCTGCCCCATCTGAGAAGTGAGGAGCCTCTCCGCCCGGCAGCCACCCCATCTGGGAAGTGAGGAGCGTCTCCGCCCGGCAGCCACCCCGTCCGGGAGGGAGGTGGGGGGGGGTCAGTCCCCCGCCCGGCCAGCCACCCCATCCGGGAGGGAGGTGGGGGGGTCAGCCCCCCGCCTGGCCAGCCGTGCCGTCCGGGAGGGAGGTGGGGGGTCAGCCCCCCGCCCGGCCAGCCGCCCCGTCCGGGAGGTGAGGGGCGCCTCTGCCCGGCCGCCCCTACTGGGAAGTGAGGAGCCCCTCAGCCCGGCCAGCCACCCCGTCCGGGAGGGAGATGGGGGGTCAGCCGCCCCGTCCGGGAGGGAGGTGGGGGGGTCAGCCCCCCGCCTGGCCAGCCGCCCCGTCCGGGAGGGAGGTGGGGGGGTCAGCCCTCCGCCCGGCCAGCCGCCCCGTCTGGGAGGTGAGGGGCGCCTCTGCCCGGCCGCCCCTACTGGGAAGTGAGGAGCCCCTCTGCCCGGCCAGCCGCCCCGTCCGGGAGGGAGGTGGGGGGGGGTCAGCCCCCCTGCCCTGCCAGCCGCCCCGTCTGGGAGGTGAGGGGCGCCTCTGCCCGGCCGCCCCTACTGGGAAGTGAGGAGCCCCTCTGCCCGGCCACCACCCCGTCTGGGAGGTGTGCCCAACAGCTCATTGAGAACGGGCCAGGATGACAATGGCGGCTTTGTGGAATAGAAAGGCGGGAAAGGTGGGGAAAAGATTGAGAGATCGGATGGTTGCTGTGTCTGTGTGGAAAGAAGTAGACATGGGAGACTTTTCATTTTGTTCTGCACTAAGAAAAATTCCTCTGCCTTGGGATCCTGTTGATCTGTGACCTTGCCCCCAACCCTGTGCTCTCTGAAACATGCGCTGTGTCCACTCAGGGTTAAATGGATTAAGGGCGGTGCAAGATGTGCTTTGTTAAACAGATGCTTGAAGGCAGCATGCTCGTTAAGAGTCATCACCACTCCCTAATCTCAAGTAATCAGGGACACAAACACTGCGGAAGGCCGCAGGGTCCTCTGCCTAGGAAAACCAGAGACCTTTGTTCACTTGTTTATCTGCTGACCTTCCCTGCCAAATCCCCCTCTGTGAGAAACACCCAAGAATTATCAATAAAAAAATAAATTAAAAAAAAATAAAAATAAATAAATAAAAATGAAAAACAAAAGCATAATAGAAATAAAGACCATGTTGGAAACAGTGCAACAGAGAAGAGGCTGAAAACGGTATGAAATTTAGAAGGCAAGATAGAGAACAGTGAATAAAGACAGGAAAATAACAGCTATAGAAGTCAGTTAAAAATAATAATAATAATTATTATTATTATTATTATTATTTGAGACGAAGTTTCGCTCTTGTTGCCTAGGCTGGAGTGCAGTGGTTCAATCTTGGCTCACTGCAACCTCCGCCTCCCAGGTTCAAGCGATTCTCCTGCCTCAGCCTTCCAAGTAGCTGGGATTACAGGCCTGAGCCACCATGCCTGGCTAAATTTTTTTCTTGTTGTTGTATTTTTAGTAGAGACGGGGTTTCACCATGTTGGCCAGGCTGGTCTCAGACTCCTGACCTCAGGCGATCCATCCGCCTTGGCCTCCCAAATTACTGGGATTACAGGCGTGAACCACTGCATCCAGCCAAAATTATTCATTTTTGTATTGTTTCACTTTTTATATTTTTTATTTTATTTTATTATTTTATTTTATTTTAATTTTATTTTGAGACGGAGTCTCACTCTGTCACCCAGGCTGGAGTGCAGTGTCGCAGTCTCGGCCTACTGCAAGTTCTGCGTCCTGGGTTCACGCCATTCTCCTGCCTCAGCCTCCTGAGTAGCTGGGACTGCAGGTGCCCGCCACCACGCCCGGCTAATTTCTTTTTGTATTTTTAGTAGAGACGGGGTTTCACCGTGTTAGCCAGAATGGTCTCGATCTCCTGACCTCGTGATCCGCCTGCCTCGGCCTCCCAAAGTACTGGGATTACAGGCGTGAGCCACCGCGCCAGCTTTATTATTTTGTAAACACACAAGTTGAGGAAATTTTAAAATGAGAAAAATACACACACAAACAACAAAGCTCTAGCCATTAGCAATTAGAACAGCTTTATTTACCTAATTCAGACAAAGAGACTGGAGATTCTTTAGGGAGTTAAAGGCACGAGCAGTGGAAAAAAACCATGAGATCATCATCACATCATCCCCTGAAGCTGTCTCAGGAGGAGTCACTGAAACCCAGAGAAAATCTAACTGGTAATTAATACATAGGGCTCTCGTGTCCCTGAGGGAAAGGAGTGAAAACACCAACTGAATTAGCCCATACATGGGGCTGTCTGTGCCCTTTAGGGAGAGGAGTGAAAACAACTGAAATCAGCCCATCAGCCCATGAAGACACTGGTGAAAATTATGCGACTTGTCCTTCTTGCACCTAAGCAGCCCACAGATAACTCACTCTTATATACGAACCTGACTGACTGGGTAGCCATTATGTGCCTAGCTTAGTGCTGCATGCTTTATGCTCTCTCTTAATCCTGCAATGGGGCAGTCGAATCACATATTAGCTGTTTTTGTTGCCTGTTTGTTTTTGAGACGGAGTCTCGCTCGGTCACCCAGGCTGGAGTGCAGTGGTGCAATCTTGGCTCACTGCAACCTCCGCCTCCTGGGTTCAAGCGATTCTCCTGCCTCAGCCTCCGGAGTAGCTGGGATTACAGTCATGTACCACCACACCCAGCTAATTTTTGTATTTTTAGTAGAGATGGGGTTTTGCCATGTTGGCCAGGCTGGTCTGGAACTCCTGACCTCAGGTGATCCTTCCACCTTGGCCTCCCAAAGTGATGGGATTACAGGCGTGAGCCACCGTGCCTGGCCAGCTGTTCTGACTGAAGACTTGTCTTCTTCGTTAACCTGCTCCTCCTGTTTCATCCTGCAAATGTTTAAATCTGAGGGGTATTATCCACAGCTCATCTCCACTTTTCTAATCTGACAGCACTGATAATTGAATTCCTCAGAAGCAAGATGTTTCTCTGGCACCCAGAGGCCTCAGCAGTGTCACGACAGCTGAAGTGTCACTTATTCCTCATCCTGGGCACACCATGATGGAGTGCAGCCCCACTGATTGGGACCCATGCAGCCAGCCTGGCCCAGGGCCACTCTCTCTCCCAGAATGTGCACAAGTCAAGGGATCTCTACTTCCATCCTTATTTTCCTCAAAAGCTGGTGCCAGCAGTAATCAACCAGACTTCTAGAAAAGAGGAGATAATCTGCTCTCAAGGCTGCTGTGGGCTCCAGTGTTGTAATCTACTACTTGAATCTAGTTGTTTATTTCATTCTATAATAATTTAATACAGCAGATGTCAGGAGAAATCTTTGTTTAGATATTATGTCATATCTGGATATATCTGAATCCTGAATGATTAATCTAAATATTAACAATATTCACTTCTGCCAATGTCAAGAGTATTTTCTGCTACTGGGCTTAAATCAATTTTAAAATTTGAGAGTTTTAAAAGCATATCTTTCTGTGTTCATAAATAAACAGAACGAAGATTCTTTGAGTACCTTATATAATTTTTCACACAGAATTAACCAAAGCCTTATTTAATATTTCAAAATCCTCATTTATATATATTAAATATGTGTCTCTGGTTAAAATGCAAGATACTGAAAGAAAAATTCAAATAGGCATTTCAGTGAATAGTTTACATATAATATCTAATTTGTCTGACATTACAAAGTAAGTACTTTCACAACTAACATTTCCAGCTAACTAAAGTCCAATAATAATAGAGGCCACCTTAAACTGGGAGTATTTATTTCCTATATTGCCTAATTTAAAAAAAATCCTTTTCACTGTAGATTATTGTGCTAATTAGAAGAAGTCAACAGTCTACGGCATAGTTTTCCATACACAGCCAGATCTGTGTTTGGATTGAATGAATCAAATGAAATAGGAAGTCTAGGGAAATTTTTAAGGTATAAAAAATTGTATTTCGGTTTGGCTTGAACTTGTTTAAAATAAATAAAATTTTTAAAAAACATTATATTTAGGAAACAAGTAGAGTTCTTTTATGAGAGTTCAAAATTAGTGCTGTCAATAACCTGATTCAGGGTAAATGATTATTTCCTTCAATTTTAACATTCTAAACTTAAAGCTGACATTTTATTACCCTTAATTCTATTATAAAGTCCTACATTTTTCTTTAGGTGAATAAAATACAAGGGATAATTACCTATTTGTCTGTTGAGCATTATAAGGAAAGTGGCTTTGGAAACAAAAACCATGCTAGAAATCTCCCCAGATGTCTTTTTCCTATGTGGTTTCAAGAACCCCAAAACTATTCTCAGAGCAGTGACTCAAGTTTATTACATTCTGTATAACCCCAAGTCCACCTAGCACTCAAAAACAAAACACAAACAAAAAACTCTAAAAGTCCCCAGCATCCTGTTCTCAAAAGGACATTAATCTGATGTGTTCAGTAATTAACATTTGACATTCTAAATTCACTACTAATTTCCAAATGGCAAATGTTAGTAATTTTATTTTAATTTATGTATTTATTTATTTTTGAGATGGAGTCTTGCCCTGTCACTTAGGCTGGAGTGCAGTGGCACAATCTCGGCTCACTGTAACCTCCACCTCCCAGGTTCAAGCGATTCTCCAGCCTCAGCCTCCCTAGTAGCTGGGACTGCACCACCATGCTTGGCTAATTTTTGTATTTTTCATAGAGACGGGGTTTTTGCCATGTTGGCTAGGCTGGTCTCGAACTCCTGACCTCAGATGGTCCACCTCCTTGGCCACCCAAAGTGCTGAGATTACTAGCATGAGCCACTGAGCCTGGCCAAATGCTACTAATTTTAGCTCAACTTTTATACAAACCATCTTCCACATTTGAAGTGTTTATTTTCTGAATGAGATAACTTGCTTTCCTTTGCTAATTCACATATGAATTAACATAAGGAAACAATCACAAATCCTTAATTCTCAACGTCTTCTGCCCTACCTCATCTTCTGCCCGTTACTCTACATCCTTTATGTCAACACTACGCTTTACAATTTACCAAATACTTCCCTCCCGTTGATTCAACAAATGTTTATGCAGCACCTATTGTGTCCTACTAGGGATTTAATGGTCACAACTCTATATTCTCAAGTTCTTCCTTTGATTATTTATTTTTATAATTCTGTGAGGGTGGCAGGGTGGGTATTGTCCCCATTTTTACAGCTGAGCCAATAAGCTCAGTGTTTACATGATTTTCTCACGGTCACATATGTTTTAAGCACAGAACTGGAAGCTAGGATTCCTTATACCTAATGCCATATGTTATTACAACAGACTACTTGAAATTAATTCTATTTGACACTATTTTATTTGCTCTCACTCTTAAATTATCTTTAAGCTTTTTTTCATGTTATTTTCTGTCTTATGAAGCAGAAACTGTACCTTTTATTTCTTCCTGGTTTTAAGCAGATCAGGGGCAGGGGTACAGTCTGATAGTAACTGCTGTTAAAAAACAAAAACCATAACAACATAGATTATTCATGCAGCATGCAGAATTTACTCATGTTAAAAGGTTTCCTCCCATTTTTTCAAGCACGGCTGATACTCAGGACACAAGCAGCCTAGCTGTGTTGGGTGTTAAAACATTTAAATACTGTTGGAAAACCACCTCTCTTCTGAGCTTCCTGAGAAGTACTCCTCCAGCGCTGGCCTTGGACCCATACATCTCCCTTTGTGTCAACAGCTGGCACAGCACAGAATCCTGACCTAAAGCTACAGTCAGCTATACTGTCCCAACTACTGGTCAGTGCCTGTGCTTTCTCAGGAGATGATTTTATAAATCTTTTTTTTTTTCTTTGAGAGAGTTTCGCTCTTGTTGCCCAGGCTGGAGTGCAATGGCATGGTCTCAGGTCACTGCCACCTCCACCTCCCAGGTTCAAGTGATTCTCTTAACTCAGTCTCCCGAGTAACTGGGATTACAGGCATCCGCCACCATGCCTGGCTAATTTTCGTATTTTTAATAGAGACAGGATTTCACCATATTGGCCAGGCTGGTCTCGAACTCCTCACCTGGGGTGATCTGCCCATCTCAGCCCCCCAAAGTGCTGCGATTACAACTGTGAGCCACCGTGCCCAGCCTATAAATCATTACTTTTAAGAGACAGCATCTATCTAGCCCAAACTGGAGTACAGTGCCATGATCCTAGCTCACTGTAGTCTTGAACTCTTCCCGGACTCAAGGGAGCCTCCTGCCTCAGCCTCCTGAGTAGCTAGGACTACAGGCGTGCACCACCACACCCAGCTAATTTTAAAATTTTCTGTAGAGACAGGATCTTGCTACATTGCCCAGGCTGGCCTCGAACTCCTGGCTTCAAGTGATCTTCCCGCCTCGGCCTCCCAGAGTGCTGGGATAACAGGTGTGAGCCACCATACCCAACCAGGTGATATTTTTGATAACACTTCTGCTTTCAGAGAAGATTCTGGGGTGTAGTCAGGACATTACTATCTAGACTAAATATCTGTAGTATCAAATCCTATCTTTATATAACAGCACTGGCTTCTTGCCTACTGATGTAATTAGGGAGGTTACAGGGAAAACCCTTACTATTAAAATTGTATTTGCATCTTAGTGTGACTGCCCGACTTATTAGGTCATTTCCAATAAAACAGTTACCCGAGAGGATGGCTCTTCAGGAAGGGAGAATAAAAGGGAGAGGTAGATGGAGAGCATGAAGTACCTGGAGAAGTCAACCTCGAGGGCCTAGAGTGGGGTGCTAAGAGAGAAGGCATTAAAAATAGGTTTACGAAGATGCCCCCGTTTTTTTTATGAGATGAAGTCTTGCTCTGTTGCCCAGGCTGGAGTGCAGTGGCACGATCTTGGCTCACTGCAACTTCCGCCTCTGGGCTTCAAACAATTGTCCTGCCTCAGCCTCCCGAGTAGCTGGGATTACAGGCATGTGCCACCACACCCGGCTAATTTTTGTATTTTTAGTAGAGACGGGGTCTCATCATGTTGGTCAGGCTGGTCTCGAACTCCTGACCCCAAGTGATCCGCCCACAGCCTCCCAAAGTGCTGGGACTACAGGCATGAGCCACCATGCCTGGCTGGAAGACGCCTTTTTAAATATATATATTTTTTTGTCACTCTAATAAAGTCAGGAAGGTGCCTGTTAATTCCTTTGACCTATGTTGAAATTTGCACTCTTAATGTTACTGTTAAACCAAATAAGCCCTTTTCAACAGATATGAAGGACAGCATAAAAAAACCCAAAAATCTCATTTCACCATATTAATAAATGGGCTAACTGCCAGAACTTGGGAGTGAAGATGCTTAAATATTTTAAAATTTTTATTTGAATGAAATCATTGTAATAATCATTAAAGTGATTTGAAATAGAATGATCTCTGTGAAAGGAAGTTTATAGCATCACTATTTATAGGAGAGAAAGCAGCAGAGGTATGCATCTGGAAGTGAATATAACATTGTAAAATCAGCCCACATTAAATACCAAAAAAGTAAGAACCATCAAAATGCAGCATTATTTACAGGATTAAAAAGTGTGAACAGTACAGAGTTAAACTTTCTTATGTGTGAATTTTGACCTGCTATGTTGTTAGCAAAAAGCTTTAGTGTTTGTATAAAATGATGTGTACCCTTATCCCAACCACCACCAGATCAAGACACAAACTGACAATGATTCCTTCCTTATTTTACAGCTTTATTACTGATTTCCCTCTAAAAAGAGACTCAAGTGTGGAGCTGACTCATCTATAGATTAAGGAATCACAAAGTACCATAGTCACTTAACAAATGCAAAAAAAAAAAAAAGCAATTGTTTTACCTTTCAACTGCTGATGTTATGTACAATCTATCACAAAAAGCATAGCTGTGCATTCATGAGCTGATTATATCAACCTCTAGAATTTTAGAAACGAGCACATCTAAGCATATGGATACTCTCTTACCTTACAAAGTAAAAGCATTTTCTATTTTAAAATTTTTATTTCTGTGTAAAACAAAGAATTCCTAGAGGTCAAATAATATACCAAACTTAAAGCACTATTAAGTCATGAAACAAAGAAGATTCTGAGGTAGAAGTCAAGCAATATAATCCACAGTTTCAGGTATTCCCAGCAACCATCGCATTTCGCAAGTAAGATCTATTTTTTTTAAAGTCTCAACTTCCAAAAAATCAATAATCCATTCTGTAAAATCAGATGTAAAACTATGACCAACAGAAGACACCCAAACTTTTCTCATGGTAACAGAGTAAATGCTTTTACTAAAAGCTGCCAACATTTCTATCAGTAGTAACCGTAAGGAGGCCGCTGGTTGTAACCATAATGTCCATATTGCTGGGGATAGTAAGGTTCTTGTCTGTGTTGCGGGTAGTTGTTACCCCAGGATCGTCCATGCCACTGATTGGATCGATTGTCACTTGGCCACCCCCATCTGTTGTCCCTGCCTCTGAACTGTCTGTTGTCTTGCAACCTACAACAATAAAACAAAAAAGATCTTTAAACTTCCCTTGTTAAAAAAAACATATGACAAACCCATAGCAGTGCTTCTGGTTTCTCATTCTAATACACAATAAATAAGACTAAAAAACATTTTTCACAATAGAATGTTATAGTGCCAGTTATTCAAAACTTTCCTAAGATTGAAATCATTCTTCCAGTATTATACTAGGTACACTTTACAGAGACATAGGCAGACTATATAACCAATAGAATAGTTCCAAATTAAAGTGAAATCTATTCAATTGTACAAAAATGGTATGGTAATTTATTCCTTTGACTATTTTGAATTATTAAGTAAAAGTAACTTCCATTTGTAAACTTCTTCCTAAAGTAAAATCGAAACAATGTTTTCTTTATGGAATTGAACAAGCTGTAGAAAACTCTAGGTTTTTAAAGTAGATTTGCATTGAAAATATTAGTCTACAGAAAAAACATCTAAAAACAAAAAAACACACGCACTTGAACAGCAAGGAAAAAATACATGGTGCTGAAAAAATATTAAAGCAAATATTTATCAGAAATGATGTACCAGGTACTGTTATTAGGTACTAGGTATGCCATACCAAAAACACTGGTCCCTGCCCTCACTGGCCTTCCAGTCTAGCAGATTAAAGCTATCCTCTGCCAGATCAACTATCTGCATTTATTCTTTTGAATACACACCGATTGCCTCTGTTTCTTTGGTTCCCACCAGCTCTGCTATTCCATTCCTCAACAATTGGAGGAGACTCAGGAGGGCGTTTCAGGTATTCCTGATACTCCTTGTCATTTTCTGTGAATCTACTAGCAAACATCTCTTCAAACTTTGGAACAGCTTCGGCAGTGTCAGTCATTCTGAAAATCTGTACAATTTTAAAGACATTTCCATTAAAAAAAATTTAAAAATTAACACTCTCTCCAAATAATGAAAAACCAAGAAGTAAGCAATTTTTAGGCGGGGTATTCATGGAAGTCTTTGTGTGCTTTCAGACATGTCATATTTTAGATATTGAATTCAACATTTTTTTTTTTTTTTTGAGACAGGGTCTCTCACTTTGTCACCCAGGCTGGAGCACAGCGGCACAACCTCGGGTCACTGCAGCCTTGACTTCCCTGGCTCAAACAATCCTCCCACCTCAGCCTCCCAAGTTGCTGGAACTACAGGTGCATGCCACCCACACCCGGCTAATTTTCGTATTTTTTGAAGAGACGGGATCTCGCCATGTTGCCTAGGCTGGAAGTCTTGGGCTTCGGTGATCCTCCTGCCTTGGCTTCCCAAAGTGCTGGGATTACAGGCATGAGCCACTGTGCCTGGCCCGAATTATTTTTCTTACTTTATTAACTTCCAATAAAAGGTTTGGGACAAAAAGATGTGACAATGGAAGCTATTGTGATAACTTCTTCATTAGTCTGCCTTTCCTCCAAACATATGCAAATATTTGTAACATTTATACTACCTACTTTAACCCCAACAAAATTAAACGGAAATTATTGTTGCATTGCAAGAAACAATATGTAGATTTTTTCTTTTTCCTTTTCCCCCAGACGGAGTCTTGCTCTGTCACCCAGAGTTGGAGTGCAATGGCGCGATCTCAGCACACTGCAACCTCTGCCTCCCAGGTTCAAGCAATTCTCCTGCCTCAGCCTCCCAAGTAGCTGGGATTACAGGCACGCGCCACCACACCCAGCTAATTTTTGCATTTTTAGTAGAGATGGGGTTTTGTTGGCCAGGCGGGTCTTGAACTCCTGACCTCATAATCCGCCCGCTTTGGCCTCCCAAAGTCCTGGGATTACAGGTATGAGCCACTGCGCCCAGCCTTTTTTTTTTTTTTTTTTTGAGACGGAGTTTCACTCTTGTTGCCCAGGCTAGAGTGCAATGGCGCGATCTCGGCTCACTGCAATCTCTGCCTCTCGAATTCAAGTGATTCTCCTGTCTCTGCCTCCCGAATAGCTGGGATTACAGGTGCACGCCCGCTCGCTAATTTTTGTATTTTT
Organism: Homo sapiens; assembly: GCF_000001405.40. NCBI lineage: Eukaryota > Metazoa > Chordata > Mammalia > Primates > Hominidae > Homo > Homo sapiens. The sequence continues at coordinate 82,987,877 of NC_000015.10, read as the reverse complement.
AGTAGAGACAGGGTTTCATCATGTTGGCCAGGCTGATCTTGAACTCCTGACCTCAGGTGATCTGCCTGCCTCAGCCTCCCAAAGTACTGGGATAACAGGCATAAGCCACCGCGCCCAGCCTGACACTCTTATCTTTCAGGCTATTGCTCTTAGTATGCTTTATCAAATACCAAATATCAGACTTTCAATGTGTCTGGGATTGGCAAACTATATCAAATTCTCAAATCCAAGGAATGAGTTTTAAATAAATTCAGCTAATTAAAAATCATGTCTAGAATTCTAGTGGGATCACAGAAATCACTAAAAAGATGACCCATACCTAATCCAGATGGGCAGTAAAAATCATAAGGCAAGGAAAAGGTGCTACTCCATTTTTATGTTCTCATATGTTCTCCCACGACTCCCCACCCATACTCATGTAAACAAATATCAACTGTATTATTACTGAGAACGAAATTTAAATAGAATGTTAATCGACCCAAGCTTTACTTACCCCAAAGGTTTGAGGCAGCTGTACTGCTTAATGTTTAGGTTGTTTAAATCTGTGGGAGGAAAAAAACAAACTTGACTTTATTTAAGGAAACTCTCAAAAGGTGTTTGTAGGGGAGGGTGGCGCATAAGAGTCTTATTCAAGGAAAGAATTGGAGTAAAAGTGCTCTAAGGCCAGGCGCGGTGGCTCACCTCTGTAATCCCAACACTTTGGGAGGCCGAGGCGGGCAGATCACGAAGTCAAGAGATCGAGACCAGCCTGGCTAACACGGTGAAACCTCGTCTCTCCTAAAAATAGAAAAAATTAGCCAGGCGTGGTGGCATGTGCCTGTAGTCCCAGCTACTCGGGAGGCTGAGGCAGGAGAATCGCTTGAACTTGGGAGGCGGAGATCGCGCCACTGCACTCCAGCCTGGGCGACAGAGCGAGACTCCGTCTCAAAAAAAAAACAAAAAACAAACCAAAAAAACGCTCTAAAGACTTCCAAAGCTAATATTCCAAAGAGGGAACTGGTTCTCAAGAGCAAGAAGCTACAAGATTTGTCCTCTGGGCCTTCAAAAGCAAAATAGTTCAAGTATGAATACAAACTTCATAAAGTATGTATGTTCTTTTAGGGTAAGCCTTTCAGATTTGTACTTGAATACTGCTAATTTATTCACCACAAATAAAACCACAAAGAACTTTGGCTGCGGGCGACTAACCCTGGAAATAACCAACCAGAATGGGGTTTCGCTGCCCTGGGAGGTGAGCCCGGGGAACAGACGAAGATGCAGACTGAAAACAACTGCGTTTTCCAGTCCGTCCTCAAGGCACATCACAGCTTGCTTACCAAGGTTCTGGCAGATTTGCTCCCTTCCGAAGCACCTTATACCTCCAGAAGTGAGGGAAATTATGGGCCGTGAGAAGTAAACGGGCTTCGGTCTAGCAAAGAGTACAGATCACCGCACAGGGGGAGGACACCTCGCTGGCCACCCAGCTCGGCCGCCCCGCTCCCTCCTCCCGGGCGTCCGGGGCGACTCACCCGCCAAGGGCTATGTCAATCCAGCTCAGGCCGAACCCCGCCGGCGAGACACTGAGAAGCCCAGGAGAGGTGGCCTCTGGTCCACTACACCGTGGAACTCCAGACCACTCCAGTTCTCCAATGTAACCGAGCGCCTTCCTCTAAAATCCGACAACCACCTGACTTCCGCTTCCGGCGGGCTAAAGTTGAGGGTGCCTGTCAAGTCTCGCGATAACTAAGGCTCTCCGTGTGGATCGCTTTGCAACAGATCGCTTCTTCAAATGCTGGCACAACGCCCAGAGCTCGATGAGGTGTGGGCAAGTAGCTGTCTAAAGGTGGATGATGCCCTCCATGCACTTTCAGCCTGCCTGGTGGCTGGGCAGTCGAAAACGTCGCCGTCTATTAAGCTCCTTTGATTGGGAGCAGGTGACGGGTAGAGACGGAAGTTCTGGGAATCACCGGAGAAGGGAGGGAAGGGCTCCTTCCGGCCGCCTGCTCCCGGAGTCTTCGTGGGGAACGTGAGGTGAGAGCAGGCGGTGAAGAGTAGACACGACTGATGACTTCAGGGATGCTACACCTTTCTCTCCTGCCTGGGCAAGCCTCGGTAGTAAGATTTCCGTAGTCCGTTTTGTATGTGGTTTTGCAGAAACATACCCCCTCTCTGCTCCAGCTTCAGTCGTCAGTATCCAGCTACTTCCAAGAGTCTTGCCCATGTCTTGTGGGATGTTCAGCAAATGTATAAACACTTAATATCCCGACAAAGCTTGGCCTCTTCCCTCCCAAATTACTTCCCAGGCTATGCACCCGTTTTTGTTAATACAACCAACTTGGAAACTTTGATGTCAGATTTGATGCCCTTTCTTGCCTTTCCATGCTCCAATCACTTGCCAAGTCCTGTCGATTGTACCCCTACAGTAATTCTTGCATCTTCTTACCCACTGCCCCCACCTAATCAACGTTCTCATTACCATCCCCTGCACGGTGTCAGTGCAGTACCTTTCTCATTGATGTCCTGCCTCTAGCATCACTCTGCTACTAGCCTATCTTACATATACCTGCTATAGGTGTAGCCATCTTCAAGCACCACCGTGATCCAAAATAGCTGATCCAATGGCTCTCTGTTGCCTGTAGATTAAAGGTCAAGTTTATTAACTTGGATTCAAAACTTTTTTTATTTTCTGCTGTTCCCCTTCCATTCTCCCTCAGTCAGTGGTAAACCAGACCCTGTGAAGTACGTCATGCATAAATTATTACATTTTTATAGATTGCTCATGTCCCTTGCATGAAATACCTGTCTCTCCCCCTCATCTCCAAATGTTGAAATTCTTTCCATTATTTAAAGCTTTAGAAAGTGACATCTCTACCTAGAAATAATTTTTCTTTCTATTGAGAGTCCATCATATTTCTGGAATTTCATGTATTTAGTTATTACCACTTTCTAACTTCGAACTAAAATTATTTACTTGCAAGTCTTTCCCCCTATTAAACTGTAAACAGGCCTTTATCTAATGCATTTCTACATTCTGGAGTGTATAACATTGTGCTTTTTTTGTTTGTTTGTTTGTTTGTTTCTTTGACACAGGGTCTCATTCTGTTGCCCAGGCTGGAGTGCAGTGACGTGGTCATGGCATACTGCAGCCTCGACTTCCTGGGCTCAGGCGATCCTCTCAGCTCAGCCTCCGGAGAGCTGGGACTACAGGTGCACACCACCACCCTGCTAATTTTTTGTATTTTTTGTAGAGATGGAATTTTGCAGTATTGCCCAGTCTGGTCTCGAACTCTGGGCTCAAGCAGTCCACCCACCTCAGCCTCCCAAAGGGCTGGGATTACAGGCCTGAGCCGTGGAGCCCAGCCCCACATTGTGCTTTTTCCATGACGTTAGCACTGAATAAATGTTTGTGGAATGAATGATAGAACTATGAATATTCCAAGTAATGTTTTAGAAACATTAACCTAGCAAAAGTATATAGGATAGTATGGATGAGGGAATAGGATAGTCTTGGTGTTGGGTAGTAAAGGTAAGAGGTGTAACAACCAAGGTTACAATAATTGAATAAAAGGCCGGGTGCGGTGGCTCACGCCTGTAATCCCAGCACTTTGGGAGGTCGAGGCGGGTGGATCATGAGGTCAGGAGATCAAGACCATCCTGGCTAACACGGTGAAACCCTGTCTCTACTAAGTATACATAAAATTAGCTGGGCGTGGTGGCCGGCGCCTGTAGTCCTAGCTACTCGGGAGGCTGAGGCAGGAGAATGGCGTGAACCCAGGAGGCGGAGCTTGCAGTGAGCAGAGATTGCGCCACTGCACTCCAGCCTGGGTGACAGAGCAAGACTCCGTCTCAAAAAAAAAAAAAAATAATAATAATAATTGAATAGTACTATTCTGGAGCTCCAGTAGTGCAATTGGTTAGCGCGCTATAGTGCGCTAAATAGTAAATAGTACTATACTTAGTTACTGAGTGGATTACGAGAGAAAAAGATTGGTAGAAATCAGGGAAGGAGCTGGGTGCGGTGGCTTACTCCTGTAATCCCTGCACTTTGAGAGGCCGAGGCAGGCGGATCACTTGAGGTCAGGAGTTCAAGACCAGCCTGACCAACATGGTGAAATCCTGTCTCTACTAAAAAATCAAAAAAATTAGCCGGGCGTGGTCAGGGGCGCCTGTAATCCCAGCTACTCGGGAAGCTGAGGCAGGGAGGATTGCTTGAACTTGGGAGGCAGAGGTTGCAGTGAGCCGAGATTGCACCACTGCCCTCCAGCCTGGGCGACAGAGTGAGACTCCATCTAAAAAAAAAAAGAAAGAAAAGAAAGAAATCAGGAAAGGCTCCAATTCTTTAAGCCTGGGAAATTGGGGCTGAAAAGGAATATCCATAAGGTAAAGTGGCTTTAAGGGAAAAATGAACTCAGAGCCCAAATACATTTGTAAAATTTGAAACACTGGTGAAATATTCAAGAGAAAATTTCCAGGGAGTTGTTAGAAATACAAGACTAAATCTCAGGAAAGAGAGGCTCTACCCAGATATGTAAATGTGTGAGTAATTCATGAAGAAACAATAGTTGAAATCACTGGTGTACAGTTGCTCCCCGACAGGACTGTTTGACTTAACGATTGTTGTACTTTACAATGGTACCATGTGCATTCAGTGGCAGGGTACTTTGAATACCTATACAAACATTCTGTTTTTCACTTTCCGTACAGTAGTCAATAAATTATATGAGATATTCAACATTTTATTATAAAATAAGCTTTGTGTTAAATGAGCTTGCCCAACTATAGGCTAATGTAAGTGTTCTGAGCATGTTTAAGGTAGGCTAAGCTAAGCTATGATGTTTGGTAGATTAGGTGTACTAACTGCATTTTTGACTTAATGATGTTTTCAACTTGTGATGGGTTTATCTGGACATAACCCCGTCAAAAATCAAGGAGCAGCTGTATATGATCTTTTCAACAGGGAAAGTATTCATAGAGAAGAGAAGGCGACCAAGGCCTATCCCTCAGGAAATACCCATATTTAGGAGACAAGAACAGGAAATAGAAAACTTGAAGAGGGGCAGTGTGACAATTGAAAAACTAAGAAAAATGCTTCCTCACCTAGTATCGGGAATCAAGAAGGATATTTGGAAAAGGGGCTTCTTGTAGGCTAGTTTGGTTGTTTCCTTGTGACTATTATTGACATTATTTGTAAGTATTGAGGACTTACCCAGAAAAGAATATAGAGATTGGGCATCCCTAATCCCCAAATACAAAATACAAAATGTCCCCAAATCCAAAACTTTTTGAGTGCCAACATGACACTCAAAGGAAATGCTCATTGGAGCATTTTGGATTTCAGATTTTCATAGTAGGGATACTCAACTGGTATTTTCTTTCCTGTAAATTTGTGTGTGACACTTAGGGGCCTCTAGGCCTCTGAGAGTTTCTGTGAAGAACTCTAGGTATTCCAGCAGATTTTCAAATTTTCAAATGAAATTTTTTTCTGCCCACCAATGTCTTTTCATTCTCTGATATGTTATCGATTATTATGTCTCATTTTCTGACAACAGGAAATCTGTTTCATGAAGGGGAATTTTCTAGATAACTGACACTTAGACTTTAAGCATCAGAAATTTTTTATTGAAACCATTTTTGATGGAAATGTTTGCAAAATGTGGCTCTTACCTATCTGGTATAACCAGAATATATGGGCCATAATTTAATCTTTGCTGGCAACTAAAAGTCCCTGTTAAAGCATCAGTTATATTCTTCTGGATAGTAATATCCTTGGGCCTGTTGATGTGCATGAGAAAGGTTACATCATGAAATTTATAGTGTTTTTTTCTACTCATTGTAGACATTTTGTTTTACTTAAGCAGATATATTTTTTAAATTGTGGTAAAATATATGTAACATAAAAATTACCATTTTAACCATTTGTAAGTGCACAGGTCATTGACAGTAAGTACATTCACATTGTTGTGCAACTATCACCGCCATCCATCTCGAGATTTTTTCATCTTCTCACACTGAAATTCTGTGCCCATTAAACCATAACTGTATTTTCCTCTCCCCTCTGCCCCTAGCAACCACCATTCTACTTTATCTTTATGAATTTGACTACTCTAGGTACCTCATGCAAGTGAAATACATTATATGCTGTTTTGTGACTGGCTTTACTTAGCATAAGGTCTTCAAGGTTCATCCACATTGTAGCATGTGTCAGAATTTCCTTCCCTTTTAATGAATAATATTGCATTGTATGTTTACACCATATTTTGTTATCCATTCATCTATTAATGGACACTTGAGTTTCTTCCTCCTTTTGGCTATTGTGAATAATGCATCTGTGATTATAGATACACAAATATCTATTCAAGTCCCTGCTTTCTATTCTTTTGGGTGCATACCCAGAAGTGGAATTGCTGGATCATATGATAATTTTATTATTAATTTTCTGAGGAACCACTGTAGTGTTTTCCATAATGGCTGTGCCATTTTACATTCCCAATAGCAGTGCACAATTACTCATAACTTTAAACCTTAGTTTGACCCAATGATCTACAGGCAAAACACACCAGCAGAAAGTCCTGGGGAATGCTGGCATCAAAAGAGCTCTGCTTTCAGAGGCCATTCGTGATCTTGGACAATAACCACTTTAAAGACTAAAGCTGAGGGTCAAGAGGTTATGCAGTTTATCCAGGGGCACAGCTGATAAATGAGCCTGTCAAATGGGACAGGAAGAGGGAGATATTGGGCAGCTTGCAGTTCCCTGTGTCTTTGGCCAGTGCATCCTCTGCTCTTGCAAGTTGTGCCTGCAATTATTCCTTCTCTCTTCTCTGTTTTCAACTCTCCGTCTTTACTGGCTGCTTCCACCCCCACACTTGCTCAAATTTCTTCAGTCTCAAAACAAAACTGATACCCTGCCCTCAATCCTGTATCCTCTTCAGACTATCTCGGATCTCCTTTCCCCCCGACATGCGTATTTTACAAAGAATACTCCACATCTGCAGTTTATACTTCTCTATCTTTTCTGTTCAATTCAGTCAAGTTTCTGCCCTTGAGTACTCCACTGAAACCACTCTAATAAAACCACCCTGGCAAAGTTCACTAGGGAAAAGTTGTCCCAGGGCCAAATTCAAGACTCTAAAATTGTCGGCATATTTCATATCTGTGCAGTATTTGATGCTTTTATCTCCTTCCTCCTTTAAACCTTCTCACTTTGTTTCCAAGTTTCTCATGATTGTCCACTTCCCTGGGTCACTGTTTTCTTATTGTTCTGTATTATTTTATGTGATGGTCAGTCAGGGGTGGCCACAAAAGGAGATACAGGAGAGGCTCCGAAAAACAAAGTTCATTACACTCACAGGTCCTGGAGATAGGAAGCACAACACGCCACGCAGAGCCACATGGGAAAGACACCAGGGTGGTCAGAGGCAGAACACAGGAGCAAGGGGAAAGCGTTAGGCCGGAGCCTTTATTGGAGTTTCATTAGGAAAGAAAAGGCAGGTCAGGGTAAACATTTTAGGATTGGCTAGTTTGAATAATTTCAGAGGGCTCTGAACTATAGGGATGGTCCCTAGTTGCCTGGTACCTGGCCCTGGGGTGACTGAGACAGGAATATTGTCTTGTGGGGTGTATGGACCATATAGAGGGGGTATGGCTCTTGATTGGTTGGTTTGTGTATCACAGGCATGCTCTTGGCTGGGCCCTTTTTTAAGACATCAAAACATCATAATATATAACTCTTAGTGGTATATAACAAAAAAACATGATGTACAGAAATTTAAATATATATATGTGTATATATATAAACATGCATACATATATATAATACACTTCTCTATCTCTGTCTCTTTGGCTGATTCCCTCTTCCTCTGCCTGCCACTTAAAAGTTGGTATCCCCATAACCTTGCCTATACTCTCCTTGTGTTGCCTATGCAGACTATCACTTTTGTGGCTTCAGCTTCCATTTCTGTTCTGATGACTCAATGGATATCTCCAGCCATCCATCACATATGAGCTCTAGACTCATAAATACTCCTGCTTGTGAGAAATTTCCATCTGGATGTCCAACAGGCATCTGCAACATGTGTCTAAATGGGAATTCATCTTTCTTCCTGAACCTGTTTATCTACCTCTCTTTCCATTTTCAGAGAATGCTTCCTCGCAGTTTCCCTTGCCAGAAACCTAGCAGCCATCCTGGACTCTTCCATCTCTCTTACTCCAGATACTCAGTGTCTCCCTAAGTCCTGTGAACTTCAGCTTCTGACTGAACTTTCTCTTCTGTTTGTTCACTCCTCTTCATTCCTTCATGTCACCCTCTTAGTTACAGCCCTCATCATTTTTCACACAAACCAAGGTGACAGTCTCTAACTGGTCAGTCCCTGTATCTAGCCTTGCTCCCCTCCAGACCCTTCTCCACTCTGCTAGTAGAGCATCCTTTATCATTGTGAAACATACAGAAAATAATTGATAATAATATAATTAATTGTATATCTATCGGCTAGCTCAGAGTAGCTTGATTATATCTAGGCCTGGATCCATTTACCTTTCAGTGATTCCTAATTTCTTCTAGGATACAATCCAAGCTCCTTAGTTTGGAATGTGCAGCTGATCGAGATTCAACTCTGTCTTATCGGTCCAGTCTCATCTCTTGCCACTCTCCCTGTATTAGTCTGTTCTTATGCTGCTTTATTAATAAAGATATACCCAAGACTAGGTAATTTATAAAGGGAAGAGGTTTAATTGACTCACAGTGCAGCACGGCTGGGGAGGCCTCAGGAAACTTACAATTATGGCAGAAAGGGAAGCAAACACGTCCTTCTTTATATGGTGGCAGGAGAGAGAAAAGTGAGAACCAAGTAAAGGGGGAAGCCCCTTATAAAACTGTCAGATCGTGGCCAGGTGCAGTGGCTTACGCCTGTAATCCCAGCACTTTGGGAGGCCAAGGCGGGTGGATCACGAGGTCAAGAGATCGAGACCATTCTGGCCAACACGGTGAAACCCGGTCTCTACTAAAAATACAAAAATTAGCTGGGTGTGGTGGCACACACCTGTAGTCCCAGCTACTCAGGAGGCTGAGGCAGGAGAATCGCTTGAACCCAGGAGGCAGAGGTTGCAGTGAGCTGAGATTGTGCCACTGAACTTCAGTCTGGCGACAGAGTGAGACTCCCTCTCAAAAAAATAAAAAACTGTCAGATCTCATGAGAACTTACCCACTATCACAAGAATAGCATGGGGGAAACTACCCCCATGATTCATTTACCTCCCTCCCACAACACACGGGGTTTGTTGGAACTGCGAAATGAGATTTGGGTGGTGGCACAGCCAAACCATATCACTGCCTAAATGAACTAAATGCATACCCATATCAAACTGTTTAAAGTTATTGGAAGACTTCGTACTATGTTGTACACATGCTGTCCCTTCTGTTTGCAGTGCCCTCCCCACTCTGGTCTACCTGGTAAACAGCCTTTTCAGGTGAGCTTCCATAATCATCCCACTATTGTCCCCACCTCCAAGTAGAACGGATTATTCTTTATGTCTTTCATATACCTAGTCATGCATTTATCACAGGAAGTGAATTCCTGTGAGGAATTGTAATTTGTTTACATCCACCTAAATTATAAACTCCTTGAGGGTAAGGCCATGTCTTTCACATCTTTAGCAATGAGCATTGAGTCTGGCAATCTGATACATAGTTGGTGCTCGGTTAATATTTATTGATCTTGCCCCTGCCTTCCTCTCCAGGTTTGTTTGTTTATTTCAATATGGGGTCTCCCTCTGTTGCCCAGGCTGGAGTGCAGAGGCACGATCTCGACTCGCCATAACCTCTGCCTCCCGGGTTCAAGCGATTTTCCTGCCTCAGCCTCCAGAGTAGCTGAGACTACAGGTGCCTGCTTCCATGCCCAGCTAATTTTTGTATTTTTAGTAGAGACGGGGTTTCACCATGTTTGCCAGGCTGGTCTTGAAATCCTGACCTCAAGTCAGGATCCACCTGCTTCAGCCTCGCAAAGTGCTGGGATTATAGGTGTGATCCACCGTGCCCGGCCTTCCAGTTTTATTTTTGACTAATTTTTTCCCACTTCCTCTCCCCTCAGTCAACATTCAACCATATATAAAGACTCAGCCCACCTCTTGTACATAACACATTTGTTTCCTGGACTCCCTTTTATCAGATAACCATTCACATTACCTTATTGAATCTGTTTTGATGTTCCTCTTTCCTGCTAGAGTGTAAGTGCTAAGAGTCCAGGGGCCATGTGTGATGTCTCTTCATCTCCAGCACCTAGCACTGAGGCTGACACACATCAGGCAGTGAAGAGATGTTTATTAACATAAGAGTGAAGGACTTAGACTTTCCAATTTCTAAGGTCTCCTCCAGCTCTAAAACTGATTTGAGGCTCTGAAAATTGTGACGTAATCTAAAAGTTTTCTCTGAGCAGATGGTCACAACAGTTGAAGCACCAATTTAAGCAGTTGGCAAATATGAAGGTAAACATTTAAGAAAGTTAATCAGAATGAAGGTGAATCCTTCAACAAGACTGGAAAATTAACAAAACTGTATATCCAAGTAGTCCCAGGCACCCCGTTTGCACCCATGGTGGGTTCCATATGTTCCCTCAGATAACACATGTGCCTTGGGAGCTTCTCAGAAAGGTGTTTAACAACCTCCCTATGACTAAACCACCATTGGCTAGAAATGAGCTGCAAGCATTTATTTCTCTGCAGCAAAAATTACTTTTTTTTTCAGCATTTTGCTATAATTTGCTTGATTTTTGTTAATGCAAAGTAAGATCATTTATGTAATATTTGTGTTCAGGTATAATCCTAATCTAAAGATTCTTAGGATTTTTTTTCACCCCACAAACATTGCTATACAATATATTTCTGGGCTTAGTGTTGGAGGAGTGAGGAGAGTTAAAAAAAAATGTGGAACACAGCTGGGCACGGTAGCTCACGCCTGTAATCCCAGCACTTTGGGAGGCCGAGGGGGGCAGATCACCTGAGGTCAGGAGCTTGAGACCAGCCTGGGCAACATGGTGAAACCCCGTCTCTACTAAAAGTACAAAATCAGCCAGGCATGGTGGCGCATGCCTGTAATCCCAGCTACTTGGGAGGCTGAGGCAGAATTGCTTGAACCCTGGAGGCAGAGGTTGCAGTAAGCCAAGATCACGCCATTGTACTCCAGCCTGGGCAACAAGAGCAAAACTCTGTCTCAAAAAAAAAAAAAAAAAACCACACACAAATCTTAAGATCTAATCGTACTAATTGTAGAGTCAACCAGAAGATAGTTATGATGGTAATATATGCAGTATATAAAATAGTGTGGCCTCATGCCTGTAATCCTAGCACTTTGGGAAGCCGAGGCGGGTGGATCACCTGAGGTCAGGAGTTCGAGACCAGCCTGGCCAACAATGGCAAAACCCTGTGTCTACCAAAAATACAAAAATTAGCTGGGTGTGGTGGTGGGTGACTGTAATCCCAACTACTTGGGAGGCTAAGGCAGGAGCATCGCTTGAACCCGGGGTGCGGAGGTTGCAATGAGCTGAGATTGCACCACTGCACTCCAGCCTGGGCGACAGAGCGGACTCCGTCTCAAAAATAAATAAATAAATAAATAAATAAATAGTGCATGATAATCTAATGGGATGCAGGGAGAGATAATTGCAACTAGATATATAAGTATAGAGGTACTTCAGGGTAAAGGAAGAATAAGAGGAAAGTGAAATTAACCCTGAGAAATTTACTGAAGAAGGTGATTCTGCAACAAGCATATACACGGAGTGCGTGCACACACACACTATGTGGATTGCCAGAAGTGAGCTCCTGTGAGGAATATGGATTCTTGGGTGCAGAGGATGCAGACTGACCATTCTTTTTAAATTTATTTTATTTAAAATTTTTTTAATTTTAATTTATATGGGTTCATGGTGTATATATTTATGGGACACAGGAGATGCTTTGATACCGGCACACAATGCGAAATAAGAACATCATGGAGAATGGGGTATCTATCCCCTCAAGCATTTATCCTTTGTGTTACAAACAATCCAATTACACTCTTAGTTATTTTCAAATGTATGATTAAGTTATTATTTACTGTAGTCACTCTGTTGTGCTATCAAATAGTAGGTCTTACTCATTCTATTTTTGTTGTACTATTTAACTATCCCCACCTTCCTACCATGCCACTACCCTTCTTAGCCTCTGGTAATCATCCTTCTACTCTTTATCTCCATGAGTTCAATTGTTGTGATTTTTAGATCCTACAAGTAAGTGAGAACATGCAATGTTTGTCTTTCTGTGCCTGGCTTATTTCACTTAATGTAATGACCTCCTGTTCCATCTATGGTGTTGCAAATGACAGGACCTCATTCTTTTTTTACGGCTGAATAGTACTCCATTGTGTATATGTACCACACTTTGTTTATCCAATTGTCTGTTGATAGACACTTAGATTGCTTCCAAATTTTAGCTATTGTGAACCGTGCTGCAGCAAACATGAGAGTGTAGATATCTCTGATATGCTGATTTCCTTTCTTTTGGGTATATACCTAGCAGTGGGATTGCTGGATCATATGGTAGCTCTGTTTTTAGTTTTTTGAGGAACCTCCAAAATGTTCTCTATAGTGGTTGTACTAATTTACCTTCCCACCAACAATGTATGAGGCTTCCCTTTTCTCCACATCCTCACCAGCATTTATTGCCTGTCTTTTGGATATAAACCATTTTAACTGGGGTGAGATGATACCTCATTGTAGTTCTGATCTGCATTTCTCTGGTGATCAGTGATGTTGAGCACCTTTTCATATGCCTGTTTGCCATTTGTGTGTCTTTTTTTTCTTTTTGAGACAGTCTCTCTGTTGCCCAGGCTGGAGTGCAGTGGTGCAATCTTGGCTCACTGCAATCTCTGCCACCTGGGTTCACGTGATTCTCCTGCCTCAGCCTCCCGAGTAGCTGGGATTACAGGCGCCCACCACCACGCCCAGCTAATTTTTGTATGTTTAGTAGAGACAGGGTTTCACCATGTTGGCCAGGCTGGTGTCGAACTCCTGACCTCAGGCGATCCACCTGCCTCGGCCTCCCGAAGTGCTGGGATTACTGGTATGAGCCACCACGCCTGGCCTGTATGTCTTCTTTTAAGAAATGTCGGCTAGGCACAGTGGCTCACAGTGGGTCCTAATTCTCTTGTAGAATACTCTTCAGAGACAGACTCCAAGACTGCTGCATTTCCCTGTGGGGTGACTCACAGAGCTCTTTACTAGTCTTCTCTCCCAAGTGCCCCCAGGGAGCCCCTGTGCAATATCATCCCAGTCATATTTGGAATATGAACTGTGACCCTTACCTAGGGAAATATGTCTCTCTCCTCAGATTAGAGCATATTCATTCTAATTAGACATTGTCGTGTATTGACTCTGTTTTCACCATGGTAGGTAGAAGTCTGCCCCTCCCATAGGTGAGTGGAGAACCTTTGCTCTATGGAGACCTTTAGTATTTTTTTTTTTTTTTGAGATAGAGTTTTGCTCTTGTTGCCCAGGCGGGAGTGCAATGGCGCGATCTCGGCTCACTGCAACCTCCACCTCCCGGGTTCAAGCTGTTCTCCTGCCTCAGCCTCCCGAGTGGCTGGGACTACAGACACGTGCCACCACGGCTGGCTAATTTTGTATTTTTAGTAGAGATGGGTTTTCTCCATGTTGGTCATGCTGGTCTCGAACTCCTGACCTCAGGTGATCCACCCGCCTCTGCCTCCCAAAGTGCTGGGATTACAGGTGTGAGCTACCACGGCTGGCTGATCTTTAGTATTTTTAAGTGGGAAGGACATTGGCTTAATTTTTTCACCCAGGCTGGAGTGCAGTGGCACGATCTCTGTGCACTGCAACCTCTGCATCCTGGGTTCAAGTGACCCTCGTGCCTCAGACTCCTGGGCTCAAGTGATTCTCCTGCCTCAGCCTCCCGAGTAGCTGGGATTACAGGTGTGCACCACCATGCCTGGCTAATTTTTGTATTTTTAGTAGAGACAGTGTTTCAGCATGTTGACCACGCTGGTCTTGAACTTCTGGCCTCATGTGATCCGCCCACCTCAGCCTCCCAAAGTGCTGGAATTACAGGCATGAGCCACCATGCCTGGCCAGACATTGGCTTTAGATGGATGCAGATGACCTGAGTGACTTTGCTGAGATTCTTCTCTGAGCCTCAGTTTCCTGATTCCAAAATGAGATTATAATGATTTTATGAACTATGATGTGTTTTCTATAGCCTAGATGATAAGCATTAACAAACAGTTGCACTGTTTTCCAAACCAAAATAAAACACTCTAACTTGGCTTGAGAAGGGAGAGGTTCTAATACAAACATTTTGTCATTGTCCTATGAAAACAACCATGTTAAAATATGAAGACTACTAGCGCTACCATTATGTAGTAAATACCGAGCATTTACTACATGCCAGGCACTGGGCAGAGCTTTATATTTATATTTACTCATTCTCACAACAACCTACCTGGCTACATATTATCCCTCTCTTACAATCCAGGCTTACAGATGACGGGCAGTTATGATAAGCAAGCAGGAGAAATGAGATTTAAAGCCAGTTCTTTTTTCAAAGCCTGTGCCCTGCCCATGGAAGGGATAACTCAGGAACCTACAGAAAAACATATTTGAGGCATATTTCTGAGACATAGGAGCTGGATGGCAGGGTGGTCAAGATTGCTCTGTGGTGAGAGACTAGAATGCAGATGTTTTGTGGTTTTGATTGAAGCAAGGTCTGTTTGCTTTCATATTAGACACTGCTGTAGCCAGAAGTTGGAGCCTGTCAGGGTTCAAGAGACAACCTGGACACAGTTTATAGTTCCTTTTACTTTGACTTATTCCTGAAGCTGGAGTAGAGCAGTGCAAGATATAAATGAGACAAGGAGGCAGGGAGGCTCCCTGTTGCCTGCCTCTTTTGTACCTCATGGAGGTATACTCCGAATTTAATGATTCTTGAGAACTCACAGAGAGTAAGATGTCCACCAGATCCAAAGCATGTAGAACTGTGGGCTCACTGCTTAGCACCCAGATACAACTTTTACCTCCATATAAAGCATTTTGTTACTCAGAAGGCCACGTCACCTGCGGTTATTATCCATATCTGAGGCTTTGAAATTCCTGCTGTGCCAGCACTTGAGGCAATCTCCATTTTCTTGTACCTCTACTGCAGTGCCTAAGAATTTTCTTTCTTTCTTTTTTTTTTAAGGCAGAGTTTTGCTCTCGTTGCCTAGGCTGGAGTGCAGTGGCGCCATCTCAGCTCACTGCAACCTCCACCTGGGAGGCCCAGGTGGGCAGATCACCTGAGGTCAGGAGTTGGAGACCAGCCTGACCAACATGGACAAACCACATCTCTACTAAAAATACAAAATATTAGCCAGGTGTGGTGGCACATGCCTGTAATCCAGCTACTCAGGAGGCTGAGGCAGGAGAAGAATTTTCTATTTATTTCCACTCGGGTGCTTTCCATGGCCGACGTGGCCATGGCCTGCAACAGACACACCAGCATAAAGTTGCATTCTATTGTAAAACTTTAAGAACATAATTTGTATTCTTAGCCAGAAGGGCACCCCACCTTCAGGTAGAGGTGCAGGAGTTCTTGGATGGTTAAGGCCAAAATTTTCTTCAAAAAAGAAGCTCTGATAGAGACATAAAGCAGATTTGTGATTGCCTGGGTTAGGGTAGGATAGGGATTGACTACAAATGAGCATTAAGGATCTTTTTGGGCTAATGGAAACATTCTGAAACTACATAGGGGTGATGGCTGCACACTCCATAAATGTGCTACAAATCATGAATTGTACACTTACAATGGGTGAATTTTATGGTAGGTAAATTATACCTAAGAGCAAAAGAAGGAAGGGAGGACGCTAGCAAGCTAGCTCGAATATACAACCTTGAAGCACTTGGTTGAAACCCCAGGATAATATGGCACAGAGAATAGAAGAGGAGATTTAGGCCTGGAAAACCTTAAGGGCAGGAGTTAATGATTAAAATCTTAGTGTCCAGACATCTACCTTTGAGTAGTCTGTGTCCTGATGTACCTCTTGGAAAGATGACAGTCATAATATTACTATTGGCTGTGGCAGAAATAGCTAGTTCCCTCCCCCACCCCCATATCAGTTCTGTTCTGTCCTTGCACAGTAAAGGAAGGGTTTTGAAGCACTGGCCCAGAACTGGACTGATTTTAGCACAGTCAGAGATTAATGGCAAGAGCCATAGTTTCTTGCTTCCAAGAATCCTCTAAAATCTATTTAAAATTTTAAATAAATTCTCCACTGTAAGGTTGTTGCATCTAAAGAGAAATGTCAAAGTGAAGCTGGCTATCCATCCAGGCTGGATAGTGACACAATTACTAAAATTTATTTGAAAATGGTGTCAAAGTAGAAAAAAAAATGATACCCTTAGCAGCTCTGCCTCCTCAACAGCTTCTGTTTATCTTTCTCTGTGTCTGTGTGTGTGTGTGTGTGTGTATGTATCTGTCTCTCTTGCTCTCTCTCTCGCTATCTCTCTCTCTCTCACCTGATTCAGAATTCTTGAGAAAGGATAGGAATCACCAATGTTAGAAACGAGCCATGCCCCAGTGCCCTGTGGAAGTTAGGACTACAGGAAGGAGCACATGAGCTTCCTCTTCCCTACCCCCCATAATTTTACTTACCTGCACCTATGGCACGATCCAGAGCCCAATCTTTAGCTGAAAACATCCAGAAATCCAGAGCTGCTCATTATCAAGAATTGGGTTACGTTAACCAAGCTCATGATGTTCTCAGTAAACAGGTGCCCGTGTATTAATTTACAATGAGGAATACATCTTCCCTTTGAATGGACTGTTTTCTTCCCATCAATAATTCAGGGAGTCCCTTCCTTATGTCTGGGTATCCAGGAGTTACCAGGGGCCATGGACTATGGCTTTTCACCTCTGTGTCCTCAGCACAGGCTCTGGAACACAGCTGGTGATTAACAAATATCTGCCAAAGGGAATTGAATTTTGCCAGCGATAAGGCTTATTTATCTTGGGCCATTTTTAGACAAACAGGAGCTGGAGATATTTTTACCCACATATTATTGTAGTCAAAGGCTGTTTCTTAGCCACAACATCCATGCAAAACACAGCATGGCAAGAAGAGGCCATTTTTTTTCTTACACAGCTGACTCCATTTGAAAGAAATTTTATCTCAGAGGATTTACCTAGCAAGATATCAATCTACTTCGTTTTGTTTGTTCTCTTTTCCTTTACATTCGACATGAATGCTATAAAGGATTCTACTATGGCACAGGTAATAATAGCAAACACAACTATAGAGTCTCCACTGCCCATCCTTGAAATAGATTATTCAGTAGAAGAAGAGCAGTGCTGTCATTTACTGAGTTGTATGGGAAGTAAGGATCAAAACCAAAGATAAAAAAAGAATTATGAGTCAGTGGAGTCCAATTTAGCCTTGATGGTAATGTGAGGCATGTTATTAGGTCCATTTTCAGGGAAGATTACATTGTTTGGAAGGAAGTGTCCTATCCATTTTTCAGAGCCCTGGTGATAAAATCACTGGCGATAAGAAACCTCTCTCAGGCCCCAAAACATAGGCCTCTCCTTCTCTTGGGCCCTCTCAAATTATCTGCTGATCTAGATACTCCTAATAGTCCCCAAGCCCTGCTGACAGCTCTGTCCTCCCCCTGCCTCAGGCAAGAAAAGTTTCTGGTCAGGTTGAGGAGGTCTTGCTCAAAATTCTTCTCATTCTGCATACTCTGCATGTGCAATTGTATCTATTCCTATGGCTTCAGCTACCACCTATAAGCTGGATGGAGCCTTTGCCCCTCACTTACCATGTATGATCCTCACAGTGTTTAGGCATGAGTTATTTTCCACATGATAATCCTCTTTCACCGCCATCAGATATCCTAGGTCTCTTTTCATCCAGCTGTTGTGTTCGTTTCAGTTAAACAAACATTTATTCCATGGGTGTGGCAGGCATCTTCTGTAGTTGTTGAGGATACAAAGGTTCTATTTAAGTTAATTTTCCTCTATTTCATTTATAGAGTTTTTTATTTTTATTTTTACTATCCAGTAATTGTTGGAATTTCTAAAGTGTTAACTTTCAGTTACTGTTCTCTTTCTATCCCTGCATCTTCCCTAAGTTTATTACTATGGTTTCAATTTCATAAAGATAATTTTCAAATAAAACGTCTGGCTCCATGTCTTACCTATCTCATTTACTGTATGCACTTAGATGTCTCTTCGTCTCTTTAAGTAAACATTTATTGTAGCTTTAGTTCCTGGATCTCTAAAATGCAGAAGTGAATGAGGAGTGTTCCTTGGTCAGTAGGTGTATGTGAACCTACCCACAAAGGCTGAGGGAGCTTAGAGGACGAAGAAAGAGGCTGACAAACCCAGCTTCTCAGAGGGAAACATTTCATAGGGACTTATGAACAGAAGTGATGTCTAGGCAGCCATAAGAATCGTAGATCCCCGCATCCGCCCTTTATAAATAGCAAGCTTTTAGGGTAAAGACGTGCAGCTAGTCATGTCTTCAGACTTTCTTCCAAGATTCATGACCACTGGGGAGGTTAGGTAAGCATCTTTATGAGGGTTTATCTGTGTACAGCGTTGCTTCAAGACCTTACTGCAGAATACCTTTGTGTGTGGAGATCAAACATCATGGCAGTTTCGCCCCAAGATGGTGTGACTCTTGCCATGCAGTAGGCTGTTTTCCTACAGGAAGCTATTAAGTTATGGTGTATCGATGCAGTGCAGTTTTAAGCAGCTATTTAACATGCTTACAAACAACTATGGATAATTCTTCTGCTTCTCTATCCACTTTCTGAATTTCCTCAATGAGAATCCCTTTTCTAATCAGAAAAAACATGAGAGGACATAAGTGATGTGATCAATTATGTCTTAGAGAATAAGGTGGAAGAGAGGCAGCAGTTTGCTGTCACCTTTGCCAACATCTGCTAGCCAATCCCCCAGTATTTCTCAGACCACTTTACCTTAGATCTCTTTTTTTCCTTCCAGATAGTCTGGCTGTGAAGGCAGCTGAGATTATGATCAGCCTCGAAGCTGAAACCTATAGTTTGTCTCCACACTCCCTCTCAAAATAAAGTACTTTTTAGACTTTGAGCTGCCTAGGAAAAGGACCATATTTTGTTAATTTCTATAGCCCCAAAGCACTTAACAGTGTGTGAAACACAGTCTGAAATGATGGAATACTATGCACCTGTAAAAGGAAAGCTCTTTTTGTTCTGTTATAGGGTGATCTCTGAGATAAGTGAAGTAAGACCAACTGCAGAACAGTGTGTATAGAATACTACCATCTGGGTAAAGAAAGAGGAATTTTTAATTTCTGGAAAGATGCCTCTGGATAGGGAACTGTGTTGCTGGGGAAGAGGGGTGAGACGGAGACTTTTCACTGCAGACCCTTTTAAACCTTAAACCTGTGAATGTTTTAGTGATAAAAATAAATAAAATTTAAATCTAAACAAATGTGTTGAATGTATTTGAAATATCCAGAATAGGCAAATCCATACAGACAGAAAGCAAATTAGTGGTAGCCAAGGGCTAGGGGAGGAATGAGGACTGACTGACTAACTGGGTTTGAGGTTTCCTTGTGGGGCGATAAAATATTCTGGAACTGTATAGTGGTGATAGTTGCACAACATTGTGAAAGTACTAAATTCCGCTGTGGTTAAAATGGCCGGCCATGGTGGCTCATGCCTGTAATCCCAGCACTTTGGGAAGCTGAGGCGGGAGGATCACTTGAGCCCAGGAGTTTGAGACCAGACTGGGCAACACAGTGAGACTCTACCTCTACAAAAAAGAAATAAAAAATTTAAAAATGATTAAAATGGTAAATTTTATGTGAATTTTGTTACAATATGTTATATATATTTTTGAATGAGTGAATATGTGAATAAAATACCTATTATATTTACACATATACATTAAATGGCCTGCCTGTGCAGTGAGATATCTCTGCTTTGTGGAGTGGTTTTTTGTTTGTTTGGTTTTTTTTTTCCTGAGACAGAGTCTTGCTCTGTCACCCAGGCTGGAGTGCAGTGGTGCGATCTTGGCTCACTGCAACCTCCGCTTTCCGGGTGCAAGTGATTCTCCTGCCTCAGCCTCCTGAGTAACTGAGACTACAGATGCCCGCCACAACGCCCAGCTAATTTTTGTATTTTTAGTAGTAGAGGTGGGGTTTCACCATATTGGCCAGGCTGGTCTCGAACTCCTGACCTCGTGATCCACCCACCTCAGCCTCCGAAAGTGCTGGGATTACAGGCATGAGCCCCCGTGCCTGGCCTGCTTTGTGGAGTTTTTAATGGAAAATTCCAAACATATGCAGAAGTAGAACAGCATAATAAACCATCACATACCTACCACCTACCTTCAACAATTAGCAACTCATGGCCACACTAACTCCATTTATACCCTGACCCACTTCCCCACACCCACTGGATTGTTTTGTAGCAAACTGTATGTATTTCAGCATGTATCTCTCAACACTAAGAGCTCTTTTTTTTTAAAACTTACGTTATCATACCTAAAAAATTATTCCTTAATATAAGCAAAGAATGGTGTTCAATTTTCACAGATTTGAACATCTCACAAACACCTTTTTTATTTTTATTATTTAGTTATTTATTGAGACAGGGTCTCCCTCTGTCACCCAGGCTGGAGTGGAGTGGGGCAGTCATAGCTCACTACAGCCTTGAACTAACTCCTGGGCTCAGTTGATCCTCCTGCCTCAGCCTCCCAAGTAGCTGGGACCACAGATGTGTGCCATCATACCCAGCTAATTTTTATTTTTGTAGAGACAGGGTCTCACTATGTTGCTCAGGCTGTTGTTGAACTCGAGCAATCCTCCCACCTTGGCCTCCTAAAGTACTGGGATTACAGGTGTGAGCCACCGTATCCAGCCACAAACATCCTTTTTAGAGTTGACTTGTTGCTTTGTGGTTTTAAAGAGACCAAACTACTTTTCTCAGAACTGACCTAGTAAGTTCATTCTCAGCCATCATGAAATCTTGAGGAAGTTAAAGTTTCTTATCTGAAGATGACTGAAGTTGGACAAGATGCTATTAGTTTCATTCACACTCACGTTTTCTAAAGAGTTTCTGAGAAACAACTTTGCTCACTGTAACCCACAATGCTGTGTGGCAGTAGATGTCAGTCATGAAATGCCAGTGAGACCACTGAAATCCTAATCCGAGAGGTCCCAGGTTAACCCTGCAAGTCACCAGGAGGAACCTCTCTATTCTACCTCTTGGCTATTAGTATCTTAACATTTTCCCGCCTTTGTTTTATGCAATTCTGGGTGACTCCTTTTTCTGCTGGAGGCTCCTAGTAAAATTCACTTTTGCACACTGTCCAAACTAGTATCCTAGGTTGTCAACCTCCCTAAGAGTCAGGGAGCAACAGGGTGTGCACTGGAGTCATAGGCTGCAGCTAAGGCTGTCTTAAAGAAATTGTGAAGTTTGACTGTTTTCTTTCCCCCCCTTTTATTCTGTTTTTATAATATACTTACTGACCCACATAGGCATGTATTTCTATATAATCTGTTACAAGGTTGACTTGATTCTTTTATTTTCCTCTTTCTCCGTGTTTTAGTGAACTTTCCCCTTCATCTTGGGCCTGTTACTCTCACCTGTACCTCCACTTTTCCTCCCACATACTTTGAGCTCCAGCACAATGGCTCCCTTCAGCTTATGCTTACTCCTTGCATTCACCCCTCAATTCTACCATACTCCCAATGCCAACTTTGTTATACCCTCTAAAGTGACCCCTCTTTTTTAGGGGACAGGGTCTCACTCTGTCACCCAGGCTGGAGTGCAATGGCACAATCTTGGCTCACCACAGCCTCGACCTGCTGGGCTGAAGCCGTACTCCTGCCTTAACCTCCTCATCCCCCAATAGCAGGGACTACAGGTGCATGCCACCATGGCTGGCTAATTTTTGTATTTTTTGTAATGATGGGTTTCGCCATATTGCCCAGGTTGGCCTTGAACTCCTGGGCTCAAGCGATCCTCCCATCTCGGCCTCCAAAAGTGCTGGAATTACAGGCCTGAGCTACCACAACTGGCCCCATGACCCCTCTTTTATCTGCTGGAAAATAAAAAAAAAAAAAAGGGCTTTGAGGACCCACTTCTCTTCAGGAGCCAATGCACTCTGCTGCTTGATAATAGCCCAATGTGTGCCTTTAATTCTCACCACAGCCTTTGAGAGGAGGTACCAATATTGCCCATTTTACAGCTAGGGAACTTGAGGTACAGGGAAGTTAGGTAACACGTCTGAGGTTAATAAGTATGGGAGGCCAAATACAAATCCAGACAACCTTCTCACTTAACCACTATGCTCTACCCCTTAACCCCAATAAGTGATTTTTATGGTTTTAGAGAATAGTACCTCAGAGGTAGGAGATATTTACCTGAGATCAAGCAAAGTAGCAACTGCTTACTTCTATTAGGTCAGATTGGCTTTGGGTAACAGTATCTTTTATTTCAGCATTTCCTAAAATGTTCTCTGGAAAACTACCTAAGGTTTAATTGCGAATAAATTCATCTAATTTAGAAAATATAGGCTGGGCACAGTGGCTCATGCCTGTAACATCAGTACTTTGGGAGGCTGAGATGGGAGGATCACTTGAGGCTAGCAGTTAGAGACGAGCCTGGGCAACATAGTGAGACCTCGTCTCTACAAAAAATACAAAAGTTAGCGGGTGTAGTGGTGTGTGCCTGTAGTCCCAGCTAATAGAGAAGCTGAGGCAGGAGGATCCCTTGAGCCCAGGAGTTCAGGACTGCGGTGAGCTAGGATGGCACCACTGCACTCCAGCCTGGACAATGCAGTGAGACCCTGTCTCAAAAAAAAGAAAATATAGTAAATTGTGTTCATTTATTGGAATTTCCTAAGTCTACATTGACATATTAAAGGTCCTAAAAACAAAGAATAAAGAAACTTATTTCACTTTGTTTAGCATAGTATTTCCCAAACCTATGGAGCACGGAACCTTTTCCTGCTGCATAACACTTGTTGACTTCCCATGGAAACACTGCTTTCTGTAAACTTTCTGAAGTGAAGATAAATAGGGATTATTTCAGAAATTTTGTTTTGTTTTGTTTTGTTTTTTTGAGATGGAGTCTCACTTTGTCACCCAGGCCGGAGTGCAGTGGTGTGATCTTGGCTCCAGTGGTGCAACCTCTGCCTCCCCAGTTCAAGCAATTCTCCTGCCTTAGCCTCTCGAGTAGCTGGGATTACAGGTGCAAACCACTGCGCCCGGTTAATTTTCATATTTTTAGTAGACACGGGGTTTTACCATGTTGGCCAGGCTGGTCTCGAACTCCTGACCTCAAGTGATCTGCCCACCTTGGCCTCCCAAAGTGTTGGGATTACAGGCGTGAGCCACCATGCCTAGCAGAAATTGTGTTTTAATTAAAACAAAGCCTAACTGGCTAAATTAATTATAGGTCCAGCTTGACCTGTAAGAAATAAGCAGTTGCTTAATTAAAACATCTGACTCTCTAGCCAAATGGCATTCACCAGCCTGTTTTATTGTAACCCTTTCTGATCTGGAGGAGTTTTAGGAAGGGAGTGGTGATGATACAATTGTGCCATATGTAGGCAGGGGGACGCGCTGGAGCAGCCTGAACGTGAATGAACCTCCCAGGCTTCATTCGGCAAGCCTGTATCAGGAGGGCCCCAAGGTTAAATTTCAGCTCTGACAATTATAGTTGGTGTCCAGTGTCTTCCTCTGTAAACACTGATCTCAGATTTGGTAGATATAAATTGCCCAAGTTATTTCTATAAAATGACCCAGCTGGATCTAAAGGTAGAATCTAATGTCACCAGCTCTCTGTAGTCATTTCCTAATTAATATCTGGCCAAAGAATACCTGGTTCTTTAGTTCTAAATTAGGACTACATCTCATCGTCAGTGCTCAGTTGTAGGGAAGCAGCCAGGGCATGGGGCTGCCAGAACTTGGGATCATCCAAGGCTTTTGGCAGCAGAGGTGGAAGTAAGAGGCCCTGCATGGAGGATGTTGGAGGAGGAAAGGCCAAATTTGCAGAAGCAGCAGGCCCATGGGAGTTTTGAGGGTTGGTAAAAGCAGCCAGTGGTCTGAGGAGCTCCCAAGATCCCATGATAAGACTGCCTGGGAGCCTTTACCTTCACAGCTCCAGGCAGCTAGGTCAGCCCCTCTTTGCTAATGGAACACTCCAGTTCATTCTTTCCCAAATTTGCCTTTTGTAAGAATCACTCCAGGTGCTTATTAAACATGCATATTCCCACACCCCATCCCAGAAGTATTGAATCGGAATGTTTAATGGATGCCTGTGTGATTCATACGATGAGGCAAGTTTGGGGAAACACTGTTCTTTCTAGTTGCTCAAAGGCTCTTACTCAGTAGTAATGGGCTCAGTCTATTCCTTCTAGTGCTTTTGTTTCCTATCAGCTAATTTTTTAGCCTGACTGGGGACTCCACAAGGGTCCATGTCATTTCAGAAGAGATGGCAGACCCAGTGCGGTGGCTCATGCCTGTAATCCCAGCACTTCGAGGGGCTGAGGCAGGAGGATCACTTGAGCCTAGGTGTTTGAGACCATCGTGGGCAACATAGGGAGATCCCATATCTACAAAAACTTAAAAAAAAAAATTAGCTAGGCTTGGTGGCATGCACCTGTAATCCCAGCTATTCGGGAGGCTAAGGCAGGAGGATTGCCTGAGCCCAGGTGTTCAAGGCTGCAGTGAGCTATGATTGCACCACTACACGCTAGCCTGGGCAACAACAACAAGAAGACAAGGTTTCACCATGTTGGCCAGGATGGTCTCAATCTCTTGACCTCGTGATCTGCCTGCCTCAGCCTCCCAAAGTGCTAGGATTACAGGTGTGAGCTACTGTGCCCAGCCGGCAAGGCCTCATTCTTATTTTCTTTAGGGTCTTTGGGCTTTTAGCCCCTCTGGGCAAGGTCAAGTCTAGCCTGATGTTGGGTCCCAGCTAGACTAAGTTTATGTTTTCTCCCTTTTCTCTTGGTTAGCTTTACCCCTCTTGTTTTAATAAAAAGTAGTTTAGAAGTGGTTTGATGGACTGATATTGGTGTCACTGTGGTACCTTTTATATTAAACCTCTTATCTGCTTTAATTAGCCAAGAGTATGAGGCATATACTATGTTCAGAATTAGGAACAAAAAGTGAACTAGGCATGTCCCCACTTCCCGGACTTTTTTTTTTGAGACAGAGTCTCACTCTGTTGCCCAGGCTGGAGTGCAATAGCACAATATCGGCTTGCTGCAACCTCCACCTCCCGGGTTCAAGCAATTCTCCTACCTCAGCCTCCTGAGTAGCTGGGATTATAGGCGCACGCCACCAAACCCGGCTAATTTTTATATTTTTAGTAGAGACAGCATTTCGCCGTGTTGGTCAGGCTGGTCTCAAAGTCCTGACTTCAGGTGATCTGCCTGCGTCAGCCTCCCACGGTGCTGCAATTACAGGTGTGAGCCACCATGCCCGGCCTCTGGACATTTTTTTTTTTTTTTTTTTTTTGAGACGGAGTCTCGCTCTGTCGCCCAGGCTGGAGTGCAGTGGCGCAATCTCAGCTCACTGCAAGCTCCACCTCCCAGGTTCGAGCCATTCTCCTGCCTCAGCCTCCCGAGTAGCTGGGACTAGCCTGCCACTGCACCCGGCTAATTTTTCGTATTTTTAGTAGAGACGGGGTTTCACCGTGTTAGCCAGGATGGTCTCGATCTCCTGACCTCGTGATCCGCCCGCCTCGGACTCCCAAAGTGCTGGCATTACGGGTGTGAGTCACCGCACCCGGCCTGGACATTTTTTAAAAGTTTGTGTGGGCTGGGTGCAGTGGCTCACATCTGTAATTCCAGCACTTTGGGAGGCCGAGGTGGGTGGATCACCTGAGGTCACAGGTTTGAGACCAGCCTGGCCAACATGGTGAAACCCCATCTCTACTAAAAATACAAAAATTAGCCAGGTTTGGTGGCAGGCACCTGTAATCCCAGCTACTTGGGAGGCTGAGGCAGGAGAATCGCTTGAGCCAGGGAGGCAGAGGTTGCAGTGAGCCAAGATCACGCCTCTGCACTCCAGGCTGGGCCACTCTATCTCAAAATAAAAAACAAAAACTTATGTTGGTTTGGGATAATGGAGAAGTTCTGGAGATGGATAGTGGTGAGGATTGCACAATAATGTGAATATACTTAGTGCCACTTAAATCTACACTTAAAAAGGATTAAAATGGTAAGTTTTATTGTTATGTATATTTTGCCACAATTAAAAAAAAAACTTGTTTAGGAGACAGTATATCCAAGAACCAACTGAGGAAGACATTTTTACAAAGTGATAAACCAGTGAAGCACAGGAATTTAAAGGGATACTTGAGTAAAGTAGATTGAACACTCAGCTTTTGTGATAGTTTTGAAGAAGGTAAAGAATCAGTAGATTGGAGAATTATGCAAATGGAGAGATGGCATGTGCCAAGAGAACAATAAGTCATATGTAATTGAAAGCAAATTTCTAAAAGGAGGGGTCTGTCACAGAGGCAACCCTCATAGTACCCCCCAACCTGCGCACGGGAAGTGTTTGCTGGGTAGATGAGGGGATGAGGAACCCAAAGAAAATGGTGAAAGAGGAAATCTGTATGAGTAAGTGGGGACTGTGAGAGATTAACCAGCCTCTTGCTTTGTGTGAGTAGAAGTGTATTGTCTTGATTCCAAGTGACTTTCTGGAAACTGTTGTGGTATTGTAGCTCGGAAGTGACAGAAAGGAAACTCCTGGAGACCCTGCGGGGCAAGCAGTTGGAGAGATGGTGGAAATGCCACCTCACTGGTCTGCTCATTTGGGGCCAACAGCCAGATAAGGCATCTCTGCCCTACACAGAAGCTGGGAAAGAGCTGGAGGTGGACCTTGGAGCAGAAGCCAGGTCTTACAGGGAGCCCAGCACAGGCCAGGGCTTTGTGGAACAGACAAAGTCTAAAGCCTGCTGGGCAGCTGAGGTGAAGGTAGCTTCCTGCAAAGGTGTTCCTCACTATGAGGACCCCAGATTTCCAGAAGACCTCACATAGAGCAACTGGTGGATCAGCTGAAGCAAAGATTCTAGGAACCAGAACTACCACCGAGGCCTCCCAGATGGGGCTGGAGAAGAGAGTAGGAGTGGAGCCGGGTGCCTGATAAGCTAACCATGCCAGCCACACCATCTGTAGCTAGGCTGGCGCATAGTAGGTGTTCAGTAAATATTTGCTACATTTGAATTGAAAACCCACTTGTTTCTATTTTGTATTAATTGCTTTTTGTTTGTTTTTGTTTGCTCTTAGTATACTGGCAAGGAGTTATCTCGCTTTTTAAAAAGTTGATATTTAATTCAGTGAAATCATGCTGAAGGGGAATTGATCCACATTAGAACAGAATGGCCCCTTGGATACTAACGGCCACTTTGTCATCCTCACAGGCTCACTTTCCTCCCTGGTGATTCCCTCAATATCACCCTCAGCCCCACCTCTGTTCAACACACACTTCCCAGGTTCAGATACTGACTTGCTGATGGCTCCCAAGTCTCCCTTCCAAGCTGTGTACCTATAATATCTAACTGCCCACTGGACATCTCCTCTTATTTGTTCCTCAGATTCCTGCATCTCAGCATGTCCAAAATTGCACTCATTATCTCACTTCTCTGACTTGCTGCTGCTGCTTCTCCCCCTCTTGAGAGGTATCACCCTCTACCCAACGTCTCCGGTTGGAAGCCTCAGCTATATATGACTCCATCATTTTCTTAACTCATCCCTAGTGTTGCTGAGTCTCCCTCAGGCATGGCTGTCAATTCCAGCCTCACCCATCTGAACCTGACCCATGCCAGCTTTCCAGATATACACACAGGCACCTTCTCGTTGTGCTGCTGCCAATCGGAGGCAAATAATCCTTAGAACTCCAGGCTCTCTCAGAGAAAGTTAGGCGACTTCAGAATTAATTCCTTCTGCTATGTGTTCACAGGAGGTACTGCACCTCCCTGGCCTTACAAATTCTTTGGATTTCTTCGTTCTTCTCCGGAACCCTAAATCTCATACAAGCCCAGCCAGTGAGCTGGGTGTCCTCCTTTTTGTTCCACCAGTTCCTAAACTCTTGGGGCTCTGGGTATCACACCTACTTCTCTTTGAACACCAAGACTTGGGCAGTGGTTCTCAACCCTGGCTGCGCATCGGAATCATAATCAGTTTAAAGGATTGCCGATGCCTGGGCACCACTCAAACCAATTAAATCATTCTTACTGGAGGTGGGGCCCTGGCACTGGTATTTTGTCAAGTCTCCAGAAGTGATTTT
Source organism: Homo sapiens (assembly GCF_000001405.40). Taxonomy (NCBI): domain Eukaryota; kingdom Metazoa; phylum Chordata; class Mammalia; order Primates; family Hominidae; genus Homo; species Homo sapiens. Next base: position 82,959,586 of record NC_000015.10, on the reverse strand, counting down.
AATGTTCAGCCAAGGTTGAGAATGACTGGCTTAATGCGTATACTTCCACCATCTATGCCTTGGATCCTCAGAACTGTGCCCACTCTCCAGACCGGCCCTTTCAAGTTCTTCTCCAGGAATTGCTTAACCTGCAATGACTGTGCTCTGCCTTCAACTACCTATTATCCAACAGCCACTCTGTGCATGCCAATGGGAAACAAGTATAACTATATGCTGACAGTGGGCAGTGTTATGTTTTGGCCACCACCCTGAATCTATTTACCTTGATTTTCCTCTAGGTGTCCGCCCCAGTCCTACACCCACTTCATGCCTTCTGTGAGAAGCTGCCTCCACACCTCAGCCCAGACTGAGCCAATCAGGACATTCCATTCCCCTGGCCACAGTGATGGGCTCAGGAATCGGCCTGTGCCCCAAGGCAGGGCAGTCAGACACGGCGAGGCTTAGTTCGGAGACTTTGGCTTGACCTGTTTGGGAATTTGCTAGACTTGAATGTGAGTTGGGAGTCCAGAAGAGAGCTTACCTGAGGATGGAGCCAAACAGAACAAGAAAAACCCAGGAGGGACCCTGCCCTTGAAGACCATAGTCTAGTGGAGGAGACACCTTTTGATAGGGGTAAGGGTGACAATGAGTGTGATAGCTCAGAGCATGGGGCAGCATAATCAGGATGCCCCTGGGGGCACTTGCAGCTGGCTGGGCTATTCATCTGGTCATTTCTATTTTTGCCTCTTGGAATTGAATTCTGCTGGGAGGCAGCCAGTGAGGTCCAAAGTCCTCTCCTCAAGGTTGTTGGATTGTTTGATGATTGACTCCCCACCCGTTCCCAGCAGCTGCAGCTTCCCAGGCCCTTGCATTGCCAGAGCTCCCTGGCTCTTCTCTCTAATCAGGCTCCCAGCCTCACTGGGGGCTGATTAAGACATTTCCTGTCCTTCCCCAATCTTGGAGTCTTGCTAAGATCCTCCTGACAAGCTTCTCCTGCCTCCAGCCTGCCTTTCCACAACCTTCTCCCATCTGCTGCCAGAGAAGCTAAGACACAAGTCTGATCATGCCACCCTCCTACTTCAAAATCTCCACTAACTCCCTGAGGCCTCAGAATCAAGTCCAAACTCCTAACATGACCCGGAGGTCTTTCACAGAGTGGTCCCAACTTACCTCTTGTTCCTGGCCACTTCCTACCACACTGTTGAGCCAAGCACATGGACATTCTTGTCGTTTCCTGTTTAAGTCATGGCCTTTAATGCCTCCGTGTCTCAGCATGTGCTGGTCTCGTTGCTGGACATAGAAATGATCTTCCCTCCTGTACATCCTTGAGGACCCAACTCACACATCCCCTTTTTGAAGTCTTCTGCAGGAACTACCTTATTCATACCTCGGTTACATTATATTTAGCTTATTGTTTAAGGACACAGACTGGCTCAAAATAGGTGCTCAGTTAAGATTAAATAAATGGGTAGGCCGGGCTCGGTGGCTCACGCCTATAATTCCAGCACTTTGGGAGGCCGAGGCAGGCGGATCATGAGGTCAGGAGTTCGAGACCAGCCTGGCCAACATGGTGAAACCCCGTCTCTACTAAAAATACAAAAAAGTAGCCGGGCATGGTGGCGCATGCCTCTAATCCGAGCTACTTGGGAGGCTGAGGCAGAAGAATCGCTTGAACCCGGGAGGCAGAGGTTGCAGTGAGTGGAGGTCGCGCCACTGCACTCCAGCCTGGGTGACAGTGTGAGACTCCGTCTTAAATAAATAAATAAAGAAAAATGGGTAGATGCTATCAAAATCTCTGGAGGCATCCAGGACACATAGACTTAGGAGAGCCCTGGATGGGAGAGGCAGAGGACAGATGGGACTGTTGGAAATCGTTTATAGCTCACCTTCCTAAGGGCAGGCCCTTGGCCTGATTGGAAACAGCAGGGGCTAGGGCTGGTGGTCCCATACTGATCTGGTGTCATCTTAAAGAGACAGCCCATAGTCTTCTCTGATCCTTAGGTGCCCTGTAGAGGGGTCCTGAATCTATGGAGGGCTCTGGATACAGATTGGCAAAGTGTTATCTGGCAGGAAGTACACAAGCTGTTTCCATGGTGGGGGCAGATTGAGAATCCTCAAACTGTACTAAATTTTAAAATGTTGATTATATAAGAACCATTTTGACAATATTAATTCAGTCACAATAAATGAAAATTTCACCCTAGTTCCACCATTATAGCCAGTAATAATAATAATAATACCTGTAATGTATTGAAGATGTACTATACTAGGGACTGAGCTAAGCACTTTACAGATATGATCTCATTCACTCTGTTTTTTTTTTTTTTTGAGACGGAGTCTCACTTCTGTTGCCCGTGCTAGAGTGCAGTGACACAGTATCTTGGCTCACTGCAACCTCTGCCTCCTGGGTTCAAGTGATTCTCCTGCCTCAGCCTCCCGAGTAGCTGGGATTACAGGCATGTGCCACCATGCCCAGCTAATTTTTATATTTTCAGTAGAGACAGGGTTTCACCATGTTGGTCAGGCTGGTCTTGAACTCCTGACCTCAGGTGATCTACCCGGCTCAGCCTCCCAAAGTGCTAGGATTACAGGTGTGTGCCACCACACCTGTTCTCATTCACTCTTCTTAATAGTCCAAAGAGATATCGCCACTTCGTAGATTAGAGCGCTGAGGCTCAGAGAAGTTAAAAACTTGCCCGTGGTCACAGATAGTCAATGGTAGATCCAGGACTTAATGCAGGTCTGAGTCTAATACTGATGCCTTTACCCTATATTCCTTCTGCCATCCTAATAAACTTTTTCATTTTCTATACTCCAGGCCTTGTCCATATTTTCTAATTTTACATAATTATACTCATAGCACAGCTGTAATTCAGATTATTTTACAAACTTAACTTTATATCCTAATACACATCCCATCCACCAAGTCTTATTGAGTCTACCTCTAAAATATCTATAATCTGTAATCCACTTCCCTTCATCTCCACCCTTATCTTTTGTCTAGAGCCTCTTAACCAGTCTCCATGTTTTACTCTTGTCCCCTTCTTATCCCCTCTTCTCCCAGGAGTGAGTGATATTTTAACAATATAAACCAGATCACGGCATTCCCCAACCCATCAGTGGGTTCTCACTGCATTTGAATAAATTGCAAATCCTTAATCCAGCCAAAGGGCCCTGCATACTTCACCCATGCTTTGCTAAGCTCACTGCACTCTAACCACACTGGCCTTCTCCCAGCTCTTCAGAACAGCATGATTCTCTACCACCTCAGGGCCGTTGCAGTTTCCTCTGCTTGGAACCCTCCCCTCATGCTCCCCATGACTGATGCTTCTTTGTCTTCAAGCCTCTTCTTTTTTTTTTTTTTTTTTGAGATGGAGTCTCAATCTGTCACCCAGGCTGGAGTGCAGTGATGCAATCTCAGCTCACTGCAACCTCTGCCTCCTGAGTTCAAGTGATTCTCCTGCCTCAGCCTCCTAATTAGCTGGGATTACAGGCATGTACCACCATGCCTGGCTAGGTTTTGTATTTTTAGTAAAGATGGGGTTTTGCCATGTTGGCCAGGCTGGTCTTGAACTCCTGGCCTCAAGTGATCTGCCTGCCTTGGCCTCCCAAAGTGCTGGGACTACAGTCATGAGCCACCACACCCAGCCATCAGGCCTCTTTTTAAATGTCTCTTCAACAGGCCATTCCTGACCATCCTCCTCAACCTAAATTAGGTCTCCTATTCACACAGATCGTAGCTTATATATTTGTGTGATTATTTGATTAATACCATTCACACAATCTTATAGTCCTATGACAGAAGGACGTCTGTTTTGCTGAGCACTTTATGCCCAACACAGTACCAGATACACAGCAGGTGATCAACATTTATTGAAAGAATAAATATATTTCTATGTTACTATATAGGCTTCACAAATATAATGTAATAGCTGCATAATACCCGACAGTTATCCCTTTAATTAATGGCTTTAATAATACATTTGTTTCATATGCAGTTGAAAGAACTGACCTTTTATGGTTAGAAAAAAAAATGTTTGAAGTCCCTGGACCAGCCATACCAGAAATCTGAGCACACTAATAACAACATTATGCATGTACATGGTGAGCCTAATTTTGCTGTTGAAAGTAAAAATACAGGCCGGGCATGGTGGCTCACGCCTATAATCCCAGCACTTTGGGAGGCCGAGGCAGGCGGATCACAAGGTCTGGAGATCGAGACCATCCTAGCTAACATGGTGAAACCCCATCTCTACTAAAACTACAAAAAAGTAGCCAGGTGTGGTGGCATGCGCTTGTAGCCCCAGCTACTCGGGAGGCTGAGGCAGGAGAATTGCATGAACCCAGGAGGCAGAAGTTGCAGTGAGCCAAGATTGCGCCACTGCACTCCAGCCTGGGCAACAGAGTGAGACTCCGTCTCAAAAAAAAAAAAAAAAGAAAAAGAAAAAGAAAGTAAAAATACGTAGATTATAGGTTTTGAAATCAATTTAGTAGGTTATGAGCAGTACTGCTTTTAAAAATAGAACAGAATGGGCCGGGCACGGTGGCACACGCCTGTAATCCCAGCACTTTGGGAGGCTGAGGTGGGCCGATCACGAGGTCAAGAGATGGAGACCATCCTGGCCAACATGGTGAAATCCTGTCTCTACTAAAAATACAAAAATTAGCTGGGGTGGTGGTGCGCGCCTGTAGTCCCAGCTACTTGGGAGGCTGAGGCAGGAGAATCGCTTGAACCTGGGAGGCGGAGGTTGTGGTGCCCTGAGATCATGCCACTGCACTCCAGCCTGGTGACAGAGCAACACTCTGTCTCAACAACAACAACAACAAAACAGAATGATGTCTGAATGCCTGCCTGGCAAGTGAGAGGATAAACATTGTTTTATATAACTTTTTGTTTCTATTTTATATCGATATACCTATAGACATAGTATGTATGTGCTGAAGTATGTACCAGGTTGCAGGTTGTAGTGTAAAATATATTTCTTACTGTGGATTGTAGTTTAAAAAAATGAAAAACTCGGCCAGGCACGGTGGCTCATGCCTGTAGTCCCAGCCCTTTGGGAGGCCGAGGCGGGTGGATCACGAGGTCAGGAGATCGAAACATGGTGAAACCCTGTCTCTACTAAAAATACAAAAAAAAAAAAAAACTGGGCGTGGTGGCATGCGCCTGCAGTCGCAGCTACTGGGGAGGCTGAGGCAGTAGAATCGCTTGAATCTGGGAGGTGGGGGTTGCAGTGAGCCGAGATCACGCCACTGCCACTGCACTCTAGCCTGGGTGAGCAGAGTGAGACTCCGTCTCAAAAAAAAAATAATAAAAATAAAATAAAAATGAAAAACTCTGATTTCAGTGGCTTGCCTTTGAAGTTATTCGAACACTTCAGAATCCTCAGGTATTACCTGATAAATGACTTGTTCAGTGTTCTACAAGCTCACTTTCCTGATATTGCTGATTACTATGCATGGAGGATTTGGAAACTCCCAAGATTATTTTATTTTTTACAAACTTATTTTGTATTTATTTATTTATTTTTTTGAGACAGTCTGGCTCTTTTCACCAGGCTAGAGTGCAGTGGCATGATCTCGGCTCGCTGCAACCCCTGCCTCCTGGGTTCAAGCGATTCTCCTGCATCAAGCCTCCCGAGTAGCTGGGAGTAGCTGGGACTACAGGAGCACGCCACCACACCCGGCTATTTATGTATTTAATTAATTAATTTATTTATTTTTTGAGACGGAGTCTCGCTCTGTTGCCCAGGCTGGAGTGCAGTGGTGCGATCTCGGCTCACTACAAGATCCGCCTTCCAGGTTCACGCGATTCTTGTGCGTCAGCCTCCGGAGTAGCTGGGACTACAGGCGCCTGTCTCCACGCCCGGCTAATTTTTTTTGTGTGTGTGTATTTTTAGTAGAGACGGGGTTTCACCGTGTTAGCCAGGATGGCCTCGATCTCCAGACCTCGTGATTCGCCCGCCTCGGCCTCCCAAAGTGCTGGGATTACAGGCGTGAGCCACCGCGCCCGACCTGTCCCTTGACTTTTTTACTGTCCTGAGATGCCAGGCTTATGTGGGCGGTGTGTTCCCAGCAGAAGATGATCCCGTGGAAGTCCCGGGGGATGAAGGTTAGGTTAGTCCCAGTGCCAGCCTTTGGTAGAAACTCAGGACCTGATAGGTAGAAAGGCGACGAAGAGAGCCTGCTCTTCTTCAAGTTCTACTTTTGCCATCCTAATTCCCCTCGCTCTAAGGATAAAACCAAGCTTGATGAAGCCGCCTTAAAACTGCCCCTTCAAGTGGGAGCCCTCATCTCATTTTTATCCAGGAAAGAGCCCAGAGCATCTGCCGCGGCCTGTAGGCTCTTCTCTGCCAGGCTGGCTTCCGAAATTTCACGGTGGCGGGTACCTTAAGGCCACTCGGCCGGGCAACTGGCAGGAAGATGAAGGTGGGCTTTAAGGAGGAGCACAGCTATGCCCATCTCAGACTCTGGAGACCCGAACGAACTCTAATCTGAATGTGTGACCTTGGGCAAATCACTTACCCTCCCCAGGCCTCGGTTCCCTTATCTGCAAAGTAAAGGTAGCCCTAAAGTCCCCGCCAGGTGTGAATGGGACTTTAAGTCCATCAGGCAGGATGTTGATGGCACTGCGCCAGGGCCCCGGGTCGGCGTGGGGCGGGGGCGCGCCAACGCGGGGCCGGCACCGAGGACTGGGTGGCCCGGGAGAAAAGCGGCGACTGCGCGGCTGCGCGGGGGACGGTGCACACAGTGCTGCGCCCCCCGCCTCTTGGCTCGCTGCCGCGGCCCGGGGGCCACGAGGTTACGTAAGGAGCCGGGCGGGGGTAGCGGCTGGGGAGGGCGGGGCGGGCACCGCCCCAGCGCGGCCGCCCAGCCCCCGCCCGCCCGCGCCTGGCGGCGGTGGCGGCAGTGGCAGCAGTGGCAGCCGCGCAGCCCCGCGGAATGGAGCGGCGCCGGGGCTGAGCCGGGCGCGCACGGGCCGCCGCATGTGCCGCGCGGGGAGCGGCTGCCGAGCGGGCGGAGAGCGAGCGCGAGAGGCCCCGTCGGAGCGGCCGCCGGAGCAGCGCCGGAGATGGGGTGAGTGAGCCCGCGCCGCGCGCTCTCCGCGCGCCCCTCCGGAGGGACTGCGGGGCCGCGGCTGGCGTAACCGGGCTCGGAGCCTCCCGGCGGGCCGGCCCCCGCCTCCCCAAGCCGGAGCGAGCGCACACTCTGCGCCCGGGAGTCTGGGGCCACCTGACCCGCGCCCTCCGCCGGGGCACGCGGACACCCAGCAGGGGCACCCTGGCCTGGGCGCGGAGCCCGTGGCCCTTCCCCTCCCATACAGCCCGGGCACGGGGGCACCTGACGGGGACCGGTGCCCTGGCCGGCCTCCTGCCTCGGCCATTCCGCGGTCTCTTCGCCCCTGGGCGCAGTCAACTCCAGGGCCTGTGTGAGTCTAAGCAGTTTGTCGTTCTCCACGTTTGGATTTATTACAAGCAAAATGGAAATCGAAGTTTTCCTGGAAATAATCAAATAATAATAAACCTCCAGCGTAGGAATAGTGGACTTTGGATCTGCTTTGAGATGCTGAAGATGATGGAAGTCTATAAGGAACCTAGGTGAGGCTTCAGTCTTTGAAACAACTGAGTAGATGCTCAGGAGGGAAGTTGAAATACTCTGTCGAAGTGACTAATGCTTCTGAGTATATAAAGTAATTTAAGCTTTCCCCTCGGCGTCTCTCTGAGCAGTAGGCTCTGTGAGTCTGGGAGCCACTGTGCTAATAGCACAATAACTCCTTACATCTGCTCACTCTATTTGGGCACACGTTGACGGTTTGCCATACGTATTCAGGGGACACTTATGTCCACTTTACAGATGAGGAAACTGAGGCACAAAGTGGTTCGGTGACTTCCCCCAGGCTGTGTAGTTGATGAGCATTTGTGTAGCAGGGGTGGCCTTGCCACTGCCTGACGTGGGCATGGAGGCGGGTAAGTGAACCAGAATTCCTAAATCTCTCTGTTCCCTGCTGCTGAACCCAGCATTCTTCCAACAGCCCTTCGCAGGACTCAAATGCTTCTGCTCCAAGGGTCTAGAGATCTTGCTTTCCTGTTTGGGATGGGTGGGGCCTGGGAAGGCAAGAGTGCAGTGGAAGGAGCAAGATTGTCCTGGTGCCCTGGCTCAGCCCCCCTGGGTCAGTGGCTTTCTTGCACCGTACTCCAGGTTAAGTTTCTGGAGTCATTTTGCCTGGTGAGTCTTAGCCATGGGAGCTGCAGAGTGTGTGAGGGGATCAGAGGCAGGCCAAGAGGAATTTTGAGGAATGGAAGTGTGAGGGCTGTGGGCCAACATGAACTGGACATGACAGAGGTGGGTGACAGAGAGGAGGAGGCGAGATGAGCAGCGAGGGCTGAAGAAGTGTGCTTACATTTAGGAGATTTCACATGAACAGCAACTGTGGGTGATTTTACCCAGAGGCACCCAAGTTGGCAGGCCGTATTTCTGTAACATTTCCAGTGAGTCCTCAGTGGACTGTGAAAAGGCTGATCTTTGAGCAGTGAGAGCCTTTGAGGTTCTCAGATTTCATACTTTAAAAAAATGTACAGGGAAAAAGGAGTTGGCAAATGTAAGGTCTCAGAATGGAAGATAAAAGGGATCCGGTAATTTTAACTCTCTTTCTGGCCCTCCCTCCCCCTGGCCAACACAAAACCAATCCACCGTACTTGTGTGATCAAAAACAAGTACTGAAACTCTGTGGTTGAGATCAAATAGTTCTGTGGAAATGAAAATGTTTACTCACTCATAAAACCTTAAAGAAAATGTCAAAAAATAATTTTTGTTTGTGGAGAAGCAGGGAGGAGACGCTTGGGGATTTTGTTTAAACACAGAATATGTCTTTCATGTAATTTTAACATCATTCGATAAATGTATATATTACTCACTTCTCGTAGATAAAGGCTGGTTTGTAACTCCTACCTACCTCTGCCATTTTTAATAGATCCATGTCTTCTATTATTTATGTGAAAATACAAGCCATGGTCGTAAATTGAGATGCAGCTAAGGGCTGGGGAAGCAATTCAGACAGGAGGGTGGAGGGAGCCGTTTTAACTGAAAATAGAACCAATGTCATCCTTTCTGAGAGTTGTGTAGGATGGAGGGGGAAGAACTTTTTGAAAGGGCAGCTAGTAGAAAACCTTGCTGCGATCCTACAGCTTCGTCATGGCTCTGCTGTGTAGACAGGACTAGGATTTAAGGGAAAAAAAAACAAACTATCTGAGTTTACCTCCCCCCAACTTGAGATGCTTCTCCTCCCTCAAATGTTCACTACCATTTTCCACTTCTCTTCTGCGAAGTGTTCTGTGTTAAGTGTGGCCTCTCCAGTGAGTTTGTGTTCTTACTCCCTAAGGCAACTATTTCATACCTATTCCCCTTTCCAGACCTCTCCCCTTCCTAGGCACACCCCGTGGCTTCCCTTTCAATTGACAAGATAGGCACCTTTGACCAAGGGAATGTCTTCATTTTGCCACCACCTAGTCTAGTATGCAGCTGCTGCTACCTTCTCCTACCTGCCTGCTGTGCTGGATGACCTGTCCCTCATCTCTTCCTACTAGGGGCCCCTTCTTCTGGGGTAGCCTCCATTCCATCCCTTCCTCCTCCCATCTTTTCAGAGATTGTCTCTCCTTCCTAACCACCTTTCTCTCCGGGGTCTTCTCCATCAGTATAGGAGCATACATCTGACCAACAGAACTTTCTGCACTGCTGGAAATGTTCTGTATCTGCGTGGCAGCCACCAGCACATGTGGTTATTGGACACTTGAAATGTGGTTGTTGAGACTGAGGACCTGAATTTTTAACTTAATCTAAATTTAAATAGCCACATGTAGCTAGTGGCCACCATATTGGATAGCATAGCTTTAGTTGCTCTCATCTTAAAAAGGAGATCTCCCTCCCTCCTACATCCCTCTCCTGTTTCACTTCTTTGCTCTTCTTCACCTGAAAACACCTCAGAAGATACATCCAAACCCACTGGCTCCATTCACTTTCTCCTGCCATTTGTTCACTCTCCATACTCTACAGTCTTGCTTCTGCCTCACCTCTGCACCAAAACTGCCAGGGTCTTGGGTGACCAGGGGGTTGCCAGATCTCAGCCTCACCTCACTTCACCTCTCTCAGCAGCATTCCTAACAAATGACCACTCCCTCTCCTCAAAACAACACCCCTCTCAGCTCCTCTGGCCCCACTGTTTCCTGCTTTTCTTCTTACTCCTAATCATGGGGTTGCCCAGGGACTGGTCCTGGTTCCTTTTCTCTGTCCACACTGTCTTCCTAGGTAATACTGTCCCACCTGCAACTCCTCCCCACCCTCCCATGGCTTCAAATGCCATCGATATGCCCATGATGCCCACACTTTAATTTCTAGCTCAGATCTTTCTTGGAGCTTCTGACTCTCGTCAATACATGGAGCTCTTGATATGCCTTCCAGCTCTCACCTGCCTTCCGTCTTCCCCATCCAAGTCAGTGGCCCTACCATGCACTCATTTGCCAAGAGTCATGTTTGAGTCCTCTTCCCAACCTCTCACATGCAGGCTATCAGTTTGTCCTGTGCATTCTACTTCCGGGATATATCTGGAGTGCATTCACCTCACCCCATAGCCATAGTTCCCACTCTAGCCACCATCACCTCTTTCCTAACAGGCCCCCCAGTATCCACTCTGGGTTGTCTGCAGTCCATTTTTCACACAGAAGCCTAAGTGACCAGCTTTTAAAATCATAAATCAGATCATGTCATTCCCCTTTTTAAATACCTCCCACTGACCAGGCGCTGGGCGCAGCTCCCCCTGCCATGCTGCTGTGCCCCTCACTGTGTTCTGCTAACATAGATCTCCTTTCCTTTTCTTGCCTTACCTGAGATCCTTGCACTTGCTGTTTCCCCTGCCTGGAATTCTCTTACCTTCCTCTTTCCTTTCAGACTTTGGCCTCAGGGTCACCCCTTCAGGGTCTTTCCTGCCATCCTGTCTAGAGCACCCACCTCCAGAACTATCTAACCCAGCCCCTTTTCTTTTTTCTTTTGTTGAGACAGAGTCTCCCTCTGTCACCCAGGCAGGAGTGCAGTGGCACGGTCTCTGCTCACTGCAACCTCTGCCTCCCAGGTTCAAGCGATTCTCATGCCTCAGCTTCCTGAGTAGCTGGTATTATAGGCATGTGCCATCACACCCAGCTAATTCTTTTTTTTTTTTTTTTTTTTGAGATGGAGTCTCTGTCTGTCGCCCAGGCTGGAGTGCAGTGGCGCGATCTTGGCTCACTGCAAGCTCCGCCTCCCGGGTTCACGCCATTCTCCTGCCTCAGCCTCCCGAATAGCTGGGACTACAGGCGCCCGCCACCACGCCCAGCTAATTTTTTGTATTTTTAGTAGAGACGGGGTTTCATCGTGTTAGCCAGGATGATCTCAATCTCCTGACCTCATGATTCGCCTGCCCCGGCCTCCCAAAGTGCTGGGATTACAGGCATCAGCCACCATGCCCGGCCACACCCAGCTAATTCTTTTGTATTTTTAGTAGAGATGGGGTTTTACCATGTTGGCCTGGCTGGTCTTGAACCCTTGGCCTCAAATGATCTGCCCACCTCAGCCTCCCAAAGTGCTGGGCCCCAGCCCTACCTTTGTTTCCTATAATTGCTCACCACAGCATGCCAGTAAGCATGCAGGTGTTATTTACTTATTTATAATCCGTCTTCCCCCAGTAGCATCCCAAAAGGATAGGACCTTATCTTTTTCACCAGTGTATTCCAACACCTAGCACAGTGCCTGGCACCAAATAGGCCTCCAGTAAATAATTTTTAATTGAGTTAATGCTTGAATGTTGTGGGCAGCCTTGCTTGGATGCTGGCCTGGAAGCTGTGATAATTTTTGGGTTAACTTTTATATAGCTTGCTTAATTGGGAGTTGCAAGGGCCAAGAGAGAAAGAGATCACATTTGGATGCAGCTTTCTTTTAACATTAAAGCAAGCCATTTAGCTTTCATTGTGATGTGGGTTAATTTTCGGGCCGTCTGCTGTCATTTGAGTACTGGAGTTGTAAATTACCTTTTTACTCTCCTGCAAAAGACTAACAGAAAAGCCAGCTTGTCTACTGTTGTGACTTTTAGCTGATTTTGTCAGTGTTTACAAATAAGATCTACTGTATTACTGTTTGGCTTCATTTTACACTCACTTATTTTGTTCAGCCAAGATTACCTTGCCATGTACAGGTGCCACAATCTTGGTTATCTAACACCTCAGGCTGCCTTTTGGTACTCTATACCGATTTACTTTCTTTTGATGTTCATTCATTCCTTCTTTAATTTTCCATTCCCTCTGAATCACACCAGACTCTGTAGTTCCAACAAATTATAGGGCTGTTCTTTGGGGTTTGAGTTGACTGCAATAGATACAGTCTTTCAGATATGTTGAGGTGAGTTTGTCTTCTCTTGGTCCTGTGGGTTTGTTAAACTTCACTTTCTAATATTCCTTCAGTCTGTACATTGGTAAGGCAGTTGGCAAGTGCTGTAGGGATCCAGAGATGAGCAGACCCACTAGTTAGTTCCTGCCCTTGGGGAGCTTATATTTTGAAAAGGGAGATAAACTACATACACAAGTACCAGCTTTATATGTGAAATGCTGTGAGAGTAAACACAATGTTATAGTCCTTTGGGTATCACAGGTGGTGGTGGAGGGGTGCCCATCTATTTGGGGAATTGAGGAAAGATGCCGTGGTACATTGTGGGGAGGACAGATGCTGTGGTACACTGATGGTTACACAGCCATCCCTCTTAGTATCCGAACTGGAAGAATACACAGAATTTGGAATGGAGTAGGCACTAAATAAGTAGATATTGAATGAGTGTGTAAATAGGTGTGAATGAATATTCTCTTTTGGTTGACTTTCTTTGTTTTTGTTTTTTTAATAAAATACACAGTTTATTACATAGCAATAGGATAAGGAAGGGGACTAGAGGATGTTGCAGTAGGATAGAGATTTTAGATGGGGATCCAGTTAGAAGACTTCACTGAGAAGGAGGCATTAAAGAGCTGAAAGAAGGAGGAGAGTGAGCCATGGAGGTGTCTGAGGGAAGTGTTCCTGGCAGTGTGAATAGTGCGAACAGCAGGTGTAAAGGCCCTGAGGCAGGGGCATGCCTGGCTTGTTCAAGAAATAGTAAGGAAGCTAGTATGGCTGGAGCAGAGTGAGCCAGAGAGAGCACGAAGGTGAAGAGGTCAGGGAGGTAGCAATGGCCAGACCAGTCTTTGGGTTGACTTTTACTTTGGGAAGATGCCATCATTCTCGTTGGAAACTGCCCTGAAGTTTCTGGTCCAAGTGTTGTTAGGAAAGAATAAAGGCATGTTTGCTGCTCGCACAGTTCGCTGGAAATATCAGGGCCAAGTAATTCTGCTGAAGCGGGACGCTGAGCAGAGCACATGGTTTATTTTTGTCGAATAGACTCAGTGATTTGTGTAAATTATTAGGTTTCTTTTCTGGAATGGCTCCTGAGGAACTTAGAGTTAAATGTGTGGTGACCCTTAGCAGATTTATCAGACTTCATCCATTACCTTTATTTCTAGCTCAGTGTGATGGCCCTACCCTTGTTTTGTCTTTACCCTTTATCATCTACCACTTTTTTTTTTTAATGTTTTTGAGACAGAGTCTCACTCTGTTGCCCATGCTGGAGTGCAGTGGTGCGATTTCGGCTCACTGCAACCTCCGCCTCTTGGGTTCAAGCGATTCTCCTACCTTAGCCTCCCGAGTAGCTGGGACTACAGGCGCCTGCCACCACACCCGGCTAATTTTTTGTATTTTTAGTAGAGATGGGATTTCACCTTGTTAGCCAGGATGGTCTCGATCTCCTGACCTCGTGATTTGCCCGCCTTGGCCTCCCAAAATGTTGGGATTACAGGCGTCAGCCACCGCGCCCGGCCATCTACCACTTTTTTTCTTTTTCTTTTTTTTTTAACAAAAGGAAAATAGCTTTGCTTTTTTCTAATTATAAAAAAACTACATGTTTATACTGAAAAATAACAGCATAAAGAAGGAAGTGAAAATTACTTGTCATCCCACGTCTTAGGGATAACCTCCATCAGCATTTCAATGTCTGCCTTTGTACTTTTTTCCATGTATATATGTCTGTGTGTGTCTAGATGTATGTCTACATAGAGCAAGTCTATTTTTAACAAAATGCAATCATTTTATACATCTGTCTTGTAACATAATTTTTCCAACTTAAAATATCTTGAGTGGACATCTTTACATGCCAATAACTATAAAAATACCTCATCATTTAAATCCACACCTACTTCTAATTTGTCATTTTGCTAAATCTTATACATCTTTGTAAACCTATTTAAATCCTTTCTGGAACAAGACAGGCTCTTTTTTTTTTTTTTTTTAAGACATTTTAACAATTTCTTAAAGCAGTTGTTTGCTTTAAATGAATTACTGAAGGAAAGAAATGGTAGAGGAGACCAAGATCACAATTAACATTGGGTAATTTGCAGTGCCTGTGTCATTTGGGTGAGTCACGGCTCCTTAGTGAATCTTGGTAAGAACATCAAGGATTCATCGTTGTTGCTAAGGTTGGTTGGTGGACCGAGACCCAGCTGCTCAAATTGTTTCTCCTTGTTTGGAAATATCAGGGCCGAGTAATTCTGCTTTAAGACTTGGATGAGAAGGCTCTTTGCAAGCAGGAAGCACCCATGCCCATACCTCGAAGGCCCCCTTCTGCTTTGAAGGTTCTTTGGTGTATATCACACCCCCTCCTTCAAAGAGAATTCCCCCAGTGAGCCAGTTGGCAGGGATGTATACAAAAGGAAGGACATTATATTTCCTGTTTTAGTATGAAGGGAAATTAAAAATTTAAAAAAAAAAAACCGTGGGCAAATCCACTGAAATGTCACCACAGCCTGCACAAACATCTAAAACCTTTGGATAAAGAACTTCTCTTTGATACACGGGGTGGGGCTGAGGGCAGGGACCCCTTTTCCATTTGACAAGAAAAACCTTCTTCACCTTTGTCAAACGTGAACAGCAGTCAAATAGCATATTTACAATAGAGAAAAGGCATTTTTCTGAATGTTAGAAATCTGTGGTGTATCAAGTCCTGACTTTATAGATCTTGAGAGTTAGACTTTGTTTTTTCCCCCCAGGGTGAAAATAAATTGAGCAAAAAGAAGCATTGTGAGGAATTGGGGCATAAAGCTTCTAATTTGCATTGGTTTTGATCCACTGGTCTTTTAAGCACTGCTTGTTATGTGTCTGCATTTTCTAGGTATTGTGCACACAGACTGCCCCCAAGTCGTATTTATAGGTTTGGAGGTGAGAGCTGGCATCATGATCCAGTTTCCTAGCGGGGTGCGTTTTGTGTGGGAAGAACGGCAGGATGGGAGCCTCTGAATGCATGATGAAGACTCCAGTAGTTCTGCCACCGGGGTGCTGTTAGTCATATGGTATCATTCTGGTAGAATTTATTTAAATTATATTTCAAATTAGCTTGTTAGAATAAAAATATGCTTGTGGGGAACACATTTAGACATTTGTCAAAGACTAGAGAGATTTAAAAAAAAAATTTTTATTCATAAGCCTGGTTGATAGTCTTATTATTATTCCTCTGAGGAATTGGAGATGGTAGAGTCCCCACCCCTGTGCAGACAAGCTTAGGATGAGGCTTTGCCACTAGCCAGAGGAGTCAGGGTGAGAGCCGTGTATTAAAAAGAAGCTCTTGAGTACACAAGTGGCTCCCAGTCAAAGGAGGGCCGAAGTGAGGGCGGGTCCCAGCTATGCAGGGGCTCTAGGAGGCCCCTTTCTTTGCCCTGCCTGGGGAAATCTCTGTCCAGATCACCAGTGAGGGGCAGGCCAAGTCCAGTCTGCCTTTAGTCCTCCTTTTGTTCTGCGGGTAATCTTGTCTGTGGGTTATGGGGTGGGCGGTATCCACAGGGACCTGATGAGTGAGGAATATTGCAGACCCCACTGCCTGGGCAATGGATCCTTTTTGGGATCTCTAATTGGGAAAGCTTTTAATTGGAGTTTTTAGATAAATGGAAAAACGAAGAGTTGTTTTAGCTTGTGTCCTGTGGGAGCTGGTGACAGAGAGAGTCCTCATGGGGAAAAGGAATGGAGCCTCTTCCAGGATGCTCCAAAGACAAGGAAAAGGAGCTCCCAGTGGAGGTGGCATCAAGACATATTTCAGCTCACTTGGTATGAGGAAGAGCTCTCTAACTCCTCCAAGTGGACTGAGCGTAGACTCAGCTGTCTCAGCTGCATTGTCATGGAGCACCGTTGGTTGTGGGAGCTGGGAAGGCTGGTTAAGCACATACAGCTCAAGCCCCAGCCCTCCTCACCCTCACTGGCTGTGTGAGCTTAGATGACATATTTTCTCTCTCTAAGCTTTACTGTCCTCATCTATTAAATGATTGAGGTGATTAAATAGAAAATGTGTATAGAGCATTTAGCACAATGCCGGACACATAAATAGTAAATGATGGCCAAGTTTATCATCATTATCATTACCACTGCCATCATTTCTTCTTTGGGTGGGAAGTTGGCCCTTTGGGCACCGTCTGGAGTTAGGTGGTTGGGGATGACATGTGCTTCCATTCCCTCATCCTTAATCCCCTTGGGCACTCTCTGAGTCTTCAGCCACTGTGTGGCTGCCTTCCAGACGACCCAGTCACTCTGCTCCCAGTCCTGAGCAGTGCCAGAGTTGGCTTCCAGTCATCAGGTGACTCAGGCAATCCGAGGCTTACCCTGTGAAATGTTGCCTCATATTGCTAAGCCTCTCAGGTGGTGTGGGTGGAGGAATGTCGCCAGCCAGAGGATCGGGAAGGCCGGGAGAATGAGCTGACCCATGTATATCAACAAGAAAACCGGTCTGCCAACTCGTTGCTTTTACAGGGAGGTGCAAGTGTGGACAAAGTTAAGTGGTTTCTCCCCATTGTGGCATCAGACTAGGGATTTGTGTTGCTGGTCAGGGAGCTCCTCATTGATTATTTGTATATGCATTCGCTCATTCATTCAGCAGTGACCTACCTGTGTCAGGCATTGTCGTGGGTGCTCGGAACACAGTGATGGACATCGGTGGCTCTAGGATGCTTACAGGCTAGTGGAGAAGTTGGACATCACGTAAACACTGCCCAATGGATGGGCATTGGAGGATGTTGTACCAGGGGCCATGTGGACTAGTCAGTAGTTTCAGGGTCCCTGTATGTCTCTGGACTCCCATCCTTACTCGTATGGATCTGAATTCCTTTCTGATCACCCTTCATCAGTTCGTCAGCTCTTTTACCTTTCTTGATCCTTTGGCCAATGACCATCACCTGAATGTTGAGTACCTTCTCTGGGCTAGACACCAGGAAGACAGGTCGTAAGACAGAGTCCCTGCCTTCCTGAGGGAGATGGCTGGTGAGCAGGTAATTAGGGCAATGAAATAAGCCTGTTATTGAAATATGAACGTAGATAGATGCTTAACTCTGTACGAAGTTAGAGAAGGCTTCCTGAAGGAGGTGACATCCAAGCTAAATCTTGAAGGATAAAGAGGGGTTTCTCAGGCAGACAAAATGAGGAACAGGGCATTTAGGCAGAGAGTGTTGCCTAAGGGAAGTAGTGAAGTATGCGGGTCAAGAACAGGGACCTTGGACCCAGTCTTTGCCTGGCCATTCACTGCCTGTGTGACTGGAGCAATGTGCTGACCTTCTTTGAGCTTCCATTTCTTCATCTGTGAAATGAGAATAATAATAGTATTATACCAATGTTGTAGGGTTGTTGTAAGGATTGAATGAAACACACATGTTGATTTACATTAGCTATTAATAATAGGCATGGAGATGGAAAAGAATGTGGAGTAGAAGGTGAATGTGGAGAAAGGCTTGGGAAGGTATAGGCATGAAGGAGAGAGCTTTGGGCTAAGGTGTTGGGAGTTAATCCTGTGAGTGGCAGGGAGCCAGCCATAGGTGAGGCTGGAGGTCAGGGGAGCAGCTTGTCCTGGTGTTGAAGAATGAGGCCTGACCTGGGCATCAAGCAGTGGGCTTGGAGAGGAAGAGGTGACTTGGGGTGGGTGGCAGGAGCGCACTATACTGTATGGACTTCAGTCTGTAGGCAGTAAGGGAACATTTTCAGTTTTGAAGAGAAGAATAATGCTTGTTTTAGGATTTTTTTTTTTTTTTTTTTTTTTTTGAGACAGACTCTCACTCTGTCGCCCAGGCTAGAGTGCAGTGGTGTGAACTTGGCTCACCGCAGCCTCTGCCTCCCGGTTCAAGCGATTCTTGCGCCTCAGCCTCCCGAGTAGCTGGGATTACAGGTGTGTACCACCACAACCGGCTAATTTTTGTATTTTTAGTATAGAGGGGGTTTCATCATGTTGGTCAGGCTGGTCTTGAACTCCTGATCTGAAGTGATCTGCCTGCTTCGGCCTCCCAAAGTGCTGGGATTACAGGTGTGAGCCACTGTACCCAGCCAGGAAAATTATTTTAGAGATAGTAATGAAGGGTAGTATGGAGATTGGAAGGAAAGAGACCTCATAGGAACTGGTCACACTCCAGGCAAGAACTGAAGGGATAGAGAGAGAAAGCTGATATAGCAGATTTATATAATGTAAACCTTGCCTTGCTCTGTAATGGATCTGAGGCAGCTTCTAGGGTTATATGTAATACTGTAAAAGAGGAAAACATATGGAAGATTCCAGACTTCTCACTGGGGGTGAGAGTTAGATTTTTTTTTTTTTGGAACAGGGTCTTGCTCTGTCACTCAGGGAGTACACTCCAGTGCAGTGCAATCATAGCTCACTGCAGCCTCAACCTCTGGGCACAAGCGATCCTCCCACCTCAACCTCCTGAGTAGCTGGGGCCGCAGGCACATGCCACCATACACAGCTAATTTTTTTTTTTAAGACAGAGTCTCCTTCTGTCACCCAGGCTAGAGTGCATCTCAGCTCACTGCAAGCTCCACCTCTCAGGTTCACGCCATTCTCCTGCCTCAGCCTCCTGAGTAGCTGGGACTACAGGCACCAGCCAGGCACCAGGCTAATTTTTTGTATTTTTAGTAGAGATGGGGTTTCACTGTGTTAGCCAGGATGGTCTCGATCTCCTGACCTCGTGATCCGCCCGCCTTGGCCTCCCAAAGTGCTGGGATTACAGGCGTGACCCACCACGCCCAGCCCATGCACAGCTAATTTTTTATGTTTTGTAGAGATAGGGTTGCACTATGTTGCTCAGGCTGGTCTTGATCTCCTGAGCAATCCTCCCGCCTTGCAGGTCTTTCATATATAGTTGTTAAATGAGGACACAATTAAGCTATCATTTAATGAGAACTTGGTAGGTTGGAGTCACTATGCAGAGTGCTGTCTATGCAATATCTCATTTAACTCTCACAACAACCTCCCCATTTTCTTTTTCTTTTTTTTATTATACTTTAAGTTCTAGGGTACATGTGCACAATGTGCAGCTTTGTTACATATGTATACATGTGCCATGTTGGTGTGCTGCACCCATTAACTCGTCATTTACATTAGGTATATCTCCTAATGCTATTCCCTCCCCACTCCCCCGACCCCACGACAGGCCTCGGTGTGTGATGTTCCCCACCCTGTCTCCAGGTGTTCTCATTGTTCAATTCCCACTTATGAGTGAGAACATGCGGTGTTTGGTTTTCTGTCCTTGCGACAGTTTGCTCAGAATGATGGTTTTTAGCTTCATTCATGTCCCTACAAAGGACATGAACTCATCCTTTTTTATTGCTGCGTAGTATTCCATGGTGTATATGTGCCACATTTTCTTAGTCCAGTCTATCATTGATGGACATTTGGACAACCTCCCCATTTTCACAGTTGAAGAGACTGGGCTTAAGAGATTCAGTAGCCTACCAAAGCTGTCAGTCAGGACATGGCAGAGTTGGAAACCAAGCTTGAGCATATCTGAGAGCAAAATTCATGTTCTTTTTTTTGTTGTTGTTGAGATAGAGTCTTGCTCTTTCACCCAGGCTGCAGTGCAGTGGTGCAGTCTCGGCTCACTGAAACCTCTGCCTCCCAGGTTCAAGCGATCTTCCTGCCTCAGCCCCCCAAGTAGTTGGGACTACAGGTTTGCACCACGACACCTGGCTAATTTTTTTTGTATTTTTAGTAGAGACGGGGTTTTGCCATGTTGGCCAGGCTGGTCTCGAACTTCTAGCCACAAGTGATCCGCCCACCTTGCCCTCCCAAAGTGCTGGGATTACAGGCGTGAGCCACCGTGCCCGGCCAAAATTCCTGTTCTTAAGATGCACTTTCTGGAGACCAAAGCTCCCATGAGAGTCATGTGGTGGATGGACTCCACTCTTGGTTGTTAGGATGAGAGAATGCAAGAGGCTGAATTACCATTGACGTGTATGTTTCTAGGCTGTGCGGCTGATAGTGGTGATGTTGACTGAGATTGGGAACGTAAGAGGAGATGCAGTTCTTTTGGGGAAAATGAGAGTTTAGTTTTGGGCGGATATGGTGACTTTTCACTTGTCCAGGCTATCCATAGCAAGTATAAATTCAGCTCTAACACTCAACAGTTCAGATAGAGTCAGAGATACAGATTTGGGAGCCATCACCTCTAAGATGGATTTGACCTTCTAAGGAGAAAGAAAGTCAAGAAGGATAAAGATGGAACTCTGGCCAAGGCCTGCAACTGGAGGGAAGGAAAAGAAGCCGGTGAATGAGCCTGAGAGGTGATGAGACTCAGAGGAAGGCTGGAGGAGAGAGGGGTTGCAGAAGCCAGGGGAGAGGAGGCTGAAAAGGGGAGCATCTTCAACAGGGTCAGAGGCCTCAGAAAGCTTAGAGGAGGCGGGAGACTGAGACTGAGACTCCCTGTGGGAGTGGGAGTGTTAGGGCACTGAGGGAGTTTGAGAGCAGCCTCAGCCAAATGTGAAAACACAAATCCATTTGCAGGCAAAATGCATTTAATAAGTGAGTATGTGAGGAGCGGGTGGAGAAGTCTAGCTGATGATGAAGGTAGCTTGAAAGTGAGTCAGGGTAGAAGGACCATTGATGTTTGTTTCATAAGTTGAGGATGTTGGGAGTCTGAGGGTAAAGAAAAGGGGAGATTGAATATCTTAGAGAAGGATGAGAGGCAGTAAGGTTGGAGGCAGGCGGCAACTAGAGGAAGACCTGAAGAGGAGTGCATCGTCCTCAGAGACCAGGCAAGGTGCAGGTATAGAGGCATTTTGAGGCTGTGGCCAGAAGAGGGGCATAGGAGCTTGATCAGCTGGCATTTTCTTTTTTTGCGGGGGACGGTGTCTTGCTCTGTCGCCCAGGCTGGAGTGCAGTGGCGCGATCTCAACTTACTGCAACCTCTGCCTCCTGGGTTCAAGCAATTCTCCTGTCTCAGCCTCCTGAGTAGCTGGGATTACAGGTGTGTACCACCACGCCCGGTTAATTTTTGTGTTTTTTCAGTAGAGACGGGGTTTCGCCATGTTGGCCAGGCTGGTCTCAAACTCCTGACTTCAGGTGATCCACCCACCTCAGCCTCCCAAAGTGCTGGGATTACAGGCATGAGCCACCATGCCCAGCTGAGCTGGCATTTTCTTCTCTGTGTGAGATAAGGGATTGATCTGAGAACCGGAGGGTAGATCAAGAAGGAAAATGGGTTGATAAAGCTGGTTGTAGGGTTGGGGCGAGGAGTGAGCTGAAGCAAATACTGACTAGAGAACAGCCTTCAGGGACCGGTTGAAGATTGAAGACTGTGACTTTGTAAAGCTGCCAGTGGCCACTGGTAGATGGTGTGCCAACATGCCAAGCAACCAGGGAGTAAGAACAGATGCAAGCAGTCCCAGACCCAGAAGGTGGGTGCACAGGGACAGCCACCCTGATCGGACTCGGAGTGCTTTGCCATCCACAGCCCTGGGCACACCATGTGGGAGGAGGGGGAGCCTGCTCTGTCTCCATTGGTCACCTCTTTGCCCTCACTTCTCTGAGTTGCCAGTCATTGTTCTGTTGTTAATTCTTCCAGACCCTTTCTGAAAAATGCATTAAAATTCTCACCAGCATGACCTCTTTGAGTAATGAGATCTGTAAGTTTATTAACCTCTGTGAGAAGTGGATTTTCTTGCTCCATGGGAGCGGATAATGTCTTGGAGGGAACGAACATTAATGTGCTGACCTGGAGGGCAGAGGCAGTGTGAGGGCAGCTTATCTGTGTCCCTCCCAACTCTCTGACTTAACGTGTGTCTCATGGAACTCAGGGAATATGGGCTGATTGCTTCTGCACATCACTGTCCCTCAGCCCACTCAGTCCAGCAGCAGCCCAGAGTCAGAGAAACCAAACCATAACAAAATCCAAGTTTCTGTCACTGAGTCTCATTCACTAAGTTTGAGAAGGGGAAAGCTGAAGGTGAGAGCATGAAGTCTTATGCAGAGAAGAATGTCTAGACTGTATGTCATTCACAGTGGCCTGGGAACCCATTGGCGTTGGGAGGGGCAGCAGGATATTTGCTGTATGACTATGTTGAAACACATCCTCTGTCATCCCAGTGTTGGCCTTCAAATGTGCACATGTCATGGATATTTGACATGAGCTAAGTAGTGATGATTCATGACTTCATCCTCATTACTTGGATATTTCAAGCCTGCTATAACCTAACCCAACCTAATAGTCTTGTGTGTACCCTGAATATTTTTGGTCCAGGCCCCTCTATATTGTTTAGCACATAAAACATTTAATTATAATATGAAGTTATAATCTGTTATAATCTGTGACTCCCCCACCCTTGCCTTCCAGACCAGCTCTGTCTAATAGAAATAGGAGAGCTGGCCAGGCATGGTGGCTCACACCTCACACACTTTGGGAGGCAGAGGCAGGCAGATCACTTGAGCTCAGGAGTTCATGGAGAAACCCCATCTCAAAAAAAAAAAAATACAAAAATTAGCTAGGCATGGTGGCATGCACCTACAGTCCCAGCTACTTGTGAGGTTGAGGTGGGAGGATCGCTTGAACCTGGGAGACGGAGGTTGCAGCGAGCTGAGATCACGCCACTGCAGTCCAGTCTGGGTGACAGAGCAAGAGTCTGTCTCAAAAACAAACAAAAAAAAGAAATAGGAGAACCATGTATGTAATTTTAAGTTTTCCAGTATCCACATTAAAAGATTGACAAGAAACAAGTGAAATTAAAATTTTAATCCAATATACCAAAAATAGTATCATTTCAACATGTAATCAATGGTGAGCAAAACAGACACCATCCCTCTCTGTGTGGAATTTACATTCTAGTGAGGGAGACAGCTCCACCTGTCCCTGGCCCCTCCCCTGAAAACACAACCTGTAAATGGATCCACAAATAAAATAACTGCAGGTTGTGCTTAGTGCCAGAGGGAAAAAAGCAAGGGCTGAGACCGACTTTAGAATGTGTGGTTGTGAGATGCCCCTCTGAAGAGGTGGTGACATTTAGGCTGCTACCGCATGTGCAGAAAGGGAGCAGAGCGTTCTAGGTGGAGGAAAGAGCAGGTGCAAAGACTGCAAGTAGGAGGGGGATGTCTGGAATGTTTGAGAGACTGAAGTCAGACCAGCAGGGCAGGATTGCAGCAAGTGAGGGGAGGGCACCCTGTCTCAGATTGGAGAAAGACGTATGCGAGGACGAAATTGAGCTGAGGCATGGACTGGCGGTTTTATTTGATGGGCAGTATGATTCAATAAAAGTGAAAGGTTTTAGCAGGGCTGCAGCATGATCCTTCTTCAGATTTAAGAAGAGCACACTTCTGCTCTGTGGGGGATGCAGTGGAAGGGGACAACAGTTGAAGGAAGCAAGGAGACCCATCGAAGGTCTCCAGGTCAAAGTGGTTGCTGGCTGAGGCTGAGAAGGTCACAGAGGAGACAGAAGTGGGTGGGTTCTACAGAAGGCTTGCAGATGGATTTGTAAGAACCTTCAGATGGATGAGATATGGCATAAGGGATGAGGGAGAGGGAGAGAATAAAGAAGGCCCCTTTGGGTTTTAGGTTATGCCACTAGGAGATGTAGGGAAGTCTGGAAGAGGAGCAAGTTAGGATGGGGGTGTGGGAGTCAAATTCAGTATCAACAGGTTCAGGTTGAGGGGGTGAGTGGAGGTGGAGCTGGGGAGGAGGTAGGTAATTGTATGAATCTGTGGCTTAGCCGAGAGGTCAGCTGGGAGAAGGCTAGTGAGGTCACCCAGGGAGGGAGGGCAGGCAGAGAAGGAGAGGGCTCAGGATTGAGTGTGTAACACCCATCCTTTAGGTGGCCATAGAGGAGGAAGAGCCAGCAGAGAAGATAGAGGAGGAGTGGCCAGTGAGGTGTGGTGGCCTCAGGGTGGCCAGTGGAGAAGTGTCCTAAGCAGGAGAGTTTGGGCATTGGTTTGAGCACTGCTGAGATGGGTCCAGGAGCCAGGTGGGTTGGAAGGTGAGTGCGAGGCTGGGGAGCAGGGTTATGTGGACCACATTTTGAAGAAGTTGACTGTTAAGGGAGCAGAGAAATAGGACCATACATGAGAGGGCGCAGGTGCGGAGGGAAGCATTGAAGGCAGGAGATGCAGCAGGCGAGGTGTGAGGGGAGCGCTGCCAGTTGAAGGCGGGGGGCAGAGGAGCCCAGGCCTTGAGAAGATGAGAGGCTGTGGTTCAGAGCCCCAGGGAAGGAGGCCACCATGACAGAGATGCAGGCGGGATTGGTGTGGTGGGAAGACAGAGTTCCCATCTGTGGCTCTTCTTTTCCATCTGAAGTATGAGGCAGGGTCGTCAGCAGAGAGCGTGAGTGGGGGACAGGGTGTGGGAAGCTGGAGGAGAAGGTGATGTGAAATTGTTTTCCGGGAGTGGGCGGCAAGGCTACCAGAGAAACACAGGCCTGTCGGCCACTGCAGAGTGACAGTTTGAGGTCAGAGAACATGAATTTAAAGTGAAACTTGTCCACCCTGTTTTGACCTTGCCCAGTGGCGTGGGTGTGGGTGTGGAGGAAGCAGGTGGCAGAAGGCATCAGGCTGGGGTTCGGCCAGGCAGGGGGGCAGGATCCACCGGGGATTGGTAACCATGAGAGACCATGGGATGGACATGGGCCCTCCCAGGAAGAAAGGGAGGCCGGGAGGTGGCTGGTGGAGTGGGGAAGTAAATCAGTGGCCTGGAGGTCTCTGCGAGATGGGAAATGCATGTGCGGGGAACTGGGAGGATGGGTGGTGTGGGCGGGAAGCAAGGGATCTGCAGCTCATGTTTTAAGGTGATGGAGGATTCCAGGGTATGGCTGTGGGTGAGGGTCACTAAAGGAGCATGGGGAAGGAGGCATTGGAGTGGAAGAGGCTGAGGAACTGAGTCCAGGGTGTTGAGGGTTATCTCTGTGGATGGTGACAGGTGGTGGGCGGAAGAGGAGGCTGGGCCAGGAGCTGAAGCCCTTGGTGGGTGGCAGAAAGTAACGTGGAGGCAGGCGAAGGTGGGTGGGAACAGGTGGCTGAATGACCTCGCCTCCAGGGCACAGAGGGACTGCATGATGGGGGCCACCAGGATACCCTTCCCCCTCCCTTTCTGTTCTGCATATGTGGGGGGCGGTGGGGAGTGTTGCTCTCAGGGACTCACTGGTTTCCAGTAAGGCATGAAAGTGAAGAGAGTGTTCTGGCCAGGGATGCTGAGGCCTGCTGATTTCCAGAAGGATTTCCTGTGAGTGTGGGAGGATAGGGAGCGGGAAGGACCGGCTCAGATTTGGGAACATCCAGGGCAGGGAGAACTCTGCGTGTTGCTGGGTGGCAGGGAAGTGTGGTGTCCACCCCTTCCCAAGGTAGAGTGATGGCACCTATTCATGTCTTGGGCATGGGGAGTGGGGCGGGTCTTTCGTGAGTGTGAGAGAGACTTGGGGATTTCGAGTGGAAGGTGAGCTCCCTGTGAGTCAGCCCTGGTGATGTGGTTGCCAGGATGCTGCCTCAAACTCTGAAGACCTTAGTGAAGTGTGAAAGCACTGTAGGAAAGGAGGCAGTGGGCCTGCCCCGCTCCCATCTAGAACCCTGCGTTTGGTTCTGGGCACCAGAGGTCCCCTAAGTATAGATGTATGGAAGGACATTTGGAGGAGAGAATGCAGAGCAGGAGGGGTCTGGGCATGTTTCTGTGAGAATGATGAGAAGGTGGGGTTCTTGGCTGGGTGCAGTGGCTCACACCTGTAAACCTAGCACTTTGGGAGGCTGAGGTGGGAGGATTGCTTGAAGCCACAAGTTCGAGATCAGCCTGGGGTGATGTAGTGAGACCTCTTCCCTACCAGTCATTTTTTGTGTTGTTGTTTCTTTTTTTATTAGCTGGGTGTGGTGGCATGCACCTGTAGTCCCAGCTACTCAGGAGGCTGAGACAGCAGAATTCCTTGAGCCCAGGAGGTCGAGGCTGCAGTGAGCCATGATTGCACCACTGCACTCCATCCTGGATGACAGAGCAAGACCTCATCTCAAGGAAGGGTTCTTAATGTGGGATGTGGGGTCTCTGAACACCCCTGCCCATCCTATGGAGAGTTGTAGATAAGTGTGTGCTTGTCTGGGGAGGGTGTCCATAGTTTTTTTTTTTTTTATCAGATTTTCAAAGGGGTCCTTGATCCAAAGGAGATTAGCACCACCTGTTTAAAGGACTTGGGCATACTTAGCCTAGAGAAGGGACAACTTGAGCTGACAGTGAGGGCACGGGGAGGAGAGAGCCGCCCCCCTGTAGATTACCAGCTGCCGTTTGTGGTGGGGAGCTTGCTCTATGTGGACCCACCCAGTGGGGTTCAGATCGGTGGGAGGGAGCCCAGCTTTGGCTCTGTGTGGGCATCTGAGGGAGCCTAAGAGCACCTCTCACAGTTGGGGTGTGCACAGGGCAGGAGGCAGGAGGAGAAGGCCTGTGATGCCGCCAAAAGCTTTGTCCAAACCTTGTTCTGAGGAGTAAACAGCTTTGAACATTGCTGGGTTTTCCTCATCCTCAGAGAGAGTGTCTTGAGGGCCGAGCTTTGCGGGAGTGATGAAGCCCTTGTGGAGGCTCAGGGGTGTGGCTCAGGAGGCAGCGCATTAATTCTCATCTTAGGGAGTGCACCATCAGCTTGTCTTGGGGCCTCAATTACTCCTCTGTGGTGTGAGAATACTGTTCCGTATGGCATTGCCTTGGGGTGTGGTGGGTAGCTCTTCCCCAGGTCTTTTTTTTTCTTTTTTCTTTTTTTTTTTTGAGACAGAGTCTTGCTGTGTTGCCCAGGCTCAGGCTGGAGTGCAGTGGTGTGATCTTGGCTCACTGCAACCTCCAGCTCCCAGGTTCAAGCGATTCTCCTGCCTGAGCCTCCCAAGTAGCTGGGACTACAGGTGCGCACCACCATGCCTGGCTGATTTTTGTGATTTTAGCAGAGACAGGGTTTTGCCATGTTGGCCATGCTAGTCGCAAACTCCTGACCTCAAGTGATCCACCTTCCTTGGCCTCCCAAAGTGCTGGGATTACAGGCGTGAGCCACCACGCCCGGCCCTCTTCCCTACATCTTACTCGGGAATGAGCTCTCCTGCATAGGCCTTTGCTTGCCCACCTAGATGGTCTCTAGCATTGGGCTGTCTTCCATAATATGGATGGAGTTGGGTGAGAAGAGTGCTGAATTAGGCCCCCCAGGCCTGGGTTTGAGCACAGCTTTATCTCGTAGTAGAAAGTCCTGTCTTCCCCTCACCCAGTGTGTTCCTAGTGATGGTTAGGGCTCCTGTCTTTCTTTGGCACTAACAGAATCAGATTCAGTAAATTTAAAGTGACTCCTGTGAGACAGAACTGCTGGTTAATTGAGTTTGACTTTGTGAGAGTGTCCTCTCTTTTTCTTCTGTCAGTTTTGTTTTGTTTTGTTTTGTTTTGTTTTTTGAGACGGAGTCTCGCTCTGTCGCCCATGCTGGAGTGCAGTGGCGCGATCTCGGCTCATGGCAACCTCTGCCTTTTGGGTTCAAGCGATTCTCCTGCGTCAGTCTTCTGAGTAGCTGGGACTACAGGTGCATGCCACCACACCCAACTAATTTTTTGTATTTTTAGTAGAGACGGGGTTTCACCGTGTTAGCCAGGATGGTCTCGATCTCCTGACCTCGTGATCTGCCTGCCTCGGCCTCCCAAAGTGCTGGGATTATAGGCATGAGCCACCGCACCTGGCCTTTTTTTTTTTTTTTTTTTTAAAGCAGGCATGCTTCACCAAGGATGAAATATTCTGAAAAACTGGAATTGGAATCCCACAGCCTGATTGAAAGCCATATCACTGGCTTCAAGGGAGGGAGCTAAAAAAAGCTACTCCTTGGCTTCTCCCATGAATTTTAAATGTTCTGAAAGCTTTGCCTTGAGAAGGAAACAATGCCTCATGCCTTAAATAATTAAGTGGAGTACACTAAGAATGGCAGTGTCAGCCCAGGCTGGTCACACTGTGGCCCCAGGGGGCCTGTCTCTCAAGGGCAGAGCTCTGTGGGTGCTGGACGAAGTTGTCCTCATAGCAAAAATTGGTACAGCTTCAAATACTGCCTTTTAGGCATTTGGTGAAATTGGCATAACCCTGGAAATGTCATAAAAGAGGATGAAGGTGGCATGTGGTAGAATGCAAGCTTTTTTTTTTTTTTTGATACAGTGTCTTGTTCTGTCGTCCAGGCTAGAGTGCAGTGGCTAGATCTTGGCTCTGTATGGGCAACTGAGGGAGCCCAAGAGCACCTCTCATAGGCGGGGTGTGCACAGGGCAGGAGGTGCACAGGGCACACTGCAACCTCCGCCTCCCGGGTTCAAGTGAGTCTCCTGCCTCAGCCCCCCCAAGTAGCTGGGATTACAGGTGCCCGCCACCACACCCGACTAACTTTGGTATTTTTAGTAGAGACGGGGTTTCATTATGTTGGCCAGGCTGGTCTCAAACTCCAGACCTCAAGTGATCTACCCTCCTCGGCCTCCCAAAGTTCTTGGATTACAGGCATGAGCCACCACACCCAGCCAGAATGCAAGTTTTCTGCTGAAAAGCTGCATCCATCAGCTGTTTGTATCAGACAAACAGTGAATTCTTAGCTGGCCTTAATTTGCCCCTCCACTGCCACATGACTGTCCATGTGGGATGACTGTGGGCCAGGCCCAAGTCTGTATCCTCCCAACAACTATAGTATTGGCAGTGGTTTCTCTGTACACTTGGTGGAAACTTCTGGAGAATCTGTGCAGGGAAAAGGCTACTTTATCTTCAGGCAGAAGACCCTCCCTTCAGGGGCAGTGATGGCATCTCAGAGCTGCTTCCTGGCTGTCTGTGCACTCTGTGATTGCACCGGACGCTTACCTCTGAGGCTGCAGGATGGCATGCTGTACAGACGTCAGGTCATGCCAGGCGGTCCTTGTGGTATCTTACATGGTTTCTGTGGAAGAGTGAGTTCTGCCGGGGTAACTAATACTTATTGACTCCCTTTATACGGTATTTCATTTGAGCTTCACATTTTATGGATAAACTAGAGTTGAGAGAGGTGGAGTGACTTGGTTAAGGTCACACAGCCAGCACACAGAGTGAAGTTGGTGGTTATGTGTGTGGTCCGACCCTGAGGGAAGTCACCCAGAGGGTCACATTTTGTGAGACTTTTATAGTTCCATGAGAAAAACAGCCTTTATTTCAAGAGTACAACTTGAAGTCTAAAACCAAAAGCAGAGATGTGCCTCAGAAAAGCTGTGTTAGGCCGGGCGTGGTGGCTCACGCCTGTAATCCCAGCACTTTGGGAGGCCGAGGCGGACGGATCACTGGAGGTCGGAGTTCAAGACCAGCCTGACCAACATGGAGAAGCCCCATCTCTACTAAAAATACAAAATTAGCCAGGCGTGGTGGCACATGCCTGTAATCCCAGCTACTCGGGAGGCTGAGGTAGGAGAATCACTTGAGCCCAGCAGGCGGAGGTTGAGGTGAGCCAAGATCCTGCCCCTACACTTCAGCCTGGGCAACAAGAGCGAAACTCCGTCTCAAAAAAAAAACAACAAAACTGTGTTAGCATACCTGTAACAGGGTGGAGGCTAGTAGCCGAGGCTTCCTTTGATTTTTTTTTTTTTTTTTTTTTTGATAGTCTCACTCTGTCACCCAGGCTGGAGTGTGCAGTGACGCGATCTCGGCTCACTGCAATCTCCGCCTCCTGGGTTCAAGTGATTCTCTTGCCTCAGCCTCCCAAGTAGCTGGGATTACAGGTGTGTACCACTACACCTGGCTAATTTTTGTATTTTTAGTAGAGACGGGGTTTCTCCATGTTGGGCAGGCTGGTCTTGAACTCCTGACCTCAGGTGTTCCACCCGCCTTGACCTCCCAAAGTGCTGGGATTACGGGCGTGAGCCACCGTGCCTGGCCTCCTATGGATTTCTTTTGCTCAGAACCTGCTAAGCCGTTTTCCTTGTCTTCCCTTTCTCATCCATCTATCTCCCAGCTTCTCCCTGGTCCTTTTTCTCAGGTTTCAGCAGAGTTTCTCAGAATGATTTAGTTCTTTGATCCTGTTGGATTGTATATTACGATCACTTCTATGAAGGCATTATTCAGATTACGTGGTAGGAATCTAAATCTCAAATAAGTTAAGCCTGTTAGGCTGGGTCTATGATCGGCTGTATTGATACTAATCTTGACACACAGCAGGGTTGTAAGCTCCCCAAAGCCCACATTGCTCACCCTCTTTTTGGCCTTGAATCAGAATCTTTTCCATACCCAGCAATGATTCACACTTTAGATGGTCGTCTGCATTGTTGATTGTCTCAAAGATGCATGACAGCTTTTTTTTTTTTTTTTTTTTAGTTTTTATTTTTTTGCCAGTTGTTACAGCTGTTTTTTTGTAGATGGGGCTCTCCTGGCTGTAATAGGATTCATCTGTTGGGAATGTGAGAGGGAAGGTGATGTGGTTTTCGGGACTGGTTTCTCAAATCAAACAGCACTTTATCTCCATAGAAGTTGGGAGTTTCAAGCTCCTCTATCCTAGGTGAGAGGTGAGACTGACTTTGAGAAGTGAAATTTGGTTCTTTATGCATCTTACAAAAATCGGTTGTTTAATTTATTTATATGCCCTTTTTCTTGGAGCAAGTCTACCCATTAAAGGCTAAACTAACCTAGTGAATAACGAATGCAGCTTGATGAAGAAGTTACAGTCTAAAATTATGATCTGAACCTAGATAGGATCTTGTTAAGTATTTATTGCTGGTTATTCATGGTTGCAGTCTTCTAGGTAATCTGTTTTTATTTTTTATTTGCTTTTGTTTTCTAACCAAAAGAGAGCTGGAGTAGGTAATCTGGTTTTAGAATGAAAATTTTTAGGAAGTCTTTGGAACTGTTCTTGGTAACAGGTAAAGTCCATTTCCCCCTACATCCATGCAATTAAATATTTGCATGGCGGAAACAGAAACCAGTCTATGTGCTCAGACCTCTCATGTTCTAAAGGCTTCCAATGTTTTGTGCTTGGGGTTATCAGAATCAACAGCTTTATTTAGGTTACCTGTGTTGCGGTGGCCGCCAGTGGGAAGAGAGCTGCGTCCAAGCAGTCCAGGTGGAGGTTACCCTTGCACACAATAGATTTAGCCCAGTAGTGTACTTCTGGCTGGTCTTTAGGCCAGCAGTGCATTTCTAGCAGAGAAACCACTGCCAATACTATAGTGGTTGAGAGGATACAGAGTTGGGCCGGGCCCGCAGTCATCCCACATGGGCAGTCATGCTGCCGTGGAGGGGCAGAAGTAGCCTAGCGGTGCACTTTTTTTTTTTTTTTTTTTTTTGAGACGGAGTTTTTGCTCTTGTTGTCCAGGCTGGAATGCACAATGGCACAATCTCAGCTCACTGCAACTTCCGCCTCCCGGTTTCAATCAATTCTCCTTCCTCAGCCTCCGAAGTAGCTGGGATTACAGGCATGCACTACTATGCCCGGCTAATTTTTTGTATTTAGTAGAGATGGGGTTTTACCATGTTGGTTAGGCTGATCTTGAACTCCTGACTTCACGTGATCCACCCACCTTGGCCTCCCAAAGTGCTGGGATTACAGGCGTGAGCCACTGCGCCCAGCCAGCAGTGCACTTCTTACATCCTAACTTTGCTCCTCCATTCACGCAGTTAACTAATATTTACTGAGTACTTGCCCCTGTCCTTGTAGAGCTTACAGTATAGCAAGGAACATGGGAATTGAATATTATAAAAATAATTACTCAATTATGGAATATAAAATATATAAATTGCAGTGTGGTTTCCAGGACTGGTTTCCCAATCAAGCAACACTTTATCGCTATAGAAATTGGGAGTTTCAAGCTCCTCCGTCCTAGGTAAGAGGTGAGTAATTATTACAAAAGTAATTCCTCAATTATAATTCACTCATTCAGTGAGTATTTGTTAAGTATCTAGTGTAGGCTAGGCACTGTTCATGGGAGTGATGATATCCATGAACCAGACAGACAAGAATTCTTGCCTTTTGAAGCTTACATTTTAATGAGACATGCATTAAATGAAAACAACAAATAAGTAAATTTCATGGCATGTTAGAAGGTGGTAAGTGTTGTGGGACACAACAGAGGCAGGTGTCGATGACTGGGAGTATGGGCTGGGCTGGGAGTGGCATCATATGTGCTAGAGCCTGAATGTTTGTGTCCCCCACGGATTCATATGTTGAAATCAAATCATGAATGTGATGGTATTAGGAGGTGGGGACTTTGTTGGGGTGATTAGGTCATAGGAGTAGAGCCCTCATTAAAGGGATTAGTTCCTGTCTTAGTCCATTTTGTGCTGCTGTAACAGAATACTACAGTCTGGGTAATTTGTAATGAACAGAAATTTACTGGCTTACCATTCTGGAGGCTGGGTAGTTTAGTATCAAGGTGCAGGCATTTGGGGAGGGTCTTGCTTGTCATCACATAATGAAAGGGCAAAGAGAGAGAAAAAAGGGTGGAACTCACCCTTGTATAATGGCATCAATCCTCCCCATGAGGGTGAAGCCCTCATGGTCTGATCACCTCTTCAAGGCTCCACCTCTTAATACTGTTACAATGGCAATTACATTTCTTTCTTTCTTTCTTTTTGAAGACAGTCTTGCTGTGTTGCCCAGGCTGGAGTGCAGTGGCACAATCTCAGCTCACTGCAACCTCCACCTTCTGGGCTCAAGTGATTCTCCTGCCTCAGCCTCCTGAGTAGCTGGGATTACAGGTGTGTGCCAACACGCCCAGCTAATTTTTGTATTTTTAGTAGAGACGAGGTTTCACCATGTTGGCCAGGCTGGTCTCAAACTCCTAAGCTCAGATGATCTGCCTGCCTCGGCCTCCAAAAGTGCTGGGATTACAAGTGTAAGCCACCCCACCTGGTCGAAATTAAATTTCAACATGAGTTTTGGAGGGGACAGACAAACTAAAGCGGTCCTTATAAAAGAGGCCTGAGAGAGCTGCCTTGCTGCTTCCATCACATGAGGATACAGTGAGAGTATGCCATCTGTGAGTCAGAAAGTGTGCCCTCACCAGACACCAAATCTACTGGCACCTTGACTTTGGACCTCTCATCAGAACTGTGAGAAATAAATTTCTGTTGTTTATAAGCTATACGCAGCCTCTCGTATTTTGTGATAGCAGCCCGTGTGGACTGGGACAGTGTGTGTCAGTGTCAGGGAGTGGGATATATGACATGAAGATTATAGATGGGTTGGACTTACTGGTAATGAAAGGTTATGACAGGGAGTTGGAGAGGCAAGAGAAGAGAAGGTCAAGAACTGAGCCCAGCTGGAAGAACCATCTATGTGTGTATTGAAATCACAAAGAATCAAGACAAGATTAGTGTAGGAGAGAGGGACTGTGATCTAGAGCTAAAATCATTGAGAAATGAGGGGGAGTATCATGGGGGTTGGTGGTTGACAGAGTCTGATGATAGGAGATTCAGGGCTGGGGAATTTTAGGGAGGGGGAAGAGAATTATCTAGAAGGGGCAATGAGGAGCCTAGTGGTCCAGCTGTGAAAATGTTCTGAAGGAGAATTATGGGGTGCCATGAAAGCAAATAATAGGTATCTAACCTGGTATGGAGGGGCTGGGAAGGCTTCCCTGAGGAAGTGACATTTGAGAGGGTGGTGGGTTGGGCTAGAGGAGGTCAAAGGGAAGAAGGAACTCTTAAGGGTTACACAGCCAAAGGGAAATTTCTCTGAACAGTTCTGGGGGCTGAATGTGGACAAGGAGCTTGAGAGAAAGAGGATTTCCCAAGGTAGTGCAAACTAACTCCAGCCCATCTAGAATCCTCATTTTATGCATGCCACCCTCTGAAACTGACACACATGGTCCTAGGCAGTTCAGGCTGCTATCATGGGAGGAAGAGACCTGTTGTGGTAGCTGGTGGCTACAGAGAGACCCAGGGGACCACATGGAGGTTCTGTGTGGCCACCCAGGGGGCTGGCTGTTGAGGCACCAGGTCCTGCCTAATGCCCCATCTTACTGACCCCATGGCTGGTTGATGAACATGGTCTAAACAGGCGTGAGAGGCACCTGCAGGGGCTGTGAAACCTTGGGCTGGAACCTGAAGGTTTTGGGAACTTAAGGAGTATTTTTGGGCTTTCTCCTGAGTGGGACTTTGGGAAAGGCTGTGGAGATCCTATTGATGAGAGGCTTGGGATTTCTGAATCATTCCTTAAGGCCTGAGATGACAGCTTTGGTAAGGGATGGATAAGGATGAACCTGTTTACCCCAAGATCAGCTGAGCACCTCAAGGGCTTCAGCCTAAACATAGTGGTAGGGGGAGAGGAAAAGGGCTGAGGTGGTCTGGGAGAAGAGTGGGTAGAACAAAGGTGTGGGAAATAACTGATGATATGCACAATGGAACAAAGTAAAGGGACCCTGGAGCATCACGTTGGGCTTAGGTGACTGTCACTGAGTAGCTATGTGTGGCTTTGGACAAGTTACTTAATCTTTTTTTCCTTTCTGTTTTCCTCTGTGAAACAAAGTATAGATGCCGATTTCTCAAGGTTGTTGGGAAAATTGGGTGAGATGTATGTCAGTGCCCAGCATGATGCCCAGCCCACAACAGGTGATCAATAAGCACTAGAACCTCCAGGAAGTACCTTTTCCAAGGTTCTGCTGAGATTGCGGGGAGCGGATCTTAGCAAGCATTGCCGTATGACCATGGAAAGGCATTTTCTGTTTAGAAAACAGATCTCTTAGGAGCAGACTGTGAATTGCCCTGAAGCCCTAAGATGTAAATGTGCATGGAAACATGTCAATCTGAGGATGGAAGCTTGAAGAAGATAAAAGTGAAGTCGGGAGAAGTCTACACACACAAGCCATGTGGCCCTTTGGAGAAGACAAGTGACATGTCCCTGGTGCATGGGAACAAGCAGGGGCTGTTCTGGGGCCAGACTCAAAAAAAAAAAAAAAAAAAGGGCCAGCACACATGGGCCCCAGCTGTCTAGACACCTGCTGGCAGCCTCATTTTACTAAAAGTCAAGCATTGAACCTTTTCCAAAGGGAGAATAAACTCTAGAAGATCCAGTACCATAGCCCCACATCTGATTGATCTTAACCCGTTACCCACACAGCAGCCAAAGCACTCCAGAGTGACGGGAGAATGTGCCGGTCTTCTGTTAGCTGCTTACTTCTGTGTGCTGAAGACCTACCAATACTCCGTACCTTTTCTTTCCAAACCCAAAGAAGTGTACAAGGAACTTTACTGAGTGCTTGCTCCCATCACCTCTTGTTCTCTCTTTCTCTGTCTCTCTATGTCTGCACGCCTCTCTCTCACCTCTTTGTTGACACATTTCCTGGGTGCCAAGCTCTGTCTTAATTCTGGCTGAGACACGGCACGTAAGATGTAGTCATGACCCTTAAATTTACCCTGGTAGAGCTGTGCTTTACAGCCTCTTTCAGACCAGGCAGGGCGCATTGGGAAGGGTCACTTGTACAACCGACTGGGGAAAATGAAGGAGGTTGATGGTAAGATCAACCATAAGCCAGGGTTCCAGCTGTCAGGCCCTGCCAGGAGCCGAGAGGGTCAGTGTACCTCAGCATACCCTGCGTGAGTGTGGGTGGGTATGTGCACACTTGCATGCGTGCATGGGAGGAGAACATTATCTAGCGGTTCTGCTGTAGAGCATGTTCTCAGCTCCCTGTACTGTCCAACAAAGAGCTGCTGTTTGCTTTTTGGAATTACACAGGGTCCCACTAGGCAGGAGCTGGTCACTCTGAGCCCTCTGAGACTGGGGTTCACTCAAAGCCTCTGGCCACAACATCAAGCACCTTTTTTTTTTTTTTTTTTTGAGACGGACTCTTGCTCTGTCACTCAAGCTGGAGTGCAATGGCGTGATCTCAGCTCACTGCAACCTCCACCTCCCAGGTTCAAGCAATTCTCATGCCTCAGCCTCCTGAGTAGCTGGGACTGCAGGCACGTGTCACCAGACCCCTCTAATTTTTTGTATTTTTAGTAGAGATGGGGTTTCACCATGTTGGCCAGGCTCGTCTCGAACTCCTGACGTCAGGTGATGCCCCTGCCTCAGCCTCCCAAAGTGTTGGGATTATAGGTGTGAGCCACTGCGCCTGGCCCAAGCACCTCTTTTATCAAGGCACTACAGGGGCCCCAGAAATGAAAACCTGATCCCTACCCAAGGGGACTTGCAGCCCAATTTGGGGGGAACACATCTCTAGCTACCCAAAGATGAGCCTGAATAACATATGACGGCCACGAGTGAGGTATAGAGAGAGCTGGTATCCAGGGAGAGAACCCAGTCTGGTGT
Source organism: Homo sapiens (assembly GCF_000001405.40). NCBI lineage: Eukaryota > Metazoa > Chordata > Mammalia > Primates > Hominidae > Homo > Homo sapiens. The sequence goes on along the minus strand of NC_000015.10, from coordinate 82,923,012 downwards.
TGGAGCCACGTGCCTCTGATGGAAGAGGTGACCAATTTGCACTTTGCCCTGAAGGGTGGTAGGATTCTGACCTGGGGGTGGTGTGCTCAGTGCAGGGGTGACATGAGCAGGGGGCATTCTGGAGGAAGGCACAGCTCCTCGGAAAGCACAGGTATGGGGTGAGCAGGGACATCTGTTAAGCCTGTAGGTTGGGTGCAGGGATTGATAGGGAGGAGATGACAAAGTTAGGTGGAGACAAAGGCTGAGTGAGGACTTGGATTTTGGCTCAGAAGGCTGCCTTCACAACCTGTTCATGAATAGCTGGACAGGCGGACACCTGTGGTTGGTTTGAATGGAGTGCAGTTGGCCCTGTGTAGTACAAGGGAATCAAGCATAAAAAAAGGCTCCCTTCACTTGTGTCTCACTCGTTTGAGGTTCACAAGGGCTAACTTTCTATTGAATGTGGCCTCTCTCGGCTTCTTCCGAGCCAGCATATACCTAGTGCCGCTGGGCTATGTAAAGCTGTGGACACAAACTATTTTTGTGCTCCTTCAAATGCCCATGTTTATTTTTAAACTTGAGGCTTTGTAAAGCAGGGAGGTATCATGCAGGCTTTACTTTTGAGTAAAAAGGTTCTCTTGGGCTGATAGAACCTGCAAAAAGTGTTCTTGATTTAGAGTTGTGCATTCTCTTAATGCCTCAATGCCTGTAGTCTGGCATTATAGGGAAGGCCATGGAACTCATTTGCTTTAAAACAAATCCTGGAAAGAGGAAACCCCACATATGTTTGCCAGTTCCTTAAAGTGTCCTGGCAGATCTGTGTCAGGGGCAGTGGTGCTCATACAAGGAAGGTCTTTCAGTGTTGGAGGTGGGGTGGGTGTGACAAGCTGGGATGTAAATCTGAATGTGCCAAGCCCACCTCCAACCTCCCACCAATAGGAGCCCTTGGACAAGGAGCTTAGAATAGAATATCTGTTATCTTTTAAGCATATGCAAGTTATAACTGAAAAATGAATGAGATTAACTTAATGTTCAAGATGGAGGATTCAGCACTTGTGCTTATTTATACCTTCTCTCCCCAGAACCCATTAAAATGATAATAAGGAGATTATGAAAAGTATAATCCCAGGACAGCAAAATGAATGGGAGGGAATTATCAGTAGTTGAGAGATTACAATAAATTTCTGGACCATAGAAAGCTAGTAGAGGAAAGGCAATGTCAGAAATATAGCACAGAGGAGACCAGAGCCCAGAGTCTGAGTGGAGGGGCCACAGGGAGTTGGGGTAGCTGACCAGTCTGCCCTGCACAACCCCAGAGACCCTCTGAACTGAGTCTGCAGGTCCAGCAAGGGCAGGAGTGAGAAGTGGTGCTGAAGCTGGGGCTTTAATTGGAGGTCTCAGGTGATACTAGGTGATACTCCTGCCACAGGGACACTGTGCATATCAGCGGGATGGGGGACGAGTGGACTCCACTGGCAGAGCCAAGACTGGGAGTGTGGATGTTGGCATTCTAGAATAAAGTCTTCCTTGGTCTGGCGTGCATCCAGGGTAGGCGGATGGTATTTGGAAGCATGGTATCAGCTCAGATCAGCGTGGGGAAAGGGGGAAAGTGTGACGTGCTCCAGCACCAAGGAGTCCGGAAGGGGAGGAGGAGCCAGCAGAAGCAGCTTCTCATCAGATAAGATGACAGGAGAAGAGTGGAGCAAGGCCTGCACAGTGGCACATGAGGGAAAACCTGTTTTTTTTGAGATGGAGTCTCACTCTGTCCTCCAGGCTGGAGTGCAGTGGTGCGATCTTGGCTCACTGCAACCTCCGCCTCCCGGGTTCAAGTGATTTTCGTGCCTCAGCTAGCTGGGATTACAGGTGTGTGCCACCACACCTGGTTAATTTTTTGTATTTTTTGTAGAGATGGGGTTTCCCCATGTTGGCCAGCCTGGTCTTGAACTCCTGACCTCAGGTGATCTGCCCACCTTGGCCTCCCAAAGTGCTGGGATTACAAGTGTGAGCCACCATGCCCGTCTGAAAATCATTTTTTTTAAGCCATTTAAAACAATTGTTTTAAGCTGAGTGCTGTGGTAGTCGCAGCTCCTAGGGAGGCTGAAGTAAGAGGATTGCTTGAGCCCAAGAATTTGAATCTAGCCTGGGCAACATAGTAAGACTTTGTGTCTTAAAAAAAAAAAAAAAAAAGATTGTTTTACCCCCAGAGTGGTAGGCTAAAAAATGTCTCCCATAGATATATCAGATGCTCATTTCTGAACCTACGTTACCGTATATGTTAAAGGGTCTTTGCAGATATGATAAGTTAAGGACTTTGAGATGGGGAGGTTATCCTGCATTATCCAGGGCCCAGTGTAATCACAAGTGTTCTGAAGAGAGTAGCAGAGGGAGATTTTACTACACACAGAATAGAGAAGAGGATGTGAGGATCTCTGCAGAGAGCTTTGAAGATGCTTTGCTGCAGGCTTTGAAGATGGAGGAGGAGGCCATGAGCCAAGGAACGCAGCTCTAGAAGCTGGGAAAGGTGGGGCAATGGATGCTTCCTTAGAGCTTCCAACCCTAGAGCCTCTGGAGGCAGCATGGCCCTGGCGACACCTTGGTTTCAGCCCAGTCAACTGACTGCGGATTTCTGCCCTCCAGAGCTGTGAGAAAATAAATTCCTGTCATGTAAGCCCCCAAGTTTGTGGGAATTTGGTACAGCAGCCCTAGGATACATCCAGCCAAAACCAATCAAGTATAAGGGGGAAAGTAAAGGCCATTCCTGATGTGCAAGGACTTAAAGTTGACCTCCCGCTCATCTTGAGGATCTACAACAGCAAAACAATGGCGAAGACTATGAAGGAGGTCATGATGTGGGGAAGTGGGCAAAAAGAATTGATGGCTCCTGGGAGTCTGGTGAAAAGAACTTCTGGACAGATGGCTATGAATGGGCCTCAGAAGCATTCACTCCAAATTACAGGTGGAAGTTACTGGCTCCAAGAATAATATCTTGAGGACAGAGACTGGAGCAGATTCCAGACAATGGACAGAGTGAACAAGCTGGAATATACTAGGGTTATGGGAAGACGGGCTGTGTTTCTTTCCTCGATAGAGAAGGCAATAGGAAAACATCACAAAAATTAAAAATTATCACAAGCATGTCATGTTTCAAATATGAAGTGCACGAAAGATACCGCCTGCTTTTGAACAACTGGGAGAGTGCTAGAAAGGAGAAGCTTCTCTCTGACCTTGATACTAGGAATGTTTTCCTGTGAGTAGCACTCTGCTGTTGACATTGGAACTGTACAGAAAGAACTATAATCCTGGCACATTTTTTGCCTCTGCAGGGAACAATATTTATATAGTCATAAGAATGTTCTTTTTTAAAAGGGTTACATAGTACTCTATTGTGTTAATTTATTGACTTGATTCTTCCTGGTACTGGACGTTCCAATTAATTTCTGGTTGACCTTTTTGTAAATAATGCTCAAACCTGAGGTCAGTTTGATCTGTGAAGCCTCTTTGTTGGGAGAGTTGGATAATTGGATTATTATACTAGTAATGTATGATTATGTATGAGAAGGGACTCCACATGCAACAATGATGACTGAATTCTGCAGGGAGGTGGTTGATGGCTTACCTAATGACTCTCCCTCACTGGGCTGAGCTGTTTGTGCTGGGCGTCTGGCCAACAGGCCAACCTGTCCTTGATCCTGTATGGACGAGCAACCCGTTGTGACTTCCCTGAGTAAGGCCTGAAGGCAGAGAGAGGTGTTGGGTAGAGCAGGCATGTTAACTTACATGTCTGGTATAAATGGGAGAGACCTGAGCTTGTTTTTGCCAACAGAAGAGATCCAGAAGCACAGAGGGGCTATTGGTGTAATCTAGGTCAGTGTTTCCCAATCTTTTTAGTGTCACGGACACATGGAAAATATGTTTACAGCACCTAGGCAAATGGACAAAACAGTGCCCAGCCCTGGGACTCCTGTGGCCCAGGCCCTGCTCTGCACCCTGAGGGTTGAGATCCCCTTCTCAGCAGGCTACTTCTTCCCAGGACAAGTGACATCTTTGTACAAATTAGAAAAAAACGCTTCTTTAAGACACCTTCTGGAAATCTGTGATCTGCCAGGCAGTTGATGTAATGAGTCTGCGTGTCTTTCATGATTGACACTCAGAGTTGTGCCCTGCACAGCCATTTACGGGGCCGAGTTCAACACACCTGTGGCCCATTGGAGGACACTACTAGGTAGGAGGCTGACAGCCTGGGCTGCTGAGGAGAGGACAGCGAGGGAGATGTTCCTGCTGTGTGCTGGGTGTGAGATTCCCAGGTTTCTGCCATAGTGACAGATCCAGTGGTGTGAGTCACTGAAATAGGGGTGCAGGGAGAACAGCAGCAGGGAGGTAAGGTGCAAGCATGGGGTTCAGGAGAGACACCTGGGCTGGAGGTACACATTCAGGTGTCATCACATAGACATGTCCTCAAAGCTGTGGAGGTGAGTGTGGAGGGGAAACCCCATGGAGAAGAACTAAGGGAATGAGCCCCCACCAGACCACCCAGCCTCACCTGCTGAGGTGGGGCCTGATACTCAAGTAGGACACGGAAATGAGGCCCTGGTAGGAGAGAAATCTGAGCACTGTGGTATCCTGTCCCGTGGGCACTGTCCCAACATGATCACACTGTCCTGAGAATAGCATCTGCCTGCTCTAGAGGATCCCTGGCAAAGACCTCTGGCTGTGACACCTGAACCCCAGAGCACCGTGGCCTGAGTATCTGTACCCTCAGGTGCTGGAGTTTCTGCACCCAGTACTCATCCTGAGTCACTGCCAGTGAGTGCTGTCCGGGAGGGATGGCGTCTATATATCTCTGTGTCCCTAGGGTCAAGCGTTAGATTTTTGAAGGATTCTTATGAGAGTAGACACTGGGACTTTGATGAGTGTGTAATGCGGCTCGGGCAATGCTGCCTGCTTTTAGTCCCTAGTTAGCTCTGGGCCATTTGCTGCCCAGGTGTTCTCCATGATCCTGCTCCGAGCTGCTCCTCGGAGTAGATGGTCCAGCTGAGGAGCAGGCTGACCCAGTCCTGCAGGGCTCTAGTCTCAGCAGCAGTCTCGCCCCTAAACTATAAGGATTTGGGGCCCCCACACCTGTCTTAGACCAGATGAGGTTGATTTCACTTTTGCCCTTGACATTGTGGGAAATAATAGAGATGAGTTTTGCCTTGCTGGGCACATGTGATATAATTTTAAAGCCAAATAATCTAGTTTAGCAAGTATTTTGGGCCTACTGTGTGCATAGGCCTGCAGCATATGAAAGGCTGGTGGGAGGCACACTGTTTCCAAGTGTTTACAGCAAGCTCACCATGGCTGTAGAACAATGGGTTTATTCTTCTTAACTAGTTTTCCTTCCTTGAAGACTTCCCTTAAATGCCTCAATCTCATAATATTCTAAACACGTAACTTCTCCCTCTCACATACACTGGGGTTTGCTGCTGTCCCCACGGGGGCGGATCTTCCCCGCTTGCACCTTCCTGCATGTGTCTTTGGTATCATGTGCCATGTCCTTGGGTGCGAAGGAAAGGGCTGTTCCAGCAGTTCCCCCTGGGGCCCTGGGAGAGGAGGGACAGGTGCCTGTGCTATTTCCCCAAGATAAAGGGCAGCTGTTCTGCTCTCAGCCTGCTCTAGCTGGTAACATACCTTCACTTGTGGCTGGGATCCTATCAATTCTTGAGGCCACCTTGGTGATATCCTGCAGATTAGAAAACCGTTTGGCGGTTATATGTGACTTCTTAGAGCAATGAAGAAATGAGGAAATAAATTACTTTTTCATAAATTCTGCCTAGAAGGGCAAACTCTTTCAATAATGGGATTTATAGGGAAAATGCAAATCAGAAATGGGTACTTCTTGTTCAGTGGGTTAACTGTGAGTTAGAAAAAAACAAAAATTGTAAAATGAGGGCTCTGGGCCGGGCACGGTGGCTCACACCTGTAATCCCAGCACTTTGAGAGGCCGAGGCAGGCGAATCACAAGGTCAAGAGATCGAGGCCATCCTGGCCAACATGGTGAAACCCCGTCTCTACTAAAAATACAAAAATTAGCTGGACATTGTGGCGTGCGCCTGTAATCCCAGCTACTCGGGAGGTTGAGGCAGGATAATCACTTGAACCCAGGGGGTGGAGGTTGCAGTAACCCGAGATCGCGCCATTGCACTCCAGTCTGGCAACAGAGTGAGACTCTGTCTCAAAAAAAAAAAAATGAGGGCTCTGGCTCTTTCCAGAGCAGCCCATACTTTGGGCCAAGCAGCTGGCAACTCAGGGCTCAGCTCTCTTAGTGCCAAGTCCCCATCCAGCTTGTGTCATCTTTGTCCCTTTGCCATCTAAAGCTCTTGAGAGTACTTAACCTCTCCCCCTCTGCCGACCCTGGTGTTTGGAGCACCCTCACACCTGTTCTGTTTGGTCCAGCGGGGTCTGCACTTGACCTTTAGATTGGGAAGCAAGAGACACTGGCCTCTCTCTTGCCTGGATAAGACTTCTCATTGCAGCAAGGCTGTCCTCACGTCACATGCATGCAATAGACCTATTCTCAATCCTGTCGGAAGACCCTTGCTTTAGGGTCACTGTTTTGTACCTCATCCCATGTACACACAGGTGCTCAGACAGACAGGTACCAATCTCCCTGGATTCTGAGGCCATGGCTGTCTTGTTTCCTGGGATATTCTTGGCACCCAGCACAGCTCTCCTTTATAGTTGTGGATTAAATATTTGTTAAGTTAATATATATTTGTACACATATTTATAAGAATGGGAGCAGAGGATGGTGCTGTTTAGCAACTCGCTCTTTTCACTCCACGCTCCGAGTGTTGGCTGAATATTTTTGGAATTCTGGAACCCATGAATTCTTTGTTTCCCCCCATTATTTTGTTTCCTCTGAGGCAAGAAGTTTCAAGTGACACTCAAGTCCTTCAAGGTCTGGCTAATTCTATTTGGTAGGGAAGGGGACAGAAAGTTGTAGCTAGGCTGGGACTCAGCAACACTGGGTGGTCTCTTTATTTTGTAACAGTGAAGTATAGAATCAATCAGAATACATAAAGAAAAGAAGACCATCTTTCCATGTGAGCAAATATTTACTTATAATTTTGAAAGGCCAAGTGGTACTTTTCGCACGGATATATCATACTTAATTTAACCAATCCTCAACTTTGGGGCATTTAGTTTATTTACAGGTTTATTTTTGTTTGTTTGTTTTTGTTTTTAATAAGCAGCTCTTCAGTGACTATCCTTTGGCATAAGTATCTTTGTATATCCTTATTTATCACTTTTGAATAGATTCCAAGAAGTGGAGTTGTTGGGTTGAGGAGTATGCAGTTCTAAGGCTTTATTTATCTATTTATTTGAGACAGGGCAGCTCACTGCAGCCTTGAACTCCCAGGCCCAGGCAATCCTCCCACGTTAGCCTCCCAGCAGCTGGGACTACAGGCACGTGCCACCATGCCCGGCAAATTTTGTTTGTTTGTTTGTTTGTTTGTTTTTTGTAGCGAAGGGGTCTCCCTTGGTCTTCAACTCCTAGGCTCAAGTGATCCACTCCTCTCAGCCTCCCAAAGTGCCTGGATTACAGGCATGAGCCACTGTACCTGGCAGTTCTGAGACTTTGGATGTGTGATGATAAATTGCCTCCCAGTGAATTCTATCAAGGTATAGTACTCCAACAGTGGTGTGGAAGAGGCAGACAGTGGGGTTTTTTTCCAGTCTTCTAAAAAAATTATGGCAAAATTTATATAACATAATATTATGATAACATAAACATTACCATTTTAGCCATGTTACATGTATAGAGTTCAGGGCATTAAGTGCATTCACACTGTTCTACAACCATCATCACTATCTCCAGAATTCTTTCAGCAGTTGATTTTTTTTTTTTTTCAATTAAAAAAAATTGAAAAAATTTTCAGTTGAGCCTCGAATTCCTGGGCTCAAGTGATCCTCCTGCCTCAGCCTCCCCAGTAGCTGGGACTACAGGCACACACCATCACACCCAGCTAGTTTTTGTATTTTTTGTCACATTATGTTGCTCAGGCTGATCTCAAACTCTTGGCCTCAAGCATTCCTCCCACTTCGGCTTCCCAAGGCGCTAAGGTTACAGGTGTGAGCCACTGTGCCCACCTCCATCTGTCCTCTAAATGCACGCCCTTTGCAGGTTTCTCTTTGGTGCCATTGAGCTGTTCTTCACAGTTGCTCTTCCTCCCTTTGTCCTCCTAAGGACTCAGTCCTGTCATTATCTCTGTGAAGCCATCCCCGACCTCACCAGGAGTTGCTCCCAGCACACTTTGTTGTTGTTTAGTAAAACACACATAAAATGTACCACCTAAATCATTTGTAAGTGTACAGTTCAGTGGCATTAAGCTTATTCACAATGTCGTGTAGCCATCACTACTCTCCATTTCCAGAACTTTTCATCATCCCAAACAGAAACTCTGAACCCATTAAGCAATAACTCCCCATTCCCTCCTCCCCCAGCCACTGGTAATCACTGTTCTACTTTCTGTCTCTATGAATTTGACAATTTGATTCATATAAGTGGACTCATAGAATATTTATTTTGTGACTGGTTTATTTCACTTAGCATATTTCCAAAGTTCATCCATGTTGTAGCATATAGTGGACTTCCTTTTTTTTTTTTTTTTTTTTAAAGATGGAGTCTCACTCTGCCACCCAGGCTGGAGTGCAGTGGCATGATCTTGGCTCACTGCAAGCTCTGCCTCCCGGGTTCACGCTGTTCTCCTGCCTCAGCCTCCCAAGTAGCTGGGACTACAGGTGCCCACCACCATGCCTGGCTAATTGTGTGTGTGTGTGTGTGTGTGTGTGTGTGTGTGTGTGTGTGTGTGTGTATTTTTAGTAGAGATGGGGTTTCACCGTGTTAGCCAGGATGGTCTCGATCTCCTGACCTCGTGATCTGCCCGGCTCAGCCTCCCAAAGTCTGGGATTACAGGCATAAGCCACCGCACCTGGCCGACTTTCATTCCTTTTTAAGGCTATTCGATTCTATGTGTATGCCACATTTTGTTTATCCATTTATCTGTTGATAGACTTTGGGTCGTTTCTACTTTGTGGCTGTTGTGAATAATGCTGCTTTGAACCTGGGCATACAAGTAGCTGTTTGGGTCTGCTTTCAATGCTTTTGGGTATATACCTAGAAGAATTGCAGGGCCACGTGGAAATGCTGTATTTAACTTTTTGAGGAAGCACCAGTTTTCCACAGCCCTGTACACGTTTTAAATAAATGACCAGAAAAGAGATGGCACCTGAGAATTCCCAGGGAGCCAGGATGAGGGACTGGCAGTGGGGGATTCTGGAGGAAGGGTCCAGGATGGAGGGACTGCAGCAAGAACATTTCCTAAGGCATGCAAAGCTTGACTGTGTGATCTGCTGTCTACCGTCAATAGTTTACTCTTCTAAGCAGGGGTTTGTGTTGCTTTCAGGAAGATGGCCTGATAGAGTGCTGCTGTTGGGATGAAATTACAGAAGCAAGAACAATAGCAGAAATAGGGGGAGGCAGGCTGTGTGCCCTGGGCTGTAGGCAGTAGGTCAGACTCTCAGGCTCTGCTGGTAGGCACCATTGGTTAGGAACTGCATGGGGTTTCCAGATGCAGAAGAGAAGTTCTAGAAGGATCTGGAGCTACCCTCTCCGTGTAGCTCAGGCTTCTTCAAGATGATCAGACTACATCAGGCAATGTTTGCTGTTAAAAAAAAAAAATCAGACTAACCTGGAGGCAAAGTAAGAAAAGTGGATGTTCTCCTTGGGCACTGGTGGCTGCCATAACCACCCTCTCCAGGGCACAGGGATGCTGAGCTTTAACTCCATCGTGGCACTTCATACAAGGAGTGAATAGCAGAGTCCAGTATGACATCTTCGTCGTCTTTGAAATATGGCCTGCCCACTATCTGCAGGTTTGCTTGTAACTTCCAAGGCTGCACCGCATAAAAACCATTTGCTTTACAGTTACCTGACTCCCTCTTGTCTCTCTACACCCCAGTTTTCTGTGTTTTCAGTATTTCTAAGAGCATTATTTAAAATTTTCCTGTTAATAAAAGACCCTGAAATAGGTTAACTAGTGTGTGAGGTTCCCTCCTTGGGCAGCTGCAACCCAAGAAAGTCATTCAGGGCCCAGAACAGTCACACACACACAGTCCGCCTACTTAGGGTATAGGCTGCCTTCAGATAGGTACACGGTTGTTCCTTTAGAGATGTGCCCGGTATCTGTCATCCTTCACTTCACACCCAGTAGGATGGCTATATCAAAAAGACAGACAATAACAAGTGTTGGTGAGAATGTGCACAAATTGGAACGCTTATACATTGCTGGTGGGAACATAAATGGAGCAGCTGTTTTGGAAGCCAGCCTGACGGTTCCTCAAAAGCTAAACATAGAGTTATCCTATGACTTAACAATGCCACTCCTAGGTATATATACCCAAGAGCCAAGAAAACATATGTCCACATAATTATAGTATATGGATATTCATAGCAGCATTATTTGTAATAGCCAAAAGATGGAAACAACCCTAATGTCCATCAGATGAAGAATGGATTAAAAAAAAAGTGATATATCCATACAGTGGGCTATAATACAGCCATAAAAAGAATGAAACACTGATATATATTGACATGGATCAACCTCAGAAATATTACGCTCACTGAAAAGAAAAGCTAGATATAAAAAGCCACATATTATATGATTCAATTTATATGAAATGCCTGAAACAGGCAAATTCAGAGAGACAGAAAGTAAGTTAGTGGTTGCTAGGGGCTGGGGGAAGAGGAGAATGATTGCTAATGAGTACGGGGTTTGAGGGGTGCTCTGAAAATGCCCTGAAATTAAGCAGTGGTGATGGTTACGCAATTCTGTGAATAAAAAGCCACTGAATTGGGGACTTTAAAAAGGTAGATTTTATGGTGTCCACATTATATCTCAATACAAATAACTTTAAAAATTATTCATTTTTTATGTGAAATTTAAATTCATTTATTTATTTTTTGGGACAGAGTTTCACTCTGTTGCCCAGGCTGGAGTGCAGTGGTGCGATCTTGGCTCACTGCAACCTCCGCCTCCTGGGTTCAAGCAATTCTCCTGCCTCAGCCTCCCAAGTGGCTGGGATTACAGGTACTTGCCACCACACCTAGCTAATTTTTGTACTTTTGTAGAGATGGGGGTTTTACCATGTTGACCAGTCTGGTCTCGAACTCCTGACCTCAGGTGAGGTCCTGTCTCGGCCTCCCAAAGTGCTGGAATTACAGGTGTGAACCACCTCACCCGGCCGTGAAATTTAAATTTAGCTGAAAGTCCTGTCTTTTTATCTGCCAAATCTGGCAACTCTATACTTGCCAACTGTTCTTGTAAATAAAGTTTTATTGGAACACACACATATAGCCATTAGCCTGAGAGACCAACTGATAGTGTAAATGAAAATATAAACACTCTTTTGAGGTATGTCTGCACCTTTGGTTTTATGCTTTACACTTTTTGTAATTGACTTGGCAAGTTACCAGCTCTTTACACCATGCAATCTAATTTTAAACTAAAGTGATTCCTAGGAAAATAAAAAAACAGCTTTTTTTCCCCTAAACCTAAATTCAGAGTGGTAGCCGTACATTTACAACGACTGGCTTCTAGAAGTGGTACTAGGGTACTTCTTGCTGCTACCTGGAAACCTGAAAGGGTAGGTACCTGGGAACCATAAAACCAGTTTGCCAAAACTAGAACTAATTTGCAAGTAAAGGAAAAAAACAAGTCCTAGACTTCTAAGTTTTTAAACTTTGAACAATTTTCTTAAGTTATAAAAGCACAGTTATTCTTTTTGAAGATTTCTTTGTTTAATTTGCTGATGGTAATAGGGAGAGAGAGCTAGATTCTCTATGGGAGGGTTGAGCTGTCTAAGGTGGCAAAGGGATTCTCTTCCCTGCAGTGGCGTCTTACACCTATAATCAACATAACATTCCTTTAACAGTCTGCTATTAATAGCAAAAAGGCACTTTGCACATGTTATCACATTTAATCTTAACAAACCCTTGAGGTGGTTATATTAATGTCCCTACCTCACACAGACTGAAGGGACTTAGCCCTGAACCCTCCTCCCTTACTCCTTAAGAAGAGAAACGGAAAAGTTGTGTGGAGCAGCCTTCCTCTTGTTTAACTTTGACCCTGACAGAAACCAGACTTGAAACTAGGCACTGTTACGTTGCTGAGACAAAATGAAGAATGTTTCTGAGGAGAACAAAAATCACCTGGTGACCATTGAACAGGCCCCGGAGACAAAAACTCCCATCTGAGGAATTTAGAAGGGAGCAAAGACCACCTGGTGACCATCAAACACGCCTTCCGAGGCAAACTCCTTATCTGGGAAATTAGAAGTAATTGCACTTCCCTATTATCTAAAGCAGGCATCTGGTTCCAGATTTCTTTCCCCCAAAATTTATAAGTCACTAGGATTTCTATACATCTCCAGAATGCCATGCCAAAACGTACTGTGCAACCCTTGCTGACATTAAGGCACCAGAATTACTACAGATGTAATCATTTATCATGACCTACGTGGCTAGTATGGTCCAAATTACCCTCAAGCTCCTGCCTTAAGGTCCATAAATACCCCTAAGGAAAAATCCACCATAAGGTGCTCAGTCCTCTCACCGACTCACCCCACTGGACTCCTCGGCAGCGTTCCTTCTTTCTAATAAAACTTCTTCAAGCCTATATGGTTGTCAGTAAATTCTTACCAACCCACGAGTCAACCACTTTACAATGTGGGGGCTTTGACACCTCACCTGGCAGTATCATCTTTTTAATGTGTATTTGAGATGTCCGTCACTTTCTTTACCTTTCTCAGTAAAGGTAGGGAAACAAGTTAGCCTTTTTTTTTTTTTTTTTTTTTTTTTTTTGAGACAGAATCTTGCTCTGTTACCCAGGCTGGAGTGCAGTAGCATGATCTCAGCTTACTGCAACTTCTACCTCCCAGGTTCAAGCGATTCTCCTGCCTCAGCCTCCTGAGTAGCTGAGATTACAGGCACACACCACCATGCCTGGCTAATTTGTATTTTTAGTAGAGACGGGGTTTCACCATGTTGGCCAGGCTGGTCTCAAACTCCTGACCTCGGGTGATCTATCTGTCCCGGCCTCCCAAAGTGTTGGGATTACAGGCATGAGCCACCGCACCCAGCTGAAACAAGTTAGCTTTTAATATGATATGTAACTGTAGGATACAGTAAAATTCCTCTTCAAAGGTTTTAGCCTGTTAACTTCCTTTAAAATCCAAGAGTGGAAAAGTTGTTAAGTACAATGAGTTCTGAGTTCCTCTTCAAAGAGCCAATATGTCAGTATGTTCAGCTCTCTGGTTCTTTGTTCTCCATTTTAAAGTTTAACTTCCTTGTTCTTTACACCTCCTTGCCCCTAGCTTCAGTAAATGACCCCCTCCTAGCCTCTATTACCTGCTCTGACCTTAGTCATCCTTGGTCACCTGCTCTGTCCTTAGTCATCCTTGGTCACCTGCTCTGTCCTTAGTCATCCTTAGTCACCTGTTCTGTAACCATCCCTCCCGCCAAAACTACTCACCCCACCACTCCAATTTGTACCGCTGTCCTCTTTAAAATAGCCAATCAGAATTAGCTTAGACTGTGCAGTCCAACCCTAGCCAACAGGGGAAAGACACAGCAGTAGGGACTAACTGCGTTAGGAAGAAGACCCCTTTCCCCTCCCTTGTCGAGTGTGCTCTCGCCATTGCTCCATCTGTGAGGTGCACCCTTCTATAGAAGTAAATTGCCTTGCTGAGAAAACTTTTGCCTGAGTGCTGTTTTCACTTCGCAGCACCAAGCATTTACTTCCAACATAGCCAAATGGTTTTTTGGAATGATCAATCAACCTGAATGATCTTGAACTTCTTTGAGTTCCAGTACTCTTTCCTGGCTTTCCCACTGTGTTCCTGGCCCTGTGTTCATCCAAAGATAGTACCTTTTCTTGCCCCTGACATGAGTGCCTCCCTGGTTTGGTTGTTCCTCTCCTCTTTTCTCTCTGCAGACCCTCCCTGAGTGGTTTCATCCACTGTGATTTCTTCTCATCTGCTGCTGTGGGCTCCCTGGTGTTGTCTTCTAACACAGCAGTCACCCCAAAAAGAAATACCACTCACTTCCCAACATCTCTTCCAGTTGGTTCACAGGCAAGGCACACCCAGCATGACTAAAATCTCCTCTCAGTTGCCCAAGCCAGACAATTTAGAGTCACTGAGTCTTTTTTCTCCTTCATCCTCCATGTTTGATCTTTTTTTTTTTTTAAAAAAAAAGCAAAACAGCTGACTAAAAGAAAAACTTAAGACAAAATAAATTTAACAGAACAATTACTGAATTGGGCAGCCCTCAGAATCAGAAGAGATTCAGAGAATTCCACCCTACAATGTGGACATTGAGTATGTATGGACAGAAAAGGGCTGAAGAAAGCAGAAACAAGAAAGAACAAAAAGCAGATGGGTTGTTTCAAAGTTACTGTCCCTGTAAAGGTTAAAGTGGAGGGAGCTTCCTTATCATGTCAGATAAAACTGGCCTGTGTGTGGATTTGGCTATTCTCTGTCCTGATTTCTTGAAAGACCAGATAAACCACTTAGTTTTGACATGGTCACCTGGAACTTTAGTATAAGTGACTCCATTTTGGTTTGGTCTGTTGGGACTGAGTGCAGAAGCTCAGTCTGAATCAATGGCCTCCTATAAGTTTAATAAAGCTTTATTGAGATATAATTCACATAATATACAATTCACATAATATACATTCATTATACAATGAATGTATAAATACATATTCATTGATTTTTTTTCTACTGTAATCAGAGACTTTGGAACCATCACCACAATCTAATTTTATAGAACATTTTCATTCCCCCTGAAAGTCAGAATCCATTAGCAGTCACTCCCAATTTCCTCTACCCTGGCTTCCTGTGCTTGGACAGCCACTCATCTACTTTGTCTTCATAGGTTTTTTGCCTATTCTGGACATTTCATATAAATGGAATCATAGAATGTCTGGCATTTTGTGACTGCCTTCTTTCACTGAGC
This sequence comes from Homo sapiens, assembly GCF_000001405.40. Classification (NCBI taxonomy): domain Eukaryota; kingdom Metazoa; phylum Chordata; class Mammalia; order Primates; family Hominidae; genus Homo; species Homo sapiens. The sequence goes on along the minus strand of NC_000015.10, from coordinate 82,907,975 downwards.
ACAATGTTTTCAAGGTTCATCCTTGTTATAGCCTGTATCAGTATTTTATTTCTTTTTTATTGCCAAATAATACTCTATTATATGGATACACCACATTTTGTTATCCATTCATCTGTTGATGAACATTTGAGTTGTTTCTACTTTTTGGCCACTCCTATTAATTGATTTCTAGTTTAATTCCATTGTGGTATGAAAACAGATATTATATAATTTCTATTCTTCTAAATTTGTTGAGGTGTGTTTTATGGCCCAGAATATGGTCTATCTTGAATGTTCCATGTCACTTTGAAAAAGAACATGCAATCTACTCTTCTTGGATCAATAGTCTGTAGGTGCCAATTATACCCCATTGGTTGATGTCGTGATGTTGAGTTCAACTATGTACTGATTTTCTGCTTCTTTGAATCTGTCCCTTTCTCCCTTTCTCCCTTTCTCTCCCTTTCTGTCTCTCTCTTTCCTTCCTTCCTTCCTTCTTGCTTTCTTTCCTTTTTCTTTCCTTCCTTTCTCCTTCCTTCCTTCTTTCTTTCTCTTTCTTTCTTTCTTTCCTTCTCTTTCTTTCTTTCTTTCCTTCTCTTTCTCTTTCCTTTCCTCTTCTCTTCTCTTCTCTTTTCTTTTCTTTCTGATAGGGTCTGGCTCTGTCGCCCAGGCTGGAGTGCAGTGGCACAGTCTTGGCTTGCTACAACCTCTGCCTCCTGGGTTGAAGCGATTCTCATGCCTCAGCCTCCTGATTAGTTGGGACTGCACGCACCCGCCACCATGCCCAGCTAGTTTTTTGTATTTTTAGTAGAGACAGACTTTCACCATGTTGGCCAGCCTAGTCTCAAACTCCCGACTCTCCAGTTATCCATCTGCCTTGGCCTCCCAAAGTGCTGGGATTATAGGCGTGAGCCACCGCACCCAGCCTCGGATCTGTCCATCTCTAACTGAAGGCTGTTGGTATTTCCAACTATAGTAGTGGATTCATTAATTTTTTTCTTGTAGTTCTGTCAGTTTTGGCATGTATTTTGACACTTTGCTGTTAGGCACATACACATTAAGGTTATGTCTTCCTTTAGTATTGGCCCCTTTATTATTAGGTAATGACTCTTTCTCTCTTATAACTTTCCTTGCTCTTAAGTCTGCTCTGTCTGAAAGTGATAGAGCTACTCCTGCTGTCTTTTGACTAGTGTTATATGGTGTATGTTTTTCCATCCCTTTGCTTTTAATCTATATGTGTCTGTATATTTAAAGTGGGTTTCTTGTGGCTGGGCGCGGTGGCTCACGCCTGTAATCCTAGCACTTTGGGAAGCCAAGGTGGGCGGATCATTTGAGGTCGGGAGTTCAAGACCAGCCTGACCAACATGGAGAAACTTCGTTCCTACTAAAAATACAAAAAATTAGCTGGGCATGGTGGCCCATGCCTGTAATCCCAGCTACTCAGGAGGCTGAGGCAGGAGAATCACTTGAACCCGGGAGGCGGAGGTTGCAGTGAGCCGAGATTGAGCCATTGCACTCCAGCCTGGGCAACAAGAGCAAAACTCCATCTCAAAAAAAAAAAAAAAAGTGGATTTCTTGTAGTCAGGCCTTATTTTTTAACCCATTCTAACAATCTCTGTCTTTTGTGTATTTAGAACATTGACATTTAAGGTGATTTGATATCATTGGATTAATATCTGTCATATTTGTTACTGTTTTCTATTTGTTGCCCGTGTTCTTTGTTCCAATTTTTTCTTCTACACTTTTTCTGCCTTTTGTAGTTGTAATTGAGCATTTCATATGATTCTATTTCTTCTCCTTTCTTAGCATATCAATTATACTTCTTTTTTTACGCTTTTTTACTGGCTGCCATAGAGTTTGCAGTATACATTTACAATGAATCCAAGCTCACTTTCAGATAACACTATATTGCTTCATGTGTAGTACAAGTAATTTATAATAACAAAATAATCCTAACTCCTCCATCCCATAGCTTATATCATCCTGTCATTCATTTCATTTACATATAAGCATATATATACATACATATTCGAATATATTATTTTGATCATACTGTTATCTGTTAGATCAATTAAGAATAACAAAAAAGTTTTTATGCTACCTTCACTTATTCATTCTCTGATGCTCTTTTTTTATGTAGATTCAAGTTTCTGTCCTATCTCATTTTCCTTCTTTCTGAAACACTTAACATTTCTTGTAAGGCAGGTCTATTGGCAACAAACTGCATCCATTTTTGTATATCTCAGAGTCCTTATTTCTCCTGCACTTTTAAACAATAATTTCTCAGAGTACAAAATTATAGGTTGGTGTGTGCTTTTTTCTCTTAACAGTATATATTTTACTCCATTCTTCTCACTTGCAGGGCTTCTGAGAAGTTAGATGTCATTCTTATCTTTGTTCCTTTGTAGGTAAGGTGTTTCTTTCCTCTGGCTTTTTTCAAGATTTTAAATTTATTTTTGATTTTCTGAAGTTTGAATGTGATATGCCTAGGGTATAGTTTTTCTGGGCATTTATCCTGCAGGGTGTTCTCTGAGCTTCCTGGATCTGTGGTTTGGTGTCTGACATTAATTTGGGGGAAATTCTTAGTCATTGCTTCAAATGTTGCTTCTGATTTTTCTTTCCCTCTTCTCCTTCTAGTATTTTTATTATGCCTATCTTATACCTTTTCCAGTTTTCCCACAGTTCTTGGCTATTCTGTTTTTTGGTGGTTTTTTTTTTTTCAGTCTTTTCTCTTTGCTTTTTAGTTTTGAAAGTTTCAGAACTTCCAATCCCTGAGCCTTCCGAAAGCAGTTTAAGGCTGCCTTGAAGACTGAGAAAGGTTCTTTCCTCAGCCCTGTCCTGTCTACTAATGAACGCATCAAAGGCACTCTTCGTTCTGTTACAGTGTTTTTAATCTGTAGCATTTCTGTTTGATTCTTTCTTAGAATTTCCATCTCCTTACATTATCCATCTGTTCTTGCATGCTGTCTACTTTTTCCATCAAAGCCCTTAGCATATTAATCATTTAAAAAAATTCCTGGTCTGATAATTCCAACATGCCTGCCATATTACGACTGCAGGTTCTCATACTTGTTCAGTCTCTTCAAACTATTTTTTATTTTATTTTTTTACTTTTGGTGTGCTTTGTAATTTTTTGGTGAAAGGTAGACATGCTGTCCTGGGTGAAGGGAACTGCATAAATAGGCCTTTAGTAATGTGGTGATAAGGTCCGGGGGAGGGGAAGCATTCCATAGCCCTGTGACTATGTCTCAGTCTTTAGGTGAGTTTGTGCACCTGGACTGTGAAGTTTACCAATGCTTCTCAATTATTTTCTCTCCGCTTAAGTAGGACAGGATGGTTGAAGGGGGCTGGAGTTGGGTATTTCCCTTCCTCTAGCTTAGTTGGGTGCTGATAGTACCCCAGCTGATTGGGCCCTGGTAAATTAGTTTCTCCTGAGGGCAGGCCTTGTTAGGAAGGAACAGGTGCTCTGGTGTATTTTAAAATGGCTGCATTCCCCTCCCCCTGCCTCAAGCACGAGGGGATTTTTCTCTGATGCTCACTGTGAAAACCTGGTAAAACTCCTGGAAGTAAAACTGAAGACAGTGGGCAGGCCCCCCTATGATTGGATCCCTCTGGAGTTTTTAACTCTTGAGACCTACCCCACACTGAGTCTTCAGCAATTCCCCAATTGTAGTTCAGGTTTTCCTGCCCTGGCACTCATTTCCACAGAGGTCTCTGCTTATGGCTTTCTGCTCTGGTAAGTTGTTATTCTCGGTACCTGCTTGTCTCTCTAATTTTGGGGGCAGTGGTTTGCCCTGTGACCTCACTTCTGTGACAGAGCGGAGAAGAGGTGTTGATTTTTCCGTGTTTTTTGTTTTTTTGTTTTGAGCCAGTCTCACTCTGTCGCCCAGGCTGGAGTGCAGTGGTGTGATCTTGGCTCACTGCAGCCTCCACCTCCCGGGCCCAAGCGATCCTCCCACCTCAGCCTCTCGAGTAGCTGAGATTACAGGTGTGGGCCACCACGCCAGGCTAATTTTTGTATTTTTAGTAGAAACGGGGTTTTGCTGTGTTGGCCAGCCTGGTCTCGAACTCCTGGCGTCAACTGATCTGCCCGCCTTGGCCTCCCAAAGTGTTGGGATTACAGGCATGAGCCACCATGCCCAGCCCCCAGCTAATTTTTCTATTTCTAGTAGAGATGGGGTTTCACCATGTTGTGCGAGCTGGTCTCGAATTCCTGGCCTCAAGCCATCTGCCCGCCCTGGCCTCGCAAAGTGCTGGGATTACAAGGCGTGAGCCACTGCGCCCAGTCTTGTTCAGCTTTTTACTTGATGTGGGGTGTGGCGTGTGTGTGTGTGTGTGTTTAGAGGAGTTTCGCTCTTGTTGCCGTGTGTGTGTGTGTGTTTAGAGGAGTTTCGCTCTTGTTGCCCAGGCTGGAGTGCAATGGCGCAATCTCGGCCAACGGCAACCTCTCTGTCTCCCGAGTTCAAGCGATTCTCCTGCCTCAGCCTCCCGAGTAGCTGGGATTACAAGCATGTGCCACCACGCCTGGCTAATTTTTTTTTGTATTTTTAGTAGAGACAGGGTTTCTCCATGTTTGTCAGACTGGTCTCAAACTCCCGACCTCAGGTGATCCGCCCACCTTGGCCTCCCAAGGTGTTGAGATTACAGGCGAGAGCCACCGCACCCAGCCTTTTACTTGTTAAAATGGAGTGGCGACTTCCAAGCTCTTCACGTGCTGAACTGGAAACTGGAAATGCTCCCGACGCCATTTTGAAATCTCAGGAACCCACTCCCTTCCTTCGGTCCCTACCGCTCTAGGCCAGGCCCTCATCTCCAGGTGCCTGGATGATTGCGAAGTGCCTCAGTAATAGCTTCCGGTCTCTTCCCCCTTCAGCCCATCTTCAATAGAAGTGCCACAGTGATCCCTCTAAATTGTAGTTCTGATTGTGCCACTCCTTTGCTCAGCATTTTCTAAATTTATTTTACTATGGAACAATTTACATTTTGAAACACTAGTGGAAGATCAACCGATCATAAAATATAACAGACTCTTAGGTGGACAGCAAGATATGGTCTCACAGATGAATTAATTGCTGGGAGATTATTCACATTTGTGTGTGAATGCTTTGTAACAGAATAAAACAAAATTATTTTCAGCTTAAGAACAAAGTATGTAAGTAGATATCTAACTTCATTTTTATTGTAGATGAATATAAAAGCCCTCAGTATTTAAAATTGAGAACATTATTTTTCCAGTCCTTTAAAAAACCGTATCTAGTCAATATTAAGAATAATGTTTCCAAGTCATACCCTCATATCAGGTATGGCATGACGTCTTCCATAATTTGTTTCATTACAGTGTAATATGAAAATCTTTGCACACAGATGTGTTATAGCAAAAGGAAGAACACAAACGGTTCCTTCGGGAAGATTTTGTGCTCTCTTGAATTCAACTGTCTCAGAAATCATTAATCCTGTGACTTGGGCAGCATACCACCTGGTTTTTTAGAAATCACTTGGATATTGGCTGGGCACAGTGGCTCATGCCTGTAATCCCAGCACTTTGGGAGGCTGAGGTGGGCGGATCACAAGGTCAGGAGTTTGAAACCGGCCTGGTCAATATGGTGAAACCCTGTCTCTACTAAAAATACAAAAATTAGCCGGGCGTGGTGGCAGGTGCCTGTAGTCACAGCTACTCAGGAAGCTGAGGCAGGAGAATCACTTGAACCTGGGAGGCAGAGGTTGCAGTGAGCCGAGATTGCACCACTGCATTACAGCCTGGGTGACAGAGAGAGACTCGGTCTCAAAAAAAAAAAAAAAAAATCACTTGGATGTTTTCCAGTTCTTAGCTTGTGGAGTTCATATGTGAATCGTAAACTCTTTTTGTTTAAAACTTCCTTTGTTCATGATAGATTCAGGTGGGATGAATTTTTATAGTATAAATGTTAACCATACCATCTACAGAATAAAATCACAAATATATGTTGAAATCCTGAGACAAGATTCCTTCTATAGACAGCATACTGTGGATAGAAAGTAACCATCCATGCAGTGGCTGCTTTGTCAGAGCAAGAATACACCTGTGTTGTGGCTAACACGACAGATACCTGTGTATTATGCAGCCCCCAAGCTATTTCCTGGCAGTCTTGGCTTGAGAACACTTCTTGAAGGTGATAGCAGATAATTATGAGAATGACTATCCAAATGCTTTTAATGTTTTTCCTACATGTATGTTTTTTGGAATGTATTTGGAAGAGAAAATAGCTCCACAGAGCACATTAGGGAGATGCTGGCCCCGAGTTAAAGACTGATGTCCTTAGCCTGGTGCTCAGGCTCCATGGCTGTCTGGTTTTGGCCCTCCCTGAGACCTCATCTCCTGCCACCCGCTTCCTGTGCCACACAGTGGCCCTTGCTGATCTCTTGAGTGCACCTCTGGTGCCTGAATAGCTGTTTCCTCCCTTATCTGCTAAACCTAGCAGATTTGCTGGGCTCTGGACTGAGGTGGAGGGAGATATATGTGTGGAGGTGGGAGAGGGGTTTCTGTGCAGGGGTTCAGGGGTGCTGTTTGAACATAGGATGGCATTGCTATGTTGCTAGTGAGTTTTATTTTCTCTTCTGTCCCTGTCCTAGACTTCCCCTTCACTTCACTCATCCCTGCCGCCGTAATGTTTACCTATCCTGCGTCCTCAGAGAAGCCTTACCTCCTCCTCTGCACCCCTTTGCCTGTATTTGTTTTCCATCTCAGCTTTGCTTCTCCACAACTCTGCCTGTCTCCCTCCTGGCTGTCCAGGTCCTCACCCACTGCCCTGGGCCCATCCAGCCCTTTTGGAGAATCGGGACCCTTTTCCAAAGCACATGAGAATGGATCTGATGGCTTTTCTGGGTAGCCCTCTGCCTGTGACCCAGCCCCAGAACTTAGTCAAACTCACATCTCAGGAGGGCCAATAGGAGAATGTATGTTCAAAGCTCCTTAAAAACTGTCAGACACTCTAGGAAATAAGGTAGTGTCATTAATAAAGCCTGTCAGCATTCATCAGCGGCACTTGCCTCATCCATTCCCTGGTGTAAATGTGACCCAAAAAGGGAATTCCTAGTCAGAGGACTAGGAGGATTTGTGACAAGTATTTCTTCTATCAGATCACTAATTTATCAGGTTTGTTAATTGGGCAGTTTGGGGGCAGGAAGAAAATAACTTTAATAGAATGGGGCAGCTGTGACCTCCTTGAAGGGGCTCAGACCAGGCAAGGAGACAGACATCTGGCTAAGGTCCAGCAGATGCAGACTCTTCCTAGGGTGCATTGTTGTAACAGGATTTCTGTGTCTCCACTAATGAGCAATACTGCCTGTGTCATGCACTCACTTCTTTAGGCTTCTATTTCTGGACTCTCTGCTCTTCCATTATTTACCTACTTATTTGCTAAGACCTTCTGCCTTGTTTGCTATAACTTTATAATAATACATTTCAATATCTGAGATGGCTAAAACTCTTCATTGCTTTTCATTTTCAGAATATTTTGGCTGTCCTCACATAGAGTTTTCCAGTGAATAACCCTGTCTAGTTCTAAAAATAATAATTTTATTATGTTAGATTTATATATTAATTTAGGGATAATTGACAGCTTTGTGTTGGCTTTCCCATTTAAGAATATGTCTTATTAAAGTTTTCTTCTGTGTGCCTCAGAAGTTTTTGTTCTTACTGTATTTATTTATTTGGGTTTTTTAAAAAATGGGTCTTGCTATGTTGCCCAGGCTGGAATGCATTAGAAATTCATAGGCCCAATTCTAGTATGTACTAGAGCCTGGTCTCAAGCCATACTCCTGCCTCAGCCTCCTGAGTGGCTGGGACTATAGGGGCACACAATTGTACCTGGCTTGCTTTTATTTTCTAAACATAGATCTTGCATGCTTCCTAAATAGAGTCCAAGAAATTGTATCCTTTTGGTTGCTACTGTAAATGGGATTTTTGGCAATCTATTATTATATATTTTTTATTTTGAGATGGAGTCTCACCTACTGTGTTGCCCAGGCTGAAGTGCGGTTGCATAATCTCGGCTCCCTGCAACCGCCGCCTCCCTGGTTCAAGCGATTCTCCTGCCTCAGCCTCCCAAGTAGCTGGGATTACAGGTGCCCACCACCACACCCAGCTAATTTTTACATTTTTAGTAGAGATGTGTTTTGCCATGTTGGCCAGGGTGGTCTCAAACTCCTGACCTCAAGTGATCCGCCCACCTTGGCCTCTTAAAGTGCTGGGATTACAGGCATGAAACACCTTGCCTGGCCAGACAATCTGTTATATTTTCTATCTGGTTGTTTGTGTATTTAGGAAGGCTACTGATTTTATTAGTGATTTTATACCTAGCCACCTTACTGAATTTTGATTACTCACTTTTTCAGTTGATTTTCTTGGGTGTTCTCTATGTGCAATTCTATTATCTGCAAATAAGAATAACGTTACTGTGTGGATTTTGTATAAAAGTAGAACTCCAATATGCTTGTAAGTTAGATTCTTTGCATGGGAGAATGTACAAGAAAAAATTTCTGTCCACATCTCCTTTTTCCTTCAGTTCTCTGTTCTGGGTTCTGAGGATTTGGCCCTGCTGGCTGGCGTAGCCTGTTGACCACCTAGAGTGTGGGTCAGGGGCCAGATGAGCCCATGCTTCCAGTCCCTTGTGATGGGTGACCAGTCAAGGGCCTGTGTCTTCAGAGCACAAATCAGACTTCACAAGATGCTATGACAGTACATGAAGGGACAGTGAAGCGAGGATGTATTGGGTCCAGTGATGGGCACATGCATTGGCTGGGATGTGTGAAAGTACAGATGATTCAGAAGTTCTAGAAGGAAAGCAGCAGAAGCCCTTCTGGTGAGAGGGCAGGGCCAGGTGGTCAGGGGACAGCCTGTAATTCATGCAAAGCACTGGGAGCTGGTCCTGTTGGGGACAGAGCCAGGGAAGCCTTTGCAGCTGGGCAGGCAGAGTGTGACCCATCTGGACTAGAGGAAGACCTGTCGGTTGGTGTAGTAGATGGTGTTTGGAGGGGTTTAAGACTCAAGACAGATACAAACTAATTAGGGTACCTTACAAGACTTTGTAATACTGTAAAATAATGTCTGAAGGGTTTGTTTTAATTCAAATCAAATAGAAGTAGGAAAAATAAGAATTTTGATGTTTTGTAGGTTTATGTCAGAAAAAGTGTGGAGCTAAACATTGCAAGTGAAGAATTATAAGTTAAAACATCATTTCTCTCTCTCTTGTTTCTTTGCAAAAGTAGTCGTGCTAATTCTTTGCAGAATTATTTCACATGGAGCCAGAAATTGTTCAAAGCAGGAGTGGCCTCTTTGCCGAGTGGTTTTCATATTCCAAACATACATATGTTGCACAGAGTATCTAATTATTCTTGGGAACAATTACTGTCAGGTTCCAGAATGTGTTCAATGAACAGCAATTGGTGTTTATTCAGCTCTAAAGAGACTATGCAAGGAACGGTAGGTTATATTGTCTGTCTAAAGAAGCGTTCTGCCATCCGGAAACATCTGCTTTCTATTTAAAGCACTGAAGAAGGAATGGGAGTATATTTGAAATTTACTCTCTGAACATTGAACATCAAAGGAAGGAGAATAAATTTGGATATGAAGGTAATTTCTGTCCTCTGATACACTCTCTTCAGCTTTTCCCTGCTGGGAAGGAAACGCAGGTTGGAAAGTTCTGATTCTCTTAAATCTTTCTATTTATATTGATTTGCACACTGGAGGAAATGACTTCTATGTCCTACTTCTAGCTCTTTTGCTTTCTCAAGTGAAGCAGAAGACTCTTTCAAAGTCAGGGTCTGCTTTTCTGAATTTTGTGGTGAGGTCTCTGTTTGGATTTTGCCCATAAAGGTGTTAAGATTTGTTGTTCAGTTTGCCTGAAGTGATCCTGTGACCTTTGATTTTCTGTGTGGTGAGCCCTGCCCACTCACAGCCCTGTTGGGAGGATTAAATGAGAACATTTATGGTTTGCTTGGTGTGTAGTAAGCTTTCTGTGAAGGACAGTGTCTCTTCTATTGCTACGTAATAAACTGTCACATACATAGCATCTTAAACCACATTGCTGTGTGTCTGGAGTCTGGTATAGCTTAGTTGGGCCCTTTGCTTCAGGGTCTCTTGCAAGGCTGTAATCAAGGTGTTGACCAGGGTTGGAGTCTCATCTGAAGGCTCACATATGGAAAGATCTGCTTCCAAGCTCATGTGGTTGTTGGCTGAATTTCCATTCCTCCAAGGGAGTTGGACTAAGGGCCTCAGTTCCTGTCTGTCAGTTGGCTGGAGTCTTTCCTCATTTCCTTGTAAGGTGGATCTCCCTAATATGGCAGCTTGCTTCATCAAAACCAGTAAGGTAATTTATTGAGAGAGTCTGATAGGAGACAGATGTCATAATCCTATGTGACTTAATTACACAAATGACATCCCATCACCTTTGCCATATTCTGTTGGTTAAAAGCAAGTCACAGGTCTCACCCACACTCAAGAGGAGGGGATTCCATAAGGGCATGAACACTAGGAGGTGGGGGTCACCAGGAGTCACATCCGAAGCTGCCTACTACAGACAGCTATTATTATAGGAAGAGAGAATAACATAATGGCTGAGAGGGAGGGTTTCCATGTCACTTAGAAATAATATCAAATTGCTGGGTGCAGTGGCTCAAGCCTGTAATCCCAACACTTTGGGAGGCCGAGGCATGTGGATCATGAGGTCAGGAGTTCAAGACCAGCCTGGCCAAGATGGTGAAACCCCGTCTCTACTAAAAATACAAAAATTAGCTGGGCGTGGTGGCAGGCGCCTGTAATCCCAGCTACTTGGGAGGCTGAGGCAGAGAATTGCTTAAACCCAGGAGGTGGAGGTTGCAGTGAGCCAAGATCATGCCACTACACTCCAGCTTGGGCGACAGAGTGAGACTTCATCTAAAAAAAAAAAAAAAAAAAAGAAATGACATCAAATTTCAGACCTGTCATATACTGCATGACCCAAGTCAGGTTACCTGGCCTCTCTGAGTTCCTGTTTCCCCACCTGTTCAGCCCCTTCCCTGTAGGATTGTTGCAGTTTCAAAGTGGAGAGCGAGCCTAGCAGAATGGTAAGTACTCAGTAAAGGTCAGCTACGAGCTTTTCTTCTCCTTGCCTTTCTTTTTTGCCTTTTTTTGAAATATCATTAGACTTTTTGGATTGTAGAAGAATAGCATGGAACTCCCCAGTGCCCCCAGACTTGGTTATTCATGTGAAATCCCAGAGCGGCGGGTAGTTTCCTGCCAGACTGGCCGTGCAATCCTCCCCTGTTTGCCCAGGGGCTCGAGGATGAGGAATGCAGGTCTTTGGCCTCTGGAGGGCCATAGCTTCCTGCCATGGTGACTACCTCAGAATGGAGCTGCCAGGAGGCCCTGCAGTACCCCTCCCAGGTCTCTGTGCCTCCCCTCACACTGGAGCAGCCACTTGCCCTGCAGAGGGCCTGACCATGTTGACCAAGAGTGTGGCCAGGTGAGCCATTGTGTTCTTCCAACATCGTTGCATTTCTACTTGGGGGTCCCGAGGGCAGCTCACCATGACTTCAGTCCATCCACAGAGCTGAGCAGGCAGATTTGGAGATGGAACCCTTCTTGTCTACTCACTTTGACACCTGGATCATGCCGAGCAGACAGCCGGCTGCTTTGCCTGTGCCTGGTCAGGAAGCTCTGCCATCTTCTCGGCTCCCTGTGCCTTCCCCTCCATCTCTCCACTTTGCTTTCCTCACTTCCTCCCTCCTGTAGGCCTCAGGGACAGAGAGTGCTTGCGGAAGGCTACTGCTGGGCCACCACAGGCCGCACTCATCTCCACCCTCCTTCCTGACCAGAACAGCTCTGCCTCCCCTTGCCCCTTGCCCCCATCCTTTGCATCCAGAGACCCTGTTCTTGGTCCCCCTGTTGCCCCACCTCCAGCCCCCTCTACAGCTGTGGGAGAACTTTCTGGAGTCTCCCTGTGTCATTCAGTCACCAGTGTTGTTCTGGAGTAGAGATGCTGGCTCTAGGGGCCACTTCTTTTTTTCTTTTTTAGATCATCTGATTATATCTAATGTGAATGTCTCCCCAGCTTCCTTGAAAGTAAAAATCACCTGGAGTTCTTAAAAATGGAGCCCCTTGGGCCCTTCCTTGGAGAGCCAGGTTCAAGGGGGGCTAGGATGGGGCCTGGGAACATGTATTTTTAGTAAGTGTACCAGCTAATTCCTGTCATGGAGATTTAGGGAACACCCGTCTAAGCATGCCCAAACCGAGACCCAATCCCTCTTTTCTGATGTAGGGAATAGGAGGGAAGATCTGAAAGTCTGGGTCCCTTCCCAGAAAGGCCTTCTCTAACCCGTGGGCCCCCAGCCCAGCCCATTTAGTGCTCTGACAATGAGGCATAATTTGATTCTTCAACAAATGTTCTGTAGTTGCTGCCCTTTAAATTGCTCCTTCCTTTCACGTATGTAGGAGAATACTGTGTGTGGAAGTGTTTTCCTTTATGGTGTTGTACTTAGATGATTAGCAAAATATGGTGCTGGGCTGAGAGTGGCACAGCTGGGTGATCCAGACTGCAGACTGGATTATATCACATGGATGGGGTATGAGGGCTTGCACTGATATGCACACACTCCCTGTCGTCTGGCCTCTCTTGACAGCAGATGCGGGAAATTACAGTGAGAATCTTCCTTTTGTTTCTAACAGCTGTCACCCAGCTGCTGGAAGGGTGTTGGTTTAGCATCGAGTGTGTGGGTGAACTTGGTCTCTGTTTGAGGGAATAAAAATGCCCTAGTAATCCACAGCCCCAGAGGCACTTGTCCTGCTCCAGGGGACCTAGAAGGGAAGTTTCAGGGAGCAAGGAATGCTGCTAGCCTCTGTTCTGGAATGCTGGCCTCTGTAAACAGCTGCATTGAAGCAGCATTAATAGCATGCCTGAGGAGAAACAGGCATAAAGAAGATTGCTGCATTTCTTCAAAACCACGGTTGATGGTTGATGCTGCTGGTGTTACTCAGTAGCCCTTATATGAGGCTCAAATGGCAAATTGGTTTTCTAGGAAAAGTTTCTCAAGAGCATTCTTAAAATTTTAATAATGAGTATTCTACATTCAGGATGGATTCAAAGACTGCTTCGCCTAAAATCATTCCATCTAGAGACTGGAACACTTCAAATTCTTTTCTCTTTGATTTTTTTTTTTTTGTATCTTGTCTATGTCTCTTTTATTTTATCTCTTTTGACATTGTAAAGATTTAAAAAATTGTCTAAGTTACCTTTTAATTTTGTGTCTCTAATAAGTACTTATTAAATCTGTAGCATTTTATAAACAATGGGACTATTTTTTTTTTTTTTTTTTGAGATGGAGTCTTGCTCTGTCGCCCAGGCTGGAGTGCAGTGGTGTGATCTCAGCTCACTGCAAGCTCTGCCTCCCGGGTTCACGCCATTCTTCTGCCTCAGCCTCCCGAGTAGCTGGGACTACAGGCACCCGCCACCATGCCCAGCTAATTTTTTGTATTTTTAGTAGAGACGGGGCTTCACCGTGTTAGCCAGGATGGTCTCGATCTCCTGACCTCGTGATCCGCAACAATGGGACTATTTTTACACGTTGATGGCTTTTTTTCTATTTGTATCTTATTTTGAACACTTAAAGGATTTTTGAGCCAGTCTGTGTAAAGATGCTTTCTTCAAAAATAAATGTATTTTGTGATAAGTCTGTGCCATTTTGCATTACTTTGGGAAGTAGATAGCTTAGAATACAAAATGCAGTGAAATCCATTACAATTTTTATTCATCTGCCTTGTTTCTAAATGCGTATTGTCAAAATCTAATTCCCCACTCAACAGAAAGAAACATAGGTAATATGCAAATTTGGTGAATCGCATAAAATGCTTTAGGCATGTGGAGTGAAAAAGCAACAATATAGAGGCAAGAATAGCAGAAGGGATGGATTTGATGAATTTACATAAAACTCAAAAGGTTTATAAGTTGGAAACATCAAATTTGAAGGTTTGGTCAGGTTGTTGAATGGTTCCAGAAGTAGACTGAAGAGATACAGAGATAAAAAATAATTCTATCATATTACCAGGTGCAGTGGTTCATGCCCTATAATGGCTCATGCTGGGATTATATCCCAGCACTTTGAGAGGCTAATGTGGGAGGATCACTTGAGATCAGGAGTTTAAGACTAGCCTGGGCAACACAGAGAGACCCTGTCTCTACCCACCACCTCCCGGCAACATTAGCCAAGTGTGGTGTCACGTGCCTGTAGTCCTAGCTACTTGGGAGGCTGAGGCAGAATTGCTTGAGCCTCAGAGATCCAGGCTGCAGTGAGCTATGATTGCATCACTACGCTCCAGCCTGGGCAGCAGTGAGACACTGTCTCTTAAAAAAAAAAAAAAAAAGGCGCAGTGGCTTACGCCTATAATCCTAGCACTTTGGGAGCCCGAGGCAGGCGGATCACAAGGTCAGGAGTTCGAGACCAGCCCGGCCAACATAGTGAAACCCCGTCTCTACTATAAATACAAAAATTAGCTGAGCGCAGTGGCACACGCCTGTAATCCCAGCTACTCAGGAGGCTGAGGCAGGAGAATCGCTTGAACCCGGGAGGCGGAGATTGCAGTGAGCCGAGATCATGCCACTGCACTCCAGCCTGGGCAACAGAGCGAGACTCTATATCCAAAAAAAAAAAAAAAAAAAAGATAAAATTATGTCATTCATAAATTACTGCAAATTTGAGAAGTACTTAATAGAAATATAACATTAAGCTGCAAATAGATTGGAAAATCCTAAAATTGTTGCAGAATCCCCCAAAATTTGTCACAAAAATTCTAAAAAGTGAATTGGTTCCAAAATCCTAAAAATGACAACAGGATGTCAGAAAAAGTATAGGACACTTGACGGGGATTCGAAAACACTGAACAAGGAGTTGCCTTTTAAGCAAATTGTTCATTACACCAATTGCCCTGCAGTCTCGGGATAACAGCTAAGTGGAATGTGGTTTGCAAAAACTACTCACTGGTGTCTCTTTTTTTCTTCTCTCTTTGCTTTTATTTTAATTGTCTTCATGCATATGTATGTTTCCCTATAAGCTATTTAAAATCTTTTGGGGCAGTAGGTGGCCTAGAAATCATAAATTATACATTAAGTCATGTTCTCTCAACTCACACGCCCACTCTCTTATTGCAGAGAACAGCCCATCTTCACCACCCGAGCGCATGTCTTCCAGATTGACCCCAACACCAAGAAGAACTGGATGCCTGCGAGCAAGCAGGCGGTCACCGTTTCCTACTTCTATGATGTCACAAGGAACAGCTATCGGATCATCAGTGTGGACGGAGCCAAGGTACCACCCCCTCAGCTGATTTTAATACTCCCAGTTGCTTATCTTTCATCCAAGATGCACCCAAAATCCTGCCGTCTTAACACATAAGTTATTGTTATAATGTCTGTATAACATATTCTGTTCTTTTTGCATTTAAACTTACGGTAAATGGGGAAGAAAAATATTTCTCTGTTACCACTGTCTTCATAACTAACATTTTAATGCCTGTATAATAATTCTGCCGACGGCCTATAATGCTCTTAATTTCCCCCCGTGGTTGGATATTTAAGTGGCTTCCAATGTTTTGCTATTATAAATAATGAGCATCTTCATGTACCAAATATCCTCAATTGTTCACATACCATTGCTTTCTTTTGAATAGTCCTTAGGATAGATTCCTAGAATATTATGGGGCAAGATATTAACACTTTATGGCTCTTGATGCATATTGCCAGATTGTTTTCCAGAAGGGTTCGTTCTTCCAGCCTGTATGAGAGTGTCTGTTGTTGCACCCTTGCCAGCATTGGGTATTGTATCTAGTCGGGTTTTGGTGTTATTAGGCATAGGAGTTGAATTTTATTAAGTGGTTTTGGAGTATTTCTTGAAATACATATATATTTTTGTTATTCTGTCTCCCATGATATTTTTGCCACATTATCATGGGAACAGAATTAAGAAGGGATACCAGCAGAAGTATCACCAAGTCTTTAAAAAAAAAAAAAATAGACCTGCTGGTTTTCTGTCTTCATCCTGCTGTACATTTTTTACATGGATTATCTGCTGCCACCTGGAATTCAGTGTATCTAAAGCTGAATTCCCCTTTTTGTCCTCTAAACCACCTCTCCATTTTTATTCCCCAATCATTTGGGCTAATAAAGCGAAACATAGAGTCCTTCTTTAAGTTTGTCAAGTGAATCTGCCTTTGAAGTGTCACCCACTCGTGCCTGCTCTTTTAAGACCATAACTCTTGTCCTATCACAGTCTTGCCTGGACTCCTGCAGTAGCTGCCTCATCTCCTACCTGCAGTCTAGTCTGACTTTTGCCTCTAGATCAGCCTTCCTATGCAACAGGAAGCAGGGGAGTGGGGAGTCAGGGGCTGGGCAATAGAATGGGCCCTGGGTAAAGGCTTCTCCCCACACTCCACAAACAGAAGGTGTGGGGAAGCCTCCAGGGAAGCTCTCCCAGGGAAGGCACGAGAGCCTGCTGGTGCCTCCCGATCTCTTCAGGAGATCAGGGCACTTCAGCCCATGTTCTCTAAGTGACTGCTTTTTACCCTTTCTCTGCACTTTGGCAACTGCAGATAAAGGTGGCTTGACCCTGGGATCCTCTTGTTCTCCCTTCCAGTTGCCACAGCCCTTCTTCCTCAGGAAGGGACCCCAGAAGTCCTCATTTTACAGCTGAGGTCTAAGGAGAGGCAATGACCTGGCCCAGGTTCACGCCTCTGGGGAGGCTTTGTAGGCCGGGGCGGGTGCCCAGTTATTTGCACACCAGTTCCTGGTTTGTTGGGTTGGAGCAGGCTTCTCCTGGCTGGTAGAGGAGAGTTTCCTGACACCTATCAGGCGGGTAGTGTGTTATCTCCCTCCGCTTCAGAGATGAAGGAACTGGTCTTTCTGCCTAAGCAAGCAGGATGATAGTAGGATGATAGCGCATCCCCAGGATCTGGTGATCTGATGAGCAGTAAGGAAGTGTGCTAGTGCCTGGCACATAGTAGGTAGGCACCTCGTGTTTGATGGGGGAACATCTGAAAGGTGCCTTTATTTTTTTCCTTCTGAGAGACATAGTGATGCCACAGTTGTAATTACCGTTTCTCTCCTCTGTGCTTCTGCGCTGGAATTGCCTGGACTCTTTCCAGGATGTTCTGACAGCAGTGGTGAATCAAGCTGACCTGCTTTCTTTTATCTATAGATTCTGCCAGTTCATCTGCCATCCTTCGATGGGTTTGTACTTTTGTCAGTTGAGTTATCCAAGGATATATCGGGCTTAAATATAGATAAAACGACTTTCTTAGAGCAAGTGCTTTAGTCCTATTAGCTGAGCTTTTAGTAATTCGTCAAAGTGTCAGCCACTGTGTCGTTATGGCTCTGCAGTTCCTGAAGGCTGTGACAATGTGGTGGGGTTCAAGCCAAATATGACAGTTATGAGAAATCAGATGGGTGTGGGAGGGTAGGCTAAGCCCCTGGCTGTGGCACAGCGCTAGTCCAGGCTCAGTGTGGGAGAGTCATCAAGCTATAGACTCACTTACAGGCTGGGAATCCAAAACCTAGGCCATGGGGTGCTGCTGGAACTCAAAGCCAGCCAGAGGATCTTGGACTACCCTTTCTATGGTGCCCAGCCACCTGGTTTTTGTTGTTGTTGTTGTTTTTTGAGACAGGGTCTCACTTTGTCGCCTAGGCTGGAGTGCAGTGGCACGATCTCAGCTCACTGCAGCCTCCACCTCCCAGGATCAAGCGATTCTCCCACCTCAGCCACCCAAGTAGGTGGGATTATAGGTACCCACCACTATGCCTGGATAATTTATATATTTTTGATAGAGACAGGTTTTGCCATGTTGGGCAGGCTGGTCTCAAACTCCTGGCCTGAAGTGATCTGCCCCTCGGCCTCCCAAAGTGCTAGGATTACAGGTGTGAGCCAACGCGCCCTGCCGCCACCTCGTGTTCCTCCCTTAGTGCTGTGGCACCAGAGATCCATGACAGAGCCTCCTTCTGCAAAAGGAAGCATCCCATGAGGGAACAGAAGGCCCCAGGAAGTGGGGAGTAGGGTGGACCTCAGTTGTTTAATTACTACAGTTGGCATTCAGGGATTGGGGATGGGAGCACGTATCCTGTCTGGAGAACCTGACCACACTGCACTGGAAAGTGGTCCCAATGCACATTCAGCCCTGCTGGGCCCTCTCTCGACCTGGCAGGCAGCAACCTGTAAACCCAGCAGCCTAGGTCTAGATCATACCCTGTGCCTTCAGCTGTTCCACAAGTCGGGTGGGCATGGAGAGAGAACCCTAGGGTGATAGCAACTGTTGCTGCTGCCTGGTCCCCCGCGGCTTGCCCCTTCCCCACCCATTACTAAGGTCCTCATCTCCCTGAGCCCAATCTCGATCCTGCCTGAATACTCCAGATGGATCGCCTGCTGTCTGCAGACTGGAATCAGGTGCAGTGTGTTGAGCGGACTGCTGGGCATCTGTGCTGATGCCAGTGCCTTCTCCTTATGGGCTCTTGTCTGTTGCCCTTGCCCACCCTCACCCCCATCTCTGTTCAGTCGGCTTGGTTCCACTTCTGTTCTTATTCCTGAGCATCTATTCTGGTTCCATGTTCACTGGCTACCCAAGCCTGGAGCTCTGCTCCCTGCCCAGCTGCACGTCCCAGGCCTCATGCATGCCGTGGAGCCTCAGGCAGACCACTTAGGAATGGATGCACCTGGGCTGGGGGAGTATGAACACTTCCTGATGTCCTCATTGTGTTCTACCACACTGGGTCAGCCCCACTTTGTTTTAGGCCTTTGATCCCAAATGTTGATCTGAACCATGATGACAGGTGGTCAGATGCGTTTAGCTTTTGGGGCTGTGTCTTAGCTCATGGGCTGCACCTCTGTGACTTTGGGCAGGTCTAGTGCCTGAGTCCTGCCTCTCTCTGTTGGCTGGGCCACATCAAGTATATTACTTTGAGCTTCTGAGTGGTACTTCTGGGCCATTCGTTCCTCTCAAAGCAGGAGGCTGTTGTGGGCTGGAAGGGGAAGCCGCCTCCACTCCTCCCCAGGGAAGGAGTGGATGTGTTTCAGTAAGAAGTGGCTGGTGGGGAGGAGCCAAGATGGCCGAATAGGAACAGCTCCGGTCTACAGCTCCCAGCGTGAGCGACGCAGAAGACGGTGATTTCTGCATTTCCATCTGAGGTACCGGGTTCATCTCACTAGGGAGTGCCAGACAGTGGGCGCAGGCCAGTGTGTGTGCGCACCGTGCGCGAGCTGAAGCAGGGCGAGGCATTGCCTCACCTGGGAAGCGCAAGGGGTCAGGGAGTTCCCTTTCCGAGTCAAAGAAAGGGGTGACGGACGCACCTGGAAAATCGGATCACTCCCACCCGAATATTGCGCTTTTCAGACCGGCTTAAGAAACGGCGCACCACGAGACTATATCCCACACCTGGCTCGGAGGGTCCTACGCCCACGGAATCTCGCTGATTGCTAGCACAGCAGTCTGAGATCAAACTGCAAGGCGGCAACGAGGCTGGGGGAGGGGCGCCCGCCATTGCCCAGGCTTGCTTAGGTAAACAAAGCAGCCGGGAAGCTCGAACTGGGTGGAGCCCACCACAGCTCAAGGAGGCCTGCCTGCCTCTGTAGGCTCCACCTCTGGGGGCAGGGCACAGACAAACAAAAAGACAGCAGTAACCTCTGCAGACTTAAGTGTCCCTGTCTGACAGCTTTGAAGAGAGCAGTGGTTCTCCCAGGACGCAGCTGGAGATCTGAGAACGGGCAGACTGCCTCCTCAAGTGGGTCCCTGACCCCTGACCCCCGAGCAGCCTAACTGGGAGGCACCCCCCAGCAGGGGCACACTGACACCTCACACGGCAGGGTATTCCAACAGACCTGCAGCTGAGGGTCCTGTCTGTTAGAAGGAAAACTAACAACCAGAAAGGACATCTACACCGAAAACCCATCTGTACATCACCATCATCAAAGACCAAAAGTAGATAAAACCACAAAGATGGGGAAAAAACAGAACAGAAAAACTGGAAACTCTAAAACGCAGAGCGCCTCTCCTCCTCCAAAGGAACGCAGTTCCTCACCAGCAACAGAACAAAGCTGGATGGAGAATGATTTTGACGAGCTGAGAGAAGAAGGCTTCAGACGATCAAATTACTCTGAGCTACGGGAGGACATTCAAACCAAAGGCAAAGAAGTTGAAAACTTTGAAAAAAATTTAGAAGAATGTATAACTAGAATAACCAATACAGAGAAGTGCTTAAAGGAGCTGATGGAGCTGAAAACCAAGGCTCGAGAACTACGTGAAGAATGCAGAAGCCTCAGGAGCCGATGCGATCAACTGGAAGAAAGGGTATCAGCAATGGAAGATGAAATGAATGAAATGAAGCGAGAAGGGAAGTTTAGAGAAAAAAGAATAAAAAGAAATGAGCAAAGCCTCCAAGAAATATGGGACTATGTGAAAAGACCAAATCTACGTCTGATTGGTGTACCTGAAAGTGATGTGGAGAATGGAACCAAGTTGGAAAACACTCTGCAGGATATTATCCAGGAGAACTTCCCCAATCTAGCAAGGCAGGCCAACGTTCAGATTCAGGAAATACAGAGAACGCCACAAAGATACTCCTCGAGAAGAGCAACTCCAAGACACATAATTGTCAGATTCACCAAAGTTGAAATGAAGGAAAAAATGTTAAGGGCAGCCAGAGAGAAAGGTCGGGTTACCCTCAAAGGAAAGCCCATCAGACTAACAGCGGATCTCTCGGCAGAAACCCTACAAGCCAGAAGAGAGTGGGGGCCAATATTCAACATTCTTAAAGAAAAGAATTTTCAACCCAGAATTTCATATCCAGCCAAACTAAGCTTCATAAGTGAAGGAGAAATAAAATACTTTATAGACAAGCAAATGTTGAGAGATTTTGTCACCACCAGGCCTGCCCTAAAAGAGCTCCTGAAGGAAGCGCTAAACATGGAAAGGAACAATCGGTACCAGCCGCTGCAAAATCATGCCAAAATGTAAAGACCATCGAGACTAGGAAGAAACTGCATCAACTAATGAGCAAAATCACCAGCTAACATCATAATGACAGGATCAAATTCACACATAACAATATTAACTTTAAATATAAATGGACTAAATTCTGCAATTAAAAGACACAGACTGGCAAGTTGGATAAAGAGTCAAGACCCATCAGTGTGCTGTATTCAGGAAACCCATCTCACGTGCAGAGACACACATAGGCTCAAAATAAAAGGATGGAGGAAGATCTACCAAGCCAATGGAAAACAAAAAAAGGCAGGGGTTGCAATCCTAGTCTCTGATAAAACAGACTTTAAACCAACAAAGATCAAAAGAGACAAAGAAGGCCATTACATAATGGTAAAGGGATCAATTCAACAAGAGGAGCTAACTATCCTAAATATTTATGCACCCAATACAGGAGCACCCAGATTCATAAAGCAAGTCCTCAGTGACCTACAAAGAGACTTAGACTCCCACACATTAATAATGGGAGACTTTAACACCCCACTGTCAACATTAGACAGATCAACCAGACAGAAAGTCAACAAGGATACCCAGGAATTGAACTCAGCTCTGCACCAAGCAGACCTAATAGACATCTACAGAACTCTCCACCCCAAATCAACAGAATATACATTTTTTTCAGCACCACACCACACCTATTCCAAAATTGACCACATAGTTGGAAGTAAAGCTCTCCTCAGCAAATGTAAAAGAACAGAAATTATAACAAACTATCTCTCAGACCACAGTGCAGTCAAACTAGAACTCAGGATTAAGAATCTCACTCAAAGCCGCTCAACTACATGGAAACTGAACAACCTGCTCCTGAATGACTACTGGGTACATAACGAAATGAAGGCAGAAATAAAGATGTTCTTTGAAACCAACGAGAACAAAGACACCACATACCAGAATCTCTGGGACGCATTCAAAGCAGTGTGTAGAGGGAAATTTATAGCACTAAATGCCTACAAGAGAAAGCAGGAAAGATCCAAAATTGACACCCTAACATCACAATTAAAAGAACTAGAAAAGCAAGAGCAAACACATTCAAAAGCTAGCAGAAGGCAAGAAATAACTAAAATCAGAGCAGAACTGAAGGAAATAGAGACACAAAAAACCCTTCAAAAAATCAATGAATCCAGGAGCTGGTTTTTTGAAAGGATCAACAAAATTGATAGACCGCTAGCAAGACTAATAAAGAAAAAGAGAGAGAAGAATCAAATAGACACAATAAAAAATGATAAAGGGGATATCACCACCGATCCCACAGAAATACAAACTACCATCAGAGAATACTACAAACACCTCTACGCAAATAAACTAGAAAATCTAGAAGAAATGGATACATTCCTCGACACATACACTCTCCCAAGACTAAACCAGGAAGAAGTTGAATCTCTGAATAGACCAATAACAGGCTCTGAAATTGTGGCAATAATCAATAGTTTACCAACCAAAAAGAGTCCAGGACCAGATGGATTCACAGCCGAATTCTACCAGAGGTACATGGAGGAACTGGTACCATTCCTTCTGAAACTATTCCAATCAATAGAAAAAGAGGGAATCCTCCCTAACTCATTTTATGAGGCCAGCATCATTCTGATACCAAAGCCGGGCAGAGACACAACCAAAAAAGAGAATTTTAGACCAATATCCTTGATGAACATTGATGCAAAAATCCTCAATAAAATACTGGCAAACCGAATCCAGCAGCACATCAAAAAGCTTATCCACCATGATCAAGTGGGCTTCATCCCTGGGATGCAAGGCTGGTTCAATATACGCAAATCAATAAATGTAATCCAGCATATAAACAGAGCCAAAGACAAAAACCACATGATTATCTCAATAGATGCAGAAAAAGCCTTTGACAAAATTCAACAACCCTTCATGCTAAAAACTCTCAATAAATTAGGTATTGATGGGACGTATTTCAAAATAATAAGAGCTATCTATGACAAACCCACAGCCAATATCATACTGAATGGGCAAAAACTGGAAGCATTCCCTTTGAAAACTGGCAAAAGACAGGGATGCCCTCTCTCACCGCTCCTATTCAACATAGTGTTGGAAGTTCTGGCCAGGGCAATCAGGCAGGAGAAGGAAATAAAGGGTATTCAATTAGGAAAAGAGGAAGTCAAATTGTCCCTGTTTGCAGACGACATGATTGTTTATCTAGAAAACCCCATCGTCTCAGCCCAAAATCTCCTTAAGCTGATAAGCAACTTCAGCAAAGTCTCAGGATACAAAATCAATGTACAAAAATCACAAGCATTCTTATACACCAACAACAGACAGAGAGCCAGATCATGGGTGAACTCCCATTCACAATTGCTTCAAAGAGAATAAAATACCTAGGAATCCAACTTACAAGGGATGTGAAGGACCTCTTCAAGGAGAACTACAAACCACTGCTCAAGGAAATAAAAGAGGAGACAAACAAATGGAAGAACATTCCATGCTCATGGGTAGGAAGAATCAATATCGTGAAAATGGCCATACTGCCCAAGGTAATTTACAGATTCAATGCCATCCCCATCAAGCTACCAATGACTTTCTTCACAGAATTGGAAAAAACTACTTTAAAGTTCATATGGAACCAAAAAAGAGCCCGCATTGCCAAGTCAATCCTAAGCCAAAAGAACAAAGCTGGAGGCATCACACTACCTGACTTCAAACTATACTACAAGGCTACAGTAACCAAAACAGCATGGTACTGGTACCAAAACAGAGATATAGATCAATGGAACAGAACAGAGCCCTCAGAAATAACGCCGCATATCTACAACTATCTGATCTTTGACAAACCTGAGAAAAACAAGCAATGGGGAAAGGATTCCCTATTTAATAAATGGTGCTGGGAAAACTGGCTAGCCATATGTAGAAAGCTGAAACTGGATCCCTTCCTTACACCTTATACAAAAATCAATTCAAGATGGATTAAAGATTTAAACGTTAAACCTAAAACCATAAAAACCCTAGAAGAAAACCTAGGCATTACCATTCAGGACATAGGCGTGGGCAAGGACTTCATGTCCAAAACACCAAAAGCAATGGCAACAAAAGACAAAATTGACAAATGGGATCTAATTAAACTAAAGAGCTTCTGCACAGCAAAAGAAACTACCATCAGAGTGAACAGGCAACCTACAACATGGGAGAAAATTTTTGCAACCTACTCATCTGACAAAGGGCTAATATCCAGAATCTACAATGAACTCAAACAAATTTACAAGAAAAAAACAAACAACCCCATCAAAAAGTGGGCGAAGGACATGAACAGACACTTCTCAAAAGAAGACATTTATGCAGCCAAAAAACACATGAAGAAATGCTCATCATCACTGGCCATCAGAGAAATGCAAATCAAAACCACTATGAGATATCATCTCACACCAGTTAGAATGGCAATCATTAAAAAGTCAGGAAACAACAGGTGCTGGAGAGGATGTGGAGAAATAGGAACACTTTTACACTGTTGGTGGGACTGTAAACTAGTTCAACCATTGTGGAAGTCAGTGTGGCGATTCCTCAGGGATCTAGAACTAGAAATACCACTTGACCCAGCCATCCCATTACTGGGTATATACCCAAATGAGTATAAATCATGCTGCTATAAAGACACATGCACACGTATGTTTATTGCGGCACTATTCACAATAGCAAAGACTTGGAACCAACCCAAATGTCCAACAATGATAGACTGGATTAAGAAAATGTGGCACATATACACCATGGAATACTATGCAGCCATAAAAAATGATGAGTTCATATCCTTTGTAGGGACATGGATGAAATTGGAAACCATCATTCTCAGTAAACTATCGCAAGAACAAAAAACCAAACACCGCATATTCTCACTCATAGGTGGGAATTGAACAATGAGATCACATGGACACAGGAAGGGGAATATCACACTCTGGGGACTGTGGTGGGGTCGGGGGATGGGGGAGGGATAGCATTGGGAGATATACCTAATGCTAGATGACACATTAGTGGGTGCAGCGCACCAGCATGGCACATGTATACATATGTAACTAACCTGCACAATGTGCACATGTACCCTAAAACTTAGAGTATAATAAAAAAAAAAAAAAAAAAAAAAAAAGCAGTGGCTGGTGTAGAATGGACTCAGCTCATTTTGAGCAAACGCCACATCAGATTCAGCTTCTGTGTAAACTGTGGGCAGCCAAAGAGCACAGGCTCTTTGAGAAGGAAAGCTGTGGCCAACAGCTTCAGCAGCTGTCATTCCATGCCAGGCACAGCCAGCTCCTCTGCCCTGTCCAAGCATGTGTCACGCTCTACCTGGGGAGGGATGCATGGACAGCCTCTCCTCCTTCTGGAAGCAGTTGGTGCTACTCATCTCAGGAAGATCTGTACTCAGACCTGTTCTTTATTCTTAAAACACGAAGACATTTCCTTCTTCCCCGGGACAATGTTTCATGTGTCAGTTCCAGCTGTTGTCTAAAGACATGAGTGGGTGGGAAAACTTCAGTGTGTTGCCTCAGCATTGCCCAAGCTCTAGGGGATTATGTGGATCCATGTCAGTGTTGGGGCTGCCAGGAGACTGTGAGCTCTTTGAGGATGGCAGCCATGCCTGGCTCATCTTTGGAGTCCTAGCACCAAGCCAGGGTGGGCAACGCCATAGAAGGGGGTGGGGGAATGAGTGGATGATGAGGTCAGGCCTGGCCACCTTCTCTCCAGGCCTGTGGCAGGTGTACTGTGTCCACAGAAGGACAGCAGGGTCACTGCCAAGGGGGGACCCAAGGACCCAAACCTTGGGTTGTCCCTGTTTATAGACACTGGACAGATGGGAGCCACATGAGGGCATCTCCCCACTCCCAGCTTCTCAGAGCACTGCTATAAACCATGTGGCACATGCCAATAGGCATGTGATTTATGGTGAGTTTTTAGGCAGAACGGCCAACTCCATTATAAAGAAACTCCATTTTCAGAGCATTGGTTAATTGAGCCATCACAGCACTTGATTTCATTGTGCTGTTGGCACTCTTTCCAGACTGAGTTAATCACTGCCATCCTTATGAGAAACTGCCTGCCTGTGGACAAGACTTGCCTGAAGCAGGTGCTTCTCCTGGGAGCTCTGGATGACTCTGCTGCCCTTGGTTCTCAGTTATTTTATAGGATCACAGAAACCTGTATTGGAAGAGACCTTAGAGGTCATCCATTCTACAAATATTTAGCCACACCTGTTGTGTTGCGAGTGCTGCCTGATTGTGATGGTTCAGAGGATATCAGTATCCAAAACTCTGACTTATTTGGTATTTTCTTTTGGAAATGTAAAATTACTTTCAGGAACACATTCAGGCTCTGCTCGTCCACTCCTCATTAGAATTCACTCCTTTGAATAAATACAGAGCACCTTCTGTTAAGGGAGCAAGCATAAGGAAGGTTCCGAGCACACAGTAGGTTTTCAGTGAATATTTCTTTTCTTCGCTGTCTGTGATTTGTTGTTGTTGTTTTAAATTTTTAAAAAGCACCTGTTAATAACTACTCTTGGAGCAGGCAACATGTCTTTTTATTGCTGTAACTCAGTCACAGCCTCTTATGGAAAACTCCCAGGTTCATCCAACTTCATCTCCCTGGATTTGGGAAAGACTTCTCATGAAAGGAATCCGATGGGCCTGTCTCCCCCTGCCTGTTTCATGAGCAGCTTCCTCTGAAATCCAGAGCAGGTGAGACTGGAGACAGGAGAAACTTAGCATTTTGCTGCTTCCAAGCAGCTCTTGATTACCTGTGTTTTGTGCATTTTGTGACAACTTGGTCCCACTGATCTGCAGGACTGGGTCTTTTACTAGGGTGGCTTCTTTCTCTGTGAAAGTTTTAGAGATGACTCACGCAAGAAGAAGGTGTACACAGAGATGGGAGCCTGTATGAAGCTTATGCCTGGGGTGCTTTAGCACAGCCCCTTCTCCCTTCTGGGCTTTGGTTCCTTCCCCCAGGTCCGTTCTCCCCTCTCTCCAGGGGTAAACAGTTCTCATTCTGCTAAGTCATTCTGCCGCATTGAGGGCACTCAGCTGTGCCCTCATCCTTCACACACTCACCCTTGGCTCCCAGGGCTGAATTCTTCCTTGGTTGCTGGCCACCTGTGGCACGTGTACTGCCAACTCCTTCACCTGCTCTTCCTTGGTTGCTTCCTTAAGTCAGCCTTCTGCCCTGGGCCTCTCTTCTTTTCTTCCACCAGATGACACTCTCCACCCGGTGACCCCTTTACTTCTCATCCCCCAGTTTACTCAAGTCTCGTATCTCCTCTGACGCCAGAACCCACAGGTCCAGCCACCTCCTCGGTCCCTAACACAATCTTCCAGTGTCTCCATGGGCGGGAAGGATACTACCTGCTGTTTTCATAAGCCTCTGCCCACTCTGAAGATTAGCCTCCCTAACAACTTTGTTATGGGTTTGTAGACTTTATTTTTAACCATTTGTATTAATAGGTACCATTCAATGTCTAATAATAAAGCAAACCCATATGTACCCACCACCCAGTGGAAGTACGTCTTTCATTAATACCTCAGAAGTCCTTCAATGGGCCTTTCCCTAATTAGATGCTCTCCCATCCACTCCTCAAGAGATCACCACTCTATTAAGAGTGTATTAAGCATTCCCTTGCTTTTCTGCATAGTTTTGCCACATGTGTATATATCGCTAAACCAGAAGTTGGCAAACTTTTTCTCTAAGGGTCAGAGAGTAATTTTTAAAAAAGTTTTTTATTCAGGTTGTACAGTCTCTGCTGCAGATATTTGACTCTTTTGTAGCCAGAAAGCAGCCATAGACCAATATGTAAATGAATGGGCATGGCTGTCTTCCAATAAAACTTTAATTACAAAAACAGGCCATAGGCTAGATTTGGCCTGAGGGTTATAGTTTGCTGACCCCTGCCCTAAATAATCTGTTATTCAGTTTTACCTGTTTTTGACCTTTATATGAATAGAATCATACTAGAGACTCATAATGTATGTGTTCTTTTGTAACTTCCTTCTTTTTTTTTAATGTTAAATTTTTGTGATTCATCCATGCTGATCAATTTGGTTAGCCTTGGTTAATTTTCCTGCTGGATTAGTATTTCATTGTATGGAAATACTGCAGTGTATTTATCCATTCTGTTGGTAGTGGACATTGTTTTTGCAAGTTCTACTGTAGGTAAAATGCTGTCAAGTAGCATTGCATGCTACAGAGAAATCTTTTGTGAAAGGAAAAATCAACCAATGCAGCAAATATTGTTGTCTTATTTTAAGAAATTGACACAATGACTCCACCCTTCAGCAACCACCACCCTGATCAGTCAGCAACCATCAGGATCGACACAAGTCCCTCCATCAGCAAAAAGATTACAATTTGCTGAAGGTTCAGATGGTCCTTAGCATTTTTTAGCAATAAAATATTTTAAAATTAAGGTATGCAGATTGTTTTTATTTTTTAAGACAATGCTATTGCAAACTATGATTTCTTTATTTTCTTTCTTTCTTTTTTCTTAGAGGTAGGGTCTCACTTTTGTCACCCAGGCTAGAGTACAGTGGCACGATCACGGCTCACTGCAGCCTTGACCTCCGGAGCCCCAGGTAATCCTCCTGCCTCAGCCCCCTGAGTAGCTGGGACTATAGGTGCACAGCACCATGCCCTGCTAATTTTTGTATTTTTAGTCGAGATGGGGTTTTGCCATGTTGTCCAGGCTGGTCTCGAACTCTTGGGCTCGAGCAATCCATCTGCCTTTGCCTCCCAAAGTGCTGGGATTACAGGCATGAGCCTGCAAACTACGATTAATATATTCAAGGAAACAGAGGGAAAATGGACAAAATAGATGAAAGGAAGGAGAATACTCCCAGAGTCTTAGAATTTTTTTTGAAAGAGCCAAATGGACATTCTAGAACTAAAAAATAACAATGTCTGAAATTAAGATAACAATGGATAGATTTAACAGCAGATTGGAGACATCAGTGGCCAGGATTAGTGACCTGGAAAGCAGATTAATAGAAAATACCCAAATAGAATCAGAGAGTACCAAGAATCAGGGAAAAATAATTGATGAGTGTAAAAAATATTGTGCATGGCCAGCATGGTGGCTCCTGTCTATAATCCCAGCATTCGGAAGGCTGAGGCAGATGGATTGGTTGAGCCCAGGAGTTTGAGATCAGCCAGGGCAACATGGCGAAACCCCATCTGTACAAGAAATACAAAAATTAGCTGGGCATGGTGGTGCACACCTGTAATCCCAGCTACTTGGGAGGCTGAGACGGGAGGATCACTTTAGCCCAGGAGGTCGAGGCTGCAGTGAGCCATGTTTGTGCCACTTCACTCTAGCCTGGGCAACAGAGCAAGACCCTATCTCAAAGAAAAATGAAAGACCTAGCATGTCTGTAATTGGAGTCCCAGAAGTAGAAGCAAGGAGAGAGAATAGAGCGGAAGCAATATTCATGGAGAGAATGAGAATTTTCTAAAAACTGATGAGTCTACAGATTTAAGAAGCTGAATGAACCTCCAGCCATCGTAAATAGACTTAGCTCTAGAAATCAGTCCGTTGTTGCTTTGTAAGTAAGACATACATTATATTCTTTTTAGCCACTTATTAGTTTTATGACCTTGAACAGGTCCCTTGACCTTGTTAAGCCTCAGTTTCGCCATCTGAAAAAAATGGGGGTTAAAGACTGTGAAAAAGTGCCCTAGAAACTAAGTTTTAAGGAAATAGCAGGGGGTATCACCATTGTTATTCTAGCTTGACTGCCTCTGGGATAGCCTGTATGGGGTGAGCTTAAGAGCCATATCCTATACTCTGGCCAGCCTCTTTCCACTGCCTTTCAAGGAGACTTGGGGTGTGGTGACTGACCTAGGGGCATAGGCCTGCAGTGAAGTAGCAGCAAGATTTAAAGTGAATCCAGTTTCTGAATGGATGTAGTCATTGCTTTGTCCTCCCAGGATTCTGGTAATTGAGAGATGACCAGGGTTGGCTTTCTGGGGTCACGTGATCCATCCTGATCCAGCTCCCAGCCACACACCTTCCTTAGGTCTGTCTTGGTTCCACCATATCCACCCTGCTTGGGGCTGAGCCAGAATCCCCCCACCCTCCAAGGTCCCATAGCTTTCCCCTACACTTGCCAGTAGTTTAGATCTCCATTTTCCACGCCCTGCTTCCCTGCCCCCATCTCTTGATAGTGTCCAGTGACAGTAGACAGATCTCTTGACTTCTCATGTTGCATTCAGTTTTCCAGATGGAAAACATTTGGTAAAATGTCCTGACTCAGATGGACATTGGCATTATGGAAGGGTTATTATAAAGAAAGGAAAAGTCAGCTGGACCGTAGCACATGAACATCAGTACTTCATAGATGGGGAAAAGAAGAGGGGCAGTAATGTTTCCTTCATCGTGTATAAAATGAGAAGCAACATGATATGGAAGTTTATAGGACAAGTCTTGGAGTCAGACAACTGGGTTTTTATCTCTAGAGTCTCCTACTGGCCAGCTTTAATGTGTTACCTTAAGCAAGTTAGTTTAACCTTTCCCAAATCTCAGCCAGGTGCGGTGGTTCACGACTGTAATCCCACACTTTGGGAGGCCAAGGCGGGCGGATCACCTGAGGTCAGGAGTTTGAGACCAGCCTGGCCAACATGATGAAGCCCCTTCTCTACTAAAAATACAAAAATTTGTCGGGTGTGGTGGCGGTCACCTGTAATTCCAGCTACTCAGGAGACTGAGGCAGGAGAATCGCTTGAACCTAGGAGGTGGAGGTTGCAGTGAGCCTTGATCATGCCATTGTACTCCAGCCTGGGTGACAGAGCAAGACTCTGTCTCAAAAAAATCAAACAAACAAACAAAAAAACTTTCCCAAATCTCAGTTACTTCTGTGAAATGAAGGAATAGTCGTATGCATAGGCTCGTTGTAAGGTTTAAGTGAACTAATATAAATGAGGCACTCAATAAGTGTTCAACAAATAGTAATTGCTGTTGTTAGTATTCTAAAAATTATTTTACCAGCTAAGCTAAGGTTTTCTCTTGAGCCAGTGGCTTATCAGCAAACTCAATAGTCTGATAGATAGATAAATGTAGATCTAGCAAGAGCAATGATACTTCTGTTACTACTGACAGCTGTCACTTACTGTCTAGATCCCTTTAGTTAAGGCAACGGTTTGTATCTGGAAGGTCTGTCCTTTAGCAAAAGAGTAGACTCAGGTTCCTACCACAGAAAGCAAGCCCTATGCCATTCAAACTTTTTTTGTCTTCTCTGTTTTATCAGTTACAAGGAAAGTGTTCTGAGTTGACCATTGAGAATAAACAACCTTAGTAAGTAAAATTGCTGGTAGGTTCACTCTTTAGAATACTTACTTAGATTGCTCTTATTCCCTGTTCAGATCATCTGATGGGGAAGCAGCCAGTGGTTATTGCTACCCTGCCCTTACATAGACACCCAGTAATCCTTTATTTCCAAGAGTATTTTTCCTGAGTGTTTCTTAGAGTCCTAGGGCTTGCAATGATTTCTACTGAATAAGCCATTGTTGATATTTTATAACCCTTATCAATTGTTTGATGTCTTTGCCCTCTTCCTGACTACTTGCCATTGAAAGACCAGGAACCTTGACTCATTCATCTTTGTATCTTTGATTAGCAGAATGTCTGGTGTATAGTAAATGTTCAATAAATGTTTGAATGAATAAAAGTACCATGTGCTAGATATTATCTTCTTACCCTTCCACCTCAGATTCATCCTCTACCCTTCTTGACACTGCTCTGGTCCCTGAGGGGCTAACTTGCAGACATCAGTGGGCTCCCAAGCCCTCTGGCTTCTAGCTGGGTTTATCCAATGGCAAGTGGAAATCAAAGGGAGAGAGGCGAGGGTGTTTGCTCCCCCAGTTCCCCACTCCTGTGAGGTTGCCATGTGCTGACTGTGTCCCCCAACAGGTAGCTTGCTCTACGTGACCCCTCCCCCTCCCAGGGTCTGTAGCCTCTCCATCCCCTCATTCTTTTAGGCCAAGGAGTGGTGACAGCTAGCACCAGGCTGCTGCACCATCCTTACAGATTCCCTGTACCCCACTCACACCCGTATAATTAGTTTCTTTGTCAATTAACCCTCCACAAATTATCCTAATTGGACTGTACCTGCTCCTTCCTGTTGGGAAGCAGCAGGCCTCAATTGCTTATAGAGATTTTCAATTGTTTGAGTTGGACACTGGGGCTCCAGGTGACTCATAAAGCGACATAGTGCAGTTCTTCCAAGAATGTGGGACATGGCTAGCCATTAAGGGCACTCTGATGCGTGGCAGCTTTGGGGAAATAAATAGCAGTTTGGGAAACTATTCTTTGTTTAGGAGAGACTTTCTCCCACGGATAACGTGTAGGATCTTATTTTAGACTGACTGTTAAGTCTCTGAAGTTGCCCCTTTTCATGGTTGTGTATCTGACTCAGCATGGGTTGTTCATCTGACTCAGCATGGGTTGTTCCAGGAGAACGCGGGACCAAATTTAACAGGGCAGAGGATACAGGCTTGAAGCACTGGCTTTGCCAATAGAAGACTTTCTAAGGAATGACTTTGTCTCATTCAACATTTAAATTTTCACTCTTTGGGCTGTTTTTCTGCAGGTGATCATAAACAGCACAATCACACCGAATATGACCTTCACCAAAACGTCACAGAAGTTTGGGCAGTGGGCCGACAGCAGAGCCAACACAGTGTTTGGTTTGGGGTTTTCCTCTGAGCAGCAGCTGACAAAGGTAACTTGGTCCTATCCACAGTGCAGTAAATCCCGCATCAGATGCCATTCTCATCAGTGATTGCCCGCCGAGGGATGTGCCCTTGGTGAGCAGGATTCCTTTCTGGTCTTTGGTTTCACTCCTCCTGGCATCACGGGGCTGCCAAAGCAGAGGCCCTTTTGAAATACCAGGTTCACGGAAGTCATCTGGGGAAGGGAAATTCGTATCTAACAAATGCTGCTTTGGGGCCTGAAGTTGCAGTGTGGCCAGTCCATCCTCCCCTCCAGGTGTCAGCCACTGCTCCCTGTGCCCGGTGGTATCAGCGCACAGACTGAGCGCTGGCTTGTGTGCCAAAACCAGATCCATTGGGTTTTCAGGACTCTGAGGATTAGGTGACCTTCCTGTGTGAGGGCACAGTTATCGGAGGGTTGTTACTATAGAACTTCCAAGGAAGAGACTGTGTTCCTGCTGCCAAGAATGCATCTTGATGAAATAAGCATGTTACCCCTTTTGAAGTAAGGCACACTTTGTCTCTGACAGCCATCAACGTCAGTGACTCTGTTTTTGGAGCTCTTGGGGAGTAAGGTGATGCATAATGGAAGCGCTTAGCTTGGACTCCCCACGTGCCTTAAAATGCCACACAGTGGTGTGTGTATGTTACTTTTTTTCTAGGGAGAGGATTCATAGCTCCAAGTCACTTCTCCAAGGGCCCTGGGACAAACTCCTTGGATGGTTAGAAAGGTGTTGAGGAGCAAATCATGGCTGACCACAGACTTGGAGAACCTCAAGAACTGAGGGAATAAACTGATCGCCTCTGAGAGGCCTTACTCAGCAGTTTAAAGGGGCTGAGAGCCTGTTTTAGAGACTACATTTCCTTTTAGGGTGGTAGAAGAGCCCTTTGTAAGTATTTAGAATATTTTGGTTTAAGGTAAGACTGACTAGTTTACAAGTCAAAGAAATTTATTGGAAGAATGTTGGAGTCTCTCAAGGAGTGCAGGAGAGAGCTGCAAACCCAGGGAAGGGCCAGAGCCAGACTTGCTTCTGGCAGCTTGGCTCTAAGAATTGTTTTTCTCTAGACCCTTGCTGTGAACATCTGACTGACTGGCTGGACAAGTGCTGACCCAGCCTCTGCTCTGCTGACACCATCCTCAGCACTGAGGATGCAGAGATGTGGCCCTTGTTCCAGGGCTTCACAAATTTCCAGATTCTTGGGGAATTGACAGAGTTGCCTAGAACAGACTTGACTGCTTGGGTTACTTGTGTGTATTGAAGACAGTTTTCAAAGAGGGGGAAATTAGGGTGAGTCAGGAAGCCTCCCACAGCAGAGGCCTGCTAACTGGTCCCCTTCCTTTGTCCAGTGTGTGTGCATGTGTGTGTATACTCACATATATGTGTGCACGCACACACACTTCTAAGGAGGTCCCCAGCGCACAGATCCGGCCATCCCATACCCAGTCACAAATGAGCACCCCAGTGGGGATACCCCACAGACTGTCCTCTGCATCCCAAGGAACTTCCACGAAGACTCTGTTTCCTTAGAAGCCTGAGAAGTCCAAAATGGCCTGATGGCACTCTGAGCATCCACCCTTGTGCCGCCCTCTTACAGAAGCATTCTTTCCTGGGTGCTAAAACCTCCAGATCACCAGGGCCTGGAAACATGGACAAAAAGCAAAAATCTCGAGGGCAGGTCATTGGACATAGTTATGGGAGACGTCCTCTCTGTCCACAATCCCTCACTTCCTGGGCTTGTGTGCTGTGATCCTGGATGTTCAGCAGGCACGAGTGCAGCACAGTTCTGCAAGGCCTGCCACTTCTGGCTGATACGGTACCTGGGAGGAGCTGAGAATCCTATGGCAATCACTGTTGCTTCACTTCATATGCAGAGAAGTGAGTTCTCTGCAGCCTCACTTGGTTTGAAGCAGTGTCATGTGGGACAGAAAGTATTGGGTAAATCTTTGGCTGATAGGGCTGGCAGAGGCATGGCGGTCCACAGTATCTATTCTGGTGATGATAAATCACTCTTCCCCTGGAATAAGGGGCCCAGTGGAATCAGCCTTCACCAGGGAGCTGGCTGGTGCCTAGAGGTGTGATGCTTGGCGTGGGTCACTGTGTTGACAGTAGGATGCTCAGCAGGGCCGGGAGTCAGGGTGGCTGTGGAGAGCAGGAGTATGTGTTTTCAAGGCCATTTGGTGCCTTTTTCCCTGGCACCATGGCCAGTGTGTCCTTAAGTCTTTTGAGCAAGTACCAGGCTGCCTGGAGAAAGTGAATGACTGGGTATCCATAGAACAGCCCCTCCTGCCACCTAGTTTGAAATATTCTGTTTTGCTGTAAAGGCCTCTGAAGAGCATGCATATGGAACATGAGTATTTTCAGGCTCTGGTTCCATTTGGACCCATTGATGTTGCTGTTGCTCAAACCTCTTTGTCACCTTGTTTCTTCCCGGTTCCTCCTCATGCAGCTAGGCCCTTAACCATTCCCACTGAGATGTCAAATCCAGGCCACCTCTGCTGTGCATGTGGCACCATGAGATGTTCGGGGTTTGTCCACAGGGAAGATTTCCCTTTTCCGTCGTCTGCCCGACAACAGGATAGCTGGAGGGAAGTCGTGGCACTGTGAGGTGTGTGAGGGAAGCTGTGGAGAGTTCACTGTTGATGGAGTGTCCAGGATTTTCGGGTGGGTAAGGCTGCTAAGGTCCAGTCGTGGAAGGCTTTATTGGTCATGCCAGAGCTTCTGGACTTTGTCCTATGGCCTGAGAAGGATTTTAAGACCAGAAGGAAAATGCTCAGATGCATTTTAGGTAGAATTTTTTCTGGCAGCAAGTCAGATTAGATTGTTTTAGTCCAGGGTAGAACTGATGAAGGGTTAAGAGTTGGAGAAATTTTAAAAATACCGAGGCACAAATATTGGCAAAACTGGGGTGAATAGAAGAGGAAGAAGAGATTCTGGGGTGATGAGGGATGGAGGGTGGTGAGGCCGTTTTCTGAAATGGGGAAGAGGAACAGGAACAGGTGCTGTGAGGAGCAGAGAGAATTTGTTTAAAGCAGAAGCAAATGAGATGGTGACTTGTTGAAAGAATAATTAGCTGGAACCTCTGTCTGAGGGGGTAATGGGGGTGTATGTCTTTCCCTCCTGAAGTGGTCCTTGGTGAGGAAGGGTGTGTTGGGAACTCCCTTCCCCTCAGCCGAGTGGCCCCTTCCCACACCTGCCTCATATCCTGGCAAATAGGCTTGGGAGCTTCTGTCCAAGACGTGATCCCTGGCAGGCCCGTCCTGGTCATGTGCTCCTGTTCCCTCCCAGGGCTGGAAGTTCTTCCCTGAAGCCAAGGATGGTTTGAGAGAATCACTCACAGCTGCCTGGAACAATTTCTTCAATCTTTAAAGGAACCCAAGCAGCTAGGTAGAAAGGGGGGAAGGTTTCTATGAAAAGAATCGACAGCAAGAACTCCCCACGAAAACCAGAACACATTGTCCAAGTTAAATGCTCTGTGCCTCTCTGAGAACTGAAGAGACCTTGAGCTGTGCTGGCTTCCAGGGATGGCCACATCTAATTTTTCCCAGACAGAAGAAAATGTCCTATCATTAAGGAGGAGTGCACCGTCCTGCCAAGCCACTCAGCCTCTGGTGCAGTGCTGGAGTTCTGCTCGGTGCCCACAACCTCCATCGTCACAAAGACTTGTCAGAGAAGCCCTCAGATAACCCCTTTGTCCAAATGTTTCAAATCAACTTCTTCCCCTGCTCTCTGAAGGAAATGATTAACCACACGCTGATAAATTATCATGAAGTGAGTCTGGCCATCTCAACAAGTGACAGTTAGCTAGCACAGAGGAACTTGGCCTCCAGGGCTCCCAAGGCGTGTGCTGAGGGGACAGCCAGGCTGAGTATTCCTGACTTCCCAGAGCAACCACCCACAGCCCTGTAGGGAAATGGTAATCAAGCACTATAACTAGGCTAGAGAAAGGAACACCAGTGTGGACATTTTCATCTAAGAACACTTTATACATACTTCCCTCTCTACCCCCCAGAAAGAAAATAGATGCCTTGGTCTTAACTGCTCCATTATAAGGACTATTTCCCAACCACAGTCCAAAAAGTATTATTACAGGGCAATTTCCTGCTCTTTAGATAGGCTGTCCAAAAATAGTAGAAGCTGTGTTTTCTCAGAAGTAAACTGGGACTCGTCTGTCCACCCACTGGAGAGGACATAAAACCCCAGCCTACTGAAGGAAATTGAAAAGGCACTTGCATGTGCTGATAAAAGGAAGAGCTTATGAAAGGAGACAGAAGGAGGAACAAATATAAGAATGAGCCAGTGGTTAAAGTTTAGTTTCTTTCTGGCATTTGACCTCGAGTTGTCACTGTTCTAAGTTTGGTTCCATCTTATTCATTACAGGCAGAAGGAAACATATTCTGCCCTTAATGGGGAGCGACCCAGGATGGCGTTGCCAGTGCACCATGGTTGATCTGGCCAAACCCCGATACGTGCATGGCATTTGCTTTTGACCCACTTCAGTGATTTCATCTGTAATTCAAATTTGTCCCCATGTAGTCACTTTATTCACTCAGTATCGTAAGAACATTGTTTTATCTCCTCCCTTTCTGGGTCCTGATTTAACAGCTAATGTTTAAAATGGAGGATATTAATAATTATTTTGACATGTTTTAGGTAGAAAGCTTTTGGCTGCAAGTAACAGGTAACCTAATCACCGTGCTTAAATACATGGGATAATTTCCTCTCATGTGAAGAAGTCCTGAGGCAGGTGGTTGCTAGTACAGTGGCTCCATGATGTTGGGTCTGACAATCTGCATGGATTTCATTTGTTTCTTTTTTCTTTTATCGGCCTTTCCTTTGTGGTGATAAGATGGCTTCTAAAGCTCTACCCATCACACCTGCATTCTTGGCGAGAGGGAGGAGGAAGAGGCTGGTACCACAGCAACCCCCCTGGCAGACTTCTGGGGCCCCATTATCAATGCTGGGTCCCTAGCCCATTCCCCTACCCCACCAAAAACCAGGGAAACGGATTTCCATGATTGGCTTAGACTAGCTTTCATTCTCTAGCACCTAGGAAATTTCCTGCTCCAGAAAAACTTGAGACTCTGTTAAGCTACGGGAAAAGAAACAGATTTTGAATAAACAAACAGTAGTGTTTGCTTCAGGTCTTCAATGGCTAAGGCCAAAAGAAGCCACAAATGAAATCAAACAGTAATGGTTTCATTTTCTATCATGATAATGATTTTGTTTAAAATTATTACCACAATTTTAATAAGTACCAAAAAATGACCTTAATGAAGATGTGAGAATTTTGCAATACATTTCGGAAACCTTTGCAATTTGAATATCCTTTGATCCATGGATTTCATTGACAAGAATCTATTCTAAGGAAACAATTGTAACTGAGTATAAGGATATCAGTACAAAGATTGCAGCATCATTTATAACATAAAAAAAATTTAAAAGCCCTAACATCCAGTACTAGGAAATTGGTTAAACTGCAGTGTATCCTTCAGGGTAATATGTAGCGATCAAGATGTGTAATAGAGGCTGGGCGTGATGGCTCATGCCTGTAATCGGAGCATTTTGGGAGACCCAGGCGGGTGGATCACCTGAGGTCAAGAGTTCGAGACCAGCCTGGCCAACATTGTGAAACCCTGTCTCCTCTAAAAATACAAAAATTAGCTAGGTGTGGTGGCAGGCGTCTGTAATCCCAGCTACTTGGGAGGCTGCAACAGGATAATCACTTGAACGCGGGAGGCAGAGGTTGCAGTGAGCAAGATCACGCCACTGCACTCCAGCCTGGGTAACAGAGTGAGACTCTGTCTCAAAAAAAAAAAAAAAAAAAAAAAAAAGATGTTTAGTAGAAAATCATATAATTGCATGGAAGTATTAATATCATATTGTTTATTTCAAAAGAGGCCATAAAATGAGATATATAATCTATTTTAAAAGAAATGTAGGTAATGAATGCAAATATACAGACAGAAAAATATCAGAAGATTATGTGGTTTGTTCTTATCTTGGATGATGGTGTTGCAGGGCAGGGGAGCTCATAAATTGGGGCTCCACCTGGGAAGGTTCTTGGCTTTGCCTGGGAGGGAATTATGGGGTGAGTTGGTGGTAGAAGAAAACAGCTTTATTGAGGTGGCAGTGTTACAGCCCTGTGGCTGCTCCTGCAAAGCAGGGATACCCTGTAGGCAGTGTGTCGAGAGGAGCAGCTATGCGGCAGTTCTGTGGTCGCATTTATACCTACTTTTAATTACATGCAAATTAAGGGGCAGGTTATTCAAACATTTCCAAAAAAAGTGTGGTAACTTCTAGGTCATTGCCAGGGAATGAGTAAACTGTCATGGCTCTGGTGAGCCCATTAACCAGTCTTCCGTCTAGTCCAGAGTTGAGTCCTGCCTCCTACCTCAATGGGACTGTAGGTCTAAATATATATATATATATATAGCTGAGCGCAGTGGCTCATGCCTCTAATCCTAGCACTTTGGGAGGCCAAGACAGGCGAATCACCTGAGGTCAGGAGTTTGAGACTAGCCTGGCCAACATGGTGAAGCCCCGTCTCTACTAAAAATACAAAATTAGCCGGGCGTGGTGGCGCATGCCTGTAATCCCAGCTACTCAGTAGGAGGCTGAGGCAGGAGAATCACCTGAGCCTGGGAGGTGGACGTTGCAGTGAGCCAAGATCGTACCACTGCACTCCAGCCTGGGAGATACAGTAAGATTCAGTCTCAAAAGGGGAAAAAAAAAAAAAAAAATATATATATATATATATAAAATAAATAAGTGATATATATAACTTATGTAACTTAAAAGTTAAAAAATATATATTTTTCCAGATCATCTCCCTCCTCCTACCCTCCACCCTCCACCCTCCAGTAGGCTTCTGTGTGTGTTGTTCTTCTCTATATGTCCATGTGTTCTCATCATTTAGCTCCTACTTATAAGTGACAAATGGGATCTAATTAACCTAAAGAGCTTCTGTACAGCAAAAGAGACTATCAAAAGAGTAAACAGACAACCTACAGAATGGGAGAACATTTTTGCAAACTGTGCATCTGGCAAAGGTCTAATATCCAGCATCTATAAGGAACTTAAATTTACAACAACAACAATAAAAAAACCATTAAAAAGTGGGCAAAGGACATGAACAGACACTTTTCAAAAGAAGACATACATGCAGCCAACAATCATATGAAAAAAATATTTTTTTCTAAATTGTATTTTCCAAATTTACAAGCATATATATATATTTTTTTAAGAATAAGGGGGAAATATTAGAAAATGCAAGACTTGGAGGGAGGCGATTTTTCACCAAAGGACAATTACTAGGCGGCTCTCATGACTGGCAGTTTTCTTCTGCTAGTTGGAGGCTTTGAGAGGAAGTTTCTCTCTATCATTCTCCTAGGGCCCACTGGGTTGTTTCCAGTGTTCCATATTTGTAGACAATGCTGGAATTAACATCTTGGTATTGAGGGCCTTTTTTCCCCCCATATTCTCAATTATTTTGGCAGAATGGTTTCCCAGAAGCAGTATCACTGGGTCAGTAGGTATGAATGTTTTTTTCACTAACAAGACATATTTCCAAATAGTTTCTCAGTGGGGCTGCACCAATACACAACACTACCAGAAATATCTTGCCAGCACAGGGAATCTAATTGTCTTTAGTGTTTGCTCATTTCACAGGCAAACAATGGTACCTCGTTATTTTGATTTACATTTCCAACAAGGCTGAATGGTGTTTTCTATAAGCTGTTACTGCATTTTTTATTCCTGAATTTTGCCATTTATTTACTGGGCTTGTCATACTTTTCAGTTTGTACAAACTCTTGCCATACTAAAGAAAATAGCCCTTTTTCTGTTGTACTAGCTTAGCTATAGATATTTTCCCAAGGCTGTTGTTTCCCTTCTGGTTTAGTTTTTTTTTTTTTTCCTTTTATATTCAAAAGCTTTAAATTATTATGTAGTGAAGTCTGTCACTTTTGTGGGTTTTAAGAAATTTCTTCCAAGTTTAGAAAATTATCCACCCACCTCTCAAGCAGAAGCTTGATACATGCTCAGTTCTGTTTGCATCCAGAATTTTTTTTTCTTCAGAAGCATCCTGATTTTTTAAAGTTTGATTTTCTTTTTCTTGCCCCTTTAACTCATCAATAATTTATCATGCTACAGGTTTGTGGGATTTAAATTCATTTCTCTCAATTTACTAAAGTTATCTCAATTATATGTTGAATAATCTTCCTCATTAATTTCTGTTTCCCCCTTAGTCATAAGCTAATTTTTTATATAAAAGTTGAGGCCCATTTCTCACCTGTTTGTTCTGTTCCATCATGCATCTACTAATACCACACCTTTAAAAATGATTATTTATTTAAAATGTATCTGATAGGGTATATTAGTCCATTTTCACGCTGCTGATAAAGATATACTCAAGACTGGGCAATTTACAAAAGAAACAGGCTTATTGGACTTACAGTTCCACGTGGCTGGGAAGGCCTCACAATCATGGCGGAAGGTGGAGAGCATGTCTCACATGGCAGGAGATGAGAGAAAAGAGCTTATGGGAGGAAACTCTCATTTTTAAAACCATCAGATCTCCTGAGACTTATTCACTATCATAAGAACAGCACAGGAGAGACCCGCCCCGATGATTCAGTTACTCCCACCAGGTTCTTCCCATGACATGTGGGAATTGTGGGAGTTACAATTCAAGATGAGATTTGGTTGGGGACACAGAGTCAAACCATATCTTTCCATCCCCTCCCAAATCTCATGTCATCACATTTCAAAACCAGTCATGCCTTCCCAACAGTCTCCCAAGGTCTTAACTCATTTCAGCATTAACTCAAAAGTCCACAGTCCGGTCTCATCTGAGACAAGGCAAGTCCCTTCTGCCTATGAGCCAGTAAAATAAAAAACAAGTTACTTCCTAGGTACAATGGGGGTAGAGGCATTGGGTAAATACACCTATTCCAAATGGGAGAAATTGACCAAAACAAAGGGGCTACAGGCCCCATGCAAGTCCAAAATCCAGCAGGGCAGTCAAATCTTAAAGTTGCAAAATGATCTCCTTTTAATCCATGTCTCACATCCAGGTCACACTGATGCAAGAGGTGGGCTCCCATGGTCTTGGGCAGCTCTGCTCCTGTGGCTTTGCAGGGTACAGGCTCCCTCCTGGCTGCTTTCACGGGCCGGCATTGAATGTCTGTGGCTTTACCCAGGCACACGGTGCAAACTGTCAGTTGATCTACTATTCTGGGGTCTGGAGGATGGTGGCCCTCTTCTCACAGCTCCACTAGACAGTGCCCCAGTAGGGACTCTGTGGGGGACTTTGACCCCACATTTCCCTTCTGCACTGCCCTAGCAGAGTTCTCCATGAGAGCCCCACCCCTGCAGCAAACTTCTGCCTGGACATACAGACGTTTCCATACATCCTCTGAAATCTAGGCAGAGGTTCCCAAACCTCAATTCTTGACTTCTGTGTACCTGCAGGCCCAACGCCATGTGGAAGCTGCCAAGGCTTTGGGCTTGCACCCTTTGAAGCCATGGCCCGAGCTGTCCCTTGGCCCCTCCTAGTCACAGCTGGAGCTGCTGGGATGCAGGTCACCAAGTCTGTAGACTGCACACAGCATGGGGATCCTGCCAAAGCTCGGGGACACAGCCAAACCATATCATAGGGCTTATCCTATCTCATTATATTTTAAGCTTACTGTCTGAAATTTTCTTTTTGATTCTCACATGTTTGAATGTAAACAAAATCTTTTTCTTAGATACACTTGGAGCTCCTTTGAAGACCAGAACCAAGTCTTTTACATGATTTTTTTTTCCTAAAGTGGACAGGGCTGTGCAAGCCTAAAACTCGTTCATTCACTGAACAAACTTATTTGTACTGTCCCTGCTTTCTGCCAGGTGTGGGAGGAGGGTGCAGAGAGGAAAGATGTGGACCCTGCCAC
The DNA here is from genome assembly GCF_000001405.40 of Homo sapiens. Classification (NCBI taxonomy): domain Eukaryota; kingdom Metazoa; phylum Chordata; class Mammalia; order Primates; family Hominidae; genus Homo; species Homo sapiens. Next base: position 82,865,349 of record NC_000015.10, on the reverse strand, counting down.
AAAGGAGTTCATGATAATGATGTTTTTCCTTAAGAGGTCCCCAAAAAGAAAAGGTGAGGGAGGCTTTGTGCATCCCTGCTGGACCTCGTGTTTTAAGCAACAGGTAATGTGATTTTCCTCTGCCAGCATTGCAATAGTTAAATATGAAGCCTCCCCAGCTGTGGCTTTACTCACAGGGCCTGCAACACAGGCCAGAACAGAAAGACTGACCTTTACTGCTTACCCTAGGGTGCTGGGTTCACCTACATCTGTTATCTGGCAAGGTTTCCTAAAGTAGACCACTGTTGTCGGCATTGTGAAGATACTCAGAGGATAGCCTGTGCTCAGAAATAAATGAGTTCTCAATAAAACCTGCAGAATTGGTGATAGCCTTGCAACTTGCTAGTTTTTGTTTTGTCTGCAACCATATTTAGCTCTTACTTTGTAATACCACCATTATCACAGGCTATTCTCTGTTCAAACAATGAATTTGCTAATTAAAATTGGCCACCTTGTTAGTGGCAATAAGCTAATGGGTGATATGATTGTCCCAGGACTTGAAGAACTGTTTTATTATGGAACTATTAAGATATTAATAAAAAGTGGAGGGCATAGTATAATGAACACCCATATACACATTACCTAGATTTAACAGTTGTTAACATTTTACCACATTTCTTCATCTCTTTTATTGTTTTTGAAGTACTTTAAACTATAAGCATCAAGACATTTCACTCCTAAATACTTAGTATTCATCTAGAAAAAAATGACACTAAGAGGTTTTGGATCTTTTCGGTATGGATTATGAAGTTTTCCGTGGATTTCTTTTGTGGTATAGCCAAATTTCATTTGCCATTTTTGTATTAGTTTGTTTTTAATACATCATCATCAAACTAGCTTCAGTAGCTTAGATATGGGTTCAGAACTGACCTTGCCCAGTGCTGTTTACTGGAATATACATCCTTATATTCATTTAATAGCAAATAAAATTCTTCTGGATTTATACAGAATGTATGGGCCTAAAATGGATGCAAAATAAATAAAGGTGGGTTCTGAATACCAGCCATGAGTGAGGTTAATAAAAGCCTTAATAACTATTCTTCATGTTCAGTTTGCAGAGAAATTCCAGGAGGTGAAAGAAGCTGCCAAGATAGCCAAAGACAAGACGCAGGAGAAAATCGAGACCTCAAGTAATCATTCCCAAGTAAGACATTAGTCTATGAAGTAAATCCCAGTGGGGTTGGTGATAGGGACTCTTTGTTCCTTGTCACTTCTGGCCAGAAATAGGGAATTTTGACAATAGGTCATTTTGAAGGCTTTTTCAACTATTAGCCTGATCACAGTGACATGTTTTTATGAGACTCTTGAATTTTTTAGGATGTGGTACTGTATTTCTGACAGAAAATGGTTGATGTGATTTGAGTTAATACACATCCTGGCCCAGGAGAGACATTCTGTGGTCACTGTGTTTAAATGCCAGAGGCGAGGCAGCATGTCTCCTGGCTGTGCTGGGAGGTGAGTTTCTGTGTAGGGTACCTTGTGCCCACAAGAGAGAGACTTGATGTCAGACAGCCCTTGTGTTCATCTCCGGTTTTAACAGAGGTCAGGTGGAAGTGGTTATTCCAACAGCTCTGTCTTAACAGAGGAGATCCGGCTTGGCCAGGAATTCAGTAGTCTGTCTAAAGTGTGAAGATTGACTGAAAAGGACCTATTTTAATCTGAAATCAACACACCCACTTTCCTGATGTCTAGATTAGTATATGTGGTGGTGGGGGAAGTCGACCTAGTGACAGGGTTATATGTAGAAAGCCAGGGAAAGGGAGACTTCAGGAGAGAATACTTAGGGGCAGGAGTAAGTGTGATATACTAGCAAGATAGCCAGGAGTCTGCCTGCTGGCAGCTGAGGTGTGCTGTCGGAGGCGTTGAGATGTGCTTGGAGATACTGTGAAGACCTAGAATTCTTCATTACTGGGTAATTTTTTATTTATTAGCTACTTGTTTAATTATTCTTGAGTAGTTGGTGGACGTTGGAAGTGTGTTGTGACTGTTGATTTGGATTTCACCTGAGAGGGTTGGCTTGCTTGCAGATGGTAAGGCAGGCAGGGAGGGACTGAGAGCAGAAAGATTGTCGAGGGGGCTGTGAAGGAGAGAATAGCTGGGCCAGGGAAGCCCGGGGAGGGGGTTGCAAATGAGGACAGGTTGCAGGAAGAGAACCAGGAGGCCTGGGCATCTTGAGCAGTCAAGATCGATGCTCTAGACTTGACCATCAGCCTCACAGGGGCAGTAGCTGCAGTCTCGGGTGCACAAAGAAGCAGTGGAGAGAGGAGGGCAGATGCTGGAGCCCTAGGAAATAGGCCCAGTTATGAAATGGGAGCCAGCAAAGATGACAGGGAGGGAGAAATTCCAGCATCGCTGAGCCCCAGGAGGGAGTATGCCCAATATGTCGGTGCTCAGAGAGGAGGGGAGAGAATGCTGACAGGGACCCTGGGTTTGTCAGTGCTGTGGCCGACCCTTGGGACAGGAGATTTGGTGTGGCTCAGGATGTTTCACAAAGGCAGAACCTATGTCTGCCTTGAGTTGTCTTTCCAATACCTTGTTCTGGCCTCATCATATAAAATATGCCCACATGGACCTATGGAAATGCATGTGAATTCGATTTCAGGTAGACAGGAACTTTCCTGAATCTTTCTAAATAATCTTTAATATGATTCAGTGATACCATTAATTTTGTATGCTAATTACTTGATTAATCTCTGAGGACCTATGAAATTCAGCATCTGAAATTGTCCATGGTCTAGAAAGTTTCTAATATACTATCTTTTTCAGAATACCGCATAGTACAGTGATATATTTAAGTTTAATATCTGAATTTCTCCAGATAAGATTTTGTTTTAATATTTACCCCCTCTCAAAAGTTTATTTATTTGAGACGGGGTCTTGCTGTGCTGCCCCTGGGCTCGAGTAGTCTTCCTGCCTTGGCCTCCCAGGTAGCTGGGATTACAGGCATAAGCTAAGTATTTTAAACCTTAAAAATACATGTATACCTAATAAGATGTTATTTAACGTATATGTATTATTTAGGAATGACTTTTTGTTTCTAATCTTTAGCAGTATTTATCCTTCCTGATAGTTCCCCAGGTATAGAGGTTATTGTATGTATTTTTTTAAGGCTGGGTACAGCGGCTCACACCTGTAATCTCAGCACTTTGGGAAGCCGAGGCCAGTGGATCACCTGAGCTCATGAGTTCGAGACCAGCCTGGGAATATGGCGAAACCCCATCTCTATTAAAAAAAAAAAAAGAGAGAGAAAGACTATTTTTGTTTTTGTTTTTAAGACAGAGACTCAATCTGTTGCCCAGGCTGGAGTGCAGTGGCGCGATCTCAGCTTGCTGCAACCTCTGCTCACTGCAACCTCTGCTCACTGCAACCTCTGCCTCCCAAGTTCAAGGGATTCTCCTGCCTCAGCCTCTCTAACTGGGATTACAAGCATGCGCCACCACACCCGACTAATTTTTTTGTATCTTTAGTAGAGATGTGGTTTCACCATGTTGGCTCAGGCTGATCTCAAGCTTCTGATATCAGGCGATCTGCCTGCCTCGGCCTCCCATAGTGCTGGGATTACAGGTGTGAGCCACTGCACCCGGCCCTTGTATGCTTTTTAAAATTAGTAATCACACAATTACTTGGTTTCCTGAATCTCTTAGAGTATGAACACTTTGATTAAGTTTTCAAAATAGTTGGATTTTTAAGCAGCCTAATTACAAAAACACTTAAAATGTGGGGCTGTTTTGTGACTATAAATGCAATACATGTTTATTGTATAAAGGAAAAATATACCATACTATAAAGAAGGAAATAAAAATCATCTACCTTCTCACCACTTGAAGATATTTTATTAGTGTTTTGGTGTGTATCTTTCTAACATACTTTTCCAGGATATATTTTATATTATACCTTTTAACTTTATGTCATGATTATTCCTTTTCAAAACTGTTTTAATGACTGGACAGCATTCTAGTGTTGGTATCACAGCTTATTTGGTTAACCTATAATTTGTGACATCTGCATTTCTAAAATTTCACTAATATAAATAACACTGTGATGAATGTTCTTGCATGTCTTTGTGCATTTGGTGGTTTCTGCATAACTTCTTGAAATGGAGATATTGGGTTAAAGGTATGGATGTTCTTAAAGCTTGTGATGCATACCACAAACTTAGCCTGCAGAAATACACCATTCTAACTCCCACCTGCAGTGAATAAGGCTTTTTCTTACCACACCCTCATCAGCAAAGCTTTGTTAATTTGACAGATGAAAAGTCTTTCTTTTCTTTTCTCTTCTCTTTTTTTCTTTTGTTTTCTTTTCTTTCTTTCCTTTCTCTTTCGCTTTCTCTCTCTCTCTCTCTCTCTCTCTCATCTTCTATCTTCTATCTTTGAGACAGAGTCTCACTGTGTCATCTAGGCTGGAGTGCAGTGGCGTGATCTCGGCTCACTGCAACCTCTGCCACCCAGGTTCAAGGGATCCTCCTGCCTCAGCTTCCCCATTAGCTGGGATTACAGGCGCCTGCCACCATGTCTGGCTAATTTTTGTAATTTTAGTAGAGACAGGGTTTCACCATATTGGCCAGGCAGGTCTTGAACTCTTGACCTCAAGTGATCTGCCTACCTTGGCCTCCCAAAGTGCTGGGATTACAGGTGTGAGCCACCACACCTGGCCTTCATTTTGTACTTCTTTACTAGTGAGATTAAATATTTTTATGTTTATCGATTGTATGCTTTTCTTCTTTTGTGAATATCAATTACCTACCCCTTTTTAAGTTAAGGTGTTAATCTTTTGTATTGATTTTCAAGAGCTTTATTTTTAAACACAAAAAAATGTGAACATATGCAAATCTAGGCATAATTGTATAATGGACCTTCCTGTACCCATAGGTCAGCTTTAACAGTTAGGAAATTATGACCAATTGTTTAATCTGTGCACCTACTCATTTGCTCCCCCCCACCATATTTTAAAGCAAATGCCAGATGTTTCATTTCATCCGTAAATATTTCAGCATGTAGCTCTAAAAGATGAGGACTCTAAGAGCTTGTCAATATAGGAAAGATACTAATATTTTTTTCCTTTTTTTTATTTTGAGTTGGAGTTTCCCTCTTGTTGCCCAGGCTGGAGTGCAGTGGCACGATCTCAGCTCACTGCAACCTCCGCCTCCCGGGTCCTGCCTCAGCCTCCCGAGCAGCTGTGATTACAGGTGCATGCCACCACGCCTGACTAACTTTTGTATTTTTAGTAGAGACAGGGTTTCACTATGTTGGCCAGGCTGGTGTCAAACTCCTGGCCTCAGGTGATCTGCCCGCCTCAGCCTCCCAAAGTGCTGGGATTACAGGTGTGAGCCACCGCGCCCGGCCGACATTTTGTTTTTCATATGTACTGCTGTATATATTCCCATCCCCTCCCCACCCCCCGGGTTTTTGTCTCATTTTAATTTTGTTTATGGTGTTTTTTTTGAAATTCAGAAATTGAAACTTGGATTTATACACCATTCTCTTCTAGTTTCTTCCTTTGCCCATGTACTTATTTGAGGCTAAATAAGATCTTTCTAAGGTCTTATCTAGCACCAGATGAGATTTCACCTCTACGTGGTATGACTTACGGAAAACACTTGAACATATTCATAACAGCACTAAGTAGTAAGGGAGTGGGCAAACAACAGGACCTGGTTCTTGTCTCTTTAATGAATGTGTTGATCTAACTCTCCATAGCCCCAAGATATTTAAGTTGTCTCCTTTTCTAATATGTGCTTTTTCATTCCTTGTTTCTAAGAGTCCCTCCTCCCTTGTGGCTTCTGCCCTGTGGTATTTCAGGAGACCAGGTCTCCCAAGTTTGGTGGGTTTCTCCATAAGGCGTAAGTAAAAAGGCTCTGAGCACTGGCCCAGGTGTTCCCTTGTCAGTAAAGCACACAGACTTTATGAACTCCACATGGTCTCTTCAGTGCCTTTTTCTTTGGTCATGATAGTCTTTGTTAGGTTTTGTTTTCTTTTTTGTTTGTTTGTTTGTTTAAAAAAAAAACAAAAACTTGTTAGTCTTTGCTGCATTCTGGTTGGATGAGTTGGTTCGTCCACACTCGTAAAGTTTCTTATTATGCCTAACTTGCTGCCGATGTGCAGACAAGCAATAACGTGTGAAGATAATTCACTTTGGCCAGGAATCTGGGCGTGAAACCCCATCTTCTACTCAGGCATCCAGTGTCAACGGGACGGACGATGAAAAGGCCTCTCACGCCGGTCCAGCCAACACACACCTGAAGTCTGAGAATGACAAGCTGAAGATTGCCTTGACGCAGAGGTAAGGCTGTTTTAAAGTCCAGATTCTATTTTCTCCACCTTCAGCACTTCCCTAGAAGCCTTTCTTGCTGGACAGGGTTTCAGGAAATTGGGAGAGAAAACTGGGACCTGCTTAGAGCATCCACTCTTGTCTCCTGGTGAAAGGAAGGCCAGCTGGCTTCATGGCCCTGCTCTGGCCAACCACATCAGCATCCATTTGTGTGTGTGTGGGAAATAGAGAGTGTGTGTGTGTGAGAGAGAGATATTGTGAGTATGTAAATGTGTGGAGAGAGGGCAAATGTGCATGAGTGTGGTAGTGTCAGAGTGTGTGTGATTGAGTGTACATGTGTGGAGAGAGGGTGTGTGTGTGTGTGTGAATGCACCCCTGTGCTTGTGCTTTGTTTTGTTTTTGAGGAGGCAAATTTATCATTTATTTATCTATAACATTGACTCTTGGCCAAGCATGGTGGCTCCTGCCTGTAATCCCAACATTTTGGAAGGCCAAGGCAGGCGGATCACTTGAGCCTAGGAGTTTGAGACCAGCCTGGGTAACATGATGAAATCCTGTCTCTAGAAAAAATATTTTAAAAACTAGCCAGCTATGGTGGTGTTTACCTGTAGTCCCAGCTACTCTGGTGGCTCAGTTGGGAGGATTGCTTGAGCCTGGGAGGTGGCAGAGGCTGCAGTGAGCTGAGATTGCACCACCACACTCCAGCTTGGATGACAGAGTGAGACTCTTGTCTCAAAAAAAAGAAAAAAAAAAGAATTTTGAACATCTGAGAAACGCATGTGAAAACATAAACTATTAAAATATGAAATCACACAAAACTCAGTCACCTATATACAAAAAAGTCATGTGGAATATATATTTGAAGAAGAGATCCTTTACAGTATGAACTAGAACCATAAACTACATAGAAATAAACTTAAATATACAAGATCTATGTGAAGCAAACTTTAAAATGATTTCAAGGTTTATAAAATAATTGTTTAATAAATAGCCATTCTGTTGGGAAGTGGCAAAAAGCCTTGATATTTTAAAAGTATCAGTTTCTCCTAAATTGATCTATAAATGTAACACAATCCCCATAATGATATCAGTAAGATTTTAATTTACTGCATGAGCGGTGCTTATGATTTTGTATCTTGAGAATGTGGAGCATTCCCCACAGGCTGGGCTGAGCTTCGTGGTTTAGGGCGGTCCCATGAGCACACTCAGGGCTTTCTGCTGGCCAGGGGTAGGGGTTCAGCAGGCTTTCCCCAGTCTCCCTCAGACCGAGAAGCCCCCCTCCTCAGAGTTGCCCATTTAAGATCTGTATTGGCTGGGCGTGGTGGCACATGCCTGTAATCCCAATGCTTTGGGAGGCCGAGGTGGCTGGATCACTTGAGGTCAGGAGTTCGAGACCAGCCTGGGCAACACGGTGAAACCCCATCTCTACTAAAAATACAAAAATTGGCCGGGCACGGTGATACATGCCTGTAATCCCAGCTACTCAGGAGGCTGAGGCAGGAGAATTACTTGAACCCGGGAGGCGGAGGTTGCAGTGAGCCAAGATCACGCCACTGCACTCCAGCCGGGTCGACAGAGCAAGACTCTGTCTCAAAAAAAAAAAAAAAAAAAAAAAAAAGCTGTATCATCTTAGAAGCTGTCTTAGCTCAGGCTGCTATAACAAAATACCACAAACTGGGTGGCTTAAACAACAAACCTTTACTTCTCACAGTTCTGGAGGCTAGAAAGTCCAAGATTAAGGCACTGGCAGATTTGGTGTCTGGTGAGGGCCTGCTTCCTGGTTCATAGACCACAGTCTTCTCCCTGTGTCTTCACAGGTGGGGAGAGGAGGTGAGCTCTCTGAGGACTCTTGTAAAGACCTGGATCCCATTCATAAAGATTTCATCCTCACGCCCTCACCTAATCCTAGTTACCTCTCAACACCCGCCCCCCCGCCTCCTAAGACCATCACATTAGGGGTAGGGTTTCAACGTATGAATTTAGGGAGGTCTCAAGCATTGGGTCCATAAGAGAAGCTGTCATTTTGAACTTCCCCCCATTTTACAGATGAGGAAACTGAATTCCAAGTGACAAAGTGACTCCTTGCCCAAGGTCACATGGCTAGTAAACCTTCCATCACCTCACATGGCCCGTGTTCCACTCAAGGCTGCACTCACAGTCTCTTCAGGAGCCTACCAGAGGCAGCCTGTCCCCTTCCACAGCCAGAGCCGCCACAGAGTTGGCCCCCAGCTCTCCAACTCAGCTGGCCCGGCTGTGATCTGACCTAGGAATTCCAGAAAGCACATGTGACCCTTAGATCCAACCCCCTGCCTTTGGACTGTGACTCTTTGTCAGGTACTTCAAAGGACAGAACTGTGACCAGTCTCTTTTCTTACTCATCAGACAATTGTGAGAGCTTTATTTATTTATTTATTTATTTGTTTTTTGAGGCAGAGTCTCTGTGATCCCAGCTGTAGTGCAGTGGTGTCATCATAGCTTACTACAGCCTTGAACTCCTGGGCTCGACTGATCCCCCCGCCTCAGCCTCCCAAGTAGCTGGGACCACAGGTGCACGCTACCACACCTGGCTGATTTTTATTTTTATTTTTGTAGAGATGAGGTCTTGCTATGTTGCCCAGGCTGGTCCCAAACTCCTGGGCTTATCAAGTTATCCTCCCTTCTTGGCCTCCCAAAGTGCTGGGATTATAGGTGTGAGCCACCACACCCAACTGAGAGCTGTTTTTGGTTGTTTAAGTCACAGTGGGCTGCCTGGGTGAAAATGTTTCACCCCTAAAAATAAATGTTTTCAAATCTGAGTTTAATGAGCAAGTGAGGTACTACAAGAATGGGCAGGAAGCTATTTCCCTAAATTAGCTTAAATTGTCAGTCATCAACTCTAGAATTCACCAGATAATAACATTTTATTATTTCTTCAGTCAGTGGTGTTTGAAAGTGAAAGTACATATTTTCCAAGTCCTCGAGGTCCTTGAGGTTGTGGGATAAAAGATAACACAGATCTATTCAGACACACCATTGTATTTACTTAAAAAAATTAGGAAGAGCCTTTAGAAAGAGGACTTAGCCAGGCGGAAACCTCCCCATGGGCTTGTCACGTGCAGCTCTGCCCTGTCACCTCCAGTCACATTCAGCGCCACAGATGTGTGGGCTCCTAGCAAGGAAATTGAAGGAGGGTCAGAAGAGAACAATGAGGGGAACCTGATTCCAGTTTGGTTTTGTTTTAAACGTCCTCCTCACCAAGCATGTAGAATCAGATGAAACATGAGGCCTTTGTGGTGACAGCAGAGGTGTCCCTCAGATTCCTGGTCTCCTCACACCCCGGGGGGATATGGGCCAGCCAGAGCTCCCTCCAGACCCCTGTTGTGCCCCCAGGGCACTGATTCCTGGTCACTCTCTCCTGTCTCCAAGCCCTAGGCCCTCAGATCTGGATTCCTTCAAAGGCTCTGAGAAGGCACAGGTTACAGTGGGACCATTATTCCCCGGAGCCAAGCTGTTGGCTTCTTGCTTGTTTAAACCCAGCGTCCTGGAGGTCCGTCCATGGCTTTCATACGATTCTTGAAGGTCACCCGGTCCACCCATGAAACTCCTTTCAGGAGGAAGCAGGGCGGCCAGTAAGGAGGATGGGATGGGCCTTGCCCGCCCTGCAGCCCTCATGCCTAGCTTTGTCTCTTCATTCGTGAAGAATTGTGTTTTCTTTTTTTTTTTTTTTTTTTTTTTTGGAGATGGAGTCTCGCTCTGTCGCCAGGCCGGAGTGCAGTGGCGTGATCTCGGCTCACTGCAACCTCCACCTCCTGGGTTCAAGCGATTCTTCTGCCTCAGCCTCCTGAGTAGCTGAGACTGCAGGCGCCCGCCACCATTTTTTTGTATTTTTAGTAGAGACAGGTTTTCACCATGTTGGCCAGGATGGTCTCGATTTCTTGACCTAGTGATCCGCCCGCCTCGGCCTCCCAAAGTGTTAGGATTACAGGCATGAGCCACTGCGTCCGGCCCAAGAATTGTGTTCTCTTCTAAGGTGATTCTTTAAGAAGATAGACCACAGGATGACATGTTCACACCAGAGAGAGGGGCCAGTCCCTCCTGGCCCTGGATCAGGGTAGCCAGACCCACCTGCCAGCTTACTGTGGGGAGAGGGCGTGGGCCCCCCAGGGGTGTGCTGAGGGATGGCGGAGTCCCCTTCCCCACGCGGGCGGAGCCAGACGGGACAGCACCCACCCCGTCGTCACCGCCCGTCCCTGTCCTGCAGCGCAGCCAACGTGAAGAAGTGGGAGATCGAGCTGCAGACCCTTCGGGAGAGCAATGCACGGCTGACCACAGCACTGCAGGAGTCGGCAGCCAGTGTGGAGCAGTGGAAGAGGCAGTTCTCCATCTGCCGTGATGAGAATGACCGGCTCCGCAACAAGGTGGGTACGGTGGATGCAGTGAGCCCCGAGGCCAGCTGGTGTGGGCAGTGGGAGATGGGGGCACCCACAACCCTTTTTCTCCCTCCCCAACTTTGCCCTTATCCCCATGGCCAGAGGAAGACTTGCTGCCTCTCCCATGGGAACGTCCCTCCCCCTCCCTGCCTTTCTTAGTAGGAATTTAACCACGTACATAATTGACTCATTACCTTTTCTGGTTTTATTTTCTTTCTTTTTTTTTGAGATGGAGTCTCGCTCTGTCACCCAGGCTGGAGTGCAGTGGCACGATCTCAGTGCACTGCAGCCTCCTGTCTCCCAGGTTCAAGTGATTCTCTTGCCTCAGCCTCCGAAGTAGCTGGGATTAGAGGCGCCTGCCACCATGCCTGGCTAATTTTTGTATTTTTAGTAGAGACAGGGTTTCACCAAGTTGGCCAGGCTGGTCTCAAACTCCTGGCCTCAGGTGATACACCCGCCTCAGCCTCCTGAAGTGCCAGGATTACAGGCGTGAACCACTGTGCCTGGCCAGACTCGTTACCTTTTCTGAACCAAGTTTTATAATTCCTCTTACTGAGGAGAAGATAAACTGGAGGTGTCAGCCCTGTCTCTCTCAGAGTGCCCTCCCTCAGCATTTCTGTGGTTCAGTGACCCTCCGTGGAGGAAGGGGACCCAGAGGGTAGGTGAGAAACAGACTTGGGAGATGGTGAGTTGCGCCTGCTTGGAAGTCCTGCTTCCATTCACATTATTGTTTCTAAACATGTAAATTTGGAGTTGAGAAAAGGATTATGGTGCTTGAGGCGTGAGGAGGGTAAACAGGTGCTGACCTGTTGTACGCCCTCTACTCTCCGACCTTGACATCCTGGCATTTTGATTTGTTTGAAAATGCACCTGTAACCTTCCCTGTCATTAGTCACACTCTAGTTCATAAGGTGCTTTTGGGGTGGCCAGAGACCCCCCATTGAGGTCTTGAGGTTTCTCTGCTAACCTTGTTTTGATCATGGTTAATCCTCCCACTAGAAACACATAGGCTTTGGAGTATGCTCCGTCAGTGCAGGGTTTTAGGGGGACAGGTCCCATTTAGATTGGTGTTCACTCCCCCTTGACCCCCTTTTCTCCCCTGCCCTGCCCGACCTGGAGGGCCCCTGCATCCCAGCCCTCTGTCACACTGTCTTACTTTCATGCTAATGCCACATAAAAGTGTCTCGTGTCATTTTTTCATCTTGGTGCTGACGGTTGGGCACCAGGCCAATTGCTGACTTTGCACGTTCCCACCCGAGGCCTGGCAGATCTGCCTGCCAGAGGGATCGATTGCCCTTTCTTGCATTTTCAAGAAAAGAGCTGAGTTTCTCACTTTGGTCTCAGTCTGATAGCCAGCAGCAGTGCGGGGGGAGTGGAGGAAGAGCATCACGCACAACTCGCTCCCTTGGAGGCGTGTCGACCTCCCTGAGTCGACATCTCACAAGCTTGCCTCCCAGGGTTGGAGGCGGAAGTTGGTGTGGTTTCCAGCAGCAGCAGGGGCTGGGAGTTCAGACCCCAAGGCTTGGTGCAGCCTGCCTCTGGGAAGTGTCCTCGGTGCCCTTCATGTCAAGGACTGCTGCTGCCTGTTCGGGGGGACTTCACTACAGTGCTTTTGTGTTGCATGTGGGGTCCACGCCTGCTGTCCACTCTGCACACACATTTTGGCCCCCAGCATTCAATGGCAGTGTGAGAGTGCCAAGCCCTTGCACCCCTGTTCCACACAGGTAACTGTTTTGAGGGGTCAGCCTTGGAAAGGGAAAGATGCGGTGTAGGGATTTGCCATTCAGCCTTGGGGAAGAGGCCCACAGGCCAGGCCCCTTCCACGTGCATTCCCAGGGGAAGGTCACCTTGATTTATAATATTCGAAATGTCATTGCTTCCCTTTTCGGCAGCCACTGTACCATGAGGTTGCTTGATTTTTCTACCCTGCTGGCTTAAACCCTTGAGATGAAACAGAATAATGCAGGACGTGATTACAGTGGTGTAACAGTCATTCTGGAGAAAAGCAGATCAATTCAGGGGACACTTGGCCCTTGCTTGTGATGGATCCTTAAAGCAAATCTGAATCTACTTCTTCACGGCCATGAGAGGAAACCAGAAGCCCAGAGCATCTTGAAGGCAGGCTTTATTACTTATTTGGCTCTGCTGGTAAGATGCCTCTGGTAAGGCATCATGTGCAAAGCAGGTCCCATGCAAGCGGTGCAGGCAGCCCCATGATGGAGCTGCATGGGGTTTGTTCATAGCCACAAAGAAAATCTTATAAGTGGATTAGTTTAGGGTTTATTTTAAAAGAAAAGAGAAGCATAGCTGTGGTGATCTCTTGCTTAATGACTAATGTTAAGCTGGCGTCCCTGCTTTCCTGTGTGGTGTGTATTGAAGATTGATGAGCTGGAAGAACAATGCAGTGAGATCAACAGAGAGAAGGAGAAGAACACGCAGCTGAAGAGGAGGATCGAGGAGCTGGAGGCAGAGCTCCGAGAAAAGGAGACAGTGAGTAATGGTGCTCCGAGCAGGGCCCCTTGGCGTCCTCTTGGCCTTGCGGGGTGGCACACAGCAGGTGTCTTGGGGCCTATGACTGGCCCTGGCAGCTGCCTGGATAGCAGCACGGAGAGAGAGCTGGGAGCCACAGCAAGGTGCAGACAGGCTGGAGCAAAGGCCTCCCCATGACCTCTGCCGCCTCCCTGTTACCCCTGTTCTATAGCTGGTCGTGCAGATCCACAAGGGAGCTGAACATTTCACAAGACACTCAGATGCGTTTGTCATCTGTCCTCAGAAGTTGAGTTTTGCTGCCAAATTAATGCCGCTAGAGACCCATGATGTAACCACTTATTTTCTTTTTTAAAAAAATTTAAAATGTATTTATTTTATTTAAGATGGAGTCTCATTATGTTGCCCAGGCTGGTCTTGAACTGGGCTGAAGCATTCCGCCCACCTCAGCCTCCTGTGTAGCTGGGACTATAGACACACGCCATGAGAGCACCACACACACGTGCCCACCACACCGCAGCCCAGCTCCCGGCGCCAGCCACCTGCACTCACTGCCACCATGCCTGGCCTACAGTCATTTATTTTCTAGGGGGCAGACAGTTAAGTGCACACATGTTGGAGGCCGTGCTCATGTTACCAAACTCCCTAGGCCTCACTTTCTCCACTTATAAAACAGAAATCGGAAAAACATCTGCCTTGTGGTGGTGTGTACAGACTTCACGTGACAAGGCGTGTGACACACTTCACCCTTGAAATTCCCTGAGATGAAGTATTCGCATGGTCACTATCACTGTCTATGCAAACAGGACAGGGTCCCAAAGCTGCTTCCACGAGCGTGCACACATTGGTGATTTTCAAGAATATATTTTATCTGACTTGCTTTCATGTTCTATCTCAAATTTTTTTCATGTAGGAGCTGAAAGATCTCCGAAAACAAAGTGAAATCATACCTCAGCTCATGTCAGAGTGCGAATATGTCTCTGAGAAGCTAGAGGTACGTGGGTTGGGGGCACAGCCATCCTGGCTCAGACAAGAAGGCACAAATGTCATGGTACTCATTTTCCTGCTTCCTATCACTTTCACACTGAGAATGCTGAAGGAGAGATTTTCTATTCACAAAAAGCTGGCAGTGACTGCACGCCAGATGGCACCGCATCCACCCCTGCCCCCGGGGCAGACTCAGCAACGTTTGTCTTTTGGTTTTGCAAGTTCTATGAAGGCCCCTGTGCATCACCACAGTGTAGACGACTGTTTCCTTGCAGATCCCTGGTGGGGGTGAGGAGCGGGGGGGCGGCCTGAGAGCCCAGGGTCAGGGTGTGGGGCCACTTCAGCCACTCCCCTGCCAGTGGCCTTGGGCACTGACCTTGGGCAGGCCTTCCTCCCTATCCTCAGATTTCTGATCACTAAAATGAGGATTTTCAGGGCTTCCTCCACCTCGGAGCGCCTCTTCCCTGCAGGTCCTCTGATATGCACACGGCGCTTCATGTAGTTACATGACCCTGGAATTGGTAACTGCTTCCTGTGCACATGTTCAGAAAGGTCTCTGTTTATTCCCTCAACATAAAGCTCTTATTTGATATGAAGAGTTAAAGGCTTATGGCTCATTTAAGGACTCACAGCTGTCCTGTCTTTGGGAACCTGCTTGTGATTTACCTAGATGTGCCTCTGTAGGCTTGTGGGGCCCAGCGCCACAGAACATCTCCATGGTAACAGCATCAGAGGGTGCACAGACTGGCTGTCCCTGAGTCATTGGCATGGCCAGTCCTTCCTCTCTGAGGGCCAGAGGCTGGCCTGGGGCTGAGGAGGCCACGCCTCTCTGTGGGACCAGGGGAACGAGCCACTCTCCCATCTGTTCTGTCTCTCAGGATGGAACTGAAATGTGGTCTCTGCTAGCCACTCAGACAGGGATTTCAGACTTTCCCTGCTGGGCCCTGTGTGAGGTCTCCCTCAGGCAGGACTCTGCGTTCTGCCTGCTTTGTTGGGTCTTGGGTTTTCAGGCTGGGTGTTGGTCCCTCTGTGGGAGAGCAGGCAGGAAAGGAGGAGGTCACTGAAGTGCCTGCTGCTTCCCTTCTGATGTCTTGGTCACAGGCTTGTGTGCTGGGGTAGCATGTCTCTAGGCAGCTTAAGCCCTGGCCCAGGCCCTCAGATTGGATGGAGAATGGTTGGTTCAGCTGTAGCAGGTTTTGAAGGATGACTCTCGTCACTCAGTTTTCTAGACCCTTCTCCCTTTTGCTTGGCCAGGCGGCAGAGAGAGACAATCAAAACCTGGAAGACAAAGTGCGTTCCTTAAAGACAGACATTGAGGAGAGCAAATACCGACAGCGCCACCTGAAGGTGGAGTTGAAGAGCTTCCTGGAGGTGCTGGACGGGAAGATTGACGACCTGCATGACTTCCGCCGAGGGCTCTCCAAGCTGGGCACCGATAACTAGGGCTGGCCGAGGCCCAGGCCCCGCCCGTGAGTCCCAAGCGTGTGTGCGAGACCAGATAGCTCTAGGACGTTCTTCTGTGTGCATTGCTTCTGTAAATGCAGGCGCAGTTTGTCGTGTTTCCAAACCAGTTGTGCCGTCCACTCACTCCTTTTCAGAATAGAAATCTCCTCTCGCTTCTCTGGCCTTGTGAGGTTGTGGACAACTGGAAGATTCTGACTCAGGAATCCAGAACTAGGTCTACCTTCAACATTTATGCAGTCAGGGCAGGGATGTTTATATCTTTCATAAGGGCTGTTGCAACCATATGAACTGAAAAAACACGCATTTTGTAATCCAAATATTGATATTCTTTACACCAAGCCATCAGGCTCCTTTTATCAAATAGCATTCAGAGTATTTGAATGTCCACCAGACACCAGCCCCGGGGGGCACAGAGAGAACAACATTCCTCTCTGTCAACATCGAGAGGCTTTAAAACAACTGTTTAGTGGAAACTTTCTGAGAGATGGAAAACAAGCTTCTGGTGGGTGCATTTTCTGGCCCGGAGTTGCCTGCATCCACGCTACTGCCCCCTGCCCCCCGCCCCCCCAGTTTGTACGGTTGCAACAGTGTTCCTTTTCTTGGTTTTAATTTCTGAGCAGATGATTGTGCTGTGGGAACAGCACACAGTGAGGGTGCCTAGCACAATGTCTGGCACAAAGTAGGTGCTTAATAAATATTTGTTCAATTAAATGTGTACACAGAATTTAGTGTTTTAATCAAACCCCACAGCAGAGCTGGGACCCTGTCGAATGATGCACCATCTTTGCTGTGCTGGGTAGTTAACAGACATGAATACCACTGTCTGGTCAAACCCAAGCTGGGGCTCGGGTGGCCCTGGGGCAGGGAGGGAGAAGGGGAAGCAGCAGGAGCTGGTCTCAGGCCCCTGGAGCCCATCCGTGATGCTCTGCCCCTGGGGCTCTCCAGACCCTCGAATCACCTTCTCCCCTAGGAATGGTGACCCAGGGATTCCAGGTATAGGGGCTGCCCAGGGCTTGGTACCTAGGGTAGGATTGTCTTATGGGTCTGGACAGCTGGGAAGAAATCACAGGCATTTCGGGGGGAGAGAGCAGCTCAGCTGACAAGCCTTGGCCCTCATGACAGAGGTGTTCCACCCAGCTCTGCGTCCTGCCTTTTTCAGTTTCTCCTAGGGAAGGGACTGCAGCCATAAACCTCTCCTCTCTCACAGAGCTGCTCAGTGGGGCCAGCGGGCCTGTGGGTGCTGTTGGCATCCTGCCCTGGGAGATTGCCCGTGTGTGGCAATAATGGCTTGAATCCCTGGCCCCACACATCTCTAAATGCCTTGAGCAGGGGGGAGGCTTTGGTGCCCCCTCACCCCTTTGAGAACCACCTAAGAGGACTACTCCTTCTAGAAACCTTCTCCCATGGACGTGGTTAGACTTTCTCCCTGCTGAATTTGGATTAATGAGCAAACAACCCGAGGAAGGAGGGAGATGGGGTCCGAACCCAGGTGCCCTGGGCCCCAAGGTGAACACGAGTCCTCCTGCTCTCCTTCCCTTCCCCTCACGGAGACGCCTCTCTGAGCTGGGGAGTCTTGTTTGGGATGTGGATGGAAGGGAAGGCTGGGCATCTGGAGCACCAAGGCACTTTTAGAGGAGCTCCCGCAAGGTGAGTGGGGGCTTTGGTTGAGTACATAGGGCTTTTGGCAGACAGGAAGTGGAAAGCGTGGCCAGCCATCTTTGTGATTCGGGGTAGTCTGCTGCTGGCCCTTCCCTTTCCCCAGAGCTCCAGACGGCTCTCAGGACAGTTGGTAGCAGCTCCCTCCTGGCTGCACCAGGAGACCAGAGAGCCGAGCTGGCTATGAGTCAGCCCCGTGGCCCAGCAGCGGGATAAGGGGATTCTCAAGCCAGCCTGGTCTGCCCAGCAGCAGGCTGGGTGTGTGGCTGCCTGGGAGCAGTGGACACTGGGTTCCAAACACCTTCCGCTGGGGTCTTCAGATGACCTCTGCCTTTATCAGGTGACTTATGAATCTAGAAAGAGCCCGCTTGACTGACAAGAGAATGCTCAGGTGACATGCATAGAATAGTTACTGAAGCCACTTGTACATTCTGATAGCAGTGACTTTAGAAAACTCCAGAAGTGGAGGTGTAGAAAATGTTGGAAGAGCCATTTCCACAGTGGGCTGCTGTGCAGTTGAGACCCATGATCCCAGTTCACCAAGCACTGAAGAGTGTGGTGAGCATCCTGTGGGCAGCAGGTGAGGAACTTGGATTCCTCCTGCTGTGTGTCCAGCTCTACAGCTGTTGCAACCCTGGAGCTAAGAGTAGTAAGGACTCCCTTAAAGGGAAAGGTAAGTTGGGCTTGGCCGTGAAAGCACAACAGCTTTTACAAAAGCACTGAACTTTCCATTCCTTCTGCTTTTCTCTGAAGATCTCAGTGTCTTTTCATTTACTTTCTTTTAAAATAGTGGCCCTGGAGCAACCTGGACGGTGTTCCCTTGAGCTGGTGTGACGTGCCCTCGTTTATTCTGACATCCAGCCCAGTCTCAGTACTGTTGTCATAACCTTACGCCAGACTCAGGCAGAATGTAAGCCATTCACTCGTGAGCATCGCAGCCGCTTGTGCTGCCTGGAAGCTGCAGGGCCAGGACTGCATTTTCAGTTTGCAATTGAGGTCTCCTGATTTTGGTGTTTCCAAGACTGGCTGCTATACCTTGATAAGCTTTCCTTCTGCCTCCATGAAACCTGGTGTCTAAAAAAGATCAACTAAAACTTGGAACCCTTTAACCAAGAGGACCTTTAAAAATAACCTTTCATTCCAGTCAAGACCCAGCTGGATGCATTTTAAAGTTGGGAGTGGCGAGGAAGCCTTCCTAGTGCCGCCCGGGGAATGTAAAACCACCAGAGCAACAGGTTGGGACAGTATGGTCAGGCCTTGGAGGGAAAGAGAACCAGTATCCACACAAGACCTCGAACTTGTGTGGCCCCTCAGTTTCATCTCTCCTGCCTGCCATCACATTAGACTTTAATTGGGTGAGAGAACAGGGCAGAGACTGTCACCTGCATTTTGCAGATGGGAAGTAGAGACAGAGAAAGTGACACGCCCAGGGTCACCCAGCGGTGACCAGCAGCGTGGACTCTGCATCCAGGTCTCCTGGACCTTGATGCAGTATCTTTTGAGACATGCCACTCTAGTCCCTTTGGTGACCCGTGGGTGCCAAGAGAAAATAATTCTTATATCCTGATAAGAGCATATTACAATTATATTATTTCAATATGTGTCCACAGCAAAGGACAGTTTACAAAAATGTGAATCCGAATGACATTTAGGAATGTTTGTTATAAATGATAAGTTCCACTTTGGAATGATTCTGGTTTTGCAGGAATCTTTCCAAGAAAGTTGGTTAAAATGATGTCTCTGCCTGTGAGGCCAGTTCTATGGAAAACAAACACACCCTGAGTTCTTTATTGATGGCTTTAGTGGAGGCAGAGCAGTATGTTCAAAACAAGTGGGAGGCCCTGAGATCGCAGGAATGGAAACAGAGTTCTGGCTGGGGGTGGCCTGTCCACTGCCCGCCCCTTCCTGGAGATGCACTCCTTTCTGGCTTTCTGGGGAGGGAGCAGCCTTGCTCAGTGGTGGGAGCAGCTTGAACGGGACCTGATCAACACCCAGGAAGACTGTGCACAGAGGGCAGTTGGTCTCCAGCCTGCAGGCTCC
Organism: Homo sapiens; assembly: GCF_000001405.40. NCBI lineage: Eukaryota > Metazoa > Chordata > Mammalia > Primates > Hominidae > Homo > Homo sapiens. The sequence continues at coordinate 82,845,997 of NC_000015.10, read as the reverse complement.
ATGAGCACAGCCTTGATGGTGGTGGGCAGGCGCCTGCCTGCTGTGGACTACATTTGATGCAAAACATCAAGTAAAGGGTGGAGCGTAATACAGTGAATATGCCTCCCAGAAACATCATGCTCTGCCTATTTTAACAGGGCTCTTTTTCTTTAGAAAAGTCTCCTTCTCTATAGAAACCAGGGACAATTTTGGATGAGAGCCAACCACAGGACGCGCTGGGGACGTTATGGTGGGACCTCACATGTGGCCAGGTGCACCTTTGGGAAGAAGGCAGACGTGATGTGACTTAGCACAGGCACTCAAAAGAGGCAGCCACTGGTCTTTGCTAATATCCAGAAGTGGATTGTTTGTTCCATTCATCCTTCTAGAAGCTAAATTCTTTCATTGCCTTGAGACATCACTAGATTTTGAAGCACTTGCAAACTAGAAGCTTGCAAGATCAATGTCCATGTATATTTTTAAAGATATGCATGCTTTAAAAGGACCCTAATTTCTGAGTACATGGCTTCCCCAAAGAAACAGTATATATTCTGGAGATGATGGGGGTTTTGGCATGGAGAGGGACTCCTGTCTAGTCTAGAAAATGTTACTTACATGCCTCTTCCATGTACCGATCTCAAGAATATGGGTTTTCTAGTTGGCTTTAAACACTACCCAGGCAGGAAGGTGGCTTTGGTAAGAATTTTGAGCTGGATGAAATGTTCTAGTGAACTTACGACTGTGTATGTGCGCACGCGTGTGTGTGTGTGTGTGTGTGTGTGTGTGTGTGTGTGTGTGTGAAGAAACAGCAAAAGGGGAAGTGGGAGAAACAGTAAGGAAGCGTTTTTAATTAAAAATATGTATACCTAAGAGGAGACTTTATTTTCTATTTCTGGTGGTGGTGATCTATGTTCTGGAATCCATTTACCAGAAGTTTGTGGATCTTTTGTTTGAAGTGGAATTGTTCAGTGCCCTACTCTCTTTGACGGTGCAGAGCCTTGCGGCAAAGTGTTCTCCTGGGCCCTAGAGACCCCCAGGGCACCTGGCAGGAGCCCGTAAACCACGGCAGAGTCCCAAGTGGTGCATGTTTTGGCGAGTGATGGGCAGGACTGATGATTCACAGCTGTGAGGCTGTGCTATTGTTTTTACCCTCTTGTACTGCTTTTAATAGGAAGTCCCGACTTTACGTCAGTTGTGAGAGCAGCGTCTTATGATGTGACAGGCAAGAAGACATTCCTTGCATCAAATATAAGAGTTTAATGAGAAGAGTGGAGTGGATAAGTGAACTCTCCCAAGAGTACTGTTTTTTGTTTCCCTTTTTAAATGCTTTCTTGGTACATAAATAATATAATACTTTTTTTAAAGAAATTCCAGATGAGTGGGAAAAAAACCAATCACCTGTTATTACACTATCTGATTATAACCACTGTTAACATTTCAGTTTTTATCTTTTCAGACTTTTTTCTATGCATCTGTGTGTGTTTTATTACTTTTTCCATGAAATATAATCATATTATACATACTGTTTTATAACTTTTATCCCTTTTAATGCTATATTGTGAATAGATTTCTATATCAGTAAATATGTAATTACATTATTTTTAACCTCTATGTAGGTTGTACCTTGGATACTTAGGTTGTTTCCAATTTTTTTACTGTTGTAGTCAAGGACATAATGAAGTTCTTCTAACATCCTTGCGAACTTTTCAGAATATTGACTTAGGGTAATTTTCTGAAGTTATCACTGGCTCAAAAGTACGCGCCTCCCTATCTGCGGCTCCTTTCCTTCTGAGGCATACAGGACTTCACCCTCCATCCCCCTTGTACTCATTCAGGGTCCTATGACTAATTCTGGCCAATGAAATGTGAGCACAGGTGACACATGAAGCTCCAGACAGACACTGAAATGCCCATGAGCAGTTCCGCAGTGTCTGCCTTCCCTTCCCTCAGCAAATGCTGATGTCCCAGGGACAGAGCCTCTGTCAAGCCTGGATCCCTGAGTGACTACGTGGAGCAGCCCCCTTCTCCCTTCATGTTACCCTCACCTGCCACCCTGCATGGACGGGTAGCATGAATAAAAAAAATAAACCTTAGGTGTTAAACACTGGGGTTTCAGGGTTAATTGGTTAACTGCAGCATAACATATCCTGTTGCAACAATAAAAAAGAATGCACATTTTTAGGACTTGTAATATGTATTGCCTCAAATTGCCTTCCAGAAAGACAGACCCAATTATACTCCCACCCACAGTGTGTGAGTGTGTACTGCTTCCTCTTTAACACTGGAGTTACCCTGGGGACAGAGAGCTAAAAAAAATATTTTTTTGGTTAAAATGTAACCCTTTAAGGTGTTCAGCAGTATCATTGATTTCTAAGAGGTTTATTTCATAAACATTGTAAAACAAAATTTTAAGTTGCACGTATGGCTTTTTAAAAACGTTTAGACATTTAAAAAAACACCTTTTAGTCAAGTTTATCTGTTACTTTTTTTTTTTTTTTTAATGGTTGCTACCTATGCCGTCATGCTTATGCAGGTCTTTCCAATTCTTTTTTTTTTTTTTTTTTTTTTTTTTTTTTGAGACGGGGTCCACCCTGGCCCCCAGGCTGGAGTGCAGTGGCGTGATCTCAGCTCACTGCAACCTGCGCCTCCCGGGTTCAAGCGATTCTCATGTGTCAACCTCCCTCCTGAGTAGCTGGGACTACAAGTGTATGCCACCACGCCCAGGTAACTTTTTGTTTTTAGTAGAGATGGGTTTCGCCATGTTGCCTAGGCTGGTCTCGAACTCCTGAACTCAGGCAATCCACACGCCTTGGCCTCCCAAAGTGCTGGAATTACAGGTGTGAGCCACCAAGCCCGGCGAGGTCTTCCCAATTCTGATGGCAAGGTTGTATAAATATTCACCACTATCTTATTCTTGTACTTTTATTATTTCTTTCTAAACAGTTAAATCTGTGATCTGGCTGGGCGTGTTGGCTCTTGCCTGTAATCCCAACACTTTGGGTCGCCAAGGTGGAAGGATCACTTGAGTCCAGGCATTTGAGGTTACAGTGAGCTTTGATGGCACCGGTGCACTCCAGCCTGGGGAACAGAGCAAGACCCTGTCTCTAAAAAAAATTTTAAAAACCTCTGATCTATCTGGAATGTATTTTCTAAATTACCCCAACACTGTTTATTGGGAAGTCTGTCCTTTATTCTATATGAAATCCCATTTTTGCCATACACCTAGTAGCCCTTCTGTTGGGTGCCAGGATAAGCACCCTGGCCTTGAGTGTGCTGTGAACTCTTTATTATGGGTTGTGATCTTCCTGCACATTCTAGCACTGGTACCACATTGTTTGGATCGCCATAGCTTTGGACTAAACTTCCCCATTAAACTTTTTCAAAACTTGCCTAGTATATTGTGCAGGCCGGGCATGGTGGCTCACGCCTGTAATCCCAGCACTTTGGGAGGCCAAGGTGGATGGATCACCTGAGATCAGGAGTTCGAGACCAGCCTGGATAACATGGCGAAACCCCATCTCTACTAAAAATACAAAAAAAAAAAAAAAAAAAAAAAATTAGCTGGCTGTGGTGATAGGAACCTGTAATCTCAGCTACTTGGGAGGCTGAGGCAGTGAACCCAGGAGGCAGAGGTTGCAGTGAGCTGAGATAGCACCAGCCTGGGCAACGGAGCGAGACTCTGTCTCAAAAAAACAAAAAACAAAACAAAAAAAAAACCTTCCAAAAGAAGTTTGAGATAATTTTATGTTTAGAAAAATTAGAAATTGGATTGAGTAAAATTTACATATTTTACACAAGAGGACTAACATCTTTATAATATTTAACCTTTCAGTAAATTTATGTTTTATGTTTCTCAGCCTATCTTTTCTAGTATAGGTGATTTTTTTAGTGTGGTTACTATTGTAAATGAGATCCTACTACTTTAAAAAATGAAAATTAAATCTATCGCTTTTATGACTTTAAAACATTAGACTTATGTAAGTGTAAACATTATTTAAAAACATAATGTAGAAAATTAAAGTCCCCCATAATTAAAATCCCTTTCCCCCAGAAAAAGTCAACAGCATATTCATCAGTTTTTTCCTAAAGTATGTTTTAGCACTTTGACCATATGAGACAACCCTTCTGCTGTTAGCATTTTTCTCTTTGCAATAGATCTTCCTATGTCAGTACACATCAATCTACCTCATTCTTACCTCTGCATAAGAGAGTAGTGTGTAGTTGTATAATAGTTTAACTTGGCGATTGGTTATTGATTTTGTAACTAGCCAGTTACTGAATTATTCTAAAGGTTTTGCTGTTGTTAATTTCTTTCGCCTTTTTCAGTTGGGTAATAGTTCTGGGTAGGTTGATAATTTTATTCCCATATTTGTAATCTTATTTCACTTTCTCAACTCATCACATTGACTGGTACTTTTAGAACAATGTTAAAAAACATTTACATAATTGTGCTGATATTGTACATTATTTGATATATATATATCAAATTTTTTTTACTTAGAAGAGTGTTTCTCCAAAACTATAAATTTGACTCTTAGTGTAAAATAATCTTAATATTTGAATTATACATTCAGGTTATGCCCTCTATTTCTAGTTTGATGAAAATATTATTAGTAATGGATGTTGGGGTTTTATTAAATGGCTTTTTTCCACATCTGTCAAGATGATCAACTGGCTTTTCTCTATTATGACTTTAGATGAATCGTTTTAATAGATTTGCTAATGTTAAGACATCTCTGCATTTCTACAAGAATCTGATGTAGTCATAGTATACTATTCTTTTAATATACATCTCCTTTCAATGTTAACAGTGGTTATTTATGATTGGTTGGTCCATAGTAGATTTTTATTTTGTGTTTCTTATCTGTACTTTCTGATTTTTCTACAAAGATTGTGTATTACTTGTATAATAAAAATAAGAGCTTTAAATTGTGAAATTCTTCTGGATTTGGTTTTCTCATTTTATTATGGAATTTTTCATACCTAAATAAGATGAATAGTTGGGTAATTTTTTTTCTGCTTTGTCAGTTATTGGTGTTTGTTAACTTCTTAAAAAAATTAAAAAGAACTTGGGAAGCTCTGTTTTTCTATGCCCTGGAAACATTTAAATATTTAGAATTTTTTGCTCTTTGAAGTTTTTATAACATGTATGAAACTGTCCAAATCTAGTAGTGCCTTTTTAGGAAATATGGGGTTGTTGTTTTTTTTTAATTTTTTTCATGCTCATTATTTTCTTCAAACTTTATTTCTATTCTGTAAGTTTTTGGCAATTTAAATTTTCCCGGCTAAGCACAGTGGCTCATGCTTGTAATCCCAGCACTTCTGGAGGCGGAGGCAGGAAGATTGCTTGAGCCCAGGAGTTCACAATCAGCCTGGGCAACATAGTCGCTACTAAAAATTAGCTAGGCATGGTGGTGTGTGCCTGTAGTCCCAGCTACTCAGGAGGCTGAAGCAGTAGGATCACTTGAGCCCTGGGGGCCGAAGCTGCAGTGAGCCGTGAGCATGCCTGGGACACAGAGCAAGACCCTTTCTCAAAAAAAAATTTTTTTTAATTAAGTGAATTTTCCTAAATAGTGATTCTGTTCTATTTTCAGATTTGTTGGCCTGGAGTTGTAGTATTCTGCTTCCTCATTCCCATGTTGCGTGTGCTTTCCCTTTTTGTTCTCATTGGTTTTTCCAGAATTACTCTGTTTCATTGATCTTTTCAAATAACCAACTCTGAGATTTATATCTTAATTTTACTGTTTTACTATTTCATGATTCTTTTCGTTTTGTTCTTAATTTTTTCCTTTATTATTTTCCCACCTTCTTAAGTTACATGCCATTTTAACTTTTTCTTACTTAATAAAAGACAGTTACTAACATTGTAAGGTACGACTTTTCCTCTAAATACATCTTTATCCATATCTCTTAAATTTATATTTAGTGTTCTAAGTTATAAATAATTTATAATTTCAGATTTGACTTTATTTTTTACTGGAGTTTTTTGAAATTATACTTTTAAATTTCCAGGTAGTTTATTTTGTTGTTGTTTTTTAGCATTTCTTACAAACTTCTAGTTTTATTGCCTTGTCAAAGAGAGTATGGCCTGTACAATTTGTGTGCATTTTGGAGATCATGGATGTTTTCTTGAGACCTGATTTTTAGTTTTAATACATATCTCCAGGAAACTGAAGAAGAAAGCATATTCTCTGAAGGGAACAAAATTCAATCAGATGTATTCATTTGACCTTACAAAGTATAATATTATGGACCTTTAATTTTAATTTACTTGATTCATTAAGGCTAAGAAAGATATGTTCGTCTCCTATTATTGTATTTCTGTCTGTTTCTTTTGTTTCTAACAGTTTTTGCTTTGTTTCTTTTTGATGTTATTTGGCAAATGATCTTTTTATATTTAAGGGAAAAAATATTTTCCTTTAAAGGCTTGTATACCTTTGTGAATTTTACCTGATTTTGTTGTAATAGTTTCTGTAGAAATACATAGTTCAGTAAAATATTTGTGTCTGTTTTTAAGTCAACAGAAATCTTTCAGAAATCCTTTGTATCTTGACAAGATACTTTGGAAGTTCTTGATCTCCCTAAGTAGGCTAATGTCCTTGCAGGCTACTCCTGAACCAAAGCATAAGTGGAAGTGGGGGCTGGGGCATATTAGGCTTGGGATTTTTTGAGTGTGCCAATGTTTCTGGTTCTTGCTTTGGGGCAACCCCATGCTTAGGGATGTTTAGGGGATGCCTGCCCTTCATCTGGTCATATTCTGCCTCAGTAGGGCCCACACAAAGGCAACCTATGAGGCACTTTTCTTCTGTGGGGACTAGCCTTCTGAGAAGGCAGGAGAATGTAGCTTTATATGCCTGGCTATTGGGGTAAAAGCTAATCTCAGAGACTCATTCCACCAGATAAGATTTTGGTTTTTTTTTTCTGTAGAGTCAGAGTCCCGCCATGTTTTCCAGGCTGGTCCTGACTCCTGGGCTCAAATGATCCTCCTGCCTTGGCCTTCCACAATGCCAGAATCACAGGTGCAAGCCACCATACACAGCCCCCACCAGAAAAGGTTTTTCCAGAGCTGTTGGAACAGGCTATTCACATGGCAAAGTCTGTATCAAACACAGAACCGGCTTTTCCCAAATGTGTAGGAGTGGTGAATCCCAGCCCTCAGCTCAAGAGTAAAAGAAATAGGACCTTCTCTATTTTTCCTTCATTCAAGTGAGTGTTGATTTTTGAGCCCCTGTTCCACCAGGCTCATGCAATTTGACTCAGTCAGCTTCAGCACTCCCCTTTCTCCAGAGGAGAGTCCTTTACAGTTCTGGGGAGCTTACATATTCCAACATGTTAAGGGGAGGGGATTCACGTCTGCTGAGATATCCCCGTTTCCTACCCCGCTGGATACCTCATGCCTCCATCCCATGCTTGGGACATAGGAATTAGCTGTTCTGTGCTGTAGGAATCTCCATGAAGCTGTACTTGGCTCTGCCTGCCTGGGCCCTCCCTGTAGCCATGCCCTGTCTGGCGCCACAATGACTTCATTTAACTTGAAGGGACTGCTAGATAAGCCCAATGTGTGTTTGCACGGGAGTCAAGACCACTGAGTGGAAATAATTCTGTGGCTGCCACCGATGCTGTTTGCATTGCCGAGAGCCACAGTTCTACCCCCTACTTCCCAGCAGTGGCCCCGCTGCGCCTGCCAGAGTTGTTACCATCTCTGTGCCCTTTCTCTTGCTTATTGCACAGTAGGTTACACAGTCTTGTGCTTCTCCATCTTGCCATGTCATCTCTTCACTCTACCGCTGCTCTGACCGGCCCATGCCTACCCTGTTCCCGTACCCTCCAGGATCTCCTCCGTTTTCGTATTCCTTTAATGCAGAGCTGCCAGAGGCTTCTTCCTAAAGCATAGACAGATCAGGTCCTAGGACCCTGCAGGCTCTTCCCCTGCCTGCCCAGGCCTTGCTGTGCACTCTCCCTGTGTTCTTCTTGCTTATGCTGTTCCATCCCTGGAATCCTTTCCTGCTCCAACTCCATTCCTCTTTTAGGCCCCAAAGGCCCCAGCCCTCCGGATGAAACTAAACCACTACCAGGGAGGGGGACTTGTGCCTCTTCCATCGTCCTTTTCATACTTACAGCTGTTAAATCATTCATTCATGTTTTCATTTAGCAAATATTTATTGTGCACCCTCATGCCCAGGCCCTGGGAACACCACAGTAAGAAGACTATTACTTTCCCCAGATCTGCTCTGTTCCAGTGGAGGGGTGAGCTGCTCCATTGCAGGCGTTCATGGAACTCAGCTGATGGGGGATTTTGGAGGCTCCCCCACAAGGCAGAGCTCTCATAGGCAGCCGACGACAGAGGCCAGTGTGCACCCCACTTCTCCAGACTTGGGACGACCTGGGACATTCTGAAGACCTCATGAATACCAGGCTTCAGGATCGCTGACCCCAGGAGGAGCCCACGGTGGCTCTAAGTGTACCTGCTTCGCTGTTCCTGCGTCACCAGCCCACTAAGGTCCTCTGACTTTTGTGTAGTAGCATTTTTCTAAGGACAATCTGCAGAGCAGCTGCTTCAGAACTATTTGTGTTGCCGGCCCATCCCAAAAAAACCTGGATGAGGACCCTTGCATTCTGGGCCTGGAAATCTTCATTCTAGAAAGCTCCTTTTACTAGACAGAATAATGGTCCCCAAAGATGTCCACATCCTAATCCCTGGAACCTGTGGCTATGTTACCATAGTTGGCAAAAGGGCCCTTCAGATGGAGAGATGATCCTGGATTATCCGGGTGGGCCCAGACTAATCACACAAGTTCTCAGCAGCAGCAGAGAACCTTTCCTTGGGTCAGAAAGAGATGTGATGATGGAAGAAGGGTCAGATACGATGCTGCTGGCACTGAAGGTGGAGGAAGGGGCCACAAGCCAAGGAACAGGGGCAACCTCTAGAAACCAGAAAGGGCAAGGAAATGGCTTCTCCCCGGAGCCTTTAGAAGAGAACACAGCCCTGTCAACACCTTGATTTTAGCCCAGTGAGACCCATGTCAGACTTCTGACTATGGAACTGTAAGATAAGAAATTTGTCTTTTAAGCAGCTACTTTTGTGGTGATTTGTTATGGCAGCAATAGAAAACCAATGCACTCTCATGTGCTTTTACACACCCTATGGTCTGAGAGCCTCTGCCCCATAAATCCACTCAACTACGTGGGTTTCACATGCCATGTGGCCTTTAACCAATAACCTCCTCATTCTGGCTGCCGTTACCACCTGCCTGATTCCCTAGTTCAAATTCTGAAGAGAGAATGGACGAACAGATGAATACACAAGTCTGACTGGCCTAGCTCAATGCTTTTCACTCCAGGACAATCCATAGGATTGGCTGTACTAGGAGCAGATGCCAGTCCTCCTTTGTACCAGACTCCCAAGACAAAGTACATGGCTGTATAGGAGAGAGAGGTCAGAGAAGACCTGGCGGAAAAGGCTGTGGGGTTGAGACCTAAGGATGGGCATGGGTTTGCCAGGACATGAAGGGTGCAGGGAGAATTCCAGGCACTTAAGAGAGCAGGCCCTTTGGGGGCAGGCAGGAAGCAGCATGGTATTGCTGGACTAAAACCTGTGGCAGGGGCAGGGGCTGCCCAGGGGAGGCAACCAAGTCTCTGAGGGTTTTGTCTGCCAGGCTGAGGGGCTGCCCTTCCTGTGTGGGCTGGAAAGCCAGGGAGAGGTGAAGACTGGCAGTGCTTTGGAGGCCGACTGGAGAGCTCTGAAGCTGGGCAATAGGAGACACTTGTCCCCACTTCCTTGGCTCTGAATTCCCTGAAGCCAAAGTCTGGATTGACTTCAAGGCTTGGCTGGAAAAAGCAGGAAAAGGGAGAAAGGAAGGAGAGAAGGTTCCAGAGGAGGAAAGGAAGCGTTGATGCACAGAAGACACAATTGGGCCAGGAATTTTTATTGTGAGAACGTTCTTTTGAAAAGGATCCTTTTTTCAAAGGCCTCTTGTGTTTGGCAGCCCTTAGAAAGCAAATTCTGAGAATTATTTTAGCCTGATTAAGCTCGCTGGTATCTCAAAATACTGAAATTATAAATACGTAATTACAAACAATGCCAAACTGCAAAATATGCATAAGAAAAGTCCCACAAAGTTGTGATTTTGCTACTTTTTCAATTCCAAATTCTTTCCCTAGGAAGTTTGATGCTGAGCCTGGCCTGTCTGTGGTGGGGAAGGAGGCCTGGGCCACAGCCACTGGACCTGTCTCTGGGATCTGGACCTGATGCCCAGCGAGTAGCCCGCAGGTTGCGTCCCCCACTGGAACACCCCTGGGAACCTGGGTGGGAGCGGCAGGTACAGGGGCCAGTGCAGAGTCAGGGCTTGGCCCATCAGGCCTGGGCCAGCACAGTGAGGCACATTCATTCATACACAGGAGTTGGATTTGCATTCTGAAAAGGTAGCACACATGACAGACCCGTGGGCAACCTGGCAGTGGCTGGGAAACCTGGCAGTGGCCATGCCACAGAGGGAGACCCAGGCTGCAGCTGCTGAAAGGGACTCACGCCCCTCCCAGCTGTGCCAACTGAGGCCCCTCAGGCTGCTGTGTACCAGTTAGTTAAGACACTGGAAGGCCAGGTGTGGTGGCTCACGCCTGTAACCCCCAGCATTTGGGAGGCCAAGGTGGGAGGATCACGAGGTCAAGAGATCGAGACCATCCTGCCAACATGGTGAAACCCCATCTCTACTAAAAATATAAAAATTAGCTGGGTGTGGTGGCACACGCCTGTAGTCCCAGCTACTCGAGAGGCTGAGGCAGGAGAATCACTTGAACCCAGGAGGCAGAGGTTGCAGTGAGCTGAGATCGTGCCACCGCACTCCAGCCTGGTTGACAGAGCAAGACTCTGTCTCAAAAAAAAAAACAAAAAAACTGAAGTAGGAAGATTTCTGTTCTATATCAATCAGGACTTTCTTTGTAAACGAGGTGCGTTCCTTTTGTTCTGTGGAGACCCAGGAGTAATATCACCAGAGTGAGGGTGATGAGGTTAGTAGGGATGCTCGCAGTCTGAGAAATGAACGGACTGCTTTGCATCAGTCCCTTCCCCTTCCCTGATTTTAAAAATTTAATTTTAAGGAGAAAATACTTCAGCATGAGACTTCAGTTCCTGAGGAAAATAACACTATTGCTCCATCCTTAGTATTCACTTAAACAAATGTTTAGCTAAAATTTTATTAAAAACTTTCAGCCCACCCGGACACGGAAGACTTTGCTTTTACAGCAGCTAAGGTATGTTTTCATTACCCCGTGAGTGATGCTAATGCATTGCAAATAGTTATTATGAGTTTATGTAGTGCTTGGTGCCTAAAATAAATTTCATTTAAATATTTAAAATAACTCCTGAATATAAGCAATTTATTCTGATTACTGATAAAATAACATTCACATTCAAGCCTACAAATCTGAGAAATCATTATTCCATATGCACAGAAGGCCACAGTCAGTAGTCTAATAGTACTGCTTACCAGTGTAGTGTAAACTTCTTTCAGAATCAGGGAACAATTCTAGATCAGCCATGGTGAGAAATAAGTGCTCTTCTCTTAGGCCAGCGACACTTCCGATGGGTCTTGACATCCCACCTATGGGCTGGTGTGTGAAACTCTCATCTCTACGTCCCTCCCCAGTTTTAAGAGTCACCATGTCACATAAAAGCTCCAGCATCAGCCAGGCACGGTGGCTCATGCCTATAATCCCAACACTTTGGGTGGCCAAGGCAGGTGGATCACGAGGTCAGGAGTTCAAGACCAGCCTGGCCAACATAGCGAAACCTTGTCTCTACTTAAATATACAAAAATTAGCCAGGCGTGGTGGTGCATGCCTGTAATCCCAGCTACTCGGGAGGCTGAGACAGAGAATTGCTTGAACCTGGGAGGTGGAGGTTGCAGTAAGCCAAGATCGTGCCACTGCACTCTAGCCTGGATGACAGAGAGATTCTGTCTCAAAAGAAAGAAAAAAAAAAGGCTGGGCGTGGTGGCTCACACCTGTAATCCCAGCACTTTGGGAGTCTGAGGCAGGCGGATCACGAGGTCAGAAGATCGAGACCATCCTGGCTAACACGGTGAAACCTCGTCTCTACTAAAAAATACAAAAAATTAGTTGGGCAAGGTGGTGGCGCCTGTAGTCCCAGCTACTCGGGAGGCTGAGGCAGGAGAATGGCGTGAACCCAGGAGGCGGAGCTTGCAGTGAGCCAAGATCGCACCACTGCACCCCAGCCTGGGAAGCGGAGCTTGCGGTGAGCCGAGATGGCGCCACTGCACCCCAGCCTGGGCGACAGAGTGAGACTCCATCTCAAAAAAGAAAAAAAAAAAAAATGCTGCAGCAGCCTACACAAGGCCCTGCTGATCTTCCGGGGTGTTATGTGGCCCATCTATCAGCACCCTGTTAGTATGCTTTTCGATAGGTCTAAGACTCACCCACTTTATTCAAGCCTACTGTGGCAGGTGCCTTTGTCAAACTTGAGCCTAACCATCCCACTGGCCAGGGTCCTGCTCATCACTGTCCTCCTCAGAGTCAGCAGACACCCTCTTGATTCTCTGGAGCGCAGCCTTGATGCTCCTCTCAAGGTCACTGGTGCGTCTGTTGCTGGTTGGTTTGCTGCTGGGGTTTGGGCCAAGATCAGGGTGAACTTTCTTCAGTTTGACCCCTTGCCTTATGGCAGCCAGAATGTGCTCATTGATTGAGGCGTGGGGAGGGCGCACCGCCGGCACTTCCACCTTCCGGAGAGGAGCTCTGCCATGCCTTAAGGAGGCCAACACTTCATCCATAGATCCTGAAATTGAATAAGCAGAGCTAGTACTATCAATAAAACACTTTCCCTTCCCAGGACATTACTGCTATGAAATTGTGAAATCTCCTATCAGTTAACACCATGATTTAAACAAATAATCACTTCATTAAGCAAATGCCTTGATTACGTGCTAACGATAAGCTCCCTGGTTGAATCCAGGACAGCTGAATAGCTCATGTTTTAGCTTAACCACTTCCTTTCTGCTAACTTCTTCAAATCCATAGCAACTGACAGGAACAGACATGCACTTTTGTTAGAATGACGGTTTTTCAAGACAAATGTGATCTGTCCCTCCCATCCTGAAGAGTGTTACGGAGGCCTGGGGTGGAATAGTCTCACCCACTGTGCGTGACCTGGATACCTCTGAAGCTGTATCTCCTTCATTACCCTGTCCAGCTAAAAGAAATCTTTTAAAAAAAATTTATCCTGCTCAATTTAACTTCAGTCTTGGGTATTAGTCAGTGATGACTCATTCTATGACAATGAAGTGAGTAGGTTTCTACACATGAAAAGGCTTAAAATAAAACTTTAACCGGCAACTCAATGAACCGCCACCGGAGGGGTGGTGCTGGCACATTTTTCTGTATATAATGTGTTTAATTCCACCTACATTACCCTGAGGTGGCTTACATACTTTATTTTTGAGGATGTGAAATGCTGTCAAAACACAATTAGATCAGAGCTTCAAGGCATTGGTGAGGAGAAGCTATTTTTCACTCTGGCACCTGGAGACCCCTGAGAGGGTAAAAATCTTTTATCGCCTGCTGGAGACAGGCCTGACTGTGGCCACTAATTTAGAGATCTTCCAGGTAAGGCTTCAAGGATTAATAATCAATTCTAGTTCAGGATTGAAAGGCCGTGCTGTGGCTAACAAAAGGCTATTTTGCTTTGGATTTAAACTTATACCTTCTTATTACAATTTCTTTCTGGGGGTAATGAGACAGGTTTCACAATCAAGGGCATTCTCTGGTGCAAATTCACACTTTCTTATTCTTTCCTGTGAATTAGCAGCATTTGTGAGTTGAACAGAACTTCCCAAAACCATGTGCATTAAATCTGGGCTGGGAATGTGGCACCCCACAAAGATCTGCCCACTTCCAAAGTCCGATCTAGACACAGCCACGCGAACTCTTTACTTTTCATTCACAGGGCAGTTGTTGCAAACCCCATGGAAACAGGCCATTGGGTCTCCACCTAATATATGAACATTTTCATTTGTACCTGGTTCTAGGTACAGTGAAGCTCTGAACTCAGAATAGCCAGATTGCTCAATTAACCAGAATCACAGTTTGGAACTGCTATATCATTCATAACACTTATTACAGTAACCTTGCACAGTTTAGGTGGAGGTGCTTAAGCATACTTTTAAAAACAAATTTACATAAATTTTGCTAGGATTTATCTAAAGTGCACACACATACCCCCCAAAGAAGTAGGCTCCAAGTCTAGGCAGATTTAGGCCATTCTCCTCAACACTTAATGTCTAAAGTCAAAATTCAAATTCTGAGTGAGAACTATAGCCCTATTAAAGAAACTGTCAGGAGTATTCAGTGTACTGCACTTGCCAAGACAAGTGGCCCACTTTTTCTTTCTGTCCCATTGCACTTTAGAAAGATTTCCAATAGTAAGGGTCCTCAGTGTGCTAGTCAGTCTGCAAGAACAGCCTTCTACATTCTGGCTAGTATGCCTCTACAGTAATTTCCAACCAGTATTCTGCTTAAAATACAACAACTGGATTCTATAAAGGACTCAGAGATGCAAGAGTAAGCATAATTTAAAACAGTATTGAAAAGTATTCCAACGGCAGAAATCAAATACATACTGAAGTCTTAAGAAACTTCAAATAGGTTGATACTTTAACAACCTCAGAAACCCCAAGTCATGCGATCATTAAATGTATAGAGATGGTTTCTTCAAACTGAATTAACATTTATGAAACCAGATTTAGGCTATACTATACTAACTTTCCAATAAAAGAATAATGATACTCAAGGCAGCAAATACTGGAATATTTTAAGGCTATAGAGAATTATAAAAATGATTTCCATTTGAAGATGATGGCTTCTGAAGCTAGAATGCTTCAACAGCTTAACAACTCATGGGGAGCAGGGACAGAATTCCAGTGGATTACCTGGACATGAAAAACTTTCCAAGGAGTCACGTGGTCGCTCAGCAGGTGATTCGCACACTAGAGGACGTGGCTGGTCATCTTTCACTGGAGCCCGGAAGCCTAAGTTCTGATGAGTTGCAGCTTGAGAGGATGAGGACAGAGCACGGAGAGGAGGGGGTGGGGGCGGCGGTGGCGGCGGTGGTGGTGGTGGAGGAGGAGGAGGTGGTGGCAGTGACAATTCCTCACTGGATTTGGAATGTGTTTGATCACCAACTGGAACAAAAACCTGGACAGGGATATTTCCATGACAGTTTTGACACTTGG
Organism: Homo sapiens; assembly: GCF_000001405.40. Lineage (NCBI taxonomy): Eukaryota > Metazoa > Chordata > Mammalia > Primates > Hominidae > Homo > Homo sapiens. Next base: position 82,830,776 of record NC_000015.10, on the reverse strand, counting down.
GGCTTTTCACATTACCAGCTTCCGATAGGGGAACACCTCTAGTTTTCCTAGAGGACGGGTGAATTACTGACACCGCGTGGGAAGCTGGCAAGCACATCTGCTGGGAAAGATCACTTGGCAGGTTTGGAGCCACAGGTTCTGAGCCAGAGGTGTTTCGGACAGATTGAGCTAGGCGTTTCTGAAAATGAAAAACCATGGTGAGCAATCTGCCACAAGTGCAAACCATCAAAATGCTGAAACTTTCTAGAAATCTATAAACACATCCGTTTCTATGCATGGATGGTCTAATTCACAAAGTGACTCCTTGTTTGTACAGCCATCCTTTCTACCGAACCCATTTTTCATGGATTAAAAAAAAGATAAGCATTTATATCCTTTGATCAAGTATTACCTTCTCTGTAATAAAATGAAGATATGAAAGCATACATATAGAGGAAAATAGTCATCAACTTTTAGTATGGAAAATTAGAAATGCTAAAATACGAATAATAAGATATTTGTTGAAAAAATTATGACAAATCTATTCAAAATATTAAGTAGCCGGCGACAGAGCAAGACTCCGTCTCCAAAAAAAAAAAAAGCCATAAAAAGTGATAAATAGTACAACGCCTGAAACATCAGAAAAAAATCAGATGATAGTGTTCAATGAAAACCAGATATAAAATAGTATGTATTATGATTAAAAATGAGAAAAGTTCTATGAAAAATGCCAGCACAGTCGACATCCAAGTGGAAGCTATAACAGAGCCTGTGGATATTTCTTTTCTCTTACTTTTAGGCTTAAGAGTTAATTTCATAATTTAAAAAATGTAAATTGAAAAAGTTCTGGTCTTTCAGGTATTCATTTGATATAGAAAAACCTAGCCCTACAAAGAGCTAATCTTGAGAGGAAGTCCCTAAAGAAGGCACTGATTAGCCAATAAAACATAAAATGTAATACTATGAACTCATTAAAATGAACTAGCTCTATACATATTAACATGAATATATCTCAAAAACCTAAGTTAAAGAAACTGGCAAAGGATGAGTTCAATATGATCCTATCAATGCAAACCTAAACACACACACACCCCCCCCATGCAATCCATGATAAACTCAAGGACACACACACACACACCCCATGCAATCCACGATAAACTCAAGGAGTATTTCTATTTCCCTCACTTTCTGCTCCTTTCAGGACAAATAGCAATGTCATGGCGACAAGCCCCCAAACCTCCCTGATGCAGACACAGCCATGCAGCTGCCGTCCTGCAGCCTTCTGTCAGAGACCATGCCAGCAGAATTAGAATCCCAGAAAATGGGCCAGAGGGCTAAACTCCAGTGGTCATCCAACTGATCTCCATCCAACTGATCAGGTCATCCCTGATGCTGGGGTTCCCTGAACCACCCAAGGATGCCCTCTGTGGCATCCCGGCTGCAGCATGTCACTGTGACTCTGGACTGTTAAGTTCTGCCTTTGTTTTTTTGTAGAGACGGGGTCTCACTTTGTTGCCCAGGCTGGTCTCAAACTCCTGGGTTCAAGCAATCCACCTGCCTCACCTTCCTGAAGTGCTGGGATTACAGGCGTGAGCCATGGCGCCTGGCCGAGTTCTGCCTTATATTGCACATACAGCCTGTCCACGCATGATAAATTAAATCCTTTACCTTGTACAGCCCTTCAGATATTCAAAAAACTTTCTTGATCGCAATAGATATCATGCATCACATGATTTTATTTCTAGTTTTCTCCCTCTCCTACTTCCTCCCTTCCAAATGTGCTCAAATTGGCTATGTCCCCTTCAAGGGTGGCACTTCTTGGTAAACACAGAACTCCCTTATTCTGTGTATGGCCGCTGTCCATACATCCCAAAAGCCCATGAGCTTTCGTCACACAGGTGGCTCATTAAACTGAAGGAAACTGAATTCTTAAATTCTTTTACCCAAAATTTAAGCCACACAGACTTTCCTATCACCCCATGCAAGTGCATACCTCCATATGGGCTTTTTTGGACTAGAAAACCAGTAATTTATCCCAATTTGGGATGAACTTGTTAGCGTTTAACTAATTGTTCCAGTTTCGCTGGGAGCTTAGGAGGCCTGATTCTGTCATTTTAAATCTGCCTACCCCTCCCATTTTCATATCACCCACACATGAAAAAGTAATCTTCTGTATTGCCAAACAATTCCTTGATCTGAGTGAGGCCTGAGGAGATGGGCTGGTTGCCCTTGGATCCCTTCCTCCACACTGACTCCATTCTGTTCATCGAAACTCTCTTGGTGATGGTGACCAGCCAGTTCCTCTCTACCTCACTGGCTCTGTGTTCATCTGGTATTCATGCAGCTCCTTCAATTCATGCTTCCTGCTGCAGTTCACACCCAGGCCCCGATCCAGGGCAATCACATCAGAATTTCTATGGGTGGGGCTGGGCCTTAGTACTTAGAAGAAGCTCTCCAGGGGATGTGGATGTGTTGCCCAGGCTGAGAAGCCCTGTGTGGCTCTGGAGTAAGACCTGGCTTCAATTCCTGCTGTTTAACCTTGAACTAAGTTGTGTAACCAACCATTCTGAACCTTGGTTACTCATTTGTAAAGTGGTGATGAAACTATCTCACAAGGCTGTTTCAAGAACTAAGTGAGAGTGAATGTGAAGTGCCTAGCATGGTGCCTGGTATACAGAAGGCATCTGATACCTATTCCAGAATCTTTTCTGGGATAAAGTGGGTTGTTTTTGGGGGCTACAATAAACTTGGGTCTTTGTGAAGGGGCTGGGGAATGAAAGCAGGTCTATGTTTTACAGTCAGTAAATTCAATGATATTCTTAAATAAGCCCCTATTTACTTTTTTTTTTTGAGACAGAAGAGTCTCACTCTGTTGTTCAGGCTGGAGTGCAGTGGCGCAAGTTCAGCTCACTGCAACCTCTGCCTCCCAGGCTCAAGTGATTCTTGTGCCTTAGCCTCCCAAGTACCTGGGACTACAGGCATGCACCACCATGCCCGGCTAATTTTTGTATTTTTAGTAGAGACAGGGTTTCACCATGTTGCCCAGCCTGGTCTCAAACTCATGACCTCAAGGAATCTGCCCGCCTCAGCCTCCCAAAGTGCTGGGATTACAGGCGTAAGCCACCGTGCCTGACTCCCTATTTACATTGTTTTAAAAAACCTATTTACCTTTAGATGAATGTTTGAGGTGATGGATATGCTAATTACCCTGATTTGATCATTACACATTATACACCTGTATCAAAATATCACACTATACCTCATAAATATGTACAATGATTATGTGTCAATTAAAAATAAAAGCAAAAAATTATTTTTTGAATTTTCATAGCAGCTTTTTTTAAAGGAATTTATCTCTAATAATAAAGTCAACAAATAGAAAAAAATTAGACTCAGGATCATTTTGTGGAGGAAATACAAATGTAGGCCTAGAACAGAGGGCATAAAAAAATAACATTATCCTCATAAGTATATACTTCAAAAAAAGAAAAAAGAAAGTTGTAGATATCAAAAAAAAACCCACTAAATTTTACTTTTAACAGGGCACTTTCACTACACTTATATCACAATGCTGCCTGGATAACATTTTAAAGAATTGTTTATTACAAATGAGGGGAAATGCCAGCTAAAGTCAAGGGAGTTGAACAGTTTTCAGTTTTCCCTGCCAATCTAAACCACCAGTGCCAGTTAGGACTACTCAGTGAGGAGTGCAGAGCAGGAACCCAAGCGTGTTGTGATGTCAAAAACAGCAGTTATTTTGTATCATGGGTTTTGAATCACTGATATTCTATTTTTGTTGTTTTTTATTGATATACCAGAAATAATGGTATTTTTTAAATGTTTCACGTTCTGAATGACCTGTTCTTAATACTTCATACTTTCATCTTTTTTAGGGTGGTCTTCAGTTATTTCCCCAGAAGTGTAGATGAGGTGATTGTTTATAGAACTTACATCTTTAAATGATCTCAATCGTTGGAGTGTTTTTTGACGTTCTTGGTTGATCCATTCTTTTTTCTTTTGCTCCTCTTCTTTTATCTTGTCTCTTTTCTATATTTAAACAAATGTATATTTGTAAATTGCTCAACATTACAAAAAATGTCTTGGCATACAATAAAAATGTCTCAGCAAAGAAAGAGGCTGTACCCCAACATTACCACCCCAAGGCTGCGCCCAGGCTGCAGACCTGGAGGCTAATGGCTGACAGCTGCAGGTCCAGGGCAGCGCAACTCCAGTTTCCACAAGTCTAGGCCTGCATGTCACGCTACACAAACATAGAACATTTTCCTTCGGAGGAGACTCACCATCTGAATACTGTGATGCTGACGAGAGTATCTTATGCTTTCTTCAGCCTGTTGCAATCTGAACCGATGATTTTCTTTGCACTGATCCTGGTGGAATAATACAAATCACCTACATGGTTTTTAATATTACCCTGGTATAGCATAAAAGATTAAAAGAAAAAAGCACTGCATTTGGGCTATAGTGTAAGGCATTCATTAATATTAGTTCTGGAGCGGCCCAATGGTACTGTCTCCTCCGCAGTCTATGATGAGGGTTGCCTGGCTGCTTATGGAAATAATTTGTTCCCAGCAGAGTGCTTTAAGAGATGAAAAACAATCCGCCAACCATGAGAGGACACATAGGCAGTCGCCATTCTTAAATGGGATGTGTCCCAACAATGTTTTAATGTGACTGTTTAAACACATTTCCCCATAACATTATTAATACTCATCACATTTCCGAGCATACCTACAAAAGCAGAGCAACCTACAAATACCTGAAAAATTAGAACTGTTTCACCTGTGCTTAACCACGCACTGTACCAATATATAATATGCGATATGCACATAAAATCCTTCATCTATGTAAAAAATAATACAGTAATACAGATAATACTAACATTTATTGAGTAGGTTTCAGCCTCAATGCCAAGTACTTTTCATGCCTTATGATACTTTATCCTCACATGAAATTTGTATTATTGCCACTATCATCTTTTTTTTTTTTTTGAGACTGAGTTTCGCTCTTGTTGCCCAGGCTGGAGTGCAGTGGCGTGATCTCGGCTCACTGCAACCTCCACCTCCCGGGTTCAAGCTATTCCCCTGCCTCAGCCTCCCGAGTAGCTGGGATTACGGGTGCCGCACTAGCCTATCATCCTCTTTTAACAGATGAGAAAACTGTGAGCTCGAAAGAGATTTAAGTAATTTGCCTAAGGTCACATGGCTACCTAAGTGGCCAAGCTGTGATTTGAACCCAAGTTGATAGCTCACCTCAACTACCATTCTATTAACTGAGTGCCTTCCAAATTCCAACATTTCCAGAATCAGTGGAAAGAGCTCCTCTAAATGGGGTAGGGGGAGTGATTATATCTTGAGAGTGAAGGTTAATGCTCCAAGTCTGGATAAGAGAAGGCATAGGAGCATTTTATATATATATATAAAAAACACTGCCAAGGAGGTGGAGGCATCTGTTCATCCACAGCACCATGGGAGTGCCAAAGGAGAGTCTTCCTGGGGCTCATGGGTTTTCTGAAATGTGGAGCAAAGGGCAAATGCCTGTATATCTTCAAATCCTCTGAATAACAGTTCCTAAATCCAGAAGTACAATTCTTAAACACAAACATGCAAAGAATATACTCTTCTAACAAAGTTTTTTATTTTTATTTTTTTATTAGAGACAGGGTCTTGTTCTATCACCCCAGCTGAAGTGCAGTGGTACAATCATAGCTCACTGAAGCCTCAACATCCTGGCTTCAAGCGATCCTCCTGCCTCAGCCTCTTGAGTAGCTGGGACTATAGGTGCGCACCATAGAGATGAGGTCTCACTGTGTTGTCCCTGGTCTTGAACTTCTGGCCTTAAGTGATTCTCCCACCTCAGCCTCCCAAAGTGCTGGGATTACAGGCATAAGCCATGGCACCTAGCGAAGTTTTTCTTAAGTATTTGTATTTACATGGAAGAGTAATGAACATTTTTATAAGCTACAAAAGTCACAATTTTCATGTTTTCTTAATTCTAATAAGAAAAATATAGTAGGCTGGGCACAGTGGCTCACGCCTCTAATCCCAGAACTTTGGGAGGCTGAGGCAGGTGGATTGCTTGAGGTCAGGAATTCAAGACCAGTCTGACCAACATGGTGAAACCCCGTCTCTACTAAAAATACAAAAATTAGCCGGGTGTGGCCAGGCGCTGTGACTCATGCCCGTAATCCCAGCACTTTGGGAGGCCAAGGCGGGTGGATCACCTGAGGTCAGGAGTTCAAGACCAGCTTGGCCAACATGGTGAAACCCCGTCTCTACTAAAAATACAAAAATTAGCCAGGGGTGGTGGCACATGCCTGTAATCCCAGCTACTCAGGGGGCTGAGGCAGGCTTGAATCCTGGAGATGAAGGTTGCAGTGAGCCGAGATCGTGCCACTGCACTCCAGCCTGGCGACAGAGTGAGACTCCCATCTCAAAAATATATATATATATATATTAGCCGGGTGTGGTGGCAGGCACCTGTAATCCCAGCTACACGGGAGGCTGAGGCAGAAGACTCGCTTGAACCTGGGAGGTGGAGGTTGCAGTGAGCTGAGATTGCGCCATTGCACTCCAGACTAGGAGACAGAGCGAGACTCTGTTTCAAAAAAAAAAAAAGGAGAAAAGTATAGTAAATATGAGTAAATACATATAAAAGTCTGTATAAAAATGATATATAGGAGCTTCCTTTTCTGTCAGAGAAAATTAAATTTCTTAGTGTTATCTTTTTATGTATTCATGGATTTTTTAAAATTAAGAAAAAAAATCACCAAATATAATGTCTGAGGTGAGCTGAATATTGTTATCTGTAATTCTTTTGTGTACTCAATAATTTACAGTAAAATATATTTAGAATTGTTATAGTTGGCTATTAGAAATAGAGTTTCTACCTATTGTGGTTTTTAAAGTACTGTGGTCCAGGGGTGGTGGCTCACACCTGTAATCCCAGCACTTTGGGAGGCCAAGGTGGGCGGATCACTTGAGGTCAGGAGTTCAAGACCAGCCTAGCCAACATGGTGAAACCCCACCTCTACAAAATATACAAAAATTAGCTGGGCGTGCTGGCGCGTGCCTGTAAACCCAGCTACTTGGCAGGCTAAGGCATGAGGATCGCTTGAACCTAGGAGGCAGAAGTTGCAGTGAGCCAACATCATGCCTCTGCACTCTAGCCTGGGTGACAGAGCAAGACTCTGTCTCAAAAAAATAAAAATAAAGTGCCTGTGTGCCTGTGTATGCAATGGGCATTCAACAAATAGTTGTTGAATGAATAAATTAAAACCTTGAGATTTGCTAAATGCTTAAATCCCAAAAGAAAAAAAATATTTTTAAGAAAAATATTTAAAAGCATTTTAACTATAGCCATGGATAAGTACATAAGCACACAAAATGTAATCACTGTGTTGGTAAAAACCTTATTTCAATACCTTTATCCTTCATACAAGAATAAATCTCTGAAAGAGAAAAGAAAAGAAAGCCGCTCTGAGCGTACCTACCTTTCTACTCCGGAGAGAGGCTCTTTTGGCACAGATCCTGCCCCGTTTAGACTCCAGCTGCTGGCACTGCCTTCTGAGTTCTTTCACTTCCAAATTCTTATCATCCTGCAGCCCCACCACACAGTCAATGACTTTAAGTTCCTCTGGATTTTCACATGGATCGTAATAGACAACTTCATCTTGTTTTTCTAAAAATGTATTAATGATTGTTTAAAACATATTTTATTATTTTAAAAAATGCATTGAATTTTTTTAAATGTAAGAAAAATAAAGATCACTTGTAATCCCACCACTGAGAAGCACTATTAACATATATGAAAAATATGTGTATATGTAATATACATGCACACATGTGTATATACATGACTATATACATGTATGTAAGTAGCATGTGTGTATATCCATGTAGTGTATGCATGTATACATACATGTATATAGACATATGTGTGTATATATATATATACACACACACACACATACTACTTACATAGCTACACATATCAATGGAGTTCTAAAAGAACATTTTCCATGGGATGGAAATACATTTTTAGGCCAGGCGCAGGGGCTCACGCCTGTAATCCCAGCACTTTGGGAGGCCAAGGCAGGCGGAACACCTGAGGTCAGGAGTTCAAGACCAGCCTGGCCAACACGGCAAAACCCCGTCTCTACTAAAAATACAAAAATTAGTTAGGCACAGTGGCGCATGCCTATAATCCGAGCTACCTGGCAGGCTGAGGCAGGAGAACAGCATGAACCTGGGAGGCAGAGGTTGCAGTGAGCCAAGATCGTGCCACTGCACTCCAGCCTGGGCAACAGAGCAAGACTCCATCTCCAAAAATAAAAAAAAATTTAAAAAGATAAATTTTAATGGCAGCATAGTATTCTCTAATTTAAGCAGTCCATGTTGTTAGGCTGTTCCAATGTTCCACTATTATTCATTTCACTGTGATGAACATCCCTGTATAAATCTTTGTGTACACTTTTTATCACTTCCTTAGCAGATAAATATTTAAGGATCTTGATACCCATTGACAAATTGCCCTCCAGAAAGGCAACTTATATTCTACCAGCAATATATTATTAAGATGTCTTAGTCATATATAATCTTGATTACATATTGATTTTTTTTAAAGCCATGCTTACTGTAACAAATTCAAACCCTCCAGAAGTACATAAAACAGTGAAATTGTCTTGCTCCTTCCCCAAACCTTCTGAGTCATTCTCAGAGGAAAAACATTATGAACAATCTGGCATGCATCCTTCCAGATTAACTTCTTTTTTTAATGTAATTTTTTTCCTAAATATGTAAAATGCTTATAACCTGAAACTACTGCAAAAAATTCTGAATACTCAGGATTAAACTAAAAGTTCAGGATCTATGTGAAGAAATTTATTAAACTTGGAGGAACTTTAGGAAAAAAGATTTAAATAAATGGAGAGAGACATACCATGTTCTTGGGTAGGAAGATTCAAAATTGCAAAGACCACTATTCTCCCCAAAGTAATCTCTAATTTTAAGCAAAATCACAATCAAAATTCCAACGAGTTTTTGTTTTGAACTTGATTCTAAATTTCATCTGGAAGAATAAAGGAGTGAAAATAGTCAGAAAACTTGTGGAGAAGTAATGGGGGAGGTACTTGCCTTACCAGACCCTAAAATGTGCTTCCAAGGTACAGTCATGGGAACGGTATGGAGCCAGCAGCAGAAGCCACTCACAAACCAATGGAGGAGAACAACACAGAAACAGACCAAAGTCAATCTAATGTTTAACTTGAGAAATGTTAAACATTTAGGGAAAATGTTTTTAAAATCAGTGATTGGGACTGCTTAACAATTTGAGGGAAAGGTTCAATTCCTACGACAATCAAAATAAATTCCACCTGGACTAAAGAATTAAATGTTTTAAAAAGCAACATCATAAACATACGAAAAGAAAACATAAGCATATATTGACATAATTTTGGGATTGGAGAATATTGCCAGACATAATACTAAAAGCAGAAGCCATGGGGAAAAAAATTGATAAACGTGACTTCATAAAAATTAAATATTTCTGAAAGGCAAGAAAACACAAATGACAAGGAGAGATTATTTGCAACATATGACAGACAATAGAGGATATTATTTTTAATGTGGAAAGGAAATATTCCAAAGAAAAATGGACAAAGACTATGAATAGGCATTTCATAAAATAAGTACAAATGGCTCGTAAACATACAAAATTTTGTTCAATATTCACTCATAATTAAATAAATGAAAATTGGAAGACTGCCATTTTCTCTGTCAAGTAAGCAAAAATGCAAAAGAATGGCATGAGTCTGGGAAACATACACACTCATATTCTGCTGATGGGAGCATCTTTTTTCTTTTTTTTTTTTTTTTTTTTTTTTGAGACAGAGTCTTACACTCTGCCGCCCAGGCTGGAGTGCAGTGGCACCATCTCGGCTCACTGCAATCTCCACCTCCCAGGTTCAAGCGATTCTCCTGCCTCAGCCTCACAGGTAGCTGGGATTACAGGCGCCTACCATCATGCCCAGCTAATTTTTGTATTTTTAGTAGAGACAGGGTTTCAACATGTCGGCCAAGCTGGTCTTGAACTCCTGACCTCAAGTGATCTGCCCCACTCAGCCTCCCAAAGTGCTGAAATTACAGGTGTGAGCCACCACACCCAGCCTGGGAGCATCATTTTAAATGTACAACCTATCTAGAGGGTCATTATGTAGCATGAAATTTAGAAATCAGAAAATAATATGGAGGTGAGGAAAAATGTATCTCAGATGATTATTGTACTGTTATGTATCAAAATGTAAAATATACATTGCCCTTGACCCAATAATTCCATCCTTAGAAATTTATTCCAAGGAAATAATCTGTCCTATACTCAAAGACATGTGTAAAGTTCACTACACTACTGTTCAAAACACCTGAAATTTGGAAATCATGGTATATCCATATAATGGAATACTATGCAGCCATTAAAATTTTGATACTTTTATTATTCACTGAAATAGAAAGACAGTTATGTATTAAATGAAAAAGAGACTATTATGCATTATATGCCTATGTCAAAATATCTCATGTAACCCATAAAAATATATATCTACTATGCACCCATAAAAATTAAAAATTGTTTAAAAAGATGTTACTGAACTGGTTATATATTTTGGTTAAAAATTTATATTTTTATATATCAGCATATTTTAAAATCTACAAAGTTATACAGCAAATTGTTACCACGAAGTATCTTTTTTTTTTTTTCCTTTTCAAGATGGAGTCTCGCCCTGTTGTCCAGGCTAGAGTGGAGTGGCACGATCTTGGCTCACTGAAACTTCCACCTCCCAGGTTCAAGCCATTCTCCTGCCTCAGCCTCCCAAGCAGCTGGGATTACAGGCACGTGCCACCACACTGGACTTTGTGTTTTTAGTAGAGACAGGGTTTAGTATTTTTGTATTTTTAGTAGAGATGGGGTTTCACCATGTTGGCCAGACTGGTCTGGAACTCCTAATCTCAAGTGATCTGCCCGCCTCGGCCTCCCACAGTGCTGGGATTATAGGCGTGAGCCACTGTGCCCAGCCAACCACTAAGCATCTCTAGATGATGGGATTGGGGTAATAATCATTTTTCTTTCTTTGTTTTGCTATGTGTTAACAATGAATATATTATTTGAATAATAAACCACTGAAGGAAAACTTTAGGAAATTTTCAGATGTTATAATTTACAAAAAGTAATTGATAATATGGTCTGTATTTCCTTAAATTTATAATTTAAACATTGCAATCTATATACTTAAATTTTACCTTTTATAAGTCTTTTAAGAGAGTCCAACTGTGTAGTAAGCAGTATTTCTTCGTTTTTTAATATCTCAAATTTAACTTCATATAGTTCTAATTGAATTTCATAAAATTGTATTTCTAATTCATCTACAACATTTGTATTTTTTTCTTGTTCTGGAAGATCTTCCATCTTATTTTCATAGAAAAAAGAAAAATAAGTTAAAATAAATTAGTATATTAAAAACAAACTTTAGAAGCATTCTAGCTATTTTCTATTCCTTGTTCAGTACTAAATATAACAAAGCAAATAGGAAAGAAACACTTTTTCATTTCATCTAGTGATGCAAATACTTTATCTCATCCTTGAAACAGAGGAAAACATTTAGGTTCTGAGAAACATAAATGGCAATGAGGTATTATTATGTACTGCATATTGGTGTCCCCCCAAAAATTCGTATGTTGACACTCTAACTCCCAGTGTGATGTTATTTGGAGGTGGGTCCTTTGGAAGTAATTAAGTTCAGATTATGTCAAAAGGATAGCACCCCCATCATGGGATTAGTGCCTTTATTAGAAGAGAAAGAGAGGGATCACTTTCTTTCTAAACATACACACAGAAGAAAGGCTATATGAGCACTCAGTTAAGAAGGCAGCTGTCTACCAGACAGGAAGAGGATCCTCACCGGACAGTGAATCTGCAGGCACCTTGATCTTGGACTTTCCAGCCTCCAGAACTGTGAGAAATACATGTCCGTTGTTTAAGCCACCCAATCTGTGATATTTAATCTTGTTATAGAAGCCTGAGCCAACTAAGACAGGTGTTTACAGTGTTTTCTGCTTTAAAGTCATAAGATTATAGGAAAAAATTTAAGTGACTATGCAGTGAAGTATCTCTTTGATTATTTTAAAGTTGTAGTGAAAACATTGCTGGGTTGATTTTCAAGTACAGTACCCATTTCAATACTGAGCTTGGTATTACTATAAAGTGAAACCTACAATATGGTATTTTGAAACATCTTAACCAAAGGAAAACTTTATGTCTAACCTTCCACAGAAGATGGTGTTGGAATAAGCGAAGAAAAGAAGCTCTTTAACGATGCCTGGAAAGAAAAGTGCTATCTAAAAATAAAAGTGTGCTTTACCACATGGTCTCACTTATAAGTGGGAGCTAAGTAATGTGTATACACAGTGTGGAATAATACACACTGGAGACTCAGAAGAGTAAGAGGGTGGGAGGGGGGATGAGAAATATTTAATAGGTACAATTACATTATACAGGTGATGATTACACTAAAAGCCCAAACTTCACCACTACACAATATATCCATGGAACAAAAACTGCACTTGTATCCTTTATTTATACAAAATGTTTTAAAAATAAAAGTGTATTTTTAAAACAAAGTTATGTTTATCTTTGTCTTACCTTTCCCTGAATTTCAGCTCTTTTGTGATTTAAACACAACTCTTTCGCTCTCATGAGTTGCAGAGTCTCTCGAGCTAGCATTAGCTGAAGTTTTTCCAACCTGGGAATTGCTGTGGCCCAGGCAGCCTGACCAAATCTCTTCGCATCCTGTTCCATTTCTTTCTGCATTCCTGTTGGATTATAAAAATAAAATATAATTACACCTCATTAAAAAGGGAAACATTTATCATGAGCTAATCCTTTTTTTATTGCCTCCATACTACCTGCAGAATATCCTTTTTAAAAGAAATTTTATTAACTTTTTTATTATGATAAAAATAATACATGTTCATTGATATAAAATTTTAGGTATTCCATTTTTAAAAAGACAGTAAGTCATGATCTCACCTAGTTGAGGCAACTGCTTCTTATATTTTGGCACACTTGCTTCCATATTGTTTCTATGTCTAGCTAGACAGACAGGCTCATATGGATAGTTTGACCACAAAACCAGGATCATCATTCTGCTTTCTATCTTGTTGATTCTGCACAATGTATCAGAAACTCTTGCCACTCATAAAAAAAAATCAAGAATCATGCTTAACAGCTACGTAGTTTTCTGTTTTATGAAGGTACCATAACTTAACAAACTGACAGACGTTAAGTTGTTTCCTACTTGGTGTTTTTATCAACAATTATTTAAGACTAAAAAAAAGTCCTTCACCCAGCCCACAAGCCCCTGCATGGTCTGACCCCTGCCTGTCTGGCCAGCATTTTCCCTCATACCACACTGTCCTGCACTCTCTGCGATCCAGCCCCGCAGGTTTTCTTTAAGCTCCTAATTTGCCAACTTCCCTCAAGGCAGGGGACTTTTGGCAGTGCTATTCCTTCTGCCCGGAATACTCCTCACTTTTTATTTTCTCTCAACTTCCATTTACCCTTCAGATATTGGGGCAAGCGCCACTTCTCAGAGGCCTTCAGTGACCACCACCCTGATCAAGCCCAATTTCTCTCTCACAGACCCTCAGAGCCCATGTCTCTCTTCTTTGTGCCATTTACTGTCACTGCCATTTTCCATGTGCTTCAATGAATAGATAATTAAGATTTCTCTCCCTTCACCAGACTGTACAACGTCTCTTAACGCTTGACACTGAATTCTCAGCACCTAGAAAACATAGTACCTAGTGCGTAAGAGGGACTCAAATGGTATTTGAATAAAATGATAATCAATTACATGTATCTTCATATAGCATTTTTTAAATTATCACCTGCTAATGCTTTTACTGTCTCCTTAAAATAATTCACTGTGATATCCTGAATAGAGACGACAGCTTCTTCAGCCCGTCTGGTCCATTCTTCAGCTTCTTTCTCCAGGGCAACTACCCTTCTAGGACCTAGGTCATCCTCATCCAAAGACTTCTACAGACAGAAGGGAAAATTTTCTTAGTAAGAGCTAATAGTTATGTAGAGCCATTAGGAAATTGAAAGGAAATTGGTCACATGGATTAATTTAACTACACTACTACTCAGTCAATTAAATTTTCATTCATTCAGCAGTCCCTTACTGCGTATGAATAAGGCTCTAAGCTGAGCACCACCTGTAAGACAAAAGGACACTCTGGGGCATAAAGCGAAAAAAAAACCCACTTTCACTTCACATGCCTAGAATAACTTTTTCTAGAGAGGAATGTTGTCAACTTATGCTTCTATTAATAATAATACACAATTGTTTAAATGAGTGATCTGTGTTGTCAAGCACTCAGCATAGGGCCTGGAACACAGCACTTAAGTATTAGCTGTTGTTACTGTTTCTTTTAGGGATATGTAATATAATCACCTAAAATATAGTATCTGTATATTCATGCTTATAACATGTACTGGTATTGGACTCCCCCCAAAATGCATATGTTGAAGCCTAAATCCCCAGTGTGATCATATTTGAAGATGGGGCCTTTGGGGGGTAATTAGGTCATGAGGGTGGAACCCTCAAGAATGGGATTAATGCCCTTATAAAAAGAAGAGGAGACACAGGATCTCTCTTTCTCTGCTCTTCACCATGCGAAGACACAGCAAGACAGTCATCTACAAATTAAGAAACTGGCCCTCACAAGACAATGGATCTGTGAGCACCTTGATCTCAGACTACCCAGCCTCCAGAACTGTGAAAAAAAAGTTTTGTTGTTTATAAGCCACTAATCTACGGTACTTTGTTATAACAGCCTGAACTAAGACGTGTACTGCTATGTCATCCAATATGCAATTTTTCTTCTACAAAGCCTAAGAAATATGTACAAGTTAGCCGACAAGGAATTACAAATCAAAACCATAACGAGATACCACTTCACACCCACTAGGATGGCTGTAACCAAAGAGACACACAGTAACAAGTGCTGGTGATAATGTGGACAAACCGGAACCCTCATTTACTGCTTTTGGGAATATAAAATATGCACCCACTTTGGAAAACTGTCTGGCAGTCTTTCAAAAGGTTAAACATTGAGTAATCACAGGACCCAGCAATCCTACTCCTTAGTACATACACAAGAGCAATGAAAACATATGTCTACACAGAAACTTACACACAAACATTCACAGAATTATTCATAATAGCCAAAAAGTGGAAACAACCCAAATGTCCATCAACTGATAAATAAAATGTAATATATCCATACAATGAATATTACTCAGCAATAAAAAGAAATGAAATCCTGATATTTGCTCCAACGTGGATTAGCCTTGAAAACATTGTGCTGAGTGAAAGGACCACATATTGAATAATGCTGTTGCTATGTCCAGAGTAGGGAAATCCACAGAGACAGAAAGTAGATTGGTGGTTGCCCAGGGTTGGGAGTGACTAAAGGGTACAGGGTTTCTTTTGGGGGTGAAAATGTCCTGAAATTACACAGTAATGATCACTGCACAACTTTGAATATACTAAAAATCACTGAATTGTACTATATATATATATATATATATATATATATATATATATATATATAAAATCTGTGAGTGATATCTTAAAACACCTTTTATGAAAAACAGGCCGGGTGCGGTGGCTCACGCCTGTAATCCCAGCACTCTGGGAGGCCGAGACGGGCGGATCACGAGGTCAGGAGATCAAGACCATCCTGGCTAACATGTTGAAACCCCATCTCTACTAAAAATACAAAAA
This sequence comes from Homo sapiens, assembly GCF_000001405.40. Lineage (NCBI taxonomy): Eukaryota > Metazoa > Chordata > Mammalia > Primates > Hominidae > Homo > Homo sapiens. The sequence goes on along the minus strand of NC_000015.10, from coordinate 82,814,938 downwards.
AATTAGCCGGGCATGGTGGCGGGCACCTGTAGTCCCAGCTACTCGGGAGGCTTAGGCAGGAGAATGGCGTGAACCCAGGAGGCAGAGGTTGCAGTGAGCTGAGATTGCACCACTGCACTCCAGCCTGGGCGACAGAGCGAGACTCTGTCTCAAAAAAAAAAAAAAAAAAAAAGAAAGGAAAAATATAGGCTGGGTGTGGTGGCCCATGTCTGCAATCCCAGCACTTTGGGAGCCCAAGGCAGGCAGATCACCTGAGGTCGGGAGTTCGAGACCAGCCTGACCAACATGAAGAAACCCCGTCTCTACTAAAAAAATACAAAATTAGCTGGGCGTGGTGGCACATGCCTGTAATCCCAGCTACTCGGGAGGCTGAGGCAAGAGAATTGCTTGAATCCAGGAGGCAGAGGTTGCGATGAGCTGAGACTGCGCCACTGCACTCCAGCCTAGGTAACAAGAGCAAAACTCTATCTCAAAAAAAAAGAAGAAAGGAAAAATGTATGCAAGAAGTAGACTTTCCAAATAATAGACTTTCAAAATAATGAACAGAACAACTTTATCCACAGGTTAGAGTGGTATGACTCTCATCTAAATGTGATACTATTTTTATAATACAATCATCTGGCAAGGGTCATGAGATTATATGTGGAAAGATGGCCCGGTGCAGGGGGCAGAAACCAAGAGACATCTTAGGTGTCTTCTGATTTCTGTTGTTGAGACCCAAGGCAAGCTGTTTAACTCCTCTGGACTCTAGATTCATTTGTAACACTGGAATAAGCATGCCTTTTCTGAATGATGTCACAGGGTTGTCTGATGGCTCAATGAAGCAAGAGTGATAACAGCATTTACTAAAATTTAAGTTACTGAATTACAATCTAGGGTCCTGCTATTTAAATTTTCATCTTATTTTAAGAAATCTGCGTAAGTCCTTAGAGGAAAACAAGCTGAAGCAAATAAATATCACATCAAAAACAATTCATCAGGCTGGGTGCAGTGGCTCATGCTTGTAATCCCAGCACTTTGGGAGGCTGAGATGGGTAGCTCGCTTGAGGTCAGGAGTTCAAGACCAGCCTGGCCAACATGGTGAAACCCCGTCTCTACTAAAAATACAAAAAAAGTTAGCTGGGCGTGGTGGTACACACCTGTAATCCCAGCTACTCAGGATGCTGAGACAGAAGAGTCGCTTGAACCTGGAGGAGGTTGCAGTGAGCCAAGATCATGCCACTGCACTCCAGCCTGGCTGACAAAGGGAGACCCTGTCTCAAAAAAAAAAAAAAAAAAAAAAAAAAAAAAATTCATCACCAGAAAAAACATTTAACTCTTTCAAATCTGTAGGAATCTTAAGCTATTAAGATGACCAACGTAAATGTCTTCATTTTCTATCAATTTTAAATATAAACTCAATATGTACATATAAGGGTAAACTAGGCACATGTAATGCTGTGCTTTGGGAGGCCAAGGTGGACAGACTGCTTGAGCTCAGGAGTTCGAAACCAGCCTGAGCAACATGGCAAAACCTCATCTCTATCAATAAATAAGTAAATAAATAAACATAATGGTAAACCCAAACAAAGTACAAACAGAGATTGAACATTAAGTGTAAATAAAGAAATAATTTATGACAAATAGTAAATCTGATAAAGTAAAAATTTTAAAAAAACATACCAAAATATCAAGCTTACATAAAGTTGCAACTTCTCGCATAGCCCTAAATGGCTGCAATAAGTACTGGAAGAACATGGTTGCCACGGTAACCAATTCCTGGTATGCTTCATCTTCCTCTTGGTAAACGTTCATTAATGCTACCATGGTGTTGGCTTTTCCGTGTCCTTGAATAACCTAGAAAGCAAATGTGAATAAAGCTCAAGTCAGGACAGTATATTTAATACATACCCAACAAACAAAACTAAACAAAAGAAACCTTCATGTTCTCAACTTTTAATACATCAATTTTAAATACTGATTAAATATGAAAATGTTATCATCCTCCATCAAAAATGCCCAATAAAACAAGAATGGTTAAGAAAAGTATGATATATCCATGTAAGAATATTATTACTGTAGTCATTCAGCACTGTGCTTCTGAAGATTGTTTAATAATATGGAGACTTTTGTCCAGGCATGGTGGCTCACACCTGTAATCCCAGCTGCTGGGGAGGCTGAGGCAGAGAATCGCTTGAACCTGGGAGACAGTGGTTCCAGCCTGGGCAACAAGAAGGAAACTCCATTTCAAAAAAAAAGACACTTTTATAATATTAAATGGAGAGGCAGAGTGCAAAGTTTAATCTCAACTATGCACTAAGTATGCAGCGAAAGGGACCCAAAAGAAGGTTTGAGGTTGTGGATATTTTTTCATTTCACTTTTCTGACTGTAAAGGTGTTGTGAGGCTGTATTCCTTTTTAAAGCTCGTAAGGGCCAGGCGTGGTGGCTCACGCCTGTAATCCCAGCACTTTGGGAGGCTGAGGTGGGCGGATCACGAGGTCAGGAGATCGAGACCATCCTGGCTAACACGGTGAAACCCTGTCTGTACTAAAAATACAAAAGATTAGCCGGGCGTGGTGGCGGGCGCCTGCAGTCCCAGCTACTGGAGAGGCTGAGGCAGGAGAATAGCATGAACCCGGGAGGCGGAGGTTGCAGTAAGCCAAGATGGCGCCACTGCACTCCAGCCTGGGCGACAGTGCCAAGACTCCATCTCGAAAAAAATTTTAAAAAAAGACCTCATAAAACATTACAGAGCTGTCTCCAAGTACTTCAGCATGTTGATTCTCTTAATGCCCCAGATTAATATTCCCATGAAGCCCTTAGCAGTCACCTCATTTACAGAGCCTCAACTGTGGTTCCAGTCTCTGCTGGTTACTGCTTCTGCTGCAGGGCAGAAAATAAACTGAACAGTGTATAATCTAGGTGGACTCACTTGGCAGGAAATTATTTTACTCCCAGAAGAAGAGAAATAAAATCAAATAATATAGATTTTTTTCAACCAATACATTCTTAAATTCTCCTATTTCCATCCTTCTGCTTAAGGATAAAGTGATCTACTTTCAGCTATAGTTTTTTATCCAGGTAATAATATTATGGGTTTTTTTTTTAAGTGAAAGCCTCACTGAACAAAATCAAAACACACACGCAAAAGTAAACTTAAGGCAAGTGATACATTTCAGCCTTATTTCTTAAACTATTCAGAAAAATTCCAGAGTTAAAACATTCAGCTTCATTTTATATATCCTAGCAATACTAGCAATTGGTCTAATTCTAGAATCAATTGCTTTTCCATTCTAAATATTAAAATTATATATTTGAACACGTTTTGAATTTAAGCTTCCTCTCCCAACCCCTCATTTTTAAGTTCCAGATAAATATGTGAACTACACTAACGTGAACGGCTAGCTCAACAGTATGAACTACATTCATGCTATAGTACCCCAGAGTGAACTTAAATTTGGGAAAACTATAACTTTTCTGATAGTATTTACTACAGTAAAATACATCATAAACATGTTCGATTTTAAGGAGAAACCACCTATCTCTGTGAGAAACCGAGTGTGTAAAAAACAAGTCTGATACAAAATGATATCATTTTTGAAACTCCCCTGTGGGTTCCTCATATCCTAAGGTGAAGACGATAAAGTTGAAGATCAAACGCTGACTGGCCTGAAACTCCCCTGTGGTTTCCTCATATTCTAAAGTGAAATCAACACGAGAAGTGGGTGTGTAGATATTTACACATAAAACCCACAGTACAAAAATGACCCCACTAACGAGCTCCTTTTATAAAACCATTTTAATTTGGAAAGCTTATTCTACATTTAGCTTAGGCTGAATTCTTCTCTTCACTTCCCCTTCCTCAGAAGAATGCACAGAAAAAAATCATTCAGGTTAATAACAGCAGTGAGCCGAGACTCCAGCCTGGCTCTCCTTAATAAACTGTGGGTGTGGACTTAGAAGGCATATTTTCTCCTAAACCCTTCTGTGAACTTGTACTTCCCCTCCCCTTAGGTTCAGTAAGTTTACCACTCAAATAATTACTCTCTCTCAAACTACCTCTTTCAAGCTTAAAAGGGCACTAATGCGGTCATTCCAAACTGATGAATAAAGTTCACCTTCTGCCGGCTTTCCATTTGACCAAGTATATATTACTTAAAACAAAACACCCTATCTCCTAAAAGCCATTTCTTCCTCTAAACCATTTTATCCCATTTGCGACGTCCCCTCATACACAGGAATTGCTTACATTTAGTCCGTGTTATTCTTTCCTACATGGATGGGTTGTTTTCAGTCTTGCTTGCAATATTTCTGGCATTTCCTGTTACAACATCCTGCTCTGCCAGCATCTTCAGGGCAAAAGTTGGGGGCCTAGCCCAGCTCCCAGCTGCAAGTACACTAGGCTCTAACTTCGCTTGTCCTCTCTGCAGACCCTCCCGCAGCTCCCGCCGGTTTCCCGCAGCGGTCCCGCGCAGGTGACGGCACTGGGGAGCCCGCGGCCTTCTCCGCCCGCCGGCTCCTCCCCGTCAGCCGTCAGCCAGGGCTCTCGGCGCCGGGGGAGCCTCCCACAGTGTCCCAGGCCATGGAAGCGCGGACGAACGCCGGCGACCGGGCCTCGCTTACCTGGCGCAGCCGCGCGTCCGCCTCGACCCACCGCGCGCGCAAGGCCCGCTCCCGGAACTCGCGCGGGCTTTCGCAGTCGGCCGCGCCGCCCTCAGCCGGGAAGAGTGCGTCGCGCACTGTGGCGCCGCCGCAGCCGTCGGCCGCCGCGCCCAGATAGCGTTCCAGCTGCCCGCACAGCTCCTGCAGCGCCGCCTCGCCGGGACCCGCGCGCGTCGGCCACAGCAGCGCCCACAGCCCGAGCCCCAGACCCCAGGCCCCGCCGCCGCCCACGTCCAGCTCCGGCGGCAGCCGCGGGAAGCAGCGCTCCAGAGGCGGCCACAGCGCCGCCAACTGCCGGTGCGCGCCGCGGAGCCCCGCGGCCGAGAGCAGGCCGGCCCAGCTGGACGGGGAGACGGCGGCCTCAGGCTTGGGCTCGGGCTCGGGCCCCAACCGGGCCCCCTCGCGCAGCCGCCGCTGCTGCGCGGTACGGTCGTGACAAGTCACAGCGAACTTGCCCTCCGCGCCGTTCCAGGCCACCAGGAAGCGCAGCCGGTGCCTCTCGGGCTCGGCGAAGAGGCCCTCCCGGACCGGCACCCAGCCCTCCAGGCTGTCAGGCTGCTCGTCCTCCATGGCTGTCGGCAGCAGCGGCCCTAGGGCTCGGCGGGCGCGGGCCTGGCCTCCTCGCACCGCCTGTCACGGGACAGTCCGAGCCAAATCATTTTTCGCTAGAATCGAAACCGCGTCAGTGCCCCAGCAGCACCCTGGCCCCCGGCACTTCTGATTGGCTGGCTGCCGGAGGTGGGGCTTACAAGAGGCATTCGGGGTTGGTTGGGTGATAGACGAGAGGGCCAGCGACAACCAATGAAAAGGTGAGAAGGTCTCCCTCAGGAGTCAATCATCTCGCAACCTGTTCAGGAGTCTGGGAAATACAACTCTTGCCTCACCTTTTCCACCCAATACATACGGACGTTGGAAAAATATCTGTTGAATCGGCGAGTTATTGTATTAGTCTCCCACACTAAACTATGAACTTGAGAACAGGGACCAAGCTGATTTTCTTTTCTATCATCAGGGCCCTATTGAGTACATGGTTCACGCCCTTAAGAATGTCACAAATGCGTTGGGGAGATGAAATATAAACTCGATAGTCATTTATTGAGGGCCTCTAAGTGCCAAGTACTGGGCAAGAAGCCGCAAATTTATTTTTGTCAATTCAACAAACTTTTATTGAGTGTCGGCTGTGTGTCAGTATTGAGGGGGTGGAGTAAGAGGGGGAATTCAGGGCACTGCAGCTCCCAACCAGGGTGTTTAAATACAATCTGTGTTCTAACTCTTCACTTTAGAGTTAAGGAAACGGAGGCCCAGACAAACTTAAGATACACCGACACTCGGGCTCGACATGCCCCCCTGGCTACGGAAGGCCTGTTTAAGGAGATATCAGGAAATCCAGTTTACGTGTCAGGGTGGAGCTAAATCTGTTCATGCAACAAGCACCAAGACGGCCCTAGTCTCTGCCTAGGAAATGTGCAGTGTAGACTGAGAAATACAGTCCATGTCAGCTCCCATCCTGGGAGTGCACTGAGACAGGTGGTGGGAATGGGAGGAGGAAAGGAGGGAGATGCCAGGAAGCTGGGATCAGGAGCCGTTTGCCAAAGCAAGGCCTGTGAGGTGTTGATTCGGGAACAAGTGAAAGTGTTTGTGAAGGTTTTGAGCTGGGAAAAGTTGGAATCAGATTTTGTACTTGCTGTTATCCCCAAGGGTAAACAATAAGCAAACGAAAAAATCAGGGCGAAGCTAAAGCTCTAGTTAGGGCATCTCTCTGCCTTGAAAATGACCTCAAGAAATCTAGGAACCTCTGTGGAATGCAACTTGAAGATGGAAAGGTGCCTTTGTCTGAAGGTCCCTCCCCTTTTATGCCTGCTGCCGGTGTGAGGGTTGGGGATTGGGCCCTGGGACTCAGTCACTCAGTCTTCTTGGAGAGATAAACTTTTAGCTGAAGTGATTGATTTTCCCCTATTTTAATATACTATTTTAACTAATATGAGTTACTTATGATTTTTAACAGTCTGTTTTAAATATCTTTCTTGTATATTCCTCACATTATATCTTTTTACTATCTGCTTTATACTGTGTTATTTCTGTTAGTTTTCTTATCTATTTGGTTTTTCAAGCGGAAACTGTCAATCTTTCTAATTATAAAATTGTCGTGGGTGGCTGGGTGCAGTGACTAACACCTGTAATCCCAGCACTTTTGGAGGCCGAGGTGGGCGGATCAGTTGAAGTCAGGAGTTCGAGACCAGCCTGGCCAAAATGGCCAAACCCCGTCTCTACTAAAAATACCAAAAAAAAAAAAAAAAAGAGAGAGAAAAAGAAAAGTTAGCCGGGCGTGGTGGTGCATGCCCTATAATCCCAACTACTCAGGAGGCTGAGGCATCAGAATTGCTTGAATCCAGGAGGCAGAGGTTACAGTGAGCCGAGATTGCACCACAGCATTCCAGCCTGGGCGAAACAGTGAGACTCTGCCTCAAAAAAAAAAGAAAAGAAAAAATAAAATTATCCTCTCTCTATATATTAATATATGTCTTAGTCCATTCAGGCTGCTATAACAGAATACCATTGAGTGGGTGGCTTGTAAACAACAAACATTTATTTCTCATGGTTCTGGAGGCTGGAAAGTCCAAGATTAAAGCACCAGCAGATTCAGTGTCTGGTAAGGAAGGGCTGCTTCTTGGTTCGTAGATACCTGTATTCTTACTGCATCTTCACATGGAAGAGCTCTCTGGGACCCCCAATGTAATGGCACTAATTTTATTCATGAGGGCTTGCCTTCATGACCTAATCACCTCCCAAAGGCCACATTTCCAAATACCATCACATTGGGGATTTGGTTTCAACATGGGAATTTTAGGGGAATATAAACTGTCTATAGCATATGTATATATATGTATGATGGTTAATTTTAATGTGTCAACTTGATTGGGTCACCAGGTGTTTAGTCAGACATTATTCTGGGTGTGTGTGTGTGATGGTGTTTCTGGATGAGATTAACCTTTGAGTTAGTAGACTGAGTAAAACTGGTTGCCCTCCCTCATGTGAGTGGGCCTCATCCAATCGATTGAAGGTCTGAATAGAACAAAAGCTTGAATAAGAGGGAATTCTTCCTGCCTAACTGCCTTCAAGTGGGAATATGGGTTTTTTTCCTGCCTTCCAACTCAAATGGAAACATTGGCTCTCCAGGGTCTTGAGCCTGCTGGCCTTTGGACTAGAACCACACCATTGGCTCTCCTGGATCTTCCGCTTACTAACTGCAGATCTTGGGACTTTTTGGTCTTCATAATTACATGAGTCAATTCCTTATGATAAATCTGTTTCCATATATGTATACATTCTATTGGTTCTGTTTCTCTGGACAACTCTGACTATTACACTGTGTGTGTGTGTGTGTGTGTGTGCGTGCGTGCATGTGAGAGAGAGAGAGGAGAGAGAGATTATACTGTTATGCTGGTCTGTGGGCTCAGCATCAAAGTAGGAATTTTGCAACACACCCACAGTTAACACTCACTTTTTTCCTCAACACCTAGACTCTTTCAACTTCTTAACAGAGTCAGAATTTTGGAAGAAAAGAACATTAACACTAAATTGTCATTTTATAAATTATTAAACTAAAGCTTAGAGAAATAGTCAATCATAGTCCATAAGGAATGTATTGGCTGGATAGTCCCATTTCTATGCCATACCATGGCAAGTAAAAAAAAAAAATAATAATGTTTGCTTAAGGCTTATATGGGAAGTGTGTCCTGTGCTTTGATTAGAAAAGTGCCCCCAAAATGTTTTTTAACCTTGTATGGTTCATGAGCACCTCTGAGAATCTATTGAAACCTGTGAGTTCTCTTCCCGGAAGTGATTCTATAAGGACACAGACATAATTTTGCATATAATTTTAGAAACTCATTCACTTAAAAAAAAAAAAAAGGAATCTTCTTCCTGGTCTTGCCGTGACAGTCCCCAGCCCTCTCCACATGACCAGCCATCTGAGACCCATGGTAGAGCCACAAGTCTAAAACCCCTCACAGCACAGAAAGTAACTCAGAGCACGGCATGTGACCTCTCCTGGTGACACTTGAGTAGTAAGAAGTGGCAACTCAGCCACAGCAGGTCTATATTTGGACCTTCACTCATGGCAGGCCTGTTGCTATTTGTGGCTGCAGCCAGCTCATGTTACCATCCAGCTTTGGTGCCCCACTTGCAGAACTCTGGTGTAAAATAGGCAGGGGTAGCCTGTGGGGCATGCAGAGGTCACTAGGAAGGAAAGCCTGCTGAACACAGATTCAATTTTCTAGCAGAACTCCAGGTCCTCTGAGTTAAAGGAAGCATTTATGGACGCTTAGCAGGCAAGTTTTGGGGTAGTCATATTCTTCCAATGCAAATTGTATTATTAGAAACTCAATGCTGCAATATTAATGCAATATCTTTCCTGTAGGTGGGAAGAGATATCATGGTAAATTGCAGATGTTTAAATTACAATAAATAGTGTAAATGTTTTCTGTGCCTTCTTAAAGCAAGAATTCGCATTAACTGAACATGATGTTGGGACAGGATGTGAGAGGCTCTGATGAAGGCAGACAGGGGCTGGTGATTCTTATAATGTGTCTTTAGGATATCTGTAGTGCTGGGACCCATTAGTTAGAACCATTTGGTAGAACAGTTTGGAAATATAGATGTTGAATATCATCTGGCTATACTATTGTGTTGTAAATACATTTTATTTAATCTGTGTGTACATGCTGAAAAATAATAACTTCATGCATTGATTCAAATACTAAAAAACAGCATCGTAATTATTTTTCACTTGTTATGCATACAGCCTCCTCCTATAGAAAGTTTTCAGGTTCGGGCAGTGTCTGCAAAGCTGATTTGAATCATTTCATATCACTGTAACACTTTAAGGCAAGCTTTCTTTCACTGCTGTGGCTCAGGAATTGCCAAGGGCTGCATGGAAGAGCTAAAATTATAGGCAAAGTTATGTTCCTGCCCTTATGGAATCACTTCTGGGAAGAGAATTCACAGGTTTCAGTAGATTCAGTAGATATGCCCATGATCCATAAAAGGTTAATAAACAAGCCAAGTGAGGTGGCAGATTGCATGAGCCCAGGAGTTCAAGACCAGTCTGGGCAACATAGCAAGAACCTGTCTCTAAAAAAAAAAAAAAAAAAAAATTATTGGGGGACTTTTCTAAGTAATGCACAGGGATACACCTCCCATATAAGCCTTAGACAAACATCTTTTTTATTTTTTTTAACTGCTTCCCTTGGCATAGAGGAAAGGGTATCCAGCAAAGACATTCATAATGGACTATGACTAATTGCTTTACTTCTCTAAGCTTTAGTTTCACCATTTATAAAATGACAGTTTATTGTCAACTTTCCTTTCTCCCCAAATCCTGATTTTGTTAAGAAAGAGTCTAGGTGTTGAGGGGAAAAGTGACTGTTAACTGTAGGGTGTGTTGCAAAATTCCTACTTTGACACTGAGCCAGTTTGTGTTGAGACCACTTTGTGTTGTGTGTTCGAAGGGCAAGTGCCAGCTTGAAAGCATGTGTTCTTATCTGTATTTGCACTAAGTGTTTTCCAGTCTTCTGACAGTTCAACTTGGTGTTTCACATTCCAGCTTCTGGTTGAAATAATTTCTCATGATGATTTATTGGTCATACAGAATCCTGGCTATTTCCCTTTGGGTAGCACATGGGAATGTAAGCATTATTTTAGTGAACTGCTCCTCTGTCTGTAGATGGTGTGATTTAATGGAAACCTGGGTTTGAATCCAAGCTCTTCACCTGACTGGTTGTGTGTCAGGTGAAAAGCTTGGATTCAAGCACAGGGCTAAATACAGAGTAGCCCAGATACATTTTTGTAAAAGAAAATTGGCTATAAGCAAGTCCTTTATCCTCACAAGATCTCAGTTTTGCCATCCTAAAATCAGGAATTTTTTTTAAACATCCATGACCTGCTGAATAAAATCAGGAAATTGAATTAGATGCTCTCCAAGGGACCTCCATCCCTAGAATACCATATCTCTGCCTGGGCCCCCTGGGAGAGGAATGATCTCATAGCTGATGTCTGTGCGTGGTTATGAGGCTGTTCTGCTTGGTGCCTTCTTTCATCATCGGCTGTTTTCAAGGGACAAATATTCCCACAGTAGCCATGGATGATTCCACACTGCTGTGGTCACTCTCCATGAGTGACTAGGTAGAAGGCTTCTAGCCCAGGTGGGAGATACTAAGGTAGGAATCATGATAATGATAGTAAGAACAACAACAATAACAGCAGCTAACACTTACTGAGGACTTACTTTAAGCTATGTACTATGCATAAAGTACATTATGTTATTTCATCTAAATGCCAACCTTATGAGGTAGACACTGTTAATAGAGCTGTTTTATAGTCCATTAAAGTTAGGCCTAGAGAGATGATTTTCCTGAAGTCATACTTCCAGGATGTGGCAGAAACAATGCAAACACAGGACTCTCTGAATCCAGAGGGCAGTGATCTTGGGGAGCAGGGAGAGGGGACAGGAAAAGGGATATTACTTAGAGATTCAAGAGGTAGAGTCAGAATCAGCATGAATTAGTTATTAATTAGATTGGGGGTGTCAAGGATGAGCTTCTGGTCTCTGGTTTGGTGCTGGAGGGGGTGGATGTCATGCTCTCATTCATGGATAGTAGCAATGCAGTGGACTTCATGGAGGGCCATGTTGGATGAGTATGGGGTTTAAGAAGCAGTGGTGAGATAGGGAAGAGTGGGAGCTCTCAGCAGGCAGGACAGTCTGAGCCAGGGCCTAGGGTGAGTCTCACATGGAAGACCCTGAGCGCGGCCAGAAGGAACAGAGGGTTACCGCTAGGGAAGGTGGGGCTGCTTGGGGAGTATAGAGCTATGGCATGGGGTGGGGGATCCCTGGTGCCCAGGAGAGTTGGGACTTGCCAGTAATGGAGCCCTCAGAATGCACGATGTGCAGATGTACCACTTCTGCCTGAACAAAGCAACATATGCTGTATAAGCTATGCTGCTATCCTGGGCAGGGACACCCCTGAGGAAGGACCATGGTGCGCGCAGTCAGCAGACTGTAGAGACAGGAGGGTTTCAAGCAAGATTTCGAGCCACAGAGGGAAATAGTGGGATTTTGGCACAGACTCTGTGCTTTAGGAAGGAGAAGTACTCTGGGGTCCCAGGAAAGAGGGAAAGCAGCGTCTCTGAGAAGTTGTGCATAGCCCCAGATGGGGTAATAATCCCTTAGTCACTTGTCTGGAGCCTCCTTGACACCAGCAACTGTGTCTCATCCATTGTACCCCCAGCGCCTAGCCCAATCCTGTTCTCTTGAATTCACACCTCACCAACCCCATGAACATTCAGAGCTGGGGCAATGAATGATGCCCAACACCACAGACCATGCATGTGGTAAGGTTAGCCAGGGTCACAGAAGGACCTAGGGCTTCACCAGATGACCTCTGCATGGGTGCAGACTTTCCAGGTCATTCCATGTTGCCCCATAACACACTAACTCTGCCATGACCAGGTGGAATCTATAACGCCCCAGGAGCAGAGGCAGCAACCAGGAGACCTGGTGGAGTAGAAATGAGGAACTGCTCCTAAGCTGGGGAGACCTGCTGCTGCTGTTGCTGGCTGATAAGAGGCCCATAGAGAAGAAGCATGACCCTCCCATCCTCTCAGGTTCTATTTCCAGAGGTACTTGTGCTCAGCTTCATTCTCCTACTCTTCCTCCCCCATGATGCCAAGTAAGAGCTCAACCCAGCTGTTAATGGTAAGACATTATTTCTATGCAATGTGGGTAATTCTGATTAGCTGGGCAATCTGACATACAGGAGTGTGAAGGCAGGATTCAGGGCCTCTCAGGGCAGAAGGCTCTGATTACTTTGTTGAGAATCATCCACTACAACAAGGGATTCAGGATGAGAGAGGAGGCAAAGTGGTGTTTCCATAGCTGGAAGGGAACTTTGACCTTGGGAACCATCGGAGGGAAACATGGGCTAAAGTGCAGGCAATGTGCATGATACCCAGGAGGAGCTAGCAATCCCTTGGGTCTGGTATGTATGGAGGGGGAGACTTGCTGGTCCAGCTCAGCACTGGTTTTGCTGGGATGCAGATTCAGTGTGAGAAGAAGCTGTGCCCTAGTTCACTTGAAGCCACACTTCTCCAGCCCTGTGTACAGGCTGCATTAGTGAGGATGAGCCAGGACTGCCCCAGCCAGAGCCTAATGGTAGACAGGTTTCTTAGTAGTAACCTCCCCATAAAGAAAACTCAATTCTGGAGTCTTCATAAATCATATGAAGGCAAAACACTGGCTGTGGAGGCAAAACACTGGCCCTGGTGCCTGGAAACCACTGGCTTTGCGATGCTGCCTCTGGAAACCTACCTCCACTCATCCTTCTCTCCATCTAGGGGTGGACCTGATCCTGTTTGTGGTCCCAGGTGGCATGGACCAAGACATGGTGGAGCTGGTGCCTTGTGTGCTTTAATCCTGCATGGTCATGGTATCTCAGCCTCAGCAGGTGTTACTGAAGTGATATTTACCACTATCTTCCATGTGAAGAGTTTTGGAGCATTGGAGAGTGGGAGAACTCCAAGAGTGATGTTCCCAAGTCTTAGAGTCTCAGGAGTAAGGTTTCCTTATGAGGATCCAGATCTCTGAAACCAATAACATACATGGCATTGGGTTAGGATAGCAGCATCTTTGTCACCTAATGACTGCTGGAAGTCGACCTCTCTGTGTGGTGCTGATACAGTACCTAGAAAAACAGCATCCCGTGGACACTTCAGAGTGAAGAGGAGAAGAGAGAAGGTCCCCAGGGGCTCACCAGGGCTGAGTCCAGGTAGTCACACTTCCACATCCCACCTCCCCAACCCGTCTACCATCAGAGAAGGCTGGTTGGTTCTTGTGTTTTTGTCTTGCTGTCAGAAAGAGCCAGGGTGAGCCCATGGAGGGAAATGTGAGGGATTTCGAAGGCAGGGTGTAGCCACGATTAACTGGGGGAGTGATAGTTGGTACGGAGCACCAGATGAAATGACTAAGGGCCCCTCTGGGTTAAGAGCAGGACATGGTTCCATCACTGTGATCCAGAACCTCCTATTCTTGGATCAAAATGTTTCCAGCATCCTGGGTTCTTGTAATCTCCCAGGATAGGAATCAAGAGAGATCACCAGACACAGCAGCATAGAGAAAGTTTATTTTAGCTTGTGCACAAGGAAGCTGGCACTGAAGAAGAAAAGAATGGGCTGCTCCTTGAGGGCAGTAGTGTGTGGGTTAGTTTTATAAAGGCTTTCTATGGGGAAGGGTTACATTGGGGCAGGTGTAGGAGAGTTTTTCTAGTGCTTGCACAGTGGCTCAACATGCTTCTTCATATATTATATGTAGCATTAGCATTTTAAATCACCACCCCAGGGGTGATTTTTAGCATTAAAATGAAGAAGGGGTAACTATAGGTTGGAGTTTAAATGTAACTGCACATTTGGGTCTCCAAGGAAGTCCCTAGACCCCCGAAATAGGAGCTTATGGTTATAGCAGTTATAGCTTCTTGGGTCTTCTGTTACTGATTGGCTGGGAGTTAGATAAGCAAGAGCCTGACTGAGGGGCTTTTTTTTTTTTTTTTTTTTTTGAGACAGAATCTCGCTCTATCCCCCAGGCTGGAGTGCAGTGGCATGATCTTGGCTCGCTGCAACGTTTGCCTTCCAGGTTCAAGCGATTCTCATGCCTCAGCCTCCCGAGTAGCTGGGATTACAGGCACCCACCACGACGCCCAGCTAATTTTTGTATTTTTAGTAGAGACGGGGTTTCACCATGTTGGCCAGGCTGGTCTTGAACTCCTGACCTCAGGTGATCTGCCCACCTCAGCCTCCTAAAGTGCTGAGATTACAGGTGTGAGCCACTGTGTGGGGCCGACTGAGGGGCTTTTATCATTTTCCTCCAGACCATCTTAACATAGGAACCTAGCTAGCCTGCCTGTCTCAAATCCTTCCTAAATGGGCCAGATGTAGAACTGTGTTGGCACCTCTGCTTTCCTCATCATTACTCCTAGCCTTTTCCTGTGCTTGCAGGACAAAACTTGGAGGGCACTGGGGCAGGCAGTGAGCAGAGCCTGGCTGGTTGTCCCCAGGAAGGAAGGGGGAGGTCCAGGCCATAAGGGCAAGGTGTCATCTCTGACCAGAGACAGAGTTCTTCTCTGAGGACGCAGGGCAGAGTTCTTCTTCCCGAGGCCATGGGTAACTTGGCCTCCACAAATAAAGGCTGAGGAAGAGGGATGAAACTGGAGGCTTACAGCAGGAATGTCCAGGGAGGGCAGAGGGAAGGGCAGGCAGTCAGTTCAGGACATCACAGACATTCATGGCCAGAGTGTAGAGAGGCTGAAGAAGGTGGGTTTTCTGGAAGACTGTCCCAACCTCTCACGGGCCAGCTGGGCATCCAGGCATCTTCTACCTTACAAGGTAGACCAGCAGAATAGGCACCATTTAGAGATTTAGAAATGCAGTTTTCCAGACCTCACTCTAGACTTTCTGACTCTACGTTTAACCAGAACCCCAAGGCGACGTGTGTGCAGGAAAGTTTGAGAAACCTTATTGAGAGGAGGAGTTCTGGCAGGGCTGGTGGGAGGACACCCCACTAACAGGCAGCATGCAGGGGCTGCCGTGGAGGTGACGTCACACCACATGGTGAGTTGGGGAAAGAGAGAGGCAATGAGCTCCATCTGGCAGTGCTGAGTTTGAGGGGGCTGCTGGAGGGGGCTGCTCAAGACAGCAGCTGCACCTCTGAGCCTCTGCCTCTGCATGGGGCACAGGTTAGAGCCAGAGACATGGATTTGGAGCCCTCAGAAAAGACGGGGACATAGAAGCTGTGAGACTGGATGAGATCACCTAGAGCAAGTGGAGAGTGGGAAGAGGGCCTAGAATGGAGGTTAAGGGGATGCCTGCATATAAAGAGCAGCCAAGGGGAGGAACTTGGCAGAGATTTCAGCAGTCAGTGGCCTAGGGGAAATCCCAGCTGAGCCGGGGGACACAGAAGGGTCAATAGGATTGAATGGCATGGAGCAGTCAGGAGAGCACCAGACAGGGTCCATGAATTTCCAAATTAGGCCATGAGAAAATGTTATATTAAAAGGGCAATCAAAAGTGGAGATAGGCCAGGCGCATTGGCTCACACCTGTAATCCCAACATTTTGGGAGACCAAGGCGGGAGGATTGCTTAAGCAGGAGTTTGAGACCAGCCTGGGCAACATAGTGAGACCGTGTCTCTACAAAAATTACAAAAATTAGCCAGGCGTGGTGGTGCATGCCTGTGATCCCATCTGCTCAGGAGGCTGAGGTGGGAGGATTGTTTGAGCCCAGAAGGTCAAGGCTGCAGTGAGCTGAGATTTCACCACTGTGCTCCAACCTGGGCAACAGAGCAAGACCCTGTCTCAAAAAAAAAAAAAAAAACAAAACAGTGGAGATAGTGGAAAGAAAACTTAATGCCTTTTTAAAAATATAGTTTGGGAAGTGGCTATTAAAAGGACAGTCTATCAGCAGAAGTGACAGTCTATCACTGCAGAAAGTTAAACAGAGCTGATAGGGGAAGCCGACGAACTTGTTGACTTCTGTTTTCTGTGTACAACTGTGGAACAAATAGGGAAGACAAACAGCTGGCTGCTAACTTTGATCACATAAATGGAAGTTAAGGAAAACTGGATCATAAAAGTGATGGATAAGGAAAAAACAGTGCTAAACCATATCTTAAAATATTTTGCTTATTTTTCTCAAAACATTATATATATATGTCATGTTAAAATAGTTTAATAATATTAGTTTTTTTAAAAAAAGACATTAGATTTACCACAATTTTTTAATGGGGGTAGGCATTAGGAACTGGATTGTGATGATGGCTGCACAATTTGGGGAATTTACTAAAAATCATTGAATTGTGCACTTAAAACATGAATTTTCTTCCTTTCGTTCTTTCTTCCTTTCTATCTTCTGACAGGGTCTTGCTCTGTCACCCAGGCTGGAGTGCAGTGGCAAGATAATAGCTCACTGCAGCCTCAATCTTCCAAGCTAAAGTGATCCTCCCACCTTAGCATCCCGAGTAGCTGGGACTGCAGGCACACACCACCACGCTGGGCTAGTTTTGTTTTTTGATTTTTAAATAGAGGTGAGGTTTCTTTTTGTTGCCCAGGCTGGTCTCGAACTCCTAAGCTCAAGTGGTCCTCCCACCTTTGCCTCCCAAAGTGCTTGGATAACGGGTGTCAGCCACTGTACCTGACCTGTAATATTTTTCTGTGCTTGGAAAGTCTTTTGTTGGTCATCTATGATACTTCTCTACAAAAATACAGATGTATAACTTGAGATGAAAGATTTTCTCTTGTTCTCCTGGGACCATACATCTCTGAATATTAAACTCTTTTTTTCTTTTGGATGAAGTTACCAATACAACTTTTAATCACATGTAAGCAAAATAACATAAACATATTACAAATTTTGGTAAATAATAATAATTATTATTGTTATTTTTGAGATGGAGTCTCGCTCTGTCGCCCAGGCTGGAGTGCAGTGGCGTGATCTTGGCTCACTGCAACCTCCGCCTCCCAGGTTCACGCCATTCTCCTGCCTCAGCCTCCCAAGTAGCTGGGACTACAGGCGCCCGCCACCACGCCCGGCTAATTTTTTGTATTTTTAGTAGAGATGGGGTTTCACCGTGTTAGCCAGGACGGTTTCGATCTCCTGACCTCATGATCTGCCCGCCTCGGCCTCCCAAAGTGTTGGGATTACAGGCGTGAGCCACCACGCCTGGCCAATAATTGTTAAATGAAAAATAAAATGGAAATGCATCTCTTAATGAGGTAGATGGAGCTTTTTTAAAAAAAGTTTATTTGTGTATCCATTGATGAAAATTACATATTTTAGACTGCAACAGGAATTAGGGTCAATTGTCTTTCCGCTTTTCATTTTGTTGATGTAAGAACAGAGCAACCTTGCTTAGCTACGTAATCAAACATTGATGGAAATGAAAGTGTTTTATTATAGCAATGTCACTCACATTTTTGAACTCTTTCTGAAATGTGTTTCAAAAAGTACATAGTGATCTATCATGAAAAATTATTTTTAATCATATATTAGCTGACAATTTGATTAGATCCTCCTTCAACTTTATTGAAAGCAAAGAACTGGAAACCACTTAGCTTGAAAACAAATTTTTTCTTATGCATTCATTAATGTCATTCACCCTCCACCATTGATAGCAATACTTCAAATTGTCCTTCCATTTAGTCCCCTGGAGGTGTTTTTTTTTTTTTTTTTTTTTAATTACCAAGCAATGAAATCTTACAGTGCAATGAAATATTCAGGATAAGTGAGAGGTATAGTTTTACTTTTGTAATAAAGAGAAAAAGGACTATTGTGAAAAAAGAATCTACATGAAGCCTCAAATGCTAGTTCCTTCCCAGGCAGAGCAGCTCTGGGAAAGATTAAATATAAAGTTGAGCATCTGGGAGCTGATCCTCCTGAAGCTATCTATACCATGTACCCCTTGGAAAGTCTTCGCATACAGATTCCATAGCCTGAAGAGTGATGGTGGAAATGCCACCCTTTGATGGAGTCTGGAGAGGGAAAGGGGAGAAAGAGAGAATAGCAGCTAGCAGAGAAAGCTGGGTGGAAAGTTTATTTTTAGTCTGGGACAATGAACTAGTCATCTATTGTGGCATAACAAATTATTTCAAAACTTGACAGCTTAAAACAACAAATATTTATTCTCTTGAATCGTTTCTGAGGGTCAAGAACCTGAGAACAGTTCGTCTGGGTGATTGTGGCTCAGAGTCTCTCATGAGGCCTGGTGACCACTTTCCGTTGGTTCTCCTAATACGTCTTATGCCCGCAGCAATGCTGCCAACTTCTTCAGCTCACCTGCCAGCCAACCTTGGTTCACCTGTGTTTCCATATGTTTTTCTTGCTTTTACAGCCACTGGGGACCAGCTCTGGCCAGGACAATTCCGTTTGCCATGATGTGGGTTGAAATCACAACTTCTCCCGGGCGCAGTGGCTCACGCCTCTAATCCCAGCACTTTGGGAGGCCAAGGTGGGTGGATCACAAAGTCAGGAGTTTGAGACCAGCCTGGACAACATGGTGAAACCCCGTCTCTACTAAAAAATACAAAAATTAGCTGGATGTGGTTGCGGATGCCTGTAATCCCAGCTACTTGGGAGGCTGAGTCAGGAGAATCACTTGAAACCAGAAGGCGGTGGTTGAGTGAGCAGAGATCGCGCCACTGCACTCCAGCCTGGGCAACAAGCACAAAACTCCATCTCAAAAAAAAAAAAAAAAAAAGAAAAGAAAAAGAAAAGGAAATCAAAACTTCTTCTATGACATTTGAACTCCCTGTGAAGTTTATCCTGTGTTACAGTTTTTCTCTCAGTCTTAGAGTATCCTTTAGTGTCCTCTTCATAATTACTCTCCTATCATAACTCACCTATCATCTAATACTTTTTTTTTTTTTGAGATGGAGTCTCGCTCCATCACCCAGGCTGAGGTGAAGGAGTGCAATCTCAGCTCACTACAACCTCCGTCTTCTGGGCTCAAGAGACCCTCCTACCTCAGCCTCCTGAGTAGCTGGGATTACAGGCGTGTGCCACCACGCCTGGCTAATTTTTTTGTATTTTTGGTAGAGATGGGTTTTCACCATATTGCCCAGGCTGGTCTCAAACTCCTGAGCTCAAATGATCTGCCCACCTTAGCCTCCTAAAGTGCTGGGTTTACAGGCGTGAGCCACTGTACCTGGCCTAATACTCCTTTAGAGTGAAATGTCTTCCTCTGATATAGCCATAAATGCCTATATTTAGTTCTGATAGACTTGTAGATGATAATCTTCTTCTAACCTCTGATTTATTATCCTACTAGAAAGTTAAGAATTGGAATGTTCATTCTCAGGTTCTGGGGAGGATTTTCTTTGGGGGCGTGTTATATTATTTTGTAGGAAATGCCATTTTGTTATATGGAAAAAAAAATCATAGCTTGAGCTCCTCCAACAAAGTGTTGTAATTTAGAAATTCTTAGGAAACTTCTCATAATGAATCAATTAAAAATTAATAACAATATAGCCAACTCTATGTTGTCTACAAGATACACACGTTAGATTCAAAAATACAAATAGATTGAAACTAAAAGGATAGAAAAAGATAAATCATGTAAACAGCAACCACAAGAAAGCTAGAGGGGCTGTACTGACATCCGAAAAAATGGATTTAAAACAAAAAAGTGTTAGTAGAGATAAAGAGGGATACACTGTCATTAGAAAAGAGCCAATCTGCCTGGCGCAGTGGCTCACACCTGTAATCCCAGCACTTTGGGAGGCCCAGGCGGGCAGATCACGAGGTCAGGAGATCGAGACCATCATGGCTAACATGGTGAAACCCCGTCTCTACTAAAAATACAAAAAATTAGCCAGGCGTGGTGGCGGGCGCCTGTAGTCCCAGCTACTCGGGAGGCTGAGGCAGGAGAATGGCGTGAACCTGGGAGGCGGAGCTTGCAGTAAGCCGAGATCGCGCCGCTGAACTCCAACCTGGGTGACAGAGCGAGACTCCTTCTCAAAAAAAAAAAAAAAAGAAAAGAGCCAATCCATCAAAAAGATATGACAATTACATATGTATATGCACCTAACTACAGAATACCAAAATATGTCAAACAAAAACTGACATAAATGAAGGTAGAAATGGAAACTGTAATAATAATAGTTGAAGACTTCAATACTCTGCTTTCAGTAATGGATAGAATGACTAAGCAGAAGATCAACAAGGAAATAGAAGACTTAAATAATACTATAAACCAAATGCACCTAACAGACATCTATATTAACACTCTACTCAACAACAGCAGAAGCAGAATACACATTCTTCCCAAATGCCTATGGAACGTTCTCTAAGACAGACCATATGCTAGCCCATAAAACAAACCTCAATAAATTTAAAAGGACAGAAATAATACAAAATATGTTTTCTGGTCGCAATGGAATGCAAATAGAAATCAATAACACAAGGAAAGTTGGAAAACTCACAAATATATGGAAATTAAACAACACACTCCTCAATAACCAATGGGTCAAAGAAGAAATGAAAATGGAAGTTAGAAAATACTTTGAGATGAATAGACATGAAGATAACATGAAAACTTGTAGGGTACAGCAAAAGCAGTGATTAGAGGAAAATTTATAGCTATAAATGCCTATATTTAACAAGAAGAAAGATCTCAAATCAATACATTAAAAAACTGGAAAAAGAAGAGCAAACTAAACAAAACAAGCAGAGGAAGGAAATAATAAGTATTAGAGTGGAAATTAATGAAATAGATAACAGAAAAACAATAGGGAAAATTAAAGAAACCAAAAGCAGATTATTTGAAGTAATCAGCAAAATTGACAAACCTCTAGTCAGAGGTTTGACCAAGAGAAAATGAGAGAAAACTCAAATGACTAGAATCAGAAATGAAAAAGGGGGCATTACTACCAAGCATACAGAAATAAAAAAGATTAAAAAGAAATACCATGAACAATTGTATTTGAATAAATTAGATAATTTAAATGAAATAGACATTTCCTAGAAAGACACAAAGTCCCAAAACAGACCCAAGAAGAAATAGGCAATCTAAATAGGCCTAAGTAAAGAGATTAAATTAATAATTAAAAAACTAGCTTTTTCCAAAGTGAATTCAGGGCCCCATTGCTACTTACGCTATATTTTGACATACATTTCCTTTCTTATTTTGTAAACTTCCTGGAAAGCCATCTTCACTGTCTCTCCTAGTTTCTGCATGTGTGATTGGTAGTCATGGAAGTGACACACAAAGTAAGCCAGAAGTTTGGTGGAACGTGTGAGAAACTGTTTTGTGCTTTTATGGATGTCATACTTGACAATACATGTATAAGTTACTAATACATGAATTGATGCTAAATATATCTTCCATTTGAATTCCTTTCGGATAAAGTTATTTCTTGACGTGAAAAAAAAAAACACAAAAAACCAGCCTGGCCAACATGGTGAAACCCCGTCTCTACTAAAAATACAAAAATTAGCCAGGCGTGGTGCCAGGTACCTGTAATCCCTAATTTTTCCAATGGGATGCTGAGGCAGGAAAATCACATGGACCTGGGAGGTGGAGGTTGCAGTGAGCCGAGATTGTGCCACTGCACTCCAGCCTGGGTGACAGAGTGAGACCCTGTCTCAAAAAAAAATTAATAAGAATATCAATACACCACCCACAAAGAAAAGTCTAGGACCAGGTGGCTTCACTGGTGAATTCTACCAAACGTTGAAACAAGCATTAATAACAATTCTTCACATACTGTTCCAAAAAATAGAAGAATAGGAACACTTCCCAACTCATTCTATGAGACATATTACCCTGATACCAAAACCAGAGAAAGATATCACAAGAAAAAAACCCCAAAACTACAGGCCAATATTTGTTAGGAATATGAATTCAAAATTCCTCAGCAAAATGCTAGCACACTGAATCTAGTCACATATGACAAAAACTTAGGCCAGACACGGTGGCTCATGCCTGTAATCCCTCTTAAAAAACAACAACAAAAAAGAAAAATATTAAGCATTATGACCAAGTGGGATTCATCCCAAATTTGGCAATGGATTATTAGACATGACATCAAAAGCACAAGCAGCAACAACAACAAAAAAAATAGATAAACTAGACTTCAGCAAAATTAAAAACTTTTGTGCTTCAGGGGACATCATCAAGAAAATAAAAGGACACCTCACAGAATAGAAGAAAAATATTTGTAATTTACATACCTGACAGTGGACTAGAATGCAGAATACACAAAGAACTCTTAGAGCTCAATAACAAAAAGGCAAATAATCCAATTTAAAAATGGGCAAAAGATTTGGAGAGGCATTTCTTCAAAGCAGGTATACAAACGGCCAATAAATACATGAAAGATAACTAACATCATTATTCATCAGGGACATGCAAATCAAAACCACAATGAGATACCATTTCATAACCACTAGGATGACTGTAATCAAACAGTCAGATAATAACAAGTGCTGACAAGAATGTGGAGAAATCAGAGCTTTCCTACACTGCTGGCAGGAATGTAAAATGGTGTAGACAATTTGGAAAACAGTTTGATGGTTTTTCAGAAAGTTAAACATAAGTTACCATTTGACCCAGTGATCCCACTCTGAGGTGTTTACTCACCCCTGGGTATATACCTGCAAGAGATGAAAACATATTCAAACAAAAACTGGTACAAAAACATCTTTAGCAGCCTTATTTAAAATAGCCAAAAGGTAGAAACAACCCAAATGAAATGGGAAGCCACCCGAATCAACTGATGCATGGACAAACAAAATATGGCATATCCATACAACGGAATACTTTTCTGGTCCTAAAAAGGGAATGAAATACTGATACATGCTACGACATGGATGAATCTTGAAAACAGTATGCTCAGTGAGAGAAGCCAGTTACAAAAGATCACATACTATAAGATTCCGTTTATAGGAAATGTCCAAACAGGAAAATCAATAGAGACAGAAAGTAGATTAGTTGTTGCTTAGGATAGGGGAGATGGGGGAATGCTGGTGGTGATAGCTAAAGGGTACAGTGCTTCTTTTTGAGGTGATAAAAATGCTCTAAAATTACAGCCGGGCGCAGTGGCTCACTCCTGTAATCTCAGCACTTTGGGAGGCTGAGGTGGGCAATCCCTTGAACTCAGGAGTTCAAGACTATCCTGGGCAACATGGCATGACCCCGTCTCTAAAAAAAAAATTAAAAAGTTAGCCAGGCATGGCGGCAAGTGCCTGTA
This sequence comes from Homo sapiens, assembly GCF_000001405.40. NCBI lineage: Eukaryota > Metazoa > Chordata > Mammalia > Primates > Hominidae > Homo > Homo sapiens. The sequence continues at coordinate 82,791,508 of NC_000015.10, read as the reverse complement.
GTCCCAGCTACTTGGGAGGCTGAGGTGGGAGGATCACCTGAGCCCGGGAGGCAGAGGTTGCAGTGAGCCAAGATGGTGTTACTGCACTCCAGCCTGGGTGACAGAGGGAGACCATGTCTCAAAAAAATTTTAAAAATTTAAAAATACATGCTGTGAAATTGACTGTGGTGATCACTGCACATATGTGTGAGTATACTAAAAACCACTGAATTGCCGGGTGCGGTGGCTCACGCCTGTAATCCCAGCACTTTGGGAGGCCGAGACGGGCGGACCACAAGGTCAGGAGATCGAGACCATCCTGGCTAACACGGTGAAACCCCATCTCTACTAAAAATACAAACAATTAGCTGGGCATGGTGGCGGGCGCCTGTAGTCCCAGCTACTGGGGAGGCTGAGGCAGGAGAATGGCGTGAACTCGGGAGGCGGAGCTTGCAGTGAGCTAAGATCGCGCCACTGCACTCCAGCCTGGGTGACAAAGCGAGACTCCGCCTCAAAAAAAGCAACAACAACAAAACAAACAAAAAACGAAACCACTAAAGTATACATTTTTAACAGGTGAATTGTATGGTATATGAATTATACCTCGATAAAACTGTTACAAAAAAGAATTAATAAAACACAATGGGCCGGGCGTGGTGGCTCACACCTGTAATCCCAGCACTTTGGGAGTCCGAGGTGGGCGGATCACGAGGTCAGGAGATCGAGACCATCCTGGCTAACACAGTGAAACCCTGTCTCTACTAAAAATACAAAAAAAAAAAAAAAATTAGCTGGGCATGGTGGCGGGCGCCTATAGTCCCAGCTACTAGGGAGGCTGAAGCAGGAGGATGGCGTGAACCCGGGAGGCGGAGGTTGCAGTGAGCCGAGATCGCGCCACTGGACTCCACCCTAGGCGACAGAGTGAGACTCTGTCTCAAACACACACACACACACACGCACGAACACACACACACACACACACACAAATGGCAGCTCTGTGCCAGGAAGAAAGCATGGACTTTGGAGTCCAACCGACTGTGTTAATCTCGTTCTCCAAGAAGCAGGCATAAGATGGAAAATAATTTTATTAGAGGAAATACCTGTGTGAGCAATAAAATGGGGAGGCAGCTAGGAAAGGCTGGAAGAGCTGCCAGACCATGATGTAAGTCTGACCCTGGCTGAAGGAGAGCAAGAGGGAAGGTTCAGGGAAGATTCAGGCAAGTATCCTAGACTACCATGAGGTCTAAGAAAGCCTTGGTGAGGCTGTCAGAGAATCCTCCAGCCAACTCCTCTGGCCATCAGAGAACTGTTTGTTTGTTTGTTGTTGTTGTTGTTGTTGTCGTTGTTGTTGTTTGAGACGGAGTCTCGCTCTGTTGTCCAGGCTGGAGTTCAGTGGCATAGTCATGGCTCACTGCAACCTCCGCCTCCCTGGTTCAAGCAATTCTCCTGCCTCAGCCTCCTGAGTAGCTGGGATTACAGGCACCTGCCACCACAACTGGCTAATTTTTTGTGTTTTTAGTAGAGACAGGGTTTCACCGCATTGGTCAGGCTGGTCTCGAACTCCTGACCTCATGATCCGCCCATCTTGGCCTCCAAAAGTGCTGGGATTACAGGCACCCAGCCTTCTGTTTGTATTTTAAGAGACAGGGTCTTGCTATGTTGCCCAGGCTGGTCTTGAACTCTGGCCTCAAGTGATCCTCCCACCTTAGCCTCCTGAGTAATTGGAACTAGAGGAGGGCTCAGAGGAGTTCTGTATCAACCAGAAATGGATCTGCCTTAGAATTCCTGGCTGTGCTTGTCACTGGATGGCAGATGTTTGTGGCAAGCATGCTATGCAGCAATGAACTTCAGAGGGCAACTGAAACCTCCAGTCAATTACACTCCCTGTAGTTGGATATCTGTGAAGCACAGTCTTATAGCTGCCACACCGATTAAGGCTCAAATCCCAGTTCAACAATATACTAACTGTGTGGCCTTGCACAAGATACCCTCCCTGAGACACAGTTGACTCATCTACAAAATGGGGATGATAGCAGTGCCTGCCACATAGGGTCGATGTGAGGATAATGTATATATAAACTGCCTAACACAGAAAAGGCATACGATAAGTGTTCAAGAAGTAGTAGCTATTACTAATATTGTATTTACTATTATTATTATTATTATTATTATTATATCCTTCTAGACTTTATGTACTTCATTAAAATAGTGGACATGATATTCTACATATAATGGGCATTCTGTTTATTTTGCTTAACATCATATTGTATGTCTTTTTCCAAGTTATCATTTGCTCTCCATAAACATTTTGAAGGCTGCTTTGTATTCTATGTAGTGTACATCCCCGAGTTTACTTAGCCCTTCTCCTAATCATTAAACCTTTTCAAAAACAAAAGTTTTTGCTACTTAAAAAAATTCTGTAGTGGGCATTTTTACATAAAATAATTTTTTTCCTTGTATTTGGGATTTTTCCTCAAGGTTCCAGAAGAGGATTACTAGGTTAGAGAGAGTATGAACAGGCTAGAGAGTATGAACACTTTTTTTTTTTTTTTAGACAGAGTCTTGCTCTGTCGCCCAGGCTGGAGTACACTGGCGCAATCATGGCTCACTGCCTCAGCCTCCCTAGTAGCTGGGACTACAGGCATGCACCACCACACCTGGCAAATGCTTAAATTTTTTGTAGACATGGGGTTTCACTGTGTTGCCTAGGCTGGTCTCAAACTCCTGGCCTCAAGCAATCCTCCTGCCTTGCCCTCCCAAAGTGCTGGGATTACAGGCATGAGTCACCACACCCTGCTGAAAGTGTGAACATCTTTAAGGTTCCTGACCCAGGTTGCCAAGCTTGCTCTTCAGAAAAGTGGGGCCAGTTTACATTCTAGCCGGCAGCATATGAGAGTGCTCACTTCACTGTCCCCTTATCCAGCTGCGGGTATCACTTTTGATATTTTTAAATATTTTCTAACTGAAAAGGCAAAACAGCATCTACTTATTTGTTCTGTCACTTTTTTTTTTTTTTTTTTTTTTTGAGACAGGGTCCTGCTCTGTCACCCAGGCTGGAGCGCAGTGGTGTGATTTAGGCTCACTGCAACCACCACCCCTCAAGGCTCAAGTGATCCTCCCACCTCAGCCTCCCAAGTAGCTGGGACCACACGTGCACACCACTATGCCTGGCATTTTTTTTTTTTTTTGTATTTTTGGTAGAGACAGGGTCTTGCCATGTTGCCCAGGACGATCTCGAACTCCTGAGCTCAAGCAATCCATCTGCCTCAGCCTCCCAAAGTACTGGGATTATGGGCATGAGCCACCACGCCAGGCCTGTTCTGTTACTTTTAAGTACAGTTTTTTTCAAATGTTTTTGTGCAGGTGCTATCATATACAAAAGTAATTGTTTTGTGAATTGTCTGTGCACATTCATCTATTGAGATGCCACTTTTTCAATTAATTTATACAATTTAAAAATAATAGACTGGGCGCAGTGGTTCATGCCTGTAATTCCAGCACTTTGGGAGGCTGAGGTGGGTGAATCACCTGAGGTCAGGAGTTCCAACATAGTGAAAACCCGTCTCTACCAAAAATACAAAAATAAGCTGGGTGTGGTGGCACATACCTGTAATCCCAGCTAGTTGGGAGGTGGAGGCACAAGAATTGCTTGCACCCTGGAGGCAAAGGCTGCAGTCAGCCGAGATCATGCCACTGCACTCTAGCCTGGGTGACAGAGTGAGACTCCATCTCAAAAATAAATTAATAATAATAATAATAATAATTGCCTGAGATGCTTCCCATTATTTTGCCTTTTAAGTTTTTTTTTTAATGTATGAGGGAAGTATTTTGTTGGACATATCTATTAGACATTTCTTTTGTAATTTCTTTTGTCTCTTTTAACCTTAGAAAGCCCATCCTCCCATAGAAAACAAATTTTTTAAAGATGGTTCAAAGTGAAACCACGACTGAACTACACAGATAATTTTTTTAAAGTTTTATATGAGTAGAGCCCAATCTAATGATCATCTACTGCAATGCCCTTCTCCAGAAATGATTTTCCTCCTCCTTTTGTGTTCCAGGGCCCAGATATTCACTATTAAGTGTCCAGGAAGGATCTTTCTTATATAAAGGTGCTTCTGAGGACTTCCAGAGTTACAATGGAGGAGGAATCGGGGGAGGAACTGGGGCTGGACAGGTCTACTCCCAAGGATTTCCACTTTTACCACATGGACCTGTATGACTCTGAAGACAGACTGCACCTCTTTCCAGAAGAGAACACTAGGATGAGGAAAGTAGTCCAAGCTGAAATGGCCAATGAGTCAAGAGGAGCAGGGGATGGTAAGGCTCAAAGAGACCTTCAAGAGGAAGTGGATGAACTTGTCCACTTATATGGACTTGAAGATGATCATGAATTAGGGGATGAGTTTGTTGATGAAAACATACCCAGAACAGGGGTTTCAGAATATCCTCCTTATATGATGAAGAGGAGAGACCCAGCCAGGGAGCAGAGAGACTGGAGACTTAGTGGAGAGGCAGCGGAGGCCGAGGACCTGGGCTTCGGAGGGTGGGGCTCAGCAGGCCAGTGCCAGGACTTGCGGGAAGCCTATAGGTACACACACGGCCGTGCCAGCGAGGAGTATGAATGCTATGTCATCCCCGAGGAAGAGGATGAAGAAGAAGCTGCTGATGTCTTCTGTGTCACTTGTAAGACTCCAATAAGAGCTTTTCAGAAGGTTTTTGATGAACATAAGGAGCATGAAGTGATCCCACTCAATGAAGCACTGGAAAGTGCCAAGGTAAATAGGTGTCCTTGGTTCTTCTCTGTCTTGATATTGCTTTGGTATCTCAAGTACATACGCAGGGAATAAATCTAAAACGCCTTCTACAAGAGTGAGAGAAGATGTAACATTAATACCTTCTTTGTGATCCTCTGTTGGATAGGATGAAATTCACAAAAACATGTACAAATTGGAAAAGCAGATAATTGAGATGGAAAACTTTGCAAATCATTTGGAGGAGGTTTTCATCACTGTGGAGGTAAGAGCACACTTGAAGACCTCATCAGACTCACATTTCTTCCATCAATGGCTATGTCAAGCAGCTGTTTCTGGTATGAGCTAGAGAATCTGTTTTCTTAGAATGTGAGGGGTCACCACTCCCCCTTCTCTCCTCCCTTCTTTCACTGACCTCCCATAGCACCTGGGCATGGACGTCATGGAACCAATTACCTGTCAGCATTCCCTGCTGAACTATAAGCTCTTGGTGTGAAAGCTGGGTCGTCTGTCTCAATATCCCTAGTCCTACTACATGGTATGTTTCAGAGCAGGCATTTTATACATGTTTGTTGCATGAGTAAATAAGGTAGAAATTTCCCAATCACAATCCCTCTCCTTCACTGGCTTCATTTTCTCCTAATCCCCCTTTACCCAAATCACCAATTGTATGTGATTTAGACCCTTATTCGAATTCTTTTTTTAATGTATACTGTTTTCATCATTCAACTTGATAGACCCTTATTCTAACAAAGATGACTTCACGGTGGCATCATCCAGTGAATTCCCTCATTTGAGCCCAGGTGGTGAAGAGGGGACATCCTTTCTTTTGCCCTTGTCTTTTTGGGTTTGTTTATTTGTTTTGGACCTCTTTTTTTGGGGTAGAAGTTCTTACTGAGAATCCCCGGGTTGCTATCTGGTGCATTGGCGGAGAAACCAGAAACAGTGGAGTTCCATGTTGTTCCGTTGGTTTCGGGAGTTGTTAATTTTAGGCTTTTGGGGGTACCTATAATGTTGACTATATAAAGTCAGGTGTAGACTGTCAAACACTTTTTTGTTGTTCTAAGAGGCAAAATACCCACTTCTGCCAATGATCGCTACTCAAACAAAGGAATATTTTTAGCTCTGCATGCATTTAAAAAATAAATTTATGGCTGGGCACGGTGGCTAACGCCTGTAATCCCAGCACTTTGGGAGGCCAAGGCGGGTGGATCACCTGAGGTTAGGAGTTCGAGACCAGACTGGCCAACATGGTGAAATCCCATTTCTACTACTAATAAAAAATTAGCTGGGTGTGGTGCCATGTGCCTGTAGTCCCAGCTACTTGGGAGGCTGAGGCAGGAGAATTGCTGGAACCCGGGAGGCAGAGGTTGCAGTGAGCCGAGATCACACCACTGCACTCCAACCTGGGCAACACAGCGAGACTCCATCTCAAATAAATAAATAAATAAATAAATAAATAAATAAATAAATAATGTATTGCCTTTGTCTAGTTAGCAATTTCCAGACTTTTCTGAGAGATCAGTAAAAGCTTAGAATTCTAGGATTGGAAAGGAGTTTCTATTCTTTGACAGCCCCTCTCCCTCCCAATCTTGACATGGGTAAGAATGTGAGCCTTGATCCAGATGCCAAGACGACTGAGATAGAAGGTGTGGTGTGGCTCTGTAACTTTTGTCCACTAGTCATATTGGCCCCTAGAGCTACACAGAATAAGACTAGCTCCTCTTTCACGGTTCAGCCTTGACAAGGTATTACAGGATACCCATCCCGTTTTTGGTAAGTGTTCTTTTCCTCAGCTGATATCTATTTCTCATAAGATTAATAAGTTTCCATGCCTGTCACCAAACATGCCACAGTCCCCTGTGTGTGCCCTAGTAGATACATGGTAACCACTATGATGCCAGAGCTCAACCCAACCTTCCAGATGAGGTCAACCAGGACTGAGGAGCTTAGGACTTGCCCTCTCTCTTCTCTTCATGCGGATGCTCTACTTCTATTAATGCAGCTTCGGATGGTACCAACAGGAGGATCTTATATGAATCAACGAAGCCCCAGGCCCATTTCCCATGAAGGTAGACCTTTTCCAGCCCCAATCTTACAAGGGAGGAGAGCTATTGCACTAATCCCCCATGGAAGATACAGAGAAGTGGCAAACCCTTCCACTGCCAAGCATAGGGTAGTGGTAGAAGGGGGTAAGTGTACAACATCGAAGACAAAACTTCTTACATTGGCCGGGCACAGTGGCTGACGCCTGTAATTTCAGCACTTTGGGAGGCCAAGGTGGCAGATCACTTGAGGTCAGGAGTTCGAGACCAGCCTAGCCAAGATGGTGAAACCCCATCTCTATTAAAAATACAAAAAAAATTAGTTGGGCTTGGTGGTGGGTGCCTGTAATCCCAGCTACTTGGGAGGCTGAGACAGGAGAATCACTTGAACCCAGGAGTCAGAGGTTGCAGTGAGCTGAGATCGCTCCACTGCACTCCAACCTGGGTGGCAAAATGAGGCTCCATAAAAAAAAAATAAAATAAAATAAAATAAAATAAAAAACTTCTTACATGCTGCTCTGCCAGCTTACTCTCAGATCAAAGTCCCTTCATCCTCAGTGGCCATCCTTTCATACTCAACACTGGGAAGTTCATCTATTGCCTTTCTCTCTCTTCCACCATTCTGAGCAAGTCCTGTGCACATAGCAGGTGTTCAGTAATTACTCCCTGAATGATTGATAAGATCCTCTTCCTTGGAAATGTCCCCATCATCTGATGAGGATGACATCCATCAGAGCTTGCAGAGCTCTGGGGACAATATAAGCAATATATACTCTATTAATATTAATATTTCTCATCTACTGTGCTCCTGGATTAATATTGTCAGAACCCTCCCTCTGCCCTCTTGCATCTTCTCATCTGTAAGCAGTGCCGCCAGACCACAACCCTTGTTCCTCCTTTGCCTTCATTTCTCCCCTAGTTGATATGATCCTAGTTGATTTAATCTTGATATTTGTATGATCCAAGCACCAGGGAGTGAAGAGGAGCCTCATGAGATGTTAAGAGCTCAGGAGAGAATGATAGATGGGAATCTCTCAGGGAAAATATTTCCACATTAAGGTCCAATATCGGGCAGAATCATCACTGATAATCTCCCTGGTCACTTGTCATGGTGATAGAAGGTAGTTGAAACTGGAACTGGATTGCAAAATGCTGCCAGGAGAGAAAGCAGTGCTTTTGTTTAGATTATTCCTGGAGTCTAGGCCGGAGACACCTATGTTCCAGCACCTCCAGTTTCCATTCCAACTCCCAACAAGAGATGAGAGGACAAAGTAGAGGAACTAAAATAGTTCTGATAGGCACATATTTTCATTTCTCTAATGACTCTAATCAGGCTGGGCGTGGTGGCTCTTGCCTGTAATCCCAACACTTTGGGAGGCTGAGGCAGGCGGATCACTTGAGGTCAGGAGTTCAAGACCAACCTGGCCAATATGATGAAACCCCATCTCTACTAAAAATACAAAAATTAGCCGGGCATGGTGATGCACACCTGTAATCCCAGCTACTCAGGAGCCTGAAGCAGGAGAATCACTTTAACCTGGGGGGCAGAGGTTGCAATGAGCCAAGATCACACTACTGTACTCCAGCCTGGGCAACACTGCAAGACTGTGTCTCAAAAACAAACAAACAAAAAAACAAAAAACAAAAGACTCTAATCAACACACTACATGCGCTGAAATGATGACTGAGATCAACTGTCTTGCAGGAGAATTTTGGAAAACAAGAACAAAACTTTGAGTCACATTACAACGAGATCTTGGAAACACTTGCTCAAAAATATGAGGAAAAAATACAAGCTCTAGGGGAGAAAAAGAAAGAGAAGCTGGAAGCCTTATATGGACAACTGGTCAGCTGTGGAGAAAACCTAGATACTTGCAAAGAACTGATGGAAACAATAGAGGAGATGTGTCACGAGGAGAAGGTGGATTTCATAAAGGTCAGTAATGAAACAAAATGAAATAATGAACATAATGGAAAGAGATGGAATTATAAACGGAAACGACAGTTATGGTTGAGGTAAGCTAGGTTGTCCTCTTTCCTCCTGGAGGCATTGGAATCGACTTTTATGGCCAGCATCCATTTGATTCCACTGGATGATCGTGATGGGGAGGCTGTGGCCCAATCTCTCTGCATGGCTTCCACGTGAGTGGCCAGGCGGACTCACAGCGCAGACTCTCTCCCTCCCCCAGCGCAGAGGCAGCACCAGTCTTTGTTCCTCTGTTCTGGTCACCCAGATACCTGTTCCCTCATCCTGGAGCTAAGCTGAGCAAAAACCGTGCTCTAACAGTTTTTTGTTGTTGTTGTTTTGTTTTGTTTTGGTTTGGTTTTTTTGAGACGGAGTCTCACTCTGTTGCCCAGGCTGGAGTGCAGTGGCGCGATCTCGGCTCACCGCCAGCTCTGCCTCCTGGGTTCACGCCATTCTCCTGCCTCAGCCTCCCTAGTAGCTGGGACTACAGGCGCTCGCCACCAAGCCCAGCTAATTTTTTTTTTTGTATTTTTAGTAGAGACGGGGTTTCACTGTGTTAGCCAGGATGGTCTTGATCTCCTGAACTCGTGATCCGCCCACCTTGGCCTCCCGAAGTGCTGGGATTACAGGCGTGAGCCACCATGCCCGGCCAAGAGTTTTATTATTATTATTATTATTATTATTATTATTATTATTATTTTGAGATGGAGTCTCGCTCTGTTGCCCAGGCTGGAGTGCAGTGGCACGATCTCGGCTCACTGCAACCTCTTCCTCCCGGGTTCAAGCAATTCTCCTGCCTCAGCCTCCTGAGTAGCTGGGATTACAGGCACCCGCCACCACGCCCAGCTAATTTTTGTATTTTTTTTTTTAGTAGAGACGGGGTTTCACCATGTTGGTCAGGCTGGTCTCGAACCTCTGACCTCGTGATCCACCTGCCTCGGCCTCCCAAAGTGCTGAGATTACAGGCGTGAGCCACCGCGCCCGGCCAAGAGTGCTCTAAGAGTTTTCCAGCCACCTCAGATGGCCTCTTGGAGCTCTGGGGAGAAAGTTGTCAAGGCTGAAAAGGCACCTTAAATTTCCCAGTTACAAGTGTAGCAATTAAAAATCTTACTTCACGAACTCAGACATGCAAAAAAAATCCATTTCCTAATTTTCTTGAAAACAAATTAAATCTGACCCAACCCTCTACATGGCTAGGCTATGGGAATTTCAATCTCAGTCAGATTTCTTCACAAGGTGCCACAGGAGGAGGGGGAAGATGTGGTGTCCAGGGCGTGGGGGAGGGGCCTTCAGCCTCCAGAGCTTCCTGGTTGCTAAATATGGCCCCCACATTGTCCAAGAGTACAGTCGCCCCTCAAAGCCCAACCATGCCTCCTTTCTGCTGTGCCTGGGGTGAGGGGCCAGCGAATAAAGCTGGAGAGCAATTTGGCAGGCACTGCAAGAACCATCAATGCTCATACCTCTTGAACTAGTGGGCCCACCATATGCAGAACATGGAGAAAGTGATAAACATGAAGGTGGGCTTCTCACTGTTATGTATGATGGTGAAAAGCTGGAAACAACAAAATGTCCAACAAGAGAAGAACCATCAAGTAAATGATGGCGTTTCCATTCATTAACTGTTCACAATTAACTGTTATGCAAGTGTTCAAGCTGATGGCCCAAAAGACCATTTACTACATGGAAAGTGCTTACATAGTGTGGGTTTTTTGTTGTTGGTTTTTCTTTTGAGACAGGGTCTAGCTCTGTTGCTTGGGCTGGAGGAGAGTGGTGTGATCATAGCTCAATGCAGCCTTGAACTCCTGGGCTCAGATGATCCTCCTGCCTCAGCCTCCCAAGGAGCTAGGACCACAGGCACATGACAAAGTTGATGGGGAAAAGCAGTACTGTGGTATGGAAGAAAATGCACAGAAATAAGGGTGGTTTTGTTACGGTATGGGATACAGCTGGGCTTTTTAACTTTTTCCTAATTTCCAAGTTTTCTTCTATGTTTATGTTATTATATATATTTAGTTATATCAATTATTATATAACTATCTTATATATATGATGTGACAATATGTATTATCACATATATAGTTATATCTATCTATCTATTTATAACAATATGTTGGTAAAAGAAATTTATTTCCAGCCAGGCACGGTGGCTCATGCCTGTAACCCTAGCACTTTGGGAGGCCGAGGTGGGCAAATCACAAGGTCAGGGGTTCGAGACCAGCCTGGCCAATATGGTAAAACGCTGTCTCTACTAAAAATACAAAAATTAGCTGGGTGTGGTGGTGCGTGCCTGTAATCTCAGCTACTTGGGAGGCTGAGGCAGGAGAATCCCTTGAACCTGGGAGGCGGAGGTTGCAGTGAGCCGAGATTGTGCCATTGCACTCCAGCCTGGGGGACAGAGTGAGACTCCATTTAAGAAAAAAAAAAAAAGAAAGAAAGAAAAAGAAAAAAGAAATTTATTTCCAAAATCAACTTAATATTTTCTCTTTTTCCTTTTTAGGATGCAGTGGCTATGGCTGACAGGTAATACATTTGTTCTAGTATGTATTTCTTTTTTTACTTTTTTCAACTTTAGTTATCCAAATAGACTCAGTTCCATTTGGTTATACGGTTCCAGTTTCAGCTTTTGTGTCAATCCTGATTAAATTAGCACTGGCTTTGGAATGATGGTGTGCAGTCACTAGGAGCATCTAGTATTGAATCTCAGGATCTCAGGGCTAGTAGGGAGCGTGTACGGTGAGGCTCAGTCAGCAAGCCTGTGGGCAGCTCTCCTCCACAAGCCCCTCATTTCACCAGAAAGAACTGAGATCTGTGGAGTACCCCCAACATCCCCCCACTATGCCTGGACCCAGACTGTCCAGTTGCAGAAAGTGTGCACATTTTAGAATCAGACAGATAGCAGTTCAAATCCTGCTACCCTCATGACCTTGAGCAAATCTAATCAGTCTAGAAGACACCTTATCTACAAATGAGGATAGCTTTGTGAGAATCAAATAAAATAAATGTCCATAAAGCAACATGAACATAGAGATTTCATAATGTAATCCCTGCAGGGATTTTGGCAAAGATGGAACTGGTTTCAAATTCTTTTTTTTTTTTTTTTGAGACAGTTTCGTTCTTGTTGCCCAGGCTGGAGTGCAATGGCAAGGTCTCAGCTCACTGCAACCTCTGCCTCCCAGGTTCAAGTGATTCTCCTGCCTCAGCCTCCCAAATAGCTGGGATTACAGGTGTCCCCCACCATCCTGGCTAATTTTTTTGTATTTTTAGTAGAGACGGAGTTTCACCATGTTGGCCAGGCTGGTCTTGAACTCCTGACTTCAGGTGCTCTGCCTGCCTTGGCCTCCCAAAGTGCTGGAATTACAGGTGTGAGCCATCATGCCTGGCCCTGGTTTCAAATTCTGCCTCTGCCATTTACAAACCTTGTGACTGCCAGGAAGCAGATACAAGGAGACCCCGAGTCCCATGATCAGCAACTTGAGGGCACTTGACCATGTGGAGAGGAAGCCTGGGGAGTCTGGACCCTCAGTACCTCTTGGGCCTGGAGTGACTTGAGAGTGGGAACTCCCAGGTTAGCACCTAAGAGATCTTCCAGAGGGTGTGGTTCTGGATCTTGTTGGCAGATCGCCCTCTACCCACCCTCTGACATGACCTTACCCTTTCTCCTCTCCCTCAAAGGCACAAACCAATCCCACCCATCCCCATTGATGACCCCTAGGTCAATCTCCAAAAAAGATGGTAGATGGCAGCCAGCAGCTGTTTGTAACTAAATGAAAGTTCAGCAAAGAGCCCCTCTTCATTTATGACAGTGACTCAGCACTATATATATACCCTAAGGAGAATGCCCCTCCATTCTAGTCAGCATGTCTTTTTATACCAACAGACTCGGGAAATTCCTGAAAACAAAAACAGACGTGGAAATCTCTGCACAGCCTGAGTTTGAAGACCAGACCTTGGATTTCTCTGATGTGGAGCAGCTGATGGGCTCCATTAACACCATTCCAGGTGCTCACCTGTGTGTGTACTTCGCGGCAGGTTCAGACTACCCAGAGCTTTTTTCTTTCTTGTGATGAGAACACTTAGCATGAGATCTATCCTCTTAACAAATTTTAAAGTGTACAATACAATATTGTTAAATACAGGTACTGTGTTGTACAGCATACCTCTAGAACTTACCCATCTTGTATAACTAATCTTTGTATCCATTGAGCAACAATTCCCCGTTTCCCCTTCCCCCAAGCCCCTGGCAACCACAATTCCGTTCTCTGCTTCTAAGAGTTTGACTGCTTTATATACTGCATGTAAGTGGAATCATGGAGTATCTGTCCTTCTGTGACTGGCTAATGTCACTTAGCATAATGTCCTCAAGATTCATCCATGTTGTCACAGATGGTAAAACTTCATTCTTTGTTAAGGCTGAATAATATTCCATATGTATACACACACATACTTTTTAAAATCCATCCATCTATTGATGGACATTGAGGTTGTTTCCATGTCTTGGTTATTGTGAATAATGCTGCAATGAACATGGAACACAGGTATCTTTGAGATCTTGATTTCAGTTCTGGTGAATACATACCCAGGAATTACTAGATCATGTAATAGTTATTATATATATATATATATATATATATATATATGGTTTTTTTGTGTTTTTTTTTCAGAGACAGGGTATTGCTATGTTGCCCAGGCTGGCCTCAAATTCCTGGGCTCACATGATCTTCCCACCTCAGCCTCCTGAGTAGTTAGAACTACAGGCACACACCACCACAACCAGCTTATTTTTAATTTTTTGTGGAACCACTATACTGTTTTCCATGGTGGCTGCATGATTTTACATTCACACCAACAGTATATAAGGGTTCCAGTTCTCCACATTCTCACCATTTGTTACCTTTCACCTTTTTTTTTTTTTTTAATTGAGAAAGAGTCTTGCTCTGTCACCCAAGCTGCAGTACAGTGGCACGATCTTGGCTCACTGAAACCTCCACCTCCCAGGTTCAAGTGATTCTCCAGTCTCAGCCTCCTAAGTAGTTGAGATTACAGGCACCCGCCACCACGCTCCACTAATTTTTTGTATTTTCAGTAGAGACAGGGTTTCACCATGTTGGCCAGGCTGGTCTCAAACTCCTGACCTCAAGTGATCTGACTGCCTTAGCTTCCCAAAGTGCTGGGATTACAGGCCTGAGCCACCGCGGTCGGCCTCCTTTCACTTTTTGACAATATCATCCTAGCAGGTATGAGGTGATATCTCATTGTGGTTTTGATGCGCATTTTCCTGATAACTAGAGAGATTGAGCACTCTTTCATATACAAGGTGGCTATTTATATGTCTTCTTTGGGGAAATATCTATTTAAGTTCTTTGCCCATTTTTTAATCGGTTTGGATTTTTGCTATTGAGTTGTAGAAGATTCTTATTTTTTTTGTATACTAGTCTCTTATCAGATAGTTTGCAAATATTTTCTTCTATTCTGCAGGTTGTTTCTTCACTCTGTTAATGGTTTATTTTGCTATGCAAAAGCTATTTTAGTATGATGTAGTGCCATTTGCCTATTTTTTGTTTTGTTGCTTGTGCTTTTGGTGTCAAATCTAAGAAATCATTGCCAAGACCAATGTCAAGAAGCTATTCACCTATGTTTTCTTTAAGAAGTTATACAGTTTCAGGGTTTTACATTTAAGTCTTTAATAATCTATTTTGAGTTTACTTTTGTTCTGGTGTAAGATAGGGATCAAATTTCATTATTCTGCAGGTGGATATAGTTTTCTGAATGCCATTTGTTGAAGAGACTATCCTTTCCCCATTGTGTGTTCTTGTCACCCTTAGCAAAGATCATTTGGATGGGTTTATTACTGGGCTCTCAATTCTGTTTCATTGGTCTATGTGTCTGTCCTTATGCCTGTACCATACTGTCTTAATTACTGTAGCTTTGTAATATATTTTGAAATCAGAATGTGTGATGCCTCTAGCTTTGTCTTTCCCAAGATGGCTTTAGCTACTTGGGTTCTTTTGTGGTTCCATATACATTTGGGGATTTTTTTTTTATTTCTGTAAAAAATGCTGTTGGGATTTTGATAGGGATTGCCTTGAATCTGTAGATCATTTGGCATAATATGGACATTTTAACAATATTAATTCTTCCAATCTATGAATGTAGGATACTTTTCCATTATTTTGTGTCTGCTTCAATTTCTTTCATCAGTGTTTTATAGTTTTCAGTATACAAGTCTTTCACCTCCTCAGTTAAGTTTATTTCTAAGTATTTTATTCTTTTTGATGCATTTTAACACTATAGATCAAATGGACCTAATGGACATGTACAAAACATTCCATCCAGCAACAGCAGAATACACATTCTTCCCAAGCACACATGTAACATTCTCCAGGCTAGATCACATGTTACGCCACAAAACAAGCCTTAACAAATTTAAAAAGAATGAAATCTATCAAGTATCTTTTATTGTTATTATCATTACTATTTTGAAATAGGGTTTCACTCTGTTGCCCAGCCTGGAGTATAGTGGTGTGATCATGGCTCACTGCAAACTCCAACTCCTGGGCTCAAGAAATCCTCCTGCCTCAGCCTTCCAAGTAGCTAGGACTACAGGCCCACACCACCATACCCAGACAATTTGTTCAATGTTTTTGTAGAGATGAGGTCTCACTATGTTGCCCAGGCTGTTCTTGAACTTCTGGTGTCAAGTAATCCTCCTACCTCAGCCTCCCAAAGTGCTGAGATTACAGGCCTGAGTCACTCTGCCTGGCCTCAAGTATCTTTTATGACCACAGTGGTATGAAACTAGAAATCAATAACAAGAAAAAATTGGAAAATTCACAGATATGTGGAAATTACACAACACACTCCTGAGCAATCAAGGGGCCAAAGAAGAAATCAAAAGGGAATTTTAAAAACCTTGAGATAAATGAAAATGAAACACAACATACCAAAACTTATGGGATGCAGCAAAAGGGATGTACTACAAGGGAAATTTATAGCAATAAGCGCCTACATTAAAAAGAAAGAGCTCATATAAACAACCTAACTTTACACCTCCAGAAACTAGAAAAAGAACAAGCTAAGCCCAAATTTTGCAGAAGAAAGGAAATAATAAAGATTAGAGCAAACATTATAAAAAATGTCATATATGACATCCCACAGCTAACATCATACTCAGTGGTGAAAAGTTGAAAGCTTTTCCTCTAAGATCAGAAACAAGACAAAGATGCCCACTCTCAACACTCCAATTCAACGTAGTGCTACAAGACCTTGCCAGAGCAATTAGGCAAGAGAAAGATAGAAAGGCATCCAAACTGAAAAGGAAAAAGGGAAATTGCCTCTGTTTGCAAATTATATGAATTTTTTTTTTTTTTGAGACAGAGTCTCACACTGTCACCCAGGTTGGAGTGCAATGGTGCGATCTCAGCTCACTGCAACCTCAGCCTCCTGGGTTCCAGCGATTCTCCTGCCTCAGCCTCCCGAGTAGCTGGGATTACAGGCACCCGCTACCATGCCTGGCTAATTTTTTATATTTTTATTAGACACGGGGTTTCACCATGTTGGCCAGGCTGGTCTCAAACTCCTGACCTCGTGACCCACCTGCCTCGACCTCCCAAAGTGCTGGGATTACAGGCGTGAGCCACCATGGCCAGTCGGATTATATGATTTTATTGTAGAAAACCCTGCAGACCCCCTGAGCTTTGAGTAGGAAATGTCAATGTCTGAAAAAAATAATAAAGATTTAGAAACAAGGCCAGGCGCGGTGGCTCACGCCTGTAATCCCAGCACTTTGGACGGCTGAGGTGGGTGGATCATGAGGTCAGGAGATTGAGACCATCCTGGCCGACATGGTGAAACCCCGTCTCTACTAAAAATACAAAAATTAGCTGGCTGTGGTGGCACGTGCCTGTAATCCCAACTACTCGGGAGGCTGAGGCAGGAGAATGGCTTGAATCCGGGAGGTGGAGACTGTGGTGAGCCGAGATCGCACCACTGCACTCCAAACTGGTGACAGAGCGAGACTCCGTCTCAAAAAAAGAAAAAAAAAAAAAGGATTTAGAAACAAGTATTTTTTTCCCTCTAACTTCCTATTTTTGTCTTTAGCTCATAAGTGAGTACAGAGGCTGACCTCTCTGAGGTTCCTCCTGGGTATCTGTTTTTAGCATAGAGGTTAAGAGATGGGCTTTGGAATTCTATGGAGCTCATGAGAATCCCAACTCTGCCACTTCCTAGCAGTGTGACTCTGGACAATTCACCTAACCTCTCTGAGTCTTGGTTTCTTCATCTGTAAAAATGGACATCATAATACCTCATAGGAATATGGTAAGAATTAAATGAGAAAACTTATGTACAACATATTACATGGTGCCAAGTAGCTCTTTAAAGTATTATTGTTGGCCAGACGTGCTGGCTCATGCCTGTGATCCCAGCACTTTGGGAGGCTGAGGTGGGCAGACTGCTAGAGCCCAGGAGTTTAAGACCAGCCTAGGCAAAATAGCAAGACCCTATCTCTACAAAAAAAATCTTAAAAATTAGCTTGGTGTGGCACCGTACACCTATAGCCCCAGTTACTTGGGAGACTGAAGTGGGAGGATTGCTTGAGCCCAAGAGTAAGGCTGCAGTGAGCTATGACTGCCCCACTGCACTCCAGCCTGGGTGACAGAGTAAGAGCCTGTCTCAAAAAATTGAAATAAAATAAAATATTATTGTGATTACTTATTTATAAGGATAGTCTGTAATTCCTCATTTTTCAACTGCTTGCTTTCCCCTTCTCACCAACACTGAACAACATGATTGTGGACAATGTTGTGTACAGCATTTTAGGTTTTTTCCTTGCACAGTATTTTTGTTATAAAAATTGAGTCATTCTGTTTTGAAATCTGCTGTTTTTTCAGCAAAACAATTTTGATAGATATTTTCTCACCCTGATAAATTCTTTTGCAATATCACTTTAGTGCCTACATATTTTCATTTATTTAATCCTCAATTGTTGGATACTGGGGTGTTTCTAATTTTTTTTTACCATTGTAAACCATACTGTAATGCAAATCTTTAATCATAGATCTTGGGGACCATTCTTAGAATCACTGGGTCAAGGAGAGATTTCACAGAGCTATGACGTCCACTGGATGGTTCTTTTCCCCATCTAGGAATGGTGCTGCCCAAATGATCATTAGTCATTGGGAAGGAAAAGCACTATTGCCCAAATCCGTGCTTGAGAAGCAGTGACATTTTTCTTCACTTTTCTGTGTCCAGATCTCACATAAATCATCACCTTCCTGCCTGCATCTAGTGCTTCCTGAGGGGTTTAAAGTTCCCAGAACCATACATTTTCTTACGCTGCATCTCCAGGTGAAGCTGTATTTGACAGCGTCTAGCAGGGCATCTGTTGTGCACCCTGGACTTTGTCACTGGGGATATAAGTTATTGTCTTCCTCCTCACCTCTGTCACATTACGATCTTTCAGCCCCTGATCAGAAAGCAAAGGATGAACCAAAACTAAGTCAACTCCTTTAAGTTCAGCTGTGCTCTTACATGGGTTGATCAATTTCAACCTTTGAAACTAAGGATATTAAAAGTCTGGGATGGAGATGCTGCCATGGGAGAAGGATTATGGAGGAAAGGACCGGGCACAAGTGGCTCACACCTGTAATCCCAGCACTTTGGGAGGCAGAGTCAGGCAGATCACTTGAGATCAGGAGTTCGAGACCAGCGTGGCCAAAATGGCGAAGCCCTGTCTCTACTAAAAATACAAAAACTAGCTGGGCGTGGTGGTGTGAGCCTGTAGTCCCAGCTACTCAGGAGGCTGAGGCACAAGAATCACTTGAATCGGGATGTGGAGGCTGCAGTGAGCCGAGATTACGTCACTGCACTCCAGCCTGGGTGACAGAGCAAGACTTTGTCTCAAAGACAGAGAAAAAAAAGAATTATGGAGGAAACACACCACTTGTTCTTATTCTTGGTTGTGTGTGTGAGACTGTATAGGGGTGGGGGAGATAGAAGTATTCACCTACAGAGAAGAAAAGAATTAACTTAGTAGATGGACTCTAAAGAAGTTGGTTCTGAAAATCACAATTGGGCCACCCCAATCTTCTCTCATTAATGTGGGAGATGTTCCCTGGATGCCCCCTTTCCCCATACCATCAATGAAAGCAGAGCCTCCTTGCTGAAGGCTTCTTTGTCTCTGCTGAGGCAGCAGTGCTGTGATCCCGGTTGTCCTGCCTCTTTAGGTGCCACGGAAGGGCCAGAGGACCCACAACCTGGAGCAGGACTCGCAATCTATGCCTTGGCCTGAGTCCCTGTCACCGACCCCTGCTCCTTAAGCTCATCTGCACTTGTCAAAGCAAGAATAGATATACTGGTTGTATTTTGCAGACTCATGGTTGAGAGGCTGTATGTCCCCATCCTTGTCTACTCTGGACTTTCTCTTCCATTCCCAAAGGCTGTGGATTCATTGGGGGGATCAATGGTCATGGGAAAGGGGCCACTGTCACCCCACACCTCTATTAGAGGTTCCTCTTCTTTTTTCTTTTCTTTTCCTAGCTCCTTCTGCTCCAGTCATAAATCCACAGGTCCCTAACTCAGCCACAGGTTCCTCAGTCCGAGTGTGCTGGAGCTTATACTCCGACGACACTGTGGAGAGCTATCAGCTGTCCTACCGGCCAGTGCAGGACAGCTCACCTGGGACGGACCAAGCAGGTGAGGCTCTGCCAGGAACATGCCCGTGCTCATGGGAACAGTTCAGGCCCCTCAGGGGCCTGGGCCCTGTCTTCCTGGCAGTTGGGATGGTAGAGACAGGATGGGTCTAGACATGCAGAGGATTGGATGCAGGCAGGTGAACAGGGCAGAAAGGGCTAGCAAGGCACGCTGGGGCCTGACTGGGAAGGACAGCAAGGCCAGGCGAAGGGGTCTGGAGCATATCTACAGCCATTGGGTCAGAGTTGTCCCTGGGACCAGTCTCTGGCTGCCCTGTGTGCAGGAGGGGCCAGGGGTGCCCCTTGTCAAGGAGGCCCTGCTGGGCTGGCTGGGTTCTAGCTTGTCCTGGCATCTGAGGGTCAGGCTGGTGCTCTTCTCATAGCAGCCTTGTGCTGCAGAAGAAACTGGAGGATTCATCTGCAGACCCCATGAGGGGTGAGGGGGCCTCTGCAGCCTGGAAGGGCTGCTGGTGATCAGCTCCACGTTCCCAGGAGAAGACAACTCCTGAGATGGCCCCCGGCCTCCACTCTGGGCAGCTCTTGGCCAACATCCTTTTCCCCGGAAATGGGACTGGCTGGTGTGGGGTTACAGCTGGGGTAGGGCCCCCCATACTACAATAATCAATAAGCCATTCTTTCTTAAGGAGGGAGGGTCAGACAACAGAAGAGCCCCAGCTGAACATGTGAAGATTTCAAGGGACCAGGGCCAGCCTGACAGCACCTGTCCTGGGCATGTGGGGTTGAAGTGGGATTGCTGGAAAGAGACTTAGAGATCTCCATTTTATGGATGAGGAAACTGAGAGTCAGAGAGAAAGAAGCTGTCTGTGAGGACACAGTGAGTTATGGCAGAACAAGGACGTGAATCAGGTGTGTAGGCGTCCTGCCTCAAGTTCTGCTCATTGTACCAGACCATGCAGGTGGAGGGCTGAGTTCCAGAAGCTGAGGATGGTGTTTCTGCCCAGGAAAGAAGGGGAATTCTTGAGAAAAGTAAGAGTAAATTTAAGTGATGATGAGGGAGGGTGAGAGTGGTCAGAATAAGGACTAAAGAGGACATGGAGAGGGGCGAGGAGCTTTGAAAAGGGGGGTTGGGGACTAGGAAGTCAGACTTGATTAACCCCAGCTTTTGCCACAAATCAACCCTGTCAGCACCCCCTGCAGATACACAGAAGTCATTGTATTGGGGCTGTGTCATGGCAATCTATAAAGATCTTTCAAACTGACCATTTTTACTATAAAGGAAATGATATCCGAACGTAAATTAAGGAGTTATCACTGCCTTTCAAGATTCTGGGGAAGTCTGGAGTTGTGTTAGTTTTTGCTGCATAACCAAACCCCCTCCCCACCCCCTACAACTTAGTGGCTTAAAATAACAAACATTTATTATTTATTTATTATTATTATTTTTTGAGATGGAGTCTTGCTCTGTCACTCAGGCTGGAGTGTAGTGGCACTATCTCAGCTCACTGCAACCTCCACTTCCCGGGTTCAAGTGATTCTCCTGCCTCGGCCTCCCGAGTAGCTGGGACTACAGGCAAATGCCACCACGCCCAGCTAATTTTTTGTATTTTTAGTAGAGATGAGGTTTCACTGTGTTAGCCAGGATGGTCTCGATCTCCTGACCTAGTGATTCACCTGCCTCAGCCTCCCAAAGTGCTGGGACTATAGGCATGAGCTACCGCGCCCGGCCCTATTATTTCTTGTAATTCTGTGGGCTGGCCAAACAGTTCTATTCTGAACCACCTTGGATAGGGCTGGTTGGTCTAGGATGGCCTCATTTACTGTTGTCGCAGATAGGATAGCCGGGAGGACTTGGGCAGCTGGGGTCTCTCTCCCTGCGGTCTCACATCCTCCAGGAGGCTGGCTTGGGCTTGCTCACGTGGTAGTGGAAGCATCCCCAGCAGCAAGAGGGCTAGCCCCTGTGCACGAGCACTTCCATGCCTCTGCTTGCATCGTTTGTTATTGCCCCATTGACCAAAGCTAGTCACATAGCTAAGCCCAGTTTCAAGGAATAGAGAGAAGGAAGGAAGCTCTGAATGGAAGGAGCAGCAAAGTCATGCTGCAGAGGGAGTGCATACAGGGATGGGAGGAATTTATAGCCAGTTTTGTAATCTACTACTGTGGGATTCGGCATAATGAATTGGAGCCACTTGGCCAGTTTTTAGGGTTGAATTCTTATCTTTTTTTTTCCCCAGAGTTTACAGTGACTGTCAAAGAAACATATTGCTCAGTGACAAACCTTGTGCCAAATACCCAGTATGAATTTTGGGTCACAGCTCACAACAGGGCTGGCCCCAGCCCCTCTAGCGAGCGTGCAGTGTACATGACAGGTAATGGGCTACTCATTTCCTATAGCAGGGCTTTCATTCAAGCGGACACAGGAGTCATGGGTTTCTAGACATGGCAGGGCTCTTGATTTCATTCAGAAGGGTAGGAAGAGCTGTGTACATTTTTTTCTTTTATTTAACACACAAAATCTACATGCCTAGTTTGACAGTGACATTTTTTTTTTTTGAGATGAGTCCCGCCCAGGCTGGAGTGTAGTGGCAAGATCTCTGCTCACTGCAACCTCTGCCGCCTAGGTTCAAGTGATTCTCCTGCCTCACCCTCCCAAGTAGCTGGGATTACAGGTGTCTGCCACCACATCTGATTTTTTTTTTTTTTGTATTTTTAGAAGAGATGGCATTTCGCCATGTTGGCCAGGTTGGTCTCGAACTCCTGACCTCAAGTGATCCACCCGCCTCGGCCTCCCAAAGTGCTGGGATCACAGGCGTGAGCCACTGCACTCAGCCGACAGTGACAGTGACATTTTCTGATGGTTGGTCTCAAAATATAAAAAACTGCTACTCTCGGTCACACTGACATTTAAACCTTGCAAGCATCTTCTATTCCAGGAACATCTGGAAGGGATTCCCTGGTTTGCTTTTTATTGCACTGAATCTCTTTTGTGGGAGGAAGAAGGTGGCTGTGATGTTTGTCCATGGCTCTGAACAAAACAGCTGGAAATGAACACAACAGTTGTTCATCTCTCCCTTTCTCCCACATTTAGCACCTTCTCCCCCCATTATTAAAACCAAAGAGATAAGGAGCTGTGAAGAGGCTGTGCTGATTTGCTGGGAGTCTGGGAACCTGAATCCTGTGGACTCGTACACTGTGGAGCTGACCCAGGCTGAAAGTCCAGAAGCCTCGGGTGTAACTGAGTGAGTCATGAGGGCATTTGCTGGGCACGAGAGCCCTGACACCTGATACAGTGACATGGCTTAGGAAGTATACGGAGTCTGAAGAGAAGGTTGGCATTTTTGATACACAGGAATCTCAATTTTTGGTTGCTTAGTGTTCATGAGAAGTAGCTGGAATGCTATTACTGAAGGTGAATGACAAGTGAATGAATAAGTTGGTTGAACCTCAGGTTTTGTTGTTGTTGTGGTTGTTGTTTTAGCTCAAGTAAGGTTTCCCATTCATTCATTCATTCATTCATTCATTCAACATGCATTGAGTGCCTGGGTGGTGTCAGGTCCTGTGCAAGGCACTGGGAACTAGATGGACAAATTTCCTGCCCTAATGGGGCTGACAGTCTGGTGGGAAAATAGACAAAAGGCAAGAAAACAAACCAATGTGTAAAATATACAGTGCTAGGAAGGAAAAAGAAATGTAATAAAACAGAGAATGGTGGTGGAGGTGAGGATCCACTTTGGATAAAGAAGATGTTTAAACTGAGACCTGAACATATGGGAAAGACTGAGCCCCAAGAACAGCGAATGCAGGGGTGCTTCGGGGGGAGGGGGCTGCATGAACACAGGCCCTGGGGCAGGAGTGAGCTGCTGGAGGAACTAAAAGACCCACCTAGCTAGAATTCAGAGAGGTGAGGGTGAAAGCCATAGGCGAAAACAAAAGAGATTGCAGCTGAATGTACAAAGAATGTTTCATCTATCACAGAAGACTGTCTGGAAGCTCATGTTCACCCCTCATTCTCAGAGAGCTAGAGGGGTTCACAAATTGATAAGGGTTGGACTCAGTGACCACAAGGGCTCGCAGAACCTATGAGTTTACAGCAGCCTATGATGGAGGAAGCATAGGTTTACCTCTGGTTTACAGAAGTTTGTGAAAGGGGATGAACCACCCAGGCAGGCCAGCACCAGCCACCAGGACCAGGGGCTCCCCTGCTGTGGAACACAGGGGTGCACTGACCTGGAGCTGGAGAAATGAAGAGGTGTTGGTGTCAATTGTTAGGGAAGCAGATTCTTCTATGCTAAATGCCAGGCTTGAAACGTGGCCATATGCCACCCATCCATCTGTTCCAGGTGGAATCTGTGTGTCCATGGCCACACAGAGGCTGACTTTGGTAATCCACTCTGGAGATACTCAGGAGTGGGGCAGTGTGTCCAGTGGTTCTGGCCATCCTAATGGTTCAGGTTTCCTTTGCAATTTATGCTGATACTTTAGGAGCACTTGACACCTGGGACCAACTCACAATGATGAGGTCATCAGAGGGCTGGTCAGTAACCTGAGAGATGACCTGAGAGCTGGTGCATATTCTTCCAGTACAAATCCAATCATGGCGACCCATTGCTGAAGAAAAGGCAAAACTCCTTCACAGGCTCTGGCCCCTTCCTGCCTCTCCAGCTCCTCCCACACCAGCTCCCCTCCCTCTCAAGATCCCACCACATTGGTCATGTTTCAGTTCCTCCTACTTTTCATGCTCCTTCCTGCCACAGGGCCTTGGCACATGCTTCTCCTATGTAGGAGACTCCTCTGTCCCTTTTTCATCCAGTTACCTCCTCAGCATTCTTCAGAGCTCTGCTCAAAAGCCATCCTGCCCCCACCATTATACACTACAGCACACTATCAACTTGTCTTGGTTACCATCTTACATTCCTTCCAGTGATTGCCTGAAGAATGCTGCTCTTCCCATCTAGACTGTAAGCTCTATGAGGGCAGGAACTACATTTGTTTTTTCTGAGGGCCTCCCTATACAGTGCCTGGAACCTAAGGAGTTTAGTTAACATTTATTGAATGCATAAGTAAAAGTGCCCCTCTGGCCCAGAGCTGCAGCCTGAAGATAACCTGGACAACTTGGCCTCATCTGGGTGAGGGTGTTGTATTGGTAAATGGGCATCATCCTAAAGACTTCTCTTGCCCACTGGACTGACATGGGGTTGGCAACCGCAGCAATATAGACAGTGGCAATTATGAGCTTATATTTCTGTATAGTACAATTTAAATACATTGGATTATTTCCAATAGGCAGCTGTTAGGGGGTTAACAGCAGTTAACACTTTCAGCTCTAGTCAGAATTGTTTGCTCATAAACATAAATCAAGGACCTTTTTTTTTTTTTTTTTGAGACAGTCTCACTCTGTCGCCCAGGAGTGCAGTGGCGTGATGATCTCGGTTCACTGCAACCTCCAACTCCCAGGTTCAAGCAATTCTCCTGCCTCAGCCTCCTGAGTAGCTGGAATTACAGGCACCTGCCACCACACTCGGTTAATTTTTGCATTTTTAGTAGAGACGGGGTTTCACCATGTTGGCTAGGCTGATCTCGAACTCCTGACCTCAAGTGACCCACCCGCCTCAGCCTCCCAAAGTGCTGGAATTACAGGCATGAGCCATTGCACCTGGCTGAATTGACGGCCTTCTATGGGCCCAGTACTGTACTAAGAATAGCGGTACTCAGCCCCTGACCTCAGAGACATTATGATCCTAACAGACGGACAGAGACACACTGGATTCTACTGCATGCACACTCCATGATGCAGTGTTAACCATATGCCAAGCACAGTGCTGGGTGCCTGGGAAACCAGAATGAGGGACTTGGAGAGGAGACAGCCACAAACACAAGAAGTAGCAATGAAGTGAGAAAAGCAGACCAGAGACTGTGGGAGGGAATGCAGAGGGGGAGCCAGCACTCCTGGCTATGCTGCTGTTAAATGTGGGTCAGAGGACAGGAGCGCAAGAGTGAGTTAAACCTTCCAGCTTTGAAAGGGATGCCTGGTGCTTGGGCCTGGGTGTCCTAGCCCCATTCTGACTGCAGCTCTGCTTCCTTGTACAGGTCTGTTGTGGGCATCCCGACCTGCGAGTCCGTGGTGCAGCTGCAGCCGGGGCGGAGCTACATTATCTATGTGCGAGCCCTCAATATGGGGGGCCCCAGCGTGAGGAGCGAGCCAGCTACAGTCCACACCATAGGTCTGTGCCCCAGCCCACAAAGTCTCTGGGACCCAAAGTGGCCACTCTGTGGCAGACCCAGTGCTGCTATGACTTCACTGGGAAATTGATGAATATGCACAGATGTGGACACGTGGCAAGTCAGGCCAGAAGGAGTTCAGGGGTGTCCCATACTGCCCTAATTGCAAGTCAAATGGATCATTAAGAAGTCCTTCAATTCCTATTTCCCTTGGCAAATAGGTTAGAAATTCTTATCCATACACAGGCATTACAGCTAGAGGTAAAGAGCACAGCCTCTGGAATCAGAGGGGCTTGGGGTTCAAGTTTAAGTTCTATCATTTGCCAGCTGATTTCTTAACCACCTTGTGCCTCTGTTTCCTCATCTACAAAATGGAAATAGTGACACCTGTTTCTAAGGGTCGTCGTGAGGATTGAAGGGGATACTAGGCACACAAGACTGCCCGATGAGTGTCAATTGCCATCCTTGTTAACTGGACGCCTATTACTAGGCCAGGTCCAGGCTTAGGTGTATCCCACACGAAGCTAAACCGGTGACCACCGCCCACATGGAGAAAGCAAGTGATTGGCTGCGGGTCTTCTGTGTGTTCCTCCTCCCACAGGAAGCTACTTTCGCCTAAACAAGGACACTTGCCATCCCTGGCTGACCATTTCTGAAGACGGACTTACGGCTGTACGAAGTGAAAGGAGAACCCCCGCCAGGGAGCTGTCACCCAGCGACACTCACTTCACCAGGTACTTTGTCAACCGCTCACAAGGGCGTTCTGTGAACTTCCCGAAGGTGCACTGTTATTCAGGTCAAATCCGAATATGGCACGGAGGCAGCCTCGAGGGAAAAGGAATCCTACAAATGAGTGAGGAGGGAGGAGCCTAATGGGGAGGGGACCCAGAGGAGTGTGGGCAAGAGGGGTCAGGCAGGTGCAGGCAGAAGAGCCCCCTGGGACGGTGAGGTCAGGAGAGGGCGCGGTCCCCTGGGAGGGCATGGTCCCTGGGTCCTAGGCTGCCAGAGCTGGAGCAGCCAGAGGTCATGAGGGTGGGACAGGAATTACTAGTGGAGGGTGTCCAAGTTCTTGGCGTTCTGAACAAAGAATTGGACAAAATGCACAAACAAAGCAAGGAAAGAGGCCAGGCACGGTGGCTCATGCCTGTAATCACAGCACTTTGGGAAGCCGAGGCAGGCAGATCACCTGAGGTCAGGAGTTTGAGACCAGCTTGGTCAACATGCTGAAACCCCATCTCTACTAAAAATATAAAAATTAGCCGGGCCTGTTGCGGGTGCCTGTAATCCCAGCTACTCGGGAGGCTGAGGCAGAAGAATTGCTTGAACCCGCGGGGCGGAGATGGCGCCACTACACTCTAGCCTGGGCAACAGAGTGAGACTCCTTCTCAAAAAAAAAAAAAAAAAAAAGCAAGTAAAGAATGAAGCAACAAGAGCAGAGATTTATTGAAAACGAAAGCACACTCCACAGGGTGGGAGTGGGCCAAGCAAGCGGCTTAAGGGCCGGGTTACAGAATTTTCTGGGGTTTAAATATCCTCTAGAGGTTCCCACTGGTTACTTGGTGTACACCCTATGTATATGAAGTGGCTAAAGTGAAGTTACAAAGTCATTTACTGGGTGTACACCCTATGCAAATGAAGAGGATGTTTCCTGCCATGCTGAAATACAAAGCTATTTACTTGGACTTAGAAGGTTGGGGTTTTTCCGTTTAATTTAGTTCTAGGAAGTCCTTAGGTTCCCTGCCCCCAGACCCTGTTCTCCTGCTTCACAGGGGTCATGCTGTGGGCTAGTGGGAGAACAGAAACAAGGACCCAGGTCTCCCACCAGTTAGCCCAGTGCTCTCTCTCCTGCACTGTGGTACCTTACAGCAAAACTCCTGATGGAAAACTGGCCATGGAGTGAGTCTGTTCCAAAGTTCAAGGCAGATAATTGCTTTGTACATGTACATATGAAAGAAGCCGGAAAGATCATGTTTGGAGAAATATAAGGAATTTGGTATGTCTGCGGTATAGGATCCATGACGGGAAGAGGTGGAAGATGAGGCAGGAAAGTCGGAGAAAGTCCAGTATACACACAAAAAGTTAGGATTTTATCCTCTATGTGGTGAGAATTATTGGAGGATTTAAAGCAGGGGAACAAGATCAGATTACATTTCAGAAAGATTCCAGTGCATGGTAGAACGTGAGCTGGGGAGGGAGAGGGAAAGGCAAAGGCAGATGGGAAACAGAGACCAGAGAGGAGACTATGGAGGGCTTGACTACGCAGTAGCATGGGTGAGAGGAGCCAGGGGAGTCAACTGCTGTTGAGCACATAAAACCAACAAGGCTAGGTGCTCACCTGTTTAAAGGGCAACAGAGAGGAAGATGAGTCAGGGACTATCATATTGCCATATTTATAGAGTGCTTACCAAGTGCTAAATGTATTTCATCTCATGCAATCATCCTAACAGCCCTGTACTATTACCAATCCCAGTTGACGGATGAGAATACTTAAAACACAGAGAAGTAACTTGCCCAAGAGTATAATGCTATTAAGGGTTGAAGCAGGAATCAAACTAGAAGGTGAGCTTGTAGCCACTACATTATTCCCATCTTAGTTTTCCACCAGGGGGTTACCGGGTAGATAATGACTCTATTAACCAAAATGGAGATGTGAGAAGTATGTACCCCTCCCCACTACACCCCAAACTTTGGTAGATAAGAGGGGTGGGAATATGACTTTTTCCATTTGGGACATTCTGAATTTGAAACAACAAGTGGAAATGTGAGTCTGGAGCTTGAAGCAGAGATGGCCTCATTTTATAGGTGAGGTAACCGAGGTAGAAGTTAACCAACATGCAACCTCCTTCCCAAAGCTTTGCTTGAGCAGTAAGAACTTGGGGTTTTGAAAGTAGAGAGAAAATTTTAAACTGAACAAATCTTTCTAGGGATGTTGAGGTCTATATATATTTTGGTTAATGTAGGAGTCTCCTGAAGAAGGTAGAATATTCACTTTGGAGATACCAGTATAATTTGATTTTCACTGAAAACCTTCCTCTGTTGATACTTTGCTGATGTAGAACAAAACATAACTCTAATCTTTGTCAGTATAATTGTTCCCAGTGCAACAGTGGAGGTAGATTTTAATGATCTGTGAGGAATCTGCTATCTTGTTCTCCTTGGGCTGGCCTCTGAATTCCACCAGGAGTCATCCCTAACATGATGGCTACCTCAAAGGCCTTCCATGTTCATTTAGTACCATAAGCAATGGTGGTGAACTTCAAGCTTATGGTTCCCTTAACCGTGCTGTGTTGTGTATTTTCAACCCTTTTCTTTTTTTATGAACAAGTGAACCAAACCTTTTTCTATGAAAGCCCCAACCATTTTAAAGAGCAAACAAAACTTGTTCTGTTGGTTTAGTGCCTCCTCCTCTCCCATTACCAAGCAGTAACATAATCTCAAATCTTCAGTATCAGCCCACTGAGCTTTGAGAGCTAAGGGTACTTTACAAGTTAAGTGTCCAGAAGCACCTACCACCACGTTCGTAGACCACCGACTGACTGATCCCAGCAACTGGCATCACTGACCTGCACAGCCAGGCTTGGGGCACCCCAGATCACACATGCTTCCACTTTCTAAAACCAGGTGTGTTGCTGTCATGGGAAATCTAATTCCAGTCCGAGGGCACCATTACTGGGAGGTGGAGGTGGATGAGCATTTGGACTACAGAGTTGGTGTGGCCTTTGCAGATGTCCGTAAACAGGAGGATCTGGGAGCAAATTGCCTCTCCTGGTGCATGAGGCACACATTTGCATCATCAAGGTAAAGTAAAATCTGGATACTCACAATTAAAATTTGCTTTTGAAAGATTACAGCAAGACCTTTTCACTAGCAATAATTAAGACACACGTTATATTTTACAAATATTTTAAGATATTTCAGGAGTTGCTGCCAGCCACTTTCCCTAAAGTCCAAGTAAGAGGAGAAAGAGCAGCTTTTCTTCAACTAAAAATAGCTAAAATTTATGGAGAATTATGTGCCAAGTACTCTTACATGCATTATCTCATTTACTTCTCACAATTGTGTTATCTCATTTGAAAAATCAGAATGCTGGGTGCAGTGGTGTGCACCTGTAGTCCCAGCTACTCAGGAGAGTGAGGTAGGAGTATTGTTTGAGCCCTGGACTTCAAAGCCAGCTTGGGCAACATAGCAAGACCCCGTCTCTAAAAAAAAAAAAATAATAAAATAAAAAAATAAAATAAAATAAAAGAATAAAAATAAGAAGACCACACCTCACAGCAATTAGATAATCCAAACGACATGGATTTGGAACTTGGATTCAAACTCAAGCAGTCTGGTTCCAAAGATTTCATTCCTAACCACTTAAGTGATAGATTTTTCATTTCTGTTCACCTTTAGTATTAAGCCAATACAGTTTGCTTTGAAGCCCCAGTTCCATCTTTTTAAGTAAATGTGGGCAAGAGGCTTAGTAGTTATGGCTAATTCTGGTTTGCTCCTGCTGCTGGGCACTCTGTCTTTACACATGGAGTAGTTCCATATAGTGGGAAAAAAAGTCTCACGAAGCCCAGGCCAATGAATACACTTTCAGACTTAGAAGGCCATGGTTACAACCTTCCTTCACCTCAAAAACTGAAAAACAAGACCCCACACTGCTTTCCTATCACACCTTGTAAAATGGGGCCTCTGACCCTCCTTGATTTGATGAATCCTATTAATGTTCATCCAATGCTCTCTGCCCATGATCCTCTATCATGGTTATTTACACATTATGTGTCATGCCCAAGCATAAGTGGGAAAACCAACTTCCCCTCCGATAACAGATGAAGACTCTAATGAAATCTACTAAACCTCACACCCAGTTTGGGGAATCCAAGAATTACTATACACTGAGGCAGATACTTTATTTGGGGATTCTGCCTGAAGTAAGACTAAAGAGCAAAGTCTCTTCTTTAGAAAGGCAAGAACAAGGGGCAGAGTAAAACTAAGGGAGCATAAAGAAAGCCTAGAAGTCCACGTGTAGAGGGAAGAATAAAGGGGGTAAGAAGACACAATAGAAGAGGGGTGGAAACAGAAGAATGACAAAAGAAGGGCAAAAGCTACAGTCCAAGTGCTAGAGCCAAGCCAGTTTCTTACAGATGTAGGGTGTGTGTGTGTGTGTGTGTGCGTGCACGCACACACGTGCACACACGTTACAAGTGGAGAATGAAGGTAAGGTATCCTAGGATAAGGTCTCCTAGCAGACTTGCATTTTTGGCTCATAGTATTAGACTTTATTGGTGGTAGCATAGAAAGTAGAAGAAACGACTCATAGCTTCTGGCAGCTGCTTAGTTAAATTAAGGTGAAATGGGCTAGAGACAGGCAGGCTTCCTCTGACACGTTTAGATCATATTCCAAGTGTTTATCCCAGTAGCCTAGACTAGCCTGTTGACACAAAGAGCTCTTCAAATATCTGTAGGTAGCAGGGTTAGGAAATTCCTGTGACAGGTTTTCATTTCTGCCATTTTTCAAAGTACACAGGATGTAGAGCATGGATAGTGATATAGTATTGATTGGTAACAGGCCCACTGGCTCCCCACTCAATATGAAAGTTTAAGAACTGGAGTAACTGTGCATAGAAGAGCTTATACCAAGAAGCCCATTTTATCACATGGAAAATCACAAGGTTCCCTGTTTCAAATGTCTAATCCAAATTTTAAAAACATGTTCTATTCCTATGCTAGTTTAGATGAAAGAGAGTTCAGGATGCTATAGGTAAATTTCTTAGGTTAAGAGGTTGCTAGAGAAAAAATGATGTTTGAAAAATGTTTCGGCCAGAAGCAGTGGCTCACACTTGTAATCCCAGCACTTTGGGAGGCCAAGGCAAGTGGACTGCCTGAGCTCAGGAGTTCGAGACCAGCCTGGGCAACACAGTGAAACCCTGTCTCTACTAAAAATACAAAAATTAGCCGGGCTTGGTGGTGCACGCCTGTAATCCCAGCTACTCAGGAGGCTAAGGTGGGAGAATTGCTTGAACCCAGGAGGCTGAGGTTGCAGTGAGCCGAGATTGCACCACTGCACTCCAGCCTGGGTGACAGAGCAAGACTCCATCTAAAAAAAAAAAAGAAAATGTTTCTTAGGACAAATTTTAGAAAAGAGATAGTTTAGAGAGTATAGTTTTAGAAATGGCTTGTCACCTTGGTAGTCATTTAATACTAGAAAATAGCAAAATCATAGGACTATGAATAAAATTAGTATGAAATGTTCTATAAATAGTCAATCTATAGAATTACTGAAACTTTATTATGTCAAATTTAATTTTCAGGCATAAGTATGAATTTCTGCACAACAGAACAACTCCAGATATAAGAATAACAGTTCCACCAAAGAAGATTGGCATTCTATTAGACTATGAACATTCAAAGTTGTCATTTTTCAATGTGGACCTTTCTCAGCATCTATATACATTTAGTTGTCAGCTTCACGAATTTGTGCATCCCTGTTTTTCTTTGGAAAAGCCTGGGTGTCTAAAGGTACATAATGGCATTTCAATGCCAAAACATGTCACTTTCTATTAGAACATTCTGATGTCCAGTTTCCTGTCTTCCATGCCTACCCCTCTCGCAGCTGCTCACGCCTTAGCTGGCTGAACCTGGCACTTAAGCACCATGTGCCCAGCACAATTTATGGCTCATGCTATTATCTGACTGGTGTGCTAGCGCTCATTTCACCCAACCTGGATTCTAGTCCTGTGTGCTGCTACCTGTGTGCTGCTAGGATAGTCATTACCAGGCCCAGCTGTAAAATAAAGGCTCAGACTAAACGAACTCAAAAGTCTTTGAAGCTGTCAAACTATATTCGTGTATATGCAAAATATCTTGAGTTTCCAAGACCTAGAGAGCTTGGGAGAGGACGAGGGTAGTCTTAATGGCTCCAGCAGCACCAGTACACCCATGCATTTCATGAGTCAGCCAAGAATACACTTGAGAAGGCGAGAGGCTGTCTGTAGAGAACCAGGGAAGCTGTGTGCCCTTCTCAATGTCTTCTACCCTCGTTTTCCCAATAGTGAGCAGCACTGTGGTGAGGTCCCTTCCACTGTGTACTCTGCATACAGGGTATTCCCTGTTCCACTCCTACACAGTATGCACCACTCTCTAATTTTGAAATTACCTCTATAATGCCTAATTCCATGAAGGGAGGGACAGTGCCTGTTTTGTTCATTGCTAGATCACCAAGGGCTAACACATAACAGCTGTCACCAAGTATTTGTTGAATAAATTAGTATCTTCTTCAGCCACTGCTCTTTGGCCTCTTACTGCTCTCCATGTGAAGGATGGCAGGGCTCTTTCAAAACTACAGCAAAGGACCTATGGCCAAGAAATGGGAAAAAACCTAGAATGGAGGCAGCGTGAAAGAACAGAAGGGCATCTGTGGCATATTAGCAAATGCACAACAATTTTTTAAAAGAAATTAACAGCCCACCAAAGGGCAAAGCTGAGCACGGGAAGGAAGACTGATCTCTAGCTAGGCAGCTTTCAGGCATCCTGCCTCACTGCCCCCAGGCCATTCTGTGAGCTCAATGCCCAACTCCATCAGCTACATTCCTGGTTCTCCTGTTCAAGTTTCCAGTTGCCACTTAAGCTCTGCACACACAGCATTTTCAAAGCTTGTGAGTGAAGCTGCAGAATAATTCCATTTGTGAAGCAATTACAATTCAGTATCATGTCCCACAGATGCCTCTAAACCCAGATATGCCCTAATCTCATCATTTAAGGTTTTGTGTTTAAAAAAAAAAAGTCCACTTTTCTTTTTTCTGGCGAAACCCCGTCTCTACTAAAAATACAAAAAATTAGCCGGGCATGGTGGTGGGCGCCTGTAATCCCAGCTACTCAGGAGGCTGAGGCAGGAGAATTGCTTGAACCCGGGGGCAGAGGCTGCAGTGAGCCGAGATTGTGCCACTGCACTCCAGCCTTGGCAACAAGAGCGCAACTCTGTCTCAAAAACAAACAAACAAACAAACAAAAAACCTCTGATGTTTTCCAGCACCTGCAAAGTCTGACAAACTGAAAGACTCTCATCTCCTACTAAACTCTGCCTACTCGTATAAATGGCAGCTCAGATTCCTGAATTAACAATTCACACTGACAATTTAATAACTCGTTATACACACACACACCTATCCTGCCAAGCTGGACTGTCTACTCTGAAACAAGGGACAGCAGATGTAAGCACAGAAATAGTTCCAGTTATAAACAATTAAAAGATACATATCATGTATATTTAAAAATGTTCTCGGCCGGGCGCGGTGGCTCACGCCTGTAATCCCAGCACTTTGGGGGGCCAAGGTGGATGGATCACAAGGTCAGGAGATCGAGACCATCCTGGCTAATACGGTGAAACCCCGTCTCTACTAAAAATACAAAAAAATTAGCCGGGACTGGTGGCGGGCGCCTGTAGTCCCAGCTACTCGGGAGGCTGAGGCAGGAGAATGGCGTGAACCCGGGAGGTGGAGCTTGCAGTGAGCCGAGATGGCTCACAGATCAAGACTCCATCTCAAAAAAAAAAAAAAAAAAAGTTCTCAGCTACTGAAATAGAAACTACCAAGTAAGAAACAGGATATCACAGAGAAGGCAAGTTTGAATTCAGGGTTCTAATAGGCTTTATGGAATACTACACGTTAGTATGAACACGGATAAATGGATTAAAAACTCAACACGTATAAAGTTTTAATTAAATTTTTATTTGACCAAGAAAAAACTGTCTAGAATTGCCTGACATTTAAAATCCACTTAAAGCAGATTAGCAACTTCAAGCATCACAATTATTCAGCATAAAGAGCCTTTGTTGAAACATCTTTCTCATTTATTTAGAAGAAAACATCTAGAACAGAACCAAGCAAAACTTTTGTATTTTTGTAAAAAATCTCAATTCCTGAAACTACTATAAACAATCTACTGAAACTGTATTCAGCAAGGGACAGATTTACCTCAAGGCCATGTTCACCTGCAACCTGCTGATAAGTCTGTTAAAAAACAAAGCAAAAAAAAGAGTTTTTAAAAATTAGACCACTGTAGCCACAATCCCTAACACTGGACAGTTAAAACAAAAGTTATCAAAATCTGTTCTTTTCTTAGCTTTACCTGTATCACTTTATAACTCCTGAGAAAGTCATTCACATAAGCTGTGGCCTCCCCACCTTAACAAAGGGGAAAAAGAATATGTAAAACCACCACAGAATCTTGGCGTAAACTAACATGGGTTTAGTAATACAGAGTACAGTATTCAGGATTTAAGGCACCCTTACAAGTCAGAATTGGAAAGTTGGTTTGAGACTTGCAATCTAAAATGACACTGATTTCTGATAAAATTAAATGACTTTTATTTAGAAAAGTGTGTTTAATAAATTACTTCCTGCTGGTTCAAATGACACACAATCACTTTGTATACATCCAATAAGATATTTCTGAAGTGTATACTTGGTCAAAAGTAAAAAGCAGAGCAAATGCATGGACAGTGGGGCCTTCTTCTTAATACTTCTCATCCTCCAAAATCTGTTAAAATCATCATCTTCCACAACTCACACACTGGAAGCTGTCCACAGCACAATTCACTGTGATGTGGCATTCTGTAAATAAGACTACATTGGTCTTGATGCAAGGCGGTTCAGCTACCAGACTGCACTATAAGAAAAGTCCTCTCCTCAACTTACCAAGAAAACTTCGCCAATTTCTAGTCACCTTCCTATCAATTAGTAGAGCAAGATTCTCACATGTTCACTATGTCTTTCTCCAGTTTTCTCATCTATAAGTGTACTACTCCTATTTTCTATAGGAAGACAATGGAAAGCGTGTAATTGCTGTTGGTAGATAAGTAGGTCTTGAATTTATTTTGCAAACAAGACCTGTTCTATCTACCTTTTCATTTAGGAGGCTAAAAGCAGAGTCAGCTTGATTTCAAGGACTCTATTTTCTTAGTCTCCAGAAGAACATAACCAAATCCAGCTTTTAAAACACTGTCCTTTAACAAGTCAAGATACTCAAATAAAGATCATGTATAACTTCAAGCTATAGGAGATTAACTCTGTACATATGCTTGTTTCACTGTAACCAATGGTTAATTAATCTAAATGCAAGAGAAAAGTTATTTGGAAAGAAGACCCCAGCTGGTCAGCATCTTTTCTGTCATCAGGAAGTCTCCTGGAAGGAGTATGACTATGACCTGGGCACAACAACTGCCCCTAAGTTAGTACTTATTTTAGAGTTGCTACTGAACAGGTGGTGGTTCTTGTCAAGTATATCATGTCTGACTACTTTACTGCTTGTTTTCTGCTATCACCAGTTCCAGAAAAAAAAAAAAAAAAAATTAAGCCCAACTCACTAATTGATTGCTTTTTCATTTTCCCAGACTGTGACAGAATCATGGTTTTTAGCTCTATTTTCACCTTACTCAAATCCTGGAGGAATTAAACTATCATTTATTTGAAATGTTACAAATTAGCCTGCAGTTGATTCAAACAACATGTAGTCACTCAGACATAGCAAATAAAAATGTTTTGGTATATGAACTTGGATTCTAATCTTGCTGTCTCTACTACTCTCATTCCTAAGTATAAATGTTAGGTCTCTTGCTTGAAAGGAATTTAAGAGATGCCCTTAAATTCAAACAGACTGGCTCGCAGAAAGGAATATAATCCATTCACTGGGAAAGTACACAGCCAACAAAACTGAGATTTCCCAACTATGCACTGTAACAATGCAGAAACACAGTTTTAGAGATGGCTTTACTGGGTATATACATCGCTCTTGGTAGACCCATCTATTATTCTGCCACCCAGAAAGATTCTTACCCTCCTACTTCCTTCCAAACATTCATTTAATTTAAAGGTGACAGGGACAGGGAGAGGGAAGGAAAAAACAAGAAGCACTATCCAAAAGTAAGAACAGTACTCTGGAGAAAGGTAAAAGATACTCAACACTGTTTTTTGTACCATTTACGATTTATAAATCAGCCACAGAGTCCTAGGCACCCAGAATGGACCTCCCCTTCCTTGTCTACCTAATGCCTGTATAGCTCCAAAATCACCTCTTGGAAACACTGCCTTATTCCTCCCCCTCCCAGGAGAGGTTAAGTGCCACACTCACCTCTTTTAGATTACTTCAGTGGCTATACTGCAATCATTGACTTGTGTCTGCTCCACTTGACTATAAGCAAATTGAAGGCAGGGTTTGTGCCTTCATAATCTCTGAATGATCTGAAGATGGAAATAACTGCTTTGTGCTTTCAGGGAGCTCATATACCTGCAAAGAGAAAAGAGACATCAAATTATCTTCCAAAATCAAAGGAAAAGCCTCTTTATTAGAAAGCAAAGCAGCTTTCAAATTTGTGTGTGCTTGGGGAGTAGAAGGAAACATTAAAAATATGAACCTGCTGGGCATGGTGGCTCACACCTGTAATCCCAACATTTTGGGAGGCCAAGACAGGCAGATCACCTGAGGTCAGGAGTTCGAGACCAGCCTAGCCAACATGATGAAACCCCGTCTCTACTAAAAATACAAAAATTAGCCGGGCATGGTGGTGGGCGCATGTAATCCCAGCTACTCAGGAGGCTGAGGCAGGAGAATTGCTTGAACCAGGGAGGCGGAGATTGTAGTGAGCCAAGATCACGCCATAGCACTCCAGCCTGGGCAACAAGAGTGAAAACTCCGTCTCAAAAAAAACAAACAACCCCAAAATATCAACCTTTCTTCTGTCCCAATACACCTTAAAGATCTGATACAGAGTCCCATTACTAATAGTGCTCCATGGTGACTTCTAATCTGGGAAGAGTGGGAGGGGACACAGAACAATCTGGGGATGGGAAAGATGTATGTGGTTTAGAATGCTCTTCCCAACACTGCAAGAGACCTTTGACATGTTTAATATTTATTATAGTTAGACTATACTTAAGAGAGCCCAAAGATCTTCAAAATGTATATTTTAAATGTTCTGAATCATAAATTTGGTTCATATGCCCTGGAGGCTGGTGAGTGAAAGCCGCCCCCTTGACTACTGAGTAAGCTTAACTGTCAATCCTATATTTATAGCACAACATGAGTATTTGGCTTTCCACTAGTTTCAGGATCTAAGACTTTATGGAATAAATTATATGCTATAAAGGTAATGTCAAATTAGGGACTTAGAAAGATCAAAGGTGATTCCTTTTCAAATGTCAAGTATCTTTAAAAGTCACTTTTAAAAGTGATACAAAGCAACAAAGTATTATAGCTCAGTACCTAACAACAGCCCCTCTTCCCCAAACAACTTTGGCCAAATTTATATATTATCTGTAGGGTGGAAATCAGATAAACAAACTCCTTGTTTGAAATTTCATCCTTTTCTTATAAAGTGATCGATGGCTAGAATTTTCAAACAGTGGGATCCTATGCTCCAGGGATCATTCTATGGTTCGTTATTGGAAACGTTTCTCTGAACGTGTAGAGCACTGATGAACATATAAAATTTTGACACACACAGGCACACGCAAAAGAAATACACGTTCCCAGCCCTTCAAAGAACCTCAAGCCAACTTCCCAAAAAACAACCACATATAACTATCTACCAAGGATTCCTACAGAAGGCATTTTAAACACCATTTACCTATTTATTATAAACTCAGCAGTGGGTATGTTTCTGTACAGTTATCCATTGAAAACTCATCTTAGTTCTGGAAGAGGGAGAAAAGGGAGATGGAATATAGAGGCTGTCACATGCTACTGGCTACTGGCAGGGGAAGGTGAGCAAGAGATGACTGGCCAAGAGAGTGAGAAGAGAAACTGCCTGTGGCTTGTCCATGTCCAAATCTACTAAATTGGTAGTCTTCTCTTCTTAGCCCATGATTCTCTAGCAGCTGGTCTGAACCACTGCCTGAAACCACTAAAAAAAAAAAAGAAAGAAAGAAAAAGAAAAAAAAAAAAAGCAACGAGATAAAAATAATACAAAATAGCTGGGTGCAGTTTTGTAGAGATGGGGTTTTGCCCTGTTGCCCCAGGCTGGTCTCAAACTCCTGAGCGCAAGTGATCCACCCACCTTGTCCTCCCAAAGTGCTGAGATTACAGGTGTGAACCACCACAGCTGGCTGAGAAAAGTTTAAATCTCAAGTTATATATGTGTATTTTTGTAGAGAAGTATCCTAGCTGATTAATAAACTTTCCAAGCATAGAAAAATATCACAGGCCAGGCACAGTGGCTGACGCCTGTAATTCCAACACTTCAGGAGGCCAAGGTGGGAGGATGGCTTGAGCTCAGGAGTTTGAGACCAGTCTGAGCAACACAGAGAGACACTGTCTCTACAAAACATTTTTTTTTTTAATTAGCCAGGGTGGTAGCACACACCTGTGGCCCCAGCTACTCAGGAGGCTGAGGTGGAGGAGCTCTTGAGCTCAGGAGGTCGAGGCTGCCAGTGAGCTGTGATTGCACCACTGCACTCCAGCCTGGGTGACAGTGAGGTCCTGTCTCAAAAAAAACAAGAAAAGAATTAAAAATGGACATCTGTTTGTGTTCTCTGTGCCTGGAATTATACAGCTACTGGAAATACAAGCTACTGTGCTTGTTGTTGCATTTTTAAGTTGATACTTCTGCTTATGTCACAATCACAACAGCAATCATTCCTCTACATAATCTAAAATGTCTTTGAAACATCTGCATAAAGTAGTTCTTAAAAGTTGGTTTCTGTGGGGGCTTCTGAAAGCCCTTCTGGGGGTTAGTGAAGTCAAAACTATTTTCATATGAACAAAAGCTCTTTGGAGTCTTCAATAACTGTTAAGTGGCTCTTGAGACCAACAAGTTTGAAAATTGTTTATATAGGAGCCAGGCACGGTGGCTCACACCTGTAATCCCAGCACTTTGGGAGGCCAAGGTGGGAGGATCACCTGAGGTCAGGAGTTCGAGATCAGCCTGGCCAACATGGTGAGACCCCTGTCTCTACTAAAAATACAAAAATTAGCCGAGCATGGTGGCATGGACCTGTAATCACAGCTACTCGGGAGGCTGAGGCAGGAAAATCGCTTGAACCCAGGAGAGGGAGGCTATTCATGGCTTCCCCACAATGAACATCCGGTTAAATGAGCTCCTCAGTACTTCAGATACCCCCTATGTGATGTGAACAGTTTTTCAGTATTTGCTAATGTATGGTTTTCTGGGCCTCAGGCTCACTTACTTTCTTCACAGGCTTGCCACTTTCCTACAACACATTTCCATTTCATAACATGAGAGAGATGACTGCAATAATGCACAAGACACTTAAGCCACACAAGCACCAAATGTAAGATTACTTAAAACAGCTGAGGTTTGACTGCAGTGCACTCTACAGAATCAGTTTTCTAGGGTGA
This sequence comes from Homo sapiens, assembly GCF_000001405.40. Taxonomy (NCBI): domain Eukaryota; kingdom Metazoa; phylum Chordata; class Mammalia; order Primates; family Hominidae; genus Homo; species Homo sapiens. The sequence goes on along the minus strand of NC_000015.10, from coordinate 82,751,559 downwards.
GCACATAGCTTGCTCAGTGAACCCCAGGCCGCTCTGTGTAAATGTATGTAACAGGCAATGAAAGTTCCTTCTTCACATATTGTTACTACACATCTGTTGCTAAAAGGGAAATGACAGAGCGACGTGACAGACTCATCTCCATCTACAAACTATGGAAGATGTAGATGACTGACACAGTTCTAACTCCTAACACACACGGATTTTGCCTTTCATGGATTTATACTGTATGTAGATGTACATTACCACCCTTTTCACTCCTCCTTGCAACTCCCCGTCAACCTCGTAAAAAAAGACGAATTGTCTAGCAATGCAAAGAAACAGTATGGTGTACAACAAATAATTCCGGGCTAAAAATGAAGAAATCGCGCTTTCACTCTCGGCTCTGTTATTAACAAGCTGTATAACTTTCGGCCTATCTCCCCCATCATGCTTCGGTTTAAGCTAAAAGGAGGGAGATGACCAAGATGGCTTTGCTCTGCTTCTGACACCAAATGACCGCCAGCAGATTCAGGAAGCTTAAGAATTACCAACTCCGTGTGTGTGTGTTCTAAAATTAATGCAACAGGTGTTGCTGCCTCCAGCAGGCGTCACCGATTCAGAATGTCTGGGTTCTCGCAGGCCCTTATGGGACACAGAACAGCACAACCTATGTGAAAACTGTAAACTTTAGTCTGGTGAGTGCATACTTCTCCCTTCCACATTTATACTAACCTCAGCTCCGTGGGCTACGAAGCTCGTTCTTCAAATGAGGTGGAGAAATGTAAGCGCGATGAATGAGGCCCAAGTCGCTGGTGGCGCTGAACCCCCAAAAGATACACACCGCGACAGATGCAACGACCCCTCACCTCTACTCCCGTTCCCAGCCGCATCCTCTGAAACCTGATACGCCTGCCTGCCTACCAGGACGCTGCTGTCACTGGCTCTGCTCGGTGGCCAGAGACAGTACTCACTCCATGCGGCCACCCCTCCAACGTCCCACCTTCCTAGTAAATCCACTCTCTTTCCGGCGGAAAAGCCCTTCTCGTTTCCTGCGCGTGAGAGGAAGTCCCGCCCCACGCACCAGCGTGACATTACTGGAAGCGCCGAGGAGCTTCGCGCAGGCTCAGAATCGCTCAGCTGGTTGACGTTATCCAGGAGAATCGCGTTGGACTCAGGGAAGACCTGCACAGGATCCGGTTGTTGCTGGGTCCGAGGGCTGTAGGGAGTGGAGAAAGGGCCGGGAATCGTTAAGCGGGGTCTGGGAGAACGACTTGCAGATTCACATTTCCTCCGCCCGCGGATGTCCTCCGGGGAATTGAGGCTTCCTTCCTCAGCTGCCCTTGTTTCTCTCTTTGCTCCCGCTGCCCCTTGTTCTATTTCGTTTCTTACTATTTATGTAGTCTCATTGCTTGCGGTTATAATGGCCACCACTTTATTGAGCATTCACTGTACAAGCATCTCGCAGCAGGCGCTCATAAGCGTCTGGCAATTCTTGGCCACTGCTGGAAGCCCAATCATTCTTTTACCATGGAAGGGATTTGAGAGCCTACATAATCCTGTACTCTAATAGCCACATGGTACTCTTGGGGCTAGGAAGATAAAGTAGAAATTGAAATTGCTGTTGTATTAGTTTTCTGAAGCTGCCATAACCAAGTACCTCACACTGGATAGCTTAAAACAACAGATATATTTTCTCGCTTTCTGGAGTCTGGAAGTCAGAAATCAAGATGTCAGTGGGGTCTTGCTTCTTCTGAGACTCTGGATAGAATCCTTCCTGCCTCTTCCTAGCTTCTAGTGGGAGCCAGCAATCATTGGTGTACTTTCGCTTGTAGCTGCATTACTCCATTCTCTTCCTCTGTTATCAAATGGTATACTCCCTGTGTGTCTCTGTCTCTGTGTGTTTTATAAGGACACCAGTCCTGTTAGGTAAAAGGCTCACCTTACTCCAGTATGACCTGATCATGACTAATCACATCTGCAATGACACTCTTTCCAAATAAGGTCACATTTTGAGGTTCCAGGAAGGACATGAATTTTGGGGGCGACACTAACCAACCCAGTACAGCTGTTAAAGTTCTCAAGAAGTAGACAAACGAAGAGTTGACAAATAAATGTAGTACAAGTGGATTCAAATTTAGTTCAGTTTTATCTGAGTGTTCATAGACATTCGGAGTATCCCTTTAAAGGATGGGTAGGGGCCGGGCGTGGTGGCTCACGCCTGTAGTCCCAGCCCCTTGGGAGGCCGAGGTGGGCGGATCAGCTGAGGTCAGGAGTTTGAGCCCAGCCTGGCCAACATGGCGAGACTCCGCCTCTACTAAAAATACAAAAATTAGCCGGGCGTGGTGACAGGTGCCTGTAGTTCCAGCTACTTGGGAGGCTGAGGCAGGAGAATCGCTTGATCACAGGAGGTGGAGGTTGCAGTGAGCTGAGATGGCACCGTTGCACTCCAACCTGGGTGACGAGCGAAAATCCATCTCAAAAAAAAAAAAAATTAGTTACGAAAGATTCTCTCTACTTCTATCTTTTGAAAGAGACTATAGATAATTTGCATAATTTCTTCCTTAAATGTTTCATAGAATTCACCAGTTAGACCATCTGGACCTGGTACTTTCTGTTTCTGAAAGTTATCAATTATTGATTCCATTTAAAAAATAGATATAGGCCTATTCAGATTGTTTCTTCTTGTGTGAGTTTTGCCAGATCGTATCTTTCAAGAAATTGGTCCATTTCATTTAGGCTATCAAATTTATGAGCGTAGAGTTTTTTTCTTGTTTTTGTTTTTGGGCATAGAGTTTTTATCACCCTTTTAATCTTCATGGGATCTGTAGTGATGTTCCCCTCTTTCATTTCTAATATTAGTAATTTATGCCTTCTCAATTGTTTTTATAGTTAGATTACTAGAAGTGTTTTGCTTTTATTGCTCTTTTTCAAGAACAAGCTTTTTGGTTTCAATGATTTTCTCTATTTTCTGTTTTAAATTTCATTGATTTCTGCTCTAATTTTTATTATTTGTTTTCTTCTACTTACTTTGTATTTAATTAACTCTTCTTTTTCTGTTTTCCTAAGGTGAAAGCTAAAATTGATTTTAGATCTTTCATTTTTTCTAATATATGCATTCAATGGTGTTAATTTCCCTCTAATCACTGTTTTAACTGCTTCCCACAAATTTTGATTATATTTTCACTTTCATTTAATTCAAAATATTTTTAAATTTCTCTTGAAATTTCTTCTTTGGCTCATATGTAAATTAGAAGTATATTGTTTAATCTCCAAATATTTTGGGATTTCTAGGTTATTTTTCCATTATTGATTTCTAGTTAAATTCCATTGTTGTCTGAGAGCAGGCATTGTATAATTTCTATTCTCCTAAGTGGGTTAAAGTGTATTTTATGGCCCAAAATGTAGTCTCTCCTAGTGAATGTTCCCTATGAGCTTAAGAAAAATGTGTATTTTGCTGTTGTTAAATGAAGTCGTCTACAGATGTCAATATTATTCAGTTGATTGATGGTGTTGTTGAGTTCAACTGTGTCTTTACTGATTTTCTTTGTGCTGGATCTGTTTATTTCTGATAGCAATATGTTGAAATCTCCAACTATGACAATGGATTCATCTGTTTTTCTTTGCAGTTCTATCAGTTTTTACCTCACATATTTTGATATTATGTTGCTAGTCACATACACTTTAAGGACTGTTATGTCTTCTTGGAGAAATAACTTCTTAATCATTACATAATGCTTCTCTTTATCCCTGATAACTCTTTTTTTTTTTTTTTTTGACAGTGTCTTACTCTATTGCTCAGGCTGGAATGCAGTGGTGCAATCACAGCTCATGGCTCATTACAGCCTTGACTTCTGGGGTCTGGTGATCCCCCTACCTCAGCCTCCCGAGTAGCTGGCACCACAGGCATGCGCCACCATGCTCGGCTAATTTTTGTATTTTTGTTAGAGATGGGGTTTTACCATGTTGCCCAGGCTGGTCTTGAACTCCTGAGCTCAAGTGACTCACCTGCCTTGTCTTCCCAAAGTGCTGAGATTACAGGCCTGACCCACTGTGGCCGGCCTATCCCTGATAACTTTTCCTTCATTGAATTCTGCTCTGTCTGAAATTAATATAGCTATTCCTGCTTTCTTTCTCTCTCTCTCTCTCTCTCCCCGCCCCCCTTCTTTCTTTTTTGAGACGGAGTCTCGCTCTGTCACCCAGGCTGGAGTGCAGTGGCACGATCTGGCTCACTGCAAGCTCCGCCTCCCAGGTTCACGCCATTCTCCTGCCTCAGCCTCCCGAGCAGCTGGGACTACAGGCGCCTGCCACCACGCCCGGCTAATTTTTTGTATTTTGTTTAGCAGAGACGGGGTTTCACTGTGTTAGCCAGGATGGTCTCGATCTCCTGACCTCGTGATCTGCCCGCCTCGGCCTCCCAAAGTGCTGGGATTACAGGCGTGAGCCACCATGCCCGGCCTCTTTCTTTTATTTATTTATTTATTTATTTTACTTGACATGGACTGCCTGAACATCCCACTGCTTTCTTTTGATTAGTGTTAACATGGTATATCTTTCTCTTTTTTACACATTTCCTCTTAATCTGTATTTGTCTTTAAAGTGTGTTATTTTGTTCACAATGTATAGTTGGATCTTGTTTTTTTTTTTAATTTACTCTGACAATCTTTGTCTTTTAGGTGCATTTAAACCACTGATATTCAACGTGATTATTATTATTCTTTTTTGAGACAGTGTCTCACTCCCATTGCCCAGGCTGGAGTGCAATGACATGATCTTGGCTCCCTGTACCCTTGACTTCCTGGGCTCAGGTGATTTCTGCCACCTCAGCCTCCCAAATAGCTGGGACTACAGGCACACTAAGCCCCACTAATTTTTTGTATTTATTTAGTAGAGACAGGGTTTTGCCATGTGGTCCAGGCTGGTCTCAAACTCCTGGGCTCAAGTGATACACTTGCCTTAGCCTCCCAAAGTGCTGAGATTACAGGCATGAGCCACCATGTCCGGCCTCACAGTGATATAGTTGAATTAATATCTATCATATTTGTTACTGTTTTCTATTTGTTGCCCTTGTTCTTTTTTTTTTTTTTGAGATGGAGTCTAGCTCTGACGCCCAGACTGCAGGCAGTGACATGATCTTGGCTCACTGCAACCGCCACCTCCTGGGTTCAAGCAATTCTCCTGTCTCAGCCTCCTGAATAGCTGGGATTACAGGCACGCACCACCACGCCTGGCTAATTTTTGTATTTTTAGTAGAGATGGGGTTTCGCCATGTTGTCCAAGCTGGTCTCAAACTCCTGACCTCAGGTGATCCACCCGCCTCGGCCTCCCAAAGTGCTGGGATTATAGGTGTGAGCCACCATGCCTGGCTGCCCTTGTTCTTTATAACTATTTTTGTCTTCTACTTTTTTTCTGCCTTTCGTGGCTTTTTTTTTTTTTTTTTTTTTTTTTTTTTGAGACAGAGTCTTGCTCTGTCACCCAGGCTGGAGTGCAGTGGCCCAATCTTGGCTCACCGCAATCTCCACCTCCCAGGTTCAAGTGATTCTCCTGCCTCAGCCTCCCAAGTAGCTGGGACTACAGGCACACACCATAACACCCGGCTAATTTTTGTATTGTTTAGTGGAGACAGGGTTTCATCATGTTGGCCAGATTAGTCTCAAACTCCTGACCTCAGATGATCCACCTGCCTTGGCCTCCCAAAGTGCTGGGATTATGGGCGTGAACCACCATGCCCGGCCCCTTTTGTGGCTTTAACTGAGCCTTGTATGGAATCCCATTTTTATTCACTTGTTACCATGTCACTTATACTTCTTTTTTTACCTTTTTTTTTTTTTTTTGAGACGGAGTCTCGCTCTGTCACCCAGGCTGGAGTTCAGCGGCGCGATCTCAGCTCACTGCAAGCTCCGTCTACCGGGTTCATGCCATTCTCCTGCCTCAGCCTCCTGAGTAGCTGGGACTGCAGGTGCCCACCACCACACCTGGCTAATTTTTTGTATTTTTAGTAGAGATGGGGTTTCACCATGTTAGCCAGGATAGTCTCAATCTCCTGACCTCGTGAGCCGCCCACCTCGGCCTCCCAAAGTGCTGGGATTACAGGCGTGACTTTTTTTACTTTTTAAAGGAGTCGCCCTAGAGTTTGCAATGTACATTTACAGCTAATCCAAGCCCAATTTCAAATAACACTATACCATTTCTTGAACAGTGTTCCTTATAATAATGAAATAATCCTAATTCTTCCTTCCCATCCTTGTATCATTGCTGTCATTTATATCACTTACAATATGTAAGCATACATAACCATACATATATAAGCACACATAAGCAAATATATTTGTTAATATTATTTTGCACAAACTATTATCTGTTAGATCAATTAAAAATAAGAAAAACTTTTTATTTTACTTTCACTTACTACTTCTTTGGTGCTCTTTCTTTATGTGGATCCTAGTTTCTGACCTGTGTTATTTTCCTTCTCTCTAAATAATTTTTTTTTTTTTGAGATGGAGTCTCTCTCTGTCACCCAGGCTGTAGTGCAGTGGCACGATTTCAGCATACTGGAACCTCCACCTCCAAGGTTCAAGCAATTCTCCTGCCTCAGCCTCCTGAGTAGCTGGGATTACAGGCATGTGCCACAACACCTGGCTAATTTTTTTTGTATTTTTAGTAGAGACGGGGTTTCACCATGTTGGCCAGGCCGGTCTTGAATTCTTGACCTATGGTGATCTGCCCAAGTTGGCCTCCCAAAGTGTTGGGATTACAGGCGTGAGCCACCATGCCCAACCTCTAAAGAATTCTTTTTTTTTTTTTTTTTTGAGACAGAGTCTCTCTCTGTCGCGCAGGCTGGAGTGCAGTGGCACGATCTCAGCTTACTGCAAGTTCCGCCTCCCGGGTTCACGCCATTCTCCTGCCTCAGCCTCCGGAGTAGTTGGGACTACAGGTGCCCACCACCACGCCTGGCTACTTTTTTTTTTGTATTTTCAGTAGAGGCAGGGTTTCACCATGTTAGCTGGGATAGGATGGTCTTGATCTCCTGACCTCGTGATCCGCCCGTCTCGGCCTCCCAAAGTGCTGGGATTACAGGTGTGAGCCACTGTGCCCGGCCTTTTTTTTTTTTTTTTTTTTTTTTGAGATGGAGTCTTACTCTGTCGCCCAGGCTAGAGGGCGGTGGCGCAGTCTTGGCTCACTGCAACCTCCACCTCCCAGGTTCAAGCGATTCTCCTGCCTCAGCCTCCTAGGTAGTTTGGATTACAGGTGCCTGCCACCATGCCTGGCTCATTTTTTGTATTTTTAATAGAGACGGGGTTTCAACATGTTGGCCAGGCTGGTCTTGAACTCCTGACCTCAGATGATCCACCCGCCTTGGCCTCCCAAAGTGCTAAGATTACAGGTGTGAGCTACTGCACCTGGCCCCCTCTAGTTTCTTTCGGGATTTTTTTCTTTATCTTTGATTTTCTGTAGTTTGAAAATTATATGCCTGGTTGCAGTTTTCTGTTTTTGTTTTTTATATTTATCTGCTTAGTGTTCTCTGAGCTTCCTGGATCTGTAGTTTGGTGTCTGACATTAATTTGGAGAAACTCTCAAGTCATTATTCTTTCAAACAATATGAATAATTTATTCTATTCCTTTCTTTTCTCTCCTTCTGGTATTCATAATATGCATATGTTATATCTTCTGTAGTTGTTCCATAGTTTTTGGATAGTCTCTTCTGTTTGTTTGTTTTTTTTTTGTCTTTGTTCTCTTTTATTGCCAGTTTGAAAGCTTCCTATTGGCTGGACATGGTGGTTTATACCTGTAATCCCAACACTTTGAGAGGCCAAGGCAGGTGGATTGCCTGAGCTCAGGAGTTCAAGACCAGCCTGGGCAACACGGTGAAATCCCGTCTCTACTAAAATACAAAAAATTAACCGGGTGTGGTGGTGTATGCCTGTAGTCCCAGCCTGGGCAACATGGTGAAACCCCATCTCTACTAAAAATACAAAAAATTAGCCGGGCGTGGCATCATGCGCCTGTAGTCCCAGCTACTTGGGAAGCTGAAGCAGGAGAATTGCTTGAACCTGGGAGGTGGAGGTTGCAGTGAGCTGAGATCACGCCACTTCACTCCAGCCCAGGCAATGAAGTGAGACTCCATCTCAAAAAAAAAAAAAAAAAAGAAAAAAAAGGTTTCTGTTGATATATCATCATATATCATATCTTTCCTCACCATGTCCAGTCTATTAGCCCATCAAAGACATTCTTCATTTTCTATTCACAGTGTTTTTTATCTCTTGCATTTTTTTTGGTTCTTTTTTGTTTTTATTTTATTTTGTTTATTTATTTATTTTGGAGATAGAGCCTCACTGTTACCCAGGCTGGAATGCAGTGGCATGATCTCGGCTCACTGCAACCTCTGTTTCCTGGGTCTGGGTTCAAGAGATTCTTGTGCCTCAGCCTCACAAGAAGCTGGGACTACAGGCACGCACCACCACCCCCTGCTAATTTTTTTGTATTTTTAGTAGAGACAGGGTTTCGCCATGTTGCCCAGGCTGGTCTCGAACTCCTGAGCTCAGGCAATCTGCCCCACTTCGGCCTCCCAAAGTGTTAGGATTATAGGTGTAAGCCACTGCTCCCAGCGTCTTTTTGGTTCTTTCTTAGGATTTCCATCTCTCTGTTTACACTGACCATCTGTTCTTGCATGCTGTCTACTTTACCCATTAAAGCTGTTAGTATATTAATCAAAGTTGTTTAAAATTTCTTGTCTAATAATTCCAACATTCCTGCCATGTCTGGTTCTGATGCTTGCTCTGTCTCTTCAAAATGTGTGTTTTGCCTTTTAGTTTGCCTTGTAATTTTTTCTTCATAGCTGGACAGGATGTACCAGGGAAAAGGAACTGCTGCAAATAGGCCTTTAGTAATGTGGGGGTAAGGTGTGGGGAGAGGGAAAGTATTCCTCTATGAACCCTATGATTAGGTCTCAGTCTTTTAGTGAGCATGTGCTTCTGGAATGTGAACTTTACAAGTGCTTCTCAGTTTTTTTCTTCCCCCTTAGGTGGGACAAGATGGCCAGAGTGGGCTGGCGTTGGGCATTTTTCCCTTCTCCCAGGCCAGTTAGGCTCTGATAAAACTCCAGCCATTTAGGCTCTGATTAAATATTTCTCCCGAGGGCAGACTTTGTTAAGAACAGCATGCTCTGGCATGTTTCGAAATGGTTCTTTTTCTTCTTCTCCTGCTAGAAGCATGACAAGATTTTTCTCTAATATTTATTGTGAGAACCTGGTCAAACTCTTGGAGGTAAAACTCACAGAAGCTTGGGTTCTCCCTCCCCTGTTTCTGGTTTCTTCTGGAATTTTTGACTCTCAGACTTGTCTACACTTGCCTCTGGCAATTCAATTACAGTTCATGTTTTTCTGCCCTGGCATTGGTTCCTTTGTGGAGATTTCTGCTCTGGGTAGCTTGTGACTTTTGTACATACCTGTCTGCCTCTCCAATTTTGGGGATAGTGGTTTGCCCTGTGACCTCACTTTTCTTCTGGATTTAAGAAAAATTATGTCAGTTCGTTAAGCTTTTCTTTCTTTTTTTTTTTTCTGAGACAAAGTGTTGCTCTGTTGCCCAGGGTGGAGTGCAGTGGCGTGATCTCACCCATCTTTATTTCACATTGGAAGTATTCCTCAAATGTCTGGAGTGGGGGGGTCTTGACTGTTTATATTTTTTAATGAAGTAATAAGTGGATTACGAGCTCTCTTGTGTGGAACTTTTCTGATGGCCAAGATGATGGGACAGGAATGCTGACATTTTACTGTAATGGGTAGAATGCAGGGGATTTTCTACGGAGCCCTTAGATTTATTTCCAGAATAACGTTTCAGCGTGATGTGTGAATGTATGGGAAATTCTGGATGGTCTGTGTTCCTCCTATCACACCTTCACCCTGGGGGTAGATTCTTGGCTGTAAGGCATTCTGCATGCAGAGGTGGAAGGGAAGGAAAACTGTTTCATATGTGGAATCTTGGCCTTATATCTCATTCCTGTACTCAGTTGTCTCTGATATTTCCTGGTTCTGGACCCTTCTAGCATTCCGTAGTGTGAATTGTTTTTTTCCTGGGGTATATCTTCCACCCTCTGCAGTTTCTTCTGCTTCCCCCCCGCATCAGTATCATTCCTTCATCAGCTATCTTCCAAAATTTCTTTGAAATCTCTGATCTACTAATGATCTTTTCCCCATTCTCTTGTTTAGATCTTTATGTTTCTTTTCCCATTCTCTTATTTATATCTTTATGTCTCTTTTTATTTCTTAAGTATGATTTTAATGAAACTTAGGAGGGTGAGATGATAAATCATGTTTTCAATTTTAACAAGGCAAAAACAAGCTCATCAAGCATTCACTGGTTGGGCGCTGTGGCTCACACCTGTAATCTCAGCACTTTGGGAGGCCGAGGTAGGGCAGATTGCCTGAGCTCAGTAGTTCAAGACTAGCCTGGCCAACATGGTGAAACCCCATCTCTACTAAAAATACAAAAATTAGCCAGGCGTGGTGGCTCACGCCTGTAATCCCAGCACTTTGGGAGGCTGAGGTAGGGCAGATTGCCTGAGCTCAGGAGTTCAAGACCAGCCTGGCCAAGATGGTGAAACCCCATCTCTACTAAAAATACAAAAATTAGCCAGGTGTGGTGTTGGGCGCCTGTAATCCCAGCTACTCGGGAGGCTGAGGCAGGGAGAATGCTTGAACCCGGGAGGTGGAGGTTGCAGTGAGCCTAGATCGCACCACTGCGCTCCAGCCTGGGTGTCAGAGTGAGACTGTCTCAAAAAAAAAAAAAAAAAAGAAAAGAGTTCACTGATTAAATTATGGTCTATTCATACAGTAGAATACTAGACATTCATTTAAAATGATGCAAGCAGGCTGGGCGCGGAGGCTTACACCTGTAATCCCAGCACTTTGGGAGGCCGAGGCAGGTGGATCACCAGAGGTCAGGAGTTCGAGACCAGCCTGACCAACATGGAGAAACGCCATCTCTATTAAAAATACAAAATTAGCCAGGGGTGGTGACGCATGCCTGTAATCCCAGCTACTCGGGAGGCTGAGGCAGGAGAATTGCTTGAACCCAAGAGGCAGAGGTTGCGGTGAGCCGAGATTGTGCCATTGCACTCCAGCCTGGGCAACAAAAGTGAAACTCTGTCTCAAAAAAATAAATAAAATAAATAAAATGATGCAAGCAGCTGGGCACAGTGGCTCACACCTGTAATCCTAGCACTTTGGGAGGCCAAGGCAGGTGGATTGCCTGAGCTCAGAAGTTCGAGACCACCCTAGGGAACATGGTGAAACCCGGTCTCTATTAAAAATACAAAAAATTAGCCGGGTGTGGCGTTGTGCATCTGTAATCCTAGCTACTTAGGAGGCTGAGACAGGAGACTCGCTTGAACCCGGGAGGCAGAGGTTGCAGTGAGCCGAGATCACGCCATTGCACTCCAGCCTGGGTGACAGAGCAAGACTCCCTCTCAAAAAAAAAAAAAAAAAAGGCCACGCACGGTGGCTCACACCTGTAATCCCAGCACTTTGGGAGGCCAAGGTGGGCAGATCACTTGAGGTCGGGAGTTTGAGACCAGCCTGGCCAACATGGAGAAACCCCATCCCTAGTAAAAATACAGAAAATTAGCCAGGCATGGTGGCGCACGCCTGTAATCCCAGCTACTTGGGAGGCTGAGGCAGGAAAATTGCTTGAACCCAGGAGGCAGAGGTTGCGGTGAGCTGAGATCACACCATTGCACTCCAGCCTGGGCAACAAGAGTGAGACTCCATCTCAAAAATAAAAAAGATGGAAGCATGTATTTGTATTTTGAGCATCAATAACTAGGTAAGAGAAGTGCATTTTTAAAACCAATGAGTTATAAAAATTCAAATTAGATATATATACATGACTAAGGGGTAGGGGGGTCCAGTTGTAACAATGGCAAGTTCTAAGAGATAAAATCCTAAGGTCTTTGTTTTTATTTCTATGGACATCGCTGTGTCTTCTTGACTCTTTTATAAGTAGCATGTTTTTAATAATCAGAATATATATAAATCTATTTTTGAAGTAATATAATGACTAGCCTTGTACATACAATTTTGCATACATCTTGACTTCCTTAGAATTAGTACCCAGGTTTAACTTATTTAGTTAAAAGAATAAATTTTTTTGAAACTTTACATACCTATTTTCAAATTTCCTCTTCAGAAGAAGTGCAAATACATATTTACCAGCATGTTGGACAATGCCACTTCCCTAGGCCCTCACTGGAACTTTTTAAATCCTTAGCCAGTTTGATCAGTTAACACCTGTGGTTGCTTCTGACGAGTCATGTCTCATGTGATCAGCATTCAAGAAATTCCTCCTTTCAAACTGGCTGTCCATATTCTCCAAAGTTTTGTTTTTAGCTCTTTCTATTGTGAACGTTTATTGTCTGTCTGGTTTATCTTCTTATAAGCAGTTATCAAAAGAATCAGTTTAATTAATGTTTGGAGTACTTCTATACCCAGTCCATAAAAGTGTGACAACTCCTGAACTCAGTTAATCAGGTTTCAAAGTGATTTTTCCTGTGGTTGAGACAATATAGGGAGGGAATTAGGATTTGGGGATTTACAGTCAGACTGCCTGGGCTCAAATCCTAGCTCTGTGACAACTTACTGATTATAACCTTAGTGTAGTTAATGAACTAGACCCAGTTCCCTCAGCTATATAATGAGGACTAAGTCAACCTCTGCATATAAAAACATGACACAGGGCTGGGACATAACTCTCAAAGGGATACTGCTGAATAGGTACAATGCTATGCAATGAATTGTGACCCCCCAAATTCATGTGTCGAAGCCCTAACCCCCAATATGATGGTATATGAAGATGAAACCTTTGGGAGGTCATTATGTTTAGATGAGATCATAAAGGTGGGGTCTCATAATAGTTTTAGTGCCCTTAAGAGACACCAGAGAACTTGCTTCTCTCTCTCTCTCCCTGCCATGCAAGCACACAGCAAGAAGGAGGCCATCAGCAAACTGGGAAGAGGACCCTCACCAGGAACCACATCTGCCAGCACCTTGATCTTGAACTTCTCAGCCTCCAGAACGGTGAGAAATAAATGTCTGTCGTTTAAGACACCCAGTACATGGTACTTTGTTATAGCAGTCTAAGCTAACTAAGATGTACAATTTTGTTATTAGCATTCTTCGTGGGGCCTGAGAGTCTTATGAGAAATAAAAGGGGGGTAATAATAATAGACCATGACAGATGGGTTAGAAATGCAGGTGAAAGTAATAAATACAGAGTGATTGACGTTGATACTTTTTATATATCTATTGGTGTTTACCCTCTAGTGTGTTTCTCTGGCAACTGTTCTCCCTAGCAACAAAAACCTGGTCTGCCTGAATTTGGTGCTAATTTTGCAGAAGATTATGGAGTGAGGTTTCTATATGAGGCTGAGTCATCCTGACTGTAAAATGGAGGTCCTGGAGTATGTATTCTTTTTTTTTTTTTTTGAGGCGGAGTCTTGCTCTGTCTCCCAGGCTGGAAAGCAGTGGCATGATCTCAGATCACTGCAAGATCTGCCTCCTGGGTTCACACCATTCTCCTGCCTCAGCCTCCTAAGTAGCTGGGACTACAGGCACCTGCCACCACGCCCGGCTAATTTTGTTTTTGTATTTTTAGTAGAGACGGGGTTTCACCGTCTTAGCCAGGATGGCCTCAATCTCCTGATCACGTGAGCCGCCCGCCTCAGCCTCCCAAAGTGCTGGGATTACAGGCGTGAGCCACCGCGCCCAGCCGGTCCTGAACTATGTATTCTGTGGCTTTCCTTCTAGATGGTATTTACTTTGTAGGGATTCACTTAATGGATGAGAAAGCTGGAATCTGTATGTATTTAGTAAAAGTTGAATTCTAAATGATTCATTTTTTCTATTGGAATTCTGAGGAAGTTTTTTATCTTCATTATAATCATTATAATGTAAGTTTTTCTTTTCTTTTTCTTTTTATTTTTTGAGATGGAGTTTCGCTCTTGTTGCCCAGGCTGGAGTGCATGGCACGATCTTGGCTCACTGCAACCTCGGCCTCCCGAGTTCAAGCGATTCTTCTGCCTCAGTCTTCCTGAGTCCTGGGATTACAGGTGCGCACCACCACACCCAGCTAATTTTGCATTTTTAGTAGAGACGGAGTTTCTCTGTGTTGGTCAGGCTGGTCTTGAACTCCTGATGTCAAGTGATCCACCCGTCTCAGCCTCCCAAAGTGCTGGGATTACAGGCGTGAACCACCACACCTGGCATAAGTTTTTCTTATCTTTCCAAGAAGACTTGCTGGTTTGTAGGGTTTTCCTTTTGTGTAAAAATACTCCTTTGTTACTAAATCAGAATTAAAGTATTATAAAATTTTCTACCCACAACACCATTAACACCAACTACTTTAAGGTTCATCTGTTCATTTTATACGTGAACAATTTTATTCACTTGTTTATTCATTCAACATTATTTTTAAAACTTATTTTAATATTGCTATTCACTTGTAATAGTCATGTAATATTCCATAGAACCCCACTGTCTCTGACAGGCACATAATAAGCGCACACATCATATCTCTGACATAACATGTTTGGCTAGTGAATGCCAGGCAGACCTCTCAAACCAGTGCCCAACAGAGCAGGTAGTTTATCTCCCAAAAGATGAGGTCCAGCCTTCAGCATTTTTAGGTTAAGAAGCTCAAGATTTGTAGTATTTAGATATTTTATTTTGATACGTTGATTTAAATTAACCAATTTGACAAGAAAGGCATGAAACTTCTAGAATACAAATGAAATAAGTTATCAATAAATATAACTAGAAGGGAGAGATTTGGAATATATGAACATCTTTTTTAAATTTAATTTTTAGTTGACAAATGTTAGTATTTGAACTTTTTTTTTTTTTTTTGAGACAGGGTCTCGTTCTTTCACCCAGGCTGGAGGGCAGTGGCGTGATCTCGGCTCACTGCAAACTCTGCCTCCCGGGTTCATGCCATTCTCCTGCCTCAGTCTCCCAAGTAGCTGGGACTACAGGCGCCCGCCACCACGCCTGGCTAATTTTTTTGTATTTTTAGTAGAGACAGGGTTTCACCCTGTTAGCCAGGATGGTCTCAATCTCCTGACCTCGTGATCTGCCCGCCTCAGCCTCCCAAAGTGCTGGGATTACAGGCGTGAGCCACTGCCTCCAGCCTAGTATTTGAACATCTTAATGGATTCATTTTCCTCTGGAAGGATAATCTACTTGGAACTTTGGGTAACTAGATGACCATTCATTTATAACACAGGGAAGGAGTTAAATCATTTTTAACACAGACCATCAGTAACTTTAACATACAGATTAACCTGTTATGAAGACTATTGATCAGAGTTATTTCTGGAGGTACCCTATCCCTCTGCTGTCTGAGATGTGCCCTGGGATTCTTTTGTATTGAGATAGGGTCTCTGTCACCCAGGCTGGAGTGCAGTGGCATGATCATAGTACACTGCAGCCTCAACCTCTCTGGTTCAAGTGACCCTCCCACCTCAGCCTCCTGAGCAGCTAGGACCACAGATGTGCACCACCACACCAGGCTGATTTTATTTTTTATGTTTTTTGTGGAGATGCGGGGGTAGGTCTCACTATGTTGTCGAGACTGGTCTCAAACTCCTGGGCTCAAGCAATCCTCCTACCTCAGCCTCCCAAAGTACTGGGATTACAGGCATGAGCCACCACACCTGGCCTACATTGGTATTTTTTTTTTTTTTTGAGACAGGAGTCTTTGTCACCCAGGCTGGAGTGCAGTGGTGCGATCTCACCTCACTGCAACCTCTGCCTCCTGGGTTCAAGCGATTCTCCTGCCTCAGCCTCCTGAGTGTCTGGGACTACAGGTGTGCACCACCATCCCTGACTAATTTTTTGTATTTTTAGTAGAGATGGGGTTTCGCCATGTTGGCCAGGCTGGTCTTGAACTCCTGGCCTCAAGTTATCTGCCCACCTTGGCCTCCCAAAGTGCTGGGATTACAGGCATAAGCCACCGCATCCGGCCTGCACTGGGATTCTTAACTGGATCCTGGGCTGATTGTTTTTCCCACAGTAGCAATGGGGTGGGAACTTATTAGCAGATAGACTAAAGAAAACTATCGCCTGGAACGTGTGCAAATGAGAATTTAGCAAATGTGAAATCTTCTTTCCCAAGAATGCCTTTAAGAGGCTCCAGACTAAGAGCAGAAGGAGAGTGGAAATAGGACTGATATCAAAGGGGTAATTGAAAGACAGTCTATCAAACAAACCACTTTGTGCCAGTTGATGCTGTGACTCTCCCTACTCCAATCTTATATATAAAGTGGCTAGCTGCAGCAGTCACTAAAGGAAAACTAAACTAAAAACCAAAATTGAAGGAGTCACTCTTCCCTAAAGAAAATGATCTGCCTCTGGAACAATCCAGTTTCCAGTGTAGGTAAGCTCTTCTCATTTTGGCAGTCGGAAGGGCCCTTCTTTCTGCCTTCTGCCTGTGTACCCTAAAAAGAAGCCTCCCAGTTGACACATCCACCATATATGTACAAAGTTCACATTATCCCTCCTATTCCAGAGAGAAGTCAGCTATGAAAATTGAACCCACAGCAGCAGATGAAACTCCAGCAGCTACCTAGTCATTTATTTATTTATTTTTAGGGACAGGGTTTCGTTCTGTCACCCAGGCTAGAACGCAGTAGCATGATCATAGCTCACTGCAGCCTCAAACTCCTGGGCTCGAGCAATCCTCCTGCCTCAGCCTGCTGAGTAGCTGGGACTACAGGTGCGTACCACCATGCCCAGCTAATTTTTTTTTTTAATTTTTTTTTTTTTTTTATTTTTGAGACGGAGTCTCACTCTGTCGCCCGGGCTGCAGTGCAGTGGCGCGATCTCGGCTCACTGCAAGCTCCTCCTCCCAGGTTCACGCCATTCTCCTGCCTCAGCCTCCTGAGTAGCTGGGACTACAGGCGCCCACCACCGCGCCCGGCTAATTTTTTGTATTTTTAGTAGAGACGGGGTTTCACCGCGTTAGCCAGGATGGTCTCGATCTCCTAACCTCGTGATCCGCCCGCCTCAGCCTCCCAAAGTGCTGGGATTACAGGCGTGAGCCACCGCGCCCGGCCTTTTTTTTTTTTTTTTTTTTTAAAGACAAAGACTCCCTCTGTCACCCAGGCTGGAGTGCAGTGGCACAGTCTTGGCTCACTGCAACCTCTGCCTCCCGGGTTCAAGCGATTCTCCTGTCTCAGTCTCCTG
Organism: Homo sapiens; assembly: GCF_000001405.40. Lineage (NCBI taxonomy): Eukaryota > Metazoa > Chordata > Mammalia > Primates > Hominidae > Homo > Homo sapiens. The sequence continues at coordinate 82,734,349 of NC_000015.10, read as the reverse complement.
AGTAGCTGGGATTGCAGGCACATGCCATCACACCCAGCTGATTTTTGTATTTTTTTTTTAGTAGAGACAGGGTTTCACCATGTTGGCCAAGCTGGTCTCAAACTCCTGACCTCAGGTCATCCACCCACCTCAGCCTCCCAAAGTGTTGGGATTACAGGCATGAGCCACTGTGCCTGGCCCCAGCTAATTTATTTGTTGAGACGAGGTCTCACTATGTTGGCCAGGCTGGTCTCAAACTCCTGGCCTCAAGCAGTCCTCCTGACTGGGTTTCTCAAAGTGTTAAGATTACAGGCATGAGCCATTGCGCCTGGCCCTAGTCCTTTGTTTTTATGCAAATCTTCTTAAATGTTCAACCCAGATTTACTAGACATTTGAAGAAAACTAACAGCAAGTAAGAAAAGGGCGTTATTGAAAAAAGAGCTGTTCCCATGGATTACAATTTATACAAGAAACAGAGAAAACTTTGGAAAAAAATTTATGTATCTATGTATACTAAAAAAATTAGTATCTGTGAAGAGATTTGAGGATATTGCATCATAAGTCAAGAATAGGCTGCTATGGAAAAGGAACAATGCAAATAAGAGAACTCTTAGAAATTAAAAACGATTGTCAAAATAAAAATTTAATAGTATTGGGATAACAAACAAAAACATCCTTCCCCAAAAGATAATTGGAAAAAATTATGTTAGCCTAGGATATCTACTAACTACCTAATAGAAGTTAAGAAAAAAAATCAGGAAAAAAATTGAAGCAAAGAAATACTAGGAGAACAAATAGTCAGGTAACTTAGAGATACATGTTTTTATATTGAAAATGTACCAAGCACAGTAAATTTTAAACACATATATATACACACATATCTGTACACACAGCAAATTTAAACACACACACACACATACATACACAGAAACCTGTTACCGGAAAGCAGTCCCGATCCAGACCCCAAGAATGGGTTCTTGGATCTTGCACAAGAAAGAATTCGGGACCAGTCCATAGAGTAAAGTGAAAGTGAGTTTTTTAAGAGGCAGAGGAATAAAAGTTGGCTACTCCAGAGGCAGAGCAGCAGCTTGGGCTGCCCCACTAAGGATACTTATAGTTACATCTTCATTATATGCTAAACAAGGGGTAGATTATTCACAAGTTTTCCAGGAAAGGAATTTAGTACTTTAGAAAGTACTAAAACTAACTTTAGAAAGTTAGTTTCCCGGAACTAAGCGTTCCTCCCCCTTTTAGACCATATAGGGTCTCCCTGACATTGGCATGATATTTGTAAACTGTCATGGTGCTGGTGGGAGTGTCTCCAAGCGTGCTAATGTATTATTAGTGTGTAATGAACCGTGAGGACGACCAGAGGTGACTTGTCACCATCTTGGTTTTGGTGGGTTTCAGTCAGCTTCTTTCCTGCAACCTGTTTTATCAGCAAGGTCTTTATGACCAGTATCTTTGCTGACCTCCTATCTCATCCTGTGATTTACAATGCATAACCTCCTGGAAGTGCAGCCCAGTAGGTCTCAGCACCTATTCAAGATGGAGTTGCTCTGGTTCAAATGCCTATGACAAATCCTTCAAGATTTTGGAATAATAAAGATTAAAGGAAGAGCCTAAAAGTTTCCAGAGAAGGAAAACAGAGGTTACCTAAACAAGAATGAGAATTGGATTGGCATCTGTTTTGTCATCAGCAAAAAGGTACACAAGAAGATATTGAAGCAGTACCTTCAAAGTCGGAACAGAAAGTTGTTTGAATCTATAATTCTATACCAGACAAATACATGAAAGAGTAAAATAGATATTTCAGAGATGCAAGAACTCACATTTATTTCGCTTCCATATTTTTCTGAAAAAAAATTTAAGGATATACATTGGAGAGAATGAAACATGTGAGCTAGTAAAAAGGACCCAACCTAGGAATGCAATGAAAAGAAATTCCAGGATGTTATCTTTGCAGAAAGCCTAGGAAATAATGGATCCTCATTTGAGCAGGATTCCAGAGGGTCAGCAAATGCATTGAAACAAAAAGTAGATTCCAGTTAACAAATAGTTAAGATTAAGAAGCTAGATGATCATCACCAAAAAAGGTAACAGAGTATGTTTCATTTTCTCAAATAAAGAGGTTAATAAAAACACCAAGGAAAGCATAGTTTTATAAGAACATGATAGTCCACATACAAAAATTAGGCCAGGTGCGGTGGCTCACACCTGTAATCCCAGCACTTTGGGAGGCCAAGGTAGGTAGATCACTTAAGGTCAGGAGTTCGAGACCAGCCTGGCCAAGATGGTGAAACACCGTCTCTACTAAAAATACAAAAATTAGCCGGGCGTGGTGGCAGGCACCTCTAATCAAAAAAAAAACAAAAAAAAAAAACAAAAAAAACAAAAAACAAAAAAACAAAACTTCTCTAGGAGATATTATTTTTTTAAATTTAGTTTTAATTATCTATAGAATTTTGTGTGATGTGAGATAGGGACCTTTATGTGGTGTGAGATAGGGACCCAGTTTTATTTTTCACTTTGATTTGATAATCAGTAGTCCCAGATCTAGTCATTAAATGACTATTCCTTTCCCCTCTGATCTCCAATGCCCCCTCTGTCATATCAAGCTTGCATATGTGTGGGTCTGCTTCTAGGACCTCTAATTTGTTCTATCAATCATTTTGTTTAATTTTGAACCAATACCAGAGTATCGTAATTACTATAGCTTTGTCATAATGATACAGGAGGTAGAAAGAAATTACTTAGGCAGATAGTGAGGTCAGCAGAGTCTTCAGCAGAGCTTCCAGTCTAACAAAAAGCCCAAGAATCTTTTTTTTTTTTTTTTTTGAGACGGAGTCTCGCTCTGTCGCCCAGGCTGGAGTGCAGTGGCTCAATCTTGGCTCACTGCAAGCTCCGCCTGCCGGGTTCACGCCATTCTCCTGCCTCAGCCTCCCGAGTAGCTGGGACTACAGGCGCCCACCACCACGCCTGACTAATTTTTGTATTTTTAGTAGAGACGGGGTTTCTCCTTGTTAGCCAGGATGGTCTCGATCTCCTGACCTTGTGATCCGCCTGCCTTGGCCTCCCAAAGTGCTGGGATTACAGGCGTGAGCCACCGCACCCAGCCAAGAATCATTTTTTTCCTAACAAAGAGCAGCCTGACAAATCAAGCTGCAAACATAAATAAGGAAGCTAGAGGCTTGCTGGGGGAATGCCGACAGCTGTGCCAATAGAAAAGGGCTACCTGGGGACCAGGCATGTCCACCCTGGAGGTTTCATCTTCCCTTTTTTTGTTACCATGTGTACAGTAATAGATAAATGGGCAACATGGCACAGCTCAGGCAGAGAACCAGCCAGCATAATAGAAGATTAGGGTGGGGGCTACCAGAAATTCGTGCCCTATGCAAATGGCACACCTGATATAACCAGTTTTTTGCACCCTAGGTAAATCAGACACCGCCTATTCACCAGCTCATCTATAAAACCCCCTGCATTTCACCGCAGAACTGGAACCTATTTTACCAGGACCCCTCTCTGCAGCAGAGAGCTCTTCTCTTTCTTTCGCCTATTAAACTTCCACTCTTAACCTCATTATTTGTGTGTCCTTGTTCTTGTTCTCCATGGCCGTGGGACAACGAACCTTGAGTGTTACTCCAGAAAACGAGGCTGTTTCAATAAGACTAGATAGTTGATAGAATAAATCCTCCCACCTTACTCTTCAAGAGTGTCTTGGCCACTCTTGGCCCTTTGCTCTTTTATTTGCATGTTAGAATCTATCAAGCTCCTGGCCAGGCACGGTTGCTGATGCCTCCCGGGTTCAAGCAGTTCTCCTGCCTTAGCCTCCTGAGTAGCTTTGCAGGTGCCCGTCACCACACCCGGCTAATTTTTGTATTTTTAGTAGTGACAGGCTTTCACTATGTTGGCCAGATTGATCTTGAACTCCTGACCTCATGATCCACCTGCCTTGGCCTCCCAAAGTGTTGGGATTACAGGTGTGAGCCACCGCACCCGGCCAGCTGTTTTTAAACATAGGGTTGTTATCATTTGGCAGGAGAGCAGCAGGTGCAGCATATAGGCCACATCCTCACTCCCATGATAACAAGCCACTTCAGCCCCTGATTGACTGCTGGTCGGGTCTCGGTTTCAGCCAATCCTTCACGGTGTAGCCAATTGGAGGCCTCTACAGGGCATCAAGGGGTGTTGCTAGGTTCCTTTAGCTTAATAAAAACCGTAATTGAGAAGGCTCTTGAGCTGCTTGCAGGAGCCCACTCCTACTCTGCGAATTGTCTTTAATAAACCTGTGCTTTCGCTCTTTCCTTGCTCCGTTCTTTTGTTACTTTGTCCAATTCTTTTTTTTTTTTAATTTTTTTTTTGAGACGGAGTCTTGCTCTGTCACCCGGGCTGGAGTGCAGTGACACGATCTTGGCTCACTGCAGCCTCTGCCCCCCCAGGTTCCAGCGATTCTCCTGCCTCAGCCTCCTGGGTAGCTGGGATGACAGGCACACGCCACCACCCCTGGCTAATTTTTGTATTTTTAGTAGAGATGGGGTTTCGTCGTGTTGGCCAGGCTGGTCTCAAACTCCTGACCTCAGATGATCCACCCACCTCGGCCTCCCAAAGTGCTGGGATTACAGGTGTGAGTCACTGTGCCTGGCCTTGTTCAATTCTTTGTTCAACACACCAAGAACCTCAACAACTCTATCCAGTAACAATACCTTTTCCACTCAAATCCCCAAACATTCTAAATATGAGTGTTCAGATGTTCCCATACTTGTGTGAGAAGATCCAGGATAGTGATCAGTTCTCTATTTTTCCCGTTGGGACCTCAGACCCACAAATAAAAGCACATGTGGGAATTCCATAGAAGATCACTAAAGGTTCTCCCAAGTTCAACACAGATGAACAAATCCATTTGGACATATATACATTCATGGTTACATATAGAGGAAAATGCATTCTCTTTTGAAGAGGCCAGATAATGGTAATAATCTGTGATATGACACAACTTTAGAGGAAAATTTGTTCTTAATTGCTTAGTCCCTGTTGCTTGGTTGGGAAGGGAGGCATCTGTAGCATTCCCCTGGAGGTAGGAATCAACTATGGAATCAACAGTCCAGAACAGAGGGATAGACAGGTAGGTCCTCTATGCTTTTCCTAGGCTCTAGGAAGCATCAGTAAGTGAAAAACCAGTTTAGCTGGATGCTATAAGAGAAGTCCTGTGTTACTATTGGGGAAGATTGATATGATAATGGCAAGAAAGATAGTGGTGATGACCTTCCTGATTTGAAGATCTCTACATGTATTCTCTCAGAATGGTCCTAAAGAGAGGTAAGAAATGATACCTTATGAGAAACTGTCAGGACTGAAACTTCATGAAGACGTGTGTCCTGCTCTCTCCACAGCCCCATCAGCCAAACAGACTGAAGTTCGTCTGTGTTGTTACCCACAGGGTTCAACTGCAGAACAGCTGAGTTGTGTGTCCTTTGAACCTTAAAGTTAAGACCCTTAACAGTCATTCTAAAATGGTTGTCTGTACTCTTCTTTTGAGAGGATCAAATAAATCAATATTATAGCACTTTGAAAGAGTCTGAAGTGGTGTTATTTACCAGTGAACATGAATCAAGAACTAGAGTGGAAGAAACCTTAATCCTTAACCTACTTAAGTTAGGAAGGAAGATCGGAAAGGATGGCTAGGAACAACCCAACTCAAAGGATACTCAAGTGTCAATCACTCTTTTATGTCCCTTCTTTTGTCAATCACCTCAATCACTCTTTTATGTCCTCTTCTTTTTGTTCTTCCCACCACTGCCTTAATGAACACATTCGTCATTTAATTATGCATTTGCCCTCATCCAGCAACCCTAAAAAAACTTGCTTTCTCTGTTTCCAGTTTATCTTTTATACTGGCCCCTCGTTATTCTTTCAAACATATCTAGGCCAGGCGCAGTGGCTCACGCCTGTAATACCAGCACTTTGGGAGGCCAAGGTGGGCGGATCACATGAGGTTAGGAGTTCGAGACCAGCCTGGCCAACGTGGTCTCTACAGAAATACAAAAAAATTAGCTGGCCATGATGGTGGGTGCCTGTAATCCCAGCTACTCGGGAGGCTGAGGCAGGAGGATCGCTTGAACCTGGGAGCCGGAGGTTGCAGTGAGCCGAGATCGTGCCATTGCACTCCAGCCTGGGTGACAAGAGTTGAGACTCCATCTCAAAAAAAAAAAAACTATATATATATATATAATTACACAATTTCTATGGCTTAGACACCTTTATTGGCTCCTTAGGGAACTGCAGGATGGATTAAGTTATCTCCGTGGTATATAAAGTCCCTTCCACTCATATTTCAACCTTATTAAATATTCTGTAAGAAGCAAATATTAACATATAATGGATGCAATCAATAGAGACAAAGCCACATACAAGAAACAATACCTGATTATTAGCTAATCAAGTCTATAAATATCATGAATGGAGGCCAATAACACAAGCTCTAGGGTAACTACCTAGCAGAGCTGGGGACCTTGGGCGGTTGCTTAGCCTTTCTTAATAGGGTCTTCATCTGTAAAATGGGGATACTTTTAGCAGATGATTTTCCACACTATACTCAAACTCATAGAGTAAAAATAAAAATCTCTTTTCCAATAGTTAAGCCCCACACAGCTGAATCAACAATGCCATGTCTCAACATATTGGCTCCTGAGGCAAATAAAAAAATGTGTGCACCATACACTTTGTAATATATTCTTAAATTGTTGCTTTTTTCAGAACGCGGAAGTGGTTGAAAAATACAGAAAAACTGAAAAGTGTATTAAAACTCACAATGTTATTTAACCATTTTATTTATACCAAAATAGAATAATGTATTACAATTTTAGGTAAAAATTATTTAAATTTCTCCCTGGCTGGTGCCAGACCACACTCGACATTGTCTCATCATTTCCCCGACAGATCACAATGGAAGCAGAAATCACCTTGCTCATTGTTGACAATAGCTTTGCCATGTGCAAGTCTGCCTTTGCTGGGGACAATGCCCTCAAGTCATGTTCCTCTCCATTGTCAGGCACCCCTGGCACCAGGGCATGATGGTGGGCAGGGGCTAGGACTCCTATGTGGGCGATGAGGCCCAGAGCAAGCAGCATCCTGATCCTGAAGCACCCCATGGAGCAGGCCTCATCACCAACTGGGACCACATGGGGAAGATCTAGCACCATACCTTCCGCAATGGGCTGCACGTGGCCCCTAAGGAGCAACTGGTGCTGCTGACCGAGGCCCCCGAGCCCCAAGGCCAACAGAGAGAAGATGATTCAGATCATGTTTGGGGCCTTCAACACCCCAGTCAAGTACAGGGCCATTCAGGTCACCCTGTCCCTGCATGCCTCTGTCAGTGCCATTGGCACCATGGGGGACTCAGGCGATGGGGTCACCCACACTTGCCCATCTCCAAGGATACAGCCACCCTCTCCCAGTCATCCTGTGTTTGGCCCTGGCTGGCCGGGACCTGGCCGACTACGTGGTGAAGATCCTCGAGGGGCCCGCTACAGCTTCATCACCACAGTGAAGTGGGGGATTGTGCGTGACATCCAGGAAAAGCTATGCTGTGTTGCCTTGGACTTGCAGCAGGAGATGGCCACTGCCGTGTCCTCTTCCTTCCTGGAGAAGAGCTACAAGCTCTCCCACAGCCTGGTGGTCACCATCAGCAATGAGTGGTTCTGGTGTCCAGAGGCGCTGTCCCAGCCCTCCTTCCTGGGCATGGAATCTTGCTGCATCCAGGAGACCATCTTGACCTCCATCATGAAGTGTGATGTGGATATCTGCAAGGACCTGTACACCAATGTGGTGCTGTCTGGCAGCATTGCCATGCACCCAAGTATCACACACAGGATGTAGAAGGAGATCACTGCCCCAGCACCCAGGACCATGAAGATCAAGATCATGGCTGTCTCTGAGCACAAGTATTCCATGTGGATCAGCAGCTCCATCCTGGCCTCACTGTCCACCTTCCAGCCAATGTGGATCAGCAAGCGGGAGTGCCACCAGTCAGGCCCCTCCACTGTTCACCGCAAATGCTTCTAAATGGACTGTGATGAGATACGTAGCCTGTGCTGCCTGAGTCAATTCAGAAGTACAAATTTGTCCCTGGAAAATGTATACATCTCATGCTAGCCTTAGGAAACTGGAATAAGCCTTTGAAAAGAAATTTGTCAGGCTGGGTGCAGTGGCTCATGCCTGTAATCCCAGCACTTTTGGAGGCCCAGGCGGGCGGATCACCTGAGGTCGGGAGTTTGAGACCAGCCTGACCAACATGGAGAAACCCCGTCTCTACTAAAAATACAAAATTAGCCGAGCATAGTGGCACATGCCTGTAATCCCAGCTACTCGGGAGGCTGAGGCAGGAGAATCGCTTAAACCTGGGAGGCAGAGGTGAGCTGAGATCGCGTCATTGCACTCCAGCCTGGGCAACAAGAGTGAAACTCCGTCTCAAAAAAAAAAAAAAAAAAAAGAAAAGAAATTTGTCCTTGAAGCTTGTATCTGATGTCAGCACTGGATTGTAGGATTTGTTGCTGATTTTGACCTTGTACTGAAGTTAAATGTTCCCTTGGTATTTAATACCTTGTACTTATCTTTGATTTAAACCCTTAGTACATGTGGCTTAGTCACTTCATGGCAGAGGTGAGAACATGCTTGTGGAAGAGAAGTCCGTGGCTTGGTGATTCTGCCTGACCTGCAGTCTCTCCATCTGTGCAGGGTACTAATGTGTCGGAGCTCAGGGTTCCAGAATTCGTCTAGAGACCGGCAGGAGCTCCTCCACCAGTTGTCATTTCTGTCTTGCCCGTCTGTCAGGGTTGGAAAAGTCCAAACCTTAGGACCCAGTTTCCTTTCTTTCCTGATGTTTTCCTGCCAGGACACCGGTAGGCTGTTACTTGCCTTGAGCTGGAAGAAGTTTGCATTTACACTGTAAATGTATTCATTGTTTTAATTGATGTAAGGTTTTTATGTACAATTCTTAATTCTTTAAGAGATGACAACAAATTTTGGTTTTCTTTTTTTTTTTCTGTGGCTAATCTATTTTTAACCACAATCCCAAGATAATTCAGTGGGGGAAAAGACCATTTCTATAAATGATGCTGGGACAACTGGATATCTACATGCAAAAGAATGAAGTTGGATGCCTACCTCACACCACATAAAAAATTAACTCGAAGTAGATCAAAGGCCTAAAAGTAAGAACTAAAACTAGAAGCTCTTAGGAGAAAACGTAGGTATACATCTTTGTGACTTTAAAGTAGGCAAGTTTCTCAAATATAACATCAAAAGCAAAGCATTGGCAGGGCGTGGTGGCTCACCCCTGTAATCCCAGCATTTTGGGAGGCCAAAGCAGGTGAATCACTTAAAGTCAGGAGTTTGAGACCAGCCTGGCCAACATGGTGAAACCCTGTCTCTATTAAAAATACAAAAATTAGTTGGGCGTGGTGGTCATAGTCTCAGCTACTCAGGAGGCTGAGACACAAGAATCGCTTGAACTGGGAAGTGGAGGTTGCAGTGAGCCGAGATTGCACCACTGCACTCCAGCCTGGGAGACAGAGTGAGATTTCGTCTAAAAAAAAAAAAAAGAAAGATCTACAAATGGCCAATAGGCACATGAAAAGATACTCGACATCATTACTCATCAGGGAAATGCAAACCCAAACCACAATGAAATATTACTTCACAGTTGCTAGAATGGCCATAATAAAAAATACAGATAAAAACAAGAATTGGTGAGGATGTAGAGAAACTGAAACATTGCTCATGGAAATGTAAAATGGTGCAGTTGCTTTGGCAAGTTTCTTTAAAAAGTTAAGCAGAATTTTCATATGACCCAGCAACTGCACTCCTAGGCATATACTCAAGAGAAGTGAAAACATATGTTCAAACAAAAACTTGTACATGAATTGTCATAGTACCATTATTTATAATATTCAAACAGTGGAAACAATCCAAATGCCTATCAACTGATGAATGGATAAACAAAATGTATATACATAAAATGGAATATTATATGTTCATTAAAAGGAATGAAGGCAAGGCGCAGTGGTTCATGCCTGTAATCCCAGTATTTTGGGAGGGTGAGGTGAGAGGACTGTTTGAGCCAGGAGTTTTGAGACCAGCCTGGCTAACACAGTGAGACCCTGTCTCTATTAAAAAAAAAAAAAAATAGCTGGGTATGGTGGCATGTGCCTGTGATCCTAGCTACTTGGGAGGCTGAGGTGGGAGGATTGTGTGAGCCTGGGATGTCAAGGCTGCAGTGAGATGTGATCATGCCACTGTACTCCAGCCTGGGCAACAGCAAGACCCTGTCTCAAAAAAGAAAAAAAAGGAATGAAGTACTGGTACATGGTACAACATGGATGAATCTTGAAAACATGCTCAATGAAAGAAACCAGTCACAAAAGGCCATACATTATATAATTCCATTTATACAAAGTGTCCATAATAGATAAATTCATAGAGACAAAAAGCAGATTTGTGGTTATTAGGAGAGGAGAGAATAGGGGAGTGACTGCCTAATGAATATGAGATATTTTTGGAGGGTGATGAAAATGTTCTGGAATTAGATAGTAGTGATGGGGCCAGGTGAGGTGGCTCATGCCTGTAATCCCAGCACTTTAGGAGGCCAAGGTAGGTGGACAACCTGAGGTCAGGAGTTCAAGACCAGCCTGGCCAACATGGTGAAACTCAGTCCCTATTAAAAATACAAAAATTAGCTGGGCGCAGTGGTGCACACCTGTAATCCCAGCTACTTGGGAGACTGAGGAAAGAGAATCACTTGAACCCAGGAGGTAGAGGTTGAAGTGAGCCGAGATTGCACCACTGCACTTCAGCCTGGGCAACAAAGTGAGACTCTGTCTCAAAAAAAAAAAAAAAAACACACCAAAGATAGTAGTGATGGTTATACAACCTTGTAAACATACTTTTTAAAACTCCAAATGAATTGTACATTTTTAAATGGTGAATTTGGCCAGGCACGGTGGCTCACACCTATAATCCCAGCACTTTGGGAGGCCAAGGTGGGTGGATCACTTGAAGTCAGGAGTTTGAGACCAGCCTGGCCAACATGGTGAAACCCTGTCTACTAAAAATACAAAAATTAGCCGGTGGTGGTGCATGCCTGTAGTCCCAGCTACTCGGGAGGCTGAGGCAAGAGAATCACTTGAATCTGGGAGGCGGATGTTGCAGTGAGCCAAGATTGCGCCACTGCACTCCAGCCTGGGCTACAGAGAGAGACTCTGTCTCAAAAAAAAAAAAAATTAAATAAATATATAAATAAAATGATGAATTTTATGGCATGTAAACTACATTTCAATACAAATAGCAAAAGATTTGAAGAGATACTTCACCAAAGAGATTATATAGATGGCAGATAAGCACATAAAATATGTTTAACATTAATTAGGGAAATGCAAATTAAAACCATGGTGACAAGAGGAACCCAAAGAGACATGATGACTAAATGTAATATAGTGCTGGGATGGAATCCTGGAACAAGAAAAGGACTATAGCCAAAAACTTAAGGGAAGCTGAATAATGTATGGACCTTAGTTAATAATAATGTACTAACATTGGTTCACCAATTGAGACATGTGGACCATACTAGTATAAGATGTTGAAAAGAGTTAGTTTTGGGGGATGGTAGAACTATTCTGTATCTTGTGATGCATCTATACATATGTTAAAATTCATAGAAATGTACAATTGACATTTACTGAATGTCAATTAAAAAAATAAAATTTAAAAAACAACATGGAGGAACTAGACAGAATTCAAGAGCCCGTAGAACCTGGAGATTTGACCCCAGAAAAAAGAGAAGTGCACTGAATGAGATCCATGTTTCCAAAGTTTTCTTCTTCTTCTTCTTCTTTTTTTTTTTTTATTTATTGAGATGGAGTCTTGCTCTGTCGCCCAGGCTGGAGTGCAGTGGCCCAACCTCGGCTCACCGCAAGCTCTGCCTCCTGGGTTCAAGCGATTCTCCTGCCTCAAAGTAGCTGGGACTACAGGCGCCCGCCACCACACCCAGCTAATTTTTTGTATTTTTAGTACAGACGGGGTTTCACCATGTTAGCCAGGATGGTCTGGATCTCCTGACCTCATGATCCACCCACCTCAGCCTCCCAAAGTGCTGGGATTACAGGTATGAGCCACCACGCCCGGCCAAAGTTTCCTTCTTAGGGACACCCCAGTTTACACACTGTGAGATGCTAGAACTCATGCACAAAGCTATAGACTTCTCAGCTTAAGATATTGGTGGAGAGGCCAGGCACGGTGGCTCATGCTTGTAATCTCAGCACTTTGGAAGGCTGAGGTGGGTGGATCACGAGGTCAAGAGATTGAGACTATCCTGGCCAACATGGTGAAATCTCGTCTCTACTAAAAATACAAAAATTAGCCGGGCATGGTGGCACATGCCTGTAGTCCCAGCTACTCGGGAGGCTGAGGCAAGAGAATTGCTTGAACCTGGGAGGCGGAGGTTGCAGTGAGCCAAGATCATGCCGCTGCACTCCAGCCTGGCTACAGAGCGAGACTCCGTCAAACAAAAACAAAAACAAAAACATATATATATATGGCTGGGTGCGGTGGCTCACACCTGTAATCCCAGCACTTTGGGAGTCCCAGGCGGGTGGATCACGAGGTCAGGAGATGGAGACCATCCTGGCTAACACGGTGAAACCCCTTCTCTACTAAAAATACAAAAAACTAGCCAGGCGTGGAGGCAGGCGCCTGTAGTCCCAGCTGCTCGGGAGGCTTAGGCAGGAGAATGGCGTGAACCTGGGAGGCGGAGCTTGCAGTGAACCGAGACCGCGCCACTGCACTCCAGCCTGGGTGACAGAGTGAGACTCCATCTCAAAAAAAAAAAAAAAAGATATTGGTCGAGAAAGTTCAGGGTTTCTAGAGCAACTGCAAATTGATGGAGGATATCCCTGAAAGGAGGAATCTTCAGAGACAAGATTCCCAAGATCAATGCATGAAATGTCTTCAAATTCTTGGATAACCCCTTACTACACGTCCATGAAGTGAAACTCCAAGGAGCTCAGTAGAAAGCAGTAGTTGAAAGGCAGAAGGAAAAGGGCAGATATTTCAGTTGCTGCATACTCCAAGGGAGGCAGAATTTGTGGTTCAATTTTCAGAAATTTAAAGGGGCTTGGCAAATGCCTTGGACTGTCTACTGAAATCCCATAGAAGTCACACCTTAAAAGACTATATCCCAGGATGAAGGAATTCATCATAATAATGGGGGTAAAACTTTTAATAGAATCATCATAAAAAAGAGTTAAATTAGGATTCCACAAGTTTGAGGCTTGCTAGTACAAAAATAAACATTCTTCAGGGGAAGCTAAAAGAATCCAGAATCTCTACACTGTATCATACTCAATGTTCATTATACTATTTTTTGGTGGGGGATGGGGGGCTGGAGTCCAGTGGCGTGCTCTTGGCTCACTGCAGCCTCCACCTCCCGGGGTCAAACGATTCTCCTACATCTGCCTCCCGAATAACTAGGATTACATGCGTGTGCCACCATGCCTAGCAAACTTTTATATTTTTAGTATGGACGGGGTTTCACCATGCTGGCCATGCTGGTCTCAAACTGCTGACCTTGAGATCCACCTGCCTCGGCCTCCCAAAGTGCTAGGATTACAGGCGAGAGCCACCTCGCCTAGCCACAATTTTTTTAAATCCTAGGCAAGAAGAAAGGAGAAGGAGAAGAAGAAGAAGAAGAAGAAGAAGAAGGAGAAGAAGAAGAAGGAGAAGAAGAAGAAGAAGAAGAAGAAGAAGAAGAAGAAGAAGAAGAAGAAGAGGAAGAGGAAGAGGAAGAAGAGGGGCAGGGGGAGGGGAGGGGGAGGGGGAGGGGAGGAAGAGGAAGAGGAAGAAAAGATAAAAACAGAAAGAAAGAAAATGTAGGCTGGGTGCAGTGGCTCACAACTGTAATCCCAGTACGTTGGGAGGCCAAGGTGGGCGGATCACTTGAAGCCATGAGTTCGAGACCAGCCAGGCCAACATGGCAAAACCCCATCTCTACTAAAAATACAAAAATTAGCTGGGCGTGGTGGCTCATACCTGTAATCCCAGCTACTTGGGAGGCTGAGGCACGAGAATCACTTGAGCCCGGGAGGCCAAGGTTGCAGTGAGCCGAGATCACACCATTGCACTCCAGCCTGGTTGACAGAGGGAGACTCTGTCTCAAAATAAAAGAAAAAGAAAAAAGAAAGAAAATGTAATTCAACAATAAAAATGTCAATGGAAATAGATACCAAGATCACCCAAATGTTGGGGAAAAAAACTTTGAGGCAGATATGGATATTTACAAAAGACTTTAAAGAAGATAGTGATAATGAACACATGGATAGAGAGTTTTAGCAGAGAAAAGAAAATTTGAAAAAATAGAAATTCTAGACCTAAAAATAAATAAAATAATATATTCAATGTGCGAGCTTAACAAGCAAATTGGGGGTGTCAGAAGAATGGGTCAGTGAAATCAAAGAAATATTGAGACACATCTTTCTCTGAAAAAAATTGACCTATCGAACAATACTAAAGTAGTGGTATTTATTGGAGTTCTAGAAGAAGATGGGAAAGAAAATGGGGCAGAAAAAAACTTTAATGAAATAATGGCCCCAAATACTCAAATTTGGTAAGAGATAAATTTACGGATTCAAAAATCTCAGGGAACCACAGATAAATATGAAGGAAACCACTCCTATTCACATCATAATGAAACTACTGAAAACAAAGATAAAGAGAAAATTTTGAAAGCAGCCAAAGATAACACATGACAATTTGGAGAACAACAACTTGAAGGATCATTGACTTCTCACCTGAAACTATGAAGTACAGATATACTGGAGAAAAATCTTTAAAAGTGCTGAAAGAAAAAGGACAGTTAATACAGAGTTCTATGTCCAATAGGATGATAAATATAAAATAAAGGTATTTTCGGGTAAAACTAAGAAAATTCATTGCCAGCAGATCTACACCACAAGAAGTGCTGAAGGAAATTTTTCAGGCTAAGGAGAAATGCTATCAGAGAAAATCTTAGACCTTCAAGAATGAATGAAATCTTAGATTCGAGAATGAATGAAGGGGATCAGAAATGGTAAATACATGAGGAAAAGCAAAATACTTTTTTATTCTCACTCTCTTTAAAATGCACAGGACAGCTTAAAGCAAAAAGTGTAACATTTCTGGGGTTTATAATATATGTAGTTATAACACATATGACAAATACAGCATAAAAGATGGGGCAGGAGATGGTAGTAAGTGGACCTATACAGTTGCAAGGCTTTTATGTTTTATGTGAAGTCATACAATAATATCTCTAAGTAGACTGTGAAAAGTTAGGTAGTTACATCACAATCTCTAGAGAAACCACTAATATAAGACAAAGAGGTAGAGCTAAATGTCAATAGATAATTAAAATGGAATTCTTTTTTTTTTTTTTTTTGAGACAGGATCTCTCTCAGTTGCCCAGGCTGGAGTGTAGTGGCAGGAACCTGACGTGGCTCACTGCAGCCTCAACATCCTGGGCTCAAGTGATCCTCTCACCTCAACCTCCCAAGTAGCTGAGATGATAGGTGTGTGCCACCACACTTGGCTAATTTTTGAAATTTTTTGTCAAGGTGGGGTCTCACCATGTTGCCCAGGCTGGTCTCCAACTCCTGAGCTCAAGTGATCCTCCCTGCCCCACTTCCCAAAGTCCTGGGATTATAAGCATGAACCACCATACCCAGCCAGAATTATTTTAAAAAAAATTCAAATATGCCAAAAGAAGACAAGAAAGGAAGAACCAAGAAACAAATATCAGAAGGCAAAAGCTGAAAACAAATAAATAATGATAGACCTAAATTCAACCATATCAATTATTACATTAAATATCTATGGACTACACAGCCCAATTAAAAGGCAGAGATTGGCAGGGTGCAGTGGCTCATGCATATAATCCCAGCACTTTGGGAGGCCAAGGCAGGAGGATTGCTTTAGCCCAGGAGTTCAAGTCTAGCCTGGGTAGCATAGCAAGACCCCATCTCTACTAAAAATAAAAAAATGAAAAAATTAGCTGGGCATGGTGGCATTTGCCTGTAGTCCCAGCTGCTTGGGAGGCTGAGGTGGCAGGATCAGTTGAGCCCAGGAATTTGAGGCTGCAGTGCATTATGATCATGCCACTGCACACACTAGTCTGGGTGACAGAGCAAAAAACTCTCTGTTAAAAAAACAAAAACAAACAAACAAACAAAACACAGAGATTAACAAAATGAAAAAAGCAAGAGATACATTTTAAACATAAAGACATAAATAGATTGACAGTAAATGGATGGTAAAAGATATAGATGCAAATAGTGAGCATAATATCAGATAAAATAGACTTCAAAGCAAAAAGTGTTAGCAGAGATACAGAGGAACATTCATAATGATAAAAGACAACAATCATAAAATATTTAAGGCCGGGCGCGGTGGCTCACGCCTGTAATCCTAGCACTTTGGGAGACCGAGGCAGGCAGATCACAAGGTCAGGAGATCGAGACCATCCTAACACGGTGAAACTCCATCTCTACTGAAAATACAGAAAAATTAGCTGGGCGTGGTGGTGAGCTCCTGTAGTCCCAGCTACTCAGGAGGCTGAGGCAGGAGAATGGCATGAACCTGGGAGGCAGAGCTTGCAGTGAGCCGAGATTGGGCCACTGCACTCCAGCCTGGGTGACAGAGCGAAGACTCCATCTCAAAAAAAAAAAAAAAAAAAAATTAACATAACAATTTAATCTCAAAATCCACAGAGCAAAATTTGACAGAATTAATGGGAGAAATAGATGATGCCACAATCATATTTGAAAGTCTTAACATCCCTCTCTTTTTTTTTTTTTTTTAAGATGGAGTCTTGCTCTGTTGCCTAGGCTGGGGTGCAGTGGCATGATCTCAGCTCACTGCAACCTCCGTCTCCCGAGTTCAAGCAGTTCTCTGCTTCAGCCTCCTGAATAGCTGTGATTACAGTCACCCGCCACCACGCCCGGCTAATTTTTGTATTTTTGTGTTTTTTATTTTATTTTATTTTTGAGAAGGAGTATCGGGGGATATTCAGCCAGATATTGGGTGAAATTCACCCCTGATATTTCACGTAGGTTCTTTTCTGTGTTCCCTAAGTGTCGGCCAGTCTGAGAAATAAAGGGACAAGGTACAAAAGAGAGAAATTTTAAAGCTGGATGTCTGGGAGAGACATCACATGTTGGCAGGTTCCGTGATGCCCCCCTGAGCAAGTTTTTGTTAGTGATTTTCAAAAGGGGAGGGAGTGTACGAATAGGGTGTGGGTCACAGAGATCACATGCTTCACAAGGTAATAGAATATCACAAGGCAAATGGAGGCAGGGTGAGATCACAGGACTACAGGACCGGGGTGAAATTAAAATTGCTAATGAAGTTTCAGGCACACATTGTCATTGATAACATCTTATCAGGAGACAGGGTTTGAGAGCAGACCACCAGTCTGACCAAAAATTTATTAGGTGGGAATTTCCTCGTCCTAATAAGCCTGGGAGTGCTAGGGGAGACTGGGGCTTATTTCATCCCTACAGCTCAACCATAAAAGATGGCCGCCCCCCGAAGTGGCCATTTCAGAGGCCTACCCTCAGGGACGCATTTTCTTTCTCAGGGATGTTCCTTGCTGAGAAAAAGAATTCAGTGATATTTCTCCCATTTGCTTTTGAAAGAAGAGAAATATGGCTCTGTTCCACCTGGCTCACCGGCGGTCAGAGTTTAAGGTTATCTCTCTTGTTCCCTGAACATTGCTGTTATCCTGTTCTTTTTTCAAGGTGCCCAGATTTCATATTGTTCAAACACACATGCTCTACAATTTGTGCAGTTAATGCAATCATCACAGGGTCCTGAGGTGACATACATCCTCCTCAGCTTAAGAGACGACAGGATTAAGAGATTAAAGACAGGCATAGGAAATCACAAGGGTATTGATTGGGGAAGTGATAAGTGTCCATGAAATCTTCACAATTTATGTTTAGAGATTGCAGTAAAGACAGGCATAAGAAATTATAAAAGTATTAATTTGGGGAACTAATAAATGTCCATGAAATCTTCACAATCCATGTTCTTCTGCCATGGCTTCAGCCTGTCCCTCAGTTCGGGTCCCTGACTTCCCACAACAAAGGAGTCTCGCTCTGTTGCCCAGGCTGGAGTGCAGTGGTGGCACAATCTCAGCTCACTGCAACCTCTGCCTCCTGGGTTCAAGCAATTCTCTGCCTCAGCTTCCTGAGTAGCTGGGATTACAGGCACCCACCACCATGCCCAGCTAATTTTCGTATTTTTAGTAGAGACAGGGTTTCACCATCTTGGCCAGGCTGGTCTTGAACTCCTGACCTTGTGATCCACCTGCCTCGGCCTCCCAAAGTGCTGAGATTACAGGCGTGAGCCATGGCACACGGCCACCATCCCTCTTTTAACAACTGACAGAGAAACTGTGCAAAAAATCAGTGAAGTCATAGATGATCTGAACATTATCAACTACCGTGACCTAATTGATATTTATAGTATACCCTACTCTGCAAAATAAACATTTTCAATTACATATGGTATGTTCACGAGAGTAGACCATATGTTACTCCATAAAGCAAGCCTCAGTAAATTTAAAGGGATTTAAATCATTCACTGTTCTCTGACCACAGTCTGGGGATGTGGCAGGCATCTGAGCACATTGGAGGTCAGTGGAAGGAGAAGAGCCAGGTCAGAGAGGAGGCACAAGCAGGTCTGGGTAGGACTGAACACCAGGAGGATTGAGGAGGGGGTGGTGGGGGCACCAATTACCCACCTGGACCCCAGCCTCAGAGCTGCTAGGAGGAAGGAGTGCTGCTGTCAGACTGGCCTGGGCAATGATGATGAACAGGGCCCCAGGGCTTCCCTCTTGGTCCCTTTATCTGCCTGAAGGATGGACAGCTTGTCCTTCCTTCTCTAGCCACAGAAGAAGAACATCTAGCAAGGTGTGAGTGTGGCCACTGCAAGGTGAGCTAATTGGGCTGGGGGCTCAGATTCAAGTGGGATTGCTCTGTGCCAAGAGGGAAGGGATAACCAAAGGCTCTGTATGGGAAGGAAGACGGGCTGAAGCAAGCTGTGCTATGGAACTGCCTACTCCCTGATGCTTGTTCCCGCTGAAGGTGGGCGGCTAGGAGCAGTGATCCCAAAGCCCTGCCTTCCACAGAGGCACACTTTGTCCAAGGTTAAACTGAAGGGTGAGGAGAGGAGCTGATAATTTAGGTTTGTCACTAAATTGGGTTGACCCCACTGGTTGGGGTCCTGCAGGGGCCCGGTTCTGGGGAAAGGCCCTGGGCTTCAGAAAGACTGCCTGTCACCCTCACACCCAGCTGCAGGACCACCCTCATTACTTTGCTCTGTTGAAAGCCTTAGTCAGGGTGAGGGGAGGAAGAGCTCAGGCCCCCAGCAAGAAGTCCCCATGGGGTGGGTGGCATGATCAGGCCAGGTGCCCCAGGAGTGGGAGTCTCTGTTCCCTGGGCTCTTACAGCTCCAGGGCCTTGCCCCCTTTTCTTTCTTACAAAGAAAACGGTGGCTTGACTCAGCAAAAACTAAGAAGGGTAGCTGTTTCTCCAGGTCAGGAAGGATACGGGGGTCAGCACTTCCTGGCAGTTGAGTCTGGGGAAGGGGGACCTCACATGCCAGCAGCGTGAGAAAGATGATACTGTACAGTGGTGAAGGACACGGGCACTGGAGCCAGACCACTTGGCCTGAATACTGGTTGTGCCGCTTACCAGCTTGTAACCTCTCCAAGCCTCAGTTTCCCCATCTGTAAAATGGGAAGTATAACATCATCTACTTCAAGTCATTATTGTTAGGGCTAAATGATGCTTTAGCACAGCTTTTGGCAATCAATCATTATGGATGGAGCACCATGTGTGGACCTACATCCCCTATCTGAAGGAGCATGTCCTCATCAGACCTTGACTCAAAGTCTAGCGCCTAGCTGATGGTGGCTGAAGTGCCTCCCCACCCCCACCAGCACTGGGGTACTTTCAGAGGGAGAGTCGGGGTGGGGCCCTGCTCCCCAGGGCCTTTCCATCTAGGTGATTCCCTGAGAGCTCTGGGGCAGGGGTCACAGGGAGGCCGCCAGCCTCTGAGGGCCCATTGTTCTTCTTCTCTGAGCTGGGAAAGATGTATTCTCCCCACCCTTCCTCTCCACAACCACATCTGCATGCTTAGGGGCAGACTTTAGATAAACAAACCTTGCCAGCTAGCCTTACCCAGCTCACAGAGAGCTCTTACTGCCTCACAATGGCCCTGTGATGTCCAGCCCTTGGAGCTTATTGTCCCTAGTTCACAGGAAGTTGAGGCCCAGAGAGAGGAAGGGGCTGGTTTGATGTCCCATATAGAGAGGTGGCACAGCCAGGGCTGGGTATCCCAGTCCCGTGTCGTGTCCAGCATTTTAGTGCAGACTCACATGCACATCAAATGCACAACCATGCAATGACAGACAAGCAGCTCCACAGGAGGAGTGCACAACCAGAGGGGAGAGGAGAGAGCCTGGACAGCCTCTGTCCTCACCTCCTCAGTGGCCATGTGGTGACGGCTGGGTTTTTTATTTTTTTCTCCCTAGATGAGCTTCACATCTCAGGTAACTGGAGAAGTCTTCAGCTTGTCTTGTCCTCTCCACAGGTGGGGTGCCCACTGCTTCAACAGGGGCCAGAACAGTCTGCCCTCTTCCATAGCTGTAAACCTCTGCTTGGCCCAGCAGGAGTGAGGGTAGAGGGGAGTAGGGCTCAAGGTGCCCTCGCTACCTAGTAGATGGTAGGAGAGCATAACCAAAAGCCAAAGAGCTGTTTACATGACTGGGTTCTCCCTGTGGCCTTCTGAGATTGCAGGAGATGGAAAGGGGGAGACCGGATCCTAGGGGAACCCAATATTCAGGTTTTCCTGGGTTCCTGAGATGCAAGATTTCCAATTTTAAGACATGGGAAGTTGTAGGCAGACTGGGATGAGTTGGTCACCTGGGTCTTCCATAGCTCCCAGTCTGAGAAAATGAGACTCACCCAGTAATAAGCAGAAGATTTGGCTGGGTGAGGTGGCTCATGCCTGTAATCCCAGCACTTTGGGAGGCCGAGACAGGCAGATCACAAGGTCAGGAGTTTGAGACCAGCCTGGCCAAGATGGTGAAACCCCATCTCTACTAAAGATATAAAAATTAGCCGGGCGTGGTGGTGGGTGCCTGTAGTCCCAGCTACTCGGGAGGCTGAGGCAGGAAAATCACTTGAACCCGGGAAGCGGAGGTTGCAGTGAGCCGAGATCGTGCCACTGCACTCCAGCCTGAAGACAGAGCAAGGCTCCATCTTAAAAAAAAAAATGCAGAAGATACTATGGAATGGGCCAGGAGAAAAAGGAAGGATCAGGGATGGGAGAGACACAGTGAGCCACACAGTAGCTGGCATTCTGCATGGTGGGCCTGGGCAGCCTGGCTCTTCATTTGCATATGGGTCTTTCCCACCCCAGTCAAATCTGCTGGAGCCAATTCTGCTTCCTTCCAACAAAGATGCCCAGACACCTGGCGGTAGTGTGTTACTTCCTGCTCCCAGCTCCTCTAACACCCCTGGAGAGCTCCATGCCCACAGGTCTTACCTTCACCCACTTTCCCAGGCTCTTAGATCAAACATCAGGCACAGTGCAGGCAATGGGGCCATCCTCCCAAGTCCCAAAAGCCTTCTGTTTCCAGTAGAGATGGGAGAAGCCTGAACTAAGCAGGTTTCTCACTTCCTTATGGAGGAAGAAGAGCTAAGAGAGGTGACTGATTTTAGTACAAAGGGCACAGGGCACAGAAACATGCAGGAATACATTAGCTGCGTGCACTCCAGTGATACATAGCCTCTGTAAACCTGTTTCCTTATCCTGAAAATGGGGACATTGTTCCTATCTTGTGATTGTATTAAGGATCAAATGAGCAGCTGCTCAACAGAGGTTTCTGGAGAGGTCCTTCTCCACACAGACTTGGGAGGAGATGCTTGTCCTAGGTCCAAATCTCATCCAGGTTTCCCGATTTTTTCAGGTCTTCTGCTCAACTCAGGTACCAGCTGACACCCACCCAGTCCCTGGTGTTGCCTTCAGGAGCAGTGGCAAGATGGGAGCTGGTTGGGGAAGGGGATCCTAGCGCAGGGGGGAGGAGGAGAGAATGGAATGGCTGGACTTTGAGATGAGAAGACAGTTGGATGGGGAGGAGGCACCATTTGCTGGAACTGAAGGGTTCTCAGTAGGGGCTCGAGGCAGGATGTATCTGTGATATCTGGACCTCTGGAGTCCCTTAAGCACAAGGAGGCAAGTGTGTGGCAGTGAAGACATTCTGCCTTGGGCCCAAGCCCAAGACAGGTCTCCCTGAGCCCTGGGCAGACCATCCGACCTATGGTCATTGGAAGGACCCACCTCCTCCCTATCCCAGGCCTGTGTAAACGCCAGGAAGGCAGGTCCCTTTCTCCATGCAGGCCCTGACTGGGGCAGTCAGCACCATTAAGTTCTTCCTCTCTGAGGCTTTCCTGGGTCAACACTTCGAGGCTGTGTAGTTGGAGGGCAGGGAGCCTGAGCCAGGAGACGTCTTCCTGTTCAGGCTGATTCCCCCCACCTGACGCTGGTGCGGGGCCCACGTTGGCATATACTGTGGCCATGGAGAGATCATCCACTTTGAGGGTGAGTGCCTCCAGCAGAAACACAGGCCCAAGTCTGCGGAGAGGCTGCCCAGCCAAGCCACGCCCCACCAGTGAGCTGGCTACTCGGGGATAAAGACTGAAGTCCCAGGCTGGGGGTACGTTTCTCTGAAAATGGGGTTTGGGCACTCAGGGTCCCTGAGGTCTCAGGAAATGGGGGTGCGGGATCACAGGGCATAGGACCTAAGCCTGGCTCTGATCCGCACCCCTCTGGCGATCCCCGCAGGCAAGAACTCAGGAGGCTGTGGGCTCCTGGGAAGTTTCTGGGCTCCTGGAAAGGCATCGTATCCAAACAGGGGCAGCGCCCGCTGCTGCGCTCCTGCTGGCGCGTGCTGCGCAGAGTGAGCGAAGCGACGGACGCGGACCCACCATCCTATCACTCCATGCGCAGCAACTGTGTGCACTTTGCACTGTGTCTGCTCGTCCCAGGTCCCAGCCTGGACCCCCGGCAAATAGACGGGAGCTCCAGCAGGTCGGTGAGCGTGGCCCAGCTACCTGCACAGGACCCATCCCACCTCCTGAGCAGACTAGCCAAAGCGCCTTATAAACGCGCAACTGCAAAATCCAGGCCCTTCTCTTCCCACTCCCCACCCAGGCCAGTTTTCTCCAAATTCAAGATCCACTTTTCTCTGGCAGGCACAAAGCCACCGGAACCAAGCGGACCCACCCACTTGTCTAGGTTATCCCAACAGAACCTTCTCATTACCCCAATAGAACCTTACCCCAGTAGAATTACCCCCAATAGAACTTTTCTACTGAGCCAAGCTCCACCTTTCTGGGCCCCACTCCTTCCCAGGTAGGCCCGCCAATTCTGCCCATGGAGACTTCGGGATGCTAGTTACAGACCAAGACTCAGGCCTTAGGAACTCCTCCAGTCCCCATGCCCAGCTAAAAGACTCCAGCCACCTCAACTGATGCCCAACTGGATCCTACCTCTTCCCCCAGCCCAATTCACTACTTTCCATCGGATCCAAGCCTTCCTTCCTTGGGCCTAGGGGTCACTCGGGCTCGGGAGCTGAACTGGAGGGCTCACATGACTCAGGAGCCCTGGTGGTCACACCAGACCCTTCTCTTCCTTTTCAGGTGTCAATGGACGTGGACGTGTCCCCGGATTAAGCATGACCTTGGCCCTCCTGGGTGGACGTGGAGGCTTCAGAAAGATTCATTAAACTACTTTCCAAAGCTTAATTAGATGTTCACCGTCCTCTGTATCCTGTTTCCCATCTCTCTAAGCCCCCAAGGGCTCCTCGGAGCTCCCTGACCTTAATTCCTTAAATTCCGCCACCTCCAGGAAGCTCCTCGGCTTCCTGCTGCCAAGCCAGATTTTGTAGGAAAGGTGGGGCGGGAAAGGGAGCGTCCTTAGGTATCTGAGGCCGGTCCTCGGGTGCGGTGACCCCTTCCCGCTCTAGAACCCCCAGCCTGCGGGCACAGCCTTCTTTCCAGTTCCCGCTTTCCCTCCACGGCGTGGGTGAGCATCCGCGCGTGCGTCTGGGGAGAGCGGAGCCCCAGAGGCCCGTCCCGCCGAGGCCAGGTGGTCGGGGGTGGGGGCAGCTATTCCACATCCCCTGCAAGACGGTCCCAGCGTCCGTCCAGCAGACTCGCCCACCTTTAGATCTGGAGACGAGCCAAGTCGCTTTAAAGGGCAGAAGACGCCCTGAAGAGGGCATTTCCTAGGGATGGGCGGGGCCAGGCCCTGACGCACCGCCCCTGTCGCCTCCTCGCGGACACGCCCTCCGCTCGGCTGGCGCCGGTGCCTTTAAGACCTCAGCGCGCGGCCCTGATTGAGAAATCCGCGCGCAGCCTCCGCCGCTGCACACTGCAGCCTCTGCTGAACCCCTGCCGCGCCGCCGCCTTCGCCAGCCCGGACCGGACCGGCCCGCCTTCCCTTCCTCCGCTCCAGCCGGCCTCCGGCCCCGCAACCTCCTCCTCGGCGAAGTCTCCCTGGCCGCCCCATGTCGGCCGCCCCCGCCTACAGCGAAGACAAGGGCGGCTCCGCTGGCCCCGGGGAGCCCGAGTACGGCCACGACCCCGCGAGCGGCGGCATCTTCTCCTCCGACTACAAGCGGTGAGGGAGCCCGCCAGGAAGCTCGCGGGAGGGTTGGGGCCGGGGACCGGGCGAGGCGCGCGGGCACCATGGACAGCGCCCGGCCCCAGCGCCGGCCCCGCCCCGGCCGCGCCGACCGGAAGCCCGCCCGGCCCCCTCCTGCGGCCTGGAGCCCCGGCCCAGCGCGGGCAGCGCTGGCACCCCGGCTCCAGGGGCCGGCCTAGGACGCGGAGGGGGGCAGATAGGGGCTGGCGGGGGATGGGCCAGCTCAGTTTCGAGAGGAGAAACCCTCCGGTTCCAGGTGTTTCTCCGGTTTGCGGCGTTGCGTTAGGGGTTCCCTTCCTTTTTCGTGCTAGGCGGGTTGGCTTCCCAAAAATGTGGGGGAGGGGTCTGAGTCAGCGAACTTGAGCTTGAGCCTGGGGCCTCTTCAGGAAGGCGGGCCCTGGATGTACTTGCACAGCCTCCCAGCTTGGCCCTGCTGCAAATTCATTTCCCCTCCCTCTGGTCCCCATCTCCATCTGACCCTCACATCCCTGCTCCTGGCATTGCCCCTGTAGTTCAGCTCCACCTTCACACCCTCCCCCACCTTTGATTCGTTCGTTTGTTTCTTCATTTGTTTATTCGTAAATTCTGCAACAAGCATTTATGAAAAGCCAACTGTGTCGAGTCCTGAACTAGTCACGGAATACAACTGTGAACATGAGACCCTTCTTGTCCTCACGATGCTCTAGAGGGGAGCACAGATGAAGAAGCAGTCAGGGACAGTCGAGTGTAATGGGGGCAGTGGGAGCAGGGAGAGGACCTAGTCTCTGGCGCCGGAGAGAAGGAAGACAGGAGCGTGAGGTATGTTCCAGGCAGAGGAAAGGGCTTTCAGGAAGGTTGAGAGCCAGGCCACAATCTGTGTGAGCCACTGGACTGACCAGAAAAGAGGGTGGGGAGGACTCCTGAAGGATTCTAAGCAGGCGACATAATCAGATTTATATTTTAGAAGGACGTCAGGCTGCTGCATTGTGGAGAAGAGATTGGAGGTGGGCCAGATTGAACAAGAGACAAGGGAGGTGGGTCTTGAAGTTCACAGGCCTGGCATGATTGTGGCCTAGACCAGGGGAGAGGCAGAAGATTTGAGGCTGTGGAAGAGGTGGAAGCCTCAGACCTGATGATTAATTGGATATTGGGTGGGGGTTTAGAGGGACAGGGGGAGAAGATGAGGATTTTCACGCACGTCCATGTGAAGAGACCACCAAACAGGCTTTGAACAATAAAGCTTTTTAATCACTTGGGTGCAGGCCAGCTGAGTCCGAAAAAAGAGTCAGCGAAGGGAAATGGGGTGGGACCGTTTTACAGGATTTGGGTAGGTAGTGGAAAATTACAGTCAAAGGGGGTTGTTCTCTGGCGGTGGGGGGACACAAGGTGCTCAGTGGGGGAGCTTTTGAGCCAGGATGAGCCAGGAGAAGGAATTTCACAAGATAATGTCATCAGTTAAGGCAGGCACAGGCCATTTTCACTCTTCAGTTACTTCAGGCCATCTGGATGTATACGTGCAGGTCACAGGGGATATCATGGCTTAGCTTGGGCTCAGAGGCCTGACATTCCTGTCTTCTTTTATTAATAAGAAAAATAACATAAAATAGTGTTGAAGTGTTGGGGCAGCAAACATTTTGGCGGGGGGTGGTATGGAGAGATACTGCTTCTCCATAGCCTTGAAGGGCTGCTTCGAGCGGGATTGGGGTGGCGTGGGAACCTAGAGTGGGAGAGATTAAGCTGAAGGCAGATTCTGTGGTAAGGGATGATATTGTGGGGTTGTTAGAAGAAACATTTGTTGTATAGGATTATTGGTGATGGCCTGGATACGGTTTTGTATGAATTGAAAAACTAAATGGAATAAGAGAAGGAGAAAAACAGGTATTAAAGGACTAAGAATTGGGAGGACCCAGGACATCCAATTAGAGAGTGCCCAAGGAGGTTCAGCATAGCCCTGCCAGCAAAGATTATTTATTTACTTTAAGAGGGAGTTAAGACTGGCAGTTTGGGGATAGCACCAGGAGATATCAGCTGTAATGGTTTGGAGAAACAGTGTAAACCGGCAGTGTAAACAAGAGCAGGGCATGTATGAGTAGTTGAGTATGGTGAATAGGAGTATGACTAGTCAGAAGATAGTAGGGATGACAAGTTTTCTGGGGCACAGTCCAAGTTGGTCTGGTGTCTGGAATGAGACTGGGGCCTAATAAAAAGGAGCATCTATACAGGAGCTTGAATGGGCTGTACCCTGCAGCATTCCGAGGACAGGCCCAAATTCTGAGAAGGGCAAGTGGTAAAAGTATTGTCAGTCCTTTTTAAGTTGGTGGCTGAGCTTGGTGAGGTGTGTTTTTAAAAGACCATTAGTCCGTTCTACCTTTTCTGAAGATTGAGGATGGTAAGGGGTATGAAGGTTTCACTGAATACCAGGAGCCTGAGAAACTGCTTGGGTGATTTGACCAGTAAAGGCTGGTCTGTTATTGGACTATATAGAGGCGGGAAGGCCAAACTGAGGAATTATGTCTGACAGAAGGGAAGAAATGACCGCAGTGGCCTTCTCAGACCCTGTGGGAAAGGCCTCTACCCATCCAGTGAAAGTATCTACCCAGACCAAGACGTATTTTAGTTTCCTGACTCGGGGCATGTGAGTAAAGTCAATTTGCCAGTCCTGGGCAGAGGCAAATCCCCAGGCTTGATGTGTAGGGAAGGGAGGGGGCCTGAACAATCCCTGAGGAGTAGTAGAATAGCAGATGGAACACTGAGAAGTGATTTCCTTGAGGATAGATTTCCACAATGGAAAGGAAATGAGAGGTTCTAAGAGGCAGGCTAGCGGCTTGTAACCTACATGGAAGAGGTTATGAAATGACGAAAGAATAGAATGGGCCTGTGAGGCTAGAAGGAGATATTTTCCTTGGTCTGAGAACCATTTGCCTTGTGTGGGAAGAGATTCATAGGTGTAAGTTTCATTGGGGGAGTAGGTAGGAGTGACTGATGAGAAGGAGAAAAACTGGCCATGAGGGACAGAAGTTGGAATGCTAGCTGCTTTTTTAGCTACCTTATCAGCATAAGTGTTGCCCTGAGCGATGGGATCTGATGCCTTTTGATGGCCCTTGCAGTGAATGACTCCAGCTTCCTTTGGAAGTAAAGCGGCCTTGAGAAGAGTTTTTATTAAAGAGGAATTAATGATGGAGGACCCTTGTGTAATGAGGAAAGCTTTTTGCCCATATAACAGCATGGAGGTACAGGATATGGAAGGCATATTTAGAGTCAGTATAAATATTGACACATAGTCCTTTTGCAAGACTGAGGGCTCGAGTTAAGGCAATGAGTTAAGCTTTCTGAGAGGTAGTGGAGGGGGGCAGAAAGTATATGCGTCAGGTGTGAGGAAGAAAATAGATTTTGGAAGTTATGAGAACTGTAGAGAGTGAGTTGAGCATAGTTTGTGATTTTGAGGGCCTCTGAAAGTATTAAAGCAGCGGCAGCCGCTGCACGCAGACATGAGGGCTAGGCCAAAACAGTAAGGTCAAGTTGTTCGGACAGAAAGGCTACAGGGCGTGGTCCCAGCTCTTGTGTAAGAATTCCAACCGCACAGCCCTGCACTTTGGCTGTGTGTGATGAAAAAGGGTTGGGATGAATTAGGGAGACCTAGTGTGAGAGCAGCTTCTACGGCTGTTTTTAAGGAATGGAAAGGAGTGGCAAAAGGATTTAGGATCTGTGGGGTCAGCTAGGTTTGCTTTTGTGAGTTTATATAATGGTTTAGTCAGGATGGTAAAACTAGGTATCCAAAGGTGGAAGTACCTAACCATCCCTTGAAAGGAAAGGAGTTGTTGCTTTGTAGAAGGGATTGGGGTTCGGGAGATTAGCCGGACATGATCAGCAGGGAGAGCACGTGTGTTTTCATGAGAACTATGCCAAGATAGGTAATGGATGAGGAAGAAATTTGGGCTTGACTGAAGTAATGGGGGCTGTCCGTGAAGCCTTGCGGCAGTACAGCCTAGGTAGTTTGCTGAGCCTGATGGGTGTCAGGGACAGTCCAAGTGAAAGCGAAGAGAGGCTGAGATGAAGGGTGCAAATGAATAGTAAAGAAAGCATGTTTGAAATCCAGAAGAGAATGATGGGTTGTGGAGGGGTTGTGGAGGGAGGTATTGAGGAGGAGAGTATATGAGTTTGGCACCACGGGGTGGATAGGCAAAACAATTTGGCTGACAAGGCACAGATCCTGAACTAATTGTAAGACTTGTCTGGTTTTTGAACAGGTAAAATGGGGGAATTGTAAGGAGAGTTTATAGGCTTTAAAAGGCCATGCTGTAACAGGCGAGTGATAACAGGCTTTAATCCTTTTAAAGCCTGCTGGGGGATGGGATATTGACATTGAGCACGGTAAGGGTGATTAGGTTTTAATGGGATGGTAAGGGGTGCATGATCAGTCGCCAAGGAGGGAATAGAGGTGTCCTATACTTGAGGATTAAGGTGGGGAGATACAAGGGGAGGATGTGAAGGAGGCTTTGAACTGGGGGAAAAGGTGGCAATGAGGTGTGGCTGTAGCCTAGGAATAGTCAGGGAAGCAGATAATTTAAAGTGTCTCGGCCTAATAAGGGAACTGCGCAGGTGGGGATAACTGAAAAGGAGTGCATAAAAGAGTATTGTCCAAGTTGGCCTCAGAGTTGGGGAGTTTTGAGAGGTTTAGAAGCCTGGCCATCAATACCCACAACAGTTATGGAGGCAAAGGAAACAGGCCTTTGAAAAGAAGGTAATGTGGAGTTGGTAGCCTCCGTATTGATTAAGAAGGGGACGGACTTACCCTCCACTGTAAGAGTTACCCAAAGCATCTGTGATGGTCCAGGAAGCTTCCAAGGCGATTGGGCAGTGTCAGTCTTCAGCTGCTAAGCCGAGAAGATTTGGGAAGGAGTCAGTCAGGCAGCCTTGGGCCAGAGTTCCAGGGGCTCTGGGAGTGGCTGCCAGGTGAGTTGGACAGTCCGATTTCCAGTGGGGTTCCACACAGATGGGACAAGGCTTAGGAAGAATCCTGGGCTGTGGGCATTCCTTGGCCCAGTGGCCAGATTTCTGGCACTTGAAGCAAGATCCTGATGGAGAAGGTCCTGTAGGAATGCTTGACTGCTGCAGCTTAGGCATTTTGAAGTTCTTGTGTACTGGAGATGTGGCTGGGGTTTCTCTCACAGTGGAGGCAAGGAACTACAACTCAGAAATACATTGCTACTTGGCTGCCTTTACTCTATTATTGTACACCTTGAAGGCGAGGTTAATTAAGTCCTGTTATGGGGTTTGAGGGCCGGAATTTAATTTTTGGAGTTTTATTTAATGTTGGGAGTGGATTGGGTAATAAAATGTATATTGAGAATAAGACTGCCTTTTGACCTTTTAGGGTCTAGGGCTGTAAAGCGTCTCAGGGTTGCTGCCCAACGAGCCATGAACTGGGCTGGGTTTTTATATTTGATGAAAAAGAGCCTAAATACTAACTGATTTGGCAGAGGTCGGATAAAGGAAAAGGAGCGTTAACCTTGACTATGCCTTTAGCTCCAGCCACCTCTTTAAGAGGAAATTGTTGGGCAGGTTGGGGAGGGCTAGTCGCAGAACAAAACTGTAAGCCGGACTGGGTGTGGGGAGAGGAGGTGATAGAAGGATTATAGGGTGGAGGAGCAGAAGCTGAGAAAGAATTGGAGTCTGATTCAGCCTGGTGGGGAGTGACCTGAGGAGCATTCTGGGGATTAGGTGAGAGGTCAGATGGGTCGGTAGAAAAGGAAGATTGGAAGATTGAAAAGACGCAGCGACGCTTGGGGTTGGGACTGAGGGGACAGGCGGGAGGGAAAGAAGGAGGATTTGGGATGAGTCGCATTGGGAACAGAGACTAGGGAGGGACCGATGTGTAAAAGAATGCCTGGACATCAGGCACCTCAGACTGTTTGCCCATTTTACAACAAGAATTATCTAGATCTTGTAGGATGGAAAAATCGAAAGTGCCGTTTTCTGGCTATTTGGAACCATTGTTGAGTTTGTATTGGGGTTAAGCGGCATTGCAAAGAAAATAAGGCATTTAGGTTTTAGGTCAGGTGTGAGTTGAAGAGGTTTTAAGTTCTTGAGAACACAGGCTAAGAGAGAAGAAGGAGGAATGGAGGGTGGAATGTTGCCCACAGTGAAGGAGGCAAGCCCAGAGAAAAGAGAGGGTAGAGACACGGAGAGAAGGGGTGGGGGGTGCTTTGCCCCCCAGGAAAGTGGAGAGAAAAGAGAGGGTAGAGACACAGAGAGAAGGAGTCGGGGGTGCTTGTCCCCCAGGAACGTGGAGAGAAAAGAGAGGGTAGAAACATGGAGAGAAGGGGTGGGGGGTACTTGCCCCCCAAAAAGTGGTGTTTGCCACTAAGGGTGAAAGATCAAGGCAGGCATCCTCGCGGTGATCAGACAACTCTGAAACGTGGGTGAATAATCAAGCAGGCGTCCCCGCAGTGATTAAACACCAAGGGAAGACTGTCTTCCTGAGTCCGTGATCGGCGCCGGAGTTTTGGGTTCACAGATAAAATGCATTTCCTGTCTCTACCAGAAAAGGAAAGGAACCGAAATTAAGAGAAGGGAGAGATTGAAAGATGGCACCAAGATTGAAAGGAGAAAGAGGTTGAGGGATAGTGAGAGAGGTTGGAGAAGAGAGTAAAAAGAGGCCGCTTACCTGATTTAAAATTGGTGAGATGTTCCTCAGGCTGGTTGGTCTGAGGACCCGAGGTCATTAGGTGGATCTTTATCATGAAGCAAAGAGCAGGAGGACAGGGGATTGATCTTCCAAGGGTGGTCCCCCGATCCGAGTCATGGCACCAAATTTCACGCACGTCCATGTGAAGAGACCACCCAACAGGCTTTGTGTGAGCAATAAAGCTTTTTAATCACCTGGTTGCAGGCCGGCTGAGTCTGAAAAAAGAGTCAACGAAAGGAGATAGGGGTGGGGCCATTTTATAGGATTTGGGTAGGTAGTGGACAATTACAGTCAAAGGGGGGTGTTCCTTGGTGGGCAGGGGCGGGGGACACAAGGTGCTCAGTGGGGGAGCTTTTGAGCCAGGATGAGCCAGGAGAAGGAATTTCACAAGGTAATGTCATCAGTTAAGGCAGGAACAGGCCATTTTCACTTCTTTTGTGATTCTTCAATTACTTCAGGCCATCTGGATATATACGTGCAGGTCACAGGGGATATGATGGTTTAGCTTGGGCTCAGAGGCCTGACAAGGATGTTACTCAGGTTACTAGTTCCTGCAACTGGATGGATGATGGTGTTATTCAGTGTAATTGGAAATAAAGATGTTACAAGCAAATTTGTGGAAAATTAATGTTGAGCCCAGCTTTGGACATATTGAGATTGTAAACTCTGAGGGACATATTACCCTATTAGGTAGCTGGATATTACGATTTGGGTTCCAGGAGAGAGATTAGGGAATTATTAACATATGTATGTTAATTAAAGCCACAGAAGTGAAGATAACTCAGGGAGGAGGTATAAAATGAGTTCAGACACTGCACAAGTCTGAACCCTGAAGACACCAACATTAGAAGTGACCAGAGAACAGTGGAAAGTGTTTCAAGGTACCCAAGAGGTGAACTAAAGGCTGAAAGAAAACAATGTAATTTCAAGAAGGAGGGAGTGGTCAGTAGTTTCAATGCCCATTAAGGTCAAATCAAACAAGGAAAAAAATCATGACCATTGGTTGACAAAGAAGAGCTCAATTCCTTTCTACTCTATTCCCCACCTCCTGCCCTGGGAGATAAATTCTGGCAAAGTAAGGAGAACAGGAGCTAGATTATTTCTTTCCCAGCATTCTGTTGTGGATGATTTAAAACATACAGAAAAATGAAATGAATAATACAATGAACACATGTATATCATCCATCTAGATTCAACTGTCATTGACATCGTACCTTATTTGCTTTATCTAACCATCTATTCGTATACTTTTTTTGGTTGAACCATGTTAAGTTGCAGAGATCATGACCCTTCAACCCCACATTCTAAGTCGACATCTAAAGCCAGATTAAAATGAATAAAGGAGCACACAGGTGGTAAGTAGATAAAACAGTGAATGGAAATTTTGCTTTCAAGAAATTTGACTGTAAAAGAGAAAGCTGCTGGAGGAGAACCTCACTCAGTTCAAGGAAGTTTGTCTATTTTGTTATTTTGGGTTTTTTTTTTTGTTTCTTAAAATGTATGACTCCATATTTTTGTTTATTATTAATATTAGGCGGGAGAGCCTAGAGCAAGTTTAACTGCTGATGGGAAGGAGCGATTGGTGGGAGAGAGGCTGAAGGGAAGAAAGGAAGTACAGAACACTGAGTGATGGGAGGGGAGGCTTACTGAGCTGGGTGGGAGGACTAGCCTGGGAGCAGGGAGGACCAACTCTGCCCAGAGGGAAGAGGGCAGGAGGAGAGGAGAGTATAAATGCAGATGGAGACTGGGTACAGTGGCTCATGCCTGTAATCCCAGCACTTTGGGAGGCTGAGGCGGGCAGGTCACTTGAAATCAAGAGTTCAAGACTAACCTGGCCAACATGTCAAAACCCCGTCTCTACTAAAAATACAAAAATTAGCCAGTTGTGGTAACGCATGTCTATAATCCCAGCTACTCAGGAGGCTGAGGCAGGAGAATCACATGAACCCGGGAGGTGGAGATTACAGTGAGCCGAGATGGCACCACTGCACTCCAGCCTGGGCAACGGAGTGAGACTCCATCTCTAAATAAATAAATAAGTAAATAAATGCAGATGGATGGGAGTCTGGGGCAGGGGGCTGCAGGGGATTTCATCTAAAGACTTTCCCTTTTTCGGGAACCAGGTGGTGAAGCCATAAGGGCAAGGCTGGGAATGGGGACTTGAGGGTCAAAGGGGTTTCAAATACAATGAAGAAAGCCAACCAGGCCAGGCGCGGTGGCTCACGCCTGTAATCCTAGCACTTTGGGAGGCTGAGGCAGGCATATCACCTAAGGTTGGGAGTTTGAGACCAGCCTGACCAACATGGAGAAACCCCGTCTCTACTAAAAATACAAAAATTAGCCAGGTGTGGTGGTGTATGCCTGTAATCCCAGCTACTTGGGAGGCTGAGGCAGGAGAATTGCTTGAACCCAGGAGACGGAGGTTGCAGTGAGCCGAGATCACGCCATTACACTCCAGCCTGGGCAATAAGAGTGAAACTCCATCTGAAAAAAAAAAAAAAAAAAGCCACCCACCACTGGCAGGCCAGTGGCATTGGAGACCAGTGGGACAAGAGGGCCAAGGATGTGAGAGCAGTTGGAGGGATAGACACAGGGGTTGCGGGGGAGGGTGCTAGGAGGAAGTAGAGATAAGAGAAGGTTGATGGGAAGGAATAAATCAAGTATTGGCTCTGGAAAGGCAGGTGAGGATTAAGATGCCTAGGGTCAGTGAGAAGAGGGTATATGAGATTTCTCAGGAGGCTGCAGTCTAATTGTGGCAGTGGGATTGGAGCTGAAGAGGGCATCTCTCACCTCTCTATCAACTCCACTGACCATCTAGTCCCTTGCCCAGAGACTAGGGGTAGGCTTGGTCTCCTGTCCCTGCCCTTCTTTCCCTCTAGAGGCCTTGTCTCTGAGCAGTGAAGAGGAAACCGGAGCATCCCTCCCTGCCAGTGTCCGGTTACCAAGTTTTGGGGGCGGGCCATCTGGTGACTGTGACAGGAGCCCCAGCGCCCTGGCCAGCTCAGTCCATTCCTGGAGAAGAACCTGATGCAGCGATTCCTGCAGCTCCCGGGGGCCGTGGTGAGGCCTGGGGTCAGAGGGGCCTGCGGAGCTGATCAAGAGGCTGCTAGCCCTGTGCTGGCTCCCGAAGGTGGGCCCCCACTCCGGTACCAGGCCTTGGAGCCTGAGGAGCTTCGGTGGCTGCAGGCCCAGGAGGAAGACACGACCCCAGAAGCATCTCTGGAAGGACCTTGCCCAGAGGCCAGCCAGAGCCAGAGCCAGCCACTACGGTATAGAGGAACCCACAGGAACCCCCTACCCACACAGCCAGGAAGGCCAGGGATGGGCAGTTGCACTCTCAGCCCAGACCTCTTCCGGTCCCACCTCCTCTGATGGAGGCTTAGGCTGGCATTTAGGGTCCAGGCTGGGCGGAGAAGGTGGTCAGGGGCACCGTATGGGGGCTGAGGGTATGAGTGAGGAGAGATGAGGGGCTTAACTCCCTGGAGGCTCTGAGGGGAGGAGGATAGTAAAATATTTGAGGGTTGAGGTCCCACCTTGACCTCTTTCTCCCCACAGGCCCCCACTGGAGTGGGCTCTGGACGAGGTTTGGGGACAGGATACAGCACAGACAGGGTTTGGCCAGCCACTGCCTGCCAGTGGACTGGAACTTAGGTGGTAAGAGGTGACAGCGAGGTGTATATCAAGGGAGGTGAGCATGACTGACCCCCAGTGCCATGCCAGGCCCCCTGGCTGGCTCCAGCCACCCCCAGAAGAGTCCCTTAGGCTAGGTCAGACTAGGGGTCAGGTCAGAGTGAGTGCAGCAGCGTAAGGGGATCTGACTATGGGAGATAATGTTTCATGGCCTTAGGGTGTTGTGCCTTAGTCCCTGCCTCTGCCTCTTGGGAACAGAAGTTGGTGGGAGTGAGGACGAGAGGCCCAGGGCGGTCTCACCTCAGGTGGTGGCTGCGGTCTGTGTCAGTGCATATTCTGTGTCAGTGCATATTCGACAGTCAATCTTACCTGTGCTGGCTGCTTTAGGCCCAGTGGTCCTGCCCCCTTTCATTCCCCTTCTCCTGCAGGGGCCTGGAATGTACTCACTAGGCTGGGTGGGGAGGATGCCCTGGGGTGTGTGCATTTGACAGGCGCATGTGGCATTTGTGGGTGTGGTGAGGAAGGGAATACCCAGAGTTAAAGGAGATTGGGCAAACTTGGCCCTCCTTCCACGGAAGCCCAGGGAAAAGCCATCCCAGGGTGACTCCTCAGAAGATCAGAGGACCCTTGGGGCTGGATATATTTGATCTTAGAAGCCTACATTTATCATCAAAAATCTCAACTAGGAGTCCACTGACCATTTTGGTGAATGAGACTGGAGAGGCCAAGTTTGGTCCAAGTTATCTGTGTATTAGATGTGATGCGGCATGTGTGTGTGTGTGTAGGGGGACGTGTGTGGGGTGTGTGTGTCTCTATGAGGGTGTGGGGGAGCGGGGAGAGGTCTTGTGATATATGTCTGTAGGGGACATGTATGGGATATGTGTGTCTATAAGAGGGTGTGGGAGAGTGGGGAGAGGTCTCCTGGTGGTATATGTCTGGGGGGTTTGTAGGTGTGTAGGTGAGTTGTGTGGGTGGTTTATGTGTGTAGAGTTTTTCTGTGGGAGGTGTCTGTATGTGGGGGAGTGTGTTTCTCTGGGCGTTGTGTAGGCAGGATTTTGTGGGTGTGCGTGGGTTTATGTATGGATTCTACTAGTGTCTGCGGGACCTGTAGGTATGTTTGTATGAGCTGTCCGTGAGGTGTAGGTATGTCGGGGGACATGGGAGTGTCTGAGGTATATGTGGGTGGTATCAATGTGTAGTTGTCTGTGGGGTGTGCGTATGAAGGATCCTGACGTGGAGTGTTGTGCATTCATATCTCAGGGAAGCTGGTGCCCAGCTCTGTCATTTTTCCTAGGCCCTCGGTGCTGCCCACGCCTACCCAGCTCAATGGTCTGTACCTATGACCATGCCCCTGGTGTCCTGAGCTCAGCCTCCTACCCACTAAGAAACTCAACAGTCTGGTCTGTGTTTGGCAGGGTAAGAGGGTGATTGTCTTCTGGCCCTGGCCTGACCCTGGAAGAGTAGAAGGTGTCCTCTGATTTGGGGGGCATCCCCCCAGGTGAGGGAGTTTCAGATAACATGATGGGGCTGGATATTTTCTTCTGTCCTCACATGACAGATAGCGAGGGCCTCAGATAATGCTGGAAGGCATCATCTTTCTATTTTGCTTTCCATCAAAAATCTCTTTGGGAAAGACAGTTTCTAACATTCTTGGGATAGTGACTTCTTAGTGCCCCTCTTCTTGTCTGACGTCAGGTACTCACGCATTTCTGCAGCCCTGTGACTAAGTTGCGTGTTCTGTCTGGTTCTTCTCTTCCTCTCAGCATTCATCACTTGTTTCTCAGCATTAGCAGCAGTCATTTGCCACTTTATGATTGTTATCATGCTCTTTCCTCTCCTAACAGTGCTATCCCCAATTTCTGATTTTCTGTCATTTCTAAATGTTGCATGTCTGTGACTAACTTTGCACACATTGATTTTTTTTTTATTTTTTATTTTTGAGATGGAGTCTCGTTCTGTTGCCCAGGCTGGAGTGCAGTGGCGCGATCTTGGCTCACTGCAAGCTCCACCTCCTGGGTTCACGCCATTCTCCTGCCTCAGCCTACTGAGTAGCTAGGACTACAGACGCCCGCCACCACACCCGGCTAATTTTTTTTAAATTTTTTAGTAGAGACGGGGTTTCACCATGTTAGCCAGGATGGTCTCGATCTCCTGGCCTTGTGATCCGCCTGCCTTGGCCTCCCAAAGTGCTGGGATTACAGGCGTGAGCCACCGTGCCCGGCCTGATTTTTAATTTTTATCACTGTGATATTTCTCAAGCTGGGTTCTTGTGCCTGGGTCAAAGCTGTGGGTTATCAGAGTGTCATCTGGGAAATTAGTGTGTGTGAGTCCCCACACACAGCTGCTCACCACATTTTGGAATTGTCTTGGCAACATATGAGTGCATCAGTTTCACACAATTCTATCAGCTATATATAGACACATTTTTTTCATGGGTTTATTAACAATTCTCTGATCACTTCGTGATCACCAGTTCTGCATCCTCTGAGTATGGTTAGCCACATTGTTCACTGCACAAGGGCATCTGGCCAAGGAATACCAGCCCATGCTCCACACACAGAATGGGGAGCAACAGCTCAGGGCTGTGTCTATCTGTAGGGGCATGCAGATTGAAAATGGGCTTGTAGCAGCCCTGACAGTGAATGCTGCAAAGAGACCTTATACATGTATATCAGTTCCTTTTTTAAATTTTTTTGAGATGGAGTCTCACTCTGTCACCCAGGCTGGAGTGCAGTGGCGCGATCTCGGCTCACTGCAATCTCCGCCTCCTGGGTTCAAGCGATTCTCGTTCCTCAGCCTCCTGAGTAGCTGGGATTACAGGTGTGTGCCACCATGCCCGGCTAATTTTTGTAATTTTAGTAGGGATGGGGTTTCACCATGTTGGCCAGGCTAATCTCGAACTCCTGACCTTAAGTGATCTGCCCACCTTGGCCTCCAAAAGTGCTGGAATTACAAGCGTGAGCCACCACACCTGGCCTCTATTTCGAATATTAAACTTTAATTTACCATATCCCAAATATTTTTCCTTTTGTTGCTATTATGGGCTGAATTGTGTCCCTCCAAAATGCATATGTTGAAGTTCTAGCCCCCAGTACCTCAGAATGTTACCTTTGAGGTGATTAAGTTAAAATGAGGTTATTAAGGGGGGCCCTAATCCAATATGACTGATTTCTTTATAAGAAGAGGAAATTTGGATATAGGCACGCAGAAGGAAGACCATGTGAAGACAGAGAAGATGGTTGTAAGAGACAGAAAAACCCAAAGTGTGTTTCTCCTACTCTCATACACACCGCTCACCAGAGAGTGCTTCACCTCTGGCCACAAAAATGGGTGGAGATTTCTCCCCACCAACAACCTGTTCTCCAGCAGACACTAACTGGGTGTTCTCTAATTCAAGTCAATCTAGTGTTAGATTTTTTAGGTTAAGGGCTCAGTGCCACAAGACTGCTCTCTGCTTCAGATGCCAATTCCAAGTGGTAAGTTGTCAGCTATACTTCTGACCAACTGGCTATAAATCAGGGGTTCCCATGCCACCCTCCTTGGGTTCAACTCTGTGAGTGGCTCACAGAACTCAGGGAAACTTTAGTTATATTTACCCATTTATTATAAAGGGTAGAGACAAACACCAGATGAAGAGATGCATAGGGAGAGGTATGGAAGGAGGGGTGCAGAGCTCCCATGCCCTCTCCAGGCACCACACCCTCCAGGCACCTTCACATGTTCCACAGTCTGGAAGCTCTCGAAACCCTATCCTCTTGGGTTTTTATGAAGGCTTCATGATTGATCGCATCTTTGGCCATGTGATCAACTCAACCATCAGCCCCACTCCCCATTCCCCAGAGGTCAAATAGTGGGATTGAAAGTTTCAACCCTCAGCTGGGCACAGCAGCTCACGCCTATAATCCCAGCACTTTTGGAGGCCAAGGCGGGTGGATCACTTGAGGTCAGGAGTTCGAGACCAGCCTGACCAACATGATGAAACCCATCTCTATTAAAAATACAAAAATTTGCCAGGTGTGGTGGTGGGCAACTGTAGTCCCAGCTATTTGGAAGGCTGAGGCAGGAGAATTGCTTCAACCCAGAAGGTGGAGGCTGCAGTGAGCCGAGATTGCCTCACTGCACCACTCCAGCCTGGGCGACAGAGCAAGACTCAGTGTCAAAAAAAAAAAAAAAAAAAGAAAGAAAGAAAAAAAGTTCCAACCATCTGATAACAAAAGATGCTTCTATCACCCAGGAAATTCCAAGGGATTTCCATGTCAGTTGTTCCTCTCACTCAGGAAGTTATAAAGGTCTTAGGATCTCTGCGTGAGGAACTGGGTGGAAGACCAAATATTAGAACAGAAGTTCTCCTAGCATCCCTATTGTCAAGAGTTTTAGGAGCTCTGTCTCAGAAATGGGGTATAGAGACCAAATATATATTTCTTTACAATATCACAAGAATCATCTACAAGCCAAAGAAAGAGGCTATAGAAGAAACCAACCCTGCTGACACTTTAATCTCAGCCTTCCAGCCTCCAGAACTGTGAGCAAATAAATTTATGTTGTTTAAGCCACCATCTGTAGTACTTCTTGTTTTTTTTTTTTTTTAGAGACAGGTTCTTGCTCTGTTGCCTAGGCTGGAGTGCAGTAGCACAATCATAGCTCACTGCAGCCTCCAACATCTTGGTGCAAGCGATCCTCCCACTTCAGCCTCCTGAGTAGCTGTGACTACAGGCATGTGCCACCATGCCTGGCTAATTTTTTTTATTTTTGTAGAAACAGGATCTGACTATGTTGTCCAGGCTGGTCCCAACTCCTGAGCTCAAGCAATCCTTCTGCCTCAGTCTCCCAAAGTGCTGGGATTACAAGTGTGAGCCACCATGCCTGGCCTGTGGTTCTTTGTTATGGTGGTTCTAGGAAGCTAGTATAGTTGCCTTATTTTTCTCATAAATTTAGTTTTTAGATACCAAAGTTTAAAAATTAAACCTAGGCCTGGCACAGTGGCTCACACTTGTAATCCCAGCACTTTGGGAGGCCGAAGGAGGCAAATCACTTGAGTCCAGGAGTTTGAGACCAGCCTGGTCAACATGGCGAAACCCCAACTCTACTAAAAATACAAAAAATTTGCCAGGCATGGTGGTGCACACCTGTAATCTCAGCTATTTAGGAGGCTGAGGCATGAGAATCACTTGAACCCAGGAGGTTGAGGCTGCAGTGAGCCGAGATTGCGCCACTGCACTCCAGCCTGGGCAACAGAGCGAGACTTCGTCTCAAACAGAAAAACGAAAAAAAGGCCTGGGCGCAGTGGCTCACACCTGTAATCCCAGCACTTTGGGAGGCTGAGGTGGGCGGATCAACTGAGGTCGGGAGTTTGAGACCAGCCTGACCAACATGGAGAAACCTCATCTCTACTAAAAATACAAAAATTAGCTGGGCATGGTGGCGCATGCCTGTAATCCCAGCTATTCTGGAGGCTGAGGCAGGAGAATTGCTTGAACCCAGGAGGTGGAGGTTGCAGTGAGCTGAGATGGCACCATTGCACTCCAGCCTGGGCAACAAGAACGAAACTCTGTCTCAAAAAACAAAAACGTACCAATTAAACCTAGCCATATTGTTGCTGCTAATAATTTTATGACCTTAATAAAATCTTCCCTTCCTTCTTTTGTATTTAAAAATAATTAACTGTTAAGCAAATGCGGGATTTATTTTGGGGTGAAATATGTATACAAGTTAAATTATTTGCTGCTGGCCAGGTGTGGTGGCTCACACCTGTAATCTCAGCGCTTTGGGAGGATGAGGCGGGAAGATCACTTGAGGTCAGGAGTTTGAGACCAGCCTGACCAACATGGTGAAACCCTGTCTCTACTAAAAATACAAAAATTACCCGAGCGTGGTGGTGCATGCCTGTAATCCCAGCTACTTGGGAGGCTGAGGCAGGAGAATCACTTGAACCCAGGAGGCAGAGGTTTCAGTGACCCGAGATCGTGCCATTGCACTCCAGCCTGGGCAATGAGAGCAAAATTCCATCTAAAAAAAAAAAAAGTGCTGCAAAGCAGTTGTCCCAATAGCATTTATTTAAGTGGGGCGGGGGCGGGGGGGTGGGGGCGGGGGGAGATTCTTATTGGTTCGTAATTTATCAAGTTAGACCTTTTATGAAATTCCCCCCATGACCTTTGACCTTCTGTTTTTAACCTGGTACCAAACAGCTTTTATCATCGTCTCGTGGTGTTTATGTTTTGAAGTCCAATAGGGTGAGTTGTCTATGATTGTTTCCTTCTTTTCCCAAAAATATTCTTTGGAGTTCTTACCTACTGATTTTTTTTTTCCAGATGAATTTTGCTGTCACTTAAGTTTGACAAAATGTTCCCTTTGAAATTTCAAATTTTTGAAATGAAGTATGAGATCTAAAAAAAAAAAGAAACCTGTGTATTGGCTCAGCATTACCCTTATTCCTCTCAGCCAAGTGCAAGGGATCACTTACTCAAATCTTTATTCATCCCACTAGAGTTTAATGACTTCCTTGAATGGCTGTTCAATGTTCAGTGACAGGTCTGGCTTTTGTTGTGAGGCCATCTATGGAGTCTCTGGGACCCTTCCAGTCCCTGGAATCAGTTTGGTCTGAGAGGTCAGGACTTGGAAACATACTGGAGGCAGGGCAAGGGCACCCTGCTCTTGT
This sequence comes from Homo sapiens, assembly GCF_000001405.40. NCBI lineage: Eukaryota > Metazoa > Chordata > Mammalia > Primates > Hominidae > Homo > Homo sapiens. The sequence continues at coordinate 82,692,617 of NC_000015.10, read as the reverse complement.
TTTGGCATCTACCTCTTTTCCGCTGGTCCTTCTTATCCATCCAACTAGTCCTTTTCCCTGAGCCAGGTCCATACTTTCCCACCCCAAACCCTTCCTCTTGTTTCCTGGCTCTCTGTTTCTGGCTACATTCATTTCCTACACTCCTGTATCAAAAGTACCACAATTGCTTCTCGTTCCCACAGTGCAGTGCGGCTGAGCGCCTCAGAGCCCGCGGGGACGCTGCGGGGGGATTGCGGGGAGGGGGCGTTGGGAGGTGCCGATGTTGGGCTGGGCGGATGAGCGCATCTGCGTGGTGAGCCTTCCAACGTGCGCGAGAAGGACGTGGAAGACCTTTTCTACAAGTACGGCCGGATCCGCAAGATCAAGCTTAAGAATGGGCACTGCCTTGTGCCCTTCGCCTTGGTGCGCTTTGAGGACCCCCGAGATGCAGAGGATGCTATTTATGGAAGAAATAGTTATGATTATGGCCAGTGTCGGCTTCGTGTGGAGTTCTCCAGGACTTACGAAGTCGGGGTGGGTGGCCCCGTGGTGGGAGGAATGGGCCTTCTGCAAGAAGATCTGATTTCCGAGTTCTTGTTTCAGGACTTCCTCAGGCAGCTGGCAGGACCTGAAGGATCACATGCGAGAAGTTGGGGATGTCTGTTATGCCGATGTGCAGAAGGACGGTGTGGGGATGGTTGAGTATCTCAGAAAAGAAGACATGGAATATGCCCTGCATAAATTGGATGACACTAAATTCCACTCTCATGATAGTGAAACTTCCTACATCTGAGTTTATCCTGAGAGAAGCACCAGCTATGGCTACTCACAGTCTCGGTTTGGGTCAAGGGGCCGTGACTCTCCATACTAAAGCCGGGGTTCCCCACACCACTTCTCTCCTTTCAGGCCCTACTGAGACAGGTGATGGGAATTTTTTCTTTATTTTTTAGGTTAACTGAGCTGCTTTGTGCTCAGAATCTGCATTCCAGATTGAGGATTTAGCGTCTTAGGAAATTATTTTAATTTTTTTTTTTTAAAGAAGAAAAAAAAACTACATACTTTCTACCAGGGCCATATTAGCAGTGAAACATTTTAAACTGCAGAAATTGTGGTTTTGGTTCAGAAACAAGTTGTATATTTTTCACTCCTGAATATGGGTAAAAAATCAGTTCCGTCTTTGTGGGTTGCTCTGCTATGGAGATCAACAGTTACTGTGACTGAGTTGGCCCATTCTGCTTAAAAATATGTTTTAAACGTTTAAGAAAAATGCTCATCATCACTGGCCATCAGAGAAATGCAAATCAAAACCACAATGAGGTACCATCTCACACCAGTTAGAATGGCAATCATTAAAAGTCAGGAAACAACAGGTGCTGGAGAGGATGTGGAGAAATAGAAACATTTTTACACTGTTGGTGGGAGTGTAAACTAGTTCACCCATTGTGGAAGACAGTGTGGCGATTCCTCAAGGATCTAGAACTAGAAATACCATTTGACCCAGTGATCCCGTTATTGGGTATATACCCAAAGGATTGTAAATCATTCTACTATAAAGACACATGCACACGTATGTTTATTGCAGCACTGTTCACAATAGCAAAGACTTGGAACCAACCCAAATGTCCATCAGTGATAGACTGGATTAAGAACATGTGGCATGGCTGGGTGCGGTGGCTCATGCCTGTAATCCCAGCGTGGCTCATGCCTGTAATCCCAGCACTTTGGGAGGCCAAGACGGGTAGATCACGAGGTCAGGAGATCGAGACCATCCTGGCTAACACGGTGAAACCCCGTCTCTACTAAAAATACAAACAATTAGCTGGGCGTGGTGGTGGCGGGTACCTGTAGTCCCAGCTACTCGGTAGGCTGAGGCAGGAGAATGGCATGAACCCAGGAGGTGGAGCTTGCAGTGAGCCGAGATTGCGCCACTGCACTCCAGCCTGGGCGACAGAGCGAGACTCCATCTCACAAAAAAAAAAAAAAAAAAAAAAAAAAAGAAGAAGAAAATGTGGCACATATACACCATGGAATACTATGCAACCATAAAAAAGGATGAGTTCGTGTCCTTTGTAGGGACATGGATGAAGCTGGAAACCATCATTCTGAGCAAACTACTGCAAGGACAGAAAACCAAACACTGCAGGTTCTCACTCATAGGTGGGAATTGAACAATGAGAACACTTGAACACGGGGTGGGGAACATCACACACTGGGGCCTGTTGTGGCGTTGGGGGAGGAGGGAGGGATAGCATTAGGAGGAATACCTAATGTAAATGACGAATTAATGGGTGCAGCACACCAACATGGCACATGTATACATATGTAACAAAGCTGCACGTTGTGCACATGTACCCTAGAACTTAAAAGTATAATTAAAAAAAAAAAGTTTAGTAATTGAAAAAAAAAAGTACAACAATTGGGTTGGTTGGAACAGCAGAAATGAATTGTCTCACAGCTCTGGAGGCCAAAAGTCTGAACTCAAGGTGTCGGCAGGACCATGCTCCCTCTGAAACCCATAGGGAAATCCTTCTTTGCCCCTTCTAGCTTCTGGTTGTTTGCTGGCAGTCTCTGGCATTCCCTGGCTTGTAGACGCATCTTTCCAATCGTCTGCCTTCACATGGTAGTCTCCCTGTGTCTGTCTCTTTAAGTGGCTGTCTTTTGTTTTTTGTGTTTTTTTAATTTCAATTTAATCTATTTTTTGTAGACACATTGTTTCACCATGTTGCCAGGCTGGTCTCGAACTCCAGGGCTCAAGTGATCCTCCCGTCTCAGCTTCCCAAAGTGCTGGGATTACAGGCGTGAGCCGCCACACCCAGCCCACATGGCTGTCTTCTTATGGGAAACCAGACATGGGATTAGAGACCCACTCTATTAGAGTAGGATTGCATTTAACTAATTACATCTGCAACAACTCTATTTCCAAATAAGGTTACATTCTGAGGTACTAGGGGTTAAGACTTAAATATATCCTTTTTAGGAAGGACACAGTTCAACCCACAATATTAGCTGGCCACATGTTTCCCCTGATCTGTACTTTACTTGTTCCCCCTGGCTCTGGTCCCTCCTCGGGTCAGGTCCTGCCTGAGCCTCCCCTGGCCATGTCCCTTCTTTGTGCCTGGACCCTCCTGATTAATACCCCATCCCCACCCTTGTGCCCTCAGCTGACTTCTTGTACCTCCCACCAGGCATGATGACCTGAAGGAGATGCTGGACACCAACAAGGATTCTCTCAAGCTGGAGGCCATGAAGAGGATTGTGGCGGTAAGAGGGGAAGGAGGAGGCCTCCCTCCGGGCGGGGCCTGGGTGGCCAAGAGCAGCTCTCCTTAGCTCCTTGTAGACCTTCCCTCTAGTTAGTGCTGTGCCTCTCGCTTTGTCCCTCTTCCCCTACCTTGACCCCACCACCCAGATGATTGCCCGAGGAAAGAATGCTTCAGACCTGTTTCCCGCGGTGGTGAAGAACGTGGCCTGTAAGAACATAGAGGTGAGCACTACCTGGTGAGGGATTGCTTGTCCCCACCTCCCCCAGGACCACACTCAAGCTTGGGGTGAGGAAGGAAATGATTTAGCCCCTGGGGGCCCGACCTGCTGAGAAATGTCTCTGAGCCAGGAGAAGACACTGTCTCCATGTCCCTGAACTGGATGTGGATCAAGGTAAAGGACCCGGATACACTCAGGGGTGCTCTCCCCCACTGGGAGAGTTTGTCCCCATGGACCGCAGCTGGCTGGGGAGATGACATCCCAGGGGTAGGGGGGTGGGCACAGGTGCCTGCTGAGAAGCGTTCTGCTGAGAAACGTGCTCTCCCCAAGGTGAAGAAGCTTGTCTATGTGTACCTGGTACGCTACGCTGAGGAGCAGCAAGACCTGGCCCTGCTGTCCATCTCCACCTTCCAACGTGGCCTAAAGGTCAGGGGTCTCAGTTTGCCTCCCAGGGCCTGGGCCTCGTTGGCGCTGTATCGGAGGAGTAGGCCTGGGGAGAGGCCATGAGCATGGGAGCGGGCTCTGCAGACCCCTTCCTACCTGCCTAAAATTGGGAGGGTCACAGTCAGAAGAGGCCAGCCAGACCCTCAGAGAGTGGAAGCTGGGCTCAGAAGGGGCGTAAGAGATGAAGTGGGTACCCAGGGCCCCTGTCTCTCTTCCCAGGAGCCTGTGGTAATGGCTGCTTCTAGTATGAACCACTTGAGCCCCCGGAGAGTGGAGAGTCTCTAGCAATGGAGAACCCCTCAACCCTCACCCCCCTTTGTGTAAAGGTGTGAATTGTGGTCCACAGCCAGGTAGATTTCAACCTTTAGCAGTGGCCTGAATCCCCCACACCATTCTCACCTTTTGTTTCATTTTGCCCAAGGCCTCTAGTTGGATTTACATATGTTAGGTGCATGTATAAGTCTCCCCCCTAAGGGCTTTTCTGGTTAGTCTAAGACATCTTGAGGGTAAAGACAGCCATTTCAAGGCCATTCTCTCCATATTGGATTTTTCAGCTCTGATTACAACCATTAACTCCTCTATTTTTGCATACCTTTATTTATTTATTTATTTATGAGACAGGTTCTCACTGTGTTGCCCAGGCTGGAGTGCAGTGGTGCAATCATGGCTCACTGGAGCCTCGACTTCCCTGAGCTCAGGTGATTCTCCCACCTCTGTCTCCTGAGTAGCTGCGACTACTCAGCCTGCATCACCATGCTCGGCTAATTTTTTTGTAGTTTTTGTAGAGATGGGGTTTCACCCTGTTGCCTATGCTGGTCTTGGACTCCTGGGCTCAAGTGGCCTCAGCTTCCCAAAGTGCTGGGATTACAGGGATGAGCTAATACTCCTAGCCTGGATACTTTTAGTTCAAATTTCTGTGAGAGAGATTGTGAAAGGTCCAGCTCATCTTTTCATATCCAGAAGTTCTGTAGGTTGCTGGGTAGACAGGATTGCTGCTCAAATCCAGGGCCCACCCCTTGTCCAATCTGCTATGGCCAGCAAGAGGGGTTGACAGTCGGCTTCTTTGGGGTGAGAGTAGAAAGCATGGTCACTTGAATATACAATTCATTCATTTAGTAAATACTTGGGTGTCTCTATGCCACACATTGTGCTAGATTTCTTTTTATAAGTCAAAACCATGGAATCCGTCTTAGATTGGCAAGTAATCTTTTGGTTTGAGTAAGGGTTAAGTATAAAAACTAATCTGAAATTGTTGTACAGATTTTCACCTATAGTCTCTACCAACTGACCCTGTCCCCCTTTTAGAAAACCAGAGCTCATTTAGTTCAACTCAATGTGATAATTTCTTTCTGCAAAGTGCCAAATAGTATTTTAGGTTTTGTAGGCCTTATAGTCTCAACTATGCAACTACTCAATTTTGCCCTTATGGTGCAAATGCAGCCATTGACAAGTGGGCGTGGCCGTGTTCCAATAAATCTATATAAAAAACAGGCAATAGACAGATTTTATCCAAGGGCTGTAGCATGCCAGCCTTTGCTCTAGAACATGTCTAACAGGTCATCTTTTCTGATAGGGACCTCACTCCTTCATAAGGCAACTTGCTCCATCTCAAGACAACTACCACTATTTGGGGTGTTTTTTAAACCATTCTCTTTTGTTGAAACCTCCACAACTATAATTTTTAAAAATTGATTTCAGGCTGGGTGTGGTGGCTCATGCCTGTAATCCCAGCACTTTGGGAGGCCGAAGCAGGCAAATCACAAGGTCAGGAGTTCAAGACCAGCCTGGCCAACATGGTGAAACTCCATCTCTACTAAAAATACAAAAAATTAGCTTGGCATGGTGGCGGGTGCCCATAATCCCAGCTACTCAGGAGGCTGACGCAGGAGAATGGCTTGAACCCGGGAGGCAGAGGTTGCAATGAGCCGAGAACGTGCCACTGCAGTCCAGCCCAGGCGACAGTGTGAGATCCATCTCAAAAAAAAAAAAAATTGATTTCAGGCTGTACTGCATTATGACTGCACCTGTGAATAGCCACTGTACTCCAGCCTGGGCAACATAGGGAGACCCTGTATCTAAAAAATAAAATAAAATTTACTACAGGTTCACAAAAGGCATAAAGAATAATATAATGAATATCCATAAGAAATGACACATTTCTCAAATAGCCAAAGCCTCCTATATATCTTCTCTTGTTTATCATTCATAGGTATGTATTTATTCCTGTGCTAGTAATTTGCATATTGTTAAGCAATATAAAATGTTTTGTAAATGGTGTCATCGTACTACATATGTATTCCTTTAAAACTTGTTTTCTTTTTTGTTGTCACTGGCTTTTGGTCTCTCCTGCATGTTGGAACCAATCATTTCAATCCAGCCTTCTCCCTTCTTTCAATCCTAGCCCAGGCTAGGGCCGTGTTCACTTTCTTAGGAGATCCCTCATGGAATCAAACCTCTGACTGGCAAGCAGATAATCCAGGTCTCCCTACATCCTGTCTTTGTACAGTTGGTCCCTTGAACCCCCTATGAAACCCTACTCTATTTCATTTTATCAGTTTAGCACAGGGTCCAAACCAGGGTGATTCTGAATCTTAATTATGTCCCTCCTGATTTTGTGTCTTCTTTCAAGATACTGATAAGCTATTTGGACCAGGGCAAAAGACTGAGGCATAGCATGTTTCCAGGTTGACACTGATCTGTTAATAAACCTTCTCCAAGTATATTTCACCACGTTGTAGACCCACCTGACTGTACAGACAGCTGGCATTTTTCTATCTTGTTAGGAAGGATCTTATTCAATAGCAATAAATAAATAAATAAATAACACCTTTCATGTGCAAAGGGTTGTGGGTGACACAGAGATAAAACAGATGTGAATTCTGCTCTTAAAAATGCTTGGCTATTAGGTGAAACAAAAGGCCTACCTAAAAAATAGCAATGCAGGAAATGCTATGAGACTTCCACAAACATATCACTGAAATCAAGATACTAATATCCACCGGCCTAGTTACCCCATCAAAAAGGAAAACACATTTTTTTTGATAACTTTCTGTGAATCTATAATCATTTCCCAAATAAAATGCTCACACACAAAAAAGGAAAACAGGTTTAAGCAGATGATGTGACTATTTGTCTCTAAGAAAACAGAGACTCCTTCCTTTTCAATAAATGTTTCTAACCCATCTGTTTAAAAGTCAATTCCAGAATTTTGTCAGGAATTAGCATCAATTTTACCTGCAATTGTGAGGATCTTGTCTTGTCTTTTTCCATTTCAGAAAGTCAGGGTAATATCTACCCTTCTTTAGTGTTCTATTCCCGTCATTCTCTAAGAGTAATAGTACAGGCACACCTCATTGTATTGCACTTTGCAGATATTGCCAGATATTGCACTTTTTACAAATTGAGGGTTTGTGGCAACCCTACATCAATCAAGTCTATCAGTGCCATTTTTCCAACAGTATGTGCTCACATTGTGCCTCTGTCACATTCTGGTAATTCTCACAATATTCCAAACTTTTTAATGATTATTATATGTTATGGTGATCAGTGATCTTTGATGTTACTATTGTAATTGTTTTGGGGTGCCACAAACCATGCTCAGACATGAAAGTGAAATTAATCAATAAATGTTGTGTGTGTTCTGACTGTTCCCCCATCTCCTTCACCTTGGGCCTCTTCATTCCCTGAGACACAACAATATTGAAATTAGATCAATTAATAACCCTACAATGGCCTCTAAGTGTTCAAGTGAAAGGAGGAACCACACATCTCTCACTTTAAATCAAAAGCTAGAAATGGTTAGGCTTAGTGAGGAAGGTATGTTAAAAGCTGTGATAGGCTGAAAGCTAGGCCACTTGCTCCAAACATTTAGCCAAGTTGTGAATGCAAAGTAAAAGTTCTTGAAGGAAATTAAAAGTGCTACTCCAGGCTGGGCGTGGTGGCTCACACCTGTAATCCCAGCACTTTGGGAGGCCGAGGCAGGAGGATCACTTGAGACCAGGGGTTCAAGACCGTCTCTATAAAAAATTTTTTTAAGTTAGCCTGATGTGGTGGTACGCACCTGTAGTCTTAGCTACTTGGGAGGCTGAGGTGGGAGGATCACTTGAACCCAGAAGTTTGAGGTGCTTCTCCAGTAAACACATGAATGATAAAGAAAGCAAGACAGGATTATTGCTGATATAGGAAAATTTAAGTGGTCTGGATAGACGATCAAACCAGCTACCACATTCCCTTAAGCCAAAGCCTAATTCATAGGCAGGTCTTAAATCTCTCCAATTCTATGATGGCTGAGAGAGGTGAGGAAGCTACAGAAGAAAAGACGGAAGCTAGTGGAGGTTGGTTCATGAAGTTTAAGTACAGAAGCCATCTCCATAACAAAAAAATGCAAGGTGAAGCAAAAGTGCTGATGGAGAAGCTGCAGCAAGTTGTCCAGAAGATCTAGCTAAGATCATTGATAGATGTGACTATGTTCAACAAGAGATGCTCAATGTAAATGAAACAGCCTCTTACTGGAAGAAGATGCCATCTAGCACTTTCCTACCTAGAGAGAAGTCAATGCCTGGCTTTAAAAAACAGGCTGGCTCTTGTTAGGGGCCAATGCAGCTAGTGACTTTAAGTTGAGGCCAGTGCTCAATGACCATTCTGAAAATCCTGGGGTCCTTAAGAATTATGGCAGATCTCCTCTGCCTGTGCTCTATAAATGGAACAACAGTGCCATGACAGCACATCTGTTTGCAGTTATGGTTTACTGAATTTTTTAAGCCCACTGTTGATACCTACCGCTTAAAGATTCCTTTCATAATATTACTGCTCATTGACAATGCATTTGTTCACTCAAGAGCTCTGATGGAGAGGTACAAGGAGATTAATGATTTCATGCCTGCTAACACAAAATCAGTTCTGCAGCCTATGGATCAATGAGTAATTTTGACTTTTAAGTCTTATTATTTAAGAAATACATCTCGTAAGGCTAGAGCTGCCATAGATAGTGATTCCTCTCATGGATCTGGACAAAGTAAATTGAAAACCTTCTGGAAAGGTTTATAGAAACCTTCTGGAAAGGTTTACCATTATAGATGCCATTAGGAACATTCATGATTCATGGGAGGAGGTCAAAATATTAACATTAACAGGAGTTTGGAAGAAGTTGATTCTAAACTCCATGGATGACTTTGAGGGGTTCACTACTTCAGTGGAGGAAGTAACTACATATGTGGTGGAATTCTACCTAGAAGTAGAAGTAGAATTAAAAGTGGAGCCTGAAGATGTGACTGAATTGCTGCAATCTCATGATAAAACTTGAATGGATGAGGACTTGCTTCTTATGAGTGAACAAAGAAAGTCCTTTCTTAAAATGGAATCTGCCGGGTGCAGTGGCTCACGCCTGTAATCCCAGCATTTTGGGTGGCCGAGGTGGGTGGATCACGAGGTCAGGAGATCGAGACCATCCTGGCTAACACAGTGAAACCCCGTCTCTACTAAAAACAGAAAAATTAGCCAGGCATGGTGGCGGGCACCTGTAGTCCCAGCTACTCGGGAGGCTGAGGCAGGAGAATGGCGTGAACCTGGGAGGTGGAGCTTGCAGTGACCCGAGATCTCGCCACTGCATTCCAGCCTGGGCGACAGAGCGAGACTCCGTTACAAAAAAAAAAAAAAAAAAAAAAAAAAAAACTCCTGGTGCAGATGCTGTGAACATTGTTGAAATGACAACAAAGGATTTAGAATATTACATAAACTTAGTTGATAAAGCAGAGGCAGAGTTTAAGAGGACTGACTTCAATTTTTTTTTTTTTTGTAGAGACTGGGGTCTCCCTATGTTGCCCAGGCTGGTCTTGAACTCCTAGGCTCAAGCAATCCTCCTACCTCAGCCTCCCAAAGTGTTGGGATTACAGGCACAAGCCATCACGCCCAGCCTACATTGTTTTTTTAAAGACATAATGCTATTGCATGCTTAGTAGACTACAGTATATTGTAAACATAACTTTTTTTTTTTTTTTGGAGATAGGATCTCACTCTGTTGCTCAGTCTGGAGTGCAGTGGCATGAACATATGTAGCTCACTTCAGCCTCCAACTCCCTGGGCTCAAGTGATTCTCCCACTTCAGCTTCCCAAGCAGCTGTAACTATAAGCATAACTTGTATGCACCAGGAAACAAAAAATTTATGTGACTCGTTTTAGTGCGATATTTGCTTTATTGTTGAGGTCTAGAATCAAACCCACAATATCTCCGAGGTATGCCTGTAATATATAGCTGCTGCTGCTGATAGTGGGAAGACAGTCCTAAGCCCCATGATCACAATACAGTGTAAGGAATGCTTTTATACGTTCTGTATAGGATGCAGTAGGAATAAAGAAGAAGGGCTTGGGGCCGGGCGTGGTGGCTCACGTCTGTAATCCCAGTACTTTGGGAGGCCGAGGTGGGCGGATCACTTGCGGCCAGGAGTTCGAGACCAGCCTGGCCAACACGGCGAAACCTAATCTCTACTAAAAATACAAAAAATTAGCTGGGTGTGGTGGTGCGCGCCTGTAGTCCCAGCTACTTGGGAGGCTGAGGCAGGAGAATCGCTTGAACCCAGGAGGTGGAGGTTGCAGTGAGCCGAGATTGCACCACCGCACTCCAGCCTGGCGACAGAGCGAGACTCCATCTCAAAAAAAAAAAAAAAAAAAAAAAGGAAGGGCCTACACCCCTATTTTGTTTTAAACACTGTGGAAGAACAGCAGCTTTTGCAATGATTTCTGGGAGAAAGGAGTGTAAGGTTGAACTCCGGAAGGGAGACCAGCTTGCATCTGCTGGGCGGTCACCTCAGGCATTAAAACAGGCACCTCCAAAAAAACCCTTACAAGGAACAGGAAGTGTTTCAGGTGTTTCAGCAATTTTAGGTGTTCTGAAAGTTTTTCAGTGTTTCTGGAAGTGAAGCTACCCATTGCAACACCTGTTCAGGTGTCAGATTTCTGCAACCAGAGCCAAAATTAAGTGTCCCCCAGATACCCATCACTGGCACACCATCCAGGCTCCAGTCAAGCGGCAGGGAAGCAAGAGCTAGTGGTCGCTGGGGACAGTGACTTCCAAAGGTGTGGCCTCCCCCCATCAGGGCACCTGGTGCCCTTTCATAGCTCTGCCTCCACCTCTGCCTTTAGGATCCCAACCAGCTGATTCGTGCCAGTGCCCTCCGTGTCCTCTCTAGCATCCGTGTGCCCATCATAGTGCCCATCATGATGCTAGCTATCAAGGAAGCCGCCTCGGACATGTCACCCTATGTGCGGAAAACAGCTGCCCACGCCATCCCTAAACTCTACAGGTATGCCCCAGCCCTGTCCCACGCTCCCCAGGAGGCTGGTTCCTAAGTTCTCAACCCACCCCTGGCCTTTCCTAAGTCTTGCCTGCTGCTTCTCAGAGGGTTTGAGGAGGGTAGTTTGGGGGACTGACAGAGATGGAGGAGAACAATAAGGCTGGGGTGCAGGAGGTGAGCATGGCTTGGACAGATATTGGGAAGGCTGGGGCTGAGAGTGGCAAATTCCCCTCACCGATTTCTCCCTCAGTTTGGACTCTGACCAGAAGGATCAGCTGATAGAAGTCATTGAGAAGCTTCTGGCTGACAAGACCACGGTGCGTGTATAGGGGCGCTCCGGGAGGGGTGGTGACCGGCAGCCGGCCTTCCACCCTTCGCGTTCACCCTCTCGTCTTTGTTCTTTCCCCAGCTGGTGGCGGGCAGTGTGGTGATGGCCTTTGAGGAGGTCTGCCCGGAGCGCATCGACCTGATTCACAAAAACTACCGGAAACTCTGTAACCTGCTGATCGACGTGGAGGAGTGGGGCCAGGTGGTCATCATCAGCATGCTCACCCGCTACGCCCGCACGCAGTTCCTGAGCCCCACCCAGAACGTAAGTGGGCCCAGCCCAGGCAGAGCGGGCCGAAGTGTGTCCCGGGGAGGCGCCCACAGACCCGTCGGTCTCCCCGTCCAGGAATCCCTACTAGAGGAGAACGCGGAAAAAGCCTTCTACGGCTCAGAGGAGGACGAGGCCAAGGGCGCGGGGTCTGAGGAGACGGCCGCCGCGGCCGCCCCCTCCCGAAAGCCCTATGTCATGGACCCCGACCACCGGCTGCTGCTGCGCAACACCAAACCCCTGCTGCAGAGCCGCAGCGCCGCGGTGGTGATGGCGGTGGCGCAGCTCTACTTCCACCTGGCGCCCAAGGCGGAAGTGGGCGTCATCGCCAAGGCGCTGGTGCGCCTGCTGCGCAGCCACAGGTGCGCTCCGCCCCCAGCCCCGCCCCCTCCCTCGCCTCCTGCCCCGCCCCACGGGCTGCCCGGCTCCGCCCCCTCACGCCCACCAGCCGCTTCCACCTCTGCCCACCCGCTCCACACTGACCGTAGTCCTGCCCTCCGCACTGGTCCTCTCCCCGCAACGACTTGCCCCACCTTTTCCCCTCATCCGCTGACCCTTGCCCCAACCGAGGGGCCCGGGGTGCTCTGACCCGTCCTCTCCGCAGTGAGGTGCAGTACGTTGTGCTCCAGAACGTGGCCACCATGTCCATCAAGCGCCGGGTGAGCCTGCGACGGCGGGCTGTCCTCGCTGTCCGAGGGCCGCTTCTGCGGGCACTGGAGGCGTTGTCGGGGCTGGGACCGGGGCCGGGGAAAGGGAAGATGGAGGAATACCCTGGCTGTGCAGAGGATGGGGCAGGGGAGGCTCCAAATACAGATAGGGAGCAGGGCCTGGATCCTGAGGGGCCGCTGAGGGGATGTCCAGTGGAAAAAGAGCTAGTCAGATCTGAGATGGACGAGGGAAGACTTGAGGAGTGGAGGGCAGTGGTGAGGAGGCAAGGATCCTGGGCGCTGGGTCAGGATAGGAGGGGTGTCTCTGGGCAGCGAGGCAGGCCTGGGGCTTCGGTGGAGCTCCCTAGCTGCCTCTCTTGTGCCAGGGTATGTTTGAGCCCTACCTGAAGAGCTTCTACATCAGGTCCACCGACCCCACCCAGATTAAGATCCTGAAGGTGAGTGAGGGACAGAAGTGCATGTGCTTCCCAGCCCTCCCCACCCCATGTACCCACTCAAATAACTCACAGTGGCCCCCCTGGTGCCTGCCTATTCCTGGGGCTGAGCCCAGGAGCCCATGACTGCCCCAGCTGGAGCTGTTTGTTCAGGGAGCTGGGCTAAGGAGGGTCAGGGGGAGAAGGGAACTGCTCTTTGCCTAGTACCTGGTATACACCTGCTACTCTTCATAAATGAAGTAACCTGATATCACCTCATAATAATCCCAGGATGTGTACATTATATTCCTTTTATAAAAATATAGACTCTGGCCAGGCACAGTGGCTCACGCCTAATCCCAGCACTTTGGGAGGCCGAGACAGGCAGATCGCCTGAGGTCAGGAGTTCAAGACCAGCCTGGCCAACATAGCAAAACCTCGTCTCAACGAAAAATACAAAAATTAGCCAGGCGTGGTGGCAGGTGCCTGTAATCCCAGCTACTCGAGAGGCTGAGGCTAGAGAATTGCCTGAACCTGGGAGACAGAGGTTGCAGTGAGCTGAGATTGTGCCATTGCACTCCAGCCTGGGTGACAAGAGCGAAACTCCATCTCAATCTAAGAAAAAGAAAAAAAGACTCTGGGAGGTAACTGCCCCAGGTCACATAATTCTGCTGACTCCAAGGTTCACACTTTTCTCTCCCACCCACAGTGTTATGGCCCCCACACACCTGCCCCCTCAGGCTCTCCTGCAAACATTCACGGACAAGGAAAGTGGCGGGAGCCCATACCTCCATTTGATTCCTGCTCTGCTGCCTCATTATTGAGTGATTTCCTTCAGCAACAGTTAATCTTCCTAACCCTTGTGAACATCCACTATGTTCTAGGGGTACATGATGAGCAAACTAATCAGGGACCCTGCCTTTGTGGAGCTTACAGATGTGGGGAGGAGGAGACATTAAGCAGTTAATCACAAGGCAAATGTAAAAGTCCACTTACAAAATATGGAAGAAAGTGTGGAGAGCTATAAGGGCATAAAATAGGGAGACCTCATCTAGTCTGGTGCCAGGGAAGTTTTCCCGGAGGATATGAGACTTGAGCTGAAGCCTGAGAGATGAACATGAATTATGCAGGGACAGAAATGGGAAGAACTGCTCCACGCAGAGGAAACAGCATCTGCGAAGACCCTGGGTTAGGAAGTGGAGTGGGATTGGGGCCTGGAAGACAAGGGGGACAGTGATGGGAGATGGGAGGTAGACAGCAAGCAGATCATTCAGGGACTTACAGACCATGGTGAATACGATGGTCTCCATCCTGAAAGCAATAGGAAGCTTTAAGTTTTCAATGCAGTAGGGAGGTGACATGGTCATACTGTAAGCATACTGTGTAGGGAATCCACTTAAGAGGCAAACTGGTCCTCTTGCTTTTTAGACAAGTTTCATAACCTGTCAATTCCCTCATCAGTGTGAGGATGATGCAGGGCTGTCATGAGGATTGTTTTCTGGTCTATGAAGTGTATTTGGAATGAAAGCACAGAAAGTCCACTGGCCAACCCACCCATTTTCTGCCTCTCCAACCCTCCCTGCAGCTGGAAGTGCTGACCAACCTGGCCAATGAGACCAACATTCCTACTGTCCTACGGGAATTCCAGGTACAGGCCAGCTCCCAGCCAGAAGGGCCTGGGAGAGGGGCCCATCAGATCCTTGTGCCCTGGTGGGTAAACCTCCTCTTATGAGCCCAAGGCTGGAGAAACTATTATCTTACATTCCCGTTCCAATGTGTTTGGCTGGCTTTGGGCCAAGGAATCACTGGATTGGGGGTGGAGTTGTCACCCCCTTTCCCAAGTCTTAGTCACCGGCATGATAAGCCATAAAATGAAAGGCCACAGCCTTCTTGAAGGTCACCCTCAAGCCTGCAGAGTCACTGAGGGATTTCTTTGTCATATCCCACAGACCTATATTCGCAGCATGGACAAGGACTTTGTGGCAGCCACAATCCAGGCCATTGGACGCTGTGCAACTAACATCGGCCGAGTCCGTGACACCTGCCTCAATGGCCTGGTGCAGCTGCTGTCCAACCGTGATGGTCAGTGTTTCCCTGAGTGTCTAACCGTGATGATCAGAGGGTGTCTGCCTGCAGGTCTGACTCTGCTGGCCACTGGATATCCACCAGTCTGCCTAGACACAATGTGTATCCATTGGTCTGTCTGTCTTGATCAGGGCCCAAGTGTTCCTACACCTCTGAGGGCTGCTAGAGAACTGAAGGGGGTTGAGAGAAAGAGCCAAGGGCCTGGGGCACTGCAGGTGTGTCTGTCCACCTGAGTGTGGCCATCTGACTGTCTTGGGGTCCACACACTCATTTTTGTTCTGTAGAGCTTGTGGTTGCAGAGTCAGTGGTCGTCATTAAGAAATTGCTACAGATGCAGCCAGCACAACATGGAGAGATCATCAAACACTTGGCAAAGCTTACAGACAACATCCAGGTGAGGGAGAAGCCATATTTTCACTCCCCACTTCAAGGTCCTCCCCATGATTTCAAGACTGTATAATTACATATGCTAGCCTTATCAAAAGTAACTTCCAAACCTTAGGTCTTCAGGTGGAAGGAGCAGAGACACTGGACCATGTGACCCTGACCTTGTTACCCCTGATTTGCTTTCCCTTTGGAGACCCTCAATGAGCACGATGGACTTTACTACTACTCTTGTTTTCTCTCTAAAGCTCTAGCCAACCATGGTTGAGTGACAAATCTTGTGTTTTTCTATCGCACTGCTAAGCTGAAACATCTAAACAAGGCATTCCCAAAGATTCTGGAGAGTAACATGGAAATAAAGTACTGAGGGTACAATGAATCCAGAAAATCAATCTTTTACATCATGACTGACTTAGGGTCTTGAAAGCTCTATGCTAATGAAGCCCTAGGGAAGAGGGGAAATGCTGTCTAGGAAATGTCTACCTTTTAACCTCTCTCTATCTCACCACCCCCAACTCCCATTTCCAGAGAACCCATAATACAACAGGCCAGCACAGATGAGGAGTGCTGTTTCCCTGGAAGTCCACAATCCTACCCACCCACTTTCCCGTATTTACCCATCTTCACTCCTCTCCCACAACCACAGGTGCCCATGGCCCGAGCCAGCATCCTGTGGCTCATCGGAGAGTACTGTGAGCATGTCCCCAGGATTGCACCTGATGTCTTAAGAAAAATGGCCAAGTCATTCACAGCAGAGGAGGATATTGTCAAGCTGCAGGTCATCAACCTGGCAGCCAAGCTCTACCTGACCAACTCTAAACAGGTAAAGATTAAGAGATGACCCCCCAGATACTCTGGTCCCCAGAAACTCCCTAGACAGTATTCTTTTGGCCCTCCCTAGGCAGGGCTGAACTCTAGCTCCTATTTTGGAAAAGAAGAATCAGGGAAGGTGGCTGGTCTGCCCACATAACCAATGCTACCCCAGTGCCCACAAAGACCTTGTAGTGCTGGTGGTCACTGTTGAAGAGACTCTCCTATGAAGCTGTGACCTCCAGTCTGCTAGTACAAGAGTCCTGTCTGCCACCTTGGAACTCTGGGGCTGTGAAGAACCACAGTTGATTGGGATAAGGGAAGGGCCCAACAGTGGCAGGTACTGATGGGAGAACATGCATCCCAGATGTGGTCTGTGCTTCTTTCCAAAGCTTGACAATGCTTGGCCAGTCTGTGCCAAAGATAAGGGGGTGAGTCTCTGCTTGGGCTTGGGTGGTGCTGGTGGCCACTGTCATTCCCAAGGTGAAAGGTTATAAGAGATACACAGCCAAGGATGAGGCTCAACTAAGTTGTAGTATCAGGGTGTTCAGAGCCTCCTAGCTGTCTGGCATCTCCTGAGATGGTTCCAGGAGATTCTCCTAAAATGAAGCATAATGTGCTGAGCTTTTCAAGGTGTCAGGGACATCAAACACCATGACGATTTCCACACTCTCCCACTCAGTTAAGCAGGACAGGGATTGGCAAACTACTGCCCATAGGCTGAATTTGGCCTATTCCTGTTTTTGTAATAAAGTTTTGTTGGAACACAGCCCTGCTCATTCATTTACAAATTACCTATGGCTGCTTTTGTGCTACAACAGCAGGGTTAACTAGTTGCAACAGACTGTATTGCCCACAAAGCCTAGAATAGTTATTCTCTGGCCCTTTTATAAAAAGACTCTGCCAATCCTTGAAGCAAAACCTCTGGCTAGGTGGCTGGGGTCTACAGATTTATAGCAGGGATATCCCCTGGAGACTGTAGCATCCCTGCCATGTCCACTGTGCGTGGGAGTCTTTGGATGGTGGCACTTATCTTTTTCAGTGGCTTCTTTGATCCATTGTGGCCAGAGTGAGCCCCAGAGGCTCAAGGTGAGGTAGGCAGGGCCACCAAGTGCTGTGACTGTAATCAGGAGTCAAAGGACAGCAGCAACATGTGGAGGCAACTGAGTCTGTATAATTAAATATGCTAGCCTTATCAAAAGTAACTTCCAAACCTTAGGTCTTCAGGTGGAAGGAGGAGAGACACTGGACCATGTGACCCTGAGCTTGTTATCAGTGTTGTGGGCAAAGCAGATTGGAGAGAGAGAAGTTAGAGGGGGAGAGAGAGAAGTTAGAGGGAGAAAGAGCACCATGGGGAAGCGTTCAATCGTTGAAAAAATATTTGTATACTTCCTTTGTTCAGGTGGGAGGAAGGAGCAAGTGGGAGGAATGTTTGAAAAGATGAAGCAGCCTGGGTGGGGAGCCACCCAGGTAGGTGGGAGTCTTGACATGCTCAGCAATGAGCCAGAGTCCTAAACCCCAGGATGGTGAGGTTGGCATGTTTTCATAAGCCTGGGCCTGTCCACATGTCATTTCCCCCAAGTTGTCACTGTGAGCTACATGTGCATTTGTTCATTTATTTAACATATATGTAGGTGGGAGTCTGACATGCTCAGCACTGAGCCAGAGTCCTAAACCCCAGGATGGTGAGGTTGGCATGTTTTCATAAGCCTGGGCCTGTCCACATGTCATTTCCCCCAAGTTGTTACTGTGAGCTACATGTGCATTTGTTCATTTATTTAACATGTAGGCCTACTATTTGCCTGGTACTGTGCTGCGTCCTGAGGATATGACAATGAGTGAGACACATTTACAGGTCTCCAGATACTCACAGCCAAGTAGGAGAAACAGGACAAAAATAAACATTTTAAACACAGCAGTAACAGCTGTCATCAGGGTTGGCACAGCGAGCTGTGGGTATATACAGCTGAACCCTCCCCTAGGAATGACCCCTGTCAGGGAACCCAGAGTAGGCTGTTCAGGCAAATGGACACTCACCTCCAGGGCGCCCTTCACCTGCAAGTGAGTTTTTGCAGGCCCCTTAGAATGGTTATTTGATTCAATAAAGATTTTTGTCCTCCCTTTCTTTCTCCTTTCTTCCCAGCCTCTTCTGGGAGTGGTAAAGAAGGGGGAGTCCTTGGGGTACTAGGAGGGAGGTGGTTTGGATGCGCACATGACCATGCTTGCAAAACAGTAGTGATGCTTCCCATCCTGGGACCATGAGTGGCAATCTGCCCAGCTAAAAGGCCACAGTAATCTCAGTCATTCTCTCCAATTTGGACATGGGCCCACGGCATGCCAGATCCTGGCCCAGGATGAGGCCAAGGAAATGACCAAGATGAGGCCTCTGCCCTGCTATTGATCAGCAGATAATCAGATACTAGACCAGAGGCCACAAAGGCATAACATGCAGGTGGCGGGGGATGGGGGGGTTGGTAATCAAAGTGGCTATTACATCCACCTGGATATAGACCCTGGGGAAACTGCCTAGCAGGTTAGTTTGCTTTTATGTGTCAGGTGAGATGTGTGGCAGGAGGGTCTGCCAGGGGCACAGTGGGATCTACAACCCTCCCATGTGACCGCCTTTACAGTGAATAGAAGATTCTGACAAATTTTGCAGAATTGCTTTTAAAAACGTAAACTTTTTTTAATATGCTAAAGGTAATACATGCTTATCATAGAACATTTGGAAAACTCAGAAAATTATAAGTTTAAACTATTAATAAGTCCACCATTTAGAAGACCACCATTAATTATATATTTCCTTATTTTTTATTCCTATATATAGTCATTCAGAAGTTGTACTTTTGTCTATTGTCCAATATTTTAAACTTTTCTGCTTCTTTTCAATGCTTTCATATTTAATACTTTTTTTTCCCCATTCACATTTCAATTAAACTTTTCACTTAGAATTTTCTCCAGGCTGGGTTCAGTGGCTCACACCTGTAATCCCAGCACTTTGGGAGCCCAAGGTGGGTGGGTCATTTGAGGTCATGAATTCAAGACCAGCCTGACCAACATGGCAAAACCCTGTCTCTACTAAAAGTACAAAAAAATTAGCTGGGTGTGGTGGTGCGCTGAAATCTCAGCTACTTGGGAGGCTGTGGCAGGAGAATTGCTTGAACCCAGGAGGTGGAGGTTACAGTGAGCTGAGATGGTACCACCACACTCCAGCCTGGGCCACAGAGCAAGATCCATCTCAAAAATAAATAAAAATTAAAAAGAATTTCCTCCAAATTTTTTTCTACTTTCACATTTTTAAATCAATTGTATTAGTTTTCTGCTACATAATAAATTACTATAAATTTGGTGGCTTCAAACAACACACGTTTATTTTCTCAGTGTCTATGGGTCGAGAATTCAGGTATGGCTTAGTTGGATCTTATGCAAGGCTACAACTGAGGTGTCAGCCAAGGCTGAGTTTTTATCTGGAGGCTGTACTGGGGAAAGGTCCACTTCCAAGTCACATGGTGCCACGATCCACTTCCTTGCAGTTGTAGGATTGTGGCCCTGGCTTCTTGCTGGCTGTCAGCTGGGGGCTGCCCTTGCCTTCTAGAGGCCGTCCTTAGCTCATTGCCATAGGGGCCTCCCAACACGGATGCTTAATTTCTCCAAAGCCACAAGGGAGAAAGTCTCTAGAGCCAGTCTGCTAGCAAGACCGTCTTCTTTTTATTTTTTAATTTTTATGGGTACATAGTAGGTGTATATATTTATGGGGTATGTGAGATATTTTGATACAGGCATATAATGCATAACAATCACATCAGGGAATGGGGTATCCATCCTCTCAAGCATTTATCTTTTGTGTTACAAACAATCAAATTACACTCTCTTAGTTATTTATAAATGTATAATAAATTATTGTTGACTGTAGTCACCCTGTTGTGCTGTCAAATACTAGATCTTACACATTCTATCTAACTATAATTTTGTACCCATTAACTATCCCCACTTCCCCCACCCACTACCCTTCTCAGCCTCTGGTAACCATTATTCTACTCTCCAACTCCATGAGCTCAATTCTTTTAATTTTTAGCCCTCACAAATAAGTGAGAACATGTGAAGTTTGTTTTTCTGTGCTTGGCTTATTTCACTTAAAATAATGACCTCTAGTTCTATCCATGTTGTTGCAAATGACAGGATCTCATTCTTTTTTATTCTTTTTTTATAGTACTGCATTGTGCATATGTACCGTATTTTCTTTATCTATTTGTCTGTTGATAGACACTTA
The DNA here is from genome assembly GCF_000001405.40 of Homo sapiens. Lineage (NCBI taxonomy): Eukaryota > Metazoa > Chordata > Mammalia > Primates > Hominidae > Homo > Homo sapiens. The sequence goes on along the minus strand of NC_000015.10, from coordinate 82,672,203 downwards.
AGTTGCTTTCAAATCTTGGCTATGGTGAACAGTGCTGCAATAAACGTAGGTGTGCAGATATAACTTCAATATGTTGATTTCCTTACTTTTGGGTATATACATAGCATTGGGATTGCTGGATCATATGGTAGCACTATTTTTAGTTTTTGTTTGTTTGTTTGAGATGGAGTCTTGCACTGTCACCCAGGCTGGAGTGCAATGGCATGATCTCAGCTCACTGCAACCTCCGCCTCCCAGGTTCAAACGATTCTCCTGCCTCAGCCTCCTGAGTAGCTGGGATTACAGGCGCCCGCCACCAAGTCTGGCTAATTTTCATATTTTTAGTAGAGATGGGGTTTCACCATGTTGGCCAGGCTGGTCTTGAACTCCTGGCCGCAAGTGATCTGCCCGACTCGGCCTCCCAAAGTGCTGGGATTACAGGCGTGAGCCACTGCACCTGGCCTATTTGTAGTGTTTTTTTTTGAGATGGTGTTTCACTCTTTTTTCCCAGGCTGGAGTGCAATGGCGTGATCTTGCCTCACTGCAACCTCTGCCTCCTGGGTGCAAGTGATTCTTCTTCTGCCTCAGCCTCCCAAGTAGCTGAGATTACAGGTGCCTGCCACCACGCCTAGCTAATTTTTTGTATTTTTAGTAGAGACAGGGTTTCACCATGTTGGCCAGGATGGTCTTGATCTCTTGACCTCGCGATCCACCCACCTCGGCCTCCCAAAGTGCTGGGATTACAGGTGTGAGCCACCGTGCCCGGCCTATGTTTAGTTTTTTAAGGAACCTCCAAACTGTTCTCCAGACATTTCCACTAACAGTGTACAAGGGTTGCCTTTTCTCCATGTTCTTGTCAGCATTTGTTATTGCCTATCTTTTGGATATAAGCCTACTTGGGGTGAGATGATATATCTTTTTTTGTTTTGTTTTGTTTTTTGAGACGGAGTCTTGCTCTGTCACCCAGGCTGGAGTGTGCAGTGGTGCGATCTTGGCTCACTGCAACCTCTGCCTCTGTGGTTCAAGTGATTCTCCTGCCTCAGCCTCCTGAGTAGCTGGGACTACAGGCGTGCGTCACCACGCCCCGTTAATTTCTGTACTTTTAGTAAAGATGGGGTTTCGCTGTGTTGGTCAGGCTGGTCTCAACTCCTGATCTCAGGTGATCCGCCTGCCTCAGCCTCCCAAAGTACTGGGATTACAGGCATGAGCCACCCGTGCCTGGCCTTTCATTGTAGTTTTGATTTGCATTTCTCTGATGCTCAATGATGTTGATCACCTTTTCATATACGTGTTTGCTATCTGTATGTCTTCTTTTGAGAAATGTCTATTCAGCTCTTTTGCCCATTTTTAAATTGGATTATTGAATTTTTTTTTCCTATTGAGTTATTTGATCTCCTTACGTATTCTGGTTATTAATCCCTTGTCAGATGGGTAGTTTGCAAATTTTTTCCTCCTATTCTGTGGCTTGTCTCTTTGTTGATTCCTTTGCTGTGCAGAACCTTTGTAACTTGATGTGATCCCATTTGTCTACTTTTGCTTTGGTTGCCCGTGCTTGTGGGGTATCACTCAAGAAATCTTTGCCCAGTACAATGTCCTGGAGAATTTCTCTAATGTTTTCTTTTATTAGTTTCATAGTTTGAAGTGTTAGATTTAAGTTTTTAATCCACTATGATTTGATTTTTGCATATGGTGAGAGATAGGGGTCTGGTTTTATTGTTCTGCATGTGGATATCCCGTTTTCCCAGCGCCATTTATTGAAGAGACTCTCCTTTCCCTAATGTATGTTCTTGATACCTTTGTCAAAAATGAATTCACGGCCAGGCGTGGTGGCTCATGCCTGTAATCCCAGCATCTTGGGAGGCCGAGGCTGGTGGATCACCTGAAGTCAGGAGTTCAAGAGCAGCCTGGCCAGCATGGCGAAACCCTGTCTCTACTAAAAATACAAAAATTAGCTGAGCGTGGTGGCGGGTGCCTGTAATCCCAGCTACTTGGGAGGCTGAGGCAGGAGAATTGCTTGAACCCGGGAGGCGGAGGTTGCAGTGAGCCAAGATCGCGCCACTGCACTCCAGCCTAGGGGACAAGAGCGAGACTTCATCTTCGTCCCCCCCCGCCAAAAAAAAAAAAGCCACTGATTTTTTTTTTTTTTTTTTTTTTTGGAGACGGAGTTTTGCTCTTGTTGCCCAGGCTGGAGTGCAATGGGTTTTTTTTTTTTTTTTTTTTTGAGATGGAGTTCTCACTCTGTTGCCCAGGCTCTGGACTGCAGTGACGCGATCTCCACTCACCACAACCTCTGCCTCCCGGGTTCAAGCAATTCTCCTGCCTCAGCCTCCCGAGTAGCTGGGATTACAGGCATGCACCACCATGCCCAGCTAATTTTGTATTTTTAGTAGAGACAGGGTTTCTCCATGTTGGTCAGACTGGTCTCGAACTCCTGACCTCAGGTATTCTGCCTGCCTCGGCCTCCCAAAGTGCTTGCTAGGATTACAGGTGTGAGCCACTGTGCCTGGACAATGCTACTGATTTTTTTTTTTTTTGAAACGGAGTCTTGCTCTGTCACCAGGCTGGAGTGCAGTGGCGCCATCTTGGCTCACTGCAACCTTCACCTCCCGGGTTCAAGCGGTTCTCCTGCCTCAGCCTCCTGAGTAGCTCGGACTACAGGTGTGCATCACCACATCCAGCTAATTTTTGTATTTTTAGTAGAGACAGGATTTCATCATGTTGGCCACGATGGTCTCAATCTCTTGATCTCACGATCTGCCTGCCTCGGCCTCCCAAAGTGCTGGGATTACAGGCATCAGCCACCGCACCTGGCCAATGCTACTGATTTTTATGTGGATTTTGTATCCTGCGACTTTACTGAATTTATTAGTTCTAATAGTTTTTTGGTGGAATCCTTAAGATTTTTTAAATATAAGATCATATCATCTGCAAACAAGGATAATTTGAATTCTTTTCCAATTTGGATACCCTTTATTTCTTTCTCCTGTCTGATTGCTCTAGATAGAACTTCCAATACAGAGTCTTCTTAATAAAACATAATCATAGGATCATATATAGTCATATACCACCTTTGCCATATCCTGTTGGTTAGAAGCAAGTCTCAGGTTTTGCCCATACCCAAGGTGAGGGATTGCACAAAGGCATGAACACCAGGAGGCAGCTACTGGTGGGGAAGACCTTAGAATCTGTCTGCCACATCCATCTAGAGCTTAAACTTACTCATGTGTAATGTGTGAATTGAGGATATATTTCAATTTTTTTTAACAGCCAGTTTTCTAAGCATGATTAGCAGGCATCTGCAAGGTAGCATGTATGTTGGCATAGGTTATGGAAAGGAAGTCAGTGTTTCCTGCTTAAAATTCCTCTCTGACAACTGGAGCCTGTTGGTGAGGGGGAGCCTTGTTCTGTTCTTGGCACACTGGAGTGTATCTCAGAGGCCTTCTTGAACAGCCTGTAATTCCTGCACATCCTGGCTAGATGAGGTGGGGGTCTTGGTGGTGCACACAGGATGCCACAATCCACAGGGAATGGCCCCTTGGGGTGGAGAAGGGTAATGAATTATTATAGGCAAATCCTGCAGTGTTGAGGTGGTGGGCCAGCCCCTTCCTGTGTTGGTTGTTAACATGCAGTTAAGGCTGTGGACAGATGGATCCAAATACCAAACAGTTCTTTCTAGAACTAGGCAAGGACTTGAAGGAGGGAGTCTGTGATCAGCCAGCTGGGAAATCTGTGGAGGAAGACATTGTCCAAACCAAAAGAGGGATCAGCAGCCTCTTGATAATTGACTATGTTGGTAAGGGCATCCACTAGCCCTGGCCATTTAGATGGTGTCTGGCCAAGAGAGGGGCAGGTTGGTGATGAAATCTGTTGTGATGGCATCTTATTTTCATATTTTTAAGTCTATTCTATTAGCGGTGCATGGGATTGGGATTGCTTATCTGTGACTATAACAGTATCGCAGGTGCTGCTTTGCTGGAAGGGACTGAGCTGAAGAGGGCCTGTGGGCCAGATTGGAGGTAGGAATGTGGAATCATAGTGGCTCTCTAGAGTGGTGTGGGGCAATTCTGCCAAAGCAGCTGCTCAGACTCTGGGTCAGCATCTGAGGGGCTTTGCCCCTTATGGACATCTGCTTGATGTCCCTGCCAGATTAGCTGGGTTAACCATGTCCAAGGCTACACGTAACAGTATGTCACCATAAACCTCAGGAAGAACAGAGTCAGTTCCAGGCTCCCTCCTGCCGGCCCCTGATGCCCTTGGGCATTCTGCTTGTTGACCACTTGGTGGTTTTGATCTTGGTCACAAGTGATGGAAACATGGAGACCTGGGCCAGGGCAGGCTCCTTATGTCAGCAGGTAGGCAGTGAAGGGAAGCAGATGGGGTGCAGCTCCAGCAGATGCAGGCCTAGGTGCAGTACTGATGGGCTCCTTGGCCTGGGAAAAGCCCCTTAATGATCCTGCTTCTTTTCTGTAAAATGGGGGCAATAATGCCTACTTCTCAGAAGGCTTGGGGAGATTAGATGAGCTAGTGTGGAGCACCTAGCACAGAGTTGGTGCCAGAAGGCACTTGATAAGTGATGGCTGCTACCGCTGTTGCCATGTTAAGGCAGGTTAGATTAGGCCAAGATCATGGCAGAAATGGAGATATTTTAGGTCTGCAGTTGTAGCTTCCCTGACTGCAGACTGTGAACCCTACATGACCTTGGCAAATGCATGGGCAGCTGCAGTTTGCCCTGATGTCATTAGAAGCTTCCAGGGAAGGATAAAGACCTCTGAGACCCCTGGGCTGCTCAGAATCTACTAAATGGGTGGATAGGGCATGAGGGTGGCCCCTGCCAAAGGGACCCCTGTTTATCTGCCCTGTCTTTTTGTTGTCTAATTCCCCCTGGGTGGTGGAGCCTGGAAACTGTGAGGTCCAGCAGAGCATTCCATACTTCCACATACCCTGCTGCCCTAGAGTAAAGAGGCTGGACAGGCCTGGAGTGGTAGGGACCACAAATCTAGGGAAGAATGGAGTCCAGAGCCAGGAGTGGGGAAAGTCCAAAAGGAAAACCTCTTTTGTTGGCCCAAGGCAGTTGTCAAAGTTGGGATCATCAGGAGGCATGTCCAGAGAGATGAGAGAAAATTCTGAGCCCAGAACAAGGGCAGGTGGGGAGGGACAGCTGGGTGGAAGCGCCGGTCCTAAGCAGGGAGAGGAGACGTTCTGCCTGAAAGTGTCGGCTTAAAGAATCTGTTTCTGAGCCTCCTGTGTCCCCATCCCCCCGTCAGCTGACCCACCTCTTCCTGTTCCTCCAGACCAAGCTGCTGACCCAGTATGTGCTGAGTCTGGCCAAATATGACCAGAACTATGATATTCGCGACCGGGCGCGCTTCACCCGGCAGCTCATCGTCCCTTCCGAGCAGGGTGGGGCCCTCAGCCGCCATGCCAAGAAGCTCTTCCTGGCACCCAAACCAGCTCCAGTCTTGGAGTCATCCTTCAAAGGTGGGAGCTGAAATCAAGGGTAACCTTCCTAGGGGAATGGAAAGGAACTGGCCAGAGTCTCTGCCCCAGACCTTCCTGAGGCCCCTAGCCAGGCACCAGGCTTCTGTGGACAGTCCTGCTCCCTGGCTCACTCCTTTTGTCCCTCCTGTGGCACCAGGAATTACTCTTTCACCCTCCCATAACCACTGCCAGCATCATCTCACCTGAGGGTCTGCCTTCCTGGCCAGGATGGACTTGTGCCTCCTCTCCTCTCAGGCTCCCTTTTCCATCTCCCTCCCTGAGCAGACACTAGGCTTTGGAATACATACCAAGATCTTAAATACCAAGGACCCAGGAAGGCAGAAAGCAAAACAACACACAAAGGAGAGGTGTATATTTTTATAAAGGTCCTGAGAAAGCAGTTGCCTGCATTCTGTGAGCTTAGTCACTACAGTCAGTCCAAATCCCAGGCCCCAGGGCTTCAGCCTTGCCTCTGTTCCTGGGCTTGGCCCTTAAGGCCTCTTTTCCCAAGACAACGGCCTTGAGATGGGCCTGGGAGGGAAGGGTCCTCCCGCTGCTTCTCCGGGCCCCAGGAGTGGAAGCCAGGAACCTACACAGAAGAGAGCCTCCTTCACAAAGCTCAGTTCTTCTGGGTATCTTTTCGTTCTTTTTCTCTTCCCTGGACCTCACGAATGGGGAGATTCTGAGGGTGGGCACAGCTTTGAAATTCTCCCAGGAAGAAGGCAACAGTCCCTTTCTCCCCGACACCATCCTCACTCACAGGCCTGTGCTGCCCTCCTCCAGCAGTGCCTCAACTCTGATCCAGACTTCTACACACTCATGCTCTGACTGTTCATCCCTCCCTGCTGAGTCCAGAGCCTGACTAGACGTGCATGCTGAGCAGACAGGTCGGCAGCATCTGTGGGCCCAGAGTCTCCTCCTGCCCACCTCTGTAGGCTGCCTTTCCCTGGCCCTCAGTCCCTGCTCTGGCCTGGCCAGACAGCCTTTTCTTCCAGCATGTGGGCCTAAAGGTGCAGTCAGGGTGGAAGAGCCATTAGGGCACACATCCATCTCCTTCCCCTACCCACCTGGGAAGTCCCAACCAGAATCACCACCCAGCCCCACCTGGAAAACAGCTCCCAGAGCTTTCCCTCACTGCTGCTACCTGCCTGACCTCTAAACCTATCCCTAGACCGGGACCACTTCCAGCTGGGCTCACTGTCCCACCTGCTTAATGCCAAGGCCACAGGCTACCAGGAGCTCCCAGACTGGCCGGAGGAAGCCCCAGACCCATCTGTGCGCAACGTGGAGGTCAGCGGGGTGGAGGGTTGAAGTGTGTGTGTGTGTGTGTGTGTGTGTGTGTGTGTGTGTGTGTGTGTGTGTGTGTGTGTTGGTGGGGGCAGACAGTAGGGAGCCCTGGCAGTGCCGGCCCAGCCCTCCTAACACCCTCCCCCACACACACAGGAAGAAGATCTCTCCCTTATTGAGACTCACGTGGGCCTGTTGGGCGAATACACTGAGGTCCCACCTTCGTGTGACGTGTGCTCTCTCCCCTGCCCTGTCTGTGTCCCTCTTCTTCCCCTGTGTGTTGTGCTCCTGGGCCTTCCCATACTCTGTTTCCACCTTGGTTTGGCAGTGCTCCTCTGTGAGCAGCATTCCCTCCCCTCCATGGACAGTGCCCCTTTCTTCCTCCTCTGTTATTCCCTTTGTGGGACAGACCAGGTAGGGCCTCACAAAGAGGTGGAATAAAGGGTAAGGGCTTGTGCCTGCCTGCCTTCTCCCCAACCATGATGAAATGACCCTGCACCCTACCCCCATCTCCAGGTACCTGAATGGACCAAGTGCTCAAATCGGGAGAAGAGAAAGGAGAAGGAAAAACCCTTCTACTCGGACTCTGAGGGGGAGTCAGGCCCCACGGAGTCCGCAGACAGTGGTGAGCAGATGGCAGAGCTGGGGTCCTCTGTGCTCTGCCCATGCATCTGTGTGACTGACTATATGAGGGGTATATGTATATGGTTGTGTGTCTAGGGGTGTGCACCTGCTTGTGAATTGTTTGTGCACCTGAGGGATTCATGTTCCAGGTGTGTGTGCTTGTGCAGGTTTCTATCCATGGAGTCCATCTGTGTTTCTGTCAGTTCCAGCTGGCATGTAGGGCTGGGGGCAGGTCAGAGAGGTTTGAGGGTTCAGTACTGAATGTGAAGGTGGAACCCAGGTGTCTGCTCCAGACCCAAGGAGGCCTGCATATGAGGGAGGAGGCCTCATATTGTTCCTCCACAGACCCTGAGTCTGAGAGTGAATCGGACAGTAAGAGCAGCAGTGAGAGCGGCTCTGGGGAGTCCAGCAGTGAGTCCGACAATGAAGACCAGGATGAGGATGAGGAGAAAGGGAGAGGCAGTGAGAGGTGAGAAGGGAGCTAGCCAGATGGCTGGTGGGGTTCAGGGGGCTTTCCTGGAAAGAGGGCTAGCATTGAGCTTTAGCCAGTCTCCTAAGAGCCCCTGAGCCCCTCGTGAGCTGGGTGGGGCTGTCAGCTCACATGACGCCTACTTTCGCTGGCTGCAGGAGATCTCTGAGGCCTCATGGGCTGGTGTGGAGAAGCAACCAGAGTCCTAGAGCCTGAGCTGGCACAAGCTGGCTTCAAGCTCTCACGGGGTCCCTGCTATAGGACCTCAGGTGTGAACCCTCCTGGCTCAGGCTCCCCACACCACTCCAGCTTTTCAGCATTTCTCCTGCTTCTGTGAAGCAAGGAGGGAGTGTCCAGGCCAGGCCTGAGCCAACCTTTCCCACTCCTTCAGTGAACAGAGTGAGGAGGATGGTAAGAGGAAGACAAAGAAGAAGGTGCCAGAGAGAAAAGGAGAAGCGTCATCCTCTGATGAGGGCAGCGATTCCAGCAGTAGCTCATCAGAGTCCGAGATGACATCGGAGTCCGAGGAGGAGCAGTTAGAACCTGCCTCCTGGAGCAGGAAAACAGTGAGAGCCTTGGGGCAGAGTCAGGGTGTGCTCATGGGCCAGGGCCCTCCCCAACCTCTGGGCCAGGCCCAGACATCTATCTCCCTACCATCCAGAACAGAACATGACATCTTCTACCCAACCCAGAACATGCCAAGGTGCTCCCCTTCCCCACACCCACATCCCATTTTTCTCTTTCAGCCTCCCAGCAGCAAAAGTGCTCCTGCAACCAAGGAGATCTCCCTGCTTGATCTAGAGGATTGTGAGTTTGGGTGGTAAAAGTCACAGGGGAAAGGAGGCCTGGGGAGCATGAATTAGAACAGCCCATAGGGACTCTGGATCGGGTTCCTCAGGTCTTGTGGGAGCAGGGGAGCAGACAGAACATATCTTCAGGCCTGAGAGGGCAGCAGGGCTGACCTCCCCAGGTCTGGGGTTGAGGTCTAGGAATGGGTATTTTGCGAGAGCCTCCAGGCAGCCATGTGCCCCGCTGTCCATGGTGCTGAAATGCGTGCTCCTTGATCCCTAGGCTCCCTGCTCAACCCAAGCCACCTCCACTTTGCCTCCTCATAGTCTTATCTACTCCCACAGTCACCCCTCCCAGTGTCCAGCCTGTGTCTCCCCCAGCAATTGTGTCTACCAGTCTGGCTGCTGACCTGGAGGGCCTGACACTCACAGACTCCACCCTGGTACCGTCGGTGAGTGGGATGGAGGAGGGGACCGGGCTGGGGCAGGGACACATCCCTGTGCTGCATCCTATGGTGTGGATGTGTGTGGGGGGTGGGTGTGATGGAGGATGTGATAGCTTTGAGTCCCAGCTGCTGGATGGCCCTAGGGGACAATGCTGGGACAGGCTCTCTCCATCTTGCTCAGTTCTGTCCTTCCCTACCCCTCCACTCTAGCTTCTGAGTCCAGTATCGGGTGTTGGGCGGCAGGAGCTGCTGCACCGGGTAGCTGGCGAGGGGCTGGCTGTGGACTACACCTTCAGCCGCCAACCTTTCTCCGGGGATCCCCACATGGTGTCCGTGCACATCCACTTCTCCAACAGCTCTGATACCCCCATCAAGGGCCTGCATGTGGGCACTCCCAAACTGCCTGCTGGCATCAGCATCCAAGAATTTCCCGAAATTGGTGCGAAGGGCTTTGGATGGGGTGGAGGAGGAGGCTCCTGGGCAGAGTCAGTCTTTCTGTGGTTGCTGATACCCTCCTTGTGCCAGGCCAGGGGCCAAGCTATAGGGGCACAGAGATAGCATCTAACATGATCAACACTCTGGTGGACAAGACAGATGATGAAATAAGCAAGTTCACATCAGGGCGGGAGGTGCTTGCAGCAGCAGATTTGGGCCTTGGTTGTTTCAGGACTAACTTAAATGTGGTGAGGGTGAGTGGGGGAAAGGGTGCTTAGAGTTCAGGAGGAAACCGGGAACAGTCTCCAGCAGCCAAGAAAGCCAAGATTCTGTAGAGGGCTGGTCAGCTGTGACAGTGGAGAGGAGAGTAGGGCTAGGCTGGGTTCTAGACCTATCAGGTGATGGTGGCCCTCCCTCTCCCCTTCACTGCCTTATACCACTTCAGAGTCCCTGGCACCTGGAGAATCTGCCACTGCTGTAATGGGCATTAATTTCTGTGACTCAACCCAGGCAGCCAACTTCCAGCTGTGGTATGTGCCCAACTCGAGGTGGGGGTGAGAGGATGGGCTGGAAAGGGACAGGGTAACAATGAACTGGAAATGGAGGTGGTGCTTAGTGGGGATACATCATGATTGGGTGGGTCTGGAAGCCATCTCAGGCCCTCATTCCTGACCTCACTCTTTCACTGCCTCCAAGCTGTGCCTCTACACAGGGTGGGAAGTGAGGGGAGAGATGACAGCCTTAATTCTTCTCCGTTTCCTCCCACCCCTCCCAGCACCCAGACCCGACAGTTCTACGTCTCCATTCAGCCACCTGTTGGGGAGCTGATGGCCCCTGTGTTCATGAGTGAAAATGAGTTTAAGAAGGAACAGGGTGAGTGCTCCCTGGGAGTGGGCAGAGAGGGAAGTATAGAAGCTGACTCCAGAATGTCCAGCTTGGATGGTAGGGAGAATGGTGGTGTCCTTCATCTAGACCAGGGGTCAGCAAACTTTCTGTAACGGGCCAAAGATAAATGTTTTAGGCTTTGAGAATCATGTGGTCTCTGTTGCAGTTACAACACGACTGTGGCTGTTGAAACATAGAAACATCCACAGACAGTATGTAAATGAACGAGTATGGCTGTGTTCCAAGAAATTTCCATTTATATTTATAGATACTGAAGTTTAAATTTCATGTAATTTTCATGTGTCATGAAATATTAATCTTTTGATTGCTCCCCCAACACTTAAAAAATATTAAAAACATTGTGGGCCATATAGGTGGTGGGCTGGATTTGGTCTGGAGGCTGTAATTTGCAAAACCTCTGGCCTAGAAGAAAGAAGAGTGGCTTGGGCAAGGGAGGAGGGAAGATCATGGTTAGTTTTGGATAAGCTGATTTTGAAATGCATTTGGGAAATTCAGGAGGAGCTATTTAGTATGCAACTGAAAATATGGGTCTATGCCCAGGAAACACTTTGAAGCTGGAGTCATGAACATAGAGGTGGTAATGGAAGCTGTGAATATGAATGAGATCACTCTGGGAGGTGGGAGAAAATAGGAAGGCCAAGGACAGAACCTTGGGGGAAAACCTGAATTCTGCAGAAGAAAGAGGAGGGGAGGGATAAGAGAAGGAGCACAGGGAGAGGTGGGAGGAGAACCAGGAGAGACAACAAGGCAGAAGGTGTCTGCAAACCACAGTTACCTAAGACCTTCAGAGTCAGCATATAAAAGGCTACTGCCAACCTGAGGGAGAGAGGGTCATTGCTAAAGGAGGGACAGAGGCCAACTGCAGTGGGTTGAGGGAGACCACGGCTCAAGTACATGCAGTCCTCTTTGGAGGACTTTAGCCATGAATGAGGAGGGAGACAGGGCATTGGCACGATGAAGGATCTCACTTCTGGAAAGGATTTTTTGGAGACGGGGACACTTGAACATGAACAGATTGAAGGAACAAAAACAAGAAAATGTTATTAGTCATGAATGAAGGGGATAGAAGAAACAGGAGAGGGATGTCAGTTTCTAAAAGGAGGTGAAGAATAGGGGAAGCAGTGGAGGGAGGAAAGAGGCTGAAGAGAAGACTGCTGGTGTGCAGGAGAGCAGACGGAGGAGCTCCCATGGGGGGCCTGGATCATGTGAGTGGAGAGAAGTCAGCCTTGCAGAATGAGGAGTTCTGGGGGTGCTGTGAAGGTTTGGAGGCTTCAGGAGCCCTGGCTAGGTCTGGAGCTGCTACTGCAGAGGTACAATTAAAAATGTACCTGTGAATGCTGCATGTGACTACTGGATTCTGGCTGAGAGATCACAGCAGCCACCTGTGATCTTTTTGTGAGGGCTTAGCTTCCAGGAGCTGAGTGGGAGTTGAATGTGGGTTGGAGGGCCCCCCAGGAAAGATCAAAGGGTGTGAGGTTCAGGATGGGCGAACCTCTTAAGAACTGACTGGCCACTCTCAAGGGGCTGGTAGCCCAGATGTCTGATGGAGGAAGCGCCAAATCAGTCTTTGGTAACAACATGGATAAAGGCCTGGGTGGGAGGGGTAGAGAGGCTGACAAAGGCTTCCTGAGGGAGGGCCCAGTCTGAGAGGGAAGTACCTTCTCCCCAAGACTGATGATTTAAATTCTGACCTGCCCTTTGCATGATACCTTCCCAGCCTGGGAGAACTTGTTGCTCAGTAAGCAGACCCAGGTGCTGGCCTCTGTACCCACCATGGCCTCTGCCCTCATCACGACCTCTACCCCCAGGAAAGCTGATGGGCATGAATGAGATCACAGAGAAACTCATGCTGCCAGACACCTGTCGGAGTGACCACATTGTGGTGCAGAAAGTGACTGCCACTGCCAACCTGGGTCGTGTTCCTTGTGGGACATCTGATGAGTACAGGTACTAGGCCACCAGTAGAGGGGAAATGATGAGCATGGGGGCCCTGGTTTGAAGGAGGAGCCCCAGCTGCTGATCCCCTTCCAAACACAGTCACCCTTAGCAGCTCTTCCTCACCCCTTCTATTCCCACCTCAGGTTTGCAGGGAGGACACTGACTGGTGGAAGCCTCGTTCTGCTGACCCTGGATGCCCGGCCAGCTGGAGCTGCCCAGCTGACTGTCAACAGCGAGAAAATGGTGATTGGCACCATGCTGGTAAAGGATGTGATACAGGCTCTGACCCAGTGACTTCCAAATGCTGTGACCTGTTTGGCTCCCATCTATACCTCCCCATGACACCTAGGCTGTCAGTCTCTCTCATCTTTCTCTCTCTCTCTCATCATCCTCCTCATGCCAGATAGCATTCAGGGTGTCCTCTCTCCCTCTGGAGGACCAAGCCCTCCCCTAATGCCCTCCCCATGGATTCCTTAGTGATCTGTGCAGAGAGAGATGGCAGCCACTCCCTTCAGTCCTCCCAGATTTCTGTAGCTATTTATGTAGCAGGCTCAATAAAATGTCTTCTCTCTAGCTGCTGGCTCACCTTTCCTTCTAGGGGTTTGTCAGGAACAACTCTTGTTGAATCCCCAAGGTAACCATCTCTGGGTCAGGATGCCTAGGAGTCTGCAGGCATCTCTGTGGAAGAGACATCTGGGCTGGGGTGGCAAGGCAGAGCTGGAAGAGCACCTTGGTCCTTTTTATAGCCTCTGCAAAAACAAGTCCTCTTCAATGGCTGGCAGACCCCCTTAGTTCTTCTTACGGTCCCTTGGGAAGGAAGGACTCATAACATGGGGACTTCCCCAAACACAGGTGCTCAGTTCAACATATGTCAACTACTCCAGTTAGGGGGCCTGGAGGCCCCACCTGGCTGGGGTACTGACCCACTGGTCATCTTAGTGGAAGAATAGAAGATGCATAACTGTACTTCTCAAACCACTTTGTGGCAAGTCACCTGGGGATCCCATCACATGCAGATTCTATTAGTAGGTCTAGGGTGGGGTCTGAAATTCTGCATTTTTTTTTTAAGTGAAAGCAGCCGGGCGTGGTGGCTCACACCTGTAATCCCAGCACTTTGGGAGGCTGAGGTGGGCCAATCACGAGGTCAAGACCAACATGGCCAACATGGCGAAATCCCATCTGTACTAAAGATACAAAAAATTAGCTGGGCATGGTGGTGCGCACCTGTAATCCCAGCTACTTGGGAGGCTGAGGCAGGAGAATCGCTTGAACCCAGGAGGCAGAGGTTGCAGTGAGCTGAGATCGTGCCATTACACTCTAGCCTGGACGACAGGGTGAGACTCTGTCTCAAGATAATAATAACAATAATAATAATAATGTGAAAGCAAATTTATTAAGAAACAACAGAATGGCGACTCCATAGGCAGAGCAGCAGATTCTGTATTTGTAACAAGACACCAGCATCTGCTCACACCTGGAACAAACCTGGTGGGTGCAGTGGGGGTCAGGGCTCTCCCTGACACCTTTTCTGGTGAAGAAAGAGGCTGAGTGAGCAGTGGTTCTAAAACGTATAAAAGGTGTTCCATTAGGATGTGTTCTGTACCCTCCCGCCCCCTGCAAAGTCTATGATCAAATAAGTTTAGGAATCTTGGATTTAAGTGAAATAAGTTCATTTCCTACAGGTCTTCTCAGAACTTTTACTATGCTAATGTACACTGTGACCACCTCTCAGCCTGCAGTGTTACTCAAACTTGGTTTTGATTTTGGAACACTTTCCTCACAACATCTTGATTGACTGGGTTACAAGGAACACACTCCAGTTAGTTTGAGATGTTGAACCTCAGCCTCTGATCCTCTGTGACCAAGACTTTAGGCCCTTGGCCATACTGTCCCTCAGCCCTGCCACTTAGGCATCCCTGAGCATGTCTGTTCATGGGTAAGATGGGGTGAAGCAGGTGTGGCTGTCCTCTCACAGAAGGAGAACAAAGGCAGTGCCAGGGGACAGCCCTGCCTCTGGCTCCAGGGACTTGCTGGGCACTGTGACACCAGAGAGCTGCTGGAGCTGCTGCTTCCCTGAGAGCCTGGGGCCCCAAAGTCTCCCTGGGATCACTGTTTTTGTCACTGCAGATTCTGAGATGGTCCTCCAGTCAAAAGTAAGATTCAGTCTTACTTTTGCCTCTGAATCAGCACTACCCACAGCACTGAGAGAGGGTGAGGGTGATTTTCTAAGAAATTTGAACAAGGACCATCAGAGAATCCCTTACCCACCTTTATTCTATATCAAAAGCCCCAGAGTAGAGCTGGGCATGTGTCTGTAGTCCCAGCTACTCAGAAGGCTGAGACTGGAGAACTGCTTGAGGCCAGGAGTTCAGGGCTGTATTGCACTATTATTACACCTGTGAATAGCACTCTATCCTGGACAACCTAGCAAGACCCTACCTCTAAAAAAAAATCCCCTTTTAAAAAAATGGGATTCTGTAGGAACCAGAAGTGCAAAAGGCAAGTCCCACAACATTCCTCAAGTACAGTCCAGGTTCCCAGAACCTCTTGGAAAGGGCACTGGGATTTCCAACCCTGAGAGTCCAGAGAGTTGGAACCTTCACGGCTCTGTGTTGGTGTCTCTGGAATGTGTCCCAGGCTTTGGCATTAGCAGTAGCAACTCTTCATAAGGAAATGGTTCTGGTGTTTGACCAAAGAGAGAGGCAGGAAGCAGGAGAGCAAGGTGTGGGCAGGGGAGAGTATGACTGCAGAAGGAGCCCAGCGGGGAGTGGTGTGCTGCTGGTGAAGGCTGGGCTGGGAGATTGGTGGGGCAGCAATTTCCCACCCAGGAGGAGCATGGGGCCTGTTCTGTGCTGAGTGAACGGTCTGGAGTGAGAGAATCTCAGTCACAGAGGAAGGGGGAGTGGTTGCCCCAGCTCTCGTTCCAGCCCAGCCCATCTCTTCCAAGGCCATACCTCCCACAACCCTACCACATGAGCATACCTGAGCGAGTGTGCAGGGATAAGATGGGGGCCTGCCCAGCACACACAGGTGGAAGCAGGTCAGACCTGCAGGGGCTGGGGGCCCCCACATCCCCCGGGGGCATTTTCCCCAACCCATATCGTATTCTGTATTTTATCACTGGCCCAAGTCTTTGCCACTGTGGTGACACTTTGTCCCCAGGTTATTAGGGGCCTGGTCACAGAGTGTCTGGATCTCAGTTGGCAGGGAAAATGCTTCCCATGAACAGCCTTTTTTTTTTTTTCTTTTTTTTTGGGAGACAGAGTCTTGCTCTGTTGCCCAGGTTGGAGTGCGGTGGCACAATCTCCGCTCACTGCAACCTCCGCCTCCTGGGTTCAAGCAATTCTCGTGCCTCAGCCTCCTGAGTAGCTGGGATTAGGGATTACAGGCGTGTGCCACCACGTTTGGCTAATTTTTATATTTTTAGTAGAGACGGGGTTTCGCCATGTTGGTCAGGCTGGTCTCGAACTCCTGACTCGTGATCTGCCTGCCTTGGCCTCCCAAAGTGCTGGGATTATAGGCGTGAGACACTGCACTCAGCCTAATTTTTTGTATTTTTAGTAGAGATGGGGTTTTGCCATGTTGGCCAGGCTTGTCTGAAACTCCTGAGCTCAGGCAAAACACCTGCCTCGGCCTCCCAAGTGCTAGGATTATAGGCATGAACCACCATGGCTGGCCAGTCATGAATAGTTTTGATGGGACAACCAGGGAACTAGCCCAGGGCTGTGGGATTCAGGTGGGGCCCAGGACCACAGGACGGACTGGGAAGCACTCTTAGGACTCTGCTGGTGCAAAGGAAGGGCCGAAAGTGGCCTGGAAGTGGATAGAAGCACAGGGACTGGCACAGAGGCAGTGACAAGGATGGGGTAGTGCATCAGTGGGGATCTAGGTCTGAGCCTGACCACAGGCCTTGATGGGTCAGAGGACAATGAGCTCAGAGAGGGGCTGGGAACTGGAGTCTAGTCCAGGATGGCTTCAAAACAATGCCCAGGCAAATGGGCAAGAGAGACAGCTCGTTTCCAGCCAGGCTGCATCACCTGGCTAGCTGCAGTGGCTGGTGACCCGGGGGAATAGATCCATTTAGAGATACCAAGGAAGCCACTACAAGGACCCTGGAGTTGCGACATTAGCTGTGCCCATGCTTGAACTCCCATCTGTCTGGTGACTAAGGCAAACCCCTGCACTAGTTCAGCCTATTCTGCTTGGCATCTTGACAGTCACCTCCCAATAGTGTATCTTCCACATCAAAAGGATGGGTGTTGAGGGTGGAACTCAAAGTGGGAGGACTTTCCCTGTCCTGGCTTGGAAAGGAAAGGGAAAACTGGAAAATTCTGACCCACCCGAGGACCTCAGCCTGAGTCTTCCTTCTGTCACCACCTGGTCTTTTGGCTCCCAGAGTCAAGAGAAGGATGGTGAATTGGTCCCTGGGAGGGTGGAGCCCAGGTTGGGATATGGAGAATAAGGATTAAAAGTGGCGTATCCTCAAGGAAAAGAAGCAGTATATACCTTTTTGGGTCTTTGACTTGATGGCTCTGGTTTGACCCCAGTCTCTCTCCCTGCATCCCCAATCCCACTGACCTGTCTAGAAGAAAGCACTTAGGGCTGAACTTTTTGATCCTGACCTTTGGGAACCCCCATTATTTTCCCATTACCAACTGCCCCCTTGCTGCAGAAGATGCTATGGTGTCACTGAGGCTTCGCTTCCCTATGGCATCTGGAGAACAGAAAGAATGCTTCTCTCTATCCAGGCCCCAAATACATTACGCCCCTGGCTTTGGAAATATATTTTTTTAAAAATCTAAAGTTTCAGTATTTAAATTTATGAATCTGTAAACATATAATTTATAAATTTATGAATATTTAAGTATAGTATTCCTACATAAAATTGTACAGATCACAAGTGCTCAACTTGATGCGTTTTCATAGACTGAATAACCCATGTAAACAGCATCCAGCAAGAAAAAGCGTGGCAGCACAACTTCCTCATGTCTGCTTCCAGTTTGGGGCAGTGTTTCATTTTGCTGAGAGATTACAGAGTCCTGAAACAGTTTGACACCAGGCTCCAAGTGGCAGTGGGATTTCAGAAGGCCAACATGGATTTGTGTCCAGCAATGCCAACACAGTGGCAGATGCTTCTCTTTGGGGCTATTAGGGATGTGTTAACAACAGCCTCTGTGGGAGGGGCAGGGTATGTGGAAATAGGAGGGTTGTCTTGTTTTGGCTGTGAAGAATGTAAGGAAACACCTATGGAGGAAGAGGAATTCTTGAGAGCTTGGGCAAGGTGACTTTGACCTTGGATGTGCTAAGACCTCAGCATCTGTACCTTCAGAGGGAAGTCAGGGAGGGAGAGGTGGGGTTGGTGTTTCTCATGGGTACCAAGGCAAGACCAAGACCCTGGACTCCTGACCCTCACCAAGAAAAGCTGCATACTCTCGAGTAAATCTCTGAATGTCTCAATTTCCCCAGCTGCAAAACAAAGGGGATGGCCTCTCTGATTCCCATGTCTCTGGGCATCCACTAACCCATTACAAGCATCTCAGGACAACCAGCACTCACCTTCAACCTCCAAGATACTCCCCAATGATCTTTGCTACCTGATATCTGTATCCTTGTGTCATTCCCTCCCACATATTATCAATGTTGGTGTTATGTGAATAATAGGATACAAATGATGGTATGTCATTTCTCAGATTAGGTTATAAAATTCTTTGAACCTCCATCTTGGTTGTTCTCTTCCTCCCTCTCAAGCCAGCTACCATGTCTTGAGCAGCAATATGGAGAGGTCCATGTGACAAGGAACTGAGGCTTTTGCCGGCACCCACTTGAGTGAGCTTGGAAGCTGATCTTCCAGCCCAAGGCAGAGCTTCAAGTGACTGCAGTTCTGGCTGACATCATGACTACAAACTCATGAGAGATTCTGAGCCAGAACCAGCCAGCTAAGCCATTCTCTGATTCCTGACTCCCAGAAATTGTGCAAGATAATAAATATTTGTTGTTTTAAGCTGCTTAGCTTTAGGGGTAACTTAATAGCAATAAATAAATAATACAATCCAGCCTTCCACCCATCTCCTAGGTTGTTGGGAAAGCCCTCAGGGAGCCTGGATCCCTGAGTCTGGCCTTCAGAGCACTCTGCTCCCACATTCAGTGTCTGAGTGGTGTGCCTGAGTTGGCTTCTCCTGGCTCATGAGGGCTGACTGTTATTACACATTCAGGAATTTTGTGAGCCAGATGATGTCACACTGACAATTTGAAATCAGCCGTGGTGGGAGTTTTTATGCCATGGAAAGAGACAAATGCTACAAATCACTTCCCTCCCCCAGCCAATTGTCAAACATTTACCAGCACATCACGGCCCTTAATTATCCCCATCTCTGTCTCTTTAAAATATTATTATGTATTTCAAGTTTAGAGACTATCATAACCACCTGTATACTAATCATCCAACTTGAGAACTGAAGCACTCATCAGTTCAGTGCTCATCAATCCAATGTCCCCCACACCCCTCATTTCATGACTGCTTCCTTTCCCACCTGAAGCAAATCATTCTGAATTTTCTGTTTATCAATAACATCCTTTTTTTTGTACTTTTACTATAGATAGACGTGTTCCTAAACAATATATAGTACCATACTTTGTGATGGTGGTGCGTACTACACGTTTTCAAATTTTATATAAATGGCATCTGAGAGTATGTTTTCTCCTACATCCTGCTTTTTCACTCAATATTGTTTGTAAGTCATGTTGATGTGATCTGCTGTATTTCATTTACTTTTACTTATATATAGAATTCCATTGTATGACTATACCATAATTTATTGATCCACTCTCCTGTTGGTGGGCATTTAAGATTATTTTATTTTGTTTTGTTTTTGTAACTATTAACAAAACAGCTACAGACATTTTTACTCATGTTTCTTAACACGTATGAAAGTTTCTCTAACATATTTTCCTAGGAATGGAATTGCTGGGTCATAGAGTATACACTTTTTCAAGTTAACTAGAGAATCCAAATTGCTCACCAGAGTTGCTATACTTCACATCAATAATATTTCTAGCAGCTTTATTCATAATAGTCCCCGAAGTGGAAAGAATTCAAATTCCAATCAATAGGAGAATGCAGAAATAAATTATGGTGTATCTACACAATGGAATACTACTTAGCAATACAAAGGAACAAACTACTCCTACATGCCAACAACATGGATGGATCTAACAGGTATGTTGAATGAAAGAAACCAAAAATTATATGAAGTCTAGAACAGGTTAAATGAATCTGTAATGAAAAGCAGTAAGGTAACGGTACCTTGAGGAGGGAGGTATAAAGTGGGAAGGGGCAGGAAGGAACCCAGTGGGGGTTCTGGAGAGATTCTATGCCTCCATGCGGGTGGTGGTTACCTCGGTATACACTTAAGATTTGTGTACTGTGGCCGGGCGTGGTGGCTCACGCCTGTAATCCCAGCACTTTGGGAGGCCAAGACAGGTGGATCACAAGGTCAAGAGATCCAGACCATCCTGGCTAACAGGGTGAAACCCCGTCTCTACTAAAAATACAAAAAATTAGCCGGGCGTGGTGGCGGGCGCCTGTAGTCCCAGCTACTCAGGAGGCTGAGGCAGGAGAATGGCATGAACCCAGGAGGCAGAGCTTTCAATGAGCCGAGATCTCGCCACTGCACTCCAGCCTGGGCGACAGAGCGAGACTCCATCTCAAAATAAATAAATAAATAAATAAATAAATAAAAAAGATTTGTGCACTCTATGCATTGCCTTCTCTCCATTAAAAGATATGAAACATAAAAGCACACACCAAAGTAGCTGAATCAGTTTACGCCCTCACTAGCAGTGATCCTGCTACTGGGACAGTGAAAGTTGATCATTTTTTTCCATTTGAAAAGTGTGGCACGGCATCTGATTGTGGTTTCATTTGCATTTCCCTGGTTACTGATGAGGGTGGGCATCTACTGATGTTTCTTGGCCATTTGGATTTTCACTTGTGTCAACTGCCCATTCTCATCTTTTGCCCATTTTTCTGTGGAGTTGTGTTTTTTCCTCATTGATTACAGAACTTCTTACATAGTCTGGAAACTAGTTCTTTGTAAATACATGGATTGGAGATACCTTCTTCCAGTCTATGGCTTGTCTTTTCAAGCTTTAAACAATATCTTTAGCTGGGCGGTGGCTCACGCCTAATCCCAACACTTTGGGAGGCCGAGGCGGGCGGATCACGAGGTCAGGAGTTCGAGACCAGCCTGGGCAACATGGTGAAACCCCGTCTCCACTAAAAATACAAAAATTAGCCGGGTGCGGTGGCAGGTGTCTGTAATCCCAGCTACTCTGGAGGCTGAGGCAGAAGAATTGCTTGAACCCGGGAGGCTGAGATTGCAGTGAGCCGAGATCGTGCCACTGCACTCCAGCCTGGGCGACAGAGCAAGACTCCACCTCAAAACAAACAAACAAACTCTTTTAGTAAACCAAAGTTTTTAATTCCAGTGTGGTCAAATGTATTGTCTTCCTTTATATCCTGTGCTTATTGTTCCAATCTTATTTTTCCAAGTTTACAAAATTCATCCACGGGCTGAGGTAAAAAAAAATTCTCCTATATTTTCTTCTGAAAAAATTCTAAGTAAAGCTTTTCAGAATTGTATTTTTAACTTACTTTTGTGTACGATGAAAGGTGGGGCCAATCCACTCTTTCTTTTTTTTTTTTTTTTGAGATGGAGTCTCGCTCTGTCACCCAGGATGTAGTGCAGTGGTGAGATCTCGGATCACTGCAAGCTCCGCCTCCTGGGTTCATGCCATTCTCCTGCCTCAGCCTCCCAAGTAGCTGGGACCACAGGCGCCCACCACCATGCCCAGCTAATTTTTTGTGTGTATTTTTAGTAGAGACGGGGTTTCACCATGTTAGCCAGGATGGTCTCGATCTCCTGACCTCATGATCTGCCTGCCTAGGCCTCCCAAAGTGCTGGGATTACAGGCATGAGCCACCGCGCCTGGCCCCAATCCACTTTTTTATCCCACTTAAAAGGAACTTGAAAAAACAAAGAACATGGTTTCTTCTGTACAGAGCTTGGCAAAACTTGAGCAGAGACTGTGTGTGTCTACCTTGTGGTCTTGAGTTCCTGAGTGAATTCCTTTTCTTATCTTTTGCAACCAGGAAATTATTTTCTCCCATCAAACTTCTCTCTTCTTTTAGCTCTCTGCCTCCTGCAGAAGCACTGAACACTTGAGCATATAAAAGACTATAGGGTCCCTCCTGTTTCCCTAGTACACATATTTAAAATGTAGTCCAGCTAATTATATAGTTGGACTTAAAATCAGTATTGTAAGTCTGGGGCTTGACTGCAGAGACAGTGCCAGGCATAGCTGGGCTCAAAGGCTGTTTGTTGACTGGGAGAATAGATAATGCTGCCTATTTGTTTCTGCTGCTTCTGCCAGTGACCAGCTGTGGGGACTTGACCAAGTCATTTAATAAATTCACCTCTGTCACTTTCCACACCCTGCCCTGTGGATTATGGTCACCTTCAGAGGGACTGTTCTTCCTGTATGACCTGCAGGCCTAGCCAAGTCCAGGTAGGGAACAAGGACTTGCCCACACCTGAGGTCATGACTGCATTTGGTCAAAGTTACCTCTTCTCTCAACATCTGCAGTCAGCTCTGGGGTCATTCACAGATAAGCACACACATAAGCATGCTGGAAGTTTTATTCTCACCTGGTTAAGACTTCAGGCTCTGAAACCAGAAGACTGCCTTGGTTTGAGTCTTTGCTCTCACACTTTTAGCTGGGAGTCTTTTGGCAAGTTACTTAACTTCTTTGAGCTTCAGTCTCATCTGCAAAATGAGATAACATAGGTAAAGCACTCAAAACTTTCCCACGCGCACAGTAAGTGGTCAGTGAAGACGAGCTATTATTATTACCTGCAACAGAAAGTTTAGGGAGAGAGATTTTAGGCAGCAGAAGTTTCTGTTCCAAGTCTCTTGAAAGATGCCTTCATTTTCTTATGGTTGACAGTTTTGAAATATGACAGGGCCTCCAGACACCCGCTCCCTTGGGCACTATTCTGGGTTTCAGGTTCTTATCTTGCTCAGCTTTTGGGTCAGAGAGGAGGAAACGATGTCAGGGATCACAAACTGGCAGCCGGTGAGCTGCATGGGGCCCCTGGACATGCTGGGCTTGGCTCTTTTCATTTGAATTAATAACCAACATTAAAATTCACATTCAAGATTTCACTTAAAAAAGTACTTCCAGCTTTTCTTGAAAGATGACTGGGCTGGGACCTCGTTTCTACATGGTGCCCACCAGCTAACAGCCCTTTTGGGTGTGCCTTGGGCCTTCAGTGCTGTCGCCCACCCTCACTTGGCTCCTGTGCTGTAGGCATCTGGGTGTGCCACCCTATCAGAAGCAGCCATCCTACGCTGCTTGTGGGCCAGGACAAGACTCAAGTAGGCTACTCCTGGAGAAAGCATGGCTCAAGAGGTAGGGGTCCCAGCGAAGTTGCTCCTGCCTTGTCCCTGTAGTCATCACCCTTTCTGCCCATGACCTCAGCAACCCAAAGAAGCTCCTGTAAGTAGACCAAGTGGATGGAGACTGGCCAACTCCCACTGTCACTCACCCCCTCGTGGACTTCTACTCTTATGCTCACCACCCTTCCCCCCTTAATCCTTCTGAAACACTAGACTATAATATCAGCTTCCTCTTTCTCCATCACCTCAGGCAGAAACTGACAGTTACCTGTCCCTCTCCCCTTAGCCATTAGATCAAGCCCAGGAAGACGGCAGCACCATCCTTCCTAAGTGCCAGGAGAGGACCGGAGCATAGTTAGTGCTTATTAAATAGTATCATGATAACATGACACATGTAAAACACTTAGCAATGTTCAATAAACTCTGGTCCCTTTCCTCCCCACTCCAGTCCCTTGTTTTCCCCCTTTTCTGTCCAACCTCTTCTATGTCTCCAGCAACACCTTAAAACAGACCCGACAACTGCCAACCCCTTTTACAATTCTCTAATAGTTTTCCTGCTGTCTGCAGAATAAAGGCCCCTTACAAACCGGGCCCAGGCTTCCCTCCGGCGGTATCAGGTCGCATCATCCTCAGTCCTGGTCAGAGGGAGCCGCTCGGTGCCGTCCTCCCTCTCTGCCTTTGCTTGATCTTCCGCCTGGAATGCCATCTCCGACTCTGCGTTTGCCTGGGGTTTCCGGTCCGCCCCTGCGCCAGGTGCCCTAGGACGCCTGCCCTGGAGCCCTCGCCCTATCCCTTGCCCTATTTCTGTGAAACTTTCTATCTCAGTGTGTCAGGAGCGCCGGAAGCGGTTTCTCCGGAGAACTCCGGTCCAAAGAGGACCAGTGATGTCTTTGGAACTTTCTGGAACTTCCTGACTCTCGCGGCCCCCTCTGCAGCGCACGGAGCAGAGGGTCTAAAGTGAGTGCGCCTCCTGGAGCCCAGGGGCTACAGTTCCGACCAAGGATGCCAGGGCAGGCTCTCGCCCTGGAGAGATCACTGGAAGAGAAGGAGCGCGGACACGAGGCTCTACTGACGAAGCGATCGCCGCCGCTCGCAGGGGCTTGTAAATCGTGCCCTCTTTCGTTAAGAGGGAAACTGAGGCCCAGGGCAGACAGTGACTCGGCAAGGGTCACTTAGGTGATGGCGCGCTCAGGCTTAGGTCTCTGGCCCCCCAGGGGGCAGCTGTGGCTAGCAGCGGCGGCAGTCCCCGCCGGGTTCCGGGTGGGCGGCGGAGCCCTCCTCGGCTCGGCCTGCTAGGAGGGGCGGGGCGCGAGGGGGCGGAGGCGAGGGCCCGGGCGGGGCCGACACAGGTGCTCCGCATCCGGCCGGGGGGCGGCTCCGAGGAGCGGCTCGTAGGAGCTTCATAAGCTGCCGGGGTGCGGGGCTGCGCGCGGCCCGCTGCAAAAATAGTGCCCACGTGCGTGCGCGTCTCTCGCCCGCCGGCTGGCCGGTCAGCCCGTCAGCCCCGCAGGGCCACACCGGCCCCATGGCGTTCCCGCTGGTAAGAGCCACCCGCCGCTCGCCTGGGCGGGGCCGCGTCCCGGCCGCAGTAGCTAACGGTCCGCGCGCAGCCGGGTCCGGCGCCGCGGTACCCCCATCCCCCGCCCCGTGCGGGCGAGTCCCGGGCGGGGCGCGGTCACGTGCCCGCGGGCGTGGGGCCTCGTGGAGGGGTGGAGGGCGAGGGGGGCAGGGAGCCTCCTCGTGACTCAGGGCCTTTGGGCTTAAAGGCGCCGCAGCCCTGCGGGGGCGGCCGGTGGGGCCTCCGAGCCGCACTGCGGCCTCCAGGCGGCCTCGAGCGTCTGTCCAGACGGGAGCTGACCGGACATAAAGGAGCACCGGCGCCCGGAACGTTTCTTTCTCACACTGCCGTCGCACGGGAGACCCGAAGCCGCTGGCGCTGGAAGCTCACGCCCCCTGCGGGTCTCTTTAGCACCCGGCGCGCGGTGGGGGCGCCCGGGCGGGACGGGGCGGGGCTGCTGACGGCGTAGACCCCGTGCTCTGTGGAGAGCCCCACGACGGCGGCGGTCGCGGCACCTTTAAGGTGGAGGGCTCAAGCCCCTCGTGCGGCTTCCCAATCCTGGGCAGGTCACGTGGCTTCACACCTTCGCTTGGCGCCGGAGAGGGAGTCTCGGGGGCGGGGCTGGCCAGGTAGTGTGGCGCGAGGGCGGAAGACTGGCGGGGCTTCGTGCCCGGGAGACCCGCCGGGCTGGCGGCATTGAGGTGGGTCCTGGTCATGGGCGGGAGAGGGTTAGGCTTGCAGGCCGCGGAGGTGGCGTAGGCGGGGAGCGACCCGAGCCCACTCTGGGCTGTGCTGTTCGGACCCTCAGCCTGGCGAGTGGGTGCATGTGGCCTGGCGTTCTGGTCATTCTCCTCAGTGCCGGACGAGGCCAGGTGCCCAGACTCAGGGGCGGCCTCAGGTTTGGCGGAGCAGCGGCTGGGGCCCTGGACGAGTCGCCCCCCGTGATGACGAGCGGTTGGGCGGGCCTGTGCCCGCCTGGAGTCACCTGAGTGTGGGGGGACTCACCCACAAAGGGGTCCTCACCTTGGGGTGTCCCACCCGGCGTCATTCCCCGAGGCTTTTTCATGTCATGGGTTCCTCAGCGGTCGAGTCGACCGAGGCTTTGCTGCCTCATTCCTAGAGGACCCAGGGAGACCAGAAGGCTCTGTGAGCGGCCCCGCGTTGACCCCGTGACCGAGAAAAGCCAGGCAGACGCCTGGGCTCTTGGGCGCTTTCGTGGGCGCGCGCTTATTTTTCGGGGGCACTTTGCTCCCTGCAGCCCTGGCCCCTTGCACCGTGCTCTCAGCTGGGGGAAGAGAGTCGGGAGCCGAATTCGCTCTTAGAAGCCGGGGTGCCTCCCGCCAGGCCCGCCTGGGAGGAGGCCGCGTCTCTCCTCCCCCGCCCCGCGCCTGCAGCCCCGGCCCTGACTGACGCCGCATTTCTCTGGCAACCGCTTCCCTTGGTCTCCCTGGCTACCGCCCAGCCTCCCCGCGCTCTCTCCTGGCACCTGAGTCAACTACTGGGCTGTGTCGTTGGTGGGGAAGAGGGGCAAGTGGGTGGGGTTCCTATTCTGGAAGGCACAGGTGCACCGCCCGCCTCTTGGCTGCCCCTCAGGTGACGGTGCGGTCCCTTGCTAGCGGGAAGAGTGTCTGCTAAGGACAGTTTGCACCCTGAGGCTCATGTTCCCTTTGAGTCTAGGGACACATGCTGGGTTAAAAAATAAAAATAAATTCAAACAGGACCCAACCTTGGAAACCTCAAGTTGGTGATTGTTTTCCTGGTTGGTTTTTTGCATAGTTAGAAAAGCTTGTGGAGCTCAATGGGGCTGCTGGCTGTCGGAAAACCCTGGGGACGGTGTTTTGGGGACTCATCACTGGTCTTTTATTTGTCCCCATTGAGCTGGCTTGGAGCTGAACTGTATTCCCAGAGCACGTTGCTGTAGGAGTTTGGCTTTTTATTTTTTAATATTTATTTATTTATTTATTTATTTTGAGAGGGAGTCTTGCCCTGTCACCCAGGCTGGAATGCAGTCTCGCGATCTTGGCTCACTGCAGCCTCCGCCTCCCGGGTTCAAGCGATTCTCCTGCCTCAGCCTCCTGTGTAGCTAGGATTACAAGCTCGTGCCACCACGCGCGGCTGATTTTTGTATTTTTAGTAGAGATGGGGTTTCAGCATGTTAGCCAGGATGGTCTCGAACTCCTGACCTCGTGATCCGCCCACCTCGGCCTCCCAAAGGGCTGGAATTACAGGCGTGAGCCCCCTTGCCTGGCTGAGTTTCGCTTTTTAAATTTTTTGTCACGGCGATTTAAACTTTGGGTGGCCTGGTAGTGCCTGCTCAGTTTATAGAAGTAGGATTTGGAAGTTGACTACTCTGTGTGTAAGTCAACCTTTGTAATAAAAAAGTACGGCCCGGCCCCATGACTCACGCCTTTAATCCCAGCACTTTGGGAGGCCCAGGCGGGCAGATCACCTGAGGTCAGAAGTTCAAGACCAGCCTGGCCAACAAGGTGAATTCCCGTCTCTCCTAAAAATACAAAAATTAGCCGGGCATGGTGGTGGGCGCCTATAATCGAAGCTACTTGGGAGGCTGAGGCAGGAGAATCGCTTAAACCCAGGAAGTGGAAGTTGCAGTGAGCCGAGATCAGCCACTGCACTCCAGCCTGAACGACAGAGCGAGACTTCGTCTCAAAAAACAAAACAAAACTTGGTTTCCCCCCTCCGAACCGTTTGTCTTGTAAACAACTCCCTGGTCTAGGCTCCCATGTGTGGGAGGGAGGTTGTGCCAGCCTGTGCAGCACATCAGAGGTTGGAGAGCTGATGCCTGTGGTGAATAATCATGGAACCGTTTGCAGTTTGGGTTAGGCCATAGGCGTTTGATACAGGAATGGTTCTATGTGCTTTTCTTTCGCTGTAGTGCACAAACCAGTGCCCATGAAGTAAAAAGTGGAGGAGGAAGATAAAGTAGTAAGACTCCAGGCTCAGCACCAAACTTAACTAGTGACCAAATGATAATAGCTGCCTTAATAAGCATTTTCACTGAGCACAACCATTAGTTTTATTCTTAGTCTTTAAAATGGGTTGCAAACTCAAACCCTATAGGGGCCAGAGGTAACATAAATGAGCAAAGGAGGAGGAAAGAAAGGTAATGGCTTCTGAACTACAGAGTATGTGCCTCTTTGAAAGGAGCAGCCACTAGCTGATTGTTGCTCAGCAAAAATGTGGGCCCAGAGTCGGTGGATCTTTGACTTGCTTCTAAACTGGCTATCTCTATTTTGATGGATCTCCTGACTTTTAAATGTAGCATTAAAAAAATTTTAAACACTATAGACCAAATGTAACATGTCTTTAATGTTGGATTCAACCTGAAGGCTAGTTTGGAATCTGTCTTAAAACATCCGTTTTGGATTTCCCCGCTGTTTTGCAGAAAAGGAAACAGGCTTTAGAAATCAAGTCACAAGGCTGTTAAGTGATGGAATTGTGTGAACCTAGGTCCTTCTGGTGCCGTAGCCCAGCCTATTATGTGTGTTCTGTTATGTCAAAGGATCAAGGGGTTATTGGTGGCGTACATTCTAGAAAAAAGGTGGTGGTCTGGGAGCTGGTCACATTTATAGGCAAAGTGAACCTTAACTGCATTGGCAGGAATCCCAGTTGCTGTAGAAGTCAGTGTGGGTCTTCTGAGTGTTAGTACAGCAGTGCTGATGTTAGGAGGAATGTGCTGTGTCTATCATTCCACAATGTATGTCAGAGCAGTTAGCTGATCCTGAGAGCCGGAGGTCTGGGGAAGGCAGGCTCCTCCCACTGTGGGGGTGACCCTCCCAACCCTCTGCACAAAAGGCTCCTTTTTTTCAGGACAGTTAAAATTTCAGTACTAACTTTTTCTGTCTGAGGCAAGGCAAATTTGAAATTATATAATTGTTTTAAGACCTGTAAAAGTAACATGGAGCTTACTAAATCTCACCTTGTCTGTCTTAGCTAAGATTCCCATAATGCTGTCTCTTAGATTTCCAGGAAGAATTAATAAAGGTTAAAAAAAATTTTTTTAAAGCAGTCTGTGGTAAAATCTGAGATAAGCTCCCGGGGCATAAAATAGCCCTGCCCCAGAAATGAGGGGCTGGGGTTTCAATTCTGGATAAAACTTAGAATCCCAGCATTGTACACAGCCACACTTACGGATGTAAAGGGGTATGTACATTTTTTTTTTCCTATATTTCATTTTCAAGGATTTTTTTTTTTTGAGATGGAGACTCTGTTGCCCAAGCTGGAGTGCAGTGGCACAATCTCGGCTCACTGCAACCTCCGCCTCTGGGGTTCAAGCAATTCTTCTGCCTCAGCCTCCCAAGTAGTGGGGACTATAGGCACGCGCCACCACGCCCGGCTAATTTTTGTATTTTTACTAAGATGGGGTTTCACCATATTGGCCAGGCTGGTCTCGAACTCCTGACCTCGTGATCTGTCCGCCTCAGCCTCCCACAGTGCTGGGATTACAGGTGTGAGCCACCGTGCCCAGCCTCATTCCCAAGGATTTAAAGGAGTAAAAAGCATATTCAGAGCTTTTGCCAAAGAATTTTTTTCTGTGAGAATGTAAACTCAGACACAAGCTAGATAGCTTTCTTACCTGTATCCTGGAAAGTTTTTGGAAAGATGAAAACTTTAAAATGTTACCTGCCTCTAGCTGCTTCTTAGCAACCTTTACCAGCAAGGCACTCAGCTATGAGTTCAGTGTTTGTGGATTTGGGGGTGTGGAGTGTGCTGGGGAGGGGAAGGGTGAGGTGACTAAAGTAGCTCTCTGCTGGTGTTATTTTTGCATTTATAACGTTAGGTGTTGTCTGTGCAGGCTTTCTCATTCATTGGTTTCAGGTCCCTTAGCTAAATGATTATTTTCTAAAGTTATGTTTATTTTAAGGGAAAATTAGAGTATTAGTACTTTTGGCTTACAGTTTGAGACAGAAATGCACACCAAACCTAAATATTAATGTTTACACTGTTTTTAGTAGCTAGTATTGGAGGCAGTAAAAGAATCATGGGATCAAATAACAAATTATTTTCTCTGCTATGGAGAAGTTGTGCTAATCTCATCCTGTTCTGCAAATGTGCTTTTCCTAGGCGGTATATAAACTGTACTGACTCTGGGGAGAATTTGCCAGAAAGCCCCTGAGGCTAAAGGGTAGGACGTGGTTTGCACCTAGAAGTTATGGTAGAGGGGGTTATGTAAGAATTTTGCTTCTCTTGTTTGAATTAAGACCCAGAAGCACTGATTGCACCCTTTACCGTTTCTTAAGCCTTTTAAGATTTTATTATTAAGGTTTTTTTTGAGACAAGGTCTCACTGTGTCACCCAGGCTGGCGGGCAGTGGTGCAATCACAGCTTACTGCAGCCTCAAAGCTCCCTGGCTTAAGGGATCCTTCAGCCTCAGCCTCCGAAGTAGCTAGGACTACAGCCATTCAACATGTTTGGCTACTTTTTAAAAAATTTTTTCTTTGAGATGGGGTTTCACTATGTTGGCCAGGCTTATCCTCGGCTCAAGCCATCCTCCTGCCTCAGCCTCCCAGAGTATTGGGATTACAGGTATGAGCCACCATGCAGGCTCTTAAAGCTTTTTGGTCACCATGAACTTTGCTTCCTTTGCACCCAACATTGCAGTTTTGGAAATGCCCTTAGTTTTTTCCTGCCGTTGTTGCAGCCTGCTTTAGAGCGTCTCATCTTCTGTGAGCACAGATTCCGTAGAAAGTTTTTATGTTGAAGATAGGACCTGCCCCAACAGTGCATTTCTCAATTATAGTAAACTAGCTGAAAAAGATTGAACTAAAACATGTATGATGTAATATTTCATATTTTCATAGGAAAATTATCTGACTTGCTGTAAAAAGTTAGTATCCAAATTTCAGAGTGCTAAATTCACATTGTAGATGTAATTTCCAATGAATTTTATTAGGTGTCATTTTAAAGCCCAATGTTAGGGATTATTTTGCCACCCTAATATATAATGTGGTTTTGATTAACTTGGACCTGGGAGGATTCCTGACTGACTGGGGTTGAGCTTTACTTTCAGTAGTTCAGGAGAACACTTAGGCATGGATAACCTTTGAATTCTTTTTTTTTTTTTTTGTATTCTTGAATGGTGGAACAGTCCTTTTAAATTATAGTGAGTTAACACTCTTTGTTTTGATTTATTTAAGGCATTCGTGATGAGTTCCCCTGAGGTAACAGGAGAATCCCCAGAGGGCAGGTCTAAAGGTTGGTTTGTATGCTAAAAACGGGTCTTGGTTGCAAGTAGCTATTGAT
This sequence comes from Homo sapiens, assembly GCF_000001405.40. Lineage (NCBI taxonomy): Eukaryota > Metazoa > Chordata > Mammalia > Primates > Hominidae > Homo > Homo sapiens. The sequence continues at coordinate 82,641,576 of NC_000015.10, read as the reverse complement.
TTTAGGAGTAACTTGACTAAGAGTGTTACTTGTTTCTTTATTCTTGGCCAGCATAATATGCTGCTTTATGTACCATCCTGACAGATTTAGCCCCACTTCCTACAATCCCCTTTGATAAAAGTGTGGGAGTAGCTCTCCTCTGTTGGAAGAGAACAGTTACTGTGAAGGGCAGGTTGGTTTTTTTGTGTCTTTTTACAGAACACTTAATCTCTTACTACTTAACACCTGTGCTCTCTGCATTCTGGCTTTGTGCTCCTGGGTTCTGGCCCTGACACCATCTGTCTGTCTCCCATGTGTCTGCCCTTTCTCCTGAGGCTTTTTGTTTTTGTTTTTGTTTTTTTTTAAAGCTGTAATCTTGGAATTGTTGTGAAGCTCAAAAGGTGTTAGAGACCTGTCTCCTACATATAACTTGGAGTTGACACCAAAGCCAGATATAATCTCTGACATCCTCTTTTCATGGACTAGGAGAATTAAGTTTAGAATGGAAAGTGATTACCCTAATTTTATACTGTGAGCAGGGAATAGAGACAGAACTTGAACCCACGTTTTCTCATTTCTAGACTAGTACTATTTGTAAAATTCATACACTCTTACCTCTGCTGTGTTGGTCTCTTATTGTACTTGAAATGTCCATTTGGTTTGTAAGACTATGGCTTCCTTTTTTTTTTTTTTCCTTATCTGATCAATCTTGTCTTGTCTTGGTACTTGCAGGCTTCCTTTTCTCCCCAAATGCCGCATTCTTCACAGTTCAACCCTGTTGGATCATTCCTGTCTCCTTATATATACAGGAGACCCATGTGTTCCTATAGAAGCACCAGTTGACTGTTGTGTGCCCAAGTTTTAGATTGAGCTCTTTAGCCTTGGTTGTTCTGAAGACTTATACTTCTGATTGGACTACCGAATGCGTGTATCTATCTGAGGTATGTTAAACCCAGCAGATATAAAAACAGAACCAATTTCTTCCTTTTCCTCATCAGAAATAACATCAGAAGTAGGCAGGTAAAAGATTTAAAGGTTATTGCCAAAACAGGCATAGTGTAGGGAGTGGGAAGGACATTCTAGGCAAAAGGAACAACATGTATAAGGACAAGGAGATATGAAACAGGGCTGTTTTTAGGCAACTAGAAGTACAGTATTGCTAGAATTTTAAGCGCAAGGGGTACTAGCTTATGACCTGGTAGTCCACTTGTGTTCCTATGTGCAAGAGAAATGAGCACATATGAGTATAAAAAGGCATGCACAAGAATATTCACAGCAGTTTTATTCATAATATTCAAAATCTGAAGAAAAAGCAAGCTAGTTGTGGCACCTGTAGTACCAGCTACCGGGGAGGCTGAGGCAGGAGAATCCCTTGAGCCTAGGAGTTCAATTCTGGTCTGGACCACATATCCAGACCCTGTCCCTAAAAATAGGACAAAACAACAAACGCCTGTTATGTCTGGTCCCCCAAGACAGTGCCTAAATTAGATGATTGACTAGGAAGATTCACAGGAGTCAGCATATAGTGGTTCTCATAGCTAAGCTTACAGCTAAAGGATATGGAGAAAAACCATCAAAGGGAAAAGGCACGTGGGGTGAAATCTGGTACAAGCTTCCAATGTTCTTTTCCCGGGAGAGTTAAACAGGACATAGTTTAATTCCCCTACAACTGACAACATATGTAAAATGTTGCCAGCCAGAATAGCTTGTTAGAATCTGGGCACCCAGAGAGAGAGAGAGAGAGAGAGTGTTTGCGCGTGTGTGTCTGAGGACTGGTTGAATAGGTAGCCTCTGCCTGAAATGTACCAAAATTTCAGACTCCAGGAGGAAAGCCGATGTTCAGCATAAACCATATTGTTTGTTCCTTTGGGTATAGTAAGTCACTCAGTTCTGGGAATGGTGGGAACTCAAAATTTAGGTTCCCAGATGGTAGCTAAAAGACACCAGTCAGACCTGTTACTTTAAATCTTTTCTGTACACCCTTGAGCAGGAATATGGATAAATACATATATCCACATCTATTAATATGTAGCACAGTGATAAAAACCACTGTTCTATACTTTAATGTGTAGACATGTCAGATACTAAGTTAAGTGGGGAAAAAAAAAAAGCCAGACCCAAAAGAATACCCACATGATTGCATTTATAAGAGGTTCAAAAATGGGCAAAACTAACTGGTAACAACAGAAGCCTGAATAGTAAACTCTTTGGGGGATAGTGTGGGAAAGGGCACAGGGGAACCTTATAGAGTGTTGGAAATGTTCTGTGTCTTGCTGTGTGTGGTGGTTGCTCCGGTATGTACAGATAAGTGAATGTTGATCAAGATACACACTTATAACTATTGTCCTTTTATTGAGAGGGAACACACAACAGAATAAAGTAGGAATAGACCAGGAGGGACTTAACTTGGCCACTAAGCTGAAGGCGGACCATGAAGGGTTTTATATGCTATTGATAAGGAACTTGGCCTTTACTCTGTGGCAGCAGTTCTCCAAGCTAGGTCCATGCCTGCCTAGTGGTCACCAAAACCCTTTAAGAGGCTATAAAGTCAGAAGTATTTTTATAATTCTAAGACGTGGTTGATTTCTGCTCCCCCACCCCACTGTGTTGACATTTGTACCGATAGTGCAAAAGCAATGGGGGTGAGTAAAACAGCTGGCACTTACTTAGCAGGAATCAGGGCAATGCCATTAAACTGTAGTAGCAGTCATTGTATTCTTCATGGTACACATTCCCAGAAAAGCCAGTGTCACTTACAAATGTCCTTGAGGAAGCAGTAAAATTAATTTCATTACATCTCAGCCCTTGAATATATGCCTTTAATATTCTGTGTGACAAATGAGAAGTCAGTATAAAGTACTTTTGCTTCATATCCAAGTATGATGATTGTCTCAAGGAAATGTGACTGAGTTTCAAGAATAAGCCTCTTTTTTTCCTTTGAAAACCTTTTTTTTCTTTACCAGAAGAACAACTAACAAACTATGGTTATTCAACTTTGGGTATTTGGCAGACATTTTCTTGAAAATCAACCAAGTAAGTCAGTCACTTCATAAGAAATAGCTCACTTTATTTGTTGCCAGTGATACAATTTGAGCACTGAAGAAAAAAATAAGAATTTTGGAAGACCTTTATCTGCCACCACATGAGCTTGACACTTGCCCCAATACTTGAAGTCCCCTGGTGAGATTGGTGGTACTATTTACTATTAACTAGTGTGTCAACGTTTGTTATATTTGCATAATTCAAGCCAATATTTGTCAAATGACTAACAGATAGGAGTAAAAGATCCATCCAAAATGCAAGATTGACCCATGTGTTTTAATGTAACAGCATATGAAGAGTACATATGGTTTCAGATTCCATATTGTAACTAATCTTTAAGAAGTTACCATTTGTTGGGAATTTTGGTGTAGTATTAATAGCCACAGTTGTCTGACAATGATATTAAAATACTCCTTTTTCCAACTATGTATCTGTGTGAGGCTGGATTTTCTTCATATACTTCAACCAGAATAACACATGACAACACATTAAATACAGAAACAGACCAGAAAATCCCGCTATCTTATATTAAACCAGATACTAAAGAGATCTGCAAAAATGTCAATGCCACTCCATAAATTTTTTTTGTCTTGGAAAATCATTGTGTTAATATGTAATAGGTTTTTTTAATGGTTAATAAATCTACCCCTTTTTAATTTCTAATGGGTGAATATTCATATGACCTACTTACACAAAAAGCTCTTGAGTAATTAAAAGTACTTAAAATTACCTCAGTAATTTTTAAGAGTATAAAGGAGTCCTCAGACCAAAAAGTTTGTGGACCACTGCCCTCTGGAGTAGGTGATTAGATTTGTACTTTCCAGAGATCCTGTAAGAATATCCAGGCAGGAATGAAGACGTCTTAAAAGGCTCAGGAAATGTCCATAGGATTTGATAAGGCACAGTGAACTTGGTTTGAAAAAAAGTGTTTCAGAATAGCATGTGTGGAAAGGGAGAGAAGCATCTGATGCTTGCCTTCGAGGGTTAAAGAGATGAGTAAAGGCCGTAGAGATGGGGTACTCCGTACGGAGGGCTGATGGGGATGCTAGGGAAAGACAGGCTGGCTACTAGAGGGAAGAGCAGGGTTAAGAAAAGTTCTAAACATGGGAGAGACCTGATGATGTTTACAAAGGTGTGAGAGCTGTGGCAGGTATAACCAAGAGGCCCTGTGGGTATGAGAAAAAATGGACTCCAAAATTGCTTTTTAAATAGGAAGAAGGATACCTTGTCAGTAAGTGCAGAAAAAGGATAGTAATGGAAGCTGTGTCAAATTGGTGAGGGCAAGAGTAGGGTCATGTAGACCAACTGTCCAGAGCCTTTAGTTTCTTTTATTCCTCAGGAGAATTTATGAGACTCTGTCATTCTCACATTACAAATAAAAAGACCTGCTTAGAGAAATTGAAAATCTTGGTCAAAGTTCCCTAGTTAATGGAGCACTGGGGCTTAAATCAGAATCCCAGACTCCAAGTTCCCTCTTCTGCATCAAGGCAGCCAGAGAAGCATTATATGGAGAGGTGATGGAGACCAGGTCCAAGAACAGCTCTGAGACAACTCTGGAGCCTTTGTTTTTTTATTGATGAAGAATGGTCTGTGGTCCAAACCTAAAACCCCAAATCCCAAAATGACTTTAGTGGCTGAGAATTTTGACAGGGAGAAGAGGTAGAATTGATGAATATTTCTCTTGATGTATCTAAAATCTTAAGAAAGGAGTCACTACCATTTATGAAGGTTATGAGTGAGGTGGTAAAAATACCTATGACAGGAGTGTGATACGGGTCTGCCTTTCATGTGGTATCTGTATTGAGTGCCTGCAAATGCAGCAGATACTATTCTGGGGCAGTGCTGAGATACAGGTTGTGAGGGACCTTTATAGTTTATCAGATTGGTGAGCTTACAGTCCATACAGTTAGCAGTGTGACAGGTAAGTGATGAGAGTTAAAATTATAGTGACCATGTGCTTTCAATATTCTTGAGGTGTTTTGGTATGAAATATTCTCTAATGTTCTCATAAACCTGTCCTGGAAATTGTAGTATTTCCTCTTCCACACTGAGTTAAGAGAGCAAAAAGAACATTGGACAATAGATGTACCCTATGAAAAATGAAGAATAACCAGAGATGGAAAGGGAGAGCCAGGAGAAAGTGATTCCTGACTTGAGTGGAGAATAGCTGAAGGGTCAGATCCTACAAAGATGCAGGGTAAGATAGACTTGAAGTATCAGTTGGATTTGGCAGCTATGAAGGCATTAATTTGGGAGCAGTTGTTTAGTGTCTTTTTGGGGAAGGGGAGAGATCAGTGCTGGCAGGACATTGTGGATTGAGAGGATGAACAGGAAGTTAAATAAAGATCATATATTTTCAAGAAGGTTGATAGTATAGCAGAAGAAATTGGCAATGAATTGGGAGGATATTTTAAATCAAGGAAGGTGTGGTGGTTTTTTAAGGTGAAAGAGTCTTGAACATACTGACAAACTGAAGGGGAGCCAGTGGAGAAGAGAGGAAAGTCAGGTGATGCAGGGAGAGGAGATCTTGTATCTGTTGATGGATTTATCTTTCCGACACAGGAAGGAGGTTAGGACCTGTAGCTTTATCTCGTTTATTCCTGGTGAGCCTTCCTGTCCAGCCCTGTTGGACTACTTTGTTTTCTTGAATTTACTGTGTTCTGTATCCTCTCTGTGCTTGTTCTCTGTGTGTTAATGCTTTTTCTCATGCCTGCTTATTGAAATTCTGCATTTTCATTATTCTCTAGCCAAAACATCTGAGTTGTGAAACCATTTTAGATACCCTACTTTATTCCTCTCTTCTATAGCATTTTATGCTTGATCTCCACTTAGCTAACTAGATTTGTTTCTTTTTCCTACCTGAATAATTCTCCTGAGGGCAAGGAGTATGTTTTATATATACATATCTGTAATCTCAACATCTAACCTAGTGGGTTGTCAGCATTTACGAAATAATATTAGGTTGAACTATGTGAAATTGCCATTTTGTTGGTTGAAAAAGGTAAAATACTGACAATTTCATATGGACCAACCTGATAAATTTTTATTCCTGACATTGTTGCATAGAAGACTTGAGGTAGGACCAAGGAGAAATTTAAACACAGAGAAGCATCTCTCAGCAAACTATAGAGTCATTAAAGTAGAGCCAAAATCTGGCTTTGAGTGAGCTGGTGACTAAAGCAAATAGAGAAATTTGGCTAGAAGACTTACATTCTTCCATAAGGAAAATGTATTCTTCATGGGAATCTGTAGCATTTCCTGATCTGTGGTCTGAATGACATTTCTCTAAATGAGTGTTCATATAAGGGCTCTTCAAAATCGTAATAGAATATGCCTAAAATCCTGAGTATCCGTGCTATAGAAATTTTGTTTAGCTTTATTATTGGTATAAAACTAAAGGCAGGCCAGGCATGTGGCTCATGCCTGTAATCCCAGCACTTTGGGAGGCTGAGGCGGGCGGATCACCTGAGGTCAGGAGTTTGAGACCAGCCTGGCCAACATGGCGAAACCCCATCTCTACTAAAAATATAAAAAATTAGCTGGGTGTGGTGACACATGCCTGTAGTCCCAGCTACTCAGGAGGCATAGGCACCAGAATTGCTTGAACCCAGGAGGTGGAGGTTGTGGTGAGCCGAAATTGTACCACTGCACTCCTGGGCGACAGAGCGAGACTCTGTTTCAAAAATAAAAATAGAAAAATAAAGGCAAATTGCCAGAGTACGTCTCAGCAGAACCAGTTATTTGGGACATCTAAGTATATTACTTTCTGCTACTCTGGCTTAATTAAAAAAGTCTAAATGTTCAAGACCAATGCATTTAAAAACCATCTGATTAAATGGAGGAAAAATACTTCAGAAAAATTTTTAGTGTGAACACATTTTTGTCAGGAGGATTACTACATTCCAATCCATGGGACCCCAGTTTTAGAACTCTCTCTGGAGGACTGAGTAAACCTTGGGCCCTTCAAACAGTCTTCTATAAATTTCTCAACTGGCTATTAATCCATTGTACATGATTAATAGTAATAGTCTTGAAGGGTCTTCAGCATTGGTATTATGTTGTCCATTAAAGGCAAACTGAATAAAAATCAACCCAGAGATGATAGTTGGCATTCATTTACGACAGGTGAGTATCCCCAAGTAAAGATTTTGAGCTGCCAGAATGGCCATCCTATCACAATGCTGGGTCTGGGGAGTATGATATTTAAAGGCAGGGCCAAGGTTTCCAAATTAGACAATTGTTCATTTCTTCTATACAAATAAATATAAAATTTGGGGATCTTTAGCAAACATATCTACAAAGTGTGGTTCAGATTTTTAAAGAAAAAGTTATGAGTGATACTTCTGAACCATAGATGGAAAAAAAAAAAAACCAGTTATATGCTAAAACAAGTAAATAAGCTTCTTGATGAACTTGGCTAGGATGAATAAGTTGAAACCATACCTCTGAGTAACAGTGATATAATTTAATAACTGGTGTGTAATTGGACATCTGCCACTAAAAGTATTTATTGAGCATATCCATGTACTTTATGTATTTCTGACTACTACGAAGTCTGCAAAGTAGGTGCTACCCTCTTTTTTTTTTTTTTATACCTTTAGGTAACCAAGGCTCAGAGTGATACCTAAGTGGTAGACCTGGTGTTTGTATTGCAAAGCCTGTGTTCTTTCTGCTTTTCAAAACAATGATTCCCACTTTTAAGGAGGAGGAGGAGGATTTTCCTTTGTGGAGGAGGGAAATGCTTTTCTTCAGACCATTTCCCTCACCTTTGTTGTCCTAGTTGATGATCATGGCTATAGGAAAACAGTTTCATGATAGGAGTGTCAGCTCTTATCTATTGGAGAGGAGAAAATTGAGGCCTGATCTAAAATAACTTGGATTAGGGCCAGGCACTGTGGCTCATGCCTATAATCCCAGCGCTTTGGGAGGCTGAGGCAGGCAGATCACCTGAGGTCAGGAGTTTGAGACCAGCCTGGCCAACATGGTGAAACCCTGTCTCTACCAAAAGTACAAAAATTAGCCAGGCGTGGTGGCACATGCCTGTAATCCCAGCTACTCGGGAGGCTGAGGCAGGAGAATCACTTGAACCCGGGAGGCAGAGGTTACAGAGAGCGGAGATTGAGCCATTGCGCTCCAGCGTGGGCGACAAGAGCAAAACTCTGTCTCAAATAAAATAACTTGTATTAGGTGAGTTTCCTCAAAAGCCATTCTTTCTAACAATAGGTAGATAGGTAGAACTAGTTTTATCTTGAGGGTATTTGTGTCTATATCATTAGCATTAAACAATTGTTTTTAAATTAATTTTTTAATTAAAGAATTGTTTTTGTTTTACAGCATTGCCAAGTAATTCTTCCTGTTGACTCCTGATTTTCGGTAGTATTAAGGTTTGCACTCTATTAAGTCTCTGATTTATCTTAAAGCCTTCTTTCCCGTTGACAGTAGAAGACCAACTAAAGGTCAAAAAAAAGCTACAAGTGACCTCACTTTATGGCAAAATATGCTGAAAATAAGGGCAGGAACTGTCAGGCAATAGTAGAATAACCAAGAGAAAAACATTTTTTATCATGGTAAAACATTGGTCTGAATGCAGATCTATACATTGATGAAAGTTCAGATGGACTACACAAAGTAAATGGGTCTGTGAGTATGGGGTGGATAGTAGGTTTCTGTTTTGAAAATGAGGAACTATGAATTCATATAACTGGACGGTTTAAAAGGATCAGTATTGGCTAGATGTGGTAGCTCATGCCTGTAATCCCAGCACTTTGAGAGGCTGAGGCAGGAGCAGCGCTTGAGCCCGGGAATTCAAGACCAGCCTGGACAACATAGCGAGACCTTTTCTCTGAGGGGAAAAAAAAAAGTTAAAAAAAAAAATTAGCTGGGCATGGTGGCGCCTGTCTGTAGTCCAGCTACTTGGGACGCTGAGGCAGGAAGATTGCTTGAGCCCAGGAGATCAAGGCTGCAGTGAGCTGTGATTGCAGCACTGTGCTCCAACCTAGGGGACAGAACAAGACCCCATCTCTTAAAAAATGTGTGTGTGTGTGTGTGAATATACACAGTACACATGTCGAGCAGCCCTAATCTGAAATGCTCCAAAATCTGAAACTTTTGGAACACCAGTATGTCACAAGTAGAAATTAGACACCTGAATTCATGATGGGTGACAGTTAAAACACAGTCAAAATTTAATTTCATGTACAGAATTACTAAAAATATTGTATAAAATTAACTTCAGGCTATGTGTATGAAGTATATATAAAAAATAAATGAATTTGGCTGGGCGCAGTGGCTCACGCCTGTAATCCCAGCACTTTGGGAGGCCAAGGTGGGCGGATCATGAGGTCAGGAGATCAAGACCATCCTGACTAATGTGGTGAAACCCCATCTCTACTAAAAATACAAAAAAATGAGCCGGGCGTGGTGGCGGGCGTATGTAGTCCCAGCTACTCCAGAGGCTGAGGCGAGAGAATCCTGTGAACCCGGGAGGCGGAGCTTGCAGTGAGCCGAGATCACACCATTGCACTCCAGCCTGGGCGACAGAACGAGACTCCGTCTCAAAAAAAAAAAAAAAAAGAGAAAAAAATAAATGAATTCTGTGTTTAGACTTGGGCCCTATCCCTAAGATAGGTCATTATGTATATGCAAATGTTCCAGCTTCCAAAAAAAAAAAAATCCAAATCTGAAACACTTCTTGGTCATCTCAGCATTTCTGATGAGAGATACTGAACCTGTAGTGGATTCAGCCCTTAGGTCTATTTGAATCATATCTCTTGCCTTTTAATTAAGCATTTTAAGTCAAATGATTAAGAGGAAGAGTTAGGGGGTACCAGGAATAGAAGGGCCTGGAGTCTTCAGAGAAATAGTTGCCATAGGTCTTTGGTTCACTTAATGAGCCAATAGATCCTTCCTCAAGGATCCCTGTGGTGGCCTCTGAATAATAATAATGATACGACTGATAGACAGTATTCGTTGGTTCAGCACATAATTACATGTCAGGCCCTATGCTAAGTACTTTATGTGCATTAATTCACAAAAAGCCTTATGAGATAGTATTACTTTTATCCCTATTGTACACAAAGGAGAGTAGTAGATCTGTTCGCCATCTGACAGTCCTGGCTTTGATTTTTTTTTTTTCCTTCCAAATTGGTTAAGGCAAACATTGGTAATTATAAGATGAAACAGTTTGGAATATACATTGAACACCTCATTCACTTTTATTATAATGTCATCTTAAGCTAGAGCTCTGGCTTGATGTATGTGAGAGAAGGGGAGGGAGGCATGTCAGATATCATTTGCCTTGATTTGGGAAGGTGTGTATGTTCCTAACAGGATTAGGAGTGGGGCAGGGTGACCAGACACATTCCTAAATTAGATTTTTTTTTCAGACTCCTTGAAATAGTAAGATTTCCTTCCTCTCCTAAGGAATACCTTTCTCCCAGACTCCCAAGTCTGCATCTGTTCCCTAGACTACTGTGGTACTTTCTCACTAATCCTTCTGCCACTTATCTGTCATGTAGTTGCTGGTGGTCTCCTTCTAAGACTCACTTTGTTATTTACTTGCCTTTAGATGTGGCCAGGATCTGGAATCCATGTAGTCCATATATATATAGTACTTTTATTACAGTAATTAAAAGCTAGGTTAATTTTTGTGTATTGAAAAGACACAATTTTGTGTATTGAAAGACAATGCTGACTCCTTAATTTGGCATATGAGGCTTTTCCAATTTTCTCTCCTATACCTAATGCTGTACCACACTGGACCACTTTTGATAATGCCTCTCTACTCTCTTGTGTTCTTTAGAACTTCCTCTTTACCCCCATTTCCAGGCACATTCTGTCCCTCCAGGCCACCTTGGCTTGGAGGACAATGTACATTTACAGCACGTTGTAGTCTGTGTTGTGGATGTTTACAGGATCGGGTCTTAGTTCTTTTTCTTTCTTTTTTTTTTTGAGACAGGGTCTTGCTCTGTCACCCATGCTGGAGTGTGGTGGCACAATCTCTGCTCACTGCAACCTCTGCCTCCTGGGTTCAAGCATTCCTCCTACCTCAGCTTCCTGAGTAGCTGGGACTACAGGCATGTACCACCATACCTGTCTAATGTTTTGTATTTTTTGTAGAAACAGGGTTTCGCCATGTTGCCCAGGCTGGTTTTGAGCTCCTGCCTGCCAAAAGTTCTTTTCCAGACTTCAAAACTTTATTTTGGTTTAGTCTGTGTCTAATCTGCTGCCCCTTGGGGTGCTCACTATAGAGAGCAGGCAGTCGGCTAATGTTTATTAGGCAGTGAAGAATGAAGCATGTAGCCTTAAGATAATGCAGATTGTGCTAGGCAATGGCACGTGCCTGTAGTCTCAGCTACTCAGGAGGCCAAGGTGGGAGGAGCACTTGAGCCCAGGAGTTTCAAGTTCAGCCTGGGCAACACAGCGAGACCTCCTCTCTGCAGGTTATAAATCTTTGCATCTTAGCCTTCATGAAGTTGCCTTCCTGAAATTGAGAATCAGCTTAGAAATCTACAGTTGTGAAAAGGGCCTTGTGTGTCACTGGATTTAACAGTTCTCAATGGCACCACTCTAGAGAGCTTGGGAAAACAACCTTGTAGGATTGTGTATTTTGGTCGTCTTCACAGTTTGCAGAGGGTACCAATCTTCAAGAACTTGAGGCTGACGTGAGGCTCAAGTTTGTCCCTTTAAGGTCATCCTGCAGAGTTGGTAAAACTGTAAATGCTCTTGGTCATTCTCATGCTCACTTGGATTTTAGTAGGCCAAACAAAATGACATTGGGCCTCTTCTTGTTTTGTTTTGATGTGACCAGCTTATGAGATATTAAGTGCCAGTTTCATTACTTGGTCTGTTTTTGTTTTCCGCAAGATAATTGAGGATAATAGAACTGATGAGGCAGGCTCCCCTTAAAAAACTCAATCTGTCAACCAATATTTCATTGCTTCTTATGTTGGGCATTGGCTGTGGAGAGTGAGGGAGACCGGAGTGAAGAATGGTACCTACATTTCTGCTTTGGGCATCTGGTGGATGGTGGTGTTATTTACCGAGATAGGGAATACCAAAAGAATAGTTTTTGTGTAAGGGTTCATGATTTTTTATATATATATATAGGAGTTCTTTTTTCATTCGGTAATGTCTTACCCATCTTCTCATGCCAGTTAATAAAGTTGTATGTACTAATAATGACCACATAGAGTTGTATAACTTAATCAGTTTGGGTGGTTTTACCACTGTTGGTACTTACCTCTCTTGTATTCAATAATTAGTGTTTGCAGATACAAATTAGCAGCTACTGTATGCCATGCAAAATGCTTTACATATGTCATCAAAAAGTTGGTATCCTTTTTCCATTTCACAAATGGGGAAACTGAGGGATAGAGGTTAAGTAACTGTGATATCACACAGCCAATAAATGGCAGAATGAAAATTTTTAAACAGCTGTATTGACATAAAATCTACATACCCTAAAGTTCACCTTTAATGTACAGTTCATTGGTTTTTAGTCCAGTTGACTCTTGGACAGTGTGGGAGTTAGGAGGACCAACCCCCACAGTCAAATATCTATGTATAACTTTGACTCCCCCAAAACTTGACTAATAGCCTGCTGTTGACCGGAAGCCTTACCGATAACATAAACAGTTGATCACATGTTTTGTATGTTACATGTATTTTATACCGTATTCTTACGATAAAGTAGGCTAGAGAAAAAATGTTACTAGAAAATCATAAGAGAAAATATATTTACTGTTCATTAAGTGGAAGTGAATCATAAAGATCTTCATATTTACTGTTTTCACATTGAGCAGGCCGAGGAAGAGGAAGGATTGATTGGTCTTGCTCTCTCAGGGGTGGCAAAGGTGGAAGGATGTGGAGCGGATGTAAGGAGAAGCAGGCACAGTCAGTGTAACTTTACAGAAATAATTTCTGTCTGACTTTTTGCTTTTTCATTTCTGTAAAAATGTTTCTATGTGGTACCAATCCTAATTCCACCATTTGCGTTAGTTTCAGTGCCTGTGTAATAGAAGGGTCTGTATTGTAAAAGAAGTCAAAAGCAGCCTTGAATAATCGGAACCCTTTTGCCAGATCATCTAATGTCAATATGTTTTCTGGCATTGCTACTTCAACATCGTCTTCCATGTCTGGCACTGGTTTGGAGCACTCATCTCTATCAGATTGTCTTCTGCTAATTCCTCTGGTATGTTAACTCTTGGATTTCTCCAAGGTCCATGTCTTGGAAATCTTCACTCCCAACCTTTTTTTGTCATATCTACAGTTTCTTTCATGATTTCCTGTATTGGCTCTGTGGTAAATCTGTGAAGTCATGTACAACATCTGGAAACAGTTTTTTTAAGCAGGAATTTATTATTTTGGGCATGATGGCTTTCATGGATTTTTCTGTAACAATGATGGCATTGTCACTGGTGTAATTCTTCTAGACTTTCATGACCTTCTCTCTATTGGGGTTCTCTTCCACAGCATTAACAATCCTTTCTGTAGAGTAGCATGTGTAATGAGCCTTAAAGGTCTTTATGACCCCTTGATCTGGAGGCTGACTTAGAGATGTTGTATTTGGGGGCATGTATACCTCTTTGTTGTTGAATTCATGGCATTCTGGGTGGCCAGGGGCATTGTCCAGTATTAAAAGAACTTCTGAGTACCTTGTTCATCATAAACACTCATTAAGTGTTTTAATATATTAAAAAAAGTCCTTTACTGGCAAGGTACTTTCTGACTCCAGGAACAAAATATCAATTGAACCAATTCTGAAAAAGAGTTCTTGTCCAGACCTTCTTGTTGTACAACCAAAAGACTGGCAGCTGGTGTTTACCTTTTCCCTTAAGGCCCAGAGGTTAGCAGCTTTATAGATAAAGGCAATCCTAATCATAAACCTGACTATATTTGTAGAAAACTAGTAGAGTTAGCCTACCCCTTTTTGCCTTAAATCCTGGTGCTTGATTCTCTTCCTTAATAGTATCCTTTGTGGAAATTTTTCCACAAATTGGCCAAGAATATTTTGGTATTTTTTTCTTACAGTTCCGAGTACTTAGCTCATAGTAAACACTCATTAAGTGTTTTAATGTATAAAGAAGATACTTAAGTCCTTCCTACTTTATCTAATTCGTAATGTGGAGAGAAAGGGGGTCATAAAGGAGTGTAGAAAACCTAAATATCTTTTTTTTTCTGTGTCTAGGAAGAAGAAGCAGGAAGGATAAAAGATTGCTGGGACAACCAGGAAGCACCTGCTCTCTCCACGTGTAGTAATGCCAATATCTTTCGAAGGATAAATGCCATATTGGATAATTCTCTGGATTTCAGTAGAGTCTGCACTACACCTATAAACCGAGGAATTCATGATCATTTGCCAGGTGATTTAGGTTTGAAAACTTGAACGTGGTAGGCATCTGTACAGATCTGCTTCTAAGTAGTGCATGTAAGAGGTCTTCCTTGGAAAGCTTGTGAAGAACAATGTTGAGTTGCTGGCAATACTTGCCTTTTTGTGGTTTAGTTTATGGATTGAATCCCTCTCTGGGTGAAGACTGCCTTTGATTAGGATGTGTAAACCTACTTTATGATACACAGAAAGGTTGGGGAAAAAAGAAAAGGTCACAGATTACACAAGTATTTATATAAAGAGATATAATGTGGATCACATATGTTACAGATTTTCTGGTAGCCATGTTAAAATTAAGATACAGATGAAATTAATATTTTATTTAACCCAATATATTATAATATGACAACATTTAATATGAAAACTATTAATGAGATTTTTTTTATTAGTACTACGACTTCAAAATCCAGTGTGGATTTTACAAGCATATCTCAACATGGACATTTCAGGTGTTTAGTGGCTACTGCACTGGACAGTGTAGCTCTCGAATGTTTTAACAGCTTTTAAACATGAGTCAGCACGCATTTAGTTTCTGTATCTATTGGATACTCCAAGGAATAGTGGAGATAGAGGGCAGCATCCCCTGAAGTTGACTCTTTCCAAGAGGTGTGGATGTCCTAATGGTGTTTAATTTTGTGGGAGTTGCAACCCATTATAAGAATGTTGAAGTGTTCTGGGTTTGAGTTATTTATTTTATTTTATATTTTCTTTTTCTTTCTTTCTTTTTGTTTTTTGGGACGGAGTCTCACTCTGTTGCCAGGTTGGAGTGCAGTGGTGTGATCTCGGCTCACTGCAACCTCCAACTCCCTGGTTCAAGCGGTTATCCTGCCTCAGCCTCCCTAGTAGCTGGGATTACAGGCACGCGCCACCACACCCAGCTAATTTTTGTATTTTTAGTAGAGATGGGGTTTCACCATGTTGGCCAGGATGGTCTCGATGTCCTGACCTTGTGATCTGCGTGCCTTGGCCTCCCAAAGTGCTGGGATTATAGGTGTGAGCCACTGCACCCGGCCTTTATTTTATATTTTGTTTTTCTTTCTTTTTTTTGAGACAGAGTCTAGCTCTTTCGCCCAGGTTGGAATGCAGTGGTGCGATCTCAGCTCACTGTAACCTCTGCCTCCTGGGTTCAAGCAATTCTCCTGCCTCAGTCTCCCAAGTAGCTGGGATTACAGGCACCCGCCACCACACCTGGCTAATTTTTTGTATTTTTAGTAGAGATGGGGTTTCGCCATGTTGGCCAGGCTGGTCTCAAACTCCTGACGTCAGGTGATCCACCCACCTCGGCCTCCCAAAGTGCTGGGATTACAGGCACGAGCCACTGTGCCTGGCCTGTTTCAGTTGTTTTAGATGAAAGAATATATGTTTAATTTTTAAAAATGGTCCTTGAAAACAATTAGCCACAATGGGGATTCTCAAAACAAGGACTGATAATTACAGTCAACCCTTGAGCAACACTACGTTGGACTGTGCAGGTCCACTTACATGCAGATGTTTTTCAACCAAAGCTGGAAAATGTGGTATTCAAGGGATGTAAAACCCACACGTATGGAGGGCTGACTTTTCTGGTATAGGTGGGTTCCTCAGGACCAACTGCAAGACTTGAGTATGTGCGGATTTTGGTATACTCTGGGGGTCCTGGAACCAATTCCCTACATATACCAAAGGACAACTACTGTTTTTAGTTGTAAATTCTTTTATTTATTTTTTTAACTTGGCGTTAGAAATAATTCCCACAAAAATGCAGGAGTATGTGAGCAGTAAATAGCGTAATGTTTGAGGGAGAGGCATATTAAGGGAGTGACTAACTTGTGGCATTTGCTTCTGTCGTACAGGAAGGCAAATGAGAGAAGGGCATACTTGGGGGTGGGGGTGGTTTTTGTCTCTTCTGACTTGTACAAAAGAAAAATGTAAGTCATGAGCTAGCCCAATTCTCTTTTAGTTTACGCTGAGTTAAAAGTTCAGGGAGTCATCTTTCTTAGTTCTAATACATGTTCTGTTTTTCTCCTTTGAGAAAATTGCATGTATTATGTCCCAGTAAGAATGACAGGCCAGGCATGGTGACTTAAGCCTGTAATTAAGGCTGGAGCAGGTGGATCACTTGAAGCCAGGAGTTTGAGACCAGCCTGGGCAACATGGTGAAACCCCGTTTACAAAAAAATAGAAAAATTAGCCAGATGTGGGGTGTGCACCTAGTTGCAGCTACTTGGAGGGTGAAGTGGGAGGATCACTTGAGCCTGGGAGGTCGAGACTGCGGTGAACTGTGGTTGTGGCACTGTACTACAGCCTGGGTGACAGAGCAGGACCCCTGCCCACCTCTGCCAAAAAAAAAAAAAGTATGACACTCAACAATTCAACAATGACTTAAACCTCACTGGGTTGTTTCAGAGATGCTGGAAACTTTTCTAGTTTACAGGAAAATATTTTTCAGCTAATACTAGGTGTTGGACTTCAGGGAAAGGACCCATGATTGATGGGAGAGGAGCTTTCCAGAGTGTATGTTTGCAGCTGTCCAGGGAGCCCAGTGACTTCACTGGTAAGATGCCAGGGTCTGGTGACGATGTTGTTACCATTATACTCTGCCCAGGGTCAGTAGCCGAAGTACAAGTTAAAGACTTCTCGGGCTCTTCAGCTCCTTCTCAGCCTCTTAGAACATTCTAAGAGAAGCAGGAGGAAGATCTTGAGGAAATTGGGAAACCTGGGTTCTAAGCTTGACCCTGGGCAGTGAGATAAAGAGGTCAGTTTTCTCAGCTGCAGGACAGAATGGTACCTGCTCAACCTGCCTCACAGGTTTCTTATGGGGCTCAGATGTTAAGACAATACTGCAGATTTAAGGGAACTCAAGGAATTCTAGGAAAGGTTTCTGTCAAAGGTAGCTGATGTTCTTGAGCCTTTCACGTATACCCAGCCCCTCCCATGTGTGGTGAACTCTCTCTGCTTTCCACTTGTGATTCAGCTCAGGGCTGTGGGCCTGTATTCTCGAATGGTGAAACAAGGATGCCTGGCCTACAGCAGAGAGCATTTTTTCTGTGGTCACCAGCAAAAATACCAACCTTGTGATTAATGAGAAAGTAAACTAGGATATATATTTTTCTATGAAGAACCTTAAGAAATAACCCAAACTTGTAGCTTCTGATCAAAAGTAATTTTGTTCCTTGAAGGAAATAATCAGAATTATGAAAACCTAAGATTGTTTATGGACAGCATTATAACTAGGGACAATTTGGCAACAGAATGTTAAGTAAATGATAGGAGAGCTATACCATGGAATATCATGTACCATAAAATATAATGTTTATAGAAGACTACTTAATGGCAAAGAAAGATAACTACAGTGTCTGAAATGAAAAAAAGCGAAGTGTAAAACAGGTGTAAAAAAAAGTGTAAAAAGAATGGCCTTAAATATATATGCATAGAAAAACACTGGAATGATATAAATGTGACAGTGAAGGTAGGTAATAGCAGAAAAAAATTATGGGTAATTTTTTTTTCCTGAGACGGAGTCCCGCTCTGTTGTCCAGGCTGGAGTGCAGTGGCGTGATCTCGGCTCACTGCAACCTCCAACTCCCGGGTCCAAGTGAGTCTCCTGCCTCAGTCTCCTGAGTAACTGGGATTACGGGTATGCCCCACCACGCCTGGCTAATTTTTGTATTAGTAGAGATGGGGGTTTCACCACATTGGCCAGGCTGGTCTTGAACTCCTGACCTCAAGTGATCCACCTGCCTTGGCCTCCCAAACTGCTGGGATTACAGGCGTGAGCCACCGCACCTGGCTGGGTAATTTTTTTCTGTATGCTTTTCCCCACTAGTTCTTCTAAAACAAACATTTTGTAATAAATTTTCAAATGGTGTGTTTCCTAACACAGTGTTTCACATTGCTAGTTGCATGCATAACCCAGTTGATAAAGCATCATTGGAAAAGTGCTGTGATAGGGTCAGGAAGAGGTTGGTTTGGTTTGAGAACTAGGAAACACTTCTGGTTAAAGCAGCATTTGAAATAGGCTTTGAAGAGAATTAAAATTACTTTAGTCTTAACTGGATGTTGAGTAGATTATTTTTTTTCTGTTGCTCCAGAATTGGCCATTAGGGCCCAAAGCTGAGACTAAAGAGCTGTTAAATGACCTGTGGTGTAATGAGAATCCCTAAGAGGTGGGACCAGATACCTCCCGCCAGGGCTTACCAAAAGGTCACAGAGCTGTCCCTCCTACCACAAACATTAGCTCAACCCTTCCCTGGCTTATAAAGAGGATCACATAAGGAGGGGGGTAGCATTTGAAGTGATTCCGTCCCCGTCCGTGGAGGAGGGTGGGGTAGGATGTGGCTTTGTCATTTAAGCCAAGCAAGAGGGTCTTCCAAGAGAAGTATTTGTATAGATGGAGAATGCTTCCAAGAAAGAAGACAAGGTTGAACCCCTGGTTAGACAGCTGACTTGCTGTCTATCCCTGACTGAATAGAAATTAATGAAGAAGAGATGTGGGCTGGGTGCAGTGACTCATGCCTGTAGTAATCTCAGCACTTTGGGAGGCCGAGGTGGGCAGATCACTTGAGGTCAGGAGTTTGAGACCAGCCTGACCAACATGGCGAAACCTTGTCTCTATTAAAAATAGAAAAATTAACCGGGCATGATGGTGCGTGCCTGTAGTCCGGGAGGCTGAGGCAGGAGAATTGCTTGAACCGGGGAGTCGGAGGTTGCAGTGAGCCGAGGTTGCACTCTGTATTCCAGCCTGGGTGATAGAGTGCGACTCTGGAGAGAGATGTGGCGGGGCAGGGAAAGAGTAGCTGGAGCATCTGAATTCCCCGTTTATATACAAGAAAGTTATGACTTGCTGTGGTTTAAGAGGGTTTTGCAAAGGCCTGAGCTTTTGGGCTAGTACCCCACCAAGAAGGCCCTTGTTGCATGATGGGTGGTAGGAGCTAGGGTGGGGCTGGAAGGTCAGGCCAGAGCTGGATTTCCTACCCCAACAACTGTCTAGTGGAGATGACAGGGATGTCTGCCACCTAGAGGGCCCTCTCCACATTCCCTAGTCCTTTAAGCCATAGACCTTTTGGAATCTGTGAGGAATGGAGAAAATGGGCTGCAAATGGACATGTGATTTAAGCATTAATGTGTTGAGTTGTTAGTAACGGTGTCTGTAAAGATGTGAAAAGTGGTGAAACATCATTAAGGGATGTCTTAACTGCTATATGGGTAGGGAGACTTAATATTTAGGATGGAGGCAATGATTGGAGGAGCAGTTTCATATTAATTCACTGAGATGCCATTTCTCAATAATCAGTTAAAATAGCTTGGAGGTTTAGAAAGGAATTGACTAGCCAAAGCAGTCCTAAGTAAGGTTTAGCACTGATATGTTTATTTAACAGTTTTTAAAAACTGAAATATAATACACATACAGGAAAGTACATGCTGTATCATAGGCGAAGAGCTCCAACTTTCCCAAACTGAACACAACCATGTAACCAGCTCTCAGACCTAAATAGACTGCTGACTTTTAATGTAGGACCAAAGAATTGTATAGTTGTAGCCTGATGTTAGATTTTTTTTTTTTTTTTCTGAGATGGAGTTTCACTCTTGTTTCCCAGGCTGGAGTGCAATGGCGGGATCTTGGCTCACCGCAACCTCTGCCCGGGTTCAAGTGAGTCTCCTGCCTCAGCCTCCTGAGTAGCTGGTATTACAGGCATGTGCCACCACCCCTGGCTAATTTTGTATTTTTAGTAGAGACGGGGTTTCTCCATATTGGTCAGGCTGGTCTTGAACTCCTGGCCTCAGGTGATCCGCCTGCCTCGGCCTCCCAAAGTGCTGGGATTACAGGCGTGAGCCACTGCACCTGGCCTGGATTTTTTTTTTTTTTTTAAGAGACATGGTGTCACTGTGTTGCCCAGGCTGGTCTCAGACTCCTGGCCTCAAGCCATCCTCCTGCCTCAGCCTCCCAAGTTGCTGGGATTACTGGCATGACTAATGTTGAATTTTTGACTGAGATGGTTTCACTTCTTATTGTACTGGATCATAAACCGTATCGTCACTAAATTGTCTGAAAAGCTATTCCAAAACAAAGTTTAATACATTCAGTCCCATCTTGCAGGAAATGATTGAAATTACTCTCATGAAGTCTTGTTTCCCACAAAATAAACTTTTATGGAACCTTACTGTGTGGCTTTAACAGTTAAGTGGCAACGATTTAACTTGTGTTGTTGAAGTTAACTTACAGAAAAGTATGAGTGTACTATTCACTGAATTTTTATATACTGAACACATCTTGTATAACTAGTCACATGTAGAGGCAAAAATTAAGAATACACCAAAATTCCCCTTGCAGTCCTTTCAGTCTCTAGTTTACAAAGGGCACTTGTTATGCTAAATTTTTATTTTTCTGAGATGGGGTATCACTGTCACCCAGGCTGCAGCACAGTTGTATGATCATAGCTCACTGCAGCCTTGAACTCCTGGGCTCAAGTGATCCTCTTGCCTCAGCCTTCTGAGTAGATGGGACTGCAATCATGCGCCACCATGCCCAACTAATTTTTTTTTTTAAGTTTTTGTAGAGACAGAATCTTGCTGTGTTGACCAGGCTGGTCTTGGACTCTTGGGCTTAAGCAAATTCCTTGCCTTGGCTTCCGAAAGTGTTGGGATTATAGGCATGAGCCACCACACCCAGTTCATGCTGACTTTTAATTGCATAGATAAATTGTACCTGATTTTGAATTTACATAAATGGAATCACAGATATGTACACTTTTTTTTTCTTTTTGAGACAGAGTCTTGCTCTGTCGCCCAGACTACAGTGCAGTGGTGTGATCTTGGCTCCCTGCATCCTCCGCCTCCCAGGTTCAAGGGATTCTTCTCCCTCAGCCTCCCAAGTAGCTGGGACTACAGGCACATGCCACCACACCCGGCTAATTTTTGTATTTTTAGTAGAGACATAGTAGAGACATACTGGCCATATTCACCATATTGGCAAGGCTGGTCTCAAACTCCTGACCTCGTGATCCGCCTGCCTTGGCTTCCCAAAGTGCTGAGATTATAGGGGTGAGCAACCACACCCGGCCCAGATATGTACTCTTTAGCTGTGAGTTTCATCCATGTTGCAACTGGTTGTGGGTCATTGATTCCTGTTGCTTTACAGTATTCCATTGTATGAATGTACCAGTGCTTATTCATTATACTGTTAATAGGCATTTGAGTTGTTTCCAGTTTGGGGCCATTGCGAATAGTGCTGCTATTATCTTTTGGTGAATTAATTTCCCTTGGTTATCTTCCTAGGAGAGGGATTGTTGGGTCATAGGGTATACGTATGTTTATCTTTGAGATGCTGCCAGTTTTTCTCAGTGGTTATACCAGTTTACACTTCCAGTGGTGTACGATGGTTTGGGTTGTTTCATATCCTCATCAATAATTGTATTGTCTTTCATTTTAGCCATTTTGGGGTGTATGTAGCAGTATCTGTTGTGGTTTTAATGTTCATGTCCTTAGTGACTGATGAAGTTGAGCACATTTTCATGTTTACTGGCCTTTGGATATCCTTTTTCTTGAAGTGTCTCTTCAGGCCTTATACTCATTTTTCTTAGGGTTATCTACCTTTTTCTTGTTTACTTGTAGCAGTTCTTTATATAGGCCACATATGAGTTCTTTGTCTGAAATATGTATTAAAATTATTTTCTTTGAGTCTGTGATTTGTCTTTGTACTCTTAATTGGCGTCTTTTGAATAACAGAAAACTTAAATTGTAATGAAGTATAATTTACTGACTTTATTCCATTGTGTTTAATGCTTGTGGCCTGTTTAAGAAATATTTGCCTATTCCAAGGTCATGAAGGTAGTATATGTTTCTTTTCTAAAGTTGTTTTACCTTTCACACTTAGATTTGCAACCCATCTGGAATTTTGTTTTGTACATGGTATAAGAAGGGGAAGATTAATTTTGTTCTGTGTGGATAGCCAGTTGACTCAGCATCATTTTGGTGAAAGAAAATTCTTTTAAATTGTATTGCCATGTTGCCTTTCTCATAAATCAGGCATCCATAGTATATGTACAGATCCGTTTCTGGATACTCTCTTCTCTTCCATTGATCTATTTATCTGTCCTTGTGTCTTAATTATTGTAGCTTTATAATAGGCTTTGATAGTTGGTAGTGAAGTCCTTCAACTTTGTCTTTTTGGATTCTTGGCTTTTCTTGGATCTTCACATTTCTATATAAATTATAGATTCAGCTCATCAGTCCAAGCTCCACCCCCTGCCCCACATACACAAAGTTCTACTGGGATTTTGATTGGGATTGCGTTGAACCTATGAATCAAGTTCTGGATAATGGATATGTTGACAAGTCTTCCAATTCAAGAAGTTGATATATCCCTTTGCTTATCTGGTCTTTAAAAATTTTCTTAGTGTTTGTAGATGTCTTGCAGATTCTTTAAGTTTATCTCTAGGTTTTGATGGTATTTAATGCTATTGTAAAGGAGTTTTTTGTTTGTTTGTTTTTTAGTGCCATTTTCTGTTTGTTTGCTGCTGTGACAGCCCTATCTAGTGTTGGCTCCAGAAGTAGATATTTCAGGTTTTGGACATTTGAGTCCTTCTTATGTGCAAATTGTTTGAGGTAACCTGTCTCCCAAATAGTCTATAGTTTTGAGATGTGAGTTTTATTGCTTTTGTTCATCTGTGAGTTTTAGAGGATATATGGAGAGATTTGGATCTAGGCAACTGCCAGTTTGCTATAGGAACCAGGAAGTCTGATTTTGCTGATCTTGTTTGAAGAATATACATATTCTGTCTCATATATACATACATACGTATTGTGCATTTGTCAAAGTGTATATGAGAGAGAATATACATATGTGTATTTATGTGTGTTTTCAATATATATGTTGACAAAATATACACAAAAAGTGTTTTTGCCTCTTAGAATGTCTAAAATTGAGAAGACTGACCTTACCAAGAATTGGCAGGGATGTTGAATAACTGAAACTGTCAAACTGCTGGTAGGAATGCAAAATGGTACAACTATTTGGAAAACAGTTTGGCAGGTTCCTAAAAGGTTAAATGTTTACCTACCATAAGACCCAGTGGTTCCACTCTTTTTTTTTTTAATAAGCTTACATTTTAGAATAGCTTTCAATTAATAGAAAAGTTACAAAGAAGTTACAAAAGTTAATAAAATTAAAAACTTTACCTGTAATCCCAGCACTTTGGGAGGCCGAGGCGGGCGGATCACGAGGTCAGGAGATCGAGACCATCCCGGCTAAAACGGTGAAACCCCGTCTCTACTAAAAATACAAAAAATTAGCCGGGCGTAGTGGCGGGCGCCTGTAGTCCCAGCTACTTGGGAGGCTGAGGCAGGAGAATGGCGTGAACCCGAGAGGCGGAGCTTGCAGTGAGCCGAGATCCCGCCACTGCACTCCAGCCTGGGCGACAGAGCGAGACTCCGTCTCAAAAAAAAAAAAAAAAAAAAAAAAAAACTTTAATAGAATTAATAACAATTAATAGAAAAGTTACAAAGCTAGCATAGAGAATTCCTGTATATCCTGTACCTAATTTCCCCTATTTTGCTAACAACTTACATTATTATTGTGCATTTGTCACACCTAGTGAAGCAATATTGATACTGTAGTCTGTATTTTATTTGGATTTTCTTAGTTTTTACCTAATGTGCTTTTTCTGTACCAGGATCCCACCCAGGATATCACATTATTCATCATGTGGGCTCCTCCAGACTGTGGCAGTTTCTCAGACTTCCCTTATTTTCGATTATGTTGACAGTTTTGAGTAGTGTTGGTCACACTCAAGAGAAATGAAACCATTTACCGTATACAAACTTAACACAAATGTTCATAGCCTCTTTATATATAATAGCCAAAACCTGGAAACAACCCAGATGTCCATCAATAGATGAATGGATAAACAAATGCAAAGGAGTACTGCTCAGCAGTAAAGAGGAATAAACTATTGTTGCTACTACAACATGGATGAATTTCAGGATAATTATGTTCAGTGAAAGAAGCCAGACAAAAGAGTATATACCACATAATTCTGTTGGCACAGAATTCTATCAAATGCCAACTAACCTCCAGTGACAGCAGGGAGATCGGTGGTTGCCTGGGCAAGAGGACTCAGAGGTAGGTAGGAAAGGATTTCAAAAGGGTATTAAACTTTTGGGGCAGAACTTGACGATAAGTGGTCAAATAATGAAATAAATAAACTTTTGGGGAAGATGGATATGTTTATTACCTTGACTTTTGGTGATGGTTTCGTGGGTATGTATACATAGGTTGAAACATATCAAATTCTACACTTTGAATACATGCAGTTTATATGTCAGTTATGTCTCAAAGCTGTTAACCTTTGTAAACATAGTTATCTCTGAATGGTAGGATTTAAATGCATATATTTGCTTTTATAGGGTTTTTTGCTTTTAAAAATTTTAACCAGCCTGGCCAACATGGTGAAACCCTGTCTCTACTAAAAATACAAAAATTAGCCAGGCGTGGTGCCATGCACCTGTAATCCCAGCTACTTGGGAGGCTGAGGCAGGATAATCACTTGAACCCGGGAGGTGGAGGCTGCAGTGAGCTGAGATCATGCCACTGCACTCCAGTCTGGGCGATGACAAGAACGAAACTCCGTCTCAAAAAAAAAAAAAAAAAAATTTAAAAAGAGGAATGTAAAATAATGTATTTACCACCGATCTTTAACAAATGTTAAGATTTTGATATGTTTGATTCAGACCTTTATTCAGACAATATAAACATCAAATAAAAGTTTTGCACTTAAGTGTACTCTTTTCCTCATTTTCCTAGAGATAACTCTCCTGAAGTTGGTATATTTCCTTCCCATCCGTGTTTTTATACTTCTCTGTGTATGTCCATAAACATCGTTTTACATTTTTATGTAAATAAAACATACACTGAGGAAAATGCACAGTTTAAAGTATATAACTGGGTAAATTGTCACAAAACAAATACACTCATGCTCTCAAGCTCAAATCAAGAAATAGAATGATATAAGCAACTAAGAAGACCCCTCATGCCGCCTCCTGATTGTCATATGTTTTAAATCTTTATGCAAAGAATATGACATTATCTTCCTGGCATTTGCTTTTCTCCATGTGTCATATTTATAATGTGTACATATTGATAGTTATTTGTAAGTAAAATCAATACATTTTAATTGCTTTGTAGTAATATTTTACATAAATATATACAATATTCCTCTTGGTAAATGTTTAGGTGTATATTTTTTGCTGTATTTAGGTAAATATATATTTTTTGCTATTATAAACAGTATTTTGGTGAACATCCTTGTTTAAGTCTCCTGTGCCCACATCACAAGAGCTTCCTTGAGTATGTACCTAGAAGTTAATTGCAGAGTTTGGTATATTGTCTTCACACTTCAAGTTGCTGGGTACTTTTTCAAAGTGCATTTACCAGTTTATAATCCTGCTAGGATTTCATGAGTTTTCAGTCACATTCCATGTAGACTCTAGATGTTGTCATACTTCAAAATTCCAGTTGATATAGCTGTAAATCCAACTTGATTTTGTTTTCTTTATATTATAAAATATTTTCTGAAGTTAAAATAATACGTGTAGCATATATGATCTGGCATCAACCCAGAGTAAGTTTCTAGAATTGTGTCCCAGGGTTCTTTCCCTTTATGCCATTCTGTCTGCTGTTTCTTGACATTCCATGCATATTATATAATTAAAATCACTGACAGATGAAGTTGTGCAATGAATGCTCTTCTGCTACATAGTTGACAACTAAATTGACTGTCTTCCTAGAAAAAATTATTTTATTCAAAGTTGGCTTGGTTGTCACTTCAGAAACTTTATAACACTGTCCTGCCTCCAATGTTCTGTAGTCTGTCAATCTGTGAGATGAAGCAAGGTCCTTCTTGGCTCTTCGTGTTTATTTGTGGATCCATCATGTGGTGGTGTAAACATATACATTCTTAAAATGGGAGGATAGGGTACAGTTTTGAAAAAACATTGTCCGTTTCATAATAAACCCAAACAAAGATAGGGTACAGGCTCTGAATGCAGATGACCTGAGAACAAATTCTGGTCGTGCTACTTACTTGCTGTGACCTTGGCTTACACTCTGAGTTTAAATTTCCTCTTTAGACACATAGGTAGAAATAGTACCCATTTGTAGGGGTTTTGTGAAGCTTAAATAAGATTTGTATTGAATACTATCTACAATGATGCACATAACTGCACTTACTAAATGGTGATAGTGATTGTGATAGTGTGGGTATATAAAGATGCAGTTGTGAGAGCGTTGGCTGAGGTCATATATATATATACACACACACACACACACACACACACACACACTTATATTTTAAAGAGTTGAACTAGGTTTTCTGTTTATACTGTAAGTCTCTTGAAGAATGTGTAAGGACTAGGTCTTAAATATCCTTGGGTTTCGTTTCGTTTCTTTCTTTCTTTTTTTTAAAGATCTTTTGAAATCCTTGGATTTCTAATCCTCAGTATTGGGCCTGGTGCATGTTAGGTAACATTATACAATTGCTTAATGAATACATTCTCTCAAACTGGGTGCCTAAGCTGAAAAAGGCCCTCATTTTGTGTTCAAATTGTACTCCCCCCCACATTTGGTACTGATAATATCTAGGAATTTACTTGCAGTTTTGTGTGTATGTATGTGTTCACAATCAGTATTTATTTAGACTTCAGTAATTTTTAGTGATTACTTAGATTATCATTGTGTTTTGTTTAATTCTTGGACTAGTTTGATGGACTTTTCCAAATTGTTAAACATAGAATATATGGAAACTTGCATAAAACACCTGTATATTTTAATCAGTTATACAGCAGACACCCACATAACCACTACCCAGGTCAAGAAATAGAATATTACAGCTGGGTGCAGTGGCTCGTGCCTGTAATCCCAGCACTTTGGGAGGTTAAGGTGAGAGGGTCACTTGAGCCCAGGAGTTCGAGGCTTCAGTGAGCTGTGATAATGCTGCTGCACTCCAGCCTGGGAGCAAGACCCATATTTTTATGTGGTTAGGAGTGACGAAGAGGACGCTGGGAGCCTCCCGAGGAGGCCAGTCCCTTTCCAGCAGCCCCTGGGGCCGTCCCAGGGTAGGGAGTCTTAGAGCCCCAGGGTCCCACCCAGGGTGTGTGTCTCTCTCCCGGTGGGCTTCCCCAGGCATCAGCAAGGCCACTGCTTGGCGGAGGCTTGCCGGCAGGGACTCAGAAGCAGCGAGGCTGAAGAGGATCCTGGGAGCCTCCCAAGGAGGCCAGTCCCTTCCTGGCAGCCTCCCGGGCTGTCCCAGGGGGGCATTGAGGGGGGAGCGGGGCGGGGTGGTAGAGTTCCAGGCTCCCATCCAGGGTGAGTGTCTCTCTCCCCGGGGGGAGCTTGTTTCCAGTCTTAGGGGAGGGGTTGTGAGTGAACTTCTTAGCATTTCTCCTTTAAATATGCTGAAGTTGTGAATGTTTTTTATCTGATTAAGAAAGTTCTTTTCAGACTTTGCCAAGAGGCTTTTAAAAAAAGAAAATCTGCAGGATGCAGTGGCTCATGTCTATAATCCCAGCACTTGGGGAGGTTGAGGTGGTTAGAGACCAGCCTGGGCAATGTAGTGAAACCCCATCTGTACAAAAGTATGAAAAGCCGGGTGTGGTGGCACGTACCTGTAGTCCCAGTTACTTGGGGCTGAGGTGGGAGGATCGCTTGAGCTCAGGAGGTGGAGATTGCAGTGAGCCAAGATCGTGCCGCTGCACTCCAGCCTGGGTGACACAGCCAGACACTGTCTCCAAAAAAACAAAACAAAACAAAAAAACCCCCAAGAAAACAAACATAAAATCATGAATGTTATTAAATTATATCAGCTTTTCTGCATCTATTCATTTAACCTTTCTCCTTTATTCTATAGATGTAGGAATAACATTCAGGAAAGAATACCAAAGTAAAGCCAACTTCGCATTCCTGGAATTAACTCAAGTTGTTCATAATATATTTTATTTAGTATATTGTTTGGATTTCATTTGTAAATGTTGTCTTCAGGATTTTTGTATTCATGCACATAAGAGATAAGCTTGTAATTTTCTTTCCTTAAAATATCCCTGGTGTCAGAGTCGTTAGCTTCTTGAAGCAAATCATTAGCTTCTTGAAAAGTTTTTTTTTTTCCTCGCTGTTCTTGAGAAGAGCTTGTGTGAAATTTATAATAGTCTTCCTTAAATTTTGATATAATTCATTGCTGAAGCCACTTGGGCCTGGAGTGTGTTTTTGTTTGTTTTTGTTTTTTTGAGGAACAGTTTTTAAAATGTGGATTCAGTTTTTTGTTTGTTTGTTTTGTTTGTTTGTTTGTTTGTTTGTTCTTTTTTTTGAGACAGAGTCTCACTATGTTGCCCAGGCTGGAGTGCAGTGGTGCAGTCTTGGCTTACTGCAACCTCCGCCCCCCAGGTTCAAGCGATTCTCCTGCCTCAGCCTCCTGAGTAGCTGGGATTACAGGCGCCTGCCACCTGCCCAGCTAATTTTTGTATTTTTAATAGAGATGGGGTTTCACCATCTTGGCCAGGCTGATCTTGAACTTCTGACCTCATGACCCACCCGCCTTGGACTCCCAAAGTGCTGGGATTACAGGTGTGAGCCACCTTGCCTGACCCAGTTTTTAAAATACAATTATTCAAATTTCTGTGTTTTTTTTTTTGTTTTTTTTTTTTTGGACAGACTCTCGCTCTGTTACCCAGGCTGGAATGCAATAGTGTGATCTCAGCTCACTACAACCTCTGCCTCCCGGGCTCAAGCGATTCTCCTGCCTCAGCCTCCCAAGTAGCTGGGACTACAGGGGTGCTCCACCATGGCTGGCTAATTTTTGTATTTTTAGTAGAGATGGGGTTTCACCATGTTAGGCAGGCTGGTCTCGAACTCCTGACCTCAGGCAATCCACCCGCCTCAGCTTTCCAAAGTGCTGGGATTATAGGCATGAGCCACCGCACCTGGCTCAAATTTCTATTCCGTCTTCTAAGTTTTGCTAAGTTGTGTTTTTCTAGGAATTTCTCTGTTTCATTTAAATTTTCAAATTCATTGGCATAAATGTTTATGTAAAAGCTTCTTCTGATGTTTTAGAATTTCCAGTTTTTATTTTATCTTATTTTTTTGTATTTTTTTTTAGTGGAGACAGGGTTTCACCGTGTTAGCCAGGATGGTCTCGATCTCCTGACCTCATGATCTGCCCACCTCGGCTTCCCAAAGTGCTGGGATTACAAAATTTCCAGTATTTCTTAACATTACGTTTGCTTTTTTTTGTCTGTGTTACTAATCTTTTTTTTAAAATAAACTTTTGGCTTTGATCCCTCCCTCCCCCGATTCTGTTATACATTTCTTTTATGTGTCATTTATTTTTTTTCCTATTGTTTTCTTTGGGTTTGATTTACTGTGTGTTTTTTTTAAACTTATTGAGATGAAAATTATTAGATCATCGTGTTTTTGTTTTTTGGGGTTTTCTTTTTTTTGAGACGTGATTTCTTGGGCTCAAGTGATCTTCCTGCCTCAGCCTCTTGAGTATCAGGGACTGCAGGTGTGTGCCACCGTGGCTGCTGGCTAATTTTTATTTTTATTTTTTTGTAGAGATGGGGTCTTGCTATGTTGGCCAGGCTGGTCTTGAACTCCTGGTCTCAAAGGGTCCTCCTGCCTCAGCCTCCCAAAGCGTTGAGATTATAAGCATGAGCCACTGTGCCTGGCCTACTATTGCCATCTTAACAATATTAAGTCTTCTAATGCATGAATTGGGGATTTTTTTTGTTTTAATTTATTTCAGTGATTTCTTACAGTTTTCAGTGTCCAAGTCTTGCAATTTATTCATAAGTATATTTATTTTTCATGCTATTGTAAGTCAAACTGTTAATTTTATTTTCAGATTGTTCATTGCTAGTGTATAGAAATAGAGCTGGTTTTTGTACATGGATTTTTGTGTGTGTGATTTCTTAGGATTTTTTACATCTAAGATCATGCCTTCTGGGTGTATCATCTATAAAGATAGTTTTACTTTTTTTTCCATCTAGATGCCTTTTGTTTCATTTTCCTTCCTAATTGTGCTGGCTAAAATCTTCAGTACAGTTTTGAATAGAAGTGAAGAGAGCAGACTTCATTCACCATTAAATATGATGTTAGATGTGGGTGTTTTTGTAGGAGCCCTTTATCAAGTTGAGGATTTTTTTTTCTTTTTTTCTTTTTTTTTTTTTTTTTTTTTTTTTTTTTTGAGACTGGAGTCTCACTCTGTCCCCAAGGCTGAAGTGCAGTGGCGTGATCTTGGCTCACTACAACCTCTGCCTCCCGGGTTCAAGCAATTCTCCTGCCTCAGCCTCCAGAGTAGCTGGGATTACAGGTGTGCGCCACCATGCCAGGCTAATTTTTGTATTTTTAGTAGAGATGGGATTTCATGATGTTGGTCAGCCTGGACTCCAACTCCTGACCTCAGGTGATCCACCGGCCTTGGCCTCCCAAAGTGCTGGGATTACAGGCGTGAGTGACCGGGCCCGGCCTGAGGATGTTTTTTTCTATTCCTAGTTTATTGAATATTTTTATCATGAAAGGGTATTGGATTTTCATCAAATACTTGTCTGTGTCCATTGAGATGATCATGTGATTTTTTTTTACTTTTGTTCTATTAATATTATATTTTATTGATTTTTTTTCTTATAATGAACCAACCTTGTCTTCTTAGGATAAACCCCATTTGGTCATAGTGTGTAATCCATCTTAGATGCCACTGCATTTAGATTAATAAACAGATAGGTCTATGATTTTGTTTTCTTGTGGTCTCTGCCTGATTTTGGTATCAGGGAAATACTTGCTTCATGACTGAGTTGTAAAGTGTTCCCTCCTCGTCTGCTTTTTGGAAAAGTACATGTGAATAATTGGTATTTATTCTTTTTTAGGTTTTTGGTAGAATTCACCAGCGAAGCTTTCTTGTCTTGGACTATTCTCTGGGAAGTTTGTTGATGACTAATACAGGCTTTTTGTTCATTAAAAGCGTATGCAGATTGTCTGTTTCTTTGAGTTAGTTTTGGTAATTTCTGGCTGTAGAATTTATTTCACCTATGTTTTCTAATTTGCAGGCATATAATTATTCATAGTAATTTTTTTTTTTTTTTTTTGCCACGGAGGTTTGCTCTTGTTGCCTAGGCTGGAGTGCAGTGGGGTGATCTCGGCTCACCGCAACCTCCACCTCCCAGGTTCAAGCGATTCTCCCGCCTCAGCCTCCCAAGTAGCTGATATTACAGGCATGCGCCACCATGCCTGGCTAATTTTGTATTTTTAGTAGAGACGGAGTTTTTCTATGTTGATTGGGCTGATCTCAAACTCCCAACCTCAGGTGATCCACCCACTTCAGCCTCCCAAAGTGCTGGGATTACAGGCATGAGCCATTGCAGCCAGCCCATAGTAATTTATATTCTTTTTTACTTTCTGTAAGGTTGGTAGTATTGTACCCACTTTCATTTCTTCTTGGTTAATCTAGCTCAAGGTTTATCAGTTTTGCAGATGTTTTTCAAAGAACCAACTTCTGTTTTTTTTTTTTATAGTTTTTCTAGACATTATTTCGACTTTAATCTTTGTTGCTTCCTCTACTTGCTTTGTGTTTATTTTTTCTAGTTTCTTTAGGTAGAATGTTAGGTTATTGATATTTAATTACTATTGTTATTATTTTTTTTTTTCTGAGACAGGCTCTCGCTCTGTTGCCCAGGCTGGAGTGCAGTGGCGTGATCACAGCTCACTGCAGCCGCGACCTCCCAGGCTCAAACAATCCTCCCACCTCAGCCTCTTGAGCAGCTGGGACTACAGTTGTGCACCACCATGCCTAGCTAATTTATATTTTTTTTGTAGAGGCAGGGTCTCTCACTATGTTGCCTGGGCTGTCTCAAACTCCTGGGCTCAAGTGATCCTCCTACCTCAGCCTCCTAAAGTTCTGGGATTACAGGTGTGAGCTACGACATTCAGCATAATCTTTAACATAGGATTTTACAACTTTCCAAGTATTATTTTCATTGCATGCCGTAAGTTTTAGTATGGTGTGTTTCTTTATCTCAAAGTATTTTCTCATTGCCCTGTGATTTCTTCTTCGATCCATTGATGAAGAGTATGTTGTTTAATTTCCACGTTTTGAGAATTTTCCAGTTTTCCTTCTGTTACTGACTTCTAATTCTGTTCTTTTGTGGTTGCAGAATGTACTTTGTATGATTTCAGCCATTTCACATTTATTGAGACTTCATGGCCTAACTAACATATGGTCTGTCCTGGAGAATATTTCATATACACTTAAGATTGTGTATTCTTCTTTTGTAGATTGAAATATCTTGTGTCTGTTCTAGTTGTTTTATAGTGTTCAAGTATACAGTTTCCTTCCTGATACTGTCATCTTGTTCTATACATTAAATAAATAAATGAAAATAAAATCAATGATCAGGGTAATATTAGTGAAATGGCAGAATAAGGACCTCTGAAATTCTTCCTACATAAAAACCAATGAGAACACTAGCAAAAAATTGTCACAATAAACTTTGTCAGAACTCTGGAAATTAAACCAAAAGCTTGCAGAAATCTGGGGAGTATTTGTTTAAAAACTAAAAACAAGATAGCTGAATCTTGGTAAGAACAACATTCTTTGTGGCCTTTTAATTTGTATTATTTTCATACCTTCCTCCCTAGCTCTACTACAACCCTGAAAACCAGCAACCTGCATCACAGCAAAAATTAGCAGCCTGGAAGCCACTGAAAGGACAAAACAGTTGGAGCTCAAGCCCCATCCTCAACGAATTGTCATTACTTGACCTTTTACATGGTTACACACAAGGCCCCACTTATGTGGTTGTATTTGACCTACCTCCGAGCTCACCAAGTACAGCCAGCCATTTCCCATTTCCCAGGGAAAGTTTGTTTAAAAAAAAAAATCAGAGGCAATTATTAAATATCCCAGGTGCCTGAGGCATTAGGCAACAGTTTAGGAACTCAACAGGCTAACCAAAAAAGCTTAAAAGGCTGGGGAATGAAATATGAGGCTTTATAAAAAACTCAATATATTCCTGGGAATCTAGGCTAACCTGCATGCTTGAAAGAAAGCATTAGATTAGAAGGCCCTAAGCTCTCTCTCCTGGTTAACCTTGAGGCTCTGTACAAACAAGAAGTGAAGAATACTGCAGAGTTGTAAACTGTCTGGCTCAGTGTGGAGGGCATACTGGGCCCCTTGTCAAAGACTGGGAAACTTACTGGTTCTAAGCATGTAAGGCAGTTTCTGTCCATCATTGCTGAAAGTGAGCTATTGATGTTTCCAGCAATAGTGTTACTGTTGAAGTATCTGTTTCTCCTATCATTTCTGTCAGTTTTTGTTGCATATATTTTGGTGGTCTGTGTTAGGTTCATTGGTGTTTATAATTGTTAAATTTTTTTTGATAGATTAACCCTTTTATTATAAAATGTCCTCCTTTATCTCTAGTAACA
The DNA here is from genome assembly GCF_000001405.40 of Homo sapiens. Taxonomy (NCBI): domain Eukaryota; kingdom Metazoa; phylum Chordata; class Mammalia; order Primates; family Hominidae; genus Homo; species Homo sapiens. The sequence goes on along the minus strand of NC_000015.10, from coordinate 82,607,722 downwards.
ATTTTTGTCTTAATGTCTGTTTTGTCTGGTAATAGGCACAGTTATTCTACCTCTCATTTGGTTATTATTTGCAGGGTATACTTTTTTCCATCCTTTCAACCTATTTGTGTCTTTTGTGTCTTTGTTTTTTTCCTTGAGACTTGAGTCTCGCTCTGTCATCCAGGCTGGAGTGCAGTGGTGTGATCTTGGCTCACTGCAACTTCTGCTTCCCAGTTCAAGCAATTCTCCTGTCTCAGCCTCCCGAGTAGCTGAGACTACAGGCACACACCACCACACCTGGGTAATTTTTGTATTTTTAGTAGAGACGGGGTTTCACCATGTTGGCCAGGCTGGTCTCGAACTCCTGACCTCAGGTGATCCACCTGCCTCAGCCTCCCAAAATGCTGGGATTACAGGCGTGAGCCACCGTGCCCAGCCCTATTTGTGTCTTTGAGTCTTAAAGTGTATCTCCTGTTGTGCAGTATATATTTGGATCATGCTTTTAAAAAGTCCATTCTGTCAGTCTGTCATTTATTCAAGAGTTTGATCCATCTACATTTAATATAATTACTGATAAGATATACACCTGCCATTTTTCTGTTTGTTTTCCATATGTCTTGTGTCTTTTCCCCCTATTCTTCCATTACTGCTTTCTTTTGTGTTAAGATATTTTCTAGTATAAAATCCTATGACATTTTAATTTCCTTGTTTCTTTAATTTCCTTGTCTCTTTAATTTCCTTGTCATTCTTATATATATGTTTCTTGTTTTTTTTAAAGAGACAAAGTCTTGCTCTGTCACCCAGGCTGGTGTCAAACTCCTGGCCTTAAGTGATCTTCCCACCTTGGCTTCCCAAAGTGCTGGGATTGCAGGCATGAGCTACTATGCCTGGCCTCTTTTACTATGTATTTTTTTTTTTTTTTTTTTGAGACGGAGTCTCGCTCTGTCGCCCAGGCTGGAGTGCAGTGGCGGGATCTCGGCTCACTGCAAGCTCCGCCTCCCGGGTTCACGCCATTCTCCTGCCTCAGCCTCCCAAGTAGCTGGGACTACAGGCGCCCGCCACTACGCCCGGCTAATTTTTTGTATTTTTAGTAGAGACGGGGTTTCACCATTTTAGCCGGGATGGTCTCGATCTCCTGACCTCGTGATCCGCCCGCCTCGGCCTCCCAAAGTGCTGGGATTACAGGCGTGAGCCACCGCGCCCGGCCTTACTATGTATTTTTAAGTTATTTTCTTAGCGCATGTGCTGAGAACTAGCTTTTTTTTTTTTTTTTTGAGACGGAGTATCCCTGTGTCACCCAGGTTGGAGTGCAGTGGTGCCATCTCGGGTCACTGTAACCCCTCAGCTCCTGGGTTCAAGCAGTTCTCCCTCAGCCTCCTGAGTAGCTGGGATACCAGGTACCCATCACCATGCCCGGCTAATTTTTTTGGTATTTTTAGTTAGAGACAAGGTTTCGCCATGTTGGCCAGGCTGGTCTCAAACCCCTGAACTCAAGTGATCCGCCTGCCTCGGCCTCCCAAAGTGCTGGGATTACAGGCGTGAGCCACCATGCCCAGCTGGAACTAGCATCTTAATTTATATTAACAATCTAGGTCAAATAATAACCAATTTTATTTTCAGTAGTATACAGAAACTTTGCACCAGTATCGCTTTATTTTCTCCTCCTCTTGTGCTGTTAATGTATTACAAATATGTCTTTTTTTTTGAGGTGGAGTTTTGCTGTTGTTGCCCAGGCTGGAGTACAATGGCGCGATCTCGCCTCACCACAACCTCTGCCTCCTGGGTTCAAGCGATTCTCCTCTCCCAGCCTCCCGGGTAACGGGGATTACAGACATGCGGCATCACACCTGGCTAATTTTGTATTTTTAGTAGAGACAGGGATTCTTCATGTTGGTCAGGCTGGTCTCGAACTCCCGACCTCAGGTGATCCGCCCACCTCAGCCTCCCAAAGTGCTAGGATTACAGGCATGAGCCACTGTGCCCGGCCACAAATAGGTGTTTATACATGGTGTGCCTATCAATACAGATTTATAATTAACTTTAGCTATCTTTTGTCTTCTTCCTAGCTTTAAGATATAATTGACAAATGAGAACTTTATGGTGTACAGTGTGATGTTCTGATATATGTATACGCTGTGAAATGATTAAAGCTAATATATTCATTACCTCACATACTTATATTTTTGTGGTGAGAACATCTAAAATCTCAGCAAGTACAACTATAGAATACATTGTATAGTTGTATACAACTATACAACTATAGTTACCGTCATTCTATACAATGGCTCTTCAGAACTTTTTTATCCTGGTCAAAACTTTGTACCCTTTTACCAATACCTTCTTATCCCGCCCCCATTTGGTTATCTTTTAAATCTGATAGGAGAAAAAAAAGACAAAAATATACTCTCTATTATATTTACCTATGTAGTTATCTTTTTTGGTCTTCTTTATTACTTCATGTGGATTAAAGTAACTGTCTAGCATTCTTTCACTTCACTGGGAAAGATGCTCTTTAGTATTTGTTGTAGGGGAGGTCTGCTAGTGACAAACTCCCTTTTTGTCTAGGAATGTCTTAATTTCTCCATTCTTGAAGGATCGTGTTGGTGATAAAAAATTCTTGGTTGAGTTTCTTCTTTTAACTCCCTCAGTATGTCATCCTACTGCCTTCTGGCTCCACAATTTCTGGTAAGAAATCAGCTATTAATGTTATTGAAAATCCCTTGTATGTCATATATGATGATTGCTTCTCTCTTGCAGTTTTGCCCTTTCTATGTCTCCGGCTTTTGACCATTTAATGTGTCTTGGTGTAGGTCTCTTTGAGCTTATCCTACTTGCAGTTCATTGGATTTTTTGAATATGTAGATTAATGTTTTTCATCAACGTTTTCTGCCATTATTTCTTCACATATTCTGTCTCTTTCCCTCATCTGCTTTGGGACTTCTAATATGTGTATCTTGGTATACTTGACTGTATCCCAGATGTCTCTGTGGCTCTGTAGTTTCTTGTCCTCAGACTGGATAATCTCCATGTCTGTATCTTCAGCCTTGCTGATTGTTTTTCTTTTTAAATCTGCTGTTGAGCCCCTGTAGTGAATTTTTCATTGCAGTTATTATACCTTTCAGCTCTAGAATTTCTAATTGGTTCTTTTTTATATGTAATTTCTGTCTCTTTAGTAATATTCTCTATTTGGTGAGACATTATTCTCATACTTTAGTTCCTTGGATATGGTTTCTTGTTTCTGTCTTTTTTTTTTTTTTTGAGATGGAGTCTTGCTCTGTCACCCAGGCTGGAGTGTAGTGGCGCGATCAATCTCGGCTCACTGCAAGCTCCGCCTCCTGGGTTCTCACCATTCTCCTGCATCAGCCTCCTGAGTAGCTGGGACTACAGGTGCCCACTACCATGCCCAGCTAATTTTTTGTATTTTAGTAGAGACAGGGTTTCACCCTGTTAGCCAGGATGCTCTCAATCTCCTGACCTTGTGATCCGCCTGCCTCGGCCTCCCAAAGTGCTGGGATTACAGGTGTGAGCCACTGCACCTGGCCCGTTGTTTTGTTTTTTGTAGCAATGGAGCCTTGCTATGTTGCCCAGGCTTGGCTTGAACTCCTGGCCTCAAGTGATCCTTCGTTCTGGGCCTCTCAAAGTGCTGGGATTACAGAGCCATTGTCCACAGCCAGATATGGTATCCTTTAGCTCTTCATACATATTGAAAATAGCTAGAGTCTTTGTCTAATACATGTAATGTCTGCCCTTTGTCAGGGACCATTTTTAGTGATTTTTTCCCCCATGAATGGGCCATACTTGTTTCTTTGAATGTCTTATAAATTTTGTCTTGAAAATTGGACATTGGAAATAATGTAGCAAGTCTGGAAATCGGGTTATCCGTCCTCCACAGGCTGAAGGGTTCTTGTTTGTTGTTGTTCATTTAGTGGCTCTTCTCAGCTAGTTCTGTAAACTTCGCATTTTTTAAATATGTGGCCACTGAAGTCTCTGCTTGGTTATCTTAGTAGTCGGCTAATGATGGACAGAAACTGCCTTACATGCTTAGAACCAGTAAGTTTCCCAGTCTTTGACAAGGGGCCCAGTATGCCCTCCACACTGAGCCAGACAGTTTACAACTCTGCAGTATTCTTGTATTCTTCACTTGCTGTTTGTACAGAGCCTCAAGGTTAACCAGGAGAGAGAGCTTAGGGCCTTCTAATGCTTTCTTTCAAGCATGCAGGTTAGCCTAGATTCCCAGGAATATATTGAGTTTTTTATAAAGCCTCATATTTCATTCCCCAGCCTTTTAAGCTTTTTTGGTTAGCCTGTTGAGTTCCTAAACTGTTGCCTAATGCCTCAGGCACCTGGGATATTTAATAATTGCCTCTGATTTTTTTTTTTTAAATAAACTTTCCCTGGGAAATGGGAAATGGCTGGCTGTACTTGGTGAGCTCGGAGGTAGGTCAAATACAACCACATAAGTGGGACCTTGTGTGTAACCATGTAAAAGGTCAAGTAATGACAATTCATTGAGGATGGGGCTTGAGCTCCAACTGTTTTGTCCTTTCAGTGGCTTCCAGGCTGCTAATTTTTGCTGTGATGCAGGTTGCTGGTTTTCAGGGTTGTAGTAGAGCTAGAGAGGAAGGTATGAAAATAATACAAATTAAAAGGCCACAAAGAATGTTGTTCTTACCAAGATTCAGCTATCTTGTTTTTATTTTTTAAACAAATACTCCCCAGATTTCTGCAAGCTTTTGGTTTAATTTCCAGAGTTCTGACAAAGTTTATTGTGACAATTTTTTGCTAGTGTTCTCATTGGTTTTTATGTAGGAAGAATTGTCAGAGGTCCTTATTCGCCATTTCACTAATATTACCCTGATCATTGATTTTATTTTATTTATTTTTATTTATTTAGTTTTTGAGATGAAGGGTTGCTCTGTCGCCCAGGCTGGAGTGCCATGCATGATCTCGGCTCACTGTAACCTCCGCCTCCCGGGTTCAAGCGATTCTTCTGTCTCAGCCTCCTGAGTAGCTGGGATTACAGGCACTTGCCACCATGCCCAGCTAATTTTTGTGTTTTTAGTAGAGACGGGTTTTCACCATGTTGGCCAGGCTGGTCTCAAACTCCTGACCTCAAGTGATCCATTCGCCTCGGCCTCCCAAAGTGCTGGGATTAGAGGTGTGAGCCACCGCGCCCGGCCGATTTTATATACATATATTTCTGGATGCAGGATCTTGCCCTGTCACTAAGGTAGTGGCACAATCATACCTTACTGTAACCTCAAACTCCTGGGCTCAAGTGATCCTCCCATCTGAGCCTCCCAAAGCACTTGTATAACAGGCATGAGTCACCATTCTTGGCCCATGGTTTTTAATCTTTTTAATACATTACCAAAGACTATAAATTTCCCGCTCAGCATGGATTTAAGTGCATTTTATGAGTTGTGAAGTCTTTTTAATTATCATTTAGTTGACTATTTTCTAATTTCCATTGGATGTCTTGTTGGTCCCTGAGGAAGTCTGTAGTACAGCTTTCAGGTATTTGGGACTTTCTAGTTGTCTTTTTGTTATGAATTTTTATCTTAATTCCACTATGGTCATAGAACATCCTCTAACATAATTTTAGTCTTCAAATTTGTTGAGGCTTGCTTTATAGTCTAACATATGCTCTACTTTGTTAAATGTTCTAGATATACTTATAAAGACAGTGTACTGAGCAGATGTTGGATGCAGTGTTCTGTTTATGTCTGTTAGGTCAAATTTACTAATTTGATGTTTCAGATTTTCTATATTCTTTTTTGCAGGGGGAATATATGCTTATTCTATCAATTACTAAGAGAAATGTGTTAAAATCTCTAGCTTTCGTTATCTCAATTATCTCTCCTTTTAGGGTTGTTGTTTGGCTTTATTGATTTTTGTATGCTTTTATTAAGTTTTAGAATTATATCTTCTTTGTAGATTGATCTCTCGATACTTATGAAATGCATTTCTTTCTCATGTTTTTGCCTTAAAGTTTACTTTGATACCTATTTGGTTACAACAGCATTTTTGGTGCTTGAATGGCATATCTTTTCTCATGTTTTTCAACCTGTCAATCAGTGACCTTATATTGTAAGACATGACCCTGGAAAGCAGCATATAGTTGGGATATTGGTTTTTAATCCATTCTGCAAATCTTTATTTATAGTTCTGAAATAGAAAAAAAATTTTTTTGTTGGGTGGAGGGGACAGGGTGTCACTCTGTTGCCCAGGCTGGAGTGCAGTGGCGTGATCTCAGGTCACTGCAACCTCCGCCTCCTGGTTTCAAGCGATTGTCCTGTCTCAGACTCCTGAGTAGCTGGGATTACAGGCGCCTGCCACCATGCCTGGCTAATTTTTGTATTTTTAGTAGAAACGGGGTTTAGTCATGTTGGCCTGGCTGGTCTTGGACTCCTGACCTCAGGTGATCCACCCGCCTTGGCCTCCCAAAGTGCTGGGATTACAGGCGTGAGCCACCGTGCCCAGTGTAAAAATCTTTTTTTTTTTAAGAAAACCACATTAGAAGTGACAAGTTGTACCCCCAAGCACGGTGACTCATGCCTGTAAACCCAGCACTTTGGGAGGTCGAGGTGGGGGCGGATCACCTGAGGCCAGGAGTTCGAGACCAGCCTGACCAACGTGACGAAACCCTGTCTCTACTAAAAAATACAAAAATTAGCTCGGTGTGGTGGCACGCACCTGTAATCCCAGCTACTCGGGAGGCTGAGGGTGGAGAATTGCTTGAACTCGGGAGGTGGAGGTTGCAGTGAGCGGAGGTTGCGCCACTGCACTCTAGCCTGGGCAATAGAGCAAAACTTTGTCTCCAAAAAAAAAAAAAAAAAAAAAAAAGACAAGTTCTGGGTTCTTTAAAAAAGTAGTTTATGATGAGAGAGGATGAAGAACCCACCCAACCTCCCCCTGTCCAAACCCATGTCGTTTTGTTATGCTTAAACCTATCATCTTTACTGAGTCTTCTTTGTTCTTCACGTTCTATTCCTTTTTCTTTCTTCCATGGCCTCTTGGGCAAACATATATTTACTGATCTTTTTGTGGCTACACCTAGGGATTACAACATGTTATCATTGACTTACTAGCGTCTAAGAAATTAGTGCTTTCATCACGTCCTAGAAAATGCAAGGACCTTACAGAACTTGTTATCCTGTCCCCACTTCTTTTGTGCTGTTGCTGCTATACATTTCAATTGTGTGTATATTTGAACCCCAGAAGAAAGTATCTTATATAGTCATTGTTTACTTAGACTTAGATGTGTCCTCTTTTCATTGTTTTTTTTTTCTCTGAATTTCTCTTCCATGTGGGTTCACTTTCCTTCTGCTCAAGGAGCATATTTAATGTTAAAGATGAATATTTTTATTGTGAGTCTGCTGGCAGTGAATGATCTTTATCTTCCTTGAAAATCTCTTTCTCACGTTCATTTCTTAGGATGTATTTGGTGGTTACACAATTCTTGATTGGCATTTATCATTTCACTCTCCATATACTGAACATGTTCAGGCTTCAATGGTTTTCAAAAGTCGGTCACTCTCCTTTGAAACCTTTTTCTCTCTTTTGTTCCTTGTTTGTTTTAATTATCCCTTTGCTTTCTGATGTTTCACTCTTAGTTTAAATATGGTTATCTTTTTTCTTCCTTGGGAGTTCTTGGGTTTCTTGTATGTATAGACTGGTATCTTTCATTACTCAATTTACAACCATTATCTCCTCATATATTTCCTGTGCCTCATTTTTCTTTCTCTTCTTTTGGGACTCTGTAATTAAATATTTATTCTACTTTCTCATTCTATCTTTTGTGTCTTTGATATTTTCTACTTTTTTGTGTCTCCCTTATGTATTGTATACATTTTGGTTCTATATTCTAGTTCACTGCTTTTCCCCTATTGTACCTCATTTGGCTGTTAAACTCCATCTTTGAGGTTTTAAATTTTAGAGATCACAGCAGGAGATTTTGGGCCCTGGTTTTATTCTGGTTGTAGGTACTCTGGGGGGTCCCAGCTTAATGTGGATAGACTATCCTATTCATTTCCCTTCTTGGGTATGTTTTGAACATTGACTTCTTTTCCTTTGCTTCTTGGGGCCATAGAACCATCTTTGCTGAGATGGGCAAAGAGATTCCATCATAGACTAAAAATGACTTTTGTGTTCTGGTATTTTGCTTTTTTGAGGTGGGGAGAGGGTTTCCTGGTTTCCGCTTGTTGTTGTTTGTTTTTGTTTTAAAGAATTTGGACTAGTAGTTCTATCCTGTAAGATTTCAGATGCTTTTAAGATGATGTCCCTCTTTATTGTTAGCATTTTTTTTCAGGAAGAAGGTTAGTTTGAATAACTTTGCCAGCCTTTATTGGAGGTGGAACTCAAATAGTTTAAAATTCTGTTGTATTTCAATATTTCAGTATTTTAATTATCCTCTAGTACTAGTACCTATCGTGAAGGGTTGCTGTAAAGATTAGTGTGATGGTATGAGTGAAGAGCCTAGGAACGTGTCCAGTTGAGTAGTAGTGAGGAGTGTTTCCAATCTTCTTGTATTTTTCAACGTTTTTATTCTCCTGCATAATATTTTAAGAGAACTGCTTTTTCTTTCCACCTCATTATTAAGTTTTTCATTTGTGAACATTCTACCAATCAGACCATTTGTCAGCTTTATTTAATCAAATTTTAACTTCCAAGGTCTCCAATGGATCGTCTGGTATCTTTGGGGGAATTATTATTTATTTTAAAACTTTGTTCTCTTGGCTTTATTATCCTTCATTTCCTCAGATATAAGAGTTAAAATTTTTTTACTTTTAATTTTTATGGGTACACAGTAGGTGTATATATTTATGGGAAAGGTATAGGTTTTATGTTAAGGTTGCTGCCACATTGAATCTCTTGGTTTTCTGAAAATATTTGGTCAATATTGGTTGTAATTTGTATTTTTAAATGGCCTTTGGTTTTTTTGTTTGTTTTTGTTTTTCAGATGGAGTCTCGCTCTGTCACCCAGACTGGAGTGCAGTGGCATGATCTTGGGTCACTGTAACCTCCACCTCCTGGGTTCAAAAGATTCTCCTGCCTCAGCCTCCCAAGTAGTTGGGATTACGGGCACCCACCACCACGCCCAGCTAATTTTTGTGTTTTTAGTAGAGACAGGGTTTCACCATGTTGGTCAGGCTGGTCTCAAACTCCTGACCTCAGGCGATCCACCCACCTCCGCCTCCCAAAATACTGAGATTATAGGCGTGAACCACTGCGCCCAGCCTGTTTTGTTTTTTTGAGACAGAGTTTTGCTCTGTCACTCAGGCTGGAGTGGTGCAATCTCAGCTCACTGCAACCTCTGCGTCCCACGTTCAAGCGATTCTCCTGCTTCAGCCTCCCTAGTAGCTGGGATTACAGGTGTGCGCCACCATGCCCGGGTAATTTTTGTATTTTTAGTAGAGATGAGGTTTCACCATGTTGGCCAGGCTAGTTTTGAATTCCTGACCTCAGGTGATCCACCCACCTCAGGTGATCCACCCACCTCAGCCTCCCAAAGTACTAGGATTACAGGCGTGAGCCACCGCACCTAGCCTAAATGACATTTGTTTTTGAAATGCCTGAGAAATCTTGTGTGCAAATGCTGTGTAGGTTTATGCTAGCCTGCTCTCAGGATGGGAAATTACAAGGGAGAGATGTAATAGTAGCTAAACTTCTGGATATGTAGTCTCATCATGCCACCTGGATGTCATCAGGTTCCTGGTTCACAGGTGAAGTAGTAGAACCAGCCTGTCTGCTTCTACTGGGCTCCTCCAACTCAGTCATTGTCAATAGTCCTATAGGTAACTCCTTTTATACACCTCTCAAGCTTTGTAATATCTGGAGCAGCTCTCCTATTTTGTTAAGTCTTCTTTCAACATCTCCTCCTTCCACTTTGAATCCATCTGTCTTGCTGGTTTTTGTTTTTTGAGACAGGGTCTCATTCTTGTCATGCAGGCTGGAGTCGAGTGGTGTTGGAACAGGAATTAAAAGAAATTAAAAAATGTTAAGCAGAAACTCAGTTGTATGTAAGAAAACCCAATTCCCCCTGAAAAAGAGAAAGAGCTGGAGTTCTTTAAAAATTAACTGCCTGTTTTTCTGTGGCTAGTGAGCCTTGTCTCTCCTCCTTTCCCAAGCATTGTGAAGACCCTGTTTCTCTATCTGTGCAGCTGAAAGTTCACTAGACAGATAAACTCAAGCTGTAAAACATGTTTTTCCTTGGAAAGTAAGAAATGATTTAATGCATGTCTCAATTAATTAAATAACTGTCTTTGTTTCTCGCTTCTGTAATATGCTTCCCCCTGCACAGATCTCCCCTGCCCCACGAAATGCTTAAAAGGTAACTTAACTCTTTGTTCAGGGCTCAGTCCTTTGGATGTAAATCCAACTGGGCCGGTGCACCTAATTAATAAATATACTCCTAAACCCCATCAGTCTCTCTGATTCCTTAAGAAATCCTGCTACATTTTGATCACTGCTCATTGCAGCCTCGACCTTCCAGGCCCAATTGATCCTCCCACTTTAGTGTCCCAAGTAGCTGGGACTACAAGCATGTGCCACTACACCCTCTTAACTTTTTCATTTTTTTGTAGAGATAGGGTCTCCCTGTGTTGCCCAGTCTGAGCTTGAACTCCTGGGCTCAAGCGATCCCACCTGCCTCAGCCTCCAAAAGCACTGGGATTACAGGCGTGAGCCAACGTGCCCAGCCTATATTTCTTGTTTTTAGGATTCTTTGTGATTTTGGCACACCAAGGATATCCTTTTTTGTTTTCTAATATGGTTACAGATTCTTTAAAATTGGCATTTCAGCATTGGAGGATGAAGGGGAAGCTATAGCATGTATTCATCCTGGTATCTTAAGCCTGTCATGAGTATTTTTGCTTGTTGCTAGATTGTCTTCCATATTAATGACTTAAATATGTCAAGAGGATGTATCAAAACTACTTAACAGTTCATATCCTCTTCTTGCCATGTAAACAAAACTACATGCTTCTTGGGTATCTTCTTGCTATAAATAATACTGTAATGAACTTTTTTTTTTTTTTTTTTTTTGAGACAGAGTCTCCCTCTGTTGCCCAGGTTGGAGTGCAGTGGCATAATCTCTGCTCACTGTAACCTCTGCCTCCGGGGTTCAAGTGATTCTCATGCCTCAGCCTCCCGAGTAGCTGGGATTACAGGTGTGAGCCACCATGCCCAGCTAATTTTTTGTATTTTAGTAGAGACGGGGTTTTGCCATGTTGGAGTTTCAACTCCTGGCCTCAAGTGATCTGCCTGCCTCAGTCTCCCAAAGTGCTGGGATTACATGTGTGAGCTGCAGCGCCTGTCCTGTAATGAACATTTTAATGAACTTTTTAGTACATATGTTTTCCAAATTGGGCTTTTTTTTCTCAGATGGAAAGCTTATTAATACTTGCATTTGCAAGTTAAATCTTCTCATGTCAGAAGTTTATTTGCAAGTGAATTCGGTCAGAATATTATGCCATCAAGAGAATAAATCAGTTCAAGTTTCACCACATGCTTGTCTTAACTGCTTTATTTTTCGTGAGCTTTAGTAAAAATTAGACCTAATTGTGTTTTGAATCCTTTAGGAATAGCATTGTGATTCTGTGATTGTTAGGATTGTGATTATGTCTCAAGTTGCTTTTAGGCTAGGATTGCTTTCTTCATCTGCCCTCTGCTATAAATTTTTTGAGAAAAGTAGGTCATGTGTTCTATGGAATTATCTGCAGTACAGATTTTACTGACTGCATTCCCATGGCAGTACTTCACATGTCCCTCGGCCCCCTCTAGTTTCTGTTAATTGGTGATTATAGCTAGAGACTTGAGCAGACTTAGGTTTGACTTTCTTAGCAAGAATACTTAGTAGGTGATACTGAGTACTTCTTTTCTAGTGATATCATCAGGCATTGATGGTCACTACCTAGATACATTAGAGGTTGCCAAATAGCAGTTTTCTAATTCTCTGTTTTTCGTTTATTAGTTGATATGCTTTTTAAAAAATAAACTTAATTTCATGAACTATTTGGTAAACCAGAAGAGAACGTTTCTTCAAATAATCAAGCACAATTAAATGCTTATTTTACTTTACTTTCTTTCATAATATTGAGCTGATTGTCTAGCATTCTCCAAAGTTGACCAGTAAGTTGTTTTTTAGTATCATTGTGAACTCATAGATTTAATGTGTTTGATGTGTCTTGATCCATTGCAGTTACCCTTTTTTGTTTAGATGGTCCAATCTTTGAACAGTGGAGCCTCTTTACACCTGGTAGGATGCCTGTAGCAAAAAGGCAGTAACAATTGTTGATCAGGATGTAGAAAAAGTGAAACTCTTATACATTGCTAATGTGAAATGTTGCAGCTGTTTTGGAAAACAATTTGGCGGTTACTCAAGGTTAATCACCATGTGACCCAGAAATTCACTCCTTAAGAGAAATGAAAACGAATGTTCATACAAAAACTTATAGGTGGGCATTTGTAACAGTGTCGTTCATAATATCCCAAATGTGGAAACAATCCAAATGTCTATTAACTGGTGATGAATGGATGAACAGAATGTAGTACAGGCATACCTCATATTATTGTGCTTTATTTTATCACACCTCACAGATACAGCGTTTTATACAAATTGAAGGTTTGTGGTAATCCTGTGTTGAACAAGTCTGTTGGTGCCATTTTTCAAAAAGTATGTGCTTACTTCATGTTTCTGTGCCACATTCTGGTAATTCTTCCAATATTTCCAACTTATTTTACTGTTGCTTTGCTGCTATTGTAATTGTTTTGGCATGCCACAAACCATTCCCATGTAAGATGGTGAACTTAATTGATAAACTTTGTGTATGCTGTGACTGCTCCACCAGTCGGCCGTTCTCCTGTCTCTCTCCCACTTTCTTGGGCCTCCCTCTTTCCTGACACACAACAAAATTGAAATTAGGAAAATTAATAACCCTACAATGGCCTCTAAGTGTTCAAGTGAAGGGAAGAGTCACATGTGTCTCAGTTTACATCAAAAACTAGAAATGATGAAGCTTAGTGAGGAAGACATGTCGAAAGCTGTGGTAGGCCGAAAGTTAGGCCTCTTGTTCCAAATAGTCAAGCTGTGAATGCAAGGCACAAGTTCCTGCAGTAAACTAAAAGGGCTACTCAGGTAAGCACATGAATGATAAGAAAGCAAGACAGGCTTTTTGCTGATATGGGAAAGTTTGAGTAGTCGAGATAGAAGATCAGATCAGCCACAACATTCCCTTATGCCAAAACTTAATCCAGAGGAAGGCCCTAACACTCTTCTGAGAAGGCTGAGAGAGGTGAGGAAGCTGCACAAGAAAATTTGGAAGCTAGCAGAGGTTGGTTCATGAGGTTTTTCTTTTTCTTTTCTTTTCTTTTCTTTTTTTTTGGTTCATGAGGTTTAAGGGAAGAAGCTGTCTCCGTAACATAAATGTGCAAGATGAAGCAGCAAGTGCTGATGGAGAAGCTGCAGCAAGTTACCCAGAAGATCTAGCTAAGATCATTGGTAAGATGGCTACACTCAACAACAGATTCTCAATGTAGATGAAAACAGCCTTCTCTTGGAAGAAGATGCCATCTAGGACTTTCCTAGCTAGAGAGGAAAAGTCAGTTTCTGGCTTCAAAGCTTTGAAGAACAGGCTGATTCTCTTGTTACAGGCTAATGAAACTGGTAACTTTAAAGTTGAGGCCAGTGCTTACCGACCATTCTGAAGATTCTAGGGCCCTTAAGAAACATGCTAAATCTACTCTGCCTGTGCTCTATAAATGGAACAATAAAGTCATGACAGCACATCTGTTTGCACTATGGCTAACTGAATGTTTAAAGCCCACTGTTGAGACTTACTGTACAGACAAGAAGGGATTCCTTTCATAATATTACTGCTCATTAACAATGCACTTGGTCACTCGAGCTTTGATGGAGATGTACAAGGAGATTAATGATTTCATGCCTGCTGACACAAGATCAGTTTTGCAGCCTATGGATCAAGGAGTAATTTTTACTTTCAAGTCTTATTATTTAAGAAATACATTTCATAAGGCTAGAGCTGCCATTGATAGTTATTCCTTTGATGGATCTGGGAAAACCTTCTGGAAAGGATTCATTATTCTAGATACTGTTAAGAACATTTGTGATGCATGGGAGGAGGTAAAAATATTAACATGAATAGGAATTTGGAAGAAGTTGATTCCAAACTTCATAGATGACTTTGAGGGGTTCTCACTGCTTCAGTGGAGGAAGTAACTACACACGTGGTGGAAATAGCAAGAGAAGTAGGATTAAAAGTGGAGCCTGAAGATGTGACTGAATTTGCTGCAATCTCATGATAAAACTTGGGATGAATTGCTTCTTACAGATGAATGGTTTATTGATAGAATCTACTCCTGGTGCAGATGCTGTGAACATTTTTGTTGAAGACAACAAAGGATTTAGAATTTCCACATAAAGTTAGTTGATAAAGCAGAGGCAGAGTTTGAGAGGATTGACTCCAATTTTGAAAGTTCTCCTATGGTAGGTAAAATGTTATCAAACAGCATCACATGATACAGAGAAATCTTTCATGAAAGGAAGAATCGAACTATGCGGCAAACATCATGGTTGTCTTAAGAAATTGCCGCAGTTAACCCAGCCTTCAGCAACCACCACCCTTATGTCAGCAGCCATGCACATTGAGGCAAGACCCCTCCACCAGCAATAAGATTATGACTCACTGAAGTCTCTGATAATTATTAAGTTTCTTTTTTCTTTTTTTGAGACGGAGTATCGCTCTGTTGTCCAGGATGGAGTGTAGCAGCGCAATCTTGGCTCACTGCAACCTCCGCCTCCCAGGTTCAGGTGATTCTCCTGCCTCAGCCTCCCGAGTAGCTGGGACCACAGGCATGTGCCACCATGCCCGGCTAATTTTTTTGTATTTTTAGTAGAGACAGGGTTTCACCATGTTAGCCCGGATGGTCTCGATCTCCTGACCTTGTAATCTGCCCACCTCGGCACTTTGGCCACCTTCCAAAGTGCTCGGATTACAGGCGTGAACCACCGCGCCCGGCCCAATTGTTAGGATTCTTTAGCAATGAAGTGTTTTAAAATTATGATATGTACTTCTTAAAAAGACATCAATGCTATTACACATTTAATAGACTATAATACAAAAATTAACTTTTTTTTTTTTTTTTTGAGACAATATCTGGCTCTGTCATCCAGGCTGGAGTGCAGTAGTGTAATCTTGGCTCACTGCAACCTCTGCCTCCCAGGCTCAAGCCATCCTTCCACCTCAAGCTCCTAGGTAGCTGGGATTACAGGCATGCCGTACCAGTCCCTGTATTTTTGGTAGAGATGGGGTTTCACCATGTAGCCTAGGCTGGTCTCAAACTCATGAGCTCAAGTGATCCGCCCATCTCTGCCTCCCAAAGTGCTAGGAATACAGGCGTGAGCCACCATGCCTGGCCTAAAAACAACTTCCATGTGCACTGGGAAACCAAAAAGGTTGTGACTCTATTGTAGTATTCACTTTGAGGTGGTCTGCAACTGAACCTGCAGTGTCTCCAGGGTATACCCATATATATATCCATTCAATAAAATGTTATTTGGCAATAAAAATAACTGAAGTTCTGGCTGGGCGTGGTGGCTCCTGCTTGTAATCCAAGCACTTTGGGAGGCTGAGGCGGGCGGATCAATTGAGCCAGAGTTCGAGACCAGCCTGGGAAATATGGCAAAACCCTATCTCTACAAAAAATACAAAAATTAGCTGGATGTGGTGGCACACGCCTGTAGCTTCAGCTAATTAGAAGGGTGAGGTGGGAGGATGGCTTGAACCTGGGAAGTGGAGGTTGCAGTGAGCCAAGATAGTGCCACTTGCACTCCAGCCTGGGTGACAGATTAAGACCCTGTCTTAAAAAAAAAAAAAAAAAAGTTCTGATACAAACTAAAACAATGATGAATCTTAAAAACATGCTAAGTGAAAAAATTTTTAAATATTGTATGATCTAATTTATGTGCAATATCCAGAATAGGTAAATCTGTAGAGACAGAAAATAGATTCATGGTTGCTTAGGGGTGGGAGAGGTTAGAGGGAAATGATAGTGTCCTGAAAAGGACATGAATAGACACTTTTCAAAAGAAGACATACATGTGGACAACAAGCATATGAAAAAAGCTTTATAACTGATCATTGGAGAGAGAAAATCAAGCTGGGCACAGTGACTCATGCCTACAATCCCAGCACTTTGGGAGGCCGAGGTGGGCGGATCACCTGAGGTCAGGAGTTTGAGACCAGCCTGGCCAAACATAGTGAAGCCCTGTCTCTACTAAAAATTACAAAAATTAGCTGGGCATGGTGGCAGGCGCCCGTAGTAATTTCAGCTACTCGGGAGGCTGAGGCATGAGAATCATTTGAACCTGGGAGGCAGAGGTTGCGGTGAGCCGAGATTGTGCCACTGCACTCAAGTCTGGGTGACAGAGCAAGACTTCGTGTCACAACACAACAAAACAAAAAACAAATGAAAATCAAAACCACAGTAAGTTACTACCTCACACCAGTCAGGATGGCTACAATTAAAAAGTTAAATAATAGATGCTGGTAAGATTGTGGCGGGGGGGAAAAGGGAACGCTTACACACTGTTGGTGGGAATGTAAATTAGTTCAGCCATTGTGGAAAATAGTGTAGTGATTCTTCAAAGAGCTAAAAACACAACTTCCATTCAACCCAGCAATCCCATTGCTGAGTATGTACCAAAAGGAATATAAATCGTTTTACCATAAAAACACATGCACACATATGTTCATTGCAGTGCTATTCACAATAGCAAAAACATGGAATCAACCTAAATGCCTGTCAATGATAGGCTGGATAAAGAAAATGTAGTATGTATACACCATGGAATACTACACACAGCCGTGAAGAAGGAGATCATGTCCTTTGCAGGAACATGGGTGGAGCTGGAGGCCATAATCCTTAGCAAACTAACACAGGATCACAAAATCAAATACCACATGTTCTCACAACTGGGAGCTAAATGATAAGGACATATGGACACAAAGAAGGGAACAATAGACACTGGTGCCCATTTGAGGGTGTTGGGTGCCCATTTGAGGATGTTGGGTGGGAGAAGGGAGAGGATCAGAAAAAACAAGCATTGGGTACTGGACTTGACACCTGGGTGATAAAATAATCTGTACAACAAATTCACGAGTTTACTCATATAACAAACCTGCACATCGCTGAACTTAAAAAAAAATCCCCAGAGAGTGACTGCTGAAAGGATACAGGTTTCTGTCTATAGCCATACCACCCTGAGTGTGCCTGATCTTGTCTGAAAGGATACAGGTTTCTTTTGGGGATGATGGAATGCTCTAAAATTGTAACAATTGCAGAATTCTAGATGTATTAAAAACCATTGAATTATATAATTTAAATATGTGACCAAGGAGGAAAAAATATGTGTAATGGGTAACAGAAGGTTAACTTTCTTGAATTACAGAGTTTTCTTAGGAATTAATGAGACTAACAACTGTTTTTTTTTTTTTTTTTTTTTTTTTTTTTTTGTCAAAGGGATGAGGGGACACATAGGAAAAGACTATTCTGCACTTCTTTTAGTCAACACTAATAAACTCTTCTAGATGTTGTGAATACAGATGTGAAAAGTGCAGATACTGTGTCTGCTCTCCTGTAGAAAAGCTATGAAGAAATACGGTGGAGTAGAAGCAAAAGTTGTCCCTAGTTATCTTTAGGGAATCCAGGACCTCCTGTGCATAACCCAAATCCACAAATGCCGAAGTCCCTGATGTAAAATGGTACAGTATTTGCATCTAACCCATGCATGTCCTCCTTTATATATACTTTATCTCTAGATTACTTATACCTAATGCAGTGTAAATAGTTATACTGTATTGTTTCGGGAATACTGACAAATCTGTACATGTTTAATATGGACACATTTTAAAAAATACTTTTGATCTGCGGTTGGTTGAATCCAAAGATGTGGAACCCACAGGTAGGGAGTGCCGACTGTAATACAATTTTTTTTTTTTTTGGAGTTGGAGTCTTGCTCTGTTGCCCAGGCTGGAGTACAGTGGTGCAATCTCGGCTCACTGCAACCTCTCCTGCCTCAGCCTCCCGAGTAGCTGGGACTATGGGCATGTGCCACTATGTCTGGTTAATTTTTGTATTTTTGGTAGAGACAGGGTTTCACCATGTTGGCCGGGCTGGTCCTAAACTCCTGACTTCAAGTGATCCACCCGCCTCTGCCTCCCAAAGTGCTAGGATTACAGGCAGTAGCTACCATGCCTGGCCACAATTTCAAATTATACTCAGCAATATGAAGACTGAGCAATGGGATGTGATAAGGAATGATTAGGATGGGGGCAGGGGTTAGTGATTAAATTGCCGCCCCACATACAATTGAGGTCTCTCTCTCAGAAAGTAGCATTTAAGCTGAAGACTGAATAACAAGTAGTCAGCCATGTAGAGAAACTGGTTTAAGGCCAGAGCAGGAGTATTAAGCAGAACAAACAGCAGGGCCTTGGCGTGGGCCTGAACTTGGGATGTTTAAGAGGTACAGGGCTTTCCAGGGGGTGGGAAGTGTTGAATGGTAAAGCACAGATAACATAGGGGAGGCTATTGCAGTAGTTCAGGTGAGAAGTGTGTTGGCTTGGACTAGTATGGTAATAATAGAGACAAAATAAGTGGACAGATTTTGTGTAAATTTCAAGGTTAGGTTCAACAAGACGATTGCGGGGAATGGGGGAGAGAGGAGTCATTTTGTCTTGCACACTAATGTGGATCTGTTTTCTAAGATGGGGAACATGATGGGGAAAAGAGGGACAATTAACATGAAAGATACTCAATCTTAAGAACATATGGTAGACTCCTTGTCCTTCAGCTCAGAATCCCATCATTGATTTAAACAATGGGTTCTATTGTTTACCTGTCAGGTTCATAAAAAGTAAAATTTGGTAAGGGTACAAAGAAATAGTTCTCATATCGTTGGGAATTTAAATGGGTGTGGTTCTTGGGTCAATTTTGACCAACAGCTATCAATTTTAAATGTACTGGATTGTAAGGTGTATGCATTTAACAAGTATGCTTGCCCAAGTAAGTCAAGATCAATGTTGAGGGATGTTCATTGCCTTATTTGTAGAAGAAATAAAAACTACTAGAAGCAGCCTGAATGCTCATCAGTAGAGAAATGGTTAGATACATCATGTTCATGGAATGGACTGCCATGCTGCCATAAAATAATGAAGCTGATTTCTTTATACAGATATGGAAAGAACTCTTAAAATACTTGAAAAAAGATGTGAAATGGTATATTTGACCATTTGTGCATATATTTTTTAAAAGCTATGTGTATACATGCTTGTATACATAAAAATCTTTGAAAGGTATCTCTGGGGTAGGGAATTAGGTGGAGATAATTCTTCATATCCTCCTTGTTTGAAGTTGTACATGCTATTATTTTATTAACTCTTAATGTGGGGATGAACTTCCACATTAAGAAAACCTTTGGGCTGGATGCGGTCACTCACACCTGTAATCCCACACTTTGGGAGGCCAAGGCAGGTGGATCTCTTGAGCCCAGGAGTTCGAGACCAGCCTGGGCAATATGACGAAACCCTGTTTCTACAAAAAAAAAATACAAAAACAAAAAACAAACAAAAAAAAACCTAGTTGGATGTGGTGGCATGTGCCTGTAGTCCTGGCTGCTCCAGGGGCTGAGGTGGGAGGATCGCTTGAGCCTGGGAGGCAGAGGGTGCAGTGAGATGAGATCACACCACTGCATTCCAGCCTGTGTGACAGAGCCAGAGCCTGTCTCAAAACAAAAACAAAAACAAAACAAAACAAAATTTGGCCGTTATCCTCATAGTAGAATCTTAGAAGTACTGAACTACTTCTCAATGTTTGTACTTAGGTATAAACATACTCTTAAAACATATGACCAGATAGCATCCCAGAAAGGTTTTTTACTGAATTATTTTCTTAGGACAGCTCATCTTTCTTTAAATATACTATTTTAAATATATATTGTGAATTTCTCTGTCAGAGAGCCATACCTAGATTTTAATTTCTTAAAATTATCTGAATTTTTTTGAGTAGTTTACATTTGCTATAAACAATTTGAAAATTTCAGTAAAGATTCATACGTGCTACTACCTGTAGTCTACTTCAGTTGTTTTTGATGACTTTGAGTTCTCTCCGTATTTCTGAATATCTTCATGCAGCTGTCGTCTTGTATACAACTTACTCTCTTTCCCCAGCCACTTAAGTGTTCTCCTTTGTCATATGCTGAGGTATGTATTTTAATGGCTAAGTTCGTAGTCCATTTTGACAGAATAGTTATTTTCAGTTTTCGCAATTGATTGCATTGTGACAGGCATCTTTGTAGGTAAATCTTTCTTAGCATTTATGAGTATTTAGAGAGATTCTTATAATACAGTTACCAAGTTAAAGAGTTTTGATACTTTAAAAATTCTTGATGGTTAAATTCTCGATGGAGATACTGTCCTTCTGTGATTGTCTCAGCAGTTGGAGAGTCCTGTCTCACCATATACATAGAGAAGAAAAAATTACCTAAATGGCTCATCACCATTGAATATTGTAACTGTAATTTTTCAGTTTTGGTAAGCAGAATTCTCATTTTAATTCCCATTTTCTTTATAAGTAGAACAGTTATTTTTTCTGTTAGTCTTTTAAATCTTTTCCTATGTTGAATTTCCTGATAATCTTTTTTACAACTAGGGGGTGGCAACTATTGAAACTGTCTTAAAGACAATTGCAATTCCTTCTCTGTTGCAAAGTTGTATGTAGTGTGTTAATTCATTGTCATCTAGTTCCTAATGAATAAAATCCCTTGGGGAAAATGCTATAAGTCAGGCTTAGGGCAGCAGACATCCTTACTAGCAACTTTTAACTCTTTAAAATGTTAACAAAGGCTAGGAATAGTAATCGTCTTGAATTCACACCTGTGCAATTCCATGTCGCTAAGTATAGAGGGGAGTGTATGTGCACTGTATGTGTGAATCTAAATTTAGAATAGCTGTGAAACCAGCCTGAACCTACAACTTCTTTAGATTCTTTCCCGATGAACACAGAAATACAAACTAACTGTAGGTGGTCTACTCATTTTCATGCAGATTGATTGAAGTTAGTTTTTACCAGCAATCTGGCTGACCTGGACAAAAATGTAGCTTAGGTAACTTTTGGTTCTGACCAAAAACGCAGAGAAGGAGAGATCAAATTTATTTTATGTAATTTTTTTTAAAGGGGAATAACATTTAAAACTAGAGGCCTCTGTAAATAGTCTAGAGTTTAAAGCACTTTTAACATAGTGCTTAGAAAAGTATAACAAAATTATTTTTAGAGTATTCTTTCTTTTAGGGTATTTCTCTTTCTAGAGGACAATAAGTACTGGCTTATTGATGTAAAGGAAAAGCCACAGTATAAGAACTCATTCTTAAAGAGGGCAAAGGATATAAACTGAAAATTGATAGCTAGTGGCTTTTTTTTTTTTTGTATCTGAAAAAAATGCTTCAACCTTCCAATCAAATTAGATTAACATTCCAAATGAGGTTAACAAATATCTGAAAGGCATACTTACCCAAGGAAATTCTAACTACTGTTCCCCTATTAGGCCAGAAACCACCTTACATACTTTTGTATCCTGATGTCTGTTTCCTTCCTAGCACCTTGCTCACAATTATACTTTATCACTTACACCATTATCAGGTTTTTCTCTACCACTACAATAGTAAACCCAAAAAGACAAGAGCTGTAACTTTTTTTTTTTTCTTCACTTATATCCTGGTTGCCTAGCTAGTGCCTGACACTCAAGATTCTCATTTATTAAGTAGTGTATTTTTTAACCTATCATATTGGCAGAACTTAAAGTTGAATAGTACCAGTGTTGGTAACAGTGTTCACAAATGCATAGGAAATGGTACAAAAGGAATATCTCAAACTGTTCATTCAGAGAAGAGAGTAGGATTGAGGACAAGGAACGCTGCCGAGATGTGAAAGTGATCATCTTTTACTTATTACTTGCATGCTATTTTAAAAAACAAAATGGAATTTTACAATATAATTGTATAAAGGGCATGGTGGGGGAAGGGCTCGGGTTTTGAATGAGATGAGTGCTTAGCTTGGTCAAATTGCTTCACCTGTTTTGTGCCATGGCTTTAATGCTTGTAAAAGGGATATAATGCCTGTCTTCTCCATGGGGTTGTTTTGAGGAATGTGGTGATAGTTGTAAGTTGCCTAGTTCTTCCTGGACTTCAAAAATAAGTTTTCTGCTCTTTTTCTCCCTTGAAAAGTGAGAATGTGATGTTTCATTTAAATTTTGAAAGTCTTATTCTGCATGGTACCACCCCCATCTGCTGGAATGTCCAGACTTTGCCGCTGAAAGCTTAACTGTTGGTTGTGTCTTGATCACAGTCTGTATTACTTCCACTTTGGAGAATGTGGTCTAGTTTCCAAACGTAGATATGTTGCATCATTTTGTCTGGAGAATAAATGAGTACATTTATGGGGGTAGAGGGAACTATGCAGAGATCAGCACTTAAGGCTTCTGGAATTAGTACTGGGGGGAGGGTCTTCCTACTGTGAAATAAAGGGCTTCCGCTAAATGCCCTCCAAAGTCACTCTTATTTTTAATGTTTTGTGGCTTATTTAAATTTATGATCCTAATATCATTTTGTCATTGAACTCCTGATGTCAAATTTGAAATCTAATATGGGCTTTTATCTGCAAAAACTACTCAAGTTTATTTAGGGGATGTTGTCACCTTACCCAGTTTAATAGCTTGCATTTTTTTTCTTGTTACAATGTGTTCACTGTAAAAAAAAAAAAAAAAAAAGCAAATTAGGAAAAAAAAATTATGTCATCTTACTACTGAGAAATAACTATTGTTAACATTTTGGTGTATCTCTCCAGTTTTTTTTTTCAAACGTGTATATTAAATATTTTGAACACACTATTTGCCTCTTTTATCTTTGTGTTAATTTTTTATATCCCTTTTCAAGGCTACATAGCATTTTACTGTGTAGATAGATGCATTATGGGATTTTTTTTTTTTTTTTTTTGATGGAGTCTCGCTCTGTCTTGCCCAGGCTGGAGTGCAGTGGCGTGATCTTGGCTCACTGTAACCTCCTCCTCCCAGGTTCAAGCGATTCTCCTGCCTCAGCCTCTAGAGTAGCTGAGATTACAGGTGCCCACCACCACGCCTGGCTAATTTTTGTATTTTTAGTAGAGATGGGGTTTCACCATGTTGGCCAGGCTGGTCTTGAACTCCTGACCTCAAGTGATCCACCTACCTTTGCCTCCCAAAGTGCTGGGATTACAGGTGTGAGCCACCGCACCCAGCCTGCATTATGGGATTCTTAACCTGGGTACATGGATAGAATTCAGGGGGTCCAATAATTTAGACAGGTAAAAACTTGTATCTTCACGTTCAGTGATGTTTAACTGAAACGTAGCTTTTTTTTTTTTTTTTTTTTTTTTTGAGACGGAGTCTCGCTGTGTCACCCAGGCTGGAGTGCAGTGGTGCGATCTCCACTCACTGCAAGCTCTGCCTGCCGGGTTCATGCCATTCTCCTGCCTCAGCTTCCTGAGTAGCTGGGACTGCAGGCGCCCACCGCCATGCCTGGCTAATTTTTTGTATTTTTAATAGAGACTGGGTTTCACATTGTTAGCCAGGATGGTTTCTGTCTCCTGACCTTGTGATCCACCTGCCTCGACCTCCCAAAGTGCTGGGATTACAGGTGTGAGCCACCAAGCCCAGCTGCATTTCTTTTAACTGTAAGTTTAGGCAACAAGTCACAATATTAGCAGGACCTAATAATTTGGTATCAATAGGATGATCAGACAATTCATATTGATTCCTTTACAGGCATTGTACATACCTTGACATTTATTTACTATTTCAATATTATTACTATTTTATATGTTTTGAAACATTTTTCTTAGAAGGTTTATTGGTTTTAGCAGACTGCCAAATGGTTCATGATACAAAAAAGGTTAACCTCTGGCATTCAGTTTTCGTATTTTGGAGTTTGTTTAAATAGGTGCCTATTTTATACACTTATAAGAAGTACCTGAAGTTAAAGCTTTTGCCTGCATCTGTGATTATTTGGACATAGGATAAATTTCTAAAAGTAGTATTTCTTTATCAAAGAATAAATCTTTTGAAGCTTTCAATGTTTTTGTCAGATTGCTCTCCAGAATGTTGTACCAATTTACCCTCTATATGGAAATACCCTGCCTTCCTGTTTTAAATAACTGGCTTTTATATTATGTAGATGCAGTCGTGATTGGCACTGTAAAGGGTCTCCAATTTGATGTACTGTTTAAGGAACTTCTGCAGACCCCAATTTGAACAGTGTAGTGTCAGGTAAAGTAATGTTTCATTGTGTTTTGGTTATACTAGTTTTACTAAAACTAGTTGTTACCTACAACCTAGATGGCATGTTGTATTCAAGGACTCTGAACCAGAGTCTTCAGGATGGCGTGCTTCAGAACTCCCCCATACCATAAGCAGTAGATTGGATGATGCTAGCCTTGAATCAGCAGTCGTCTTTTTTGCTCTCCATGGGTAAGAAGTAAAATTATCGCCTTTGAAAATAATATATGCACATAGCAGCGAAATCTTAGAAACACCCGAATGTGAAATTGACTTTCTGCTGAATAAGTAGCAGATTGTGGAGAGAGTAGTGGGGAGGGTGAGGGAGTTAGTGTTAAGAATTAAACTCCTACAGCACTTTGGGAGGCTGAGGCGGGCGGATCACAAGGTCAGGAGATCAAGACCATCCTGGTTAACATGATGAAACCCCATCTCTACTAAAAATACAAAAAATTAGCTGTCGTGGTGGCCAGTGTCTGTTGTCCGAGCTACTCAGGGAGGCTGAGGCAGGAGAATGGCGTGAACCCGGGAGGCGGAGCTTGCGGTGAGTCCAGATCACGCCACTGCACTCCAGCCGGGGCAACAGAGTGAGACTGTGTCTCAAAAAAAAAAAAAAAAAAAAAAGAACTCCTAGTATGATGGGATAGGTTTAGTACACAGTATGGGGACCTGAGTGCAGAAAAGGGATCCTTTGCTAACTTAATGATAAAACAGGTCTGAGTAGGGTTATTATGTATGAGTGTAGACCTGGGTCTAGAAAGTGTCCCATTGTGGGAGAGAGGTCAGGGGATCAGTTAGTCCCTGTATTTGAGACCAACAAATCGAGATTTGGATCTTCTGCCTTTTAGTAGCTTTGTCGCTTATGGCCATCTCTGAGCCTTGTGTGCTTTCTAGTAAAAAAAGACGGGATGGCGAGGAATTTGACAAGGTGGTCTTTAAGCTTCTTTCCTGCTTTCTTTTGTGGCTGACTTTCTTAGCTGGTGCCAGGATATTAAGGGCTTTTGTCCCAGAGATTTTTATCCTGCATGCAGTAGTTACTTGTTTGGTCTATCCTTGCTAAAGGGCCTGAATTACGCAGAACACTCCCGTTTGTAAAAAATCAAACACCAAATTAGAACTTACTTTAGTAAAATGTGGGGTATGTTGGAACGCTGTTGATACAAAGCTCATAGAATAGGAAGGAATCACTGGAAAGCTAGGGATACTGAATCTGTGGCCTCCAATTTTGTCTATTTCTGTCTTTCCTCTGCTCATTTCCCAGTGTGAGTTTCATTATCTCCTTTTGCAGAGTTGCCAGTTATGAGAAAGGGTATATGCTCACATCCTTTGGCATCATGGACAATCAGGAAATAGTTCTTTTTCCATTATATACAGTTAGAAAAATCTCAAGGAAAGATACCCAGCTAGCTTGGCTTAAGTCATACCCATACCTGGACTGGTCTCTGTAGTCATGGGAATGGGTAATTCTTGCCCAGCTTGAGTCAGATACTTACCTATGGGACCATCACTGTAACCAGTGAGGTAGAATGCTGCAAGAAGATGCCATTGTCTTTAGGACCACTTGGATGGCAATTCAACAAAAGCAATTCAACAAAAACCTGGTGTCGGGGAGATTTTTAAAAACATTGGGGATTCATGAATTAGGCAACAGCAATCTTCAAACATTTGGGTACAACCTAATTTTTAAAAAAAATGTACACCGCAATGAGATACCAGTTTACACTTGTTAGGATGGCCATTATTAAAATGTAAATTGTCGGCAAGGATATGGAGAAATTAGAACATTTGTGCATTGCTGGTGGGAATGTAAAATGGTACTGCTGCTGGGGAAAAGAGTGTGGTGCTTCCAAAAAAAATTAAACATAGTGTTACCATATGATCCAGCAATTCTCCTTCTAGGTATACACACAAAAGAATTGAAAGCGAGGACTTGAACACATATTTGTATGCTAGTGTTCATAACAGTACTATTTACAATAGTCAAAAGGTAGAAACAGGAAACAACCCAGGTGTCCATCAGTGGATGAATTGGATGGATGAACAAAATGTTGTGTACGATGCAAAATTAGGAGCTTTAAAAAGGAAACCTAGCACAGTAGTGCACACCTGTAGTCCCAGCTACTCGAGAGGGTGAGGCAAGGAAGGATCATTTGAGCCCAGGAGTTTGGGGCCAGCCTGGACAACATAGCAAAATCCTATCAGTGAATGAATGAATGCATGCATGCCAGGCATTGGCTCATGCCTGTAATTCCAGCACTTTGGGAGGCCTAGGTGGGTGGATCACTTGAGCCCAGAGGTTCAGCAACAGCCTGGGCAACATGGGGAGACTTCCATCTCTAAAAATTTAGCCAGGCTGGTGACATGCACCTGTGGTCCCATCTACTTTAGAGGCTGAGGTGGGAGGACTGCTTGATCCTGGGAGGCTGAGGCTGTAGTGAGCCATTATTGCGTCATTGCATCCCAACCTGGGTGACAGAAGGAGACCCTGTCTCAAAAAAAGAAAAAAAAAAAAGAAATTGGGGACGTACTGCAACATGGAGGAACCTTGAAGACATTATGCTAAGTAAAATAAGCCTGATACAAAGGAAAAATATTGTATAATTCCACTTACAAGGTCCCTACAATAGTCAAATTCATAGAGACAAAGTAAAATAATGGTAACCAGGGGCTAGGAGGAGAGGGTAGTGGGGAATTAGTGTCTAATGGTACAAAATTTTAGCTTAGCGTAAAAAAAGCTCTAGAGGTGAAGAGTAGTGATGCTTGCACAAAAATATGAATGTACTAATGCCTCTGAATTGTATGCTCAAAAATGGTTAGAGTGGTAAATTTCATGTATATTTTACCACAATAAAATTTTTAGTACAGGGTACCCCTTGCATATTTAACTTGGTATCTACATTTTTATTATAAGTGAAACTGTAGATTTACAATAGTAGAGAGATTTGAGACCTATTATCTATTTTAAAATATTTAAACCAGTTCTTTAACAGGGGGAAACTTTTCATTATTTCTTTTTTCTTCTTCTTCTTTTTTTTTTTTTTTAAGACAGAGTCTTGCTCTGTCTCCAGGCTGGAGTGCAGTGGCATGATCTCAGCTCACTGCAACCTCCGCCTCCCAGTTTCAAGCGATTCTTCTGCCTCAGCCTCTCGAGCAACTGGGACTACAGGCACGTGGCACCATGCCCAGCTAATTTTTAGTATTTTTAGTAGAGAAGGGGTTTCACCATGTTGGCCAGGATGGTCTCGATCTCTTGACCTCATTATCCGCCTGCCTTGGCCTCCCAATGTGCTGGGATTACAGGTGTGAGCCACCGCGCCTGGCCCATTATTTCTTTTCTCCTAGTATTTGTAGTCCACTTCTCCCGCTGAGTTTTATCTTAATGTAATATTTTGTGCTTGAGAGTCTTTTTTTTTTTTTTTTTTTTTTTTTTTTTTTTTTTTTTTGAGACGGAGTCTCACTCTGTCGCCCAGGCCGGACTGCAGACTGCAGTGGCGCAATGTCGGCTCACTGCAAGCTCCGCTTCCCGGGTTCACGCCATTCTCCTGCCTCAGCCTCCCGAGTAGCTGGGACTACAGGCACCCGCCACTGCGCCCGGCTAATTTTTTGTATTTTTAGTAGAGACGGGGTTTCACCTTGTTAGCCAGGATGGTCTCGATCTCCTGACCTCATGATCCACCCGTCTCGGCCTCCCAAAGTGCTGGGATTACAGGCGTGAGCCACCGCGCCCGGCCGTGCTTGAGAGTCTTTTGTTGATCACATGTCATCCTTCTCTGTAACAACAAAAGTACATAAACTGAAATTTTAAATTATTTCCTGTGTCTCAAAGGTGATAATGATGATTGTTAGGGCAATTAAGGCAATCTAAATGTTATAAATCTTGATAAAGTTTTATTCTTTAATAATTGTTTATTGGAAATGCTTGTTTTGTTTTTTGTTTGAGACAAGGTACCTGTCGCCTAAGCCAGAGTGCAGTGGCGCAATCATGGTTCATCGTAGCCTCAACCTCCTCAGTAGCTGGGACCACAGACAAACACCACCATGTCCAGCTATTTGTCTTACTTTTTGTAGAAACGGGGTCTCCCTGTGTTGCCCAGGCAGTCTTGAACTCCTGGGCTCAAGTGATCTTCCTGCTTTAGCCCCCTAAAGTGTTGGGATTACAGATGTGAGCCACCACACCTAGCCTGGAAATAGTTTTTAATGACATAAATTGAGGTCTTTTAAAATCTCATGTAATTTTAAGGCTGGGCATGGTGGTTCATGCCTGTGATCCTAGCACTTTGGGAGGCCGAGGTGGGTAGATCACATGAGGTCAGGAGTTCAAGACCAGCCTGGCCAACATGGTGAAACCCTGTCTCTACTAAAGTTCAAAAATTAGCTGGGCGTGGTGGTGCATGTGTATAATCCCAGCTACTCGGGAGGCTGGAGCAGGAGAATTTTCTGAGCCTAGGACGTGGAGGTTGTAGTAAGCCAAGATTTTGCCATTGCAGTCAGGACGACAGAGTGAGACTCTCTCAAAAAACAAAACAAAACAAAAAAACATGTAATTTTGTATGACTGACTTATTGCTGGAATGACTTGGGGTTTTTTTTGTTTGTTTGTTTTTTTGAGACAGAATCTTGCTTTGTTGCCCAGGCTGGAGTGCAGTGGCATGATCTTGGCTCACTGCAACCTCCGCCTCTTGGGTTCAAGTGATTCTCCTGCCTCAGCCTCCTGAGTAGCTGGGACTACAGGTGCACGCCACCACACCCGGCTAATTTTTGTATTTTTTAGTTGAGATGGGGTTTCGCCATGTCTGGTCTCGAGCTCCTGAACTCCAGTGATCCACCTGCCTCGGCTTCCCAAAGTGCTGGGATTACAGGTGTGAACCACTGTGCCCACCAACTTGGAATTTTCAACACTGTATATATACATTTTGTTTCCATAGGTTTGTGCCCTGAGTAAACTTGTTCACATAAAATAAGTAGATGGGGAATGAACTAGTTCATACAATTCTTTGATTTAGTTCTGTGCAAAAAATTAGTCATGTATTATTATTTTTAGTCATCTACTGGCTGATAGTTGCGTTCATTCCTCCTTCATATTGGTTGAAAAGAAAGAACGGAAAACCAGCTAATTTGTGAAAAGACGTTTTACCTAGTCATACCAGACATGGAATTACTCAGTTTCCTAACTATACCAATAATGCTTTATCAATGTAGCTTTTTTATTTTTTATTTTTTTTTGAGACGGAGTCTCGCTCTGTTGCCCAGGCTGGAGTGCAGTGGCACGATCTCGGCTCACTGCAAACTCCGCCTCCTGGGTTCACGCCATTCTTCTGCCTCAGCCTCCCGATTAGCTGGGACTGCAGGCACCTGCCACCATGCCCGGCTAATTTTTTGTATTTTTATTAGAGACGGGGTTTCACCGTGTTAGCCAGGATGGTCTCGATCTCCTGACCTCGTGATCCACCTGCCTCGGCCTCCCAAAGTGCTGGGATTACAGGCGTGAGCCACCGTGCCTGGCCCAATATAGCTTTATCAATGCTATATTTTTCAGATGAGGCTGAATGCAGTGGCTCACACCTGTAATCCCAGCACTTTGTGAGGCTGGGGCAGGCAGATCACTTGAGCTCAAGAGTCTGAGAACAGCTTGGGCAACATAGCAAGACCCTGTCTTTACAAAAATATACTTCCCAAAAAAATTAGCCAGGTATGGTGGCATGCACCTGTAGTCCCAGCTACTTGGGAGGCTGAGGTAGGAAAATCTCTTAAACCTGGAAGTCTAGTCTGCAGTGAATTGTGTTTATGCCACTGCATTCCCGCCTGACAGAGCAAGATTCTGTTTCTAAAAATCCATCTCAAAAAATAAAAACAGATTTGAGATTACTACTATGTCTGTCCTTCACTTAGACACACCTTAATTCAGTATACTTAAAAGATAGAGAAAACTTAAAATAGTTTTTGTGCAACATTTGTAGGAAATTAAAAAAAAATTTTTTAAGTTAGTTTAAAAATACACCTTTGCAGTCGGGCACAGTGGCTCACACATGTAATCCCAGCACTTTGAGAGCCTGGGGTGGGAGGATCCCTTGAGCCCAGGAGTTCGAGACCAGCCTGGCCAACATAGTGAGACTCTGTCTCTACAAAACAATAAAAATAGTTGGACATAGTGGTGTGCCTATAGCCTCAGCTGCAAAAACAAAACAAAACACACCTTTGCCAACATGCTATTTAAAAATGATTTAATCTTACCATTTGCTTTAAGTATGTTTTGTCAAAGCCATGGGCCTATAGATTTAACTTTATTTACAGAAAAAAATTTCTACTATAATGCCTCATTTAATGGAGTCCTGTTTTTGGAGACGGGGTCTCACTCTGTCACCCAGGCTGGAGTGCAGTGGCGTGGTCTCAGCTCACTGCATCCTCTGCCTCCTAGGCTCAAGCGATCCTTCCACCTCAGCCACCCAAGTAGCTGTGACTACAAGTGTGCACCCACCATGCCCGGCTGATTTTTTGTATTTTTATTACAGACGGGGTTTTGCCATGTTGCCCAGGCTGGTCTCAAACTCATTGGCTCAAGCTATCCACCTGCGTTGGCCTCACAAAGTGCTGGGACTACACGTATGAGCCACCACACCCAGCCTGGAGTCAGTTTTTATTGTCAAATCAATTAGTTCAGTCAGACTTTCATTTTTTCAGAAAAAGTCTGACTTTATTTTTTTCTCAACATTTTAGTAACATTTTCAAGCATACATAAAAGCTAAAAGAATTACAAAGTGAACACCTGTAATACCACCTAGATTGAACAGTGAACATCTTGTCATATTTGCCTTATCACATATCTTTAAATTGTAGACATTGCTACAGTTTACCCCAAAATCCTTCACCATACATATCATTAACTAGTATTCAATACTATATTTGTTTATAACTTTTTTGAGGTAAAATTTATATGCAGTGAAGAGCACAAATTCTAAATGTGTCATTAGATCCATTCTGACTGATGTATCCTCACTCTCATCAAAATATACACACTGTTAGCATCACCTCAGCTACTTTCCTTGTACCCCTTCCTAATCTACCTGCCTACTTCCTGCCAGAGGCAACCACCTGATTTTTTTCACCATTTATTAGTTTTGTCTGCTCTAAAAATTCAAATAAGTGGAATTATATACATATGTAACTTATGTACGGCTTTTTCCACTCACCATAATTATCTTATTGTTGCCTGTATTATTCCTTTTTATTGCTGAATAATAGTATGGTATATGCATGTACTACATTTTGTTCTGTTGATTCTCACATGGACTGAATCCACGTTTGGGTGATTATGAATAAAGCTGCTATGACTATTCTTGCACAGGTGTTTTATTAGACATACACTTTTACTCCTCTTAGTTGAATTCCTAGGAGTAGAATTTCTGGGTCATAAGATAATATGTGTTAGTTGTGTAAGAAATGGGCAGACCATTTTTCAAAGTGGATGTACCTTTTCTCCCATTGAAAAGGAAGAAAATATATAAGCGTTTTCATAAGTACAAGGTGGATGTACCATTTACGGTAATGAAGCTTTGATTGACAACATCAAATGTTGGCAAGATGTGGTACAGTCTTTTAAATTTTAGCCATCTAGTAGGTGTGCAGTAGTGTCTCACTGTGGTTTTAACTTGGATTTCTTTGACTAATGATTTTGAGCACTTTTTGAAGTTCTTATTGGCCATTTATATAATCCTTGTGAAGTGCTTTTCAGATTTTGTGCCTTTTAACAATTGAGATTTCGTTACTTTTCAGTTAAGATTTCTTTTACTGATTTGTCAGATATGGTTGTGGGTATTTTCTCACATATTGTGGCTTGCGTAATTATTTTCTTAGTGGTATCTTGATGAGCAGAAGTTTTTCGTTGTGATAAGGTCAGCTTATCAACTTTCTCCATGATCATTGCTTTCTGTACTCTACATAAAGAAACCCTTGCTTCTATGTACTCCCCCTCCCCTACCAAGTTACAAAGATAGGTTCTTAGAGAGGCTTTGTAGTTTATACTTAGCTTTCACTTTTACGTCTCTGATATCTACTAAATTAATGTTTGTATATAGGTCAGAGTTTATTCCCTCCTCCCCATATGGTGTTCCAGTGCCATTTGTTAAAAAGTTTTTCCCCAATGAATTGCTTTAAGTCTGGTATATTGGGATTACACAGATGTGCAGATGGCCCCAGACTTAGGTTGGTTCAACTTTGGTTTTTGACATGATGATGGTGTGAAAATGATACGCATTCAGTTGAAATTGTACTTTGAGTATCCATACGACCTTTCTGTTTTTATTTTCATTACAGTATTCAATAAATTACATGAGGTGTTCATCACTTTATTATAAAACAAGTTTTGTGTTAAATTATTTTGCCCTACTGTAGGCTAGTGTCAGTTTTCTGAGCACAGTTAAGGTATGCTAGGCTAAGCTATAATGTGCAGTAAATTAGATGTATTTAAATGCATTTTCCGTTTATAATATTTTCAACTTACAATGGGTTTATCAGACCATAACCCCACTGTAGTTGAGGAACATCTGTATATTAATTTTGTGGGTATCACTTTTTAGCGCTGTTGAGTCTTCCAGTACATGAACATGGTTTATGATTTTTTTTTTTTTTTTTTTTTTTTTTTTTGAGACCGAGTCTAGCTCTGTTGCCCAGGCTGGAGTGCAGTGGCACGATCTTGGCTCACTGCAACCTCTCCCCTTCCTGGGCTCAAGCAATTCTCCTGCCTCAGCCTCCTAAGTAGCTGGGACTGCAGGCGTGTGCCACTGTGCCTGGCTAATGTTTTTTGTATTTTTAGTAGAGACAGGTTTTCACCACGTTGGCCAGACTGGTCTTGAGCTCCTGACCTCAAGCGATCTGCCTGCCTCAGCCTCCCAAAGTGCTGGGATTACAGACTTGAGCCACTGCACCTGGCCTCAAATATTTTCTTTAATCCTCACAAAACACCTAAAAGATGGCTACTGTTGCATCTTTAAAGAAGAAAAGATTCTCAGAAAGACACAGTGGCAGACCTGGTGAGCAGAGCAAGGTCTGTCAGTCATCTAAAGCTGTTGATTTTTCCAGCCTGCCACACTAATGGTTTTAACAGGTATGGCCTGCATTGAGTTGGAGCTAGTGAAGAAATCCTACAATGGTAGTGAAAATCTTTATCTAGAAGAAACAACAGATTGAGGAATGTCTGGATAAGGAGGAAGGTGAGGTCTGTGGTGGGGGTTGTAGGGGTGAGGGTAGAATTATACTGTGTGTAGAACTCCAAGCTCCTGGATGCATGTAGCCATTTGGTCTTAAATGGGTTTAACAGACCTGTTGCTCAGGCCTGGGGTCTTTCAGCTTGGGGTGGGAAGATTGTGTTAGTTGTACACATCAGTACTGTTCAAACTTTTGAGATGGGAACTACTTTGTCGCCCAGGCTGGAGTACAGTGGTGCAGTCATGGCTTTCACTGCTGCCTTGAACTCCTGGGCTCAAGCAATCTTCCCAAAGTTCTGGGATTATAGGCATGAGCCACCACACCCGACTGCTCAAACTTTTTTTGCATACATATATATTAACTGGGGATCTTGTTAAAATGCAGATCTCAATTCTGTCGGTCTTGGGTGGGGCCTGAGACTCAGTATTTATAACAAGCTCCTGGTGATGCTCATATTGCTGGTCTGCCACACTGTATTTTGAGTAGCAAGAGCATAGTTGATTCTCTCCTCGTGAGGGATGGGGGTAATCATATGCACAGTCACCCTGATTTTAATGGGTAGAAAATGGCTGCTTCTAGACATAGATGCCCTCAGATTGGGGTATGGGGATTATATAGATATTTGGTGTAGGGGAGAATAGATACTTAAATATGGATGTTTTTGAAGGAAGCATTGTGTTTTGGTAACTAATATGTATGGGTGAAGTCTAAAGTATATCCTTAGCTTGAGGGAAGGGTGAACATAGAGAAGCAGGAGGGGAGTAGTCAGGGGTAGGGGCAGCACCAGTATGGGTGATTTTTGCTAGGCCTTTGCCATGATGAACAAGGCTTTGACAAACACAGATAGGGAGCAAGCAGAATATCTACAGCCAGGAGGAATAACGTGGATGGATGACACAGCAGCAAAGCTTTAAAAAAAAAAAAAAATCTCCAAAGGAAGGAGACTGATAATTTTCCCTTCTAGGCTATGCCTGAGTGCCTGTGGACACAGGGTGTACTGCAGGAAGTTCTGAACAGCTATTTCTGTGGCAGCATTATTCTCTCGACCCTGCCATGGGAGGTCCCAGGTGGGCATGCTTCCCGTATCTGCTTGCTTCTCCTTGCAACAGGGGAGAACAAGCAGGTGGAGTGCTACCAGCTGAGTCCAGGTTTGAGCAGCCTGCCTGGTGAGTCTGGGCCTGTTGCCCTACCCTCCTTTATGAGGAAGAAGCCCAGTGACCCTGGGCTCATGTTGGAAAAGGACCGATGTGGGAGGAGATGGCAAAGAGGAAATGGCGGAAGCTCCAGAAGCTGAATTTTCTTAGTCTTTGTTGCTGGAGCTGTGAGTGGCCACAGAAATAAGCATTGGTCTTGTGCAGCACCTCTGAGAGAGGGCCTGGATGTTAGAGGCATCAGTGGCCCTCACGGCTGCCCTGTATCATGCTCAGGGCTCCTGGAAGGGCAAGAGAAGCAATATTGACAGAGCTAGGTGATTAGGTTTCAGAGTTTGGTGTTTCTAATAGGGCGTAACGATACTTCAGAGACTGTTTCTCTTGGTTTGTCAGATGCTGCTTCGAGAGTGTTTCCTCAGTCTGTGCCTACAGTTGCAGGAGGGAGGGGAGGAGCTGAGCCGCTGTATCTGTTCATGACTAATACCCATCTTGTTGGGATGAGGGAACCTGGGCACAGGGATTATCCTAGTCAGGGCAGGTCTCACTCTGGCATGTGGGTTGTGGGCCATGTCCTTTGAGGTGTACCTGGAACAGCCCAGTGACTCTCCCCCACTCTGCCAACGCTTACCCCCTTTCTCTGTGATAAGCTGCTCTAGACAAGCCTGGAACACCAGGTGTTGTTCCCCAGGGTCCAAGTGTACAGTATTTTTCTGAAGGTTATCTTGTTCCTCAGTGGTAAACACTGCTGTGTCAGGGTGCTGCTCAGGGGCCACTTGGAGCACAGATTTTTGCTAGCAGGACTGTGAAGCTTTGCATTGGGCTGCAAAGCCAGGGCTTGAGCCAGCAGCTGGAGAGAGTCCAGGACTAGAGTGTTTTTGGGTTTGGGGGTGGAGAGCAGGGGGAGGGAAAGGGAGGGGCAGGAGGGCAGAGCCACACGAGCAGGCAGTCGGCTGCTTTGGCTCTGCTGTCGGCGGAGAGGACTTCAGTCGTGCGTGAGGGCTGCTTGGCCACCATTGCTGGAGACCGGAGGGCGCTGCCTTGCAACCCAGACTTAACGGCACTGCACCGGGACTATTCCAAGTAGCTGTTGTGCTGTCTTTCCCTGGGAGGCAAGTCTCCTCCCTGTCGTCCCCTCCTGCTCCTCCCCCGTTCTGTGAGGGATGATGCCGCTCTCTATTGCACGGCTCAGCCGGCTGATGTCACTGGCAGCGGGAAGCATCAGCAGCCTGATCACATGCTGGCCCAGTCTGTAATGCAGACGGGATAGGGGTGTGTGTGTGAGGGGAGGGGGCCTGTATGGCAACTGCTCTTGCCCCAGCGTCCCCAAAAGTGCAGAGGCAGCGGCTGCAGCATCCAGCCAGCTTGGATGTCTGGCCTGTGAGCCTGGGGAAACTATTATTAATAATATTTACTGTTGATAATATTGGGGAAAACAGCCCTTAACTCTGAGGTTTCTGCTGTGCTCCTTTCCAAAACAGACTTCCAGGACTCTGAAGAAACAGTTACAAGCAGGATGCTTTTCCCAACCTCTGCGCAAGAATCTTCCCGTGGCCTCCCAGATGCAAATGACTTGTGCCTTGGCCTGCAGTCCCTCAGTCTGACAGGCTGGGACCGACCCTGGAGCACCCAGGACTCAGATTCCTCAGCCCAGAGCAGCACACACTCGGGTGAGTGCCAGAGAATGAGTTGGCTGGGGTAAGGGGATGCATGGGGGTGGTGAACGAAGATATCCACAGCAACAGTTGTTCTGTTCCCCTTTGCATCACTCCCCACCATACACACATACAACATGGAGCTGTTTTGCAAGAGATGGAAATGCAAGCTGTGAGTGTGGCAGGACAGATGGCTCCACGTAAAGGCAGGCATGGCTCTTCCACTTACCCTGATAAATTCCCTGGAGTTGTTAGTCTGCACCTGGAGTGGCCCTGAGGAGGGTCCCCAAGGCGTGGTGGCCTTGTGCAGAAAAGATCCAGCTAACCCCCTGGTGCCCAGGCCTGTCTTGGAGATGATGAAGCAAAACACTTTTAGGTGGGGGAGGGGAGTTAAGGGGTTGATTACTGGATGACCAGAATTACTCAGTGGTTTTAAAAACCAGGGAGTTATATGAAGAGTGAGTGGTCTCTGAATCATGGCAAGGGAAGGATTTTAACCTCAGATGAGGCTGGATAATGCACTGAGATATTTGGAATTGACTTAACATAGGGTTCAGAGCATTGATCCTGGAAAGGGGTAGGCAGGGTGAGTGGGGTGGGGTAACTCCCAGCTATAGAATCTTTTTTTTTTTTCCCTTTGTGTTGAGAGTGACCAGCTGGATAAAAGAAGAGCCACTCCCCTTTAGGATCCCTTGTCTTCTTGGTAGGGTTCAGTGGGGACAAACTAAAGGGACTTCTTGGCAGCCCCCCCTTAAATTGCTTCTGCTTATACCTTCTGTTACCTGTTTATTTCCCTCTTGTGGTACAAGGAGGAGGGTTGCCTAAATACAAGTCTTGGAGTATTCAGGAAGAAATGTGAACTTAAACACTACAGGTATACTTACAAGCTACATATTTTGCTTTATGTAAATTATAATAAAGAGGTATTGGCAGCAGATACTCTAGGAAAATGAAAAGGTGGTAAGGGGCGGGGGGGAGGGGGTGGTACAGCCATTCGCTGTTGGTACTGACAGTGGGAAACACCAAGTCTGCTGTCCTTCCCTTCCCTCCCTGGTCCAGGAACCGGCAGCCATGGCAGCAAGGTACTGTCTTGTTGATTTCTGTGGCCTCCACCCTGTTTGGCGCAGGTCTTTTTTTAGAATGCTTTGCAGAGCCTGGGCCCGTTGTGTCTGTTAGGCATTTTAATGCCCAGTTGTTTTGGTAAAACCCCATTTAGGAGAGGGGTATTGAAATTGTTTTATGTGGATGTGGATGGGGAGAGCTTTACCTTAAGTAACTATCTCTGGGTTAAGATAGGGTTTCTTGAAGTACTGGCCTTCTGCTGACTCAGGTTTTTCCAGAAAGGTCAGCAACTACCCTGTTCCCCTGGGCAAGGAAGTATGGTATCACTGTTTGGTATTCTATGCCTGGAGACCACGGTACTTTGTTTTGTGTGTTCTTGACGCCAACCTTGGGGGCCTATGAAGCCAGCCTCCCCTGTCCTCACTTCCACCGTATCTGAGCAAAAGATAGAAGAACTCACACAGGAGATGGGCACCTGTCTGTGGGTGATCAGTGTTTGACCAAGGCACTGTCTTTCATTGGCATCAGGTTGAAGTATAGCCCTTCTTTGGCTCTCATTCTCTAAGCTACAATGCTCTTTCTGAAATACATTATAACATTGGGCCCATAGAAATGCAGGTGTGCCCCACTGGGGGCTTGGAGAGCTTGGTCTGAAAGTTACTATGAAATTGAGCTATTAAAAGTAGCTTGGATCTAGTCATAATATCCACAGCTTCTCCACCACCTGAAAGGCCTGTGCTTGTAGCTGTTTGTCTCTGAAATAGAAATGGTTTTTCTTTTCCACTTTCCATCCCAAGCACTTTAGTGATAAATATTACATGATTTTGTCGACCAGGGAGGGACTGCAGCCTGAGCCTCAGAATTCATAAGGACCAGAACCAGAGTTGCCCCAGCAGTATGATCTGGCTGTGTAGGCAGGTTAGTGTGGGTATGTTTTCCTTTCTGAGGGTTGAGGACACACCCATCCCTAATCGTCATGTTGCCTTTGGTTTTGGAGCTGTGGTGACAGCCATTGCTCTTCTTTCCCTGGGCTCTGGGCCTTCTTGGAAAGCCCACATGAGGGTACTACCTCCTGGAGTAGGATGCAGCCCTCCCACCAGCCAGCTGCAGTGCCAGATCGTGCACCCTCACCAGCAATGCGGGAACATGCAGCCCACATTCCAGTGCCTACACTGCCTTTCCGTCTGAAAACCAGCTAGCTCAGTTGCTTCAGTGAGGGAGGAGGCTTTCAACAGCTCTGGGCATTTTCGGAGTTATCCTTGCAGATACCCTGTTACACTGTTGTCTCTGTGTAGAGACCAAGATGCAAGCTTATTCCTTGAGCTCTGCTTGGTGATATATTGCCCAAGGCAGCTATGGCATCACATCTGACCATCTTCTACCACTCTTAAGTAATGAGCAAGGTTGGAGATAGTAGGGCTGTTGGCTAAATTCATCTGGCAAACGTCGAGCATTCGTTGTGTGCAGCACTGGAAGTACAACATTGATTAAGATAAAATTGTTACCTTTAAGAATCTCCGTGGCTATCAAAGGAAAACAAATGAGGAGGTATACCGAGTGCTGCATCTGCTATGATAGGGGCTTTCATTTTTTCCCCTAAGGATTTTCTTCATTGTAACAACCTTTCATTGGATTCTTAGCTTTAGGCTGGTACATGGATACCATTCTCCAGGGGCCAGAGTACTTCTGCTATCTAGATTTCCTTGGCCTCAGAGTCCTGCAAGAAGACCCTGGGATAGAGTCTGTTTTTGAGAATTGTACCTGCAAGGCCTGCATGGGCTTGGATGTAACACTTTGTGGGGTCCTTCTCTTCTAGACTGTGCCTACCCTGAGGCACTATCCCTTGATGGGGAGGAAGACTTTGGGGGCAAGATGAGTGTTATAAGTGCGTTTTTCTCATACCCCAGTGCTACCCTTTCTCATGTCCAGGGCTACCCTTGTCCTGCTTGCAATGTCTTAAGATCTGTAGTGGAACAGAAGGGCTGTGGAAACTGTCCTCAGTATCCTGGAATGGGGCATGGAGTGACTAATAACCACCATTTATCGACTAATTTTTGTGCTAAGTACATCACATGATTTTAATGCTTGTACAGATGAGGAAATAGGCTCATGGAGGTTACAAAGTGCCCAAAGTGACACAACTCCTGGAAGGCTCAGAATTCTAACCCAGGTCTCTGGTTACAAAATTCATATGCTTCCTGTTACACCTGTGGTCCTGTTAGCAGAACTCTAACATATTGGGTGAGAAAACTTAAAGTAACCATATACTACTATAGGGGCTATTCAGCTAGAGGTGATGTGCTCCCTTGATGAGATCTCTGAAGGTGAGGGCATATGGTAGACAGTTCCAGCCCCATCTTGATCCCTGAGTCTCAGCTTATCAGCTGTACCACCCGCTGGATTTGTCTTCCTGCCTTCCCCCTTGCGACTCTTTTGTGTGCAGCATTATGCAGCAGAAGAGTGAGGTGACTGAGACTACTGTGGGGGACCTGGAAACAAGGACTCTCTTAATGATGCCTTGTACAGAAGCCCAGTGGGCAGACCAGATGTGCAGTCTAAGGTTGCCAGAGGACATGTCTGTTTTTTGCCACTCCCCTTTAGAAGTCTCTTGAGGACTAACCTGTTCACACTCTGGTTTTCTTTTCTTTTCTTTTTTTTTTTGAGATGGAGTCTCACTCTGTCGACCAAGCTGGAGTACAGTGGTGCGATCTTGGCTCACTGCAACCTCTGCCTCCCGGGTTCAAGCAATCCTCTGCCTCAGCCTCCTGAGTAGCTGGGATTAGAGGTGCCCACCACCACACCGAGCTAATTTTTTTTTTTAAAGTAGAGACGGGGTTTCACCATCTTGGCCAGGTGGGTCTTGAACTCCTGACCTTGTGATCCACCCGCCTCGGACTCCCAAAATGCTGGGATTACAGATGTGAGCCACCGTGCCTGGCCCACACTCTGGTTTTCTACCCTAACTGCTAATCAGTGAATGGAATGTTCCCTGTGCTGTGTCACTTGCAGGCTCCCCATTGATCTGCAGGCTACATCAGCCTAAGATGAGTGGGGAGTCTTAAGCAATTTTCATCTGAAGCTTCTTCCAAACAACCATTCTGAGGCGACATTCAGAACGGGATTAGGTCTCTCTTATGTGGAACATGGACTTCCTCGGCCCAACCAGGTCTCTTGTAAATCTTCCTCAACTCCCAGTTCTCCAATACTATATTCCCAGCAGTACAACAGTGCTTGGCTAATGGCTGTCTAATACATATTTTTTGAATGAATGATGAGTGCTGAGCCACTGTGTTTATCCTGGTTGTTTTTTAACTGCAGAGTTCAGACAAGGTCTCTCCCATTCTTCTGCCTCCTGCTTGTGTTGATTTAGCTGGATGGACAGATTCTTCAAAGATCAGTATCTTGGGCCCTGTAGCTTCTAGGGGACGGTGATGTAATTATACAAAGTTTTCATCATACAGTGGAGCATGAGCTGTATTGTGGAGTCAAGTAGTCTATTTGGGAAAGCTTTCAGTGCAGAGAGGAGGGAGAACCTGGGAAGCAGTGTGGCCAGGGAGGCCTCCTAGGTGAGAAAGAAGTTGAGGTGGTTAGTGACAGGGGCAGGATGTGTGCTGACCTTACAAGGGACATGAATATGTCTTTTCTACAGGTAATGGAACTTGCCTGATGATCAAGACTGGGAGTTATACTGGGGAGAAGGGCTGTGTTTGTCACTAACTTGAACTTGTGGGATCCACAGTCGGGGGGAAGTCCACACTCTGTTTACCGCCACAGTAGAGATATGGTATAGAGTTGCAGATTTGGGGTCACAGGCAGAGTGGTCTGTTTTCATACATGGAATGAATGCTACTCTCCCCCCTTCCTATTCCTTCAGAGAGATCCTGAGTAAGCAACCTAGAACCAAGGATGGTGATAGGGAAGAAGGGTTCCAGGTATACGGCCTTATATCACAGGCTAGAAATAATGGCTCCTGGTCTGGATTTTCCCCGTTAGATTTTTTCCCCCATTAGACTATTCCCATTAGATAACAAATATCTGACCATCATGTCTTGGGGCTAGTCTCTCCTTCAGCTAAGCTCAAGCTCAGATGGTCTTATAATGCAGGCATTCAGTGCCAGGCTCTTGTTGCCATTGCTAATGCTGCCATCACACTCCAGGTGCCTTTGTACTCTTGGGGAAGGCTTCCGAAAATTTGAACAGTGACTCAGCTGTAAAACCGACAGGAGCTGGCATAGAAGGGTGAAAGTAGAGAAAATTAACAATCAGTCTAAAAATATCACTGCTGATTTGGTCTCTTATACCCTCTGAGGTAGCATTAATGAACTGGAACCCTCTGCCAGGTCCTCTCCTCCCCATGACTTCCCTGAGAGATGTCTGTAGCTGATTTCCTGCCAGCATGTGAATGGGGATGGGTACGTCTGTTCTAGGAAGAGCACAATGTCTTACCCATTTTTAGAAGATAGGAATTTGCTGGACACTTGGACACCAGAGCTGGAGGCACTTGGTAAACCTCAGACTTTCCATGATCCCTTGTGTTCTGGAGGCCAGGAAAGAACAGAGCAAAGAGGTCAGGGCCTTGGCCGTTATTGGAGATTGACTCTAGGACTTCTCACCACCCCTCCCCCTCCTCTAATCCATCTAGGTTAATACTTGACATTTGGAATTATGAAGTTGTGTGCCCCATGATGGGGAGTGGACTTTGAGATGAGACACTGGCCTGCATTATAAGGGACCTGTCATTTCCACTGGATTTTAGTTTGTGTGGCTTAAAGAGAATGCCTTTCCAGTTAGGTATGCTCGTGGCTTTGAATATAAATGGGAACAGTCTAACGCTAGCTATTTTGCTCCTTTCCTTCTGATTCCCAGCTGGTGGAAATCGGTGCTGCGTACTCAGCAACCTTACATAGGGCAGGTATGGTCTCATGAGCTGGGAGCAAGACAGGTTTTCTTTCTTGAAATGAGGTCCCCCCACTTCCCTTTGTCTTTGCTGCTTTGCTGCTTTCTTTCCATTGTCTTTGCTGCTTTCCTTCCTTTGATCTGTAGACACTCAGAGAACTGCCTGGCCAGACCCTATAGAGGTACAATTAGGTCACTCTAGGGCATCTGACCATGGGTGGCAGTTTCCACAAAATTCACTTGTTCTGTGGGTTGAAGGAAATATCAAACCAGCTGGCAAGTTCTAGGCCTCTTGTCTTCTTGGTATCTTCTAGTCAAATTTACAGTATATCCCTTCTGATTTAATATTTGCAGGAAACTGATGCATGGAGATGCTGACATCCCACGTGTTAATTCTGGGGCACCCTGATCCTATTCTCTAGGATGGCATTGCCCCTTTCTGAGCCATCAATCCAAGTCCTTTCCCCGTTTTTCTATGTGGTTGGTATATAATTCAGTGAGACACTCTTTCTTGCTCCTGTACTTGAATGTAGGAGTGTATTGCAGTGGCCCTGAAGATCCCAGTAGAGTCTGGGGAGGGTTGATTAGGACAGAGTGATTTCCACCCTGCCCCTCCTCAAGCAGAGGAGCTTTCTTCAACCTTTTTCTCTTTGAAGAAATTGAGACTCAGGGAAGAAGTATTGTCGCAGATGTGATGCGGTGAGTCACTGGTTTTTAAACCTCTGTTTTGGCGATGGGCTGGGTAGGGATGAGTTAAGGTTTATTCCCCTAAATCTGTATTACACTCTAAGTCAACATTGTGTCCTTAGGCTGGGCGCAGTGGCTCACGCCTGTAATTCCAGCCCTTTGGGAGGCTGAGGCGGGTGGATCACAAGGTCAGGAGATCAAGACCATCCTGGCTAACACGGTGAAACCCCATCTCTGCTAAAAACACACACACACACAAAATTAGCCGGGTGTGGTGGCAGGTGCCTGTAGTCCCAGCTACTCGGGAGGCTGAGGCAGGAGAATGGCGTGAACCCGGGAGGCAGAGCTTGCAGTGAGCTGAGATCACGCCACCGCACTCCAGCCTGGGCAACAGAGCGAGACTCCGTCTCAAAAAAAAACAAAACAAAAAAACAAAAAAAACCATTGTGTCCTTAAATTGAATATCCTTGATAGAAAAGGGTAGGGCCTTAGCGTACTGGCTCTATGGAATACGTACTCTCTGTCTTTCAGTAGAATTCAGCAGTCATTGTTCACCTGCTTTTTGCCAGATGTTGAGCTAATTGCTATTGGAGTAGGATGGTAAAGATTGGTCTTGGTATGCTTGGTTGAGAAGGCACAACTTTTTACACATGTGGGCCTGCAAATATCTATGCAGATTTTTTTGAGACTTTAAAAAGCATGTTTAAAAGATTATTTCTTCTAATAGAGACTCCAAAAGTACTCAATTACTGTCTTATCCTCTGGGATCCTAGTTCCTATTACTTGTGCTTGATTTCCCTCTGCTGATTAGATAAGTTACCTTGAAAGAGGCAAAGAAAGCCAAATGGGAATTGACTTGTTTTTCTTCCTGTCATTAAAAAAAAATGGAAATAATTTCAAATTTATAGAAGTTATACAAATAAAATTATACAAAGAATATTTGTAATCCTTTTTATCCAGAACCTCCTATTGTTCGTGTTCATTTTACCCCATTTGCTTTATCATTTGCACATTCTCTCTCCATGTATCAATACATAATTGTTTTCTGAATCATTAAGAGGAGAGATAATTGGCCCAGGCACGGAGGCTCACACCTGTGACCTGAGTACTTTGGGAGGCTGAGGCAGGAGGATTGCTTGAGCCCAGGAGTTCAAGACCAGCCTGGGCAACAGAGTGAGATCCTGCCTCTACCAAAAAAAAAAAAAAAAAATTAGTCAGACATGGTGGCATGCCGCTAGCTACTTTGGAGGCTGAAGTGGGAGGTTGAGACTGCAGTGAGCTGTAATTGTGCACCTGCGCTCTAGCCTGGGTTACAGAGGGAGACCCTT
The DNA here is from genome assembly GCF_000001405.40 of Homo sapiens. Taxonomy (NCBI): domain Eukaryota; kingdom Metazoa; phylum Chordata; class Mammalia; order Primates; family Hominidae; genus Homo; species Homo sapiens. Next base: position 82,563,385 of record NC_000015.10, on the reverse strand, counting down.
GCTCAAAAAAAAAAAAAAAAAAAAAAAAGAATAGAGATGATCTTACATACATTCATATGTAACAAAACAGTTAACTTTAGTCAATTTAAAGTTGATAACACTACTTTGATTAAACTGTCATTCATATTCCAGTTTTGTCAAGTGACCCAGTAATGTCCTTAAATCCTTAATAACATTTTTCTCTTTCTGCTCTAAGTAGGCCCTTGCTCCTTTTGGTTTTGCTCCGTGTGAGCTTACAAAGTCCCTTGGGTTGTCTTGAATGTTTTTCACAGTGATCAGCTTGTTCTAGCCATCACTTTTCCTGAAACTATGATAATCCTTACCATTCTTTTTTTATATTCTTATTTGTTCATGGTTACTGTGTCTGTCTTGCCTCTCTGTGTTGTCCTCCACTCCCACCCAGTGTTTTCAGAGAGAAGGAACTCTTAAGTAAATGTCCTATATAGCCTTGTTGATTTCTTTATCTGATGCCTTTTTTTTCTCTTAAGTATTTACCATTTTAGTGTGAGAACTGTATTTAAATTATAACCTCCAGTCTTTTTTTTTTTTTTGAGACAGGATTTTGCCCTGTTGCCCAGTCTGGAGTGCAGTGGCACGATCATGGCCCACTGCAGCCTCAACCTCTTAGGCTCAAGTGATCCTCCTGCCTCAGCCTCCTGAGTAACTGGGACTATCAGTGCATGCCATAATGCCTGGCTGATTTATTTTTTTTAGAGACAGGCCTTACTATGTTGTCCAGGGTGGTCTTGAACTCCTGGTCTCAAGCAGTCCTCCTGCCTCAGTCCCCCAAGGTACTGGTATTACAGGCGTGAACCACTGCACTTGGCCATAACCTCCAGTCTTTAAGTCAGAGGAAATAATTATATATGAAAGATGTTTGGGTATGATAAGGCAATTGATTAGGAATTTGAAGTAGCAAGCCTCGGGTTTGTATGGATCAGTGCTTCTAAAACTTAATGTGTATACACATCTCCTGGGGATCTTTTAAAAATGCAGATTCTGATTCAGGTCTGGGGTGGGACCCAAAATGCATTTTTAATGAGTTCCTGTAGTGGCAAGGCCCTAGATAGATTTAAGACCCAAATACTCTAGGTCCTAAAGCAGGGACTTCTGGTAGGGAAGATCAGTAGTCTGTAGTTGATGGTCTTACAGGATTCAGACAAAGGAAAAGTGCTGAGGAATGTGAAGACAAACAGATGTGAAGTCCTAAAGATTAAAAAAAAAAAAAAAAGTAGCTAGTGAATGGTACTTGGAGTGGGAAAGCATCCAGTCTCTGTCACTCATTAGCTGTTACTTTTACAAACTGACTGCCCCAAGTCTTGGTTTCCTTTTGTTAAGATGCAGTAGTAACAGCCACTTCTTAGGATTTGGTGAAGACTGTTTACCTAAAGTGCTTCTAACACAGTGTTTGACATGTGCTAGACGTTCAGTAAGTTGTTAGAAGCTTAACTGAACCTGGTCCAGATTGCGGAACAGATGAATGACCATGAACTGTGAGCACTTAACGAAGTAGAGTTCGTTAGTGACCAGCGTGGGTTTTCATGCCATTTTCTACTTAGGTTTATTGCCAGATTAGAGGATCACTACAGAGATAATTCCTAGCTTTGTACAGGAATTTGACAAAGCCTCAAGATACCTTTGTAGGCACAGTAGAGAACTTTCAAGTTAGCAGAGGTAGATGGGTTTGTGGCTGGTAAAACAGGTGTACCAACACAATAGTGAATACAAATGATGTGAATGAGGAAAGGGGTCTGTAGTGCTTACCATGTTGCTTTTTTGACTCTTTCCAAAATACCTTTTAAAAAAAACCTTGGGTGAGGACAGTTACCAGAGCCCATACTTGCCATCTTTGGTGTTTTCAGATACAAGCCTTTGGGGCAGCATCCCCTCTTGAGTATTTTTTCTGGCGTTCTGCTTTATGCTGTTTCTCCCTTGACAACTCTCAGAGCTCTCTGCTGTGCCACTTGAAACTCCCCTTTTCCAGGGTTAACAAACTGGCTTTCTTTTTTTTACTGGTGAATGCTCCCCCCATTTTCTGCTTTAGCTGAAGACTTTTCCTTTAAGATGCTGCTATGCCAAGTAGAGCCTACTCATTGTCCCAGGTCTCTGAAAATCTCATTGTTTAACTCCAGGCCCAGTTATCACCATCGGTCTTTTTAGTGTCCACATGAATGACTTATCTAATATTTCAGACTTCTCACATTCTAAGTCAGCCACCTCTACCATACTCTGGACCTTGCCATCCTCAGAGCTCTTAATCTTCAATGTCCCACCTCTTCGTGTTTATATTGTCTGCCACCCTCATTCCTCTTATAGCTATCAGCCTATTGAAATCACTGGTTTTCCATTTATTTGCTCCTAATCTATTGACTTTGTTCTGTCTTTAGCCTATAATGCACGACCCATTCTTCATTTCCTTTGTTGCTGTTATCATCAATTCTGTTGTCACATTTATTCCTTCATACCCCCTTGGGGGAACAAAATCATAGCTCTGTATGGCTTCAGTGTCCATCCAGGTATCTGAGCTCTGCTGGAGAAAATCCTTTAAGTCCAACTTAGTTTTCCTCTTTGCTGGACACTGGTTCCTACTGGTGCTTTTCCTTAGTTTCCCTGGTCAGCCTTCTTTGCTATCCACACAACAGCTCTGCAGATCTCCTTTTCCGTGTCTCTCAGTTACCCTTAAGATAAAATCAAGCTGGGTGCAGTGGCTCATGCCTGTAATCCTAGGAGTTTGTGAGGCTGAGGTAAGAGGATTGCTTGAGCTCAGGAGTTCGAGACCAGCCTGGGCAACATAGATGCTACCTCTACTAAAAATTTTTTTTAAATCAGCCAGATGTGGTAGATATCACATGCCTGTAGTCCCAGCTGTTCTAGAGGCTGAGGTGGGAAGATCGCTTGAGCCCAGGAAGATTGAGGTTGAAGTGAGCCACTGCACTCCAGCCTGGGCAACAGAACTAGGCCCTGTCTCAAAAAAAAAAAAAAAAACAAATGACAATAAGATAAAAACTATTTAACCTAGTGGTCAGAGTTCTTTGTGATTTGAATTGTTACCTCACTGTTCATCACCCTAACTTGTTTTTGTGAAATGTGGAAAAGGATGAGGCCCTCCAGGGCATTGGTACCACTTTTAAGACCAGTGCATGTGATCTGTTGATTTTTCACAGTGCCTCTTTGCCAGGCTTTGCAGCATTAGGGTGGAACCTTGAATAAAATCTTCACATATTCTGCCTTCTCAGGGCATGGACTCTACAGGCTTTGATTTTGGATTTCTATCAGGCAGGAGTTTGTCAAGGAACTTTTTTTTTTCAGAGTCTTGCTCTATCACCCAGGCTGGAGTGTAGTGGCGCAATCTCGGCTCACTGCAACCTCTGCCTCCTGGGTTCAAGCAATTCTTGTGCCTCAGCTTCCCGAGTAGCTGGGATTACAGGCGTGCACTTTCACGCCTGGCTAATTTTTGTATTTTCAGTAGAGACGGGGTTTCGCCATGTTAGGCAGGCTGGTTTCAAACTCCTGACCTCAGGTGATCTACCTGTCTCAACCTCCCAAAGTGCTGGGATTACAGGCGTGAGCCACCACACCCGACCAAAGGATTATTTGAGAAGTTTGTCAGGGATTATTTCTGATGGTTATCAATCCAAGCATTTTGAGACACTTAGTTTTAGCATACAGTTAAATTTTAGAGCTTTGAAAACTGCTTCAAAAGGCAATTTCAAAGTTAGGAATGTTTCCTTGAAAAACAAAATGCTAAACTAACTCCTTGCTGGATGTGCTGTGGCTCCACCCCACCCACATCCCACAACATACATACATATTAGACTGGCTAGATATAAAAAGATTGACCAAACCAGGTGTTGGCCAGGTTGTAGAGGGACTGAAACTCTCATCACTGCCGGTGGGAATGTAAAATGGTATATAGTTCCATCTACTTGGAAAACAGTATTATGACAGTCTCTTTAAAAATTAAAGCTATTTTTACTACAAAATAATAACTAGATAAATAGATATATCTACAGTTTCCCCTGTGTTAAATGTTAAGGATACACCTACCATGTCTTATCCAAAAGGGGAGGTCATATACCTAAAGGAGCGTGGGCTGGTCTGGTCCCATATTAACAGATGTTTGGGATCTTGTGTATATGTTCCATCAATGGCATGTGTGTCTCGTACCCTGAAAGCATGCATTGATTTTGATTTCAGTCTTGAGAGGTTTATTCCTGCTTCTTGGGACTCCAGCTCCAGACAAGCATTCAAACTGACTTAGAGGCCTGGGAGGAAACCAGCTCTGGGTGACCTGTGTTTCATTTCATTGCTAGTCAGGGCGGAAGTGGGGCCAATCACAGCCAGTTATTCAGCACTTACACATATGATTTTGGTTTTACCTCAGCCATTTTGAGGTGAATGTTCTCATTCTTCAGATGAAAAAAAAAAAAAACTTCAAATTAAGGCTTCTTTCCTAGATTTAGCACACCCATAGCTCCATGGCAAAGCCCTCTTATTCCTTATTCTCATAGATAGAGGGTGTGCTTTGCTTAGGTTCCCCAAGGCCAAGTGTGGAAAACGTTGCTCTTTTTTTGTTTCATATTTAAATATTTATTGTGTGCTGGGTGCTACTGTGCTGAGCTCTTTCCATCTGGTATCTAATTATTGAGCTGTCCTAACAATGTCATGAAATAGTTGATACTCCACCCTAAATGCCAGTGAGAAAACAGAGGGTCAGAGAAGCTAAGTGAGCTTCCCAGAGCTCACAGACATATACAAGAGGTGTCAGACACAGGGTTTAATCCTAAGTTTAAGTCAAAGAATGGGCTTAACCATGTCATTCTGCTTCCATCCTAAACATTTCAAGTTCAGGGGTACATTGAAGAGAATCTGTATATGCTAGAAGTTTGCATAAGTGAACCTCTCACATGAGGTGGTATGCTTATGCTATACCAGATTTCTGGGGTGTGGCCTGAAATTCTATATTATAGCATTAGAAAGGTGAGAATTCTTCTAATAAACAAATCGTCAGGCAGTAAAGATGAAGTATGGTTTGGGATTTCTAACTGTGCTGTAGGTGTATCCAGGCATTAATAGCAGCTGTGACCAGGGACCCCAGTGACAGTTTCCCAAGTACTGGCATTGACCTTTTAAGCCTGGGTAGTATAACCCAGCAGTTTTGCTGCTATTGTAACAGCAGGAACTCTGGTCTTCAGTCAGCTTGTAACTTCCTCTAACAAGGCCCTTGCGGCCAGGTCTCAGAGCTGGATATATATCTGTTCATTATATTGTGTTTTGCTGGCATGCTTTTAGTTGTCTTGCCTTTGGTATCTCTTGTTGGGTGGCTGTAGGAGAAGAAAGAGGCTGTTGGCTGCAAAGAAAACTAAGAGGTCATGAGGTTTCCTTTTTTGTCCTCCTAGTACTGAGCATGCTCCATAACCCACTGGGAAATGTCCTAGGAAAACCCCCCTTGAGCTTCCTGCCTCTGGATCCCCTTGGGTCTGACTTGGTGGACAAGTTTCCAGCACCCTCAGTTAGAGGATCACGCCTGGACACCCGGCCCATCCTGGACTCTCGATCTAGCAGCCCCTCTGACTCAGACACCAGTGGCTTCAGCTCTGGATCAGATCATCTCTCAGATTTGATTGTATGTAACTCATTTGGGAAAGGGGAGTTGTGGGTGGAGTTGCCTGTGTGTGTCCAAGGGGAAGGAGGGTACAATATCTATGGGATGCCTGTCCCCTGGAATGCAGGCTGGGAGATGGGATGAGGGGAGGAGTGGAGATTATTGTGGACATTTGTAGAGTTCTCATCCTTAACAGGATAGAGGATGCTTTGAAGACCCATTGAGCAATACATTGCAGGACCTGAGCTCAGGACTCTCATTTTACTAGCTACTCCAAGAGTACTGGAAAACACTTAATTTCAAAAGTAAACGTGAGGGCCCTGGCAGTGTTCTGTTTCTTTACCTACACGGGGTGCTTTCTTTAGCCCTTAAACAGTGTCATTTATGTACTTTGATGTATGATATCTCACAATTAAGTAATAACGTAAAAAATTTTTAAGTAGTAATTAGCAGAGATAGGATTTTAATCCAGATCTGACTGTAGCTCCTGTATTTTTTCCACTGACCCGTGTCAGCTTTCAATTCATGCCATGATGAATCTATGAAACATTGCCTCAGTTAATTTTTGCATTTCACGTTCCTTATCTACAGCCATGTATGATGCGTGTGGTCTTCATGCTAAGTGGAGTTGGCAAATGAATTAGAATAGGTAGGGGATATTATAGATAGATTAGTACAGATAATATAGATAGGGGATAGTAGAAGTAAATACAGGTGGGATTGGCAGTGAGAAATTACCCCAAAATAAGAATACAGTTTCAGATGCCTTATAAGCATTTTTGTTGCCAAATCTCCCGAGCTGAATGTGCAGTGAATAGAATTACTTATTTTACCACCTTCTTCTCTTCCCCATACCCAGGACTGGCAACTTTGGTTGTGATCGCCTGTCAGCCTGTCCTAGAATATGGAAGTTGGCGATGGTGTTCTCACTGACCATTGGTTTTATCTGTTAAGGCTGCATTTCTAAAAGGGCAGTCACATGCGGGTCTCTTTGCTTCTCTGGGCTGCAGTTACCTCTTCTGTAAAATGGGGTCAGATACAGTGCTGGTAGTTCTGTCTATATTACTTAGATTGGACTCAGTCTTGGAAATTTATCTCATGACTGATTAATATTTGGGGATTTTAAAATATTCTGTCAACGAGTTATTTTGATAATGTATCATTTCACACACGTAAATTAGAATTTAAAGGTTTGACACAGCTTATGGTGTTCTGATACATTTATGATACAATGCAGAGCTCTCATAGATAGCATTTTTGGCATTCGGCTTTCTAGGAATCTGACCAAAGAAAACACAAAATATGAAGAAGCTACATCTTAATTTTTATTTATGGTTCTGAAAACTTGGAAAGTATATATATAACAGGAAGAGTATGGGTCAGTGAGATGTACCTTGTTCCCTAAATAGAATATGATAAATGCATTTTAAATGGTTATAAAGACTGGCAATATGGAAAAGTTGAATGAGGAGAGAAGGAGCATTTGTTTAAATTATAGTATAACTAGAACTAATCAAAATTGCTCAGGAAGAAAGTCTAAAAGAATATATATCAAATGCTAAATGTCTATTGGATGTTTTTAATAATTTCTATAATGTGATTATTACTTTATAACAAAACTAGCCTTTAAAACCCTGTCTTCCTTTTTCCTCCCCTAGTCAAGCCTTCGCATTTCTCCACCTCTGCCCTTCCTGTCTCTGTCAGGGGGTGGTCCCAGAGACCCTTTAAAGATGGGGGTAGGGTCTCGGATGGACCAAGAGCAAGCTGCTCTTGCTGCAGTCACTCCCTCCCCAACCAGTGCTTCAAAGAGATGGCCAGGAGCTTCTGTGTGGCCATCCTGGGACCTCCTCGAAGCTCCCAAAGACCCCTTCAGCATAGAGAGAGAGGCCAGGCTGCACCGACAAGCTGCAGGTGAGTGTGCCTTGAGCATGTGTGAGGCCTGAGGCCTCATTTTGGGAGCAGAGAGGAAGTGACCTTAGTTCACACACTTGTGAACTGTCTAGAGGAGGCTTGGTTGCATGGTGAAGTCTCCAGATCTGCAAAGAATTATCTTTCTGTGGAGTAAATACTAATGGGAACAGACTCAGGAACTTCTTGAGGCTGAGTGGAGAGGAAAGAGGCAGGTTATCTGGCACATGCATGTGCCACAGCACAAGGAGCTGGCTCCATCTCTCACTTGTGCCGTTCCGTGGAGACTGGCTGTGTGCTGCTCTTGCTTTTACTTTTTCCACGGGTGGATGTCCTCAAGAGAAACTCTGGAAGGGATATCCAGAATTTTGTCTACCCTCTCCACATTCTAATTCAAAGACCATCAGACACAACTCATGCTGGAGCTTTCTTCCCTGAGGCTTTCTGATTGGTATAGTCAGGGATGCACTGGGGAAGGAGGGGTCCATTTGTCAACCTCTAAAGTGAGGAGTGTCACCAGATGTCCTGGTCTCTTAGGAATCCTTAAGGTTCTGACATTTAAATTTAATCTTAGGCTGGCCTGGGTGGCTCAGCACTTAAGCAGAGGCAGCAGGATGGCTTGAGCCGAGGAGTTGCCCAGCCTGGGAAACATAGCAAGACCCCATCTCTATATATTTTAAAAGGTTTAAAAAATAAATTATCCTAAATATGTATTAAATGTGTTTTTCATCTTTGTCTAGTACTGCTTCAGGGAGATATTCATTAACCACTGGCTCTTCAGAGGTCCTGAATTTGATGACTAAGTTAGTGTTAGTTTCTGCATTCCATTTGTTTCCATAGGCTTCAGTGTGTCTGTTTGCTCACAGAGTTGGGCTGGATCTCATTCTCCTCTGATAGTGCTGTGCCCTGTTCACCTAATGATTTTGGCAACCCATCTTTGTACTTTCTCTGGTGCCATTGTTTTCCTGTGAAATGACATTACCATGCTTTTGGATGAGACCATTATATTCTGTTTTTGTCGTAAAAGATTGCTGACATTGCCCAGTTTCTTGCTGTAGCAACACGTTGGGCCTATTCCTTTTAGGAAATATCCTTCCACATCTTTGTCCTGAATGAAAATGATAGTTCCTTTCATTGGCTGTCTGCCTCTTTGCTGAAAGAGGAGGGTGAAATAAATGGGCAAGAACTAGCTAGTCCTCACTAAGGTCAGTCTCTGATTTGGAAAGGTACAAACAGTGGGGACAGGATTGAAGACTGATTCATTACGTTACCATGCTGGCATCAAGGAAGGCCCATTGTCTATTTGGGTGCTATAAAGATGAGTCTGGCTTGGAACAGTTGTGACATTCTTGTCTTACTGGGTTGCCAGTGCTGGTTTTTATTGGCAGTGTCCTAACTTCTGTGATTCATGAGTTCAGAGCCAAGACAAGGAAACAGAATAGAATGTTTCTCATTTGAACATTGGGGAGAAGGCCCATTTGTACCAGTAAGCCTGCAAGATGTTGTATTGCTATGTTTATTTTCAAGTAATTATGAATTAGTACTGTAAGCAATAACAGGATAAAACTGCTTTGTGGTTAGCATATTAGTTGAATGTTTGAAAATAACATGGGGTGTAAATTTTTACCCTACACATCTGGTTTGGTATTCCTTTCAATTTTAGTGGGGACAGAATTAGCAAAGTAGGATTATCATACTTGACTGAGTGGATTGGTGAGACATAGATTTCTTGCTTTTCAGAATAATCATGGATATTCTCTCAGGCATCTGGGCAAGGATTGTGGCCAGTCAGGTTCTTACTGGACAAGTTCACCCCAGGGAAGAGTGTGGCTTTGTTGATTCTCTAACCTCCCCTGTTTATCTCTTTGCCATCTACCAAAGCTGTGAATGAAGCCACCTGTACCTGGAGTGGCCAGCTTCCTCCCCGGAACTATAAGAACCCCATCTACTCTTGCAAGGTGTTTCTAGGAGGTGTTCCTTGGGATATTACAGAAGGTGAGCTGTCTCTAAGACCTGCTTTAAGAGTTGAAGGGTGGGGCATGTCTTTCAGGAGCATGAAACTTGGAATTGAGGCCAGGGGCTGAATGCCCTGCCTGAGCTCAGGGTATTACATGAGTGTCTGAGGGGAGAGGTGCATTTCATAGACCCCCATAGTGCTCCTTATGTCGGGAGCTTACACCGGAGATCAGCATTCGTTTCTGAGTTGTTTGTCAGTGGGGATGAGCCAGGGAGGAGAATGCTGGTGATTCTGTGTTTGTGTCTTTACTGGGAAAGATGGTTCCTCAGCTTCTGCCATTCTTTTCTGTCTCTTTGCAGCTGGATTAGTTAACACCTTCCGTGTTTTTGGCTCTTTGAGTGTGGAGTGGCCTGGTAAGGATGGCAAGCATCCCCGGTGTCCTCCCAAAGGTAATATGCCTAAAGGTAATAAAGACATGGTAGGAGCTTTTTTTTCCCTTCCCTAGTACATAACTGCACCTAGGGGTGCTGGGATGTCACAGCTGCATGTTGGTAACATGGTGGGCACTCCAGGGCACAGACCTGCCATCTGTCAGCACTTTCTCTTCAACCTAACATGTCCCTCTGTTTCTTCTGAGCTAATGTTCCATCTGTCCAGACTTACACAGCAGTGGGAGTTGCCTCTGAAACCCCTTCCTTGTACACTTCTCTCTAAACCTGAACCCAAGCAGCACCTTTCCTCTCAAAATAAGGCGTTTGAAAAGCTTTCCCTTGCCTGCCTGTCCTGCCCAGTTACGTTGTTGCCTGACCTAATTCTGAAGTCCCTTTGGAGTTGGCAGGAATGAGGACCAAGCATCTGATTCCTCACTGGTCTGAAATGAGATCCCTTCCCTGTAGAAAGGAGCAGGTGCTATTTTCACCCTGCCCCATCTTCATTGAACTGAACTAATGGTTTAAGTAGGTGTTTAAAGCAATACCTGCCATCTTTCCTGCCACCAGGAAAGCCTGGCTCTGCTGACCTGAACATGCTCTGTGTTCTTGCATAGAGAGCTGTGGTAATGGTGGGATCCTCTGTCTCAGCTTGCCAGTCCTTTCCTTCACCAGGGTGGGAGGGAGGCCCACAACCCAGGGCATCTGCATAGCAAATGCTTCCACTCAACACGACTTTTCAGGAGTAAAACAAAAATGTATCTTATACACAAGACCTTCTTTCTTGGAAGAAACGCCCTGCTGCAAAGCCAAGGCTGAGGAGTGGCCACCTAAGGGATATTAATGCGATTTTTCCTCTCATTGGGAATAGGGTATGTGTATCTGGTCTTCGAACTAGAGAAGTCTGTCCGATCCTTGCTTCAGGCTTGCTCTCATGACCCGCTGAGCCCAGATGGCCTGAGTGAATATTATTTCAAGATGTCCAGCCGAAGGATGCGCTGCAAGGAGGTGAGTTAGCGTGATGTCCTTTCTGGATCGAGGGTCTTGGAATATTGAGGCACTGGATTTTCTTGTGGTAGGTGGATAGGCAGGCTGCAGGCAAGGAGTATTCCTGCTGAGGCAAGAAGGCTCTTCTTGTCCCACAATAAAATAGCAGTATCCTCTCAATTACATTAAAAAAAAAAAAAAGCAACCTTTGGGACTTAATGGGGTGTGTGCATGCACACATGCGCATGCCTGCCCATGGTAATCAAACTGTCTGCCCGTCTTTATTCTGCTCTTCTTTCTTGTAGCCAACACTTTGGTTTCAAACCTCTTGTCTTAGAAATGAAATTGAGAACAGCAAACTTCTCTACTTGGACTTAACTGATAAACCTACAGCTGTTTTTCCCTGGTCCTGCCCTTCCTGTGCCTTGTGACCTCCCAGTCTGTGGGGGTGAATTCCTCTTTAGCCCACACCCACCTGTGGGTCACTTCTTCATTCTTATTCAGGGCTTTATTTAGTTTTGTGGGTTTTCCCCATAAGATTCTCTCTTCCTACGCTTTTTCTAATATCAGCCTTATGTATCCTTGGCAGCATGGGTCTCTAACGAGTTTATCTCACCTGGGGATCTCATTGCACATTCTTGGGCCTTATCCCAGACTTACTGAATCACTCTGGGTGGAATTTAGGAATCTCCAACTGAATAAAGATCCCCAGGTGGTTCTAGTGGGTAGTGTTTGAGAACCACTTGTCAAAGCAAGTTTTGAGCTCAGGAATCAGTGCGGTGGTAAAATCGGATTTGAGAGCACACAACTTTTGTGACATTGGACTAGATATTTAATATCTCTGAAACTTTGTTTCCTCTTCTCTTCTATAAGATGGGAAACTAAAATGCCTATTTTAGTAAAAAAGATCAGTGGTTGCCAGGGGTTTAGCAGGAAGGGATGAAGAGACATAGCACAGAGGATTTTTAGGGCAGTGAAACTATTCTGTATATGGTGGATACATGTCATTATACTTTGGTCCAAACCCATAGAAGGTAAAAGAAACACCAGGAGTGAACTCTGATGCAAACCATGGACTTTCGGTGGGGATGATGGGTCAGTATAAAAAAATGTTCCACTCTCATGCGGGATCCTGATAGTGGGGAAGTCACGCAAGTGTGGGGGCAGAGAGTATTTGGAGAATCCCTGTACTTTCTGCTCAGATTTACTGTAAACCTTAAAGCTTCTCTAAAAAAATCTATAGGGTAAGAGGAGAAATGCCTATTTTATTGGGATGGTCACATTAGATTTAAAATAAATCCATGTAACAAAGCTGGCTCTTGTTCTGTGTTAGAGAGAGGGCAGGCTCATCCTCTGGCTGCCCACAGTGACCCACAGCTTCCCTACCTTCTCTGCTTCTTTATTCTCTGGAGCTTGTGTAGTCTTCCCACCTTAGTATGTTCTAGGACTTAATTAACATGCTCCTTTTTCCTCCCCTCCTGCTTTCACAACCAGAGATGGCCATATGCATATCACAGAGCCCTTCCCCTTCCTCCTCAGTGCCCCTGTAGACACCATCCTGTCTCCCATTCCCTCCCATCACCTTACAGGGATTTAATCTTTCTTTGATTCACTGGCTATAGGCTGATGCAGTTCTCCTTCCTCTCTACTTTTCTTTTTCCTTTGTGTTCCTCTCCCCGCCAGCACCAACATAGCCAATATAGCCAATCTTTGACTCCCTTCTTCTTTTCTAGTTCAGATAAATGACTCACTTTGTGGCTTCTCTCACCTTTAGACCCAGATTCACCTTTCTAGCCTCATGTCCTACCTGAGCCTCACCTTCCTGTGGGATCCTTCTTCGGGATGTCCTGTAATCCCAAACTCTTTTGTGGGCAAAATTGGCTTTTTCATCTTCCAGTGAAATTGGCTCCCCTCTTGTAACTTCTGCCAGGTCCTCTCATCCCAAGACCGTGTAGGCCCAGCACCTACCAGGCCTGATTCTTCCTTGCTTGCCCATCCTGCTTATGCTGTCTGAGTACTGCAGACTCTTCTGTTGAAGAATCTCTTTGGTCTTGGCCTGTTCTCTGCTCGTTGCCACCAGCCTTGTCCAAGTCTTAATCACCTGTCCTTTGAAACTACTGTTTTTGCCTCCTTGCTGGTTTCTGCCTCAGATCTCTTCCTGCTTCAAGACATATTTTTAGATCTTCACTTCATTCTGGACTCCTCCACCTGCTCTACAAGGTTTTGTTCCAGGTTCAGGAGATTCAGAGGCAAAGGACATGGTCAGCCCCAGCCCTTTAAGACTCCAGGGATCTTGTATGTGACTTTCTACCCAACCTCTCGCCAGTCATTTCCACTGCTCTGGCACAAACCCTCTGAAGGCTAGGTTGGGCCAGTAACCATCTCATACAAATATCGTAAGCACTCCCACCCCTCTGTCCTTCAGGATCCTAGCCTTTAATTTCTCTGTGAGTCCTTCCTTTCTTGAGGACTTCAGATTATGCCCTTTTCATCAGTGTCCACAGCCCTTTGTTGGAACTACACAGTTGGAGGTTGAAATAGAATGCTGGGCTCCTGGGTTTGGCCATGTGGTACTTTTTTGCTTACTCTCCAGCATGAGTGAGTACTGTGTCCACTTCTACCATTCTGGACACATGGACTCAGTAAAATTCAACTCCAGTTGGGGTGGAGTCAGGGTGGTTTATTGGACGCCTGTGTGCCTGAGATTGGGCAACAGCACCTTTTCACCCCTGTAAGGGCGTTAGCTTAGCTTCAGTATCTCCAGAGCACGTACCTTGCCGTGCAAGCACCTCTCTCTCTGTGGCTCTCTGCCAGGGCTGATACACCTTTGGGTGGTTTTCAGGTGCAGGTGATCCCCTGGGTATTAGCCGACAGTAACTTTGTCCGGAGCCCATCTCAGAGGCTTGACCCCAGCAGGACGGTGTTTGTCGGTGCTCTGCATGGAATGCTAAATGCTGAGGCCCTGGCAGCCATCTTGAACGACCTATTTGGTGGAGTGGTGTATGCCGGGATTGACACAGATAAGCACAAGTATCCCATTGGTAAGTGTCCCACTTCTGTGTGCGAAAGCTTGGTTGGCCCCTGGGAGTAGACCAAGATTGTGATACTTCCCCATGGGAGTGAGGAGAGAGGCCTGACCCAGGTCTGCAGATCAGCATATACCAGCACCATAATATCTTTTTCTAGACAAGTCACGAGTACTGGCCCTTCTGTATCTAGCCCTCTACCCACCATCTCCCACGCAGTGGGAGAAAAAGCTATTGGAGACTACAGGAGGTGATAAGAAGTGAGAGTGAGGTAGGAACTTTGTTGGAAGCTCAGAGTTCACAGCGAAACCAGTTTGGAACAGACAACAGGTACTATTTCATGAAAAGGCTGCAATTCTCTGAACTTGCCTGGAGTTTTTTATTAAAAGTTCTTGAAAAGCTCTGGCATTGTCTAAGGTCAGAGACCAGGTCAGGCTGGAGGAGGACTTTCTGAGTGAGTCAGGCAACAGAGTGTGGCCTGTGCTTTCCTAACTCAGAAGTCTGTGGGCCTAACCACTAGGTTTTGATCAGCTCCTCTGAGAAAGGAGGTCAATTCGCCAGTCCTGGCAAAATGTCAATGATGAGGTATGGAGGTGGAGCAGAGCCTGACCTCTGTGATTAACATGTGGCTAACCCACCTCCCCAAATGCTTAGTCTTCACACCCACACTGAATCTGGTCAGGAAGGAGCACCATGTACTCACCAATACTGTGCAGCAGATTGAGAACAGGGACTTCAGAAGCCCCAGGAGCGGAGGAGGAACTTGGCAGGATGGGGCTTCTTCCAGCTCTCTTAATAGGTCTCCAGAGTGCCTAAGGGCTAGGAGAGGTTCAGTTCAACTGCTGGGCTTACCCTTCAGACAAGTGTTCTATCTGCATCTTGGCTTCCACTCTGAATCCTTTAACCTTAACCTATGCTCTACCTGCACTGAAGGAGTCCCTTATCTTTCCTTCCCATCTTGATCTGCAAATTCTTCCCCCATTCCTGAATGGTTCACGCTAACATGATCTCCACTGTCAAATATGGTACGAATATGGTAGCTACCAGCTAAATGTGGCCCCATTGAGTTTTGGAAACACAGCTGTTGTCACATTTGGAAATAATATTATTAACATATAGGGTTAAATAAAATTTTTTTTTTGAGATGGAGTCTCACTCTGTTGCCGTGCTGGAGTGCAGTGGTGCTATCTCAGCTCACTGCAACCTCTGCCTCCTGGGTTCAAGTGATTCTCCTGCCTCAGCCTCCTGAGTAGCTGGGACTACAGGTGTGCGCCACCACGCTCAGCTAATTTTTGTATTTTTAGTAGAGACGGGGTTTCACCATGTTAGCCAGGATGGTCTCCATCTCTTGACCTCATGATCCGCCCACCTTGGCCTCCCAAAGCACTGGGTTTACAGGTGTGAGCCACCGTGCCCGGCCAATAAAATATATTATTAAAATTAATGTCACCACTGTTTTAAAATTTCAGTGTGACTACTAGAAAATTTAAAGTTACATAAGGGCTGACCATGATGGCTTATACCTATAATCCTGGCACTTTGGGAGGCCGAGGTGGGGCAGATCGTTTGAGTCCAGGAGTTCAAGACCAGCCTGGACAATATGGTGAAACCCTGTCTCTACAAAAAAATACAAAAATTAGCCAGGCATGGTGGCTCATGCTTGTAGTCCCAGCTACTTGGGAGGCTGAGGCAGGAGATTGTTTGAGCCTGGGATGCAGAGGTTGCAGTGAGCTGAGATCACGCCATTACACTCCAGCCTGAGTGACAGAGGGAGACCCTGTCTCAAAAAATAAATAAAGTTACATAGTAGCTCACATTATATTTCTGTCGGACAGCACTAGTATCGTAAAGGGTTTCCTGCATTTTAAAAGAGTAGCATTAGGGCAGGCTCGGTGGCTCACGCCTGTAATCCCAGCACTTTGGGAGGCTGAGGCGGGCGGGTCACAAGGTCAGGAGATCAAGACCATGCTGGCTAATGGTGAAACCCGATCTCTACTAAAAATACAAAAAATTAGCTGGGTGTGGTGGCAGATGCCTGTAGTCCCAGCTACTCGGGAGGCTGAGGCAGGAGAATGGCGTGAAACCGGGAGGCAGAGCTTGCAGTGAGCAGAGATTGCGCCACTGCACACCAGCCTGGGCGAAAGAGCGAGACTCCATCTCAAAAAAAAAAAAAAAAAAAAAAAAAGTAGCATTTGGGAGAATTTGGTTAGAAGGGAAGCTTGTGTCTGTTGTCCTAGGTTCTGGTCGTGTGACTTTCAATAACCAACGGAGTTACCTGAAAGCAGTCAGCGCTGCTTTTGTGGAGATCAAAACCACCAAGTTCACAAAGAAGGTGAGTTGGCTGGTTTATGCCCTTACTCTGGGGTATATGAGAGGGGTTTGGGCAGTTACTACCCAGGGCAGGCCTGAGACCTGAAGCTGTTTGTGCTGGGTGTGTTTAGGGAAGTGAGCCAAATTCCTGAGAATTAACATTGAGGTTAGGGTTTGGGAGTGGGCTTGGTCTTTGTACGCCCAGGAGGAAGGGAACTGGGACTGTTGAGCCTCTTCAGTGTGTAGGGTGCCTTCCCTCACTGTGGTATTTCTTTGGCATTGCTCAGTAGCCTGACTTCCTATTTTCCAACCTTTTGGGAATCCTCCGAACACTTGCCTATACTGCTAATTGATAGAGGGCTGAGGTACAGTTTGCCTAGAAGACCAGGCATTAAGGTGTGTGGTTGCCTGAATCCCAGAGGCATCCAGCCTGACTGTGCATGGTGTATGAGTCTGTCCTCTAGAACTCCTTTCTGTACTTCAGGCCCATAATTCTCTCCAAGCCTCCTTTAAAACAGGCAAATATCCTGCATTCCAATATCCCGCATTCCTGTGTGTGGCCAATAATGTGCCCTTCTTCTATCGCCTATCGAGCCTCCTGGTAAGAAGAGCCACTTCATCATCTTATTTTGCCTTTGTGCAGGTTCAGATTGACCCCTACCTAGAAGATTCTCTGTGTCATATCTGCAGTTCTCAGCCTGGTCCTTTCTTCTGTCGAGATCAGGTGGGTCCGATGTCTATGAAGTCCCTGCCCTCTATTAAAAATTGTTGGCTGGGCGCGGTGGTTCACACCTGTAATCCCAGCACTTTGGGATGCCAAGGTGGGCGGATCAGGAGGACCAGCCTGGCCAACATGGTGAAACCCCGTCTCTATTAAAAATACAACAATTAGCCTGGCGTGGTGGCAGGCGCCTGTAATCCCAGCTACTTGGGAGGCTGAGGCAGGCGAATAGCTTGAACCCAGGAGGCGGAGGTTGCAGTGAGTCGAGATCACGCCACTGCACTTCAGCCTGGGACAGAGCGAGACTCCGTGTCAAAAAAAAAAAATTGTTATGCCAAGTTCATGACATTGAATGTTGGAGTTCTGAGGTACCCTGTGGTGTCTGAGAGCATAGAGGAGGCAGCAGTAATGTTTGCTGAAGGTCAGACCGGGACAGACATACTTTAGATAGCTTGATCCAGAACTCTTAAGAAAATATGTTGAATTGAGTCTTTATACTTTGGTCTTTTTCTTGCCTGGGATATTGCTATGCAGTATGCCACTATTGCTGAGAGGTGGTTTTGTAGATGATGGAAGCCTGGCTGGGTGTGGTCAGCAGCACGTGGGAGCCAGGCTCAGCTGCCTAACCCTGAAGCCTTCTAAGCTGATTTTTCTGTAAAGGAGGATGCCTCGTCCTCCTTTACATCTGAACTTCTGGACGACTTTGATATTTGCATCTGGGCTGTACCCACAGGTGTCAGCGACAGGCAGAAAGCAGCGAGGTGGCTTTCTATTGAATGTTCCTGGGTGATGGAATGTGGATCTGGATGTGTTTGGCAGTGCTTCTCAAACCTTAATTACAGACACATCACCTGAGGATCTTAGATTCTGATTCAGTGGGTTTGGGGCGGACCCTGAGATTCCATGTGTCCAACAAGTATCCAAGTGGTGTCAATGCTGCTAGTCAGTATCATCCTTTGACAGGTGTTAGGGGAAGTTTGGGACCTCTTAGGACACCAGCAGCAGTCCTTCCATGCTTAGTGGGTGCTTTTTAAATTTTGTTTAAAAATTTGTTGCAGTGATGCCATTGATCAGATTTGGAGTCTCTGAATATGGTTAAACTGAGGCTCTCAAGTGAGAGTTTGAAGTTAAGTTTGAATTGTTAGTTAAAGCCTGAGACCAAGTATCTCTCTGATCAGCCTCATCTACGAGGCTTTTATGGATCTGGATCTTTCACAGATAATCTCCATAGTCAGATAATTGCTCAGAGATTAGTGGCTTGCCTGACGTTACACAGCAACCAAGAGATGGGACTAGACTGAGAAACCCAGTCACCTCTCCTCACTTAATGGGAAGAAAGCAGGATGTTGCCTAGCATTAGAATTTTTAGTCAGTATCCTTATACATTCTCCACGTTAGCAGCCATGTGATACAACTACTCTGTAGGAGGTGAGAAGGGCAGGGGAATAGGAGAGCAGCTGTCATGGTTAGAGGGGATAAGAGAAACTAGCATGGTCTCTGCACACACTACGAGCCCAACATGTTTAAGTAAGGGGACCTGTAACAAGGATGGTGGGTTTGCCATAGTTAATCAGGCTTCTGTGTTGGGGTGAGAGCATTCCTAGGGACCATTTCTTCTAACCCACAGAGGCCATCGGGAGTCTCCCACCCTTCTCCAAACAGAACAAGCAGCTCGTGCAACAGCTCCTGTGTCTGGTGCTGACACAGGCATGGCATCCTCCTTTTTGTTCCCCCAACCCAGGTCTGCTTCAAATACTTCTGCCGGAGCTGCTGGCACTGGCGGCACAGCATGGAGGGCCTGCGCCACCACAGCCCCCTGATGCGGAACCAGAAGAACCGAGATTCCAGCTAGAGGAGCTGGCCTTGCCCAGTGGCCTGTGGCGCCCAAAGCTGGCAGGTCAGGCAAGCAGCCTGCACCACCCTGCCACTGGCGACCAGGGAGCTGGCTTCCCAAGGACAAGGGAAAATTGTAGTCACCTTTGCACTTGCTGAATCTGTCTTTGTTTCTGCACTAATTAATGCACATTGAGTTTTGTCAGGTTTTGTTTTCAGGGGGTGTACCAAGGGCAAGGACCCTCTGGCTTACCCTCCAAGCGACTCTGTAGTTTTCCCAGATTTTAGTTCCTCATTTTGCAGATGAAAAGCGGGGAAAAAAAAAAAAAAAAAAAAAACTACGTGTCCAGAAGGTATTGAGGTATTGACACGGATGCCTACACCTAGGTTTATTTATTAAAAGCGCTTTTTTACATTCCTTGCAATACTGATGGTGATGATGCGCAGGTCTCATTGGTTTCATTCTTGCAGTTGCCATACAGTGCCTTTCCATTTATTTAACCCCCACCTGAACGGCATAAACTGAGTGTTCAGCTGGTGTTTTTTACTGTAAACAATAAGGAGACTTTGCTCTTCATTTAAACCAAAATCATATTTCATATTTTACGCTCGAGGGTTTTTACCGGTTCCTTTTTACACTCCTTAAAACAGTTTTTAAGTCGTTTGGAACAAGATATTTTTTCTTTCCTGGCAGCTTTTAACATTATAGCAAATTTGTGTCTGGGGGACTGCTGGTCACTGTTTCTCACAGTTGCAAATCAAGGCATTTGCAACCAAGAAAAAAAAAATTTTTTGTTTTATTTGAAACTGGACCGGATAAACGGTGTTTGAGCGGCTGCTGTATATAGTTTTAAATGGTTTATTGCACCTCCTTAAGTTGCACTTATGTGGGGGGGTGGGGTTGATAGAAGTTTTTAATCACAAAGTCACAGGACTTTTTTCTTTTGTAACTGAGCTAAAAAGGGCTGCTTTTCGGTGGGGGCAGATGAAGGCTCACAGGAGCCCTTTCTCTTAGAGGGGGCAAGTACCCTTCCCTTATATCTTTAATTTGAGGAATGTATGAGATAACAGTTGCAGTTGACTGAAATGCCACTGGAATTTGAAAACTTGACTTTTTTTTCTTTCCTTTTTTTTTTTTTTTTTTTTTTTAAAAAGAAACAAAAAACCCACAAAAACTACTTGCCCCTCCTAGGGAAGCTGTGTGCCAAAGAACCAGTGTCATAACCCCTCCCTCCTGCTGAGCTGACGTTGCATTGTTGCATATCCCAGCTACTCTGTGGGTTTTGTGAAGCTGTGTGTGAAGTCTCTACCTCATTGTAGTATATGCAGGCAAGACTGCACTCTCCTACAGATGTGTGGAGTAAGCTGTGGTGTAGTTTTTTTGGCACATAATAAACACGTTGCAGCAGAGTTCTGGTTTTGTCTCTGTGTTTGAGGTCTGGGAGCAAGGGGCTAACGG
Source organism: Homo sapiens (assembly GCF_000001405.40). NCBI lineage: Eukaryota > Metazoa > Chordata > Mammalia > Primates > Hominidae > Homo > Homo sapiens. The sequence continues at coordinate 82,543,151 of NC_000015.10, read as the reverse complement.
GAGGGAGTAAGGGGGTAATGGCACAGCCACAGCTTGTTTCCTTGGATTTCTGTGATGGAGATCCTGGCCCAGGATAATGGTGGGACCATGTGGGAGACCTGCCCTGTGAGTACTTCTTGGTCCCTTCCATCGTCAAATATACTTTGGAGATGCTTCTCCAGTGGATGGGTGCTTCTAGCCCAAATATAAAAAGTCCTCATATCTTAGCTTCTCGGGGGTCCTCACAGCCTCCAGGCCCAGCTTAGAGAATGCTGGAGGCACAGCTGCTCACGTGCCAGCAGAAGCCACTTGTTCTCAGCTTCTCCTGGAAGTCTTGGCCTATTACTTCTTCGGAGGCTGCTCATCCTCTTGGACCCACCTATGATGATGCAGTTCCTTTCTGAGAGGGAGTGATTGGGTTTTTGCTGTTCAGAGAGCCCTATCAACGGAACTTTCTCAGAGCTCACAGGATTTCTGGCAAGGTCTGCTGATTTTTTTTTTTTTTTTTCAGTCGAGTTGGCCTGGGCCCAGCTGTTGGACCGATTCTTTGGGAACCTCCAATTTAGTCTGAGGTGGAGGGAACCCTGCATACTGAAGCTGTCTCTTCTGAGAGAGGTGCAAGAACTATTGGGCAAGGTGGGGGAGTCTCCTCACAAAAGGAGAGGCCTGGCCGGGCGCGGTGGCTCACGCCTGTAATCCCAGCACATTGGGAGGCCAAGGTGGGCGGATCACGAGGTCAGGATTTTGAGACCAGCCTGGCCAACATAGTGAAACCCCTTCTCTACTGAAAATACAAAAAATTAGCCAGGTGGTAGTTGCAGGCACCTCTAATCCCAGCTACCCAAGAGGCTCAGGCAGGAGAATCTCTTGAACCCGGGAGGTGGAGGTTGCGGTGAGCCAAGACCATGCCACTGCACTCCAGCCTGGGCAACAGAGTGAGACTGTCTCTAAATAAATAAATAAATAAAGGAGAGGCCAGACTGGGCACAGTGGCTCACGCTTACAATCAGCACTGTGGGAGGCTGAGGCAAGAGGATTGCTTGAGCCCCAGGGGTTTGAGACCAGCCTGAGCAACATGGGAGACCCCATTTCTACCAAAAAAAAAAAAAGGCATGGTGGTGTGTGCCTGTGGTTCCAGCTACTAGGGAGACTGAGGCAGCAGGATCATGTGAGCCCAGGAAATCGAGGCTGCAGTGAGCTGTTACCATGTCACTTCACTGAAGCCTGGACAACTGAGCAAGACTCTATCTCAAAAAAAAAAGGCTGGCCGGGTGCAATGGCTCACTCCTGTAATCCCAGCACTTTGGGAGGACAAGGCGGGTGGATCACCTGAGGTCAGAAGTTGGAGACCAGCCTGGCCAAAATGGCAAAACCCCATCTCTACTAAAAAAAAATATATATAAAAATTAGCAGGGCGTGGTGGCGCACGCCTGTAATCCCAGCTACTTGGGAGGCTGAGGCAGGAGAATCGCTTGAACTTGGGAGGCAGAGGTTGCAGTGAGCCGAGATCGCGCCACTGCACTCCAGCCTGGGCGACAGCAAGACTCCGTCTCAAAAACAAAAACAAAAACAAAAACCCTGATCTTTCACTTCGGGCCTGACAGCAGCTTGACTGGAAGTTTGCTCCCGCAGTTCTGAGATTCTGGCCTTTTCTTTTGTCCCATTGGTACTTTTTGCTGCCAGGGTTTCCTGTCCTTCAGGTTTCCATCCCCAATCAGTTGAGAGTCCGACTGGAGTACCCAAGGTGCGTTGAGGAATGAGGCACAGCCCTGGGCTTAACTCATCCAGCCTGGCCAGCTCAGCCTTCCCCTGTCAGGTGGGAGCCTAGGATTGCTGTCAGCCCAGGGAGCAGAGTTGGAAGAAGGGGGCAGGGCCCTACCTAGGCTGCGGCCCATCGGGGCAGCCTGCGCTGGTGGCTTCGGAAGGCCCTGGTTTGAGGATGGGTGCGGCAGGAACAGCCTGAAGATAGTGGATGGAGAAGGTACCTGAGGTGTTGGGAGCTCTGCTGGTGAGCTGGGCCCTTCACGTCAATGTTAGAGGTTGTTACGTGCTAGGCGCTGTTCAAGCACTGGGAATTAGCTAAACAAAATGACCATTACTGTCATGGAGCTCACCCCTAGTTGAGAAAAATAAGCCGAATCACACGGCAAGTGCTAGGAAATATAAGCAGGGATAGTGAGGGAGTTATTTTACCTAAGTTTGAAGGGAAAGCCCTCTGATAAGGCGACATTTGAGCAAAGGCCCGGAAGAAATGAGATACGTCTCGCCCAGTCGCACCCTGTCTCTACCTGACAAGTCTCCGGCCCGCGGACTGAGTGGGGGACCTGGGCGGCCGCCATCCCCCACTTCCTCATTGTTCCACGGCCCTGGATCGCCTTCTTTTCTCGGTCCTCCCGAGGACCGGATGCTTCTCCTCTCCCTGGCGTGTGTGGAAGAGATGGACGCTACGCTAGAGCACATCGCACGGGCGGTCCCATTAAAAATCAGATGGGGGAGAGAAGCGAGCCCAAGTCAACCGAGGGGAGCGGGGAGCGGAAAGGGAGGAGCCGTCGGGGGCGGGACAGACACCCTGCCCACCGGAGGGGCGCGCCACCGCCGCCCCCGCTCCACTCCGCCAGGGGGCGCTGTGTGGCTCCCGAGTAGGCTCAGAGCGACCGTGGCCGGGCGGAAGCGGCTTTCTGGCCTAAGCTTTAACAGGCTTCGCCTGTGCTTCCTGTTTCCTCTTTTACCAAGGACCCGCCAACATGGTAGGTGTTTTGGCTCGAGGCCGCCATCCTCCACAATCGTCCCCCATCTGCAGCTTCCCGCGGTCCTCAGCCCACAGAGAGGCCCTGGGCCGGGAAGGCGCAGAGCCCTGTCAGGCTGGAGCGCAACGGGCCGGCGGCTTCCGCATTAAGCCCGGCGCCCGGCACTGTTTAGCCGGGCCCTCTCCGGCTCAGCGCAGCCGGCGGTCCCCAACCACACCGGCCGGGGCTCGGCGCCGCACTCTTCCCAGAAGGTTGCGCTGGCTCGTGAGTGATCCTGTCCTCTCCACCCGCAGGGCCGCGTTCGCACCAAAACCGTGAAGAAGGCGGCCCGGGTCATCATAGAAAAGTACTACACGCGCCTGGGCAACGACTTCCACACGAACAAGCGCGTGTGCGAGGAGATCGCCATTATCCCCAGCAAAAAGCTCCGCAACAAGATAGCAGGGTGAGTCGGGCCTTCCTCGGCCTCCGGGGCTCCGCGATCTGTTTGTGTGCTCTGCCGCCCTCCGACTCGGGAAGAGACGGTGCCTTGGTGGTTTCGTTAGCCTGAGACTCCCTGGTGTCCCGGAGAAGGGCTAGAGCTCTGCGTGTGCAGGATTTCTGTTGTGAACTTAGGCCTGTGTCATGACTGGCCGCGGTGACCCTGGGTCGAAGGTAGCCACCGTCAGACCTCTTGCTTTGAAGCTACGTTGCTTTTAGTTGTCAACTTTTTTCTTTCTTTTTTTTCTTTTTTTTTTGAGACGGAATCTTGCCCTGGCGCCCAGGCTAGAGTGCAGTGGCGCCATCTCGGCTCACTGCAACCTCCGTCTCCCGGGTTCAAGCGATTGTCATGCCTCAGCCTTCCCAGTAGCTGGGATTAGAGGCACGTGCTACCACACTCGGCTAATTTTTGTATTTTTAGTAGACAACAGGGTTTCACAATGTTGACCAGGCTGGTCTCGAACACCTGACCTCAAGCGATCCGCCCGCCTCGGCCTCCCAAATTGCTGGGATTACAGGCGTGAGCCACCTCGCCCGGCTGGATGTCAACTTCTAATGCTTACTTCACAGTTGCAGTTACTGTTCGAGAGATTTATAGGCATATGGCCTGGAAGAATAGTGCCAAAGTCAACGTATTAATTGCCAAGTTATGTGAATTTGAAATTGGAAGAAAATGAAGGCTGTGAAGGGTCGTGAAACTGCGGGGCGGGGCGGGGCGAGTTGGGGGTGGGGCGCTTGATCATCATGAAGGAGAGTTTGAATAGAGAGTGAGAAACCAAGGGGAAGGAATGCTCAGGCCAGTGGAGGTTCTATGTGTAGGAGGTCCCAGGATAGTGAGTCCTCTTCCTTCTCACTGTGGAAAAGAACTAAAGCGGGTATTTATATATGCACATGTGCTCAGTACCAGGTGGGAGTTGATTTGTCTTCTCACTGTTCTCTTTGGCTGTGTGTGCTTTGTAGTTATGTCACGCATCTGATGAAGCGAATTCAGAGAGGCCCAGTAAGAGGTATCTCCATCAAGCTGCAGGAGGAGGAGAGAGAAAGGAGAGACAATTATGTTCCTGAGGTAAACTTTCTGGATATTTGGGCTTCTGGCTAATCCTCAAATGATAAAGCTATGGGTTCTTGGCTTCCAAAGGGACCTCAGCTGAATCTGAGACCTTTAATCCATACATTCCATAACCAGCTGTGGGTGCCCATAGGCCCCCTACCAGTTTCTTAGCCTCCATTCTGCTCTTCTGGAACCAGTTAAGTCTATTCCATATTTCATGAGAGCCCTTAATGTTGATTTGATGACTGCTGTCGTGGCTCGATTGTTTGCCCCTAATATAGTATTCTTTGGTGTAAACACAGACTTCAAGTGTTCTGAATACTGAATGAGGGCATGGGAAGGTAAGGCCAGAAGAACAGGTCATCGGGGTCTGTAATACTGTAAGAGACTGCTCACCTTGTGAGAGGAATGCTATCCTTGTGCAGCTCCTCTTCCCCATATTTAAGAACCTGGGGAGAGGAGGAGGAGAGGTGAGTGATAATCTCATTGATTGGTATTTTGACCCTACCTCGTTTCCTTGTAGGTCTCAGCCTTGGATCAGGAGATTATTGAAGTAGATCCTGACACTAAGGAAATGCTGAAGCTTTTGGTAAGTGTTTGCTGGATTCCTAAAGTGGTATTTTCCTGGTCAAAAACCATCAGTAGGTCTTATTATCCAAGGTCACCCAGCTAGTAAGTGGCAGAGTTGGGAATCCCATCTAAACTTGTAGCCACTAAACTGGACTGCTTTCATAAGGGGTGTAGCGGAAGTTGTGTGCATTGAGTTAGTTCGCCACAAGATCATGATTCCCAAATCTAGTGGCTTCCAGGACACCTTTTCTCTCTTGGCTGCTTCTGTTCTTGGTTTTATAGCTGGCTTACGTTGCCCCCTTTGTGTCAGCCCTGGCTGAATCTGCCTGCTTTTCTTCTGTGAAGGCATTCCTTTGGTGTCTCCATGCTAACCACTCAGAAATGAGCTTTGGTCCATTTCCAGGTACATACAAGGCACTACTTAGGTAGTTCACGAGTATCTTCATTGCACTTTGATGTTTTTTCTATGGCTTATCTTAGTCCTTTTGCATACTTGGGTGAAAGCATGGGCTTCATGGGCGGTTGGTGATTTTGAACAACTTCATTTTTCCTATTTTTATGGTCATTAAATGTTTAAGACACTCAAAAAGGTAGTAGCAAAATGAACTCACATGTACTTTCCCAGCTTCAGAAAAACATCACCAGTACAGCTACAGCCCCGCTGTGGGTCTTTTCTTCCTGAAATAACCACTGCGCTGAATGCAGCATTTTTGTTGAAACTAAAATGGGTTTCTGAGGACCAAATAGGACATGGAGTTCCAGGTATAAGTTGGGCCCTTGGCTTCTTGCCCTGCCTACCAGCCTGAACTTGTTTGAGGGCAGGGTCTGCTCTTGCCTCCCTCCCTTCTGCTTGATGCCTTGTGTACTTGGGCCCTTCACAAATGTTGATTAGATTAGTAATAGCTCTTACCCAGGGCTGGTCCTGGAAAGCAAGTGGCACTGTGTATTCTCAAAGGGACAGAGTTTTGCTTTAGAGGACATTTGGCAATGTCCAGACACATTTTTCGTTCTCATAGCCAGGGGATACCTGCTAACTTCTAAGGGGTAGAGGCCAAGGATGTTGCTAAACTTTCTGCAATACACAGTACAGCTGCCTATAACAAAGAATGTCCAGCCCAGGATGTCTACGTTGCCAAGATTGAGAAACGGTGTTTTAGAGTGATTGATAGGAAGGGGTTGTGAAAACAGATACAAATGGCATGGTACATTGGGTAAAAGTCATAGAGTTGTAAATGGGGATACCACATGGTCAGGTGTGTGTTGAAGGAAGATCACTCTGGAAAAGTGGGAGGCATTGAGAACCCTGTTGGCTCTTAAAGGGTCCTTCAGGTCGCCTCTGGACCCCCTTGAGAGTGCTGTGGCTCTAGGGGCCTGTGTTTTCTTCTGGGGTCCACTCACAGATCTCACCAGTAACTGCTCACTGAATCCATTTTCTCGTTCCAGGACTTCGGCAGTCTGTCCAACCTTCAGGTCACTCAGCCTACAGTTGGGATGAATTTCAAAACGCCTCGGGGACCTGTTTGAATTTTTTCTGTAGTGCTGTATTATTTTCAATAAATCTGGGACAACAGCCTTGCCTGTGTCATCTTTGCAGTTGTGTGTGGGTAGAGGAAAGGCAGGAGCTCTCGAGGCAACAGATCAGCTGGCACTTGTCTGGGATTCAGGTGCTGCTGCATCTGGTTTATGGGGAGTGGGTTCACCAGAGTTTAGTAAAGGAGCAAGGGCAAGCCTGAACGTGTTGAGAGTGGTCTGCAGTATGAGCCTGGAAAGCTGCTTTGGCAGCTCCACCCTGCTTCCCTGGGTCTTCAGCCCCTGCTGGGTACATACAATTTGGGCCAACTTGCCCATGTTCAGAAGGTAGCAACAGGATTATCGTGTATCAGAGGTTGACTTTCTTTCAGTGGGAGTTAGGATGAATGGTGTCTTTGTGTCCAATGTTGAGCCCAATGCCTAGAACATAGGAGATCTCAACAAATGTGAATAAATGTGTATGGGAGGATTGATACTGGGATGCTTCAGCCTAACCGGAGGCAGAGCTCACCAGCTGCAACCTGGGTAGACTACCCTGGACTCTGAGCTTTATTTAGGCTCTCTGTCGCTGTCAGTTAACCACGTGTGTGTGTGTCTCACAGGAGCTGGGCTGCACTTGGTTGGTTCATGCCCTTGCATATGAGGAAAGCTGTGGGCTCTTTTTCTCCAGTGGGACAAGGAGCTGTTGCAGAGCCAAGCTTAGCTGGCTGCATGTCCAGGAGAACAGGCAGGCATGGTGGCTCACACCTGTAATCCCAGTACTTCAGGAGACTGAGGTGGGAGGGATTGCTTGAGCCTGAGGGTTGGAGACCAGCCTGGGCAATACCAAGACCTCCTCTCTACTAAAAAGGTAGAAAATAAGCTGGGCATGGTGATGTGCATGTGTAGTCCAGCTACACATGCTTAGGCGGTCAGAGGGCTGCCTAAGCCTTGGAGGTGGAGGTTGCGATGAGCCGAGATCATGCCACTGCACTACAATCTAGGCGACGAAGTGTGACCCTGTCTCCAAAAAAAAAGCAGCCAGCAAGTGGGAAAGCTCTAGCCTTAAAGTGATTCTTACATATCTATTTCTGTCAAGCAGATAAATACAGCAGACATTTTTAATGTGTTTTGTAACTTAATTTTTGTATAATTTCAAACTTACAGAGAAGTTGCAAGAATAGTACAAAGAACACCCAGGTTTACCAGTTCACATTTTGCCTCAATGGCTTTATTTTTTTGCGGGGGGGGAGATGAAGTCTCACTCTGTCACCCAGGCTGGAGTGCAGTGGCACAATCTTGGCTCACTGCAACCTCCATCTCCCAAGTTCAAGTGATTGTCCTGCCTCAGCCTCCTGAGTAGCTGGGATTACAGACGCTCACCGCCACACAAAGCTAATTTTTTTTTTCTTTTTTGAGACAGAGTTTCGCTCTTGTGGCCCAGGCTGGAGTGCAATGGCAGGATCTTGGCTCACTGCAACCTCCACCTTCCAGGTTCAGGTGATTCTCCTGTCTCAGCCTCCCAAGTAGCTGGGATTACAGGCATGCACCACCACGCCTGGCTAATTTTGTATTATTAGTAGAGAGGGTTTCTCCATGTTGGTCAGGCTGGTCTTGAACTCCCGACCTCAGGTGATCCACCTGCATCAGCCTCCCAAAGTGCTGGGATTATAGGTGTGAGCCACTGCACCAGGCCATATATTCTTTATATATATATATATATATATACACACACACACAACTTTTTATATTCAAGAAAGTCTATTACATTTATTCTTTATTTTAACGATTTATTTTTTTTTAATTATTGTTATACTTTAAGTTCTAGGGTACATGTGCACAACGTGCAGGTTTGTTACATATGTATACATGTGCCATGTTGGTGTGCTCCACCTGTTAACTTATCATTTATATTAGGTCTATCTCCTAATGCTATCCCTCCTGCAACCCCATGACAGGCCCCGGTGTGCGATGTTCCCCATCCTGTGTCCCAAGTGTTCTCATTGTTCAGTTCCCACCTATGAGTGAGAACATGCGGTGTTTGGTTTTCTGTCCTTGTGACAGTTTGCTCAGAATGATGGTTTCTAGCTTCATCCATGTCCATACAAAGGACATGAACTCATCCTTTTTTATGGCTGCATAGTATTCCATGGACACACACAACTTTTTTTCTGCTCCACTTGAAGTTAAGTTGGAGATGTGCCCATTTACTCCCAAATATTTCAGTGTTACTTCCAGAACAAGAACATTATTTTATATAACCACAATACAATGATCAAAATCAGGAAATGTAACTGATGTAATACTATGTAATTCAGTCAGTCCTTGGTCACATTTTGGTCACATTCACAAAATGTGAAAAGTCATGGTTGATTTATTTTGTCTTTCAATTTGGGTTTTAGTAGCCGGGACCACAGGTATGGACCACCATGCCTAGCTAATTTTTAAATTTTTTGTAGACATAATACCTCCTGTGTTACCCAGGCTGGCCGTGCACTCCTGGCCTCAAGTGATCCTCCCCGCTCAGCCTCCCAGAGAGCTAGGATTACACTAGTGTGTGAGCCACCACATTCAGCCATGTACTCTTATATCTGTTAATCTGTTAGCCAACCTTTGGCTACCTCCTCCCCCTTCCTCACCTCTAGTAAACACTATTCTAAGCAAATAGATCTTAAAGGAGACCACCCAGAACCTGGTAGACTCCTATACAGCCATTGTCAACAAGACAGTGTGGGACCTCATGGTTGGTCTCCTGCCCAGGACCATCATGCACCTCATGATCAACAATGTTCATGCACTGCCCCATGGGGGCAGGGGGCGACTGTGGCACTGGGGATGGAGGTGGCCATGCTGGCCTGGGAGAGATGCCGACCAGCCCTATGGGACCAGGTCCAGGGAGGGAGGCATGGTCAAGACCAGAGCTGTCCCATAGAAATATAACATGGGACTGGGCACAGTGGCCCATCCCTGTAATCCCAGCACTTTGGGAGGCCAAGGCAGGAGGATCGCTTGAGCACAGGAGTTTGAGACCAGCCTGGGCAACATAGTGAGACCTGGTCTGTACATAAAAATTTTAAAAATGCTGGACTTGGTGGTGGCACATGCCTGTAGTCCTAGCTACTCAACAGGCTGATGTTGGAGGATCACTTTGAGCCCAGGAGGTTGAGGCTGCAATAAGCAGTGATCTCACCCACTGTACTCCAGCCTGGCGACAGAGTGAGATCCTATCTCCAAAAAATTTTTAAAAACCAAGTAGACAGGTGTCCTGGTGGCATGATAGGTCCTGGGTCCCCTTCCAGATCTGTAACCTTGGACAGGTGACTTTTCCTCTGGACCTCAGTGTCCCCATCTGAGTGAGAAAAGGCGGTGGGGAGGCAGATCTTCGAGTCTTAAGTGGTGTAGAAGCTGCGCCTGAAAAGCCGTACTTGGGGCTCCAAGCCCAGCGCACAGTCCTAGCAGGGCCCGGCAGGGCAGCCAGGGCAGCACAGGCATCAGGTTGCACCCTCCTTGCCTCTTTGCCCACTCTCAGACCAAGGAATTCATCTTCTTGGAGCTGCTATCCAACCTGTACTCGCATGGGGACCAGAACACGCTGATGGAGGAGTCTGCAGAGCAGGTACAGCGGGGCGATGAGATGCTGTGCATGCACCATATGCTGACAGAGGTGCTCAGCAGCATCAGCGACATCAACATGATCACCATCAGCATGCCCATGGGGGCCCGTGGATGACTCTTGGCTGCAGGTGCAGAGCATCCTGGCTGGACGCAGGTACCAGGGCCGGCCCCCACGGTCCCAAAGTCCCCCAGCCTCCATGACTGAGCCTGGGGAGTCTTGGAACGGGCTCCATGCCCAAGCTGGCAGATGTGGGTGCTCTCTGGAGCCATCAGAGAGGGCAGAGAGCTTGTGGTTTATGGTGTGGGGGCTGGGAGCTTGGAGGGGGGTGTGTGTTGGGCTGGATTCTGAGGCAGCCAGAGGCCTGGGAACATCATCCTGGGCACGCCGTACCTGTCGTGCAGTCTGAGTCATGCTGCAGGGCAGGTATCCAGCTCCCAGCCTGGGAGTGCCGAGAGCCAAATCCACTCCAGATTAGGGGTGATAGTCAGGGTCCCACTTCCTCTATCTGTCAGCAATCCAGTGGTGATCTAGGATAAAAGCCTGAGAGTCCTATACACACGGTCATCCCACAACACACTTCACAGGCCAGGCAGGGACACACAGACCCCATCTCTCCCTCCCAGATACCATCACAGCTGCTAGTGTGTGACCGAAGGCAGGGTCCCTGGCCCCCGCTGAAGCACTACTGCCAGCCAGTTGGCTCATGCACCTTGGCCTGTTGCTCCTAGAGGTCACCTATGCTATTCAACCAAGGGGACCACAGTGCCTGCTGGCCCAGCTGAGCTCTGTCCAGTGAGCCTGCCCGCCTCTCCTGCCACAGACTCTCCCTCTTCTGCTTTTCCCTGCAGGAAGGGCCCAGCCTCACCTATGTGACCTGCAGTCCCCCAACAAGCTGAGGCTCCCCTCTTAGACTTATAAGTCTATGGCCAGTGGCATCTGGCTGCCTGCCCTCCCTGCCTCCCCCAGGGTCCTCTCAGAGGGTTCTGGGCTTTCTGATGGCCCAAAGGGGCCTCCAGTGCTCACTCCAACCATCCATCCCTTTTAGCTTCATCATCCTGGTTCAAGCAGTGTTCCTTCCCTATCAGGCCTGGTGGCTGTTGCTTGGGGCTCCCCAAGGCGAGGGGTGGCCCTGGGCCAGTGGGTTGGAAGACAGGGTGACCAGAGAAAAGGGAAGCCTGACGGGGCTGAGCATTGGTCTGAACTGTGGGTGCACTGCCTGGATGCCATGGGAGAGGCGTGTGTGGGGTGGGGAGGGCCGCTGCAGCCCCCAGGCACTACCTGTGAAGCTCCGGCTTCCCCCTCCATCCTCCTCCCCTTTCCCTTCCAGCCCCTTTTCCAGGAACCTTACTACACACCCGCACCTGTGCCCTCCCGTCCCCAGCCCTCCCACAGCTGCTGTGTCACTCCCATGCTCTGCACTTGCCTCACCAGCAATCCGCTTGCTTTTCTCTCTCCTGTTTTCTCTCTGCTTTCTCTCCACTTGCCAGCTGATCGGGTCAGGCAAGTCCATCCCGTCCTGAGAGCCCCAGGCCCCACTTTGACCTCTAAACAGATCCCTCCTCTACTTGGAGACTTCCCTTTCCAAGCCTGCCTGAGCAGGTGTACTATGACTTGACAGTGGCTCTCCAGCCCCAAAGCCAGCCCTCTTCATCTGTGACTTAGTCTGTTGTAGTGGTGAGCTGACACATCCAGGTGTGACCGTTGCTGAAAACTTGTGCCCCCTCTGTGGTATGCCCCTGCCCTGTTCTATAAATAGCTATATATATATATGCAGTTACACATGGCCGACCGCCTCGCCTCTAGCACTAAGAATAAGTCCCTGTGCTGTCCTTTTGGAGTCTTGTGGTCCAGCAAGAGAAAGCTGTCCCCTGACATCGCCCCTCCAAAGTGTGCCACCTCCAGTGAGACTCCCTGTCATGCCCAGCCTGTGGACAGCCAGCCCCCGCCATCCCTCCCACCCTCCACCAAGCATGGGGGTGCTGTGCAGGCAGCCATGTGGCCTGACAGTCTCTACCAGTCCTGCTGTCCCTCGGCTGAGAATCAAACCCATTTCCGGATGACGGAGAATGTGTCCTCTGCTGGCTGTGTTCTCTGTGGAGCTCAGGGGAGGGGAAAGGCCAAGCCATGTTTAGGTGCTGTTGGGAGCAAGTGAAAAGACCACATCCTTTCCAAGGGACACTTTTCCTGGAAAGTCCCTGGAGCTTAGCTGGCTTTTATCCTGTGAAGCCAGCTCCGGCCACTAGGGGTCAGGGTCATGATCTCAGCCTGGAGGGAGACTGAGGGGCAGCCGGCATTCTGGAGGGACAGACAGAACAGGCCACCCAGTGCAGACAGGAGAAGGAGGCAAGGGGACGGAAGGGAAGATGCCTGGGGTGGATGGAAGTCAGTGCCCTTGGGTGCTGGTATCTGACTTCCCGGCCACTGCTAGATCAGGCTTCTGAGCCTGTTGGCTGTCAGGGCCGTACTGTGCTCCATAGGTGCTATGGCAGTCCCCATGAAATCCACCAGGTGTCACCAGGCAGCATACAGGTAACAGGCCTGGAAGGTCCCCAACAGCCCAGCTGGACATGCTCAGACACTCTGGGGCTCCTCATTCAGTGGGACAAACTCCAGGACCCAGTGAAGGAAACGGGAACACACCAGGCTGAGCAGTATGGCTAAATCCATTTATTCCAAAATGAAAAGCAAAATAAACAGGAGTCGCATCACCAAGGGAGCCACGACCCCATCCCCGCCTCCTTCCTATGTCCTATGCTAGCAATAAATACGTTTCCCAGATGCAAATAATTATTAGATCCTCCTCCCTATATGCCAGCTCCAACCTCCACTAGGTACGATACAGGGGCAGCCCCACTCCCCAGAATATACAAAATGTTACGCAGATACAATATATACACTGGGGAAGGGGGGGTCACCCCAGCAGCCCATGCCCTTGCCTGGTCTACTGTTAGCCCCACTGTCCTGCCTCAGCTGCCTCTCTGAATAAGAAGATGGGAGCTCCCCTGAGGGAAAAGTTGCTTTGGCAAGAGTAGAGAGGCCATCAGGCCTACTCCAAACAAACCAACTCCACCAGCCTCTGGCTCTTAAATAACAAGCATCATCGTCCAGAAATTTAAGGACTCAGCCCTGGTCAAGGTGGCAAAGGGTCTGTCTCCCCCCATTAGACAGGGGTCTTGCTACCCTAAAGGTAAAGAGGTGACTGGGAAGGGGTGGTAGGGACATGGTGGGGGCGGAGAGTCCAGACCCACTTCTCCAGGCTTATGCTGGAAGGGGCCTGCTTTTATTTATTTTTATTTATATCCCGTGACTTTTTTTAATCCCATAACTTCTTTTCCATAACTTTTTAAATAACTTTTCATACAATTTTTTCTACTTTTTTTGACACACTTTTCCACATTTTTTATCCCGTAACTCTTTCATCCCATAACTTTGTTTGTTCTTTTAATAAACACACTTACATAGTTACAATTTTGTAACAATAAAAACAGATTATCTCATGCCAAGCATGCCCATTATTTGCATGCTATAGTATTTAATACTGTAGTTTTCAAGACACACGAAATTTTAAGGCAAAAACAGCACTTTGCAACAATTTAATAATTTATTACATTACAGTAACATCACAGCAGTCAACAATGCCACTTTAGGCAAAAGTCAGTATTTCCATTATACATTCTGTTTGTAAGAATTCATAAATAGGTAAAAGTCATTCTAAGAAAACTTGGCAAATAAAGCTTTGGACTGGAATTGGCATTTCTTTCTCTACTTTTCCTTCCCCTGGTTTCTTTCTTTTAAACTGCAGTATTCATATTTAAAATGTTTTAACTTATTTCAAAACAATAAGATAGCAGTTACATTTTTTAATAGTTATATTATTTTAAAATGACAGATACAGTTTTAGAGAAATTATATTATGGATAGGGCTGATTTACATTTTCACATTTTCAAAAAATCATCTTTGGTTTTAGAACTGATTTTTTTCATTTCGAGAAAACCTATCTGGTTTAATCAAATACTTTAAAAATAATTATTATATATTGCCATCTTTAGATAGGTATTTTGATTCTTTACTTCCTACAGAAATTCACATTTATTCAGTTGAACTCATATTTTAAAATTCTGTTTCTGATGAACTCTAACCTTCTAATGTTGCCTTCTAAGCAAATTGAAAGCTGCCTTATACTGAATGAGGAAGAGAACAAATACTTGGCTGAATGAGGTACTGCAAAAGACTGCATGCACTTTGAAGGAAGACTTAAGTTATTGTCACATGATTTCCATTCTTTTTAGCTTTTTCTTAAACATATGACAAAATACCTACATGAAGAGTGGTATTTCAGTTAATATAGTACATTTATTTTTCAGACTGACGTTCAGCTTAAATATGCCCGTATGTGATTTAATCCATAGGTACCTGATGAACACATTATTGTCAGATTGGTTACAGATGCTAAACGCTATCCGAAGGTCATTCCTAGTCATTTATACGTGTCAGGGTAAAAGTGAAGTGATTTGAACTATAAAAATACCTTTGAAATAATTTATCAATGTATTCGGTAAACCCAGTTTCAGAATGATAAAGAAAAACTGTTAGATCAAATAATGTGGCTAATTAACAGTGGTATGACTTCTAGCCTGAGGGTTTAAAATGGACTTAAAGGAACTGTCTTTAAACCGAACTCAAAGAATGCAAAAGCAGCAAGTTCAGAAAATAAAAGGCAAGAACAGGACCTTAAGTCCATTTTAAACCCTTGGGCTGGAAATCCTACCACTGTTAATTAGCCACATTGCTTGGTCTAACAGTTTTTCTTTATCATTCTGAAACTGAGTTTCTCTAATACATTGATAAATTCATACAATTTGGAAGAGTCAGTTGAAGTCACAAGGGCTCAATATTTGCAATCTTTAAGTGAATGCAGGCAATTCTCTTATTCAATCTGTAAAATCGTATTATTGATCTCCTATTAATGTCATATTTATAAAAGTATCATGAGGATGCCCAATGCTAAAAGTGGAGATGGTCTAGTAACTAGAAATGCCCACCCCAGGGAGTGCAGATACATCTCTCCCTACATCCTAATGATATGATGTATTTTGGAACACAGACATTAGAACTTCATGAAGTTTTAGCTGTTGATTGTTCCCCAAGCATCCTCCAGTTATGATATAGGCAACATATGACTGAAATAATTCATTGATCATGCACATTAACATAAATATTACACAAAATATGCCTCTAACTGAAACCAAAAGGTATAAAAACATATTTCACTCTTCGTAAAGAACTTTGTGAGGAAATATAACTCCGTGATTGTATAGACACTTTCCTCATGACACTTTGACATTCACAAACAGTAGATTGCGCTGCAGTTTGTAAACATTTTAAGTTGCATAAACTGCTCCTTGATTTTCAAATGTAGTATAATACTGTCTACTAAAATTCCTTTTTGTTTCAACTAAGTACTCTCACATATATTTGTTTATAATAATGTTTGTTATTATTTTTAAAGTCTTTTCCATTCAAGAAAAAGAATTCCTCTGTCAGATGGTTGAAGACTAGCTATTAGCCAGAGAGGTCTAGATGGTAAAATCCATCTTCTAGCCTCAAATAAGCTCCATGAACACAGAGGAATGCCAGGTGTAACACAGCTTTCCTTCACTCGAATTCATTCTTGACTAGAGCCTGTATATGCCTGTTTCAGGGACATTTAAACTCTTAAAGGATTTCTTCTGATCTTTACTGAATACATTAAGGAGAATGCCAACCAGTGCCCTTTTGTGTACTGGGACATGTAGTCATGTGATTAAAACAGGGAACATGAACTCTGACTTTAAAATGTATTGTAGATATAAATGCTCTCAGCTAGAAAAGGTTTTCCACATCCACAGTCATGATGGGAGCCTTTCATTCCTCAGAAATAATCCCCTTTTAGGTCATCAAAAAAAAGTACAACTGCCACAGCTCATGATGCAATGTCTTCATGAGCCCAGAGCACATGCAAATCCTAAGGGAACTACCATAGTACAGCGCTCATTCTTGGCACCAGAACAAATGAAACATATTCTATCCTGCACACACCTGCCAGAGCAGGCCACTTTCCTCTTCTGGGAGATTTAAAAAGCTCCCCAAAATGTTATTACTCCCATCCCCAATACACAGAAAAAGGGGAAAAGGCTGTTTCCAGTGCTCCACCTTTAAACAACTGTAAATGTCAGTACTCACAGTGGCATATTACAAAGTAATAGACCGCGCACTTGAGGGCAAACCACATATTGAGCTAATGAAGAGCTCACTGTGATTAGGATTCGATCAAACATAACAGCAGAACATAAGGAAATTTTATCTGAATTCCGTAATGAATATACATGCTGTACTAACATTTAAAAAGCATGGCAGCCTATCCCAAACCAGCAAGAACAGTTGTGTGCATACAGTGGGTCTTTGTGTGTTTGAACTCCCACCACATAAGGGCAAACTCGATATGCATGCTAACGTCCTATAATTATCAAATTTAAAAAATGCTAAAGGATGCCAGAGTGAACATGAGAGAAAGACCCACTCTCATTTAACTTTTTACAAATAAATTTAAACTATAAATTAGAAACAAATAAATTTAAACTATAAATTAGAAACACAAATAAATTTAAACTATAAATTAGAAACACAAATAAACACAAGTGGCTCTAACATTCAAATGAAGTAAATGAATTGTGTAGGATATTAACCCCTTAAACGTTTTGTTGTTTTTTTTTAATTCCTTGACCCGCTCTTAGATGATGGTGATGTTTAGCTCCCTGTTCTCGGCAGCCCGAAAAGAATGGCATGCAGCCTCTCCTGCTCCTCCTGCCGCCTCTCCTGTACCAACAGCTTCTCCACCCAAGCCTGGGTGCTCCTGGGGAGTCCTGCATTAGAGGAAGCAGCTGCTGGATCTGCTGTGCAGTGGGGTTGTCATGGGGGAGAACCCTCCCTGTCCTCTCCCGGTGCAGCCTCCATGCTATCAGTGAGGCTCAGCTCACTAAGATCTTCAGAGAGAGGGAGGGGGGTGGGAATCTGGGCACAGTGCGAGCCTCCCCTGCTCCTGCCTGCCCACCCCGCCTGAGGGCTCTACTCACCACCCTGCTTGTCCGCACATCCAAGCTCCTTGTGGGACTGGGGCTCCAGCTACTGGTCTGGCTGCTGCTGCAGACTCGGAGCCTCTTGGCTCTTCAGCTCCACCTGCCGGAAGACCCTGGGCATGAGGACATGTGGTGGCTGGCTTCCAGATTCCTGGCCCATTAATAGGGTAGCGAGGGCACTGTGGGGCTCTGTGGCCTGCCCAGGCCCCTGGCCCCTTGCTCCAGGCCTAAGAGACTGTCTCCCTTGCTTAGAACCCCATGCCTCCTTCCCTAGCATCAAATCTCACGTCCTTTTTCCCAGCATGTAAACTGTAGGCCACAGACTGGTGGAAAAGCAGGCGGAGCCAACCACCATCTGCTAAGTGTGCTACATGCCTAATGTTTCCACGTATTATCTCATTTAATCCTCAGCACCTCTGCAAGGAAAAGGCTAACTTCCTTTTGAAGTTAAAGAAACAGAGACTTAGAGATGCAAAGTAGTTGAATTATGACCAGTGGAACCGAGGCCGGAATCCAGTTTGAATCTAAGGAGTCTTTTTTGTTTTTCTGTTTTGTTTTGTTTTGAGAGAGTGTCACTCTGTGTCCCAGGCTGCAGTGCAGTGGTGCAATCTCAGCTCACTGCAACCTTCACCTCCCGGGCGCAAGTGATTCTCGTGTCTCAGCCTCCTGAGTAGCTGGGATTACAGGCATGCACCACCAGGCCCGGCTAATTATTATTATTTTTTTTAATTTTAGTAGAGATGAGCTTTCACCATGTTGGCCATGTTGGTCTCAAACTCCTGACCTCAAGTGATTGTCCTGCCTCAGCCTCCCAAAGTGCTGGGATTGCAGGCGTGAGCCACCACACCCGACATAAGGAGCCTCTTATACCACTGTCTCTTCCTCTGTGATTGGGGGGCTCCATGCCTCTAGCTGGGATGATGATGTCCAGACCTGGGAGGACCCCAGGGCTACCCACCTCTAAAAGTCAGAGGGCAGGAAGCAAGAAACAGTCATAGGACTGCCCCGGAGGGTGCTGGGGTCACCTGTCCCCAGGCTGCAGCTGCCTGTGGCCTGGCACCTCCCCTCCCCAGAGGCTGGTGCCCGCCTCCCACATCTTCTTGGATGGGTCGGAGGTTACAGTCTCTTTCAGCTCACCCGACTTCTCCAGCTCCTTTACTTGCTGCTCCAACTGCAGTGTGCTCTTGTTCTCGTTGTTCTGGACAGAGAGAAGCAATCAGTGGCCACCCACTAAAACTGGAGACCCCAGAACTTAGTGTCGCCTCCCATGGCACCGGGAAGGGTGGAGGCAGGTTAGAAAAATATCCCCTCTCTCCCACAGCCATCAGAGCGGGGCTCTGGCTCACAGATGCCTTTAGAAGTACCATTTCATGTGAAGGCTACAATGCCCCATTTTACAGGTGGGGAAACAAAGGCCTTGAGGGCTAGGGAAGAGGGCAGCCTCCCCAGGTGGGGCAACGCACCAGCTCCTCGAAGCCGCTGCGTGGCTCGGCCCGCTGCTCGTACAGGGCTTCCCACCCCAGCTCCAGCATCCTCTCCAGCTCCAGCAGCCTCTCCAGCTCCCGCAGCCTCTCCAGCTCCCGCAGAGTCTCCTGCTGCCACAGCCTCTCATCCTGTTACCGAAGCCTCTCCTGCTCCAGGAGCTCCTCCACCTCGTCCAGGAGCTCCTCCACCTCGTCCAGCAGCCTCTCCCTCTCCAGCAGCCTCTCCTGCTCCTCCTGCCGCCTCTCCTGTTCTAACAGCTTCTCCACCTCTTCCAGCAGCCTCTCCCTCTCCAGCAGCCTCTCCTGCTCCTCCTGCCGCCTCTCCTGTTCTAACAGCTTCTCCACCTCTTCCAGCAGCCTCTCCCTCTCCAGCAGCCTCTCCTGCTCC
The DNA here is from genome assembly GCF_000001405.40 of Homo sapiens. NCBI lineage: Eukaryota > Metazoa > Chordata > Mammalia > Primates > Hominidae > Homo > Homo sapiens. Next base: position 82,524,211 of record NC_000015.10, on the reverse strand, counting down.
TCCTGCCGCCTCTCCTGTTCTAACAGCTTCTCCACCTCTTCCAGCAGCCTCTCCTGCCCTGGCAGCTTCTCCTGTTCACACAGCCTCTCCTCCTGTTCACGTAGCCTCTCCTCCTGTTCACACAGCCTCTCCTCCTGTTCACGTAGCCTCTCCTCCTGTTCACACAGCCTCTCCTCCTGTTCACGTAGCCTCTCCTCCTGTTCACACAGCCTCTCCTCCTGTTCACACAGCCTCTCCTCCTGTTCACGTAGCCTCTCCTCCTGTTCACATAGCCTCTCCTCCTGTTCACACAGCCTCTCCTCATGTTCACGTAGCCTCTCCTCCTGTTCACACAGCCTCTCCTCCTGTTCACGTAGCCTCTCCTCCTGTTCATGTAGCCTCTCCTCCTGTTCACGTAGCCTCTCCTCCTGTTCACGTAGCCTCTCCTCCTGTTCACGTAGCCTCTCCTCCTGTCTCCTGTTCAGGAGACTCAACATCTGATTGTTTTCCACCTCAGCCTGGAGCTGTCTTCCCACACTCTCTAGCTCCTTCCTTAGGTGGTTGGTCTCATCTTGTAGCTGCTCTACCTTAGATGGCCCTGCTGGGGGCTCTGGGGCCAGGGGTTCAGCTGAGAAAGGAAGCAGACAATAAGGGCCTCTGGATTCTCAAAAAAAAAAAAAAAATCCTCCCTTCGGTGCACAGCTCCTCCTCTCAGGCTTCCCAAACTTGGCCTCACTGCTAATGACTCCTCACACCCGGATGGTAGCCAGTCTTCCAAGTCACTTTCAGATAGAGAGCACTGTGGGTGGCTGACAATGGGCACTCCTCCCTCTTTACTGATGGGGACACTGAGGCTCATGGAGATGACAAGACTTGTCCTCCCCTGGCACAGACCTCTTTCCCTCTGCCTCAAAGCCCTTCCATCCACCCACCTCCCTGGGGCATTCTAAGTCACCCCCACAGCCCTCTAATGCCAGTCCAGCTGCCAGGTCATGGCAGCCCCATCTTACCCGTCTGGTTTTTGAGTTTGAACAAGCTCCTCCCAAGCTTCTGTACCAGATGTATCTCATGCTTCTTCTCCTCCTTAGATGTGCGAACCTGCCCAAAGCAAAGGGGGAAAAGGGCCCTGGAGGGAGGGGCTGGTGAACCTCTAGAGACAGAGTTTGAGAAGGGCCCACCCCCCTTCTGCCAGTTTGTGATTTAGAAACGTGCATTCATTCAACAAACATTTACTGAGCATGTACAGGCCAGGTACAGTTCTTCATAGCAGAGATATAAAACAGGAAAGGACAGACAGGAGCCCTTGGCCCTGAGGTTTCCATTCTAGGGGCCTTTAAATCTCTGACTTTCAGAGCTAACCAAGACCTTTGATACTCTCTACCTCCTCCAGAAACACGAGCATAAAGAGGAGAGATGGCTTGTCCAGACTCAAAAAGCAAATTAGGGACTGAGGCAGGGCAGAAATATGGACCCCTGACAACCAGTCAGGCTAGTGCTTCCCAGAGAGGTGACAACCCCAGGGCATGTGTGGCAAGGACTAGAGCAGGGGTGTCTGGAGAAGAGAGAGTCAGCAAAGAGGGCAGTGCAGAAGACCCATGCTGCATGTTCTGTGCTCTGGGGTCCCTCCAGGTGAGACCTGGGTGCCCAGCTCCCCATTTGCCCTTGGCATCAGGGGCCCCTAGCCCCTTTCTTCAGGGCCCCAAGAGGAAACTGGAGTCCAGGATTGACCAGCTGTAATCAGGGGACCCCACTGGACTCTTACCAGTGAATTGATGTTTTCAGTGAGTTGACTGATTATTGCGGAGCTTGAATCCAGGGCCACTGCTAGTTCTTGGTACTGGCTCTGAGGTGCATGCAGAGAGAAGGAGTTGGAGGAAGATTGTGGGGAGGGGTAGAGAGAATAATCATTAGGGCTGGTGGGGGTGTGTGGGCTGCCTCAGCTGGCAGAGGGGCAACAAGCCCCTGCTGTGGGAGGAGGTTGGAGGGCTGGCCTGCAGGGTCACTGCACCTCGGCCCAGGGCCTCTTACCTCCAGATCCTCCAGGGTAGTAGAGGATGCACGGCCTTCCCCGTAGATACCTGTTGCTGACTGCAAGAGATGAGAGTGCACATGGAGATGTTCTGTCCCCCCTCACTGTCTAAGCCCTCTGACTTCTTTCTTCCCCCATCAACTGGCAAAAGCTTCTTTTCTGCCTATCTTGGACCCTTTTTCCCATAACTCCTTTGTGCCAACTTCTCTCGTGGTTCTTATCTCCCCACCATCCCACCCTGGGGCCCTTTCAGTGACTCCTAAAGGGACAGCCTGATGGCAAGTGGCTCTTCTCATTGGCCTGGCTTCCCCTTGAGACTGGGGATGAGGAAAATCAAACAGCAACGACCATTTCCTCGGTGTCCTGGGTGTTTGCAGCAGGCCATGTACTAAGGATTCACATAAAAGCAACAATAACGAATCTCATTTAAACTTCACAAATGGAAGTCAAAAAATACCACCTCTATTATACAGATGTGAAAAGAGAGGCCCAAAGACCTCAAGCAACTTGCCCTAAATCATATGCTAATCAATCCCTAATCAATTCTTAGCAGATGGAGAGGCAGGATTCAAATCCAGAATTCTTAACCAGTACCCAACAGTCCATCTACAATCTTAACAATTACCCTCTACTGCCCCTTGGGCCCCCTGTCGCCAGGACCCTGGCCCGCCGAGACTCACATCCCCAGGTGAGTGGTAACCACCAGAAGTGGCTGTGTCAGGGCTACTGCCATTGATTTTCTTTTTCCTGTTAGCTCCTGCTGGAATGCCAGGGCTCTTCCTCTGCCAATATGCTTTTAACTGTGGGAAAGAAGAGCGGTAACACTCATGAGAATGATCAGCCCCTACAGCCACATCCTCCTTTACAGTTTTGACAAAATACCCTTATATACCATCTGATGTAATGCCACCAACAACTGTACAAGGTGTTGTCACAATCACTTAGTGACTGAGAGGGATTGATATCATGGATAGAAAAAAAAAAAAGAAAGATCAAAAAAGGCAATACTGGAACTTAAACTCAGTCCTCTGACTCCAAGCTCTGGGGTTTTGCCATGAATCAGCAGCTTCCAGGGACCAAAACCAGGGGCAGAGGTAGAAAAGTAAACATTAAGCAGGCAGGAACTGTAGGCCGTGTGGTTTAGAGTCATACATCCTCACAGGTCTGCTAGCGTGAAGAAGCGTACCAGTACCTCTCACACTTTCATATCAATGTGTCCTCATGGCAGAAGGCAGCTTTTCTATTAAATCTGGGAATTTATCAGAAAGAGGACAACCCAAGCCTCATTTCAGAGCGAAGTCTGGTGTACGCTTGGAAACCTATGTGTCTGTCATCCCTAAGTACATTAATGCATTTTCTCAAGAGAATCAAGGGAAAATGATGCTTCAGAAAGATGTCCCACATTTATCCTGTGGCACTCAAAGTACCCCAGGTTGAGACGATATGAGGAAGATTCAAGCTGTCAAGTTCAGTTTCCCAAGATCTATTCCACAGAAGATGAGCAAATCTCACTTCAGAGGCCACTGACTGAAGGGCAGTCTGGTCCCAGAACCGTGGAGAACTCAGAAAAAAATGTTAAAGTCTCTCTGGAAAGTAGAAGCCTGGGAAAAAACCAAACCAAACCCATTCTCCCATTGCCACCCAGAGATACTGTGAACATTTTGAGCTCACAGGGGAAGTGTAGGATTTTTCCCACTGTCAATGTCTATGTTGAGGGAGTAAGGCAGCCTGAAACCTCTTGCTCCTAGGTCCCATAGTCTCCACTCCCCTTCCAGCTGGAAATTTGTGCTGCAACCAGAGGAACCAGAAATGGGGTGAGAAAACTTAGGGGACTGGGTTGTAAGATCAAAGGCCGGTCTTGCAGCAGTAATGACAGTTCCTAGGGGCACTGTGACATCATTGCATTCCACTCCTCCCAGGGGAGGGGACCACATCAGCGCGATGTCCGAGTCGCTGCTCCACGATGGGGGAGGGAAACACACGGTTTCGACCCAGGTCCTCAGAGACGCCAGCCCAAGAAGCCTAGGGAGGTCGAGCTTGGGGCAGCAGGAGGGGAGGGCAGAGTCTGCAGTAGGGAGCCCCGGGAGTCACCAGCCCAAAGCCACCCAGGGATGACTGGTGAGGGCAGGGCCTGGGGCTGGGGGACCCAGGTCCTGGGAGACGCAAGCCCAAAGAGCCCAGGGAGGTTGGGCTTGGGGTGGCAGGAGGTGAGGGCTGATTATGGAGCAGGGAGCCCCAGGAGTCACCTGCCCAAAGTCACCCTGGGGTGATTGGCAAGGGCAGGGACTGGGCTGCTTGCTGAAGGGGTGGGGCTGACTGACTAGGCTTTGGTTGGGGGAGCCCAGAGGGGCTGGGGTTGGGGGGCCCCATCTGGTATGCCTCAGGAGTGGTATGGACTCTGGCACCGGTCTTGTCATCGGAGGGGATCTGTGGCTGGGTTGGGGGCCATGACCTGGTGTGTTTTACCTTTTTCTTGGCTGCGGCCAATTTCCCCTGTTGTGTTTTTTCTGACATCGCGGGGTGGGGAGGGAGGCGGGGTTGGGGCCACATCAGCGAAATACCAGTGAGCACACTGCTCAATGCCTCCAGTCACCTACCAGGCAGCTGTGCAACTGAGCCACAGGTGGCGTAACCAGGGCACCAATGGAACGCAGAATAGGGGCGTGGCCTTAATGCTCCAAGCCCATTGGTCAGTGAGAAAGATGAAAGGGAAAGGAGGCGTGGCCAGGCAGCAGCATGTCCAGAGGGACCTGTGGCATCATAAGGAAAGCTGCCCATGCAACCGCTGTCCCCGCCCACTCAGAGAAAGGGGAGGGGCCGCCCACTCTGGGAGAGGGGAAGGGCTGGGTTTTGCTTTAAAACTTTTAAAACTGTAAAAAATAAACTTTAAAAAATATATGTGTATATACTTTATATATATGTGTGTCTGTGTGTGTGTATCTATGTGTTCCTCCAGAGCTGTCTTCATTATGCAGCTTCTGTGCAAAGTCTGTGATTTTGGCCTATATTTTTCATCTTCAAATGGAGTACAAGAATTACCAGTATTACCTTAACTGAGATATAGATCCTATAAAAATGGAAAATCCATAGCATGCTTGATGATTAATGAAGCCGACTATAGTATCCAACATTCCAATAAGACAAAATAATCACAACAATTTCTCTTTTTTGGAAAAATGTTTGTCTTATTCTCCTACATTATTGTTAAGATTTCTTTTAAAAACAAGAAACATGTCTAATATCTTTAAAAACACAAAGCTTTTGGGCCGGGTGCGGTGGCTCACGCCTGTAATGCCATCACTTTGGGAGGCCGAGGTGGGTGGATTGCCTGAGGTCAGGAGTTCGAGACCAGCCTGGCCAACATGAAGAAACCCTGTCTCTACTAAAAATACAAAAACTAGCCAGGCGTGGTTGCGGGTGCCTGTAATCCCAGCTATTTGGGAGGCTGAGGCAGGAGAATCACTGGAACCCAGGAGATGGAGGTTGCAGTGAGCCAAGCTCACGCCACTGCACTCCAGCCTGGGCGACAGAGCAAGACTCCATCTCAAAAGAAATAAAATAAAATACAAAATAAGTAAGAACACAAAGCTTTCAATTTAATAACCACTTAAAGCTCTTTACTGGTTTAAGAGAAATACAAGGCCCATTTTTCTAGAATCACCTGGCCTCTCTAAGCCTTGCAAATGAAGCTGAATTTCTCACTTGATACTTGGCTATCACTTGCAGTCATGAAAACCAAGAATTTGTTATGTCACTGTGTATTGCTTGTTACCTGAAATCCACACTAGGCTGGGATCAAGGGTTGAATCTTTCATGATTTTCTCCATAACCTGTGTGCTTCTTATCCCACACCAAACTAAGCTTTTTTTCTAGAGCTCTGCAACTTACAGTTAGTATATGAGAGCAGTTCTCAAAAATGTAGTCTCTGGACTAGCAGCTCCAGCAGCACCTGGGAACTTCTTATAAATACACATCCTCCGGCCCCACCCTGGACCTGATGAATCAGAAACTCTGGAGTAGGGCTCAGCAATCTGTGCTGCAGTAATCCCTCCAGGTGTTCAAGAACCTCTGGCATACAGCAGGTAGAAAAATGTGTTTCCTTCTGTAGGTCCAAAACCAGGGATACTATATGTTTTCTCTATATGAAACAATGACGTGCAATTAAAAGACATAAATCTCCTTCCTGCTCCCACCTTCCAGCCAATGTGTTTTATTTTTATGAGTTAAATAAGAAAACAATCAGAGATTTCGTCTAAATCGCATATTTACAGGTATCAGTTCTCATCCAGCCTGATCTTATCCAATATCATTTATATTCTCTTACATGTGAAGTTTTAGAGAAGGATCTTCACAATGTAAGACTCAGGCACACTAGCAGTTCTGTAATAAAACACCAAGTAGATCAGAATGTCCAAACTTACTGGAGAAGAAAAGTGGAATCATTGGCTATATTTTCAAATTGCAATAAACAGGATATTAAAGTTTTGAATTTTTTTCACCTTCATCCTTCCACGTTAATAGAATTAAGCCAAAATACTTGTCTTCCAAAGCCTCTAGCCAGGCAAAATTTTACTATATTACTTCTTGCTTTTCAATGGCTATAAAGCAGACTCCTGGTAGGCACATTTGGTATACCTGCAAAGATGAAGAACTAAACAGTTCCATCTGTTCAATACTGAAACAAAAGTCCTGCAAACCTCGGATGGTGAGTGTAATACTTCAGCACTAGCACCAAAGCCTCAAATATGAAAAGATACCAAGAACACCACTAGCAAACAAAACTAAACTCTCGGCTGGGAGCTCTAGTTCATGCCGTAATCCCAGCACTTTGGCAAGCAAAGGTGGGAGGATTACTTGAAGTCAGGAATTCAAGACCAGCCTTGGCAGCATAGTGAATTCACACCTCTACAGAAAGTTTTTAAAATTAGCTGGGTGTGGCAGCACACTTCCTGGGGCAGATGTGCCATTGCTGGAAACTTCTCTATGGAGAGTACCAAGTACTTCTACCTGTAGCATTTTCCCTGGCTGGAATCCTGCAATTATCACAGTAGCCCGAGATCCAAGAAGGCAGAGCAGGAGCATCCTGTCCCCTCCCCAGCAGGTGCAAGGGAGGCTGGGGGGTGAGGCACAAGCCCGTGGGAGGGTGAGGAGCAGGAGGGATGCATGGTGAGCCTCTGTTGACTGCTTGCTGCCTCAGCTGGAAGGTCAGGACCAAATGTCTATTACAGGTTAAATTACAGAAGTATTTCAGATTTTGGATTTTTTTCAGATTTTGGAATTCGAAAATCTGAAATCCAAAATGCTCCAATGAGCATTTCCTTTGAATCTGGCCTTCGAACATCATGTCGGCACTCAAACAGTTTTGGATTTTGAAGCATTTCAGATTTTGGATTTTCGGATGAGGGATGCTGTATTATCTTCTGAATGAGGCCACTCATTCAGGAAAGCCCAGAGCTTGGGGACGTGGAGCTGCAGACCAAAGAGGTGATTTCTGTAGTGGCTTTCAGTGCGGAAGGGCCTACAAAGTGGTTTAAAGCAAGCCACAAAATAGGAAACCCAATATTTAGCTAATGGAACTCTGATAAAACCTGCTCAAGATGTCTGTCTCTACTAATTCAGATGGAGCCAAGCCAAAGCATCATTATTATTTTAAAAAGGCACCAATCCCTCTGCAAAAGCACTGAATTATATCATGATACAATCATCAATTGTACCATGAATCACCATCAGCGGTGGTCTTTTAGGGATATGAAGAAGGGGTTTTCACAATACATCGCATGACACACCATCTTCCAAATCTCTAAACATTTCTCTCCACAGCCCAGTCCTCTCCATAGTTGTCCAAATCCCTCCCTCTTTTCTCTTGTTGTCTCCAAAACTCAAAACCATGCTCTGACTTTCTATATCCCGCCCTCCCCTTCTTGGACCACCTGGGAAGCCCCCTGCTTCCCCAGGGTGTCCCCTCCTCCCCTTCTGGGATCAGTCATCTTTCCTCAAATGGACCAGTTCGGCCTCTCTTAGTTTCTCCAACTCTGCATCTCAACCTTTCTCCCTTCACTACACAATAATGTCCAGGAGGCAAAGAGCCCACAAACCTGGGAACCTCCCTTTCCAGAAGGGAGGTTCTGGAATGACTACAAATATTTGGTTATGATTTTCTTCCCTGCCACGCCTGTTTTCATGGGCAGTGCTGAGCCCCGGTCCTGGCAGAGCTCAGAACCAGGCTCTCATGAGCTGGGGCAAGTGGGGCCTAGGGAACCTCTGGGTTGAGGACCTTGCACCCCACTCTGCAGCTGCCCTGCTGATTTGGCTCATGCAACCTCTCCTCCTGGGCTCAAGCGATCCTTCTACATCGGTCTCCCAAGTAGCTGGGATTTGGGCTACCACGTTTGGCTAATTTTTGTATCTTTTAGTACAGATGGGGTTTCACCTGTAGCCCAGGCTGGTCTCGAACTCCTGGGCTCTAGTGATCTACCCTCCTCAGCCTCCCAAAGTGCTGGGATTACAGGTGTGAGCCACTGCGCCCGGCCTTGTGCCAGCTTTTAAATATCAACAAGGACAAATTAGAGAACAGTGGAAGAGGGTGAGCAGCATGATGAGGTGATACAGAAATAATTTCACATGAAGAACTGGGCATGCCTGGCTTTTTTTTTTTTTTAAGCTATTCTGGGTTGGATGCTGAGGCTCACACCTGTAAGCCTGTAATCCCAGCACTTTGGGAGGCCGAGGTGGGTGGATCACCTGAAGTCAGGAGTTTGAGACCAGCCTGGCCAACATGGTGAAACCCTGTCTCTACTAAAAATACAAAAAATTAGCTGGAATTGGTGGCATGTGCCTGTAATTCCAGCTACTCGGGCAGCTGAGGCAGGAGAATCGCTTGAACCTGGGAGGCGGAGGTTGCAGTGAGCTGATATCGTGCCATTGCACTCCAGCCTGGGCAACAAGAGTGAAACTCTGCCTCAAAAAAAAAAAAAAAAAAAGAAAGAAAGAAAAGAAAATATATCTATGCACCAGAGCTCAACACTAGGTTAGGAGCATTTCTGAGATTTGGAGCTATTCAACCATGGAAGTTCCTGGCACATACATCAGGTATTCACAATACCCTTTCTCAGGTGTTTGGTCACTGCTAGTGAGCCTGCCTGGATCAGTGTTTCCCAAATGGCAGTCATTTGCATCTTTGCATTTTTTTTGGGGGGGGGGGGTTGTGGGGGTATATACCATACCAGATTTTTTAAAAATTGACATTAAAAATACATGTATAAAATGTGTAAAGTGCACTAATCTAAAGTGCACTGGATGTATTTTTTATTGATGTACATACTTTTGTTATCCATCACCCAGGTCAAAATACAGAATCAGCACCACAGAGGGTTCCCTCCTCCTCCTTCCCAGCCAATAATCTTCTCCTCCTACCTAACCAACTGTTCTTACTTCAATCACTGTCAACTACTATTTTACATTCTTGAACTGCATATAAAGTGTCTCAAGTTTCACTTAACACTTTTCTTGAAATACACTTGTTTTTTGCCACTTTTTATTTGACCTAAGAAGTAACATTAATGAAACAATGATTTGACGTGATAGGCATTTCCCTCCTAATGAGCACTAAAACACTTAACTATTTGAAAAAAGAAGTTTCTCCGTGTACCAGCTAATATATTCTCCTCGGCCGCCGTTGGTACACGGACCACATTTTGTTTCTCAAAGCAATCCGATGATTTCTGAGGTCCTTTGCAGCTTGAACACGGAACGACTGTGGTGATCGAGTAGCCAAAAGTTCACGGAATGCACTGTCACAATTGTGATTCCGCCATAGCGCCGTGCATCCATCCAACACTTGTTTAATACCTATATTTAATACCTAATACCTTAGACTGTCCTAGGCTGTGGACACAGAAGACTAAACCCCACTTCCTGAGTTGAAGTGGGGGAAATAGAGGAGTAAATCATTTCACGATGTGTGGTTAAATGCTACAGCTCAGGTAACCACGAGCACACAGAGAAAGGGCAGTTTCTAGAAACAGGGCGGAGAGGAGACCGTGAGTGGGCATTTCCCAGAGCAGTCTCTGCCAGCCACCCTGCTGTGATCACTTTGCCACAGAGCAGCCCCGGCGGTCAACCTCAGCCTCCCTTAGCAACCTGAGCGCCCCGCCCAGGTGCCTTACTATTGGTCTCGTGGAGCGGGATGGGCAGCTCTGCCGTGCAATCCCAGCTCGCAGCCCTTGCTCCGCGTGTACTCACGGGAGGACTCGCAGACGTTACTGCCCTCTTGCGTGCCCCGGCCACCCCCGGGCGGCTTGTAGCCGGTGCGCGGGGTGGCTGGGGCTACGTGCAGAGCTGTCGCGGAGCCGGAACAGCAGCGGTGAAGCCCCTCGGCTCGGCCGAGACCGCCGTGCCCACTGCTCGCCTCGGTTGCCGCCGCTTTAGCCGCAGCCGCTGCTGCCGCCGCCGGGGGAGAGGCAGCCTATTGTCTTTCTCCGCGGCGAAGGTGAGGAGCTGTCTCGGCTCGGCCCGCGGGGGAGCCCCGGGAGCCGCACGGTGAGAGCGCAACTTAGTTGGCGGAGTTGGGGGAAGTTTTGTGATTTGAGGAGGGGTCGGGGTGCGGAGCGCGGCCCGTCCCCTGCGGCCGCTCGGTGGGGCGGGCCCCAGAGGAGGGTCGGGGGCTGCGCGGGGCTTCAGGGGCGGGCGGCACGGATGGGTAGCCGGGCGGCGCGGGGACCTCAGCTTTGCGGACCCCTCCTCCCTGCGCATCACCCTTCTCCCGCATTGTCTGCTTGGGGCTCGGCGCGCCTCCCACTCCGCAGCCCAACTTGGGGGCCGTCGCCGCTTTCCGGATGGGGGGCGCGCCCGGCGGCGGATGGCCCCGAACCCTTGCCCCGGGTCCCCGGGTTGGCGCCGCTGGGGCGGACTCACTCCTCCCCTGGGGCGGGCGGCCGCGGTGTGGAGTCCGCGCCGCGAACAAGTGCTGCGGGCGCGAGGGAGCGGTTCCCCGGGGCCGACGCGGACGGTAAACCTGTCCGGCGGCGCCCGCCTGCTGGGGCCTCTCCGCTGTTTCTCGCGGGCGCGGCCCGGCTGAAACTGCGACCGTCGGAGGCGAGCGGCCCTCTGGGACCCGTGCAGCCGGTCCACCTTGCAGCTATACTTTGAGACTAAACATTTTTTTTTTTTTTTTTTTGCAAAGGCAAACCGGTGTGTGAAGTTGAAAAAAGCAAAAACCCTCAAATTTTCCTTCTTTTTTCTTTTTTTTTTTTTTAAATCAAGAAAGGGGGTAGATAGGTTTGTTTTGTTTTGGAAATAGTTTTTATAGCAGAGTGATACCGTCACATTTAATGATCCTACTGTGAATTCAAGAATTCACGATGAAAGTTGGATTGAGCGGTATTTTGGTGTTCATTCTTTGCTGATACTCATTAATGAAGTTCGTTGGAGAATTTATTGCTTCAGTACAGTAAAAACCAGTGTGCCTTTTTTTTTGTTACTACTCCCCCCTCCCCGCATTGTTTTATTTTTCGAAGAAGCACTTTATTCAGTTTTTCTAAGCCACGGGATTGCCCAGATGAGGACCAACGGTGCAGTTCTTGAAAGGTCATTATTGGCAAGTTTGTGAGGGAGCTAAGATGAGTTGAGATAAACCAGTGTTACTGTTCTTGTATTCTGTCGTGGACTCTTGGGGATTTGCAGGCTGCATTAAGTACAAGTCTGGTCCAGTTTTGGGTGCACGTATTCCACTGAATTTGGTTCGTCTGGCTTATTATATGAACATGATTCTGTTTCACTTCCCCAGATGGAACTAGCTTAAATGTCTATCATTTATAGTGACAAATGATCAAAATGGCTAGAGTGTCATTTATTAACTTCAGTTGTAGTCTTTTACCTTACCTTCTGCTAAATGAAAAAGAAAAATTTGACAAATACTGTGTGCGTCATTTTGCTCTGAGTGATTTCTCGTGCTAAGTGAGTCCTGTGGAGAAGCGTTCCTGGGCTTTTCTGGTTTGGTGGGCCTTGTGTTATAAAACCAATTTTCTTCACCTGATGAAGCTAAAGACAAATTTTCTTCAGGCACAGGCATTGCCCTTTTAAACTACAGAGCCACTTGTAGGATTCACAATACTCACTCAATGGCTTCCCTTCCTGGCAGTGTGGTTTTGTGTGTGTGTGTGATTGTGGGGAAGGAGGCTGACAGAGGTTGGAAGGGATTGTCAGGGAGGGACATCATGTAAGCAAGTACTAACAACATAACGTGACGAGGGCACCAGTTGCTTTCCTTCTGTGGGCGGTGATGGCATGTTATACTGTAGGTACTATTGTTGTAGGATTTCTCACAGTTCGTTTGCCTTGACTAAATGGTAACTGCACACATACTATACTATAAATGGACTCCTCCTCTAGTCCTTTAACTCCTTGAGGGCTGTGATAGACCTTATTTAACTTTGTACCCTCTTTGCCAGTGGTCTTAACATAGTGCAGGCACGGTATGTGTTTGAATTGGGTAAATTACTTTTACTGCCTAGTGGTAGCTGGTGTACACAGGAGAGGGCCACCAACTCTGGGGACTTGTCCAAAATGACAATTCACTTGCAGATCTCTGATGAAATTTACTTTAAAAGGATTTCTAACCTTTTTTTTAATCTGTCGGTTATTTTTTGAAAAGAAGTGGGGCTTAACTAGTGCTCTAAGGATTTTAACAAGAGATTCCGATTTAGAAATCTGTCCCCCCTTTTGGTGAAATTCTTATTTTTTTTAGAGTCAGAATCTTCACTGTTGCCCAGTTGTCTCCCCGGGACCCAAGCCGTCTTCCCACCTCAGCCTCCCACAGTACTGGAATTACAGGCGTGAGCCACCCCACCCAGCTGGTGAAATTATTAAAATTGTAGTGAAAACTCTGCCTCCATTGTGAAATTGGAAAAAAATTAGAAATTTTAGAAAAAAGTACGCCCTTTGGAGCTAGGTAGAGTTCACATCCCCACATTTCCATTGAGTAGTTGCATAGCCTCTCAGAGCTTCAGCTTCCTACTCCTTAAGGGTTAGTAACATGCTTTGCAGTGTTGTTAGAAATCAGTGAAACTGTGTGAGATACTTAACTGCAGTATCTAACATGGAGTAGGTAGCTATTTCCTGGTAGCTGTAATGATAATAATTTTGATACGTTTTTACATGACTTAAGCATTCTGAAAAGTCTGATGCTTCTGAGTATGGAGGCTTAGCTATTTCTTTCATAAAGAAGGGGCCCTGAGACTTGTGAGTCTTATCCAAATGCATTTCTTCAAAGGTGTCAGATGAACTGAAGGATAATGGAAACAATAGCAAATTTATCTTCTCAGTCACCTGTGAGTCTTCCTTTGAGAGTGGGACTTGCAGAGTACTTGGTAGGGTAGAGCTCTTTGTGACTATGCTATTTAGGAAATGGTGAGAGATGGATTGTTTTCAGTACATCAGTCATAAGAGGATATGAGTGAGTTCCAACTTTCCTTATTTTACCTTAGTCTTGACAAATAACAAGTATGGATTATGTCTGTATTTCTCCGACTTGTTTAAGGTAGAACTGGACTGGGTGTTAACAGTGTTAGTTCAGTAGAGACATGAGCAAATCACTCACTTCCCCTTCAAGATAACACTTTAAAGGTGCCACCATTTGCAGAAGAAAGCAGGATTTAAAGCAGCTATACTAGCACAGTTTAGAATACTTACACTAGCTGATGGAGTAGATACATTCTAGAAATATTTACCTGTAGTGGGAGTTGAACAGTGAGAACACACGGACACAGGGAGGGGGGAACATCACACACTGGGGCCTGTTGGGGGTTGGGGGGCTAGGGGAGGGATAGCATTAGGAGAAATACCTAGTGTAGATGACGAGTTGATGGGTGCAGCAAACCACCATGGCACGTGTGTACCTATGCAACAAACCTGCACGTTCTGCACATATACCCCAGAACTTAAAGTATAATAATAAGAAAGAAAAATAAATATTTACCTGTTAAGGACATTTCTGTGTATTTTATTCCATCTTTCCAATAGTTTTCTTATGAAGAGATTATAGTAAACCTTTGAACTTAACAGATTGAGGGTAAACCTTTAAAAAATATATTTGGTCACACTTACAGACTGAGGGTAAAAACATTCCTGACAAAGCTAGGCGAAGACACTTGGACTTTTTTTTTTTTTTGAGACGGAGTCTCGCTCTGTCACCCAGGCTGGAGTGCAGTAGTACGATCTTGGCTCACTGCAACCTCTGCTTCCCCGGTTGAAGCGAATCTTCTGCCTCTCCCGAGTAGCTGGGACTACAGGCACACGCCACCATGCCTGACTAATTTTTTATTTTTAGTAGAGACGGGGTTTCACCATATTGACCAGGCTGGTCTTGAACTCCTGACCTTGTGATCCACCCGCCTCAGCCTCCTAAAGTGCTGGGATTACAGGCATGAGCCACTGCACCCGGCTGAAACTTGGACTTTTGATGTTTCCTTCTTTTAAAGTTAACATCTAGCACTTGAATAGACTTGGTTATTACTGATGGGGACAGGCATCCATTTGGAAGTAGCTTCCCTCTCTCTCTCTTTCCCAGGTTAGGCTGTCTTACTGCTGTAAATGGGGAGAGAAGAGAAAGCCGTGGGTGGAAGAAAGTGTTTCATGGCCTGGTGCGGTGGCTCATGCCTGTAATCCCAGCACTTTGGGAGGCCGAGGCGGGTGGATCACTTGAGTTCAGGAGTTCAAGACCAGCCTGGCCAACATGGTGAAACCCCGTTTCTACTAAAAACAGAAAAATTAGCTGGGCATGGTGGCGGGCACCTGTAATCCCAGCTACTTGGGAGGCTGAGGCAGGAGAATCACTTGAACCCAGGAGATGGAGGTTGCAGTGAGCCGAGATTGCACCACTTCACTCCAGCCTGGTCGACAGAGCGAGACCTTGTCTCAAAAAAAAAAAAAAAAAAAAAAAGTGTCCCACTCAGTTGCCCAGGCTGAAACGCAGTGGCAGGATCACTGCTCACTGCAGCCTTGAACCAAGCGATTATCCCACCTCAGCCTCCCAAGTAGCTGGGATCACATGCATGCACCGCCATGCCTGGCTAATTTTTTTATTTTTGTAGAGACAGGGTCTCTCTATGTTGCCCAGCCTGGTCTCAAACTCCCGGGATGAAGCAATCCTCCCACCATGGTCTCCCAAAGTGTAGGGCTTACAGGCGTGAGAGCCTGCTGGGGTTTTTGATTGACATTGCATTGAAACTGGAAATCAGTTAGGAGGCAACTGACATTTTAATAATGAGCCATGAACATGGTATATCTATTTATTTAGACCTTCTTAGATTTTTCGTCAGTGTTTTGTAGTTTTTAGCAGTTGGATCTTGCTTGTATTTTGAAATCTTACACATTTATTTCATGTTTGTGGTACTGTTGTGAATGATACTTCTCAATTTCCAGTTGGTGATTGCTAGTATATAGGAAGGTGATTTTATGTTATATGCTGACCTTGGATTCTACAACCTTGCTAAACTCATTTTTAGTACTAGAAGCTTTTTTGTAGATTTTTGGAATTTTGTGCATAGACAGTAATGTCACTGGCAAATAAGGGCAGTTTAATTTCTTTGTTTTCACTTTGTATACTTTTATTTCCTTTTTTTTTTTTGAGACGGAGTTTCTCTCTTGTTGCCCAGGCTGGAGTGCAATGGCGTGATCTAGGCTCGCTGCAACCTCTGCCTCCTGGGTTCAAGCGATTCTCGTGCTTCAGCCTCCCCAGTAGTTGGCATTACAGGCGCCCGCCAGCACGCCTGGCTAATTTTTGTATTTTTAGTAGAAATAGGGTTTCACCATGTTGGCCAGGATGGTCTCAAACTCCTGACCTCAGGTGATCTCCCCGCCTCGGCCTCCCAAAATGCTGGGATTATAGGTGTGAGCCACCGCTTCCGGCCTAAGAGGACACAGTTTCTTTGGCTTATTAAGAGGTATTTGGTTAGTGTTAGACCGGGGGTTGGTACATTATAGCTTGCTGACTGGATGTACCATGCTGCCTCTTTTTATAAATGAAGTTTTATTGGAACACAGCCACACCCATTCATTTACATATTGTTTAACAGAGACCATATGACCTACAGACCCTAAAATATTTACCACTTTGCGCTTCGCAGGCATTTTGCTGGCTACTGCTGTGGACACCAATTTTAATTTAGGTAGATAAACTTTTTTGTAGCTTCTGAGGTTTTGCATTAATTTGCTCAGGCATATAGGTTGGTGGAAGTGCTTTCCGTTCCTTCTCCCAAACCACTCACACAGCCATATAACTTCATGCCTGAGTTTCTGTGTGGTCCTCTATGGTGAGTGAGTTTTTACATACTTCTTTGCAGCAGCATGAATTTCAAAAATCTCAACACTTTTGCTCTTGCTAATCTTTGTAAACTTTGCACACCCAGTGCTGGTACATTCTGATGATAGTGCCCACACTGCACTCTATGAAGAAAAGACTGATGATTGTTTATATTAAAATGCAGGAAGAGAATTGTAGCGGCAACTTTTGCTTCTCTAATCAGCAACATCATAAGAGACTTACTATGTGTGGGCAGGGGGGAGAATGTTAATTTATACATTGAGATAGTTGTATTAAAATTGAGTGACTCTTACTGTGACATAAAGTGAATGTGTCTCTCTTATACAGCAGAAAACTATTAAATTTGTTTTTTCTCAGCAGTATAAAATAAAGTGGAAAATGTGGGAAGAATACAAATCCTTAACTTCTGTGCTTCTGCTTATTTCACACCCCTCAAATTTCTGATTCCTTTCAACTGTAGCTGGCTTTACTACTGAGTGGTGAAATTGCTGAACATACTTAAAACTACATCATTTAAGACTTTGAATTTTGACATCTCCTCCTCTTCACAGTCTTTCAAATACTAGGCAACCTGTAGGGTTCCACTGTGTCTGTCATGTGTTGTCCCTGTGTTACATGAAAGCAGCCCCAGTGAACTTGTGAATTTGCTCAGTCATTTCACTGGCTACTGGGTGAGGAAGAAGTAGGATTTTCTCTCTTAAAATTCCTTGGTGAAATCATTGGATGGGCACGGTGTGTTTCTTTAATTTTCCTTTTGGTCAAAAATCTGACAAAGCAAAGACTTTCAGTTGTTCTTGGTCTTTCAATAGGTTTAGTTTTTAAGTGTGTCTACTCTGACCAAAAATTGCCTTCCTGTAATATGCTCCTTCCTTTAGAACACAGTTCTTAAGTAGAGTTTGTTTGTTTAAATGTATAAAAATAAGTTAATGCATTCTATGCAGCGAGGTTTTGCATCAGAACCCTGAGTTCTCAATGTGGCAGGTTTAAGTGTCTAGAACACCTTTTACCTGTTTTTTCTATTACTTGCTTTTTTATATTTGGGGTAAATGATATCTTTCTCAGGGAGGCCTTCCCTCAGCACCATGTTTAAGAGGGCATCTCCCTCATTTGCTATTCCTTCTTCTGTTTTATTTTGCTATATGGAATTTGCTACTATGTGAAAACTATTTTAATGTTTTATTTACCTGTGTTACCCCTAGAATAATATCTATGAAGGTAGGGATTTTTATCTGTTCCTTCTGTGCCTACAGAGTGTTGAGGAGTATGGTGTCTGGCACGTTGTAGGTGCACAGTGACAGCTGAATTAATAACGTCAGGGAGAGTTTGTAGGATGGGGCTCAAGGTGTAGGGCAAGTCAGTTTTTAGATTTGAGGTTATTAGCAGGAGACGATGTGGGGGGAAAACACATGTTTTAATGTCAGACTGGGTTTGAATCTGGTCTCTCCAACTTACCCTTTGACCTTGGTGTTAAATAATTTAACCTTTGAAAGATCAACTTTTTCACTAGTGAAACGGGAAATAGTATCTTTTTAATGGGGATTAAATGTAATATCAAATATAATGCTCTGTAAATGTTAGTTTTGTCTTTCCCCTTGTGTGCCAGCATTGTGGAAGTCTGAAAGCAACCTGAATTTACCAGTCTGTTTCTGGAGCCTTCTGGGGTCATTACTTTGATTACTTTTGACAGATACATTCTTTTCAGCAGCCTGCATTGCCAGCATAACAATGACCTGTCCCTTTGACCAGTGTGGGGGACAGACACTTTGTCATCCCTCTTTTAATCCGTGTATCAGAACAACTCCTACAAGTTCTGGCTTTGAAACATGTTTAGAGGAGTTTATAATTCCGAACAGTTCAGATGACATCAGCCCTTTCTTAGAGTCCTCTGAGTTTGCTCAGCTTCCTCATTCCAGTGTGGCGGGAACCATTCAGTTAAATTGATGTTTGTGGTCTTTACACATAGTCATCCTAAGTTTCTTGCAAATCATGAGCTATCAGAGGGCTACTAAGTCACTAGTTTGTCTCTGTAGATTTCTCTAATCCAAGCTTGTCCAACCGCGGCCTGCAGGCTGCATGCAGCCTGTGAAGGCTTTGAATGTGGCCCAATACAAATTCGTAAACGTTCTTAAAACATTGGCCGGGCACGGTGGCTCACACCTGTAATCCCAGCACTTTGGGAGGCCGAGGTGGGTGGATCACCTGAGGTCAGGAGTTTGAGACCAGCCTGGCCAACATGGTGAAACCCCGTCTCTACTAAAAATACGAAAATTAGCTGGGCATGGTGGCACACGCCTATCATCCCAGCTACTCGGGAGGCTGAGGCAGGAGAATGGCTTGAACCCAGGAGGCAGAGGTTGCAGTGAGCCAAGATGGTGCCACTGCACTCCGGCCTGGGTGACAGAGTGAGGCTCCACCTCACAACAAACAAAAAATTATGAGATTTTCCTTTTTTGCAATTTTTTTAAAGCTTAGCAGCTATTATTAGTGTTCGTGTATTTTATGTGTGGCGCAAGACAATTCTTCTTCCAGCGTGGCCCAGGGAAGCCAGAAGATTGGATCCCGCTCCTTTAAGTTTTATGGATTAACAAGGGGTTAATTCCTGTATCAGTTTCACTGATGTTTCTTCTGCTTGATGCAGGAACACTTGACAAGTTAGTTAAGGTAGATTGGTCCATAAATGTATAGGTTCTTTCATTCCCATGTCCTAGGCAAGTCTGAGCAGGACCTGGAAAGCTGATTAAAAGGCCAGTGAGCACAGTGAGCTTAATTGTAAATTAAATGGATATTTAATACATTAAGAAGGCACTCAAGCCTTTCAATCTTTCATTTTCATCCATGCTTGCTATTTGAATCTGATGGGCTTGATATTGACCTTGTTCTTCTTGTAAAAATGTTGGTTATTGCTGCCTTTCTCAAGCTTGGTTTTCAGTGTGGATTTCTGCAGATAATTTTTGCACCTAAAAGTACAAAGTCATTAAGTGAAGGCAGTCAGGAAGGAAAGAGTGCCCTGAGCCAGGAGGTCTGTTATAGCACATGGGGTGGGCAAGAAAATGAATGGACATGGGCATGGAGGTGGTTCAGTCAGTGTGGGAAGGCCACCTGCTTGTCAGCTTTCTACTGCGTTGTCCAGCAGAACACGTTGAAGCTTGGGGCCTGCAACTCGTGTAGAGATGATTGCATTTAGGAGGCTGAGGTAGATTTTTTCCCTCTTAAGTGTGTGCTCACTGCTTTTTGGCGAAGTCTTGACCCGAGACATACACAGCTTGATCTGTGAGGATTTTAACATCGAGATGGTTCTGTTATTTGAGTTAGGCATGGCTAGGCTACCAAGGCATTGCTTTTCAGTCCAAACATTTGGTCATTTCAATTTATTGTTAGTGAGGTTTTTGCGATTTGTTAGAACACAGAGTTTGGGATTTTGTCTGTTTTTTGCATGTGTGAACGACACTTGATATTGTTGTTTATATTGCTGGTTAGTATGTGCCTTCATTTACCTATTGTGAGTAAGAAACTTCCTCAGATCAAATTATAGTGAAGTCGCTTGGTTCTGTTTCTCTGACTCTTAAGAGGATGAGATCACTTTATACACAAACTCAAGCTGTTTGGTAAAGGACCTACCATTCTGAGCATTCATAGCCTAGATGAAGTCCTGGTCCAATCACCAAGTTAAACTTTTAAAAAACATGCTGTTCTTAATGTTCAGGAATTCAACCCTGGAAGCCTTCTCTAAATCTTAGTGAGAGTTTTATGAGAATTCATTTAGTGAAAATATCTATCAGGGAATCCGGCTATTAACTTTGAGGAGGGTCATGCCTTTTAGTGGTTAGAGAGGCAAGCTGTAGCCTCCCTTCTCAGAGAAGGGGAATTGAGGAAGAGGGTTCTAGTGGTCCCTTGCAATCCTCCCCTCACTTTCCAGGCTCCCTAGTAAGACCGGAAGAAGTCCCTGAGTAAACAGCATTTTGTGAGTTTGAGGGACTATGTAAAAATGTAAGTGAACATACAATGGTTTTGCTTTGATAACTGTTTTAAATATCCTGTTGGTTGTTGAAACTTCTGTGACGGTGAAGCCTTTTTTGCCTTTATTTTTCAATCGGAAGATCTTTCTTCCCCACTTGAAAAGATGGAGTCTGGGGTCAATCCCTGACCCCGCTTCCTTCCTAAATCTCTTAGTGTATAGCATACAGCTGGGCATATGGTAATCTCAGGCACGGGATTGTACTCATAGAGCTATGCTTGACACCTAGGTCTTTAGATGGCTTCTATATTTTTGATGACAACTTTTAATTTTATTCTCATTTATTCCATTTCTGTTTCAGTGTCCTGGGTCATGAAACTTAATCCACAACAAGCTCCCTTATATGCGAGTAAATCATACGATTTCTTTTCATTTTGTATTTATTTGTTCTGTTTACTTGTTATAATAAGCCACACTCTCACATGATAGATCCTCAAGGAAAATTTTAACCATATGTGCATGAATATATTGGTGTAAGACACTTCAGAAATTGAGTTTGATTTAGTAAGTACTAAATGGCTAATCTGTGCATGGAACTGAAAACAAATAATACCTGTAAGACTTGAGAGTTAATTTAGTCAGGGCGATAGTATGCACGTATGAAACAAATTGTCCTGCCAAACAGTACTGTAGCTTCTTATTTTTTACCTGCAGTGCATTCCTGTAAAAGTAGTGTGGAGATCCTCCTACTGCCACTGTGATTTACGTTATGTTGCCACTAGGTGGCACTATGTCATTGGCAAGAGTGCTGTTTTCTTTAGGACTCTGGGTGAAAGCTGATATATCATCTCCCTGAAGTGAGGGACTTTGAAGATAAAATTGATAAATGATTGAATCAAGGCTGGAAAAGGTAGGCTGTAGGCGACTATTCTTCATTATTGTAAGAGTGAATTAATTGAATTTGGGTGGTGAAAAGTACCCGTTTGATGAGAAGCCAGCTTAGGGTTGTGGATGGTTAGAGCTGTGAGAGGCCAGTAGATGCTGGGTTGCTATGCTCTGGAGAGGGTGAGAAAATATATTTGTAATAGGACTTGATTCCAGCCTTCAAGAATATGGATCATTTATTTGGACAAAACGTCCCCAGAATTAGTTGAAGACAAAAGGCAAATGGTCAGGAATGGGAGGCAGTGAACATAGTGTTGGATGAATAGTCGGGGGATGGTCAGTGGAAACTCTGGCCCACCCAAGTTTGTGTCAGGTAATAATGGGAGATAAGCCTGAAAAGGTGGATAAAGCTCAATTGTGAAGGAAGACAAAGGTGTGAGGATTTTGTTTTGTGACCACCGAGGAGCCATTGATGGTGTTTATTTTAAGGATGCTTTTCCTTTTATGCGTTTGTACATAAAAACATAAATGTACTTAACCATTCTGTATTAATAATAGTCATTTACCTTTCCAACATAAAATGTTCATGTAACTTCTGCATAGCTGATTTTTACGTTAAATGTAACATGTAAAGAAATATATGTGTGTTTTTAGAAGACGTCTTATGTGCTCATTTTCTTTCTAGATTACTTGGAGATAATTTATGTTTACCAGTGGTTTTGCATGTGAACTGGGTACCTTGGGTTATTTATTATTATTATTATTATTATTTAGAAAACGGGTCTCGCACTGTCATCCTTGTTGGAGTGCAGTGGAGCGATCATAGCTCGCTGCAGCCTTGAAGTCCTGGGCTCTAAGCAGTCCTGCTTCAGCCTCCCGAGTAACTGGGAGTACAGGCGCATGCCACCATGCCGAGCTAAATCCTCCCTTTTAAAGTGTGTGATTCTTTGGTTTTTCGTGTGTATACAGTTTTGTAATTGCCATTGTCTGACCAGAACATTTTCATCACCCCCCAAAAAAAGTGCCATATCCATTAGCAGTCACTCACCATTCCCTGCTCCTCTCAGGCTGTGGCAACCACTTGTATACTTCCTGTCTTTATTGATATACCTATTCTGGAAAGTTCATATATATGTATGATATATATGATGTATATATGATGTATATATGATGTATGTGGTATATATATGATATCATATATAATATGATATCTATCATATCTATCATATATAATATGATATCTATCATATCTATCATATATAATATGATATCTATCATATCTATCATATATAATATGATATCTATCATATCTATCATATATAATATGATATCTATCATATATATCATATATAATATATCTATCATATATATCATATTATATATATATCATATGATATCTATATCATATATATCATATGATATCATATATCTCATGATATCATATATCTCATATGATATATATCATATATCATATATATCATGATATATATCATATATCATATGATATATGATATATAATTTTTGTAAATATATATGATGTATATGAAAAAATATATATCATATATGATATATGATTTTATATATTTATATATAGAAATTTATATATATAAAATTATATATAATATATATAATTATATATATATAAAAGTTCATGTATATATAAAATCATGCAATACACGGCCTTTTGTGACTGGCTTCTTTAATTTAGCATAGTGTTTTCAAGATTCACTCATGTTAGAACATGAATCAGTACCTTGTTCTTTTTATTAATGAATGACAGTCCAATGACTGGTTACATCACATTTTACTTATCCATTCACCAGTTGATGGGCAGTTGAGTTGTTTCCACTTTTGGTCTATTATGCATAATGCTGCTGTGAACAGCAAGTTCTGGTGAAGACATATGTTTTCATTTCTCTTGGGTATATACCTAAGAGTAGAATTGCTTGGGTGTATGATAACTGTGTTTAACATTTTGAGAAATTGGAAAACTGTTTTCCACAGTGGCTGCACCATTTTACATTCCTACCAGCAGTGTGTAAGGACTTCAGTGTTTCCACGTGCTTGCCAACACATGTTATCTGACTTTCTGATCTATAGCCACCCTAATGGGCGTGAAGTGATACCTCATTGTGGTTTTGATTGCATTTCCCAAATGGCAAATGATTTTGAGCATCTTTTTATGTGCTTATTGGCCGTTTTTCCGTATCTTTGGAGAAATGCCTATTCACATCCTTTGCCTGTTTTTAAATTGGGTTGTCTTATTGAATTGTAAGGGTTCTTTGCATATTCTGACTACAGGTCCCTTATCAGATACATGATTTGCAAAAATTATCTCTCATTCTGTGGGTTGTCATTTCACTTCCTTGATGCTATCCTTTCAAGCAAAATTTTCAGTTTTGATAATGTTCTGTTGTTGATTTTTTTTTGGCATCATATCTAAGAACAATTCTTTGCCTAACCCAGAGTCACAGAGATTTACTCCTATGTTTTCTTCTAGAAATTTTATAGGTTTAGCTCTTACATTTAGGTATGTAATGTGAGAGTTCATTTTTGTGTGTTTTGTAAGGGAAGAGTCCAACTTTTTTCTTTTGCATGTGGATCTCTAGATGTTCCAGAAGCATTTGTTGAAAAGACTGTTCTTTCCCCAATTGAATTGTCTTGGGCATCGTTGTTGAAATTGATCATAAATGTGAGGAATTTTTTCTGGATGCTGAATTTGATTCCTTTCATTTAGGTTGTCTTTGATTTCTTTCAACAGTGTTTTGTAGTGTTCATTGTATAAACTTGGTACTTTCTTGAAATTTGTTGCTTATGATTTTATTCATTTTGATGCGATTGTTAATTTTGTTATCTTAATTGTTCAGTTTTTGATTGTTCATTGATTATATATAGAAATACTATTGATTTTTGCATACCGGTCTCTGAAACTGTAGCCTTGTTTCAGAGGTCAATTATAGACTATAATCTGGCTTGTTTGTTTGGCAACAGCTCTTAAGTGGATGCCTTAGGATTTTCTATGTACAGGATGAAGTAGTTGGAGATCGTTTTCTTCCTTTCCAATCTGGATGCCTTTTATTTCTTTTTCTTGCCTAATCGCCCTGAGAAGCATCTCTGGTACAACATTGAATAGAAGTGGTGAGCACAAACATCCTTGTCTTGCTACTGATCTGAAAGAGAAAGCATCCAAGCTTTCCCCATTAAGTATGATGTTGTTAGGTGTGGGTTTTTCACAGGTACCTTTTGTTAGATGAGGACGTTCCCTTCTATTCCTACTTTGACCATTTTTATGATGAAAACGTGTTGGATTTTGTCAGGTGATTGAAGATGCTACACTGCTGGCTTAGAACATGGAGGAAGGAGCCCATGAGCCACAGAATGCAGCTCTAGAAGCTGGAAATAGCAAAAGAACACTTTCTCCACATAGAGACTCTAGAAGGAACACAGCCCTGCTGGCACTTTGATTTTTAAACAAGTGAAAGTCATTTTGGACTTTTGACTTCCAGAAATGATAACATGATAATAAATTTGTGTTGTCTTAAGCCACTGAGTTTGTGATAATTTGTTGTTAACAGCAATAGGAAACTAATAGAGTAGTAGTTTGGGGAAATTAGTGATAAAGGATAATTGGGAAGGAGAGGATAAATGTAGTTAGGTCAGTTTGAGTTCTCTGTGTGTTTCACTGTGTGTGTTTTGTAACATTTTAGTTTTTCCTAAAACCAAAGGATTAATTGACCTTCAAAAGGCAGCTACTTTTTGATTTCAGTCCGTAACCTTTTATCAAATCAATATTTTCCCCAAATAGGGTTGACAGGAAGCATTCTAAATTATCTCCTAATAAGTTGTTTTGACTTCAGATATTGAAATTGCAGGCCCGTCTCCCACCCATCTCTGTTTTCTCACCTTTTTTGTACGTTTTATAATAAGCCTTACATTGAAGTGTATGTGTCTGTCTGTCCCTCCCTCCTTCCCCCACCCCCTCCCTCTCCTTCCCCACTCTGTGTGTGTGTGTGTGTGTGTGTGTGTGTGTGTGTGTGTGTGTAATTACAAAGAAGTTGTAAAGGCCTTTTAAAGTAGTTATGATGTGATTTCCCCTCCTTTTAAAAAATAAAATATGTTAAGCATAAGTATTAACATCTTAGAGGGCAGGTAGGTGGAGACTTTGACTTTCTACTTTATCTTTGAATCGCTTAAATGTTTACAGTGAGCGTGTTATTTTTATGGTACATAGTAATTTTTGATGAAAACATTTTGAAGGCTGAAAAGAATGTCCTGTCTTTTGAAAATAAACCCATCTTTTTGTGCTAATTAACACTGGAGGCCAGCCAAGGCTTTATAATAAAATAATGCATTCAAAATACCTATGAAAGTGGCTAGTTGAAGAATATAATTTGCTTTGAAACGTAGCTTGAAATGGAAATACATTTCTAATAATGAAAGGTGTTGCTTTAGTAATAAATGAAAATAAAATATCCCATTATTATCCCTTCATAGAAAACAAATACAACCCTAAATGACATTTTAATTAACCAGTGATTTTCCTCTAAAGCTGAGATTTGTTTTTTTAATATGTAGGTAGGATTGGCAAATAGCGTACAGAAATCTGGACATCCTTTGAAGATAATTGTTGGGGTGGAATGGGGGCATAGAGTACTGTTTTATTGTGTTCATTTTTATTAATGAAACTGAATTTAGACCAAGCAGTGATTTCAAAGTGGAAGATGGAACAGGATGTTTAGTAGGTTTTGTAGACTGTTTTTGTAAAAGGCTTTGGTGCAGAACCTTTCATAAAATGAAATATTTTTTCAGCATGTCTGTTATTTACTTTTAGAATTCAGAGCAAGGGTTCTTGTTTGAAGAACTACAAACCTTTATTGACTCCAGATTTGACTCAGCTCTTTTATATTTTCTTTCTCACTGATAAGGGAAGGTACTTTATAAAGTAGATTTGTCATTAAAAAAGAAAAAAAGACTACATTTACCTGGTCAGAAGTTCTTTTGGGTTTAAAGAAAAAGATTGCAGCCCAGGTTGCAACAAATGGTCTGACAGTTATAATATGTTCCATCTTTCTTTTTTTTTTTTTTTTGTTTTTTGTTTTGAGACAGAGTCTCACTCTTTTGTCCAGGCTGAAGTGCAGTGGCACAATCACAGCTTAGTGCAGCCTTGACCTCCCAGGCTCAAGTGATCCTTCTACCTCAGCCTCACAAGTAGCACTCACCATCATGGTGGCTAATTTTTTTTTTTTTTTTTTTTTTTTGGAGAGACGGTGTCTCCCTGTGTTTCCCGGGCTGGTCTCGAACTCCTGGGCTAAGTGATCCTTCTGCCTCCACTTCACAAAGTGTTGGGATTACAGGTGTGAGCCACCATGCCTGGCCTCAACAAAAGTTGAACTATGTACTGTAGCCACCCTCAACAATGATAAACTTTTGGCTAATCTTATTTCATTTATACTCCACTTTGGATTATTTTGAAGCAGATTCCAGACAGATCACTTCATCTGTCAATATTTCTGTTTGTATCTCTTGAAGGTAAAGACTCTTTTAACCATGGATGAGTGTCTTGATCAAATCAACATGGCTTGTTCATGTCGATACCATTTGCTCAGAGGGGAAAGATTAAGGGAAAAATGGGGTTGGATTTGAAATGCCAGGACCTGTCTACTGGGTTTGTGATTTGTTATTCTCTAAAGTTGTAGCTCTTAAAACAAAGAAAGGAGTGAGTTTGGCCTATTCATTAACTTTTACTCTTTAGACAGTTCAAATGTTTATTGAGTTCTTCTACAGGGCGAGCCCTGCCTTCTTCATGCTTACCAAGAAGCATTTTTACGCGGTTTCTCTAATGTTTGGGTGAACGGTACCTCACTAAGTTGTTTTTCACGCACGTGCGTGCTCGTTCCTGAAGAGGCCTGTCCAGGTGCTCTGCCCGCTTTTCCTTTCAGGCTTCTGTATCAGCTGCCGTTTCCCTATAGAACGTGCCCTGACCTCCACCCCTTAACCCTAACCAATTTGCCTTTACATGTCTGACCATCCATCAAGGCTCTTTTGGGTCATATTCAGTCCATGTTGATATTTCCCCTTCCTCCCTTCTTTAGTCCTTACTATTTTTGCTTTGGTCATGTTTTCTTACACTGTATTCTGTAAGCCTGTTTAATTTTTTTATGGTGGCAGGGGAAAATATTTTATAATTATGCTTTGTGCTTTTTATCTTCCACTCAATAAATGCTTGGTAAATATTTGTTTTATTGAATGTATGAGCCTATTCTAGCTATATTGTGCTTGAACAAAAATCTTAACTGCCTTGTAAGTTAACTGCTAAGAATTTGTCAAAAGTGCAGAGATAACATCAAGAGCTTGTCATGGATAGTACAAAAAGGTCTCTAAGGGCTTGATGGAAGTCTGTAAATTGACTTCCTATGAAAGAGAGTGTAAGAAGTGAAAAAAAGCAAAACAGAGTAGATGTTTTACTCTGTTTGCCAAGGGATTTGTGCTATTTTTTTCCTGTTTTATAAATTTGTCCTAATCTTAAATAATGAAGGGAAAAGAGCACTCTTTTTCAACCAAGGAATCCTTTTTATACTTCTTTTCTGTGAAGCCATGTTATGAAAGATTGTTATACAAACTTAAGTATAGTTTTTCCATCTTCAGTAACAGACCTGATTGCCATCTAGTTACTGGTTCTGATCACACAAGAATGCAAAGCAGCTTGTTCTAATAACTTGTGCAGGCCTATTGGGAACTAGTATATGGCTTTGAGTCCTTTTGAAGTATTTAACATAATTTGGCAATTCCATTACGCCTTTTATGGACTTCTTGGCATCTATGAACTCTTGGTAGGGAATCACTGTTTTAGAATGAAAAATGTCTCCCAGGAAGTAAATTAGCCGGTAAACAAATGAAACTTCATTTTTTATATGACTTGTAGAGCATAAATTATTACTCTTTCTGCATAAGTGGCTGCTTTCTAGGCTGCTTTTAGCGAGATTGTTAGAAACAAATGATCGGTGCTGTGAGGAAGAAGCAGCACTCAGGCAAAAAAGTTTTCTCAGCAAGACAATTTGCTTCTGCAAGTATGCTGCTTGCATTAGTCATGATTGCAAGAGCACACCAAACGGGGTGGAGCAGGGGTTCTTATCCCTAATGCACTCCCTACCTCTGTGTCATTCCAACATGGGCTGGGGTAGGACTGCACAATCTTAGCTGACTCAGCTGGATATTGTGAATATTTTCTCTAATAAGAAAGGGAGGGGGAATGTGAGTTACAGATTGGGGCTGGTAGGAAGAGTTGTTTACAAGGCAGGTTACTAAGCAGGTAACTAAGCTGGTAAGTAGGGTCGAGAAGGTACAGGGAAATTGTTCTTAGGAACAGAGAACAAGGAAGTTGAACAAGTTAAACCTTTGAAGAGGAACTTACTGTACCTAACAATTCCCCCCTCTTAATTTTTGTAATTCTTCCTCTTCAAACTTTTTTAGCATGTCTTTGCTTTGCTGTTCTGCTTGGTTTTCTAGAAGGAAAAGCTTATCTGAATAGGGTGGAGGAGAGCTAAGAGAGGTTTTGGTAAGTTCTGTGTCTATGAGTCTTTGCAGTAGTCCACAAATGTATGGTATGATACAGCATCCAACAAGAATAAGCACACCTATAACGATTGCAAGAGAAGTAAATATTGAGGACATTAAGCCTTTCCATTTTCCAGACCATTTCTCCATTAAACTTGTAAAGGGATCATTTATTCCAGAATTGCTTGCTAACTCATTGGATAAGGAGGTTAGGTCCTGCAAAGCTTTTGTTACTGTTCCGTCAGGGGCTGTGTTATTAGGAATAAAAGTACATCATTGGACTCCAATCATGACACAGACACCACCTTTTTCTGCTAGCATCGTATCTAGGGCTATCCTGTTTTCCCAGACTATTTAGTTAATGGGACCTAATTGGGAGGCTGTTCCCTTAATGGCATGTCTTGTGTAGTTAACAAACCTTTGTTGGTTGTAATAAATGTAGTTTATCCGATCTACATTTTTATTTACAGTTGACCACCAAAACAGCACAGATTCAAATCCTGAAGCTGTTTGATTTCGGGCCTTAAATTTATCTGGTACCCCTCGTGGAACTCCAGTAGCATCTTTATAAACGTGGGAGTCAAAGGACCCATGAAGGTCACTTCTTCTCTTCTGATTTTCTCTTCTATTATGTTAATGGAATGCTAGGGTGAAAGGGATGGCCAGTTGGACTAGAGCACAAGTACCACTCCAGTTGCTTGGCAGAGTGTCCAGTAAGGGTCCACCACAATACCACCATACGTATGCTCGAGGATGAACAAGGGCAGACTGACTGGTAAGCTCTTGGGAGAGTTTAAGTTCACCGCATCCCTTTAGGTCTTCATGAAATGCCAAGTTTTCCCCTTGTTGTGAGAGACCCGAGGTAAAAATTGGTGTCAATAGATGGAGGCTGGATGGCCCTCAGGGACTGACCTGCAGGGTGTTGGACTTTAGGGAATAGCAGAGAGAGAGCTTGGCAAGATTCATTACCCCAGGCTGTGGGGTCTTGGAGAAGAGCTACCATACAGCTCATGCCCAGTTGGCTGGAAGACCATCCGAGTGGAAAGGGGACAACCTGGGCCTCTGGCCTACTGTGCGCACAAGTGTAACAGTTGCTTTTGTTTAGAGTGCGGACAGAATATTTAATCCATTCTAACCAAGCATTTGCATCTTGGTACCCTGTCTCAGTTGCTATGGTTTGTTTCAAATTTTTAACTTCTACAATGGCTTACCTTGATTTTATCCTTGGTTGAAGGAAGAACAGCGGTTTCGTTGAGAGAGAGTGTAGAAGGAGGTGGAGGAGGTGAGAAAGTAATGAAATGCATTTCAAAGGATTCTATAAGATGTGTCCCTGCTATTTTGGCTCCTATGCCGTATAAGCGACTTAAAGTAGGTTTAGGGTTGGCAGAAGTGGGGATAAGAATAGAAATTTGCACTGGATTACATTGGTTATACTGGCAGTCAGGGGGTGGGGAATGTTTCCTTTAACAAAGCAAACATGGTTTTAGAGACTTACAACTGCCTGTTGACAAAGCCCTGATGTTCAGTTGTCCACATAATATCATTCCAGCTGTGGCAGGCCTGTTTCCCTACATTTCTTAAGGAACAAGAGTCGTAATGGGGGAGGCTTTTGTCTGAAAGGGACGGAGATACTTCTCTGAGGCTGAGAGTTGCTTTTGACTTTGGAGATCTCCACAGGATATAACAAGGCAAGCATCAAAGGTAATAGTTTGGGGTGAGCTCGACCTAGTTACATTAATAACGAGAGGACTAGCAATAGAAGGGGAAAAGAAATATAGCATAAGAGGATCAAACCCGTTTTAGCTTTAACTTGGTTGGAATTGGCCCTGAAATAGCTGTCCATGATTCTGGAGTGGGTGGTGCTCTTTTGACTCAGGTATGGTGAGTCCATTCTTTTTCAGTGGTGTGGACGGCTGTCTCAGTCATTAGAAACACTAGATAATGTCCCTCCCAGGTGGGCTTGAGCTTCCTTTCTTTCTGACCTTTGATGAGAATGTGGTCACTGTCCGGGCTGGTGGTGGTGAACTGGAAATTCAAGGGGTGGTGTATGTGCCAAGAGGCCTTTAGTCCTAAGGAAAGAGAAAGTGGAGGATAGACCAAGTATATAGTTCTTGAGAAACAGATCTTTTGTTTCGAACGAGGAATGTCAGCAGTGGAGTGTAGATAAGGCAACTCATACAGCATTTCATAAGGAGGTGAGCCGACATCTTTCCTAGGGGCAGTTTGGAATCTTCACAAGACCATGGGGAGGCATTTAGTCCATGGCAACCGAGTCTCTAGGACTAATTTGGTTAGGTGGTTTTTCAGAGTCTGATTCATTCTTTCTACTCTTCCTGATGAAGGTGGGTGCCAGGGGTTATGGTAGTCCCATGTTATATCTAGTACTTGGGC
Source organism: Homo sapiens (assembly GCF_000001405.40). Classification (NCBI taxonomy): domain Eukaryota; kingdom Metazoa; phylum Chordata; class Mammalia; order Primates; family Hominidae; genus Homo; species Homo sapiens. Next base: position 82,493,098 of record NC_000015.10, on the reverse strand, counting down.
TAGTTTCTTAAGAACATGTGCAGTGAAATGAGTCCTATTGTCTGAATCAGCATTTTCTATTAATCCAAACCTGGGTATAATATTTTCAACTAATGCCTTGAGTACATTACTAGCAGTTGCACTTGAAAAGGGAATAGCTTCTACCCAATGAGTAAGGTGATCTATCACTAATAAATATTTTAAGTGACCAATTGGGGGCATTTCGGCATAATCAATTTGGACACTTTGGAACAGCCTTAATCCTGGATTTCTCCCTCCAACAGGTGGTTTTCTGAGGATCTGCTTATTAGTCTTCTTACATACTAGGCAACTATCTGTAACTTGTCTTGCCAAAATATAAATTCCTATACATCTGTAGACCCCGAGGACTGCATCACACTTAGCTTGAGGTCCCTAATGAGTCCCTTGATGCAGATGGGAGAGAATTTCCCTCATGAGGGGTTTGGATAACATTTCTCTTTGGTCTGGTGACACCCATTTCCCTTCTGAATTTTCTTTGGCTCCTATTTTTATTAATTTTTCCTTTTCAGCGGGAGAAAAGATGGGGACTGCAGTCGAGGGAGGAAGGCAAGGGGCTAAGTGAAAAACAGACATTTTCAGAGGAAACGGCAGTGTGTTTGGCTATTTGATCTGCTAGGTTATTCCTTCCGCTTTGAAAAGAAAGACTTTTCTGATGTCCTGGAACATGGACAATAGCTATTCTGGCAGCTGCAGGTTATCTAATACTTGGGTGATTAATTCTTTGTGGCCCAGGTCTTGGCCTTTGCTATTAATAAGATCTCGTTCAGTCCAAATTTTTCCAAAGGTGTGAGCTACCCCAAAGGCATACTTGGAATCAGTATAAATAGTCCGTTCTTGGTTTTGCAAGTGCTTTAAGGCTTGATTTAATGCAAACAATTCATTCACATGTTTGGGCAGACCAATTATTTGGCAGGCTTCCTGACTCTACTTCTTCAAGTGCCTCCCCATCTACTACTGAGTACCTATTATGCCTTTTTCCTTCAATTACTTGGGAAGAGCCATCTATAAAGAAGCCCTGCCCCGTTTTGTAAGGGGTCTCTCTTAAATCAGGCCTAACTTTTGTATGATCATTAAATCTAAACACTCATGCTCAGGTCTCTTTAGATTTGGATCTCCAGTCAGGAAACCTCTGGGTTAAGTGAATTATCAGTGGTTAGTGTTAAATCATCTCTTTCTAACAGGATAGCTTCATACTTTAAAATTCTCAAGTCAGTAAGCCACCTTCCTGCCTTTTAATTTAAGATGGCTCTAACCTGATGGGGCATGTTTACAACTAACTTTCCCCCAAAGGTTAGTTTTCTGCTTTCTTTAGTTAACAAGGCGGTAGCTGCAATGGATTGAAACATTCAGGCCATCCACAGGTTACTGGATCTAAAACTTTTGATAGGAGATCCATGGGTTGCTGGTGACCTCCGTGTTCTTGGGTAAGGACCCCTAAAGCTACCCCCTTATTTATGTTAACAGAAAGGTGAAATGGCTTTTCTAGGGAAGGCAAAGCTAAAACAGAGGCAGTTATAAGCAGATGTTTTAGCTCCTCAACCTGGTGGAGTTCTTCAGAAGTCCAGAGGAGAGGGTCAGGCTTTTCTTGGGTGATTTTTAGGTAGAGAGGCTTTATGACAAGGGCATATGAGTCAATCCATAAGCGGCAATATCCAGCTATCCCTAGGAATTTTCTGAGTTCTTGTTTAGTCTTAAGCAAAGGTATGGATACAATCCTTTCAACCCTCTCAGGCCCTATCCTTCGTTTGCCGTTACTTATTAAGTGTCCTAGGTATTTAACTTCAGGCTCTATGAATTGAAGCTTTCTCTTTGAAACCCATAGCCCCTCTCCTTACAAATGGTTAAGGATATGGACGGAGAAAGCAGATACCTTTTCTATAGCCTAACCGGATATTAATAAGTCATCTACGTACTGGAGCAGACATATACATTTTGGGGTATAAACTTGTTCTAACACTTGTTCTAGAATTTGACCAAAGAGATTAGGGGAATCTGTGAAGCCCTGGGGTAGAACTGTCTATCGATACTGTTGCTGTCATCCAGAATGGGGATCTTCCCATTCGAAAGCAAAAATGTCTCAGCTGTCCTCATCCAAGGAGCATGCTCAAAAGGCATCTTTTAAACCTATTACTGTAAACCATTGATGTTCATATGGAATTTTACTGAGAATGGTTTAAGGATTAGGGACAACAGGATGGGTAGTCTAGACTGTCTGGTTGATGGCCCAGAGGTCTTATGCTAGTCGACATGACCTATCTGGTTTCTTCACAGGCAGTATTGGGGTGTTATAAGGGGACATACAGGGTTCAAGGAGCCCATCCTTGATGAGGCTTTCAATTACAGGTTTCAGGCCTATTCTGCCTTCTAAAGGAATAGGATATTGCTTTCTTCTTACTATTTCTCCAGGGGTTTTTAACTTTATATGTATAGGGGGAATTTGGAGTTTTCCCCAATTTCCTTCCCTTGCCCAAACATCAGGATGAATGTATGTTTCTTCTGCAGTGGTGAGCAGGTTTAATGAAGTGTAGAATCCTTCTGAGCCAATACGTAAACCTATACCTAATTTTAACATTAAGTTTCTTCCTAATAGATTAGTTCCTGCCTCTGAAATTAACAAAAATTCAACATTAGCTGAGCAGTTTTTACATCTAATTTCTGTTTCTTTTAAAATTTTTAGTTTGATTCCCTCTCCTTTTACCCCTGAGACTACAAGCTCCTCTGAGGACCAGGTTATATTGTGGGGGAAGGTAACAAACAGAGGAGCAGGCTGCTCCTGAGTCTACTAAAAAGGTCATAAGCTCGGATTTGGGTTCCACTTCTAAATTTATCAAGGGCTCTTGGTGGGATTCAAGGTAAAAGAGACAGAGCCCCTAACCCCCCTATTCCTCCTCAAAGGTCGTAAGTGGGACGACTTCTCTTTCTGATTTTAATTTGGGACAATACCTCTTGAAGTGGCCTACTTTCTCACAATTGAAGCATTGATTCTGTCTCTTCTCTCTATTTTTGGGTTTCTCGGCTTTGTCTCCTTATGTTCTTTATATGGCTTAGGAAGTGGGGGCCTAGGATCTTTATAGGTTTTGGCTCTCGGGAGGCTTTGTTTGGGAGTGTGTGGGTCTCTGGGTAACAGAGAGTAATACTGGTGTGTTTTATCCTTTGGGGCCCCCTGTTGGAAGGTGGATAACATAATTTTCATTTTTTCTTTTTGCTTCTCCTCATCCCTCCTTACACACACTTTCTGAGCTTCTCTAAGAAGCTCGTTCGTGGGATGGTCCTTCCAATTTCCTATCTTTTGTAATTTCCTTGTGATATCTGGCTGTTAGTAACAAAATGAAGCTTTAACATTCACTGCCTAAGAGGATCTTCTAAATCTAGGCCAGCATATTTTCTCATTTGTTCTTTCAACCTGTCTAAAAGTTCGATAGGCCCTTCATCTTTCCTTTGTTGTATGTCGAATGCTCGAGTAAGATTTTGGGTTCGGAGTACTGACTCCCGAATCCCTTTTATTATCATTTCCCTAAGTTCTTGCGTATCCTCTTCAGTGGGCTGCGTTATTATTGTCCCAGCAGGGGTCTTGGTTGGGGAATTTTTGATCCGCTGCATGAATGTTTTGGCCAGGAGGGTGTTCATGTTCCCAGGGTACCATAGCAGCTCTACAGATGATGCTTCTTTCTTCCCCTGAGAAAAGGATGCCTAGGATGGACATTAACTCAGCCCAAGTATATATAACTGTGGTCCTAGAAATTGGTTAATTCGATCTGCTATTCCACTGGAGTTGTCTAATAGTGTGGCTTGAACTCTGTTTTTAGGTTTTGGACCTCCGAGCTGGTTAAAGGAGCATTTACAAAGTGAATACCTCCTCCTCGTAGGGACACCTCTCTTCAGGGGAAGAGAGGTGGAGCTAATTCTCCCGAGGTAGAGGGGAAGGGGAAGTTCTGAATATCCCTTTTACATTGCTCTATCTCACACTGAAGTCCTTTCAGGGAAGAGTACTTAGGGTGATAGTGAGCAGGCTGTTGGGACAATTCCCAAGAGGCAGGGTTATAAAGAGGGGGAACAATGTGGGTAGGAGAAGGGTCTGGGACAACTGCTTCTGCTTGAGGGAGAAGGAGGTTAGGGATATTGGACGGGGGAAGGTGGTGGAGGAAGTTCCATGTGTTGGTGAGCTGTCTAGGAACAGGGACCTTATCTTTCTCAGAGGAGTTAATTTCTGACTTGCTTTTCAGGATTGATTCCTGAGTCCAAATGAAACAACAATATTTTATCATTTGCTGCTTTTTCTTGTATTTAGTCCTTTCACTCTCTTTTCAATATTTTAGCATAAGCCCTAGGGGACTATCAGGAGGAATGTTATTGTTGCTAGCTTTATCCTTTTTCTCCCCTGCATTACTTGAGGTATTTCCCATCTTGAAAAGGGATTGGGGTGAGGCTCAATTTCCCCTACTAGAAATTTCTTCCCAGTTACGAGAGGTTTGTATAAGGCTCAACCTCTCCTACTGGAGATTTCTCACCTTTCCTTTCCTTCCCTTCCCTTCCCTTCCCTTCCCTTCCCTTTCCTTTCCCTTCTCTTTCCCTTCCCTTTCCCTTCCCTTTCCCTTTCCTTTCCTTTCCCTTTCCTTTCCTTTCCCTTTCCTTTCCTTTCCTTTCCCTTTCCTTTCCTTTCCCTTTCCCTTTCCCTTTCCTTTCCCTTTCCTTTCCGAGGCTCAACCCCCCTGCTGGAGGTTTCTTGCACTTTTCTCCTTTCGCTTCATCCTTCTCTGGCTGCTTCCCTCATGGGAACGTTGGTTTCCTCTTAGCAATGGCTGTTTCAGTAGAAACCCCTGACCCAGACTCCTTTACAGAAGGGCTACCTTAAGCTGTATAAGGTGACCACAGAACTGCAGATCTGGACTGAACACTTGCTTTGCACTCAATTGTGAGTCTCAACACACACTTTCAATCTCCAAGATATCCCAACCACCAAGAAAATACTTTGTCGCTCTTGTGATGTTTCTTACGTTGGTCTGTGCACATAGTTACCTGGTCACCATGGTATGTGAGGATCCTTTTCTCTTAAGTTGTTGGTCTGTTCCTTTCCAGACTGCTGAGAGTCCGGGTTTATTCATCACACTGGGTGGGTCCTGATCCCTCACCATGAGGCCACCTCAGTGAGGCAGTGGGATGCTTCTCCTCACTATTGGTGACTGGAGACCCTTTTCTCAGAGGAGAATGGGAATTCCAGACGAGCCCCCAGATTGTTAGAAACAAATGATCAGGCTGGGCACAGTGGCTCGCCCCTGTAATCCCAGCACTTTGGGAGGCCGAGGTGGGCGGATCATGAAGTCAGGAGATCGAGACCATCCTGGCTAACATGGTGAAATGCCGTCTCTACTAAAAAAAAAAAAAAACACAAAAAAATTAGCTGGGCGCAATGGTGGGTGCCTGTAGTCCCAGCTACTCAGGAGGCTGAGGCAGGAGAATGGCGTGAACCTGGGAGGTGGAGCTTGCAGTGAGCTGAGATCAAGCCACTGTGCTCCACCCTGGGCAACAGAGCGAAACTCTGTCTCAAAAAAAAAAAAAAAAAAAAAAAAGAAAGAAAAAAGAAACAAATGATCAGTGCTGCAAGGAAGAACCAGCACTCAGGAAAAAAAGTTTTCTCAGCAAGACAACTTACTTCTGCAAAAGACTGCTGTTTGCATTAGTCACGAATGCAAGAGCACACCGAGCAGGATAGAGCAGGAGTTTATATCCCTAACGCAGTCCCTACCTCTCTATCATTTCCACATGGGCTGGAGTCGGACTACACAATCTAAGCAGACTTGATTTGCTATCGCGAATATTCTCCCTAATAAGGAAGGGAGAGGGAATGTGAGTTACAGGTTGGGACTGACGGGAAGAGTTGTTTACAAGGCAGGTAACTGAGCAGATAACTAAGCAGGTAAATAGGGGTGAGAAGGTACAGGGAAATTGTTCTTAGGAACAAAGAACAAGGAAGTTGAACAGGTTAAACCTTTGAAGAGGAACTTACTGTACCTAATAAGTTTTTTTGATTGGCTAATTAAATGTCTATTCATTATTGCCAAAAAGTGCCTACCCCAACAACAAGATACCACATTTTAGAAAATGTTGGAGCTCTCTCTGAATCTAGGAGGAAGTGAGTAGTTTAGCTTTTATTTAGTAGTTAGGACCTTAAGTAAATCACTTTTTTTACTGTGTTTCTGTATAACATAGATAATATTTTTTGCCCTGCAAGAGAGCATATAGAGGAAAGCTCTTTGGCAGCGATACTGTGCCCTATGAATAAAAAAGTGATGGTGTCATTTGTGGCTGAATAACAGTTTATTTTGAGAATGCTTTATAACAGCTTTTCATGGGAAATAAAGCAATGCTGTTAACTTCATCTTGCATTTTTCTCATTTTTACTATGATTAAAAAGTAGTCAGCTTGTACAAAGGAAAGAAACAAGCCTTGACTCAGGAGCCTAGGACTTTTTCTTTGGTTTGCCCTCCTGGAACAGATTACCTTTCCAAATTGAATTTGTGGAGGAGCATTGGGAAATATCAGAAATGTCATATTAAGCACCTCAGTGGTACTTTTAATAGAGGAGTTATTCAGAAATTATACTAGGCAGATAGAGAGGGTAAGGAGGCCTCAGTAAGGCTTTCCCTTTTAATAGAAACAACTCCAGAAACATTTCTTTTTCTTTTCTTTTTATCTTTTTTTTGGAGACGGAATCTCGCTCTGTCACCCAGGCTGGAGTGCAGTGGTGTGATCTCAGCTCACTGCAGCCTCTGCCTCCCAGGTTCAAGTGAATCTCCTGCCTCAGCCTCCTGAGTAGCTGGGACTACAGGCTGCCAAGCTTTGATATGCAAATGCCAGCGCTTAGAAACTGTGTCCATTCAACATGGAGATTCCCACCCTCTTCTTCTAGTCACCACCTCAAGGTGACACCTCCAGATGACCCCATGTGTGCAGGACAACATGGTGACCTACATTTGCATATTAAAAGGCTAGGGTGGGAGGGCCACGTTTTTCTCGGGCTACATGAATGACCTGCCTGGTCAAACCAATGCCCTGGGCCCTGTGCAAATCAGACACCACCTCCTCCAGCCTCCCAATATAACCGAGTACTGTTCTGCCACACACGGGGCTTTTTCTCTGTTCAGACCCCCCTTTTTCTGTACCGCAGGGAGCCTTTCTTCTTTCTTGCCTATTAAACTTTCTGTTCCTTAAAACCACTCCTGTGTGTCCATGTCGTTTAACTGGCGTGAGACAAAGGACCCCGATGTTTCTCCCATTTTCAGAGCCATATCACTTTGAGTCCAGAGGAATTATTTTCATTTATCTGACCAATTTATAATATAGGGTCAAATTCCTAGTGGTTATCCTCCCTCATCCCCATTTTTATACCCTTCCTTGAAAGGAACAGGTATATGAAGAGGAGACAGGTTTCCCTTTTGTGAATAGTATATCCCTTAGTATCTTGATTTTTTTTTGGTGGGGGTGGGGGGAGTTAAACTTACTTAGACCTGGTAAAGGGCAGTATTTGATAAATGTCAGCTAGTTTAGGGTTAGGGAATTGAGTTGAATGGAGATAGTCACTGCCAAATGTAAAGCATGACTGGAGAGCCACAGTGATGAAGCCAGGGTCCCTTTCTCCAGATCCTTTGTAACAGTGTTATGTGATCTCTTCTAGAAGATTGTTCTGAAAGATAATGCCAACTCGGAACCTAGGAAACCATCCAGTGGGTTTCTGCAGCTTAGGTGGTTCAAATCCTCATCAGCACGTTTGTTTTCTCTGCCTCAGTTTGCTTACAGTGATGTTCTCAGTAGCTGTAATTGCTGTCTTTGAATACTTAAGCATTTTTTTTTTTAGCTCACAGGGGTATGTGTGCATTTTTCTTTTACCAAGTGTTAGAACTTTGACTCTGCTTTTGTGGGCTCTGGTTTAGCAACTTGGTTGTTTAGTTGTAAAATGATTAGTAGGGAAAACCGTGTGTGTGTGTGTGTGTGTGTGTGTGTGTGTGTGTATTTTAAGTTTCTTTTGTTCTCAGAGCACTTAGAATTTTATATGGAAATTCTATCAGTTTACTTGATTCTCCACCCCACATTTCTTAAACAGCAAAGTATGAAGGTAATGTGTCCCGTAACCAGCCTTCAGAATAATTACAGCTGCTGTGTCTCTGAACTTTCAAGAAGTTTGTGCATCAATTTTCAAAAAATTATGAAATCCTTGAAGATAGCTGTGTTCTACATTTGGAAAGATACAAAAACTGAACCTTCTAGCAGGCAGTTTTGCTTGCTGGTGCTTGCGATAGAGCCACACATTGGTCTCAGTGGATTTATGGAGAAAAATAGGTACGGAAAGTTATTTCTAAATAAGACCAAAAATCCTTTTCTTAAGCAGTGACAGGTAAAGAGGTTGTCTTGGCTAATATTGAATTGTGTTGCCCTTGATTGAGACAGTTTTATGGTGGGGATGGTAGTGGTGATAAACTTGTTTGAAATTTGTCCACCTATAGTAACCTTTGTGGTAGCTGTCACAGACAGCTTCATCCTCACAGGCCCTAAAATTACTATAAAACTAATAGATTGGAGGAGAAACAAAGGACCTGAATAATTAGATGCTTAGATAATTGTTCTGTGTTTTCATAACAAGTGAAAAAGAGCAGTGTTAGAAGTACTTAAACTTTCCATGTAAGGAGCACTGCCTGAATTTATATTGTGATTTTAGAGCATCATTCACTGTTTAAAAACAGGCATATTGTGGGTCATATTTTAAAGACAAACAGAAAGCTTATCTTTTCAAGATGGATCTAAAGCTTAACCTTATCAAAATTACAAAATGTGAAGGATATGATTGAAAAATATTAATGCATAGGTTTAAATATTGGTCATCATTTTAGATGTCTTTCAAAATAGGTTGTCTCTTAAATATTAAACTGAACAAACATTGAACTTGTTGTAGAGTTTGTGCTCAAGGTTAAGTTTCCTGGGGTGATGGATATTTGATAATATGGATAACAAAAAGTTCTTAAGAAATTTAGAAAATTTTTAGGCAAAACTAGAAAATAATACTGATAATTCTACCACTCAGAATGTACCACTATCAGAATTTTGTATCTTTCAGTCATCTGCTCATCTCTTTTCTCCTTTGCTTGTATGTGTTCCCTCTCCCTTAAAAAATCAGATTTTTTTTTTGTAATCTGCATTTTCACTCAATATTGTAGATCTGTGTCATAAGTTACTCCTCTACAGTGCCTTCAGTTATTGTGTGCTTTGTGTTGGATGACTGTACCATCTAGTCTTTCGTGTTTCCTGGTACTGACTACATAGGGGTGAGTGTGTGTGTGTGTGTGTGTGTGTGTGTGTGTGTGTGTATTTTTTTTCTACCTTAACTAATGCTTTGGACATCATCAACAGGTAGAGCTAAATCCTTGAAACCTTCCAAGTGGTGGCTTTCAGTTATTGCTGAATTGGTTTTTAGAGATGGAACAAATTATATTGTATGGAAACTTTTTTTTTTTTTTTTTTTTTGAGACAAAGTCTCAGCTTGTCACCCAGGCTGGAGGGCAATGGCATGATCTTGGCTCACTAAAACCTCCACCTCCCAGGTTCAAGTGATCCTCTTGCCTCAGCCTCCCGAGTAGTTGGGATTACAGGGGCCTGCCACCATGCCCGGCTAATGTTTGTGTTTTTACTAGAGATGGGGTTTCATCATGTTGGCCAGGCTTGTCTCGAACTCCTGACCTCAGGTGATCCACTCACCTTGGTCTCCCAAAGTACTGGGATTACAGGCATGAGCCACCATACCCAGCCTTTTTTTCTTCTAGGTACCAGCTTTTATTTATCAGATTGGTATAAATGTTAGAAAGCGTGCAATGAAATGGGCATTTTCACAGTCGTGGCAGAAAGTATAATTATCTTTGACTTTCTAGAAAGCAGTCTGGCATTCTAGAAACTTGCCTAACCTCTTCCCATTTAGACAAGATGAATTCTGACAGGGCCAGCCTTGTCCCTGTGATTCCGTATCTCCCAGAAAGAGAGGTCTAGTCTCAGGGAAAACCCAGATTTTCTTGGCTTAGCCCACCTGACAGCTAATCACTGGAAATGGGGCGGGCCGGTAGAGTCCTTTGGTCAGGTTTTGTGTCAAGAGAGGGATGTGGAAAGATGGGAGAGAGGTAGCAAAACTGGCCTCAATGGAACTATGTAAGTTAACATAGAATGGCAAAGGAATGTTTCTTCCAAGGAAGAAATTCTAGGGAAGGAATAAAGTAGAGGGGAAGGCAGCAGTTCTCAAAGTTTTGGGGTCAGGATTCCTTTACACTCTTAAAAGTATATTGAGGGCCCAAGGAGCTTTTGTGTATGTGGGTTATATCTATTGGTATTTATCACTAGAAATTAAATCAGAAATACTTAAAATATTCCTTAAAAGCTCACAAAATATTGTTATAAATGCTTTTATGATAAGAAAATTTCTAAACCCAAGGTAGTACAGTCTTACATCTTTTGCAAATTTCTTTGATGTTTGATATGTCATTTGTACCTGCATTCAATTTATTGTGTGATATTTGCTTGAAAAAATGTGAACAAAGGACAGTCTCATACAGATAGGCATTTCAGATCATTGTGGATATTTCTTTTTTCTTTCTTTCTTTTTTTTTTTTTTTTGAGATGGGGTCTTTCTCTGTCTCCCAGGCTGGAATGCAGTGCTATGATCACGGCTCACTGGAGCCTCATTCTCTGGGGACTCAGGTGATCCTCCCACCTCAGCCTCTAGAGTAGCTGGGACTACAGGTGTGTACTACCCCACCTTGCTAATTTTTTGTATTTTTTGTAGAGATAGGGTTTTGCCATAGGTATTCAAATAGAAAGTTTTGTTTTTGTTTTAGTATATAAAGAAATATAACTTTCCATGTTGGAAAAATTTTTAAAACCTTTTTTTAATTTTAAAACTCATAAGCAACCATTGTTGAGAAAATTGGTAAAGTACAGAAAAGATAAAAGAAAAAAATTAAAGTCTCCCATAATTTCTCTATCTAATATAACCACTATTGACTGTTGACATGATGGTCATTTTCTACCAGTATATATTTTTTCTTTGCTATTAAAATACATAACCCTTACACATATGCTTAATAGTTGAGGTCATATTCTCTATAGTTTTTTATATATATATATATATATATTTTTTTTTTTTTTTTTTTTTTTTTTTTTGAGACAGAGTCTTGCTCTGTCACCCAGGCTGGAGTGCAGTGCCGTGGTCTCGGCTCACTGCAAGCTCCACCTCCTGGGTTCCCACCATTCTCCTGCCTCAGCCTCCCCAGTAGCTGGGACTACAGGCGCCCGCCACCATTCCCGGCTAATTTTTTGTATTTTTTAGTAGAGATGGGGTTCCACCGTGTTAGCCAGGATGGTCTCGATCTCCTGACCTCATGGTCTGCCCACCTTGGCCTCCCAAAGTGCTGGGATTACAGGCGTGAGCCACTGTGCCTGGCCCTTTTATATTCTTTTAAAAAGTATTTACTGTATTTTCCTGTGATGTCATAGTCTTTATAGAAAAATAATCATTATTTTCAGTTGACATGATTGTTTACCTAAAAATATCCAAAGGAACCAACTGAGAAAAAACAATTTTTAAGATTACTGGTTAAAAGTTCTTTTATATAAAAATCAATAGCCTTCCCCAATGTTAGCTATAATCACATAGAAGATATAGTGATGAAGTATTTTTTCAGGTATTTCAGCAAAAATTAAATACCTAGGAATAAACTTAGATGTGCAGGACTTTTATCAAGGACAGGACAAAATTTTGCTGAGTGGAATGAAAGATTTGCATTCTATGTTCCTGGATGAGCAGATTTCATGTTATAAATATGTTAGTTATCACCATGTCTTCATATTAATTTGTAAATGTAATTTCTGCTGGGCACAGTGGCTCATACCTGTAATCCAAACAGTTTGGGAAGCTGAGGCGGGTAGATGACAATTAGCTGGGTGTCTGTGGCACACACTTGTATTTCCAACTACTTCTGAGGCTGAGGTGGGAGGAGCACTTGAGCCTGGGAGGCAGAGGTTGCAGTGAGCCGAGATCATGCCTCTGAACTCCAGCCTAGGTGACAGAGTGAGACCCTGTCTCAAAAAAAAAAAAAAAAAAAAAAAAAAAACTAGAAAAGTGTGTGTGTATATATATATATTTCATATTTTATAAATATTTATATATATAAATTGTATATATACATTTTATATTTTATATATAGTGTGTGTGTATTATATATATACACACACACACACAAATTTCAGTACAAATTCTGGCAGATTTATTTTTGACACTTGACAAAACGACTCTAAAATTTGTTTAGAAGAATAAGTAATAAAAATTAATAAAGTATAGACTCTTTCAACCAGATAGTAAATAAAATATTGTGGACTATCCCTGGGCCAGACAGATAAAGGCAATGGAAGTTTAGAACCAGAGTCATGCAAACGAGAATTTAGTATAAGGAAAAGGTGGTATTTTAACTTAATACTGAAAAGATAGATTATTCTGTAAATGGTTTTAGGAGAACTATTTGAGGAAGTCTGAGTCTTAACTCCAATTTTTGTCAAAATAAGTTAGTTGGTTTAAACACATCTATTCTTAAAAATTAGAACAGAAGAATATTGGTTTGAAGATATTTTAAGAGTTAAGGCTGAGGCTGGGCACAGTGGTTCACGCCTGTAATCCCAGCACTTTGCGAGGCCAAGGTGGGAGGATTGCTTGAGCCCAGGAGTTTGAGATCAGCCTGGGCAACATAGCAAGACTCTTTCTCTCTCTCTCTCTCTCGATATAGATATACATATAAATATACATATACAAATAGAAAAAAAAAAGAGTTAAGTTTTATATGGAGAGCCATGAAGATAAGAGGTAAAAATTAAAGGCTTGATGGACACATGTTTACATCTCCATCAAGGGGGTTGATGGGAAAGAATGATAGACATAGCTCCATTACTGCTACCTCCTTTTAGGAAGTTGCTTCTGAACATCTAAAGATATCAGTTTTATAATAGAAATGAGTTATTTTTCAGTGTCTAAAACACCACATGAGATACATACATACATGCATACATACATAAATATGTTCATAAAGTTAAATGAAATAGGATATAAAATTGGGCCTAGTGTTTAAAAGGTAAATATATTTACATGAAGGAGAAAACAACTCACCTCCCACTCTTAGAGCCTCTGCCAGTTTATCATAGCCTAGTTTCTTGAGAGAATAAGCTACATGTCTTCACCTTTTTTCACTGAGCTCATTATACTCTGGATTCTGCCTTCATCGTTGCACTAAAATTTATCTCCTAGTTGTCAAATCCAGTGGCTCCCCTCTTAGTCCCCAAATTGACCCCTCTGCAGTATTTTGATACTGTTGATTGTTCCTTTGTTGAAACATTCCTCCATTCTTAATGTCCACCAATAAAGAGTTGGTTAAATAAAAATTATAGTGTACCGTTTTATAATATTCTGTTGTTCTGTTGTGGACCAAAAAATGCAGCCAGTCTTTCCATAAGAGCACGTGCAAACTTCTAAGATATATTAAGTAAAAAAGTAAGGCATAAAATATTGTGTATAATCTGACCCCTTTAGTACACAGTGTAAAAACATCTGTGTCTGTGCTTCTTTATACTTACTTTTTTCTCCCCTGGTGAATACAGGAAACTGTGAATAGTACAACACAATTAAAAAAAAAAAAAACTGTGTGTCTGCTGCACCAGGACCTGTGATAATTGGGTATAAAAGACAAAAAAGACATGTCCCTGTCCTCTGGGAAGGGACATGATAATCAAATGAGACTTCTGTCGGATTCTTTTCTCCTGTTTTGATCTTATCACCCTTTCTTGGTCTCCTCCGATCTCTTCTTCCTTGTCCTACTTCTTCTCTTCTCATTCTGTGCTTTCTCTGAGTAATCTTTGACTCCCATTACTTAAGTCATGACCTGTGTTCCAGGGACTCCTAAATTTGTATTCATCTCCAGAGTTTCAAACCCATATATCTGTCTGTATATCATATATTTAGGGAATCTCACTTGGAGTGACATGGGTGTTCAAAATGATGATATTTAAATTTTCACGTATCCATCTCCTAGCACTCTATCTAGTCACATATGCCTAAACCTGGGAACTGTCTTAATATTCTTTTATATACACCTGTTCTGACCTCCCCCCCAAACTAGTAAATTTCTAAGACCTGTCCTTCTGAATGTCTCTTACAATTTTCCCTGTGATCTCAGTTTCTTCCTCCCATCCCTCAAATGCTTTGTGTGTGTGTGTGTGGTGGGGGAAGAGAGTAAAATTGAAATTTGTGGAAAACGTACTAGCCTGTCTGTCTGTCTTTCGAGGTGAAGTCTCCCTCTTGTCCCCCTGGCTGGAGTGCAATGGCACAATCTTGGCTTACTGCAACTTCCATCTCCTGGGTTCAAGCAATTCTCCTGCCTCAGCCTCCTGAGTAGCTGGGATTACAGGCACCTGCCACCATGCCCAGCTAATTTTTGTGTTTTTAGTAGAGATGGGGTTTCATCATGTTGGCCAGGCTGGTCTCGAACTCCTGACCTCAGGTGATCCACCCGCCTTGGCCTCCCAAATTGCTGGGATTACAGGTGTGAGCCACCATGCCTGGCCACTACCCTGTCTTGTTGCTTGGTATGACTCCACTACCCTGCTGCCTCTCTCCCCGTACAGCAGCATAATTTAGGAATCAGAGAGACTGAGGAGGATATATATTATTTAGGTGCACCGGCCCAGTCAGATTAACATCTAAAGGACTGAGCCCTGAACAAAGAGTCAGGTTACCTTTTAAGCATTTTGTGTCGGTCATTATGCCGACAAGGTGTCCGCACTAAGTTCAGTATCAGTATGGTGACCTCCTGGGAACAGGTCATCGGCTTGCCTAAGGATGGGAGAACTGGCTCAGGTCAGAAAGGGAGCAGGTCAGAATTCCTGCACCAATCGGTAGTGGGACTGTGCCTGGGCAATATAGCAAGATCTTGGTTCTTAAAATTCAAAATAAAGAACAGCTCATTCCCCTCTGGGGAGGGGCTGGCTCAAGGTTACACAGTGAGTGTGGGGGCAGAGGCGGGCCCACTGTACCTCCCTTGTTGGGTTGTCTGAGGACCCCTCTGGCCACCCCCCACAGGAGATGGAGGAGGACATCTGGACAGTGAGCAGGAGGCGCTTCGGCCCATGCCGAACATCCCAGGGGACCTGGAGAGCCGGGAGGCCATGGTGAGCCTGACTTTCCCTGCCCCTACTTTGCCACCTTCCTCTGTGGTCCCTCCGAAACCCCCTTATGTTCTTGGTTTCCCCGCCTTCTGACTTCTGTGGACTTTCTCTGCTTCTGGGAGCCAGTGGTCAGACACCATTTCACCTGTGACCAACAGGTGCACTCTGTGAGGCCCGAAAGGAAGGGGCTATGCTCCATCTGCCTGCCCCAGTTGTTATGTGTATACCCCTACAAGAATACTCACCTCTTGTCTTCAGGTGGCATTTTTCAACTCCGCTGGAGCCAATGCCCAGGAGGAACAAAGGGTGTGCTGCCAGCCCCTGGCTCACCCAGTGGCCTCGTCCCAGAAAAAGCCAGAGGTAGCGGCCCCAGCCCCAGAGAGTGGGGGTGAGTCTGTGTTTGGGGAGACCCACCGGGCCCTGCAGGGGGCCATGGAGAAGCTGCAGGTGAGTAGGTCCTGGCATGGGCCAACAAGGGGGGCGGGGGGGCAGGACAAGGCAGGTGACTCCTGACATGTGACCCCATTATTTTGGCTCCACAGCGACTTTATGGAAGGAGAAGGTGGACCTGAAGGAGCGGGTAGAGAAACTAGAGCTTCAATTCATCCACCTCTCAGGACAGACAGACACCATAGGGAGTGAGAGGCTAGGGCACCGCTGGGGGGAGCTGCCAGGCCGTCCGAGGGGCCCCAGCATCTGAGCCATGTCCTCCTGCAGGAAAGTACATCAGCCAGGGGGCAGTGTCAGAGACGCAGCACTGGGAGAGGAGGACATCGTCAGGCTGGCCCAGGACCAGGAGGAGATGAAGGTAGGGTGTGCAACATCTCGGTGGGGGAGGGTGGGGGTGGGTGTGAACGTGCGTGCTGGCACCGGCATGGCAGCTAACACCCCTTCCTCCAGGTGAACCTGCAGGAGCTGCGGGGCAGGTGTTGCAGCTTGTGGGAGACCACAAGGAGGGGCATGGCAAATTCTGACCATTGCCCAGAACCCTGCTGATGAGCCCACTCTAGGAGCCCCAATAGCCCAGGAGCTTGGGTGTGCTGACGAGCAGGGTGGTGAGTAGAGCCCTCAGGCGGGGTGGGCAGGCAGGAGCAGGGGAGGCTCACACTGTGCTCAGATTCCCACCCCCCCTCCCTCTCTCTGAAGATCTTTGTGAGGTGAGCCTCACTGATAGCGTGGAGGCTGCACCAGGAGAGGACAGGGAGGGTTCTCCCCACGACAACCCCACTGCACAGCAGATCCAGCAGCTGCTTCCTGTAATGCAGGACTCCCCAGGAGCACCCAGGCATGGGCAGCAACCCCTGCATGCCATTCTTTTTGGGCTCCCAAGAACAGGGAGATAAACACCACCATCATCTGAGAGCCGGGAAGGGGAAGGCGTAGGTGTGGGCGTGGCAAGGTTCCTGGAAAAGAGGGGCTGGAAGGGAAAGGGGAGGAAGATGGAGGGAGAAGCCGGAGCTTCATAGGTAGTGCCTGGGGGCTGTGGCAGTCCTCCCCACCCCACACACACTGGCCTCTCTCATGGCACCCAGGCAGTCCACCCACAGTTCAGACCAATGCTCAACTCCCCCGGCTTCCCTCTTCTGTGGTCACCCCATCTTCCAACCCACTGGCCCAGGGCCACCTCTTGCTTGGGGAGCCCCACCCAACAGCCACCAAGCCTGACAGAAGGAACACTGCTTGAACCAAAATGGTGAAGCTGTAAGGGATGGCTGGCTGGAGTGAGCGCCAGAGGCCCCTCTCTGGGCAGTCAGAAAGCCCAGGGTCCACTGAAGGGACCCTGGGGAAGGCAGGGAGGGCAGGTAGCTAGATGCCACTGCCCATAGACTTATAAGTCTAAGAGGGGAACCTCAACTGGTTGGCGGGGGGCTGCAGGTTGCATAGGTGAGGCTGGGCCCTTCCTGCTGGGAAAAGCAGAAGAGGGAGACTCCGTGGCAGGAAAGGCAGGTGGGCTCGCTAGGCGGAGCTCAGCTGGGCCAGCAAGCACTGTGGTCTCCTTGGCTGAATAGCACAGGTGACCCCTAGGAGCAACAGGCCAAGGTCCGTGAGCCTGCTGGCTGGCAGTAGTGCTTCAGTAGTGCTGGCCAGGGACCCAGCCTTCAGTCACATGCTAGCAGCTGTGATGGTACCTGGGAGGGAGGGAAGGGGGCTGTGTGTCCTTGCATGGCCTATGAAGTGTGTTGTGGGATAACCGTGTGTATAGGACTCTCAGGCTTTTATCCTAGATCACCACTGGATTGCTGACAGATAGAGGACGTGGGACCGTGACTATCACCCCTAATCTGCAGTGGATTTGGCTCTCGGCACTCCCAGGCTGGGAGCTGGATACCTGCCCTGGCAGCATGACTCAGACTGCATGACAGGTACGGCGTGCCCAGGATGATGTGCCCAGGCCTCTGGCCGCCTGAGTCCAGCCCCCCACACAACCCCCTCCAAGCTCCCAGCCCCTACACCATAAACCATGAGCTCTGTGCCCTCTCTGATGGTTCCACATCTGCCACCTTCGGCATGGAGCCTGTTGTAAGAGCCCCCAGGCTCAGCCATGGAGACCTTGAGCAGTGGCACTGAGTCCTGTGGCTGGCAGGGAGGGAAGTGAGACAGCCAGCAGCACAAGGACAGAAAGAGGAAAGAGCAAGTCTGCAGCTCTAGAAGGGAGGGGCAGGCAGCCTGGCTCTGAGGCTCCAGGTATGCCCCCTGTGTGGAGCTGGGGCAGCGGGGCGGGCAGACCATTCATGCAGCAGGCAGTGAGGCATGTACCTACCATGGCTGATGCTCCTCAGGGGCCACTGATAGTGATTCTGAAAGACAGCATCAAATCACATGGCAGGTCCCATGCATGGGTGGGGCAGGCCTGGGGGTGGCGGACACACGCACACGCCAGATTGTGCACACACATGCTGTGAGGCCCCACGGCCCGCATGCACACTCTAACACATGCCCACAAACAACACGCATACGTCGCCCTCTCCGCCACCTCCCGGTGCCCAACACCCTCACCAGCCGGCACGTGCCGCATGGATCTGGGGCGTGCAGCCACTCGGCACACTGAAGCACATGCGTGGGCAGAGTCACAACACAGATGCTCACCTGCACACAGAGGCATTTGCACCAGCTCCCTGCACACTCGTGCCTGGCGTGCTCAGAGGACCACCCATCCTGCTCAGGGAGACAGGGCTTGCTCACTAATGTCCGGCTGTCATTTCTCCACCTAAGAGCCTTCCATGGCTCCCTACTGCCTACAGCGTTGAATCCCAACAAGTCATACTCTTTGGACTTTGAAGGTTCTCCACCCTGTGCCCCACCCTCCCCACAGAGCTCTTCCTCATTCTGTCTCTGTTCCCTGCTTTGGCCAGTGGCTATCCTCAATGTGACCCACACTACACCTCTGCCCACACTGCAGCTCTTTACCCAGTTACCCTCCAGTTCCTCACAACGTATGCCTATCTCAGTCATGCCCCGGACTGCATTGAAGCCAGGCTGCCTTGAAGAAGCTCTCCCAGACTGCCCTTTTCCCCAAGGCAGGGTCATGATTTGCCAAAGGTTTCGTGTGTGTGTTAGCAAGACTGGAGTCAGAGCAGGCATCAAACTTTACATCCCATATGTCACACCTCACCATAGACCTGGGTGCCAAATAGCCTGAAGAGTCTGAACTCACGTTGGCAGTTAGCAAAGTGCTCCTACAGCCGCATCTGCGGTTAACATAGCATCCCTATGGCCACTGTCTCCCTTGATCCCCACAGCCATCCTAGGAGAAAGGCAGAATGTCATAATTTGCTAAAAGGGATGCTGAGGCTCTGGGAGGGAAAGGGACTTGCCTAAAGCCCCAGGGTGAAGCAGCATCTCTGGACTCCCAGTCCAGTGATCTTGCCCAATACTTTGCTGCTTGCCTATACCCCTCTAACTTGGTCAACAGCACATCACAGGGCAAGCCCCAATCCCTGCTTCATTTTTATATATGGGCGCTGGTCCCACAGCCCCACTCTCCAGCCATTTGGAAACAAAAACAGATGCTATTGTTCTTCCTTAGAGAACGTGGCCAGTGGAGACGGCACACTGGAAATCAGAGTGAATGTTCTTGAAAGAGGGTCACGGGTCAACAAGGCCCAGCCAAAGGATGCAGTAGAACCATTTTCCTTAGAAATCTTTGGGAGTGAAGTAGGCTTCAGCCACTCCCATCCCTGCCCTCGCGGCTACCACTACCCCATTAGTTTAGACAGGGTCGGGCGGGGAGGGGTGTGGAGAAGAAATGAGCTTGCCTGTGGCCCCCAGGCTCCCTCTGTCCTAGCTCAGGTCTGGGTGCCATTCTTTACACTCGTGTGCTCGCTCACGCACACATCACACACCTTGCTGGTCACACAGTCACAGACTCGCCTCTGCTCCTGTGGTCCAGTGGCCGGACACCCCCTGGGATGGCTCAAAGGAGTCAGGACTTGGAAGTGGGGACATCAGGGTAGCTGAAGGAAATCCACACACCCAGAGCATCTCGGAGTTCAGACTCTCAGACCTGAAGTAGGCGCCCCCGGGACTGGGCTAGGAGTTGGACGGAATGGAGGATGGAGGACAGCGAGAAGAAAGGAAGAGAAATGCAAAGTGTGGGCAGCCGCCAAGAGTGAAAATAGAGGGAAGTGTCATGCAAGTGCTGGACAGAAGGCGGCAGGTGGGACGAGCCCCACAGCCCCCTCCTCAAAAACGACCACCTCCAGGACTCAGTGATCCCTGGGGGGCAGGCTCTGCCAGCCCTCGGCCACACGTGGCTCCGGCACCCATGGTCCCAGTGCCTTGGATGGAGACGGCCAGTTCTGGCGGCCAGATGTGGTGCTCTGGAATCCAGTCCCATTTCCTTCCTGGCCACGCCTGTCCAGCGGCCTCTTCAGCCGCATTCAGCCCCTACTTACCTGGGGACCCCGGCTGGGGCACGAGAGCACCAGGGGGGTAGGGCCCAAAGGGATCAGGGGAAGCCTCTGGCCTGGAGGGTATGGGGCACGCTTCCCCAAGGGCGGACCCGGCAGGAGGAAGCCCAGGAGCTGGGTCCTGCCGCCCAGGAGCTGGGCCCTGCCACCCAGGCCGGGCTAGGGACATGGCAGGGCCTGGGCATCCTGACGCTGGACTTGGGCGACCTGGGAGGCACAGGGAGGGGAGAGATGGGCGACCCCGCCCCAGCGCAGTGCCGGCCACACCCCAAGGCAGTTGCCAGAGCTTAAGCCCCGCCCCCAGCAGCGAGAACATCCCAGCTCCACACCCCCCCCCCCCCCGCAGCCAGTGCTCCTTGTCAAGCTCCCCCCGTCACTCCAGGTGGGAGCCACCCCGGTGAGGGGGTGTGCCACTTGCCCCCAGGGCACTCCTCTGGGCATCCCGGGTGGGGGATTTTGGGGCCGTGGGGGGCAGTCTTTGGTACCTGTGTTCGTCAGGGATGCTCTGACAACCAGGTGTCGTCCACGGGCGGGGGCATGGGCATGGTGACAGTGGTCCTGTTGATGTCACCGATGATGCTGAGCGCCTCCTTCAGCGCGTGGTGCATGTGCAGCATCTCGTCGTGCTGCTGTGCCTGCTCTGCCAACTCCTCCATCAGTGTGTTCTGGTTCCCACATGAGTACATATTGGCCAGCAGCTCCGAGATGATGAACTCCGGGGTCTGAGAGTGGGCAAACAGGGAAGAAGGTTGGGACCTGGTGCCTGTGCCGCCCTGGCTGCCTTGCTGGGCCCTTCTGGGACTGTGCGCTGGACTTGGAGCCCCTTGGAGTATGGCTTTTCACACGGGCTTCTATACCGCTTCGACTGGAAGATCCACCTCCCCACTGCCTTTTCTCACTCAGATGGGGACACCGAGGTCCAGAGGAAAAGACACCTGTCAAATGTCACAGATCTGGGAGGGGACTTAAGACTTATCATGCCAAGAGGACACCTGTCTACTCAGTTTTTTTTTGGTGGGGCGGGGGGCGGTGATAGGGTCTCGCTCTGTCACCAGGCTGGAGTACAGTGATGACTGCTCACTGCAGCCTCCACCTCCTGGGCTCAAAGTGATCCTCCAACGTCAGCCTCTCGAGGAGCTAGGACTACAGGCACATGCCACCACCAAGCCCAGCTATTTTTAAAATTTTTGTGTGGAGACAAGGTCTCACTATGTGGCCCAGGCTGGTCTCGAACTCCTGGGCTCAAGTGATCCTCCTGCCTCGGCCTCCAGGAGTGGGAGTTGGAGTTGATGCCTGGATACAGGAGCTCTGTGGGTGGGAGTGAGACAAAACACAGGGTCCTGAGCTCTGGGGACCAAGCAATGTCCTCTGGTGAAAAAAATCCTGGACTTGCTGGCAGAAGATTTGCCTCTTACTCGCCATGTGCTCTGAATACATTTACCTGCCCTCTGGGAGCTTCAGTTTTCTTATCTGAAAAATGAGGACACCTGACCCCTTCCCTGCCCAGTTCAGTGTTGTGGGACAGGGTTGCTGTCAAGACAATACCCAGTCCTGCCCTCCTCCCTGAGTGGGCCAGGTAGCCCATGTAGCCTCTTCCCAGCTTTCCTGGGTGGCACTGCCAGCCTGGTGCCCATTCAATCTAGTCCTTCATCTTGCTGGAGCATGGGGAAGCTCTGAGTAACATGGGACTATAGAGTGCAAGAGGGTTGCTGATGGTCTGGGTCCTGTGCCCTCCTCATTCCTGGGCATTCTTGACAAAGGCTCCCAGCAACTGAGGGTACGCAGCAGCTGTAGACACCAGCCTGATGAATATCTCATTGTGGGAAGGGCACCATAGCAGGAGTGGAGCTCCAGGGAAATACAGAACCGAGGTCTGGGAGGTGCTGATGTGAGAGGCCCAAGAAACCTCGGCTTTGCACTTGCTGAGTACCATCTGCACCTCTCAGGAGGGAGAGCGCCAGGCTCAGGAGGTCCTTGCCGAAGCAAGGGAGCTTGAAAAGGGGGCTGGGGTGGGCTCTGCCATTTTCAAGGGCTGACAGGGATCCCCTCTGGAGGTACTTGGGGCAGTGCTGCGTGCCGTGGCTCCTGAGTGACAGAGTCAGCTCTGCGCCCCACAAGACCGCTCCCTGCCGAGAACTCACTGTGATCATGTGCTGGGTCCAGATGCTCACGCAGCCTCCTGATGGGAGCATCAGGTGTGCTGCCTGCCCAGGGCGGCCCACAAGAGTCTGCCCTGCCCTGCCCTGCTCTGCTATGGAACAACTCCCATTCTGCCTTTGGGGAGAGGTGTTCATTTAAACCATGAGTGGGCTGGCCCCCATGGCACAGTTACCACAGAGAGTCTGCCACTACCCATGGCTGAGAGCTCTAGTTCTTCTCTGAAGCCACCAGGACAGATGAACAGTGGCTTCCCCCTTTTGGCCGACTCAGCTGCCTTTCATCAGCTCATCTGCTCCTAGGATCCACTCTTCCTCTGGCTGGCACCTGATCTGAGCCCGAGGCTCACACCTCTGCCCACAGGCCCCAGCAGCTGCTTCACCTCCGACTCCATCCCCCACCAAGCACTGCCCCTCACCAGCTGCTGGGGTGCCACTAGTGCCCCTACATGGTTCTCCCTCTCCAGACCCTTGGGTCCAGCTCTAGCTTCCTTCGGGAAGCCACACCCCAAGACCCCAGCCCTGCTCTGGGGCCCTGTATCCCCGACTTCCTGCATTCTTCTCCCTCCTTCTGGGAACATGAACTTGCCCTGCCAGCCTGATGACTCCTAGAGGGCAGGACACCAGGTCCTGGACCATGGCAGGCCTGGGAGTGTCTGCTGCCGGTGATGCTGGAGCTGGTGCCCATGTCCACATGATGTCCATGGCACAGTGGCCACCTGAGGCTGGGCGCATCTGAGTGGTGGCTGCAGAGTGGGGCCCTTACCTCTGCCTGAGTGAAGTTCACCAGGTCCTCCCCTGTGCTGTCATGCTGGGCGTGGAAGAGCCGGCCTAGCTGGAGGCCCCGCACCACATGGTAGAGCAGGAGCTGGGGGTCGGTGCCTGCTGGCTCTGAGGCTCTGGCTGCTGAGTGGCTGGACGGACTCTGCCAGAGGCAAAAGGGGCCATCAGCCTTTGTGATCCAGGCCGAGGCCTGTGGCTGCAGAGAGGCAGTGTGACCCTGGCATGCCACCCTCAGCTCTGCCCCAGCCCCCCGCACCCAGGAACGCCCACAATCAGCACACCCACCTGGGCAGTCAGTGTCCGGCTGCCCTCCAGCGAGTGAAGCACTTGCTTCTGGGCCGTCACTCAGAAGCTAAGTGTCTGGAGGAAGTATGTTCACTGTCAGAGAGGCCAAAGTGGATGCCTCCGTCCAGGGCCCCTGGGGACAAGGGTGTTGGGTCCAGCTGGCCTGAACTGGCTCCCCACCTCAGGGTGCCCCCGTGGGCAGCAGAAACCTGGGGCTCGGCCCTCAGCACCCACCTCTGTGTGAGAACAGCACGAGCCCACCATCCAGCTGGGTCTGCATGAAGCTGCGCACCTCAGTGCCCGGCACCGCCCACTGCACTACCCACCCATTGCTGGGCTGCTTAATGGTGTACACCAGGTCCTTGGGCCCAGAGTAACCATCCGTGCTCCTCAGAGCCTCTGTAGGGATGGGCACGGTGGCCCCCTCCCACATCTGGGGACACAGGCCTGTGAAGGTTCTGCCCTGCCACACTTACCCACCCCTTCCTCCCCGGCCCTGGGCTGCCACCAGGGCTCCAACCCCACTGAGGCTCAGGCCCTCAGGTGGCATCAAGGCTGGCGCTGCTGTGGCTCCCCTGCACAAATGGCCTCCCTGCATTCACCTTCCCTGTCACCCCAGGGAAGGCCACCCTCCAGGCCCAGCATCCCTGCTCTTCATCTGTCCTAGTCCTGTGTGTCCCTCAAGACCAGCTTGTGTACCCAACCCAGGAAGGCCCTAGCTCTTACCGTCACCAAGTTCTCACCCCCAGAAACCCCCAGCGCTGACCAACAGTGCTCCTTAATCTAGCTCACTGGTGGGGCAGCAGTCTCCTTTCAGACCCTCCATGTGTGCCTGGCAGGGGCTGGGCACAGGTGGGAACAGTGATTTTAGAAACGAGCACTCCTTCCAGCTAAGGGAGGGGTGGGAGGCGCAGAGAGCTGAAGCCTGATGGTTGGCACTGTCCTGCAGCACAGAAGCAGTGCTGGGATGGGCCCAGGTGCTTCCAGAGCAGTTACGGGCCCTCCTCGTGTTGGGCAAAGGGGGCCCCTTTTCAGGCCTCCCACTAGCAAGCAGAACAGGCACCCGTTCCTGAGGTCCTGGTACCACTCTTGCTGGGTCAATTACTTGTGGGCAGTGCTGCAGTGGGACTCACATGCCCAGAAAACAGCCCTCTGGCATTCCTGGGCTTCCTCCCCTGGCCGCAGGGAGCCCTCAGGCCGAGCCTTGGCAAGAGGGGCCATACTGTGGGAGGCAGGGCCCCATCACTGGGCTCCCGGAACAAACACGGGTAGATGGCACCACCTGGTGGCCGCACTGCCACACAGCCATCCCAGCCTGTGGTTCCAGGGTGCTGTGTCCCACTCTTCTGTGGCGTCCGCACCATGAGGCCACCCCCTACAGGCAC
The DNA here is from genome assembly GCF_000001405.40 of Homo sapiens. Classification (NCBI taxonomy): domain Eukaryota; kingdom Metazoa; phylum Chordata; class Mammalia; order Primates; family Hominidae; genus Homo; species Homo sapiens. The sequence goes on along the minus strand of NC_000015.10, from coordinate 82,468,321 downwards.
ATCCTAGACCACCAAAGCCCCCCGGTGCCCCATGTCAGAGACAGCCCAAGTCAGCCCTCTTGCGGAACCTTCAGTGGCTTCTGCTGACTGGGGAGGACGCGCCCCAGAAGCTGGGGTTCAAAGCCCTGCCACGTGGGCTTAGTAAAGCCATGCCCTTTCTGTTCCACCAGAACTACTTTTGCAATCATGGAGAAGTTCCATCCCATCTCTGGGCCTCAACTTCCACCTTTGCCAAATGGGGGCCCTGCTCTGCTGTGGACAAGGGGCAGGAGTTTGGGAAGCCAAGCTGAGGCCTCCACTTGCTGGGGTGAAGGTGGGAAGCTTAACGGTCCCACCCTGACGCCAGCCCTTAAGGGCTTGTAAGTGATTCTTTCAGGTGTTCTGGTCCTAAGCCACAGGAGAAGGAACAGCAGAGCCACCCATGGCTGCTCAGAAGTCTGCCTACCGTACTTGCAAATGTCCAATAACAAAACCTCCCACCTGTGTTCTATTTCAGCACAATCTCACATCTCTCCTTCCAACAACTGCGTGAGGCACACAGTAGTGTCCTCATTTTGCAGAGGAGGAAACTGAGGCTCAGAGGGGGGGAGATCTGTGCCGGGAAGTAGGGGACATTGGCCTCTTTCTCAAAGCAGACATGGGGGGTGGTCCCAGGAATATGCTCACCTGCAGGCCTGAGTTTGTATGAGGTCGGGGGTTGGCCATTGACAGGCAGGATGGTGACAGTGAAGGCCACAGGATGGCTCTGGCGGTCCATCTCAGAGGCATTAGCCATCAGGACAAAACCGTCAGTGTCTTGCTCCCATCGTGCAGGTACTGGATCAGATGCTCTTCCACCTAGGGGCAGGCCCAGGGCTGGCAGTCAGGCCCCAGCAGTACCCTTCATGTTCTGCCTTTGGGTGCAGGAAGAGACTGACCCTTTTAGGGCCTCAGCTTCCATTGGTGGAAAATGGGGACCATAAGTTCTGGTTCCCAGAGGAGTTGTGAGGAAGAAAGGGGATATTTTATTTTATTTTGAGACAGAGTCTCTCGCTCTGTTGCCCAGGCTGGAGTGCAGTGGTGTGATCTCGGCTCACTGCAACCTCTGCCTCCCAGATTCAAGCGATTCTCCTGCCTCAGCCTCCTGAGTAGCTGGGACTACAGGTGCGGGCCACCACACCCGGCTAATTTTTTGTATTTTTAGTAGAAACAGGGTTTCACCGTGTTAGCCAGGATGGTCTTGATCTCCTGACCTCCTGATCTGCCCACCTCGGCCTCCCAAAGTCCTGGAATTACAGGCATGAGCCACAGCGCCCAGCCCGAGATACAGCATCTAAAGCATAGGTCTTTCTGAAATGTGACTCCCTGTCTCCTCTCTGTATAACCCCTGGACTGGGAGTCCCCGGGGCTCCCTCCACTCTGCCCCCAGAGCTGGGCTGCAGCCCCTGGGCCTCTCTCACAGCCGTACCTCTCTCCAGCAGAAGGTGCTGAGGGTCCTGGCTTGAGGCCCATCCTCCTTCTGCAGGGCCCCATGCCGGGGTGGCTCCAGCACCTGCAGGCCAAGGCCCGGGAGAGTGGGGAAGTAGGACCTGGCAACGCGGAGCAGTGGAGGGGCCAGGGTGCAGCTGCGACTGTGCCCCCTCTACTGCTGAAGTTTTGTGCCCCCAGTGGGGATGACAGCAGGCAGCACCTCCAGCTCCACGTGACGTCCTCAAGGGGAGCACCCAGGCCGAGGCCACATCCAGCGAGAAGGCATGGCTCCGGGCCTCAGGGCGGGAGTGCAGGTAGAGGATCCTGCCTGTGTCCACTGCCTCTTGGGAGAAGCTCTGCACGGGGTCCAGGCTGGGTGGCTCATCTGCCAAGATGCCACGCAGCACCATCACCAGGTAGCCGGCACTCGGTGGGCTCTTCACTGAGAAAACGATGTCTGCTGGCGGCACTGCCTCCTGGGCTACCTGGTTAACAGAGGTCATGAGGACTCACAAGGGAATGCAGAGGGGTCTCAGAGGGGCCCACTGTGGCCCTAAGCAGCCAGAACAGCCTTGATCTTGCTCCACTTATTTCCCCAGATACCACTGCTCATTTAGTGACACACACACATGTGGGTTCACACACACAGCAGCCAGACATGCAGCTGGTCACATTTTTTGTTTTTTTGAGACAGGGTCTCACTCTGTCACCCAGGCTGGAGTGCTGTGGTGTGATCACAGCTCCCTGCAGCCTCAACGTCCTAGGCTCAAGGGCTCAGCCTCCCAAGTAGCTGGGACCACAGTCATGTGCCACCATGCCTGGCTAATTTTTAAATGTTTTGTGTAGAGATGGGGTTTCACTGGGTTGCCCCAGCTGGTCACATGTTAATACCCACCCCACACATGGTTACGGGGTGTCGGTCAACAGCTTGAGATGCACTCCCTCAGGGAGGTGCATAATCACATGTCCCCAGACTCAGTGACACAGACATATGAGTTCATCAGATGCTGACGCAGTCACACAGGTACAGGTACACATGCGTGTGTGCACACGCACACAGGCCCCCTGCTCAGGATCTGTTCAGGCCTGTGGCTGGTTTGCTGGCAGCATCCTCCCCAACCCCTGCTATTACCACCCAGGACCATCAGAGGGTGCCCTGCCCCACCCCACCCCACCCCTCCTAGAGGCACAGGCACCCCCAGCACAGGCCCTACAGAGCTCACACCCCAAAGGCCACATGGGCTCCCTCACCTGATGGGCCATCCACAAGAGGCTAAACTGCCTCCAAACTCACATTCCTGTTTTGTGCCTTCGGCCGGAATGTTCCTTTTGCGTGGAATACCACTCCCCATTCTCTGCTCCTAATGGCCTGTACTCTTCAGAGCCCGGCCCAAACACTGCCTCCTCCCATGAGGCCTTCCTGATGCCAGATCTGCTGGCTCACCATGGGCCCCAAGCTCCAGATGCAGACCAGAAGGGTCTCCGAAATAAGCAGTGTGGAAGAGTAAGGCTGAGAGCGGGCAAGGACTGGCCTGAGGTCACAGGGCATGTCAGATCTCTGGAAGGCCCGTGGCTGCTCTGTGGGGTTCCTGGGTGAGCAGAAGCCCTTGACAGACCCTCCTGGTCCTGGTCTGGGCTCTGAGAAGAGAGCGGGGTACACAGGGGTCTGAGAGGCAGCGGCCTGTCTCCACGGCCAGCAATCCCAAAAGTTCAGGACCCGTGATGCCCTCCCAGGGAACTGACTGCAATGCAGATTCTCGGGCTCCACTTCAGAGATTCTGTAGGGCTGGGTGGCGTCCAGGAATCTGCATGCTCAGCCATGCCATGGACATGAGTGGACACCAGCTCTAGAGGCACACACCACTCCCAGGAGGATGGGTGTACAGCAAGCTCCCCAGAAACTCTTGGGAACACAACATATATGGGAGCACATCTGAGGCACGTGCACACACGCAAGCTGGGACCACCACAGGTACAGCCCAAGTCACATGTGTTCCCGGCATGGAGGCTGGGAGGAAGGCCCTCTACCTGGTCCACACCCCGCTCACCACCTCCAGCTCCTCACCTCCAGCTGGTCCCTTCTGATCTCAGCTGCCTCTCCCTGGAAGATGTAGATCTCCTTGTGCTGGGCCAGCTTCAGTGGGGCTACTGGGCCCTCTAGGGCAATGGTCACTTGTAGGGTGGCATCTGTGTGCACTGGTCCCACATCCATTGAGAAGGCCAGGGTGTTGCGGGAGCTGAGGCTGCCATTGTGGCCATAGAAAACAGCCCCAACCAGCAGGTCCTGCTGAGAGAAGGCTGTGGCTGGCTGAGTGGCTTGGAGCAACTGTCCCCAGTGAGGGCTGTCTGTGACGTGGTAGTGGGCCTCATCCCTACTGCAGATGTTGAGGTTGGTGCCCAGGTGGAGCTCGGCCATGTTGATGGTACCCTGGCCTCCTTGAGGAACCATGAGGCCGGAGCCATTGGCCACACAGAGGTAAGGCTCCAAGGCCTGCACCTCCAGCACCGTGATGGCCTGGTGCTGCCCATCGGACACCTGCAGCGGGATCCAGCCGTGGTCAGCCTGAGTGTGTGAACAGGACTCGCCTCTTCCTGAGGCCCCTCCTGGATGAAGCGGCAGATGGGCTGCATGGGCTCATCCGTGGCCATGATACTGCCAGAGAGGAGGTCCTGGTGGGTCAGCACCAGCTGGGCCTCAGCAAAGCCCGAATCAGCATTGCTGAAGGCCATGTTGTCTGTAGTCAGCAGCCGCCACCTACCCCAGGCCACGTGGAAGACGCAGCTGATGGTCTGCATAGGGGCGTGGTCATTCACAGGCTGGATGGCCACTCAGAAGACACCCCATACCTCCTCCCAGGCCACGTCACCACTGCTCTGGTCCTGATGGCAGCAGGAAATGGGATATCATCTTCTGTGATCTCGGAGTCATCATGCTGCTAGACCAGCTGGCCATGCATCAGGTCTCCATTGGTGAAGGATGTCACCATAGTGATCTTGTCCTGTGTCCCACGCCAAGTCAACCTCCCATGGCGGGGCTGCTCCATGACCTCATAGAGGTACCTGGCACTGTTGAGACTCTTGATGAAGAGCTGGTCAGCAGAGAGGACACACCCACCACCCTCGGGCACCACGAGGACAGGCATGTCTGGGTCACCGCCAATATGGATGGAGAAGGTACAGAGTGGGGAGAAATATGGTGGAGCTGTGACATGGAAACAGAAGGTGTCCTCCACTGCCACTGAGGCACGTGCCATGGCCCCATAGGTCACCTCTGCAGCCTGTACGTCATCCTGGGTGAAGCCCTGACCGTCTGACAGCATCGTGCCCTGTAGTTGAAAGTTGCCTTTCCTGGGAGCCTGAACCACCTCACAGTGGAAGGTTGGGGGGCTTGGGCCTGCCTCCTCCAGGGTGGCCTCCAGGTGGGCTGTGGTGAGGGCCTCCTGCTGGGTGTTCTGAGTGTGCAGTGGCTCCAGCTGCAGCATCCACACAGTGGCTCTCTGGATGGTCACTAGGAAGGACAGATTGCTCAGGATTTCCCAGCTCACCTGCACCTGCAGATCCAGGTTCTCCACGGTGTCCTCGGTGTAGTGCTGTGGGTCAGTGCTCAGGTACCTCACGTGGCCCTGCTCCACATCCTGCTGGTGGAACGCCTGTGTGACCCACCACTCAGCATCCTCCACCCCACCAGCCCCCTGCTTCTGCAGCTCCCTGAACGGCAGGCCTCCGGTGACACGGAACAGCACGGTCACATCCTGCCCCACGGCGCTGGTCTCCACCAACAGGTTGGTAGGCAAGATGGGCATGGCAGAGCCCTGGGCCAGATGCAGCCCTGTGCTGCGGTGGATTTGTATGGCCAGCTGGACAGCCACCACCTTCAGCATGGCCGGGGGGCTGGCCTGCAGTCCATTGCTGACCCGGAATGTCAAGTCCTGTGTAGGGCCACCACAGTGGACATAGACTAGGCTGCCGGCCTCCAACTCCCAGCAGGAGAACTCAGTCACCGGCTCCCCAGGCTGGTCTCGGTGCTCCACGGGGAGGCCAGAGGGGGTGCCAAGGAGCTGGAAGGCGAGGCCCTCACAGGCAGAGTCCAGGTCATAGGCCTGGAGAACCTCAGGCCCCAGAGGCTTCTGTGTGTGTTCCAGGATCACCATAAGGCTGCCATGTGGGAAGATGATGTGGGGTGGGTCATTGACAGGGTTGACCTGGATGGGCAGGAGGTCTGTTTGGCCCCTCCACAGGCATGAGGGCATGGGCAACCAAGCCATCACTGACACCTCCAGCACCAGCTGGTCAGAGGTGTCCTCAGGGCCATCGTGGATGAAGCGGGCCTTGCAGTTCACCACGTCCAGGAGGGTGAACATTTTTCATGCCTGGGCACCCAGGACATCCAGCTCGAGCTCGCTGTAGTGTGCCCCTCAGGTCACGCTGAACAGCACCTGGGATTTACGCAGTTCAGCCTCCATCAGTGCCAGCATGGGCTGCACATGCCACCACTCAAGCCAGGCTGTGCCACCCTCGGTCACCACCACTGCGCTGATAGCAGCTGGATGAAATTGGCAAAGACAGGAGGTAGCCCTGGCTCAGGCACGCATGGCTCAGCTAGCTCCACGGACAGCCAAGCCTTGGGAGCCAGGGTGGAGAAAGCTTCATAATGGCCATAGGCATTGTCTACCTCCTCCAGTCTGCAGCCAGCCACCATGTTGTGCGTCAGCAAGGCTTCCCACAGCCCCTGCCTCTAGCCATTGACACTGAGGTCTTCCATGCAGCCAGCCCAGCAGGGAGGCATTGGCAGCCCCTGGTGTCAGGCCTGAGCGGTGTTCCTGGAGGTGATGAGAGGCCTCTGCAACCAGCTCCCCAAGAAGGAGACTGTCACGTGGCTCCAGGTAGCTGAGGACTCCTCAGTTCGTGTGGGGTACTGGTCCATGGAGATTTCTAGCTGGTGAATGTTGATGTGGATGCTGACCTTGTGGGGCTGTGCGTCAGTCACAGGCACACTGTTGAGGAGCAATACAGTACCCTGGCCCTTCTCAACCATGGACCACAGGTGGCCCTCAAATATGTCCACATGGATGAAGTCCCCATGCCAGCCTGCTGCCTGGAAGGCCAAGGGTGCCTGCCAGCTCTGTGTGGTGAGTGTAAACTCCAGGGTTCCTTCATCCTGAGTGCCCCAGGCAGGCAAGGCAGCCAGAGAGTGGGACCCAGAGAAGCCCAGGGCCACATCATCATTGGCAGAAAACTCTTCAGCACAGCCCTCATGCTTATTGGGGGTCAGAGGCTGGAGGAGTCTGCAGCCATTGAGAGCGGCTGCATGGAGGCAACCCCTCAGGGGATGGCTGGTTCCCCTCAGGTAGGGCAGGCCAAGTCTCCCAGTGCTCCCAACAAAGAGCCCATAGGGGACTTCTAGGGGGGCTCCCAGGACTACGGAGGAGGCATTCAGAAACCCATTGACTGACAATGTGGGCCAGTCCTCTGAGACAGTCAGAACTGTGGTGTGGGGGACGGAGCCACTCAGTAGAATTTCTGCTGGGGTCTGCAGCCTCAGCTCCTCCTGGCCCAGGACAAGCCTGACCTGAGGAGAGACGGGGAATGGGAGATGGGGGGCAGCACTTTGAATCCATCATTTCCCTTATAAAAGCACAGTGGGTTCCCCACAGGGGGCCCCAGAGCAGAAAACCTAGGACAAGGGCCTCTGGTGCCACTCCTCTTGCCTTCCTGCCATCTCTTTATTCATCCTCCAAACACTCACCAAAGGAAACTCTGGGCCAGGCCTGGATGGGCTCTGGGGACCCTGGTGTGAATCAGATGTGGTCCTTGCCCACAAGGAACTGACATATAGCAAGATGCTCTTCTAGAAACCCAACCTGTATTTTTAAATTCTCCTCCTCTTTCCTTGAGTGAAAAGCACCAGAAATATTGTCTTGGAATCTAGATTTCACCCCTGGAATAATGGGTAACTGAGAATCCGTTGATCAGTCCCCCTAAGTTTGGCAAAGTTTCTCAAGGTCACTGAAGGAAGCCAGGCTAACTGTTCAGGGACAGGGAGCCCAGGCAGATGCTCTGTGTTCTGGGGAAAAAAAAAAAAAAAAAAGCTGCCTGACCTGTGGTGGAGGAATATCTCAAGGAGAGATGAAGGACATAGTTCTGTCACCATGACATTGACACAAGAAATGGCTCTGGTATGGTGCTCCCAGATGCTAGAATAGGTGATGGCAGAGTATGGGAACTGCAGAGGCAGAACACTAAGAACCATGATCTTGGAGTCCTGGTATGGTGCATCTCTGTAGGGATGTGGCATCACTACCTGCAGAGCTCAACAGCCATCAGCACCAGACTGCACCACATAGGTGTTCAACAGTGACACCTTGTGGCAATGAGCAGCAATGACAGCAGCAGACTGACCAAGCCCTAGTCCTCTTCCCACTGGGGTGTGGAAAGAGATGGCTGCCCCAAATTTGTTAATTTGTTTTTTTTTTCCTTCTAAAATAGAGATGGGGTCTCATTGTGTGGCTCAGGCCAGTCTTGAACTCCTAGGCTCAAGTGATCTTTCCACCTTGGTCTCCCAAAGTGGTGGGATTATAGGCATAAGCCACTGCACCCAGCCTGCCCCAAATTTGGACTAAGACCCTGGGTTCTTAAACTCTTCCTGGTATGGGGTAAGACTCAAGTAGGAGCCACAAGACTCCTTGATAATAAAGCTTGTGGTGTCTTGAAGGATGAAATGGAAAAATGAAGCTGAGGCAGTACTGGTGCTGTTACTCTCATGGACAGACAGTGGTGCTGCAGATAAATTGGTGCAGTGCCACCAGGATGCGCAGGGGTCATGGGGGCCCAGGAGGGGGTCTCGCCGAGGAGGAGGGGATGCCCACACTGAAACTTCAAGGAGAGACTAGAGTTCGGCAGGTACAGGGAATGGGTGGGTCACACACCTGGCAGGAGGAGTGTGATGACCAAAGGCCTGGCAGCAAGTGACCATAAGATGGCCAGGAACTGAAAGCAGTTCAGTGCAGTCAGAGCACAAAGGGCCAGTGAGGGCTTGTGGTGGGAAACATGGTTGGAAGGAGCCGGTGGGCAGAGCCAGTTCATGAAGGATTTACCATTTCTGAGCTGCTGCTGCCCATCCCACAGTGGAGAACTTGAGACCCCAAGAAAAGTGACTTACACAAGGTCAACAGCCAGCTGGGGTTCACTCAAAGCTAGACAAGGAATCTCGCCCCAATCCCAGGGGGACGTCACTCACCTGCAGGTGTCCAGAGTAGAGCTGCAGCAGGAGGTGGTCAGCTGGGCCTGCTGCCAGGAGAAGGAGGGCTTCGGGTTGGGACATGGAGAACTGCAGCTGCAGGTCTATGTCAGTCAGAGCCATGGCCACAGTCACCTCCGGGTGGTTCTAACCAAAGAAGGAAGCTGTGTGAGAGAGGGAGCTGTGGTCAAGGCTCAGATTCTTGCCTGGAGGAGGCGAGGTGCTGCAGGGAGGGATGGGTGGGTTGCAGAAAGGGGTCCGTGCTGGTGCACCCTCATGGTTCTGCCATACGGTGCTGCCTCTGAGCACTGCCCAGATCCCAGCATTTCCTTGGTCCTGGCACCAGAAGGCACAGCCTCACCTTGTGTCCAGCCCAGACCTTGACTTGGCAGGAGGTCAGACCCAGAAATTCCCAGCAACTCAGGTCTCCTCCTTGGAGGTTCCTGGAGCCAGAGGCCTCTGCCAGCTCTGACTCACCTCCCCTGGGCCCCAGAGGAGTCTCCCTCCCAGGTCTGGCTCCCCGACCTGGCCCAAAGGGAAACATCACTGGCCTGATCACCTGGCTTGGTGGTCACAGCCCTGAGGAATGGAGTTTCTGGAGAATCACCACCAGGCCAGATTGATCCCTGCTCAGATTCCTTCTCCTAAGTGCCCTTGTGCTTGGGCTCCTGTGCAGCACCTGCCGTGCCATGCCCCACCTCCATGGGTTGGCTGGGGCCACGGCTGGGATCTGGGGGTGATGTCAGTGCAGCCCACCTATCCCTGCTTCTCCCTCAGGCCATTCTTCCAGCTGCCATTGAGGGTGGGGGCAGGAGCTTATTGGCCTGAGTTTGCCAAGGAGTAAAGGCTCTCAGGCCAGATGGGGACCATATGCAGTGTCAAACCAAAGTGGGCCCACACTTCCTCCACTACCCCTGCTGTTGCTTCCTGCTAGAGAGCTATTCACAGTCCCCGCTGAGCAGTCAGATCCGGCCCCATTGTTTCCACCGTGGCCAAGGAACCAGGGATGAGAACAGCTCAGCTCCCAACCTCCCCAGGCCACCACTCAGTCTGAGGCTGAAGACAGGGCCTAGAAGGGGCTGAGGGTCTGCTGAGCAGGCCAAAGAGGGCCTCCCCAGGCAGAAGGCCATGTCTGGGCTTGCCTGGGATTAGTGGTTCTTATGCAGGGCCTGTTCTGTCCCACACTGGGACTCCTCCTCTTTTGAGTTGCTGCTTCCTCCAGGCAGTTTCCCCAAATTAGCCTCCCTGACTTCCAACCCGATGCCATAATTTCTGGTCTATGCCTTTTGCGGTGATAAGAGCCAAATATAACTTTAACTTTGCCTGCAGATGTCCAGGGCTGGGGGGCAGACAAACACAGGTTAAAAACTGTGATTCATCCCTGTTGGGTTTCCCTCAAACCCCAAGAACAAGCACAGGCTGATGGCCTTGATGGGGTGATCCAGCACCGACCTCACATGCACTGGTCCCTAGCCAGCCTGAGCCAGCTGCCATCTGCTCGAGGAAGTAGCTTCAGCCATTGGAGGAGTTGGAGGTTTGTATACCCTCAGGGCAGCCAGTCCCACCTGGAGGGATATCCAGGAAAGATCCCGTAAGAGCCCCTCGGGTTGAGTTAAATCCCCTCTAGTTATCCCCTCCTCCTGCCAGCACTGCTGGCAACACCAGCACCTTGGCTGGGAAGCTAAGGGAATCAAGCAAGCCCCGCAGACCATCTGCACGGGGGTGGCCCAGCAGTCTCAGCAGGCACAGCACAGCTTGGTGCCAGCAAGAGACAGACCAGGGAACTGCAGGTGGCGGCCAGCTACTGGGGTGCCTTATCTGCAAAGACATTGATTCCTAAGAGCAAAACACAGCACACTAAAGTGAGGGAGGCCATAGCACAAGGGGTGGGGGCACATGGCCCTGCAGAATGGAGCCACCACAGTCACCGGCTGGAACGGCTCACAGCAGCTGCCAGGAGCCAACTGTTGAATTTTCAGGAATTTTGAGAGGCAGGTGATACTGCCCACAGTGGGAATATTTATACCAGGAAAAGAGGCAAATACTGAAAATCAGGGTTCCCTCTCCCCAACAAAGCCCTTTGCGAAACATTTACCTACCCAGCACCCACGGGGAAGGGGGCACATCTCCCTGTGCCTACCCACCTGTGTTAATCAGGGTTCCCTAGAGGGACAGAACTAATAGGAGATATAGACAGATATAGATATAGATATAGATATAGATATAGATATAGATATAGATATAGATAATAGATATAGATATAGATATAGATAATAGATATAGATATAGATAGATATATAAAGGGGAGTTTATGAAGTATTAACTTACACAATCACAAGGTCCCACAATAGGCTGTCTGCAAGTTTGAGGAGCAAGGAGAGCCAATCCGAGTCTCAAAACTGAAGAACCTGGAGTCCGATGTTAGAGGGCAGGAAGTGTCCAGCATGGGAGAAAGATGTAGGCTGGGAAGCTAGGCCAATCTTACCTTTTCATGTTTTTCTGCCTGCTTTATATTCGCTAGCAGCTGATTAGAAAGATGGTACCCACCAGTATTAAAGGTGGGTCTGCCTTCCCCAGCCCACTGACTCAAATGTTTATCTCCTTTTACAATGCCCTCACAGACACTTCCAGTAGGTCAATACTTTGCAGCCTTCAACCCAATCAAGTTGACACTCAGTATTAACTGTCACACCACCCTTGCACTAAAGGTATACATACACCCACTAGGGCATGGTCAAGGTCAGAGATCTGGGCCAGACAGGAACTGAAGTAGATGGTTGGCCCTAACCACTGAACCACCTGCCTGCGGCCTCCTCCCATCAGAAGAGAGTAGAGCCTGTTTGGCCAGAGTGGAATGGTGGCAGGAAGCAGAGGTACTTTCCGGAGCGCTGGGGTCTGAATGGGTCCATTGAGGCTGGGCCCTGCTGCTTCCTGTAGGGCTGAGTGGGAGAGGCTCACAGAGGCTGCCTTGTGCAGCTGGAGCGCATAGCCAGGGAGGCCCCCACTCCAACAGAGGCCTCTGAGGCCTTGCTGGCCGGGGCTTTGGAAACTCTGACAGCGCTGCTTCCCTCACCTCCTGATCTCCTTTTTCTGCCCCTCTTACACTCTCTGAGGGGCTGCAGTTGCAAGAACCCAGAATCTCTGTCTTGGAGGTAGTGGGCGGGGGGCAGTTGAAGAGGGGCTTTGAATGGAGAGGGTCTGCACAATAAAGATGTAATAAGCTAGGAGTCAATCCAGAGGACTTCCTGGAGGAGGTGATGGTGGTGTAGAGTCACAGAGAGGGAGGAACAGGCAGTCTCAGAGGACAGCAGCAAGGCCAAGTGAGAGACTGGCAGAGGTATACAGGTCCCCGTTGGCTGGGGTGAGGAGGGTTTCTGCTCCCTCACCCCCCAGAGCCTCTGGCTTATCACAGGATAAGAGCCAGCTAAGCTCCAGGGGCTTTCCAGGAAAAGTGTCTCTTGGAAAGGGTGTGACCTTTTCATCGGTCCTGACAGCACCCTAGAAATAGCTTGGCCTTTTCCCTCCCCTGAGCTCCACAGAGAACACAGCCAGCAGAAGACACATTCCCTGTCATCCAGAAATGGGTTTGATTCTCAGCTGAGGGACAGCAGGACTGGTAGAGACTGTCAGGCCACACAGCTACCTACAGAGCACCCCCATGCTTGGTCGGGGGTGGGAGGGATGGCAGGGTCTGGCTGTCCACAGGCCGGGCATGACAGTGGGGCGCACTGGAAGTGGCGCACTTTGGAGGGGCAATGTCAGGGGAGAGCTTCCTCTTGTTGGGCCACAAGACTCCACAAGGACAGCACGGTGACTGATTCCCAATGCTAGAGGCGAGGCAATCGGTCATGTGTAGGTGTATGTGTGTGTGTGTGTGTGTGTGTATATACACACACATATGTGTGTATATATATATGAGGGTGTGTGTATGTGTGTGTATACATAATTTATTTATTTAGATGGAGTCTTGCTCTGCCACCCAGGCTGGACCTCAGTGGTGCGATCTCGACTCACTGAAACCTCTGCCTCCTGGGTTCAAGCAATTCTCCTGCCTCAGCCTGCCGAGTAGCTGGGACTACAGTCACCTGCCACCACACCGGGCTAATTTTTGTATTTTTAGTAGAGATGAGGTTTCACCATATTGGCCAGGCTGGTCTCAAACTCCTGACCTTGTGATCTGCCTGCCTCGGCCTCCCAAAGTGCTGGGATTACAGGTGTGAGCCACAGCACCCAGCTATTTATAGATATTTATAGAATATGACCTCAACTATTTAAACATATCTGTAAGGGTATAAGTACTTTGATAACAAAGAAGCAATACATACTGATAGAAACTAGCTATCATGTCAACAGTACTTATATTAGGTAGAGAAATTATGTGAGATTTTTATTTTTTTATATTTTACTAATCTTCTCAATAATGGTTGCTTATAAGTTTTATAATCAAGAAAAAAGATTTCTAAAGTTTTTGCAAAATGGAAAGTTATGCTTCTTTATATACTAAAGACAAAAACAAAACTTCCTATTTGAATACCTTTGACTTTTACTGCAGACTTACAGACCCTTGAAAGAAAAGGCAATTCCCTCCCACTAGTTCTGGTGTCATTCTCCCCATCTCTCCCTTCACTTCCACCTTGGTCTTCTTTCTACTTCCCACCTTGGCTAGTGGTCTCCACCCAAAATGCTTGCTTGGCTTAATGGTTAGAATTCAGGGAAAAAGAGATCCCGAATTGCTAATCTAAACTAAGATTATACATGTGGGAAATAATAAAGAGAAACCAGGTAGTAAATAAGATTTGGAGGACTTAAAATACCCAGACTTTAATTCCTCTAAGATTATAGTTATTAATCATGTTTTTATATAATATTATCATTTAACATTTAATTTCTAAATATAATGTTCATGAGGAAAAGAGAAAATAGCTTGGTTTCTTTCCTTACCGAACTGTTGTCCTTAGTATCTTCTAGACGTTCCAGAACTGATGTCAGATTTGGCTCATCAGAGTCCACAGACCATATCGGTGAAGAAGATGAATAGGATTCCTGTTTAACCCAGAGACACCTATGTTAAATGTTTACATACAGACTAACCCAAATATGCAATTAAACCACACCACTAAATGGCAAGATGACCATGGATTTAAACAAAATGTATGGGGGAAAAGGCAACACGTTTAAACCCATGTGAGGAGCTGGACTTCTGAGACAGCCATTCTCCTTGCATAGCACTGTCTGCTGCTACAGCTCATAGAAGTCAACAACTTTCTTCAACACTGGTAGGCAGCCTTTAAATGGCCCTGATCACCCTCACCTCCTGCCATTCACACCCTTGTAAAATTCCACCCCTGGACCTAGTGACTCACTTCTAACAAAGAGAATACAGCAAAAGTAACATCGCTTCTGAGGTGAGGCTACAAGGAGACTACGATGCCTGCCTTAGTCACCCTTCTCCTGCTCTTTCCATTGCTCCCTCTGATGGAAGCCAGTTGCCATGTGATGAGGTGCCCTATGGAGAGGCCCACGTGACAAGGTATTGTAAAAAGCCTCTGACCAATAGCCATCTAGAAACGGAGGCCCAGTCCAGCAGCCTCTGAGATGAATCCTGCCAACCTGAGCTTGGAGACAGATTCTCTCCCTATCCTGCCTTGGGATGATCACAGCCACCACCAACACCTTCACTGCCTGGTGAGAGGCCAAGCCAGTGAACCCAAGGTAAACTGGACAGAATCCTGACCCACAGAAACTGAGATAATGTTTGTTATTTTAAGCTGCTCAATTTGTTACAGAGCAATAGATAACTAACTCAAACACCATAAAATTCTAATATTTTATTCTATCACACAAACCAAGTAATACCAAGTAAATGCCATTACTATACATATATTTTTGTAACACAATTACATGTGATTTTTTAAAAAAGCTAATGAACTATGCATTATGTGCTTTCACCCACTAACAGACGTTCCCGCTGTTACTTTGTACTGTTCTCTATTATAAATTGGGGAAAAACCATTATTATTATATATTAGTTTCAGAATAACTAGGTTCAAGTCACAGAAAACAATTTTGCACAAACAACTTTAGGCAACACTGCTTTGAAAACTGTAATCTGAGTTAAAGCTGAAGCCACAGAAACCAAATATTTACTGAAGGTTCCTTTTTAAGAAAAGCAAGATGGGCCGGGCACGGTGGCTCGCGCCTCTAATCTCAGCACTTTGGGAGGCCGAGGTGGGCGGATCACGAGGTCAGGAGATCGAGACCGTCCTGGCTAACACGGAGAAACCCCATCTCTACTAAAAAAATACAAAAAAATTAGCTGGGCGCGCTGGCGGGTGCCTGTAGTCCCAGCTACTCAGGAGGCTGAGGCAGGGGAATCACTTGAACCCAGGAGGCAGAGGTTTCAGTGGGCCGAGATGTCCACTGCACTCCAGGCTGGCGATAGAGCAAGACTCCATCTCAAAAAACAAACAAACAAAAAGAAAAACAAGTTGTATTGATGGAGGACATCATTAACAGTATATCTCTTCAATAATGGTTTATTTTACTATTCTCATTCTTCTCATTCCTCTCTTACTGTGTTCCAAATCTCTTTACAGGCTAAAAGAAACTCTTCAGAATTACTCCTATTCTTTTTTTTCTTTTTTGAGACCGAGTTTCGCTCTTGTTGCCCAGGCTGGAGCGCAGTGGCACGATCTCAGCTCATCACAACCTCCACCTCCCAGGTTCAAGCAATTCTCCTGCCTCAGCCTTCCTGAGTAGCTGGGATTACAGGCATGTGCCATCATGCCCCACTAATTTTGTATTTTTAGTAGAGACGGGGTTTCTCTATGTTGGTCAGGCTGGTCTCGAACCCCTAATCTCAGATGATCCACCCACCTCGGCCTCCCAAAGTGTTGGGATTACAGGCATGAGCCACTGCGCCCAGCCAACCCTATTCTTAAAGAACACCAGTTCCTCAGTATTGCATTTTCTTCTATAAATTCTTCAGCATACACTGAGAATACACCATATGGACTATTTTTACACTTTTAATTTTCGTTTTTTTTTACTTTTGGCTAAGGAAATTTCAATTAGATTTAGGACTTCATTCTGTTAGGTTAGTATTTTCTAGTAAACTTCAGCATAAGCAAAATAAAATACGTGTTGTTGCTCTGGACTGAAACCCCTCAAAACCATATTTTAAAAATTACAAAAAAAAATTAACTGAAATCAAGTTTTTAAAAACCTTGTAGATGAAAAGATATGATATCTAGTACGTCTAAGTACCTATTTCAATGGTTCCCAAAGTGCGGCCCTCAGACCCCCAAGTCCAAACTATTTTGACAGGAATACTAACATGGTGACATTTGCTGTAAGTGTGCAAATACAATGGTGGGTAAAAATGCTGGTACTTTAGCACAAACAAAAGCAGTAACACCAAACTACTAGTAGTCATGGTATTCTTCATTATGCACAGGAAAGGTTTAAAAAGGAAGGGTGGGTGGGACATGGTGGCCTACACCAGTAATCCCAGTGCTTCGGGAGGCTGAGGTAGATGGATCACTTAAGGTCAGGAGTTTGAGACGAGCTTGGCCAACATGGTGAAACCCCATCTCTACTAAAAATACAAAAATTAGCTCGGTGTGGTGGTGCATGCCTGTATTACCAAATACTTAGGAGGCTGAGGCAGGAGAATCACTTGAACCTGGGAGGCAGAGGTTGCCTTGAGCTGAAATTGCACCTATGTAACTCCAGACTGGGCAACAGAGCAAAACTCCATCTCCAAAAATAAAAATAAAAAGGAAGGGCAACAAAAGGTCAGTTTCATTTAAGAATGTCTATGATAAGTTTGGGAATTTTGGCTCATGTCTGTAATTCCAGCACTTTGGAAGGCCCAGGCAGGGGGATCCCTTGAGCCCGGGAGTTCAAGACCTGCCTGGGCAACCTGGTGAAACCTCATCTTTACAAAAAATACAAAAATTAGCTGAACACAGTGGCTGCATGCCTGTAGTCCCAGCGTCTTGGAAGGCTGAGGCAGGAGGATTGACTGAACCCAGAAAGTTGAGGCTGCAGTGAGCTGTGATCACGCTACTGCACTCCAGCCTGGGTGACAGAACAAGGCCCTGTCTCGAAAATTAAAAAAAAAAAAAAAGAATGTCTATGATGAAGCAGTGAATATTTTACTATATCTAAATCATTGAATATATCTTTTTAATATTTCAAGTGATGAAATGGGAAGTATACATGAGCATTCCTACAGGCTGCCTGAGGAAAAACCCTTGAGTGACTAAGTCATGAAGTGAATTAACCACTTTAATGGAATACCATTTTTACTTGAAAGGCTGACTGACAAAAAATGTTATTTTAACTCGCATTTCTGGCAGATATTTTCTCAAAACATGAGATTCTGTCATTTCAAGGAAAACAACAGACAGGCTATAATAAAATTCAATAACAAAATTACTAATAAAATTCAAGCTTTTGAACAAAAAATTAGAATTTTAGAAAACTTATGCCCACCATCGCTTTCCAAAAGTATTCTGATGAGATTGATGGTGGTACTGATGAATGTATTTTGATACTGTACAAATGTATCAACATGTAGAAGATCTTAGTGAACCACTGTTTTATAAGTGACCAATGCACGATGTTGTAATATCATGCAAGGGTGGAAGATCCAAAGTTCAAGAAAAACCAAGATTTGATGGAGTATCAAAAAAGAAGCCTAGGCAACATGGCAAAACCCTGTCTCTACAAAAAATACAAAAAGTTAGCCAAGTATGGTGGTACACACCTGTAGTCCCAGCTACTCTGGAGGCTGAGGTGGGAGGATCACCTTAGTCCCTGGAGACTGAGGCTGCAGTGAGCTGTGATCACACCACTACCTTCCAGCCTGGGCAACAGGGCAAGACCTCATCTCAAAAAAATATATATATCCACAATGATCTAAAATGGTTATCTGTATGAGATTGGCCTTTGTTCACATTTTTTCAAGAAAATATCACACAATAAATTGAATGCAGAAGCAAACTGACATATCAATTTGCTAATGACATATCAAACATCATGCAAATGACATATCAAACATCAAAATAATTTGCAAAAGATGTAAGACTGTACTACTTTGGGTTTAGAAATTTTCTTTTCATAAAAGCATTTATAACAATATGTGGTGAGCTTTTAAACAATATTTTAAATATTTCTGATTTAATTTCTAGTGATAAATACCAATAGATATACCCTACATAAACCAAAGCTCCTTGGGACCTCAATGTATTTTTAAGAGTGTAAAGGAATCCTGACCCCAAAACTTGGAGAACTGCTGCCTTCCCCTCCACTTTCTTCCTTCTCTAGAATTTCTTCCTTGGAAGAAACATCCCTTTGCCATTCTATATTAACTTACATAGTTCCACTGAGGCAAGTTTTGCTACCTCCCTCCCATCTTTCCACCTCTCTCTCAACACAAAACCTGACCAAAGCATTCTACCAGCCCACCCCATTTCCAGTGATTAGCTGTCAGATGGGCTAAGCCAAACAAATCTGGGTTTTCCCTGAGACTAGACCTCTCTTTCTGGGAGAGATGGAATCACAGGGACAAGGTTGGCCACCTTGGGGTAGTGAGAATTCATCCTGCCTAAACAGGGAGAATTCAAACAAGTTTCTAGAAAGCCAAACTACTTTCTAGAAAGTCAAAGATAATTATATTTTTTGCCATGACTGTAAGAATGCCCATTTCATTGCACACTTTCTAACATTTTTACCAATCTGATAAATAAAAGCTGGTACTGAGATGAAAAAAAGGCTGGGCACAGTGGCTCACACCTGTATTCCCAACACTTTGGGAGGCTGAAGTGGGCAAATCACCTGAGGTCAGGAGTTCAAGACCAGCCTGGCCAACATGGTGAAACTCCGTTTCTACTAAAAATACAAAAATTAGCCAGGCATGGTGGCATGCGCCTGTAATCTCAGCTACTCGGGAGGCTGAGGCAGGAGAATTGCTTGAACCCAGGAGGTGGAGGTTGCAGTGAGATCACGCCATTGCACTCCAGCCTGGGTGACAAGAACAAGACTTCATCTCAAAAAAAAAAAAAAAAAAAAAGAAAAAAAAAGTTCCCATACAATATAATTTCTTCCATCTCTGGAAACAAATTCAGCAATGAGAACTGAAAGTCACCACGTGGAAGGTTTCAAGGATTTACGTCTACCTACTGATGTCTAAAGCATTAGTTAAGTTACAAAAAAATACGCACACACGCGCACGCACACACACACATACCCGTATGTATTCAGTACCAGAAAACATGACTGACTACATGGTAAAGTCATCCAACAGAAAGCACACAATAACTGAAGGCAATGTAGAGGAGTAAGTTATAACATGGATCTACAATACTGTTGAGTGAAAAAGCAGATTACAAACAAATATCTGATTTTTAAGGGAGAGGAAACATATACAAGCACAGGAGAAAAGAGGTGAGCAGATGACTGGAAAGATACAAATTTCTGACAGTGGCACCTTCTGAGTGGTAGAATTACATAGGTAATATTTTCTAGTTTTGCCTAAAAGTTTTCTAAATTTCTTAAAATAAGAAGGTTTTGTTTTCCATATTACAAAATATCCATCACCCCAGGAAATTTAACCTTTGGCACAAACTCTACAACATGTTCAAAGTTTGTTCAGTTGAATATTTAAGAGACAATCTATTTTGAAAGACATTTAAAATGACCAATATTTAAACCTATGCATTAATATTTTTCAATCACGTTTTAAATTTTGTAATTTTGATAAGTTTTAGATCCATCTTGAAAAGATAAATTTTCTGTTTGTCTTTAAAATATTACCTACAATATGCCTGTTTTTATACAGTTAATGGTGCTCAAAAATCGCAATATAAATTCAGGCAGTGTTCCTTCTATAGAATGTGTAAGTGCTTCTAATACTGCTCTTTTTCACCAGTTATGAAAACACGGAACAATTATCTAAGCATCTAATTATTCAGGTCCTTTGTTTCTCCTCCATTCTGTTAGTTTTATACTAATTTCAAGGCCTGTGAGGATGAAGTTGTCTGTGACAGCTACCACAAAGGTTACTATAAGCAGACAAATTTCCAGCAAGTTTATCACCACTACCATCCCACCATAAAACTGTCTCAATCAAGGGCAACACAATTCAAGGTTAGTCAAGACAACCTCTTTACCTGTCACTGCTTAAGAAAAGGATTTTTTGGTCTTATTTAGAAATAACTTTATCTATTTTTCTCCATAATTCCACTGAGACCAATGTGTGCCTCTATCTCAAGCACCAGCAAGCAAAACTGCCTGCCAGTATGTTCAGTTTTTGTATCTTTCCAAATGTAGGGCACAGCTATCTTTTGATATCATAATTTTTTGAAAACTGATGCACAAACTTCTTCTTGAAAGTTCAGCCAGGTGCGGTAGCTCACACCTGTAATCCCAGCACTTTGGGAGGCTGAGGCAGGCAGATCACGAGGTCAGGAATTCAAGACCAGCCTGGCCAACATGGTGAAACCTGTCTCTACTAAAGCTACAAAAATTAGCCAGGTGCGGTGGCAGGTGCCTGTAATCCCAGCTACTCAGGAGGCTGAGGCAGGAGAATTGCTTGAACCTGGGCAGCAGAGGTTCCAGTGAGCCAAGATTGCACCACTGTACTCCAGCTTGGGTGATAGAGTGAGACTCCATCTCAAAATAAAAAATAAAAAAAAGAATTTCAGATATACAGCAGTTGTAATTCTTCTGAAGGCTGCTTATGGGACACATTACTTTCATAATTTGCTGTTCAATAAATGTGGGGTGGAGAATAAAGTAAATTGACAGAATTACCATATAAAATAAAATTCTAAGTCCTCTGACAACAAAAACTTACACACACACACACACACACACACACACACAGCTTTCCCTGCTAATCATTTTACAACAACCAAGTAGCTAACCCAGAGCCCACAAAAGCAGAGTCAAAATTCTAACACTTGGTAAAATAAAAATGCACATATATCCCTGTCACCTAAAAAAAAATGCTTACGTATTCAAGGACAGCAATTGTAGCTACTGAGAACATCATTGTAAGCAAACTGAGGCAGAGAAAACAAACGTGCTGATGAGGATTTGAAACACCTAAGCTGCAGAAACCCACTGGATGGTTTCCTAGGTTCCGAGTTGGCATTATCTTTCAGAACGATCTTCTAGAAGAGATCACATAACACTGTTACAAAGGATCTGGAGAAAGGGACCCTGGCTTCATCACTCTGGCTCTCCAGTCATGCTTTACATTTTCACTTCTTACACTCTCTTTCATAGGAAGTCAATTTACAGGCTTCCACCAAGCCCTTAAGAGACGTTTTTGTACTATCCATGACAAGTTCTTGATGTTATGTCTGCACTTCTGACAAATTCTTAGCAGTTAACTTACTAGGCAGTTAAGGTTTTTGTTCAAGCACAATATAGCTAGAATAGGGTCATACATTCAATAAAACAAATATTTACCAAGCATTTATTGAGTGGAAGATAAAAAGCACAAAGCATAATTATAAAACATTCTCCCCTGCCACCATAAAAATTTTTTTAAAGCCTTACAGAATATAGCATAACATAACCAAAGCAAAAATAGGACTAAAGAGGGGAGGAAGGGGAAATATCAGCATGAATTAAATATGACCCAGAAGAGCCTTGATGGTCAGACACGTAAAGACAAATTGGGTAGGGTTAGGGGGTGGCTGTCAGGGGCACATTCTACAGGGGAAAAACAGCTGATACAGAAGCCTGAAAGGAAAAGCGGGCAGAGCACCTGGACAGGACTCTTACCTGCTGCATCCAGGGTACAATGCGCCTTTCCAGAACACAGCAGCGACCCGGGGTAGAGGGATCGCTCAAACAGCACCAGAGGCTGCATTCCAACTTTTCCTCCATCAACGAGTCCGTTTTCATTGTTAGTTTCTCCTTAAACACGATTGGCTGAACATGCGGGAACAAGGAAAACCTGACTGAAGAACGAGGCATTTAAGCTTAAGGGCCTTGGATCTGGGCGCGGTGGCTCAGGCCTGTAATCCCAGAACTCTGGGAGACAGAGATGGGTCATTTGAGGTCAGGAGTTCGAGACCAGCCTGGCCAACATGATGAAACCCCATCTCTACTAAACAACACAAAACTTAGCCAGGCGTGGTGGCGGGCGCCCGTAATCCCAGCTACTCGGGAGGCTGAGGCAGGAGAATCGCTTGAACCCACAGACTGTCAAGAGATGGAGGCTGCAGTATGCCGAGATCGCTCCACTGCACTCCAGCCTGGGCGACAGAGTGAGACTCCATCTCAAGAAGCGCCTGCCACCATGCCCGGCTAATTTTTGTATTTTTAGTAGAGACAGGGTTTTACCATGTTGGCCAGGCTGGTCTAGAACTCCTGACCTCAGGAGATCCAGCTGCCTCAGTCTCCCATAGTGCTGGGATTACAGGAATGAGCACTGCGCCCGGCCAAAAAACCGAAAATCTTAAAGGCCTTTCCCCTTCCCTCACTGGGCTCAAACAACAGCGGGAGCCGCCCTGCCACGCCCCGTCGCGGTCCAGGGGAGCAGGCTAGCTGACTGAGGGCGATCATGGGCCCCAAAAGGTCTGCGGGCGACGCGGGCTCCCACCTCAGGGCGCAGCGACTGGGGCGAGAGGTGCCGGCAGCCCCCAAGCCAGCCCCGCGGCAAGGAGCCAGAGAGACGCGCCCTCCCCCTCCTCCCACGCAAGCCTCACACAGCGGGGCGGGCCAGACGCGGGAGAAAGGGGCGCGCTCGCCCCGCCTGGGGAACCGGGGCCTCTCCCGGGCAGGCTCCCCTTTGTCCCGGGACTCTGGGCGCCTCCTCTCCGCCCTCGCCCTGCCCCGTGAGGCCGCCACTGGGCGCCTCACCGTGATGTTGCAGTGGAGCGTGAGCTGCGGCGGGGGCTCCTGGTTCTTGTGGAAGATAGAGGCCAACAACCTCAGCTTGGCCTTGAACCCTCACACGGACATTTTACTCTCACCTCTGGCGGGAGGGGCGCGGAAGGTGAGCCCGTCGGGAGCCGCTGTCACGGCCGCAACCACCCGCGGGACCTCTCGGCGGCGCTCTCCCAGCTCCGCCTCTCCCTGCTGCCTCAACTCTATTCGGAGTAGGGCTGGAAAATGGCAAGGGGCACCGAGGCCTCTGCGGGGAGCTGTGTGGCGGCCTGGGCGGCTGCTCCCCTTGTAACAGACTCCACCGACAGGAGACGCTGCTCCTGTCAAGCCGCAGCTTAAAAGGGCAACAGCACCACAGTCCCCGCTACCGCCTGGGAAAGGGCTGCCCCTACCCCGCTCCCGTCCCTCTCGCCCCTCACACCCGTCGCCCCTCACCCCTCAACCCGCGCGCCCCCTGCGCACCCGTTTCGGCGGCTGCAGGAGTCCAGAGCATGCGCGCGCTTCCGGCTGCCCCCTCCTCGCCTTGACCCAGCACTGCTGGACCCATCTGGTCCGTTCTTCACACTCGCGGACTGGAGGCTCCGGGCAGCACAACCACCAACTCGTGTGTGTGTTGGGGTGGGGGTGGGGGGCAGAAAACCACCAACTCGTGTGTGTGTGTGTGTGTGTGTGTGTGTGTGTGTGTGTGTGTGTGTGTCTCCCAAGGGAACAGCACTGCTGAGTTCAGGCTATCAGCTCATGGACTGTCAGCAAAATACAGTCACAAGAAGGCTATGTGCTGTTTTGTCTCTTGCAGTGACGTCATGTTGCTCATGTTTTATGTTTTTCAGAGTTCATTAGTTTCTGTTTGCTCTCAGTTAATATCCAGCTCAATAGATTGTGTAAGTAGAATACCCCCAAACTGAAAGTCACCTACATAAAATATAGTGAAAAATATGTCACCCACTTAAACTATAGTTGAAAATATGTACTCATTAGTTTTGTGTAGCCAACACTGGATAATGGGTAAGGGGAAAGGATCCCAGGGCTAGACTGCCTGGGTTCAAGTTCCGATTTCCTGCTGGCTGTGAAATACTTGACAGCGTTCAGCCTCTGTTTCTTTTCTTTTCTTTTTTTTTTTTAGCTTAATCCCAAATATGATAGTAAGTCTCAGTTTCTTGATCTGAAAAACAGAAATTATTCAATGACAGTCTATGTGAAAACTTTAAAGTTTTCAAAGCCACTATCTAGCTTAGGAAAGTCCTCAGCTTTAGGGGTTAAAGTTTTTAAAACCACTGCCTGGTTCAGGAAAGCCCTCAGCTGTAGCCATTATTAGCTATGATTATTATTGTGGTGGCTACACATACATTAATGAGGCAGGAAAATGCTCAAGGATAACAAGCAAGTATCCAGATTATCTCATCAGACCAAGACAGATGCATATGCATGCATGATCATGTTTTAGCTCAGAGCCATTTGTCTAAAAGGCTCTTGAACTCAGAGGCCCAGGAGTATCAACTTTGCTTTGCAGTGGAGCCATCGCTTTTGTTAATCAATGAAATTGACATAATGCTCTTCTTTTTTTTTTCCTTTTTAGCACCAACCATGTGCCTAGAGCTAACTGTGTTAAGAAGAGCATGCTTCAAGTGGCTGGAGTGAGCAATTCAACTTGTGGAGGAATGAGAAGTGACAGTGTTGAGACAAGCAACATAAAACCCCAGGGTAAGGTAGAAATCACTGAAAGTCAGGCAAAGGAACTGGCGTCCAGTAATGAGTCAGGCTTTGCCAGCCTCTGGCCCTACAGATGGCTCTTTGCAGAGGAAAAAATTAAGCCAGGCCCGAGGGCACAGATCCTAAGGGAATGCTGGCAGCTCTAGGCTGTCTATGAGAGTCCAGAGATGCTGCTTCACCCTGGGGCTTTAGGCAAGTCCCTTTCCCTCCCAGAGCCTCAGCATCCCTTCTAGCAAATGACGTTCTGCCTTTCTCCTAGGATGGCTGTGGGGATCAAGGGAGACAGTGGCCATAGGGATACTATGTTAACTGCAGATGCGGCTGTAGGAGCACTTTGCTAACTTCCAGCGTGAGTTCAGACTCTTCAGGCTATTTGGCACCCAGATCTATGGTGAGGTGTGACATATGGGATGTAAAGTTTGATGCCTGCTCCGACTCCAGTCTTGCTAACACACACGAAACCTTTGGTAAATCATGACCCTGCCTTGGGGAAAAGGGCAGTCTGGGAGAGCTTCTTCAAGGCAGCCTGGCTTCAATGCAGTCTGGGGCATGACTGAGGTAGGCATACATGGTGAGGAACTGGAGGGTAACTGGGTAAAGAGCTGCAGTGTGGGCAGAGGTGTAGTGTGGGTCACATCGCGGATAGCCACTGGCCAAAGCAGGGAACAGAGACAGAATGAGGAAGAGCTCTGTGGGGAGGGTGGGGCACAGGGTGGAGAACCTTCAAAGTCCAAAGAGTATGACTTGTTGGGATTCAACGCTGTAGGCAGTAGGGAGCCATGGAAGGCTCTGAGGTGGAGAAATGACAGCCGGACATTAGTGAGCAAGCCCTGTCTCCGTGAGCAGCATGGGTGGTCCTCTGAGCACGCCAGGCACGAGTGTGCAGGGAGCTGGTGCAAATGCCTCTGTGTGCGGGTGAGCATCTGTGTTGTGACTCTGCCCACGCATGTGCTTCAGCGTGCCGTGTGGCTGCACGCCCCAGATCCATGTGGCACGTGCCGGCCGGTGAGGGTGCTGGGCATTGGGAGGTGGCGGGGAGGGCGACGTATGCGTGTTGTTTGTGGGCATGTGTGTTAGCGTGTGCATGTGGGCCGTGGGGCCTCACAGCATGTGTGTGCACAATCTGGCGTGTGCGTGTGTCCCCCACCCCCAGGCCTGCCCCACCCATGCATGTGACCTGCCATGTGATTTGAAGCTGTCTTTCAGAATCACTATCAGTGGCCCCTGAGGAGCGTCAGCCATGGTAGGTACATGCCTCACTGCCTGCTGCATGAATGGTCTGCCTGCCCCGCTGCCCCAGCTCCACACAGGGGGCATACCTGGAGCCTCAGAGCCAGGCTCCCTGCCCCTCCCTTCTGGAGCTGCAGACTTGCTCTTTCCTCTTTCTGTCCTTGTGCTGCTGGCTGTCTCACTTTGCTCCCTGTGAGCCACGGGACTCAGTGCCACTGCTCAAGGTCTCCATGGCTGAGCCTGGGGGCTCTTACAACAGGCTCCATGCCGAAGGTGGCAGATGTGGAACCATCAGAGAGGGCACAGAGCTCATGGTTTATGGTGTAGGGGCTGGGAGCTTGGAGGGGGTTGTGTGGGGGGCTGGACTCAGGCGGCCAGAGGCCTGGGCACATCATCCTGGGCACGCCGTACCTGTCATGCAGTCTGAGTCATGCTGCCAGGGCAGGTATCCAGCTCCCAGCCTGGGAGTGCCAAGAGCCAAATCCACTGCAGATTAGGGGTGATAGTCACGGTCCCACGTCCTCTATCTGTCAGCAATCCAGTGGTGATCTAGGATAAAAGCCTGAGAGTCCTATACACGCGGTCATCCCACAACACACTTCATAGGCCATGGAAGGACACACAGCCCCCTTCCCTCCCTCCCAGGTACCATGATAGCTGCTAGCGTGCGACTGAAGGCAGGGTCCCTGGCCCCTGCTGAAGCACTACTGCTGGCCAGCAGGCTCACGCACCTTGGCCTGTTGCTTCTAGGGGTCGCCTGTGCTATTCAGCCAATAGTGCTGCTGGCCCAGCTGAGCTCCACCTAGAGAGCTCACTTCCCTTTCCTGCCGTGGAGTCTCCCTCTTCTGCTTTTCCCAGCAGGAAGGGCCCAGCCTCACCTATGTAACCTGCAGCCCCCCGCCAACCAGTTGAGGCTGCCCTGTTAGACTTAGAAGTCTATGGCCAATGGCATCTGGCTACCTGCCCTCCCTGCCTTCCCCAGGGTCCCTCAGAGGACCCTGGGCTTTCTGATGGCCCAGAGGGGCCTCTGGCATTCACTCCAGCCAGCCATCCCTTATAGCTCCACCATTTTGGTTCAATCAGTGTTCCTTCTCTATCAGGTCTGGTGGCTGTTGGATGGGGCTCTCCAAGCAAGAGGTGGCCCTGGGCCGTGAGTTGGAAGACAGGGTGACCAGAGAAGAGAGAAGCCCGAGGGGGCTGAGCATTCATCTGAACTATGGGTGGACTGCCTGGGTGCCATGAAAGAGGCCAGCGTGTGTGGGGTGGGGAGGGCCGCCGCAGTCCCCAGGCACTACCTATGAAGCTCCGGCTTCTCCCTCCATCTTCCTCCCCTTTCTCTTCCAGCCCCTCTTTTCCAGGAACCTTGCCATGCCCACACCTACGCCCTCCCCTCCCCGGCCCTCCACAGCTGCTGCAGCGCACCCATACTCTGCACTTGCCTCACCAGCTCTGGCTTTTCTCTAACCCGTTTTCTCTCTGCTTTCTCTCCAACTGCCAGCTGATTGGGTCAGGCAAGTCCATCCCATCCGGGGAGCCCCAGGCCCCACTTCGACCTCTAAACAGATTCCTCCTCTTCTCAGAGACCTCCCTTTCCAAGCCTGCCTGGGTGGGTGTCCTGTGACTTGACAGTGGCTCCCCCAGCCCCAAAGCCAGCCCCCTTCTTCTGTGACTTAGTCTGTTGTAGTGGTGAGCTGACACGTCCAGGTTTGACCGTTGCTGAAACTTGTGCCCCCTCTGTGGTATGCCCCTGCCCTGTTCTATAAATAGCTATAAATTCTCTCTCTCACACACACACACACACACACATATATACATATATATACGTGGCCAACTGCCTCGCCTCTAGCACTGGGAATCAGTCCCCGTGCTGTGTTTGTGGAGTCTTGTAGCCCAGCAAGAGGAAGCTGTCTCCTGACATCGCCCCTCCAAAGTGCACCACCTCCAGTGAGCTTCCGGGACATGCGCGGCCTGTGGACAGCCAGCCCCCGCCATCCCTCCCGCCCTTCTGGCCAAGCATGGCGGTGCTGTGCAGGCAGCTGTGTGGCCTGACAGTCTCTACCAGTCCTGCTGTCCCTCGGCTGAGAAACCCATTTCTGGATGACAGAGAATGTGTCCTCTGCTGGCTGTGTTCTCTATGGAGCTCAGGGGAGGGAAAAGGCCAAGCCATTTTTAGGGTGCTGTTGGGAGCAGTGAAAAGGTCACACCCTTTTCAAGGGACACTTTTCCTGGAAAGTCCCTGGAGCTTAGCTGGCTCTTACCCTGTGAAGCCGGCTCTGGCCACTAGGGGACAGGGCCCTGAACTCAGCCTGGAGGGAACCTGCGGGGCAGCCGGCACTCTGGAGGGACAGACAGGCCACCCGGTGCAGACAGGAGAGGGAGGCAGGGGGACAGAACGGAAGACACCTGGGGTGGATGGAAGTCAGTGCCCTTGGGCACTGGTATCTGTCTTCCCTGCCACAGCTAGATCAGGCTTCTCAACCAGTTGGCTGTCAGGGCCAGAGTGTACTCCGTAGGCGCCATGGCAGTCCCCATGAAATCCACCAGGTGTCACCAGGCAGCATACAGGTAACAGGCCTGGAAGGTCCCCAACAGCCCAGCTGGACATGCTGAGACACTCTGGGGCTCCTCATTCAGTGGGACAAACTGCAGGACCCAGTGAGGGAAATGGGAACATACCAGGCCGAGCAGTATGGCTAAATCCATTTATTCCAAAATCAAAAGCAAAAAAAAAAAAAAAAACAGGAGTCCCATCACCAGGGAGCCATGACCCCATCCCCGCCTCCTTCCTCGCTCCTATGCTAGCAATAAATAAGTTTCCCAGCCGCGAATAATTATAAGAACCTCTTCCTCATATGCCAGCTGCAACCTCCGCTAGGTACAATACAGAATGTTACACAGCTACAGTATGTACACGGGGGAAGGGGGGCCACCCCCAGCAGCCTGTGCCCTGGCCTGGTCTACAGTTAACTCCACTGTCCCGCCTCAGCTGCCTCTCTGAGTAAGAAGATGGGAGCCCCCCTGAGGGAAAAGTTGCTTTGGTGAGAGTAAGAAGGCCATCAGACCTCCTCCAAACAAACCAACTCCACCAACCTCTGGCTCTTAAATAACAAACATCATCATCCAGAAATGTAAGGACTCAGCCTTGGTCAAGGTGGTAAAGGGTCTGTTTGTCTCCCTCCATTAGACAAGGGTCTTGTCTTGCTACCCTAATGGTAAAGGGCTGACTGGGGAGGGGCTGTAGGGACATGGTGGGGGTGAAGACTCCAGACCCACTTCTCCAGGCTTATGCTGACAGGGGCCTGCTTTTATTTATTTTTATTTTTATCCCATGACTTTTTTTAAATCCTGTAACTAATTTTTCATAACTTTTTAAAATAACTTTTCATAAAACTTTTTTTTTACTTTTTTTCCACAACTTTTTTTTGCCACTTTTCCACAGTATTTTTTTATCCTGTAACTTTTTCATCCCACAACTTTAATTCCTGTTAACTTTTTTAGTTTGTGTTCTTTTAATAAACACACTTACATAGTTACAATTTTGTAAGAATAAAAACCGATTACCTCATGCCAAGCATGCCGAGAATTTGCAGAGTCTCAATACCCAGTACTATAGTTTTCAAGACACACAAAATTTTTAGGCAAAACAGCACCTTGAAACAATTTAATAATGTATTACATTATAGTAGCATCACAGCAGCAGTCAATAATGCCACTTTAGACAAAAATCAGTATTTCCATTATGCATTCTGTGTATAAGAATTCATAAATCGGTAAAAGTCATTCTAAGAAAACTTGGCAAATACAGCTTTGGACTGGAATTGGCATTTCTTTGTCTACTTTTCCTTCCCCTAGATTCTTTGTTTTAAACTACAGTATTCATATTTTAAAATGTTTTAAATTATTTTAAGACGTTAATATAGCAGTTACATTTTTGAATAGTTATTTGAAAGTGACTGTAAGATAAAGTTTTAGAGAATCTATTATGGATAGGGTTGATTTACATTTTCACATTTTCTAAAAATCAGCTTTGGTTTTAGAACTGATTGTTTTTCATTTTGGGAAAACCTACCAGGTTTAATCAATTACTTTAAAAATAATTATCATATTTTGCAGTCTTTAAATAGGTGTTTTGATTCTTTACTCCCTACAGAAATTCAAATTTATTCAGTTGAAGTCACATTTTAAAATTCTATGTTCCTGCTGAACTCTAACCTTCTAATGTTGCCTTCTAAGCAAATTAAAGGCTGCCTTATACTGAATGAGGTAGAGAACAAATACTTGGCTGAATGAGGTACTGCAAAAGACTGCATGCACTTTGAAGAAAGACTTGTCATAGTTATTGTCATAGTTATTGTCATAGGATTTCCATTCTCTTTAGCTTTTTCTTAAACATATGACAAAATACCTACACAGAGAGTGGTATTTGAGTTAATATAGTACATTTATTTTTCAGACTGACATTCAGCTTAAATATGCCAGTATGTGATTTAATCCACAGGTACCTGATGAACACATTATTGTCAGATTGGTTACAGTTGCTAAATGCTATCTGAAGGTCATTCCTAGTCATTTATACGTGTCAGGGTAAAAGTGAAGCGATTTGAACTATAAAAATACCTTTGAAATAATTTATCAATGTATTAGGTAAGCTCAGTTTCAGAATGATAAACTGTTAGACCAAATAATGTGGCTAATTAACAGTGGTACGATTTCTAGCCTGAGGGTTTAAAATGGGCTTAAAGTAACTGTCTTTAAACTGAACTCAAAGAATGCAAAAGCGGCAAGTTCAGACAAGGCAAGAACAGGACCTTTAGTCCATTTTAAGCCATAAATATTACACAAAATATGCCTCTAACTGAAACTGAGAGGTATAAAAACATATTTCACTCTTTGTAAAGAACTTTGTGAGGAAATATAACTCTGTGATTGTATAGACACTTTCCTCATGACACTTTGACATTCACGAACAGTAGATTGTGCTGCAGTTTGTAAACGTTTTACGTTGCATAAACTGCTCCTTGATTTTCAAATGTAGTATAATACTGTCTACTAAAACTCCTTTTTGTTTCAACTAAGTACTCTCACATATATTAGTTTATAATAATGTTTGTTATTATTTTTAAAGTGTTCTCCATTCAAGGAAAAGAAGTAAATTCCTATGTCAGATGGTTGAAGACTAGCTATTAGCCAGAGAGGTCTAGATGGTAAAATCCATCTTCTAGCCTCAAATAAGCTCCATGAACACAGAGGAATGCCAGGTGTCACACAGCTTTCCTTCACTCGAATTCATTCTTGACTAGAGCCTGTATATGCCTGTTCCAGGGGCATTTAAACTCTTAAAGGATTTCTTCTGATCTTTACTAAATACATTAAGGAGAACGCCAACCAGTGCCCTTTTGTGTACTGGGACATGTAGTCATGTGATTAAAACAGGGAACATGAACTCTGACTTTAAAATGTATTGTAGATATAAATGCTCTCAGCTAGAAAAGGTTTTCCACATCCACAGTCATGATGGGAGCCTTTCATTCCTCAGAAATAATCCCTTTTCAGGTCATCAAAAAAGAGTACAACTGCCACAGCTCATGAGGCAGTATCTTCATGAGCCTAGAGCACATACAAATCCTAAGGGAACTACCGTAGTACAGCGCTCATTCTTGGCACCGGAACAAATGAAACATATTCTATCCTGCACACACCTGCCAAAGCAGGCCACTTTCCTCTTCTGGGAGATTTAAAAACCTCCCCAAAATGTTATTACTCCCATCCCCAATACACAGAAAAAGGGGGAAAGGCTGTTTCCAGAGGGCAAACCACATATTGAGCTAATGAAGAGCTCACTGTGATTAGGATTCGATCAAACATAACAGCAGAACATAAGGAAATTTTATCTGAATTCCGTAATGAATATACAGGCTGTACTAACATTAAAAAAGCATGGCAGCCTATCCCAAACCAGCAAGAACAGTTGTGTGCATACAGTGGGTCTTTGTGTGTTTGAACTCCCACCACATAAGGGCAAACTCGATATGCATGCTAACGTCCTATAATTATCAAATTAAAGAAATGCTAAAAGATGCCAGAGTGAACATGAGAGAAAGACCCACTCTCATTTAACTTTTTACAAATAAATTTAAATTATAAATTAGAAACAAAAATAAATTTAAACTATAAATTAGAAACACAAATAAATTTAAACTATAAATTAGAAACAAATAAATTTAAACTATAAATTAGAAACACAAATAAATTTAAACTATAAATTAGAAACACAAACATAAGTGGCTCTAACATTCAAATGAAGTAAATGAATTGTGTAGGATATTAACCCCTTAAATGTTTTGTTTTTTTTTTTCAATTTCTTGACCCGCTCTTAGATGATGGTGATGTTTAGCTCCCTGTTCTCGGCAGCCCGAAAAGAATGGCATGCAGCCTCTCCTGCTCCTCCTGCCGCCTCTCCTGTACCAACAGCTTCTCCACTCAAGCCTGGGTGCTCCTGGGGAGTCCTGCATTAGAGGAAGCAGCTGCTGGATCTGCTGTGCAGTGGGGTTGTCATGGGGGAGAACCCTCCCTGTCCTCTCCCGGTGCAGCCTCCATGCTATCAGTGAGGCTCAGCTCACTAAGATCTTCAGAGAGAGGGAGGGGGTGGGAATCTGGGCACAGTGCGAGCCTCCCCTGCTCCTGCCTGCCCACCCCGCCTGAGGGCTCTACTCACCACCCTGCTTGTCCGCACATCCAAGCTCCTTGTGGGACTGGGGCTCCAGCTACTGGTCTGGCTGCTGCTGCAGACTCGGAGCCTCTTGGCTCTTCAGCTCCACCTGCCGGAAGACCCTGGGCATGAGGACATGTGGTGGCTGGCTTCCAGATTCCTGGCCCATTAATAGGGTAGCGAGGGCACTGTGGGGCTCTGTGGCCTGCCCAGGCCCCTGGCCCCTTGCTCCAGGCCTAAGAGACTGTCTCCCTTGCTTAGAACCCCATGCCTCCTTCCCTAGCATCAAATCTCACGTCCTTTTTCCCAGCATGTAAACTGTAGGCCACAGACTGGTGGAAAAGCAGGCGGAGCCAACCACCATCTGCTAAGTGTGCTACATGCCTAATGTTTCCACGTATTACCTCATTTAATCCTCAGCACCTCTGCAAGGAAAAGGCTAACTTCCTTTTGAAGTTAAAGAAACAGAGACTTAGAGATGCAAAGTAGTTGAATTATGACCAGTGGAACCGAGGCCGGAATCCAGTTTGAATCTAAGGAGGCTTTTTTGTTTTTCTGTTTTGTTTTGTTTTGAGAGAGTGTCACTCTGTGTCCCAGGCTGCAGTGCAGTGGTGCAATCTCAGCTCACTGCAACCTTCATCTCCCGGGCTCAAGTGATTCTCGTGTCTCAGCCTCCTGAGTAGCTGGGATTACAGGCATGCACCACCAGGCCTGGCTAATTATTATTATTATTTTTAATTTTAGTAGAGATGAGCTTTCACCATGTTGGCCATGTTGGTCTCAAACTCCTGACCTCAAGTGATTGTCCTGCCTCAGCCTCCCAAAGTGCTGGGATTGCAGGCATGAGCCACCACACCCGACATAAGGAGCCTCTTATACCACTGTCTCTTCCTCTGTGATTGGGGGGCTCCATGCCTCTAGCTGGGATGATGATGTCCAGACCTGGGAGGACCCCAGGGCTACCCACCTCTAAAAGTCAGAGGGCAGGAAGCAAGAAACAGTCATAGGACTGCCCCGGAGGGTGCTGGGGTCACCTGTCCCCAGGCTGCAGCTGCCTGTGGCCTGGCACCTCCCCTCCCCAGAGGCTGGTGCCCGCCTCCCACATCTTCTTGGATGGGTCGGAGGTTACAGTCTCTTTCAGCTCACCCGACTTCTCCAGCTCCTTTACTTGCTGCTCCAACT
Organism: Homo sapiens; assembly: GCF_000001405.40. Lineage (NCBI taxonomy): Eukaryota > Metazoa > Chordata > Mammalia > Primates > Hominidae > Homo > Homo sapiens. The sequence continues at coordinate 82,434,893 of NC_000015.10, read as the reverse complement.
GCAGTGTGCTCTTGTTCTCGTTGTTCTGGACAGAAAGAAGCAATCAGTGGCCACCCACTAAAACTGGAGACCCCAGAACTTAGTGTCTGCCTCCCATGGCACCGGGAAGGGTGGAGGCAGGTTAGAAAAATATCCCCTCTCTCCCACAGCCATCAGAGCAGGGCTCTGGCTCACAGATGCCTTTAGAAGTACCATTTCATGTGAAGGCTACAATGCCCCATTTTACAGGTGGGGAAACAAAGGCCTTGAGGGCTAGGGAAGAGGGCAGCCTCCCCAGGTGGGGCAACGCACCAGCTCCTCGAAGCCGCTGCGTGGCTCGGCCCGCTGCTCGTACAGGGCTTCCCACCCCAGCTCCAGCATCCTCTCCAGCTCCCGCAGCCTCTCCAGCTCCCGCAGAGTCTCCTGCTGCCACAGCCTCTCATCCTGTTGCCGAAGCCTCTCCTGCTCCAGGAGCTCCTCCACCTCGTCCAGCAGCCTCTCCCTCTCCAGCAGCCTCTCCTGCTCCTCCTGCCGCCTCTCCTGTTCTAACAGCTTCTCCACCTCTTCCAGCAGCCTCTCCTGCCCTGGCAGCTTCTCCTGTTCACACAGCCTCTCCTCCTGTTCACGTAGCCTCTCCTCCTGTTCACACAGCCTCTCCTCCTGTTCACACAGCCTCTCCTCCTGTTCACGTAGCCTCTCCTCCTGTTCACGTAGCCTCTCCTCCTGTCTCCTGTTCAGGAGACTCAACATCTGATTGTTTTCCACCTCAGCCTGGAGCTGTCTTCCCACACTCTCTAGCTCCTTCCTTAGGTGGTTGGTCTCATCTTGTAGCTGCTCCATCTTAGATGGCCCTGCTGGGGGCTGTGGGGCCAGGGGTTCAGCTGAGAAAGCAAGCAGAGAATAAGGGCCTCTGGATTCTCAAAAAAAAAAAAAAAAAATCCTCCCTTTGGTGCACAGCTCCTCCTCTCAGGCTTCCCAAACTTGGCCTCACTGCTAATGACTCCTCACACCCGGATGGTAGACAATCTTCCAAGTCACTTTCAGATAGAGAGCACTGTGGGTGGCTGACAATGGGCACTCCTCCCTCTTTACTGATGGGGACACTGAGGCTCATGGAGATGACAAGACTTGTCCTCCCCTGGCACAGACCTCTTTCCCTCTGCCTCAAAGCCCTTCCATCCACCCACCTCCCTGGGGCATTCTAAGTCACCCCCACAGCCCTCTAATGCCAGTCCAGCTGCCAGGTCATGCCAGCCCCATCTTACCCGTCTGGTTTTTGAGTTTGAACAAGCTCCTCCCAAGCTTCTGTACCAGATGTATCTCATGCTTCTTCTCCTCCTTAGATGTGCGAACCTGCCCAAAGCAAAGGGGGAAAAGGGTACTGGAGGGAGGGGCTGGTGAACGTCCAGAGACAGAGTTTGAGAAAGGCCCACCCCCCTTCTGCCAGTTTGTGATTTAGAAACGTGCATTCATTCAACAAACATTTACTGAGCATGTACAGGCCAGGTACAGTTCTTCATAGCAGAGATATAAAACAGCAAAGGACAGACAGGAGCCCTTCGCCCTGAGCTTTCCATTCTAGGGGCCTTTAAATCTCTGACTTTCAGAGCTAACCGAGACCTTTGATACTCTCTACCTCCTCCAGAAACACGAGCATAAAGAGGAGAGATGGCTTGTCCAGACTCAAAAAGCAAATTAGGGACTGAGGCAGGGCAGGAATATGGACCTCTGACAACCAGTCAGGCTAGTGCTTCCCAGAGAGGTGACAACCCCAGGGCATGTGTGGCAAGGACTAGAGCAGGGGTGTCTGGAGAAGAGAGAGTCAGCAAAGAGGGCAGTGCAGAAGAGCCATGCTGCATGTTCTGTGCTCTGGGGTCCCTCCAGGTGAGACCTGGGTGCCCAGCTCCCCATTTGCCCTTGGCATCAGGGGCCCCTAGCCCCTTTCTTCAGGGCCCCAAGAGGAAACTGGAGTCCAGGATTGACCAGCTGTAATCAGGGGACCCCACTGGACTCTTACCAGTGAATTGATGTTTTCAGTGAGTTGACTGATTATTGCGGAGCTTGAATCCAGGGCTACTGCTAGTTCTTGGTACTGGCTCTGAGGTGCATGCAGAGAGAAGGAGTTGGAGAAAGATTGTGGGGAGGGGTAGAGAGAATAATCATTAGGGCTGGTGGGGGTGTGTGGGCTGCCTCAGCTGGCAGAGGGGCAACAAGCCCCTGCTGTGGGAGGAGGTTGGAGGGCTGGCCTGCAGGGTCACTGCACCTCGGCCCAGGGCCTCTTACCTCCAGATCCTGCAGGGTAGTAGAGGATGCACGGCCCTCCCCGTAGATACCTGTTGCTGACTCCAAGAGATGAGAGTGCACATGGAGATGTTCTGTCCCCCCTCACTGTCTAAGCCCTCTGACTTCCTTTCTTCCCCCATCAACTGGCAAAAGCTTCTTTTCTGCCTATCTTGGAACCTTTTTCCCATAACTCCTTTGTGCCAACTTCTCTCGTGGTTCTTATCTCCCCACCATCCCACCCTGGGGCCCTTTCAGTGACTCCTAAAGGGACAGCCTGATGGCAAGTGGCTCTTCTCATTGGCCTGGCTTCCCCTTGAGACTGGGGATGAGGAAAATCAAACAGCAACGACCATTTCCTCGGTGTCCTGGGTGTTTGCAGCAGGCCATGTACTAAGGATTCACATAAAAGCAACAATAACGAATCTCATTTAAACTTCACAAATGGAAGTCAAAAAATACCACCTCTATTATACAGATGTGAAAAGAGAGGCCCAAAGACCTCAAGCAACTTGCCCTAAATCATATGCTAATCAATCCCTAATCAATTCTTAGCAGACGGAGAGGCAGGATTCAAATCCAGAATTCTTAACCAGTACCCAACAGTCCATCTACAATCTTAACAATTACCCTCTACTGCCCCTTGGGCTCCCTGTCCCCAGGAGCCTGGCCCGCCGAGACTCACATCCCCAGGTGAGTGGTAACCACCAGAAGTGAATGTGTCAGGGCTACTGCCATTGATTTTCTTTTTCCTGTTAGCTCCTGCTGGAATGCCAGGGCTCTTCCTCTGCCAATATGCTTTTAACTGTGGGAAAGAAGAGCAGTAACACTCATGAGAATGATCAGCCCCTACAGCCACATCCTCCTTTACAGTTTTGACAAAATACCCTTATATACCATCTGATGTAATGCCACCAACAACTGTACAAGGTGTTGTCACAATCACTTAGTGACTGAGAGGGATTGATATCATGGATAGAAAAAAAAAAAAAGAAAGATCAAAAAAGGCAATACTGGAACTTAAACTCAGTCCTCTGACTCCAAGCTCTGGGGTTTTGCCATGAATCAGCAGCTTCCAGGGACCAAAACCAGGGGCAGAGGTAGAAAAGCACACATTAAGCAGGCAGGAACTGTAGGCCGTGTGGTTTAGAGTCATACATCCTCACAGGTCTGCTAGCGTGAAGAAGCGTACCAGTACCTCTCACACTTTCATATCAATGTGTCCTCATGGCAGAAGGCAGCTTTTCTATTAAATCTGGGAATTTATCAGAAAGAGGACAACCCAAGCCTCATTTCAGAGCGAAGTCTGGTATACGCTTGGAAACCTATGTGTCTGTCATCCCTAAGTACATTAATGCATTTTCTCAAGAGAATCAAGGGAAAATGATGCTTCAGAAAGATGTCCCGCATTTATCCTGTGGCACTCAAAGTACCCCAGGTTGAGACGATATGAGGAAGATTCAAGCTGTCAAGTTCAGTTTCCCAAGATCTATTCCACAGAAGATGAGCAAATCTCACTTCAGAGGCCACTGACTGAAGGGCAGTCTGGTCCCAGAACCGTGGAGAACTCAGAAAAAAATGTTAAAGTCTCTCTGGAAAGTAGAAGCCTGGGAAAAAACCAAACCAAACCCATTCTCCCATTGCCACCCAGAGATACTGTGAACATTTTGAGCTCACAGGGGAAGTGTAGGCTTTTCCCACTGTCAATGTCTATGTTAAGGGAGTAAGGCAGCCTGAAACCTCTTGCTCCTAGGTCCCATAGTCTCCACTCCCCTTCCAGCTGGAAATTTGTGCTGCAACCAGAGGAACCAGAAATGGGGTGAGAAAACTTAGGGGACTGGGTTGTAAGATCAAAGGCCGGTCTTGCAGCAGTAATGACAGTTCCTAGGGGCACTGTGACATCATTGCATTCCACTCCTCCCAGGGGAGGGGACCACATCAGCGCGATGCCCGAGTCGCTGCTCCACGATGGGGGAGGGAAACACACGGTTTCGACCCAGGTCCTCAGAGACGCCAGCCCAAGAAGCCTAGGGAGGTCGAGCTTGGGGCAGCAGGAGGGGAGGGCAGAGTCTGCAGTAGGGAGCCCCGGGAGTCACCAGCCCAAAGCCACCCAGGGATGACTGGTGAGGGCAGGGCCTGGGGCTGGGGGACCCAGGTCCTGGGAGACGCAAGCCCAAAGAGCCCAGGGAGGTTGGGCTTGGGGTGGCAGGAGGTGAGGGCTGATTATGGAGCAGGGAGCCCCAGGAGTCACCTGCCCAAAGTCACCCTGGGGTGATTGGCAAGGGCAGGGACTGGGCTGCTTGCTGAAGGGGTGGGGCTGACTGACTAGGCTTTGGTTGGGGGAGCCCAGAGGGGCTGGGGTTGGGGGGCCCCATCTGGTATGCCTCAGGAGTGGTATGGACTCTGGCACCGGTCTTGTCATCGGAGGGGATCTGTGGCTGGGTTGGGGGCCATGACCTGGTGTGTTTTACCTTTTTCTTGGCTGCGGCCAATTTCCCCTGTTGTGTTTTTTCTGACATCGCGGGGTGGGGAGGGAGGCGGGGTTGGGGCCACATCAGCGAAATACCAGTGAGCACTGCTCAATGCCTCCAGTCACCTACCAGGCAGCTGTGCAACTGAGCCACAGGTGGCGTAACCAGGGCACCAATGGAACGCAGAATAGGGGCGTGGCCTTAATGTTCCAAGCCCATTGGTCAGTGAGAAAGATGAAAGGGAAAGGAGGCGTGGCCAGGCGCAGCATGTCCAGAGGGACCTGTAGCATCATAAGGAAAGCTGCCCATGCAACCGCTGTCCCCGCCCACTCAGAGAGAGGGGAGAGGCCGCCCACTCTGGGAGAGGGGAGGGGCTGGCTTTTGCTTTAAAAGCTTTAAAACTGTTAAAAATAAACTTTAAAAAATATATGTGTATATACTTTATATATGTGTGTCTGTGTGTATCTATGTGTTCCTCCAGAGCTGTCTTCATTATGCAGCTTCTATGCAAAGTCTATGATTTTGGCCTATATTTTTCATCTTCAAATGGAGCACAAGAATTACAAGTATTACCTTAACTGAGATATAGACCCTATAAAAATGGAAAATCCATAGCATTCTTGATGATTAATGAAGCTGACTATAGTATCCGACATTCCAATAACAGAGAATAATCACAACAATTTCTCTTTTTTGGAAAAATGTTTGTCTTATTCTCCTACATTATTGTTAAGATTTCTTTTAAAAACAAGAAACATGTCTAATATCTTTAAAAACACAAAGCTTTTGGGCCAGGTGCGGTGGCTCACCCCTGTAATGCCATCACTTTGGGAGGCCGAGGTGGGTGGATGACCTGAGGTCAGGAGTTCGAGACCAGCCTGGCCAACATGAAGAAACCCTGTCTCTACTAAAAATACAAAAACTAACCAGGTGTGGTGGTGGGTGCTTGTAATCCCAGCTATTTGGGAGGCTGAGGCAGGAGAATCACTTGAACCCAGGAGATGGAGGTTGCAGTGAGCCAAGCTCATGCCACTGCACTCCAGCCTGGGTGACAGAGCAAGACTCCATCTCAAAAGAAATAAAATAAAATAAAATAAGATACAAAATAAGTAGGAACACAAAACTTACAATTTAATAAGCACTTAAAGCTCTTTACTGGTTTAAAACAAATACAAGGCCCATTTTTCTAGAATCACCAGGCCACTCTAGGCCTTGCAAATGAAACTGAATTTCTCACTTGATACCTGGCTATGACTTGCAATCATGAAAACCAAGAATTGTGTTATGTCACTGTGTACTGCTTGTTACCTGAAATCCACACTAGGCTGGGATCAAGGGTTGAATCTTTCATGATTTTTCTCCATAACCTGTGTGCTTCTTATCCCAGACTGAACTAAGCTTTTTTCTAGAGTTCTACAATTTACACTTAATAGACAAGAGTGGTTCTCAAAATGTAGTCTATGGACTAGCAGCACCAGCAGCACCTGAGACCTTTTTATAAGTGCAAATTCTCAGGCCCCACCCTGGACCTGGTGAATCAGAAACTCTGGAGTAGGGTTCAGCAATCTGTGCTGCAGTAATCCCTCCAAGTGTTCAAGAACCTCTGGCATACAGCAGGTAGAAAAATGTGTTTCCTTCTGTAGGTCCAAAGCCAGGGTTACCATATGTTCTGCCTTGTTATGAAACAATGACATGCAATTAAAAGACAAGAATCTCCTTCCTACTCGCACCCTCCATCCAATGTGTTTTATTTGTATGAGTTCCATAAGAAAAACAAGCGGCAATCAGAGATTTAGTCTAAAAAGTATGTTTACAAGTGTCCGTTCTCATCCAGCCTGATCTCCTACAAAACCGTTTACATCCTCTTACATCTCAAGTTTTAAAAAAGTATCTTCACAATGTAAGACTCACGCACACTAGCAGTTCTATAATAAAACACCAAGTAGATCAGAATGTCCAACCTTACTAGAGAAGAAAAGTGGAATCATTGGCTATATTTTCAAATTGCATTCAACAGGAAATTTAAGTTTTGAATTTTTTTCACCTTTATACTTCCAAAGTAATAGAATTAAACCAGAATACGCCATTCTTTCAAAGCCTCTAGCCAGGCAAAGTTTTACTGTATTATTTCTTGCTTTCAATGGATATAAAGCAGATTCCTGGTAGGCACATTCTGTATACCTGCAAAGATGCAGAACTAAACAGTTCCATCTGTTCAATATTAAACCAAAAGTCCTGTAGACCTCGAATGGTGAGTGTAATACTTCAGCACTAGCCCAAAACCTCAAATATGAAAAGATACCAAGAACACCACTAGCAAACAAAACTAAACTCTCAGTCAGGAGCAGGAGCTGACACCTGTAATCCCAGCACTTTGGCAAGCCGAGGTGGGAGGATTACTTGAAGTCAGGAGTTCAAGACTAGCCTGGGCAGCATAAAGAATTCACATCTCCACAAAAATTTTTGAACATTAGCTGGGTGTGGTGGCACACAGCTGTAGTCCTAGCTACTTGGCAGGCTGAGGTGGGAAAATTGCTTGAGGCGAGGAGTTCAAGGCTGCAGTAGCTATGATTATGGCACTGCACTCCAGTCTGGGTGACACAGCGAGACTTAGATAATTACATTTTCTCCTGCTCCTGTTTACACTAAAATCACGAAGTTAAAAGGCTTTCAAATTTGGCAGGATAAAAATTAAGTGAAATGTGACTTTGGAGCTTGGCTAGTGAAAGAAAGAAAGAAAAAAAAGGGAAGAAGGAGGGAGGGAGGGAATAAAGAGAAAGAAAGGAAAGGAAGAAAGAGAGAGAGGGAAAGAAGAAAGAAAAAGAGAGAAAGAAAAAGAAAGAGGAAAGAAAGAGAGGGAGGGAGGGAGGGAAAAGAAAAGAAAGTAAGAATGGAAAGCAAGAAAGAAAAGGAAAGCAAGGAAGGAAGAAGAAGAAAGAAAGAAACAAGGAAAAGAAAGAAAGGGAAAGGAAAGGAAAAAGAAAAGAAGAAAAAATGAAATGACAAATTACTTACTGGGAGAAAGTTTTGTCACCTCAATGACAGATAAAAGGCTTGTATCCTTAGACTATAAAGAAATCTTTAAAATTACTGAGAAAAAAAAACAAATGATTTTCAACCGAAAATGGGCAATGGAGAAACTGGCACTTCTCACAAGAATAAAAATGGCCAGTGGCATATACAAAGATTCAAAAGCACAAGAAATCAAAGAAATGTCATGAAAACAATGAGATTTTCTGTATAAAGGCAGGAAAGATGACAAATGGAAAGGGGAACCTGGAGCTCTGTCCTTGTTGGTGGGAGTATAACCTGAGTCACTTTTCCTGGAGAATGATTTGAAAATTTCTATTAAAAACCCTAAAAATTATTTTCCTCCAGAAATTCTACTTCTATGAATTCAGTCCAAAAATGTTTGCTCGAGCCCATTAAAATGTGTGTATAAGAAAATTCACCTCTGGGGTGGCAGTGATTAACTTAATATACATCCAGCTATTAAAAATGATGATGCCAGGATATATTTACTGCCACAGAAATATGCCCAAAATATAGTAAGTGACAAAAGACTACATACTACGATTCTACTTTTTAAAAGGTTTATGTGCATAAAAACGTATAAAAAGCAACAAACCACAATGTTTTGAGTGGCAAATTAAAGATTTTTCTTAATATTTGTCATCCAAATTATTACAAAAAGAATGATTTCCTTTATAATGAGGGAGAATTGTTATTTTCATTTATTTATATTTAAATATCTTTTCTTTTTCTGATTTTGTTTTCTCCTGTATGTATCCCATGTAGGCTAGAATCCCTGCCTCTTGAGGTAAATCAGCCCATTTTTGGGAAGTGCGCTACAGAAAGCTGCCCCAGCTTCCTTTTAAGAGATCTGGAGACATTTTTTATTTCAAATTGTTTTATCGTTCTCAGATTATTTTGTTTAATATATGAAATTGAGGAAAAGACAAAGGAAAGGCTGACTCCCTACCCTCCTGGGGCTACTCTTCCAATTTTTGCTGCTATTGTTATATATTAATATTCACTGGGTACTAAAAAGATGGGCAGCCCCTTAGATCATTTGTTCTTATCTCTTTCTCATAATCCTACTTCATTCCTTCATTCACTTATTTTTAAAAAGGTCATGTGTACAAACACATGGTTCAGAAAATTTTTAAATATAACTACCTATAAAAGTATGTGGCCAAATCCCATTCACAGTCTTATTCTCCTTCTACAGCCAAACACTTTTAATTGGTTTCTTATATATCATTTCAGAATTTATGTTTGCAAATACACACGTATATTCTTATTCTACTCTTCTCTCTCAACACAAAAAGTAGCATACCATACATACTATACCATTCCTTGTTCCTCTTAAAACACACACAATATATGTGAGTTCTTCTACATGAGTACAGAGGTCTTTGTCATTCTTCTTTACAACCGCACAGTATTCATCGTTTGGATGTACCACAGTTTACTTAACCAGTTCCCTGTTGGTGGACACTGAAGTCATCCCTATCATACTATTACAAACAATAATGCCAAGCATAACCACCCACATACCAAGTTCATTTCTGAATCTGCCTTTGATGAAGCCTCTATTTGAATCACCACAAGGTCACAAGGCTGAAAAGTTAGCCAATTTTTTAGTTTTCATTATGTACAGCAGTATGTAGCAAAAGACTCCCTTGGGCAAAGCAAATGTGCTCTTTGGGGATTTACTGCATAACAATAAATGGATTAACACCAAGGAGAAATATTTCTATTTAACCATGCACATGTATGTATATAATACATGCATATGCATAGATAGTATACAATAAATCCATCAAAGCATTAAGCATTGTCTCAGTATGGTGGATCTATGGAGTGCTTTGTAGACAGCCCTCCTTGCCTATCAATTCTTTCTAGTTTCAAAACAGTGAATATGTACTATTTTTGCAATATAAAATTTCAATAAATGTTAACTCAAGCCAGGTACATTCCTTCAGTCTGTCCTATATTTGTATGGTGCTCCAGAGTGCTCAAATATCATTTCATTAAAAAAATTTACTTATTTTTTTTCAAATATAGAAACAGGCAGGGCTTTGCTCTGTTGACCAGGCTGGTCTTGAACTCCTAGATCCTCCTGGATCCTCCCACTTCCACCTCCCAAAGTGCCGGTATTACAAGTGGGAGCCATCCGGCCCGGCCGGCTTCATTTGAGAAATATTTCCCCAGAACTCCATATATTATGAATAATTCCTTTCTTCTTGTTTAGATACCATCTTAGTCATATCTCTGTTACCTCACTTGTCACATGATAATCAGTTGCTCACCCATCCATCTCCCTTGATTGCTCGAGAAGAGTCTGATTTTCAGCACCTTGAACAGTGTGCAATACATACATGCTTCATACGCAGAGAAGGAAATGATATCACTACAGTGTAATTATTCCCAGAATTCAATGCCCGTATTTGTAAATTGTTCCAGATACTCTGCCAACAACCTGAGAATGTTATGTGTTTTCCCTAAAACTTCCATCGATTACTGAGTGTCTACGGTCATAGTTAACTCAGTTGCGATCTGACCTCTGGCCAAGCCCATTCATAGCTTGTATTATAGGTGATTTTTAATTTTAATTTTTGATTTTGATAGTTTCCTTTTTGTTTTTTTAATCTAGCAGTGTTTGGTAAACTTCAACATCTCTATATCCCTGTGTCTTTGCACCTACTGGTCTCTGCTTGGAATAATAGCTCAAGGTTTTATTCACCTGGAAAAAATTTCTACTTACCCTTAAAGAATCAGCTTAAATAAGCCGGGCATGGTGGCTCATGCCTATAATCCCAGCACTCTGGGAGGCCAAGGTGGGCGGATCACCTCAGATCAGTAGTTTGAGACTAGCCTGGCCAACATGGTGAAACCTCGTCTTTACTAAAAATACAAAAAATAGCTGGGTGTGGTGGTGGATGCCTGTAATCCCAGCTACTCGGGAGACTGAGGCAGAAGAATCACTTGAACCTGGTAAGCAGAGGTTGCAGTGAGCTGAGATCACGCCATTGCACTCCATCTTGGGCGAGAGAGCAAGACTTCATCTCAAAAACAAAAACAAAATCAGCTTAAATAATACCGTCTCTGAGAAGCCTTTATATCTTCCTATTCTTTCAGAAAGAGTTGAAAATTCCTCAACTCTTAAAACATTTGTGCCTCTATTATTATGTATCAGGCACTGAACTGAGTGCCTAGGAGAGAAAGATGAAACTGTAGACCCTGCCCTCATGGAGTTCATGGTCTAGTATGGAAAACAGCCATATGAACAAATAACCATACTGTAGGTCTTCAGAGCTCAAACCCTATCCTAAATACTGCTAAATTAATATTCTGTGAGGTTTTGAAATTACTAGGGCCAGAGACAATATCGCTGTTTGGATGACTTTCCATCCAAGTTAACATTCGGCCCTCATCATCAAAGGTGGTATGTGTGTACCTCTTCCTTGCAACCCACCAGGGCCTAACACATCATATACCCACTTTTGAAATTAGGAAACAGCCTCAGAAGTCCAAGAGCTTGACCAAAGTAACTCAGCTGGTAGGTAGCAGAACCAGGTCGGTATGATTCTTCTTCAATATCCTCCAAGTTATATGGGCAAGTGGCCTCAAAATCAACAAAAGACAAGTAGAGGTTGACATGCATTAATGGAGAGAGGCTCAAAAGGAAGAGTTTATACACAAGAATAGAACAGAAATGTTCCAGAAGTATGTCTGGGGATGTGAAGTAGGAGGGGGCACACCAGGTTTCACCTTGGTCAAGTGAATCTATAATTCCAACCTGGGCCTCACCCCTGAGCTCCAGACTTAGCTATCTGTTTTTCTCACTCTAATATAAAATCCATAGGGCAGGACTTAATCTCTAGGTTGTTCATCACAAATTAAAGCAGAGTCTGGTTTATAGTAAGTACTTAATAAATAAGTAAACAAACTATCAAAGAAGCTAAAGAAACATTCTACACTCTTGGGGGAAGGGATTACCATGAAATGCCATCTGTCTTTTTCCTACTTTTCAGTATTTGGGGTGTTCTTCATTGAAAAAGATTAGCTTCTTGAATGTTCCAGATAGGAAGAGAGAGGGAGAGGGAGAGAGACAGGAACAGAGAGAAGTTTCATATTTTAACTATGGTTCAATTCTAAGCATTCTAAAATTGTATTGAGTTTTTTATACCATGAATTACAAGGGTGTTTAATTTCCAAATTCATGTAGCTTTTTGTTAATCTCTTCATTATTGCCTTCTAACCTTAATTGCTTCATATTTAAATTATAAATTATATGGTGTGGATGGTACCAATTGTTTTTAAATCTTCTGACTTGCTTTACGAATTAATATATAATTAATGTTTCTCCCACAGTCCACATATGCTTGAGAAGAATATAGAATATCTAATTATTGGGTACAAAGGCCTATATTTGTCCATTACACCATGTCCATTCACTGGTTATTCAAATCTACATATGGGCATTCTGTGTAACTTACTTATGGTAAGCAGGGTATGGTGAAATCTCCAAATATGCTGGCAGACTTGTCAATTTCTCCCTGTGGTTTTATCAGTTTTTCTCCTGCATTTTGAGGCTATTTTGACAGGTACATAAAATATGAAAATTGCTACATCCTCCTAATTAACAGTCAGCATCAAGTTTCTTACTAATGCTTTCTGTTCCAAAATCCTTTTTTGATACTGAAGCTCCATCACTTGTTTTTGGTTAATGTATACTGCCATATCTTCATTACTCTCTCTCCTTTATAAAAACTTTCAATCTTCTCATATCCTTATATTTTAAATATGATGGATTAAAACAGCTGGATATTCTTTTATTAGTTCCACCTAACTGGTAACTTTAGTCCATTTACATTTGTTGTGACTGATTTATGTGGACTTCCTTCTATTGCCTTTAGAACTTCTATTTCTCTCACTTTCTAATATAATTTTAATATCTCCTCCTGGGATTCCACTAAGACATATTTTAGACCTCATTCTGATCTCCCTCCCCCTACAACCCCACCAACTTCTGCCCTATCATCTATCCTCATGTCTCTCTGTGTAACATACTGACTCACTTTTGGGAGATAATTGTCTAACCAACTAATTCTTTCTTCTGATGTCTAATCCATCCACTGAGTTTTTTATTTCAACAATTACATTTTTTATTTCTTTATTTCATTTTATTCTGAGACGGAGTCTCACTCTGTCACCCAGGCTGGACTGCAGTGGCATGCACGTGCAGCCCTTGCCTCCTGAGCTCAAGTGATCCTCCCTCCTCAGCCTCCTGACTAGCTGTGACTACAGACACGTGCCCCATACCCAGCTACTTTTTTTTTTTTTTTTTTTTTGGTGGTGTTGGGGTATTTTTTACAGAAACGAGTTCTCACCATGTTGCCCAGGCTTGTCTCCCCAACTCCTGGGCTCATACCATCCTCCCACCTCGGCCTCCCAAACAGTGCTGGGATTACAGGTGTGAGCCACCAGACCCAGCTATATATTTTATTTCTGTAAGTTCTAGTTCATCCATTTTCTTTTCAGGTCCTCCTCCTCATTCCTGGTGGCCTTTCTGTTGCTCAATTTAATGAGTCCATCTTTCTTTTATATTAGGTTTGACATGTAACTATTTTCTCACAATTCTAATATTTGAAGTCTGTGTTCTGTATCTGATAATTCCAAAACCTAGTCTTTGGGAAACATATTCATTGTTTCTAACAATTCTCAAATATGTTGGGTTGAGACTACTTGAATGCTATGATTTGACTGAATTCATATTTGCCTGCTTTTAATCTTTGGGAATCCTACAGGCTTAAGTTAGAGATGTTTTCCTACAAAAAGTATCTGTGTCTGCTTCTGATGAGAGCTGTGGGTACAACTAACATGAGACCACTTTACCACCATGCATAATCCTGACATCCTCTTGGATTCTCTTGGAGCATCTCAGCATTACACAAGGTTCTCAGATCTGGCTCCCCACCCTTGCTCATTTATACACAGAAGACTAGACTGCTTAGCATAGGTGGTGACTCACTTCCTGCTACCCTGGAAAAAACAAAACGGATCTCTCATCTGAATGTGATCACAGACTAGGAAATTCTGAAGGTGAATAACTAGAGGCTGTGGGCAGCAGGCAAAGATAGGTGTCTTTCCTGACCATAGAAATAGGTCAGAAGCTGCCCTAAAGGCTGTGTGCTACAGCATTTCACTATTTAGCTCAACTACCATTCCCTCCATAAGTGTGAGTGGAAGTTTCTTAGAGCACCATATTGCCTTTAAACAAAACCAAATTTTTGCTCAAAAGTCATGGTCATGGAAAACAAAACAAAACAAAACAAAAAAAACCCCTCTGGCTTTGGAAGGCTTTCTCAGTAATGTCCTGGAATTACGGTTACAGCCTGCATTTCATGTTAACTGAACAGAAAACCAGCCTCCAACATCCTTCTGCCCCGTGGCTTGCTCTCAGCTCCTCTTGGTTGGGCCTAGGGCAGTCAGACTGTCTGGTTCCAATCCTTGCTCTGCCACCTGTGACTTTGGACAAGTTACCTACCTTCAGTTGCCTCATCCATAAAATGCAGATATTAATAATACCCTCTTTTAAAGTTATTAAGAGGACTGAAAGAGCTAATAAAAAGTAAAAAATAAAAAGACTTGGTAAGCATAGGCACAGAGGGAAACAAAAAAAGTAAAAATAAGTAAATAAAAAGACTAGTGCCTAGCACATAAAAGTTCATCAGGAATTAATTTTATAACATGAACTCAATTTTGCAAAACTTCAAAGTACATATAACTTTTACTATGGTATACATAACAATAATAAATTTACAACTGTAGACATGTTTCTCTACAGTAAATATAACAAAGACTAAACAATCAGATACTAAATCATTAAGTGATTATCAGTTAGTAACTTTAATTTTCTTATACTTCTATATGTTCTATAGATCATCTTTGTAACAAAAAGAAAACAAACCAAATGAAAATGAAATGAATTCTCTCAAAAAGAATTAAGATAGGAAGAAGGCTCACAAAGTAGCATAAAATATATCTTATGGTTTATGTAAAATTCTTAATAAAATTACCTTCTTTGCTCCAAGCTGCACTCTGGCTTTGCCTTTGACTCAGGTGGCTTTTATTTGCATGATGACTGATTCTATCGAGTAGGCACTGCTTCAGCCCTACAGGAAGAACAAAACATCTCTAGAACACAGCAGCGTTCCTGGTTCCCACTTGAGAAGGCCTAACCAAATGGCATATAACTTAACAGTAGCAGACCAGTGTTAAAAAGTCTGGAGTCAAGGGGAAAAGGTAAAATTGGAACGTTTCCAGAATCTCACAAAAAAACAACAAACCAATGTTCTAAGTGCCCAACATGAACAAATTAAAACCTTAAATAAAGGTCACTGTTAACGCCTATCCTAGCATAAATTCAGCACCAAGCACAATGTTATTTTACTGGTTTGCCTTTTTCATTCTGTTTTTTTTGTTTTGTTTTGTTTTGTTTTTTTGAGATGGAGTCTTGCTCTGTCACCCAGGCTGGAGTGCGGTGGCACCATCTCAGCTCACTGCAAGCTCTGCCTCCCGGGTTCACACAATTCTCCTGCCTCAGCCTCCCGGGTAGCTGGGACTACAGTCACCCGCCATCACGCCCGGCTATTTTTTTTGTATTTTTTAGTAGAGACGGGGTTTCACCGTGTTAGCCAGGATGGTCTCGATCTCTTGACCTCGTGATCCGCCTGCCTCAGCCTCCCAAACTGCTGGGATACCTTTTTCATTCTTGAAAGTAGGAGCTACGAAAAAAAAAAAAAACACTAAAATGTCTTTAAGAGAACCGTCTACTTACGATCTAACTTACATAATCAAAACACTCTATTGAGGGTGAAAATTGAGTATAATAATAAAATAATCACCAGAGGTTCCATACATAATGCTCCTCCACCCAATACATACCTTAAAAAGAAAAAAGGAAACATACAAAATTATCTTGAGAAGTATTCCTGCTTAAACAATTTCCATGTGGCATTATTAAGAAAGTATGCACACAGTAAAGACAAGAAGAGAACACGTAAGCATGAACATACTTGTTAGGCATATAGGATTATAGGTAATTTAAAAATTCTAATGGTATTACTCTTATGAAATTGCTCTGAAATTCCAGTCAATTGTTTGAAATGGCAATCAGAACAGAATACTTTGAAATTTTTATGATGTCAAAAACTAAAAACGTGGCCCTAAATATTCCAAAGAATCAGGGCAGAAGAACCCATTTCCTTAAATGGCATTTGAGTGTTCTTTACAATGGAAACTTTCTCTCCCAACCTGTGATGGCCAGGAGTTTTTCCTCTGACAATGGCACCGATCTTACCCTATTCAAAATATGAACATCTGCACGGTTTCATGGTTGAAATTGTTCTTATCCATTCTGTTGTGAGAATCGAATGGTTCACACCATGTGGCTCCTCTCTGGGACTCCTCAAGTCCTTTCTAGGTCTGAAGACTGTTCTCTGAACCAAAGACAACTTCTGGGGATGTACCAAATCTCCCATTAGAAAATTATTTAGATCAAGATGTTTTAACCTTTTAATTCTTTCTCAAACAAAATAATTTCATTTCTCCTTTAATGTTATTTTAAATTTCAAAATACACAGATAGCATGCCTAAAGTAAAATCAAGGGAATGATAGTTTTAGAACAAAAACTGTGGTAATTTTGAAAGCACAAAAGCTAAGACCACTGATTAGATCTATGTGGACACCAAGTCCACCACAAACGGTTCTGTCCTCCGGGGCTCTGCCCACACCTTTCCCTTGCTTGAGATTCCTTCTGCTTCCTACCCTTCCAAATGCTGTATTTCCCCCCAGAAGACTTGCCAAGACCACTCTAGCCTGCGCATCTTCCATTCCAGCTAACCAAAGGCATCCTTGCATTGACTAAACCAAATTATTTTGCAGAGAAGGCATCTAAAAACTTCTACTGTAGACCATTCACCTTAATAATTGTTTTCATGACATTATTCAATAATAAAATGAGGGAAAGAAGCCCTCTTTAACTCCCTTGCCCTGGAGAATCCAAGCAAGTGTCTTTCCCACTTGCTTTGCCCAAACCCTGGGAGCTTTCAAAGTGAAAGTTTAATGGAAGGAAAAGAAAATCTAAAAGAAAAACTCTCCGAAAAATTAAACTCAGGTAAAGAATCATGGGATTACAAATTTTTATTCTTTGTGTATTTGATTTCTGAAACATTTGAAATCTCTCTCTCACTCCTTAAATCTGCCACTGGGCTAAGAGAGTATTGTATATAATGTGCACTCATTGATTTAACAGAATTAGAACATCCAGGCACTCACTCAGATTTTGGTTCCACAACTGCTCAAAGTCTAGTCATTTAGTTAATGAGTTAACACCACACTTGATCTTCAAATTTTGGAGATGCTGATGGTAGACAGGAACTTGTTTTGGGAAAAGGAAGTATATGGCAGACATTGTCACCCATTATCCAACCAACACCACCTTTCCTTTAAAGTACCCCACTCTTCCTTTAAGGTTGCAGAGTCTCAGAAAGTAGGAAGAAAGTTTTTGCATTTTCAGGTCAAAAGACAGTACATTTGTACAACTGCATAATACCTATGCAAATGTTTGTTGAAATCTAAACAGAAGACAGAAGTAGTTCTAGTACCTTCACTACATAAGTAAGATAAGTAAACTTTTCCTTAATATACACTTCCAGCAGCACTGACACCTAAAAGTGGTCGACTCTACTACTGTATTAAATGACATTCATTTCGTCAATATGTGTTCCAAATTCTTACTGCTCTTTGTCTCCAAAGGGTTCCTACTGAATATTGAGACAGTTCAAGAATACTAGGGAAAAAAATTCTAATAATTGAAGTAACGGTCATCTAAGGATAATATGCCACATATACAGACACAGTAATATTTTCAACTTAAAAAAAATTCAGTTGTCAAAGCTGTACAGCAAACACTATCCTAAGCTTGGCCTCTTCAGGCATTTGCTTTATAATCACTTCAAAGAAAAGTCAATTACAAAATGCCACATTTTGTATGATTCTATTTATATGAAATGTCCAGGATAGGCAAATCTACAGAGACAGAAATTAGATCAGAGGTCGCCAGGATCAACGGTGGGGGAGACGAGTATACAGAGTGACTGCTAATGGGCATGGGGTTTCTTTCTGGGGAGAAGAAAAGGTTCTGAAATTAGGTAGTGGTAATGGCTGCATAACTCTGAATATACTAAAAACCACCAAACTGTACACTTCAAAGAGTGAGACTTATCATATAAAAGCTGTATCACAATAGTTTAAAAAATGTTTGGGTATGTCAAGAAATAAAGGATAGAATCATAGCTCAAAGATATGGACATAAAATAAATGGAACAAAACTCCTCAGTAATCTATCTAGAATCACACAATGCTTAAGCTTTACCCTGACTAAAATCACAAGCCTGGTGTTTTATTGGTATTTCACATTTTTCACTTCTTCCTAAGTCAGCCAATAATTTCTCCTTAATAGTTGACTATTAAGACCAAGGCATTTTGATTCTGCCTCCAATGGGCTTTCACATTTCATTCCTCCTTCCACTCCCATGACTACCACACCAATGTAGGTTCTCCTCACTTCACTCTAAGACAACAGCGGTGCCCTCAACTACTGTCACACTCTTCTAGGCTCTGTGAGCACAATGTGTCTCATATTCTCTTCTGCTGTCACCAGATTTATTCTAAAACAGTTTCTTTACTGTTACTCCCCTGTTTCTCAACCAGCTACACAGAAAGATGAATATCCAGGGGTAATAGTTTACTTACCTGAAAAAAAAAATCTGTCACCAATCCACAGAACTGTTTGAGTACAAAATATTACATCAGCAATATTTCCTACAACTCTTCTACATGAATCCTACCCTCCTTGTGTTATAGCTCAAATTGGTTTCGTATACTCTGAACCCCTCATTCTTTCCTAGATACCTGATTGCGCTTACTCTTCACCTATGTAAATAATTTTCCTGCAACCTCCACCAGCTGACCAAACCCCACTCACATTTCACTGCCCAGCTGAGATCCCATCTACTTCATGAAGAGCAACTCTTTGCAGCTTTAAATCTCAGAGAAATTAAGTCCATGCTTAGCTTTTCTTTTTCTTTTTTGTTCAGATGGAGTTTATCTTTGTCACCCAGGCTGGAGCGCAGTGGCACGATCTCAGCTCACTGCAACCTCTGCCTCCCGAGTTCAAGCGATTCTCCTGACTCAGCCTCCTGAGTAGCTGGGATTACCAGTATGCACCACCACATCTGGCAAATTTTTTGTATTTTTGGTAGAGACAGGGGTTTCACCATCTTGGCCAGGCTGGTCTTGAACTCCTGACCTCAAGTGATCCACCCGCCTCAGCCTCCCAAAGTGCTGGGATTATAGGTGTGTGCCACCGTGCCTGGCCCATGGTTAGCATATGATAATCAATGGAGTACTTACAGTTCTTAGTACTTTTAATCTCCTCTTACATAGCTGGCATTTCGTATAATGAAAAACACTTTACTAGGAATCAGAAGATTTATTTGGCTAAGTCACAAGCTGACTTATTATTCAAATTATTCATCCAAATAATGAGGACCATAACACACTGTGGCAAAAAAGAATCAATGAAGAAACTATGTAACAGATTTTAAAACTGAAAATGGCATGATTCATAACTTCATGTATTTGTCTCGATTCTAGGTGGTATACTAAGATCATAAACTTACATTCTTGGGATTCTTACAACAAAATGTTGAAAAGCTATACTGGTCTATTTCATAATCACATTTTAAAATGTTTTCATACATTTATCCTGAATTTGCAGATTTTTATCCAAATCTTTTCTTTGATCTTTTTTTTTCTCAAATAAGATTCTGAACAAAACATGACCCGTTTTCCTTTCCCTATGCTTATGGGGATATTGAGTCAACATACACAATTTTATAAACCAGCACATAAAACTAAAGCACAATACTTATGTCCTTTCTCCCCAATCAGTAAGGGCTTCATTAAAAAGACATTTTAACATTCAACTATGAAAAACAAAAGAACTATGGCTTGGTGGCTAGTAAAAAGCCTGCTGTAGTGAGCAAAGGTTAAACATTTACTATTTTTCAGTCTTGTGTTTATTTTGTATACGTAAGTATTTGGCTGGGTTACTTAACACTGAACTTCCAAAACTGACCATTAGGTTGTATGCCAAGAGAAGTACTTTTTATAGCAATTTTACTGCCAAAACCAAAACAGCCTAGAGAAGCTTTAAAGGTAACAAAATAGTACACAATTCTAAACAACTCTGCTTCACACCCAACCTGGGACTTCCACTCACCGTAATAGTATATTCGTGATCAACTTTGTAACAAGCTGTCAAAGGGAGACCTCTAACATCTGCTCACGAAGGAATCACTTCAGCATGTCCTGCTCTGCAGCAGAAAACGCATGGGGATCACTCAGAACTCCGGATTTCCAACAGAGCAGCATTTCCCAGAGAGTAAGCCAGAGGACACCATCCTCTGAGATGCTGTCAGGAACACTAATAAACAAATTTGGGAAAAACAGAAAATGGCATTAAGGCTCCAAGAAGTCCTTTGGTAAAAGACATTTTGAACCTGGTTCCCCAAAACCTTGCAATCCCCACAAAACAAATATCTATTACCATACCACTATATTAGCACTCACAGAACATTTGGGAAGATATGGCAAAGATTAGGCTGCAGGCGTCGGGTAAGTAGACTCTTAAAACACAATATTGAAAAAATAGAAATTTAAAAATTAAAACAGAAAAGCAAAAGATAAGTAAATAAATAAAAAATTTTAACAAACAACATTGGGCTGGGCAAAGTGGCTCAGACCCATAATCCTAATACTTTGTCAGTCTCAGTGGGGTGGATCGCTTTAGCCTGGGAGTTCGAGACCAACATGAGCAACATGGTGAAACCCTGTCTCTATCAAAAATACAAAAATTAGCTTGGTGTGCTGGCATATGCCTGCAGTCCCAGCTTCTCAGGAGGCTGAGGTGGCAGGATGGCTTGAGCCCGGGAGGCAGAGGTTGCAGTGAGCTGTGATTGCACCACTCACTCCAGCCTGGGGCAACAGACAAAGACCCTGTCTCAATAAAATTAAGTAATTAAATAATAAAACCAATATTCCTTTACTGTGTGGGGAAACTCAAAATGAGCTCAGCACATCCACATGTAATACTAAGGTTTTTTTTTTTTTAAACCCACACTTCTTGTTTCTCTGAACTTTTACACATGGATATCATGTCCAGACAACTATTCCGTAGTATCAGCACCACAGTTAATATGTATTCTGATTATGCAGAATGATTCTTAACAGGATCTTAGCCCCCAAAACACATACATAAGTATGTAAAGCAAATACAACTAAAAATAACTGTAGCAACAAAGCTCTTCTGGAGAAAGTTCTGAAGTGTGAAGTAGTCACTCATATTTTTACCCTAAATGCAACTATTACTATCTCAACCATAGAAATGATCAAAGTAAGGGCTGGAGATATTTAGATTTTAATCACCATAATGTGGATTATGTCACATAATGGAATTAGTCAGCTGAGTGTTTGAAAATCCTCAAGTTACTTTAAATTGCTCATACTTTGAGGGTCTACAGAACATTTCATAACTAACCTAGCAAACTGTGATCTTTTCCCCACTTCTGTAAGACTTCCAATCACAAAAAAGAAGCAATACAAATTTCAGTAAAACTGCATGACAATTACCATTTGATTCTACTACACTGCAACTATCACCTCTAGAAGTAATTAGCCAGCTCCATAGGTCCATGGGATTTCCCATGATTATTCCTAGAAGTACTAATTAGGATTACAGGTATGTGGGGGGACCACTCTGTAATCATAACATTCTCTAAACCTTCAATCACAATTTACATTTGAAAAACCTTTGGTTTTTATGATAAAAAAGTATGTATGAATATATATATGTGTGTGTGTATGTATAAATATGTGTGTGTGTGTATATATGTGTATATATGCATATATATAACACTAAAATCTCTACCTATCAACAACATAATGCTTTATAACCAGTGGTTCCAGATGTAGGCCCCAGAACAACAGTATCAGTTTCACCTGGGAACTTCTTAAAAACGTAAATGCTCAGGCAACACCACAGGCCTACTTAATCAGAAACCCTGGGACTAGCTCTCCAAATGATTCTGGTGCACGCTATATTAAAAAAAAAAACGTAGCCCAGGCACAGCAGCTCATGCCTGTCATCCCAGCACCTTGGGAGGGCAAGGTGGGAGGATCACTTGAGCCCAGGAGTTCAAGAACAGCCAGAGCAACATAGTGAGACCTCATCTCTACAAAAAATTTTTTTAAACTAAAAAAAAAAAAAAAAAAAAAAAAACATTTAAAGTAATCACTTAAACTTATGCTCCTGAGAGAACAGGTAATACCACTCAAACAAATGGAGGCTCAAATGGAAAGTTATCCTAAAAAGCAAATAAGCAAGTTTAATTAATTTTAAGAACATCGTTAATACTATATACCATTTAGAAGATTTTAAAAGTCTATAAAAGAATATGTACATTTATTATCAGATAATGGGT
Source organism: Homo sapiens (assembly GCF_000001405.40). Lineage (NCBI taxonomy): Eukaryota > Metazoa > Chordata > Mammalia > Primates > Hominidae > Homo > Homo sapiens. Next base: position 82,412,544 of record NC_000015.10, on the reverse strand, counting down.
GAGAGTCATAAAAGTAAAATTAGTACAGAAAAAATGAAATGAAAACCAAAGCAAATAAAAATGAAGTTAAAATGAGGCCCAAACAGAACAGTGTTATGGTAAACTTATGAAACATATGAAGGGGTTTCACTTCACTAGAACTATATAAAGGAACCATTCCAATAATGATAGAGTAGGTAACTTAGATCAATCCTCTCACTGAGAACTAGAAAGATGGACAAAATGTAATGATTACAGGGCTGAGAAAAGGGAATAGCAGAGAACAGGGTCTTCTTTTCTCCCCCTTGGGTTTTCTTCCAATGACAGCAGAGAAGAAGAGGTTAACAAGCTGAGCTAGAACTCACAGCCTCACAGAGCTCACAGGGAGTTAAACATTGGAGCTCAGCATCCACTGAGGAGAGGCCCTGCTAAGTCTCCCACTCCTTAGGTTGGGAATCTGAAGAACAAACTGCAAAATGCCCCAACAGGGAATGATGGCCAGCTTTAATCGTCTCAATCCCTGATTGTGAATTTCCAAGACCCTAGCAGGGGAAATGTAAATCCTCTCTGGAGAAGAATATCATCCAAGGCTTCAAATTAGCTCTGCAATTTTTCATATATAATGTCTATCACTAAAAATAAAAAGCCACATGAGACTTAAAGATGACATAACAGAAAACAAGAGAAGCAAACAACAGACACAAAACCACAAGGGATTGAGATAACAGAGTTAGCAGACACACTTCAAAATAACTCTGCTGAAAGACAAGGAAAGACAGGACAAGACTGAAAACCTGGCAGAGAAATGCAAATTATAAAATGAACCATATGAAATTCTGCAATTTAGAACTACCAAAACTGAAATTAATAACATAATGGATAAGCTTAACCACAGCAGTAACCTAGCAGAAGACAGATTCAGTAAACCGGAAAAAGGTCAGAAAGACAAAAAGGTAGAAAATTGAGAAAATAAGACAATATATTGAAAAGTTTATCATATATGTAGAGCCCTGTAAGAAAAAAAAGAATGGGACAGAAGCAAGAGCTGAAGATATGGTTGTGGAGAATTTTCCAGAACTGATCAAAGACTTCACAAGATTTAACCACCATAAACACTTCAGGAGAAACAATGGAAGCTAGCATAACAGAATGATATCTGCAAGGTGCTGAAAGATGGAAACTGCCAATCTAGAGACTTACGCTCAATGAAGATACTCTTTAATAATGAAATAAAAAATAAGGATTTTTTCTATCTGCAGACTCACACTAAGGGAAATACTAAAGGATATTTTCAGACAGGAGAAAGAGGATCCTACATCAAAACCTGGGGACTCTATTCCATAAGCTCTGTACCCTGGAACTCAGGAATCAAGATTTTACAGAAATAAAAAGAGTTCTTCAGGGAGGGGAAAATAAAGGTTGAGGGTGACTGGTAAAATTAAGTTTGAGTTACCTTAGTATATTTTAACTCAGAACGAGACTCTCAGGCTCTACAAGGATCTCATGAAGTTATCTGACTTCCCATTTAACATCTCAGCCTTCTAAGTTATTCTTAAAGATGAAGAACATTCTAGTTTTCAAAGACTACATCACCAGATGGGTCTAAATAGTTACAAGTCACTTCCTTACATTGAGTTGAAAATCACCTCTTTGTAATTTGACTTATTAGTTCTAGTTTTATGCCCTGTCTTCACCAAAAACAAATAAAAACTAATGCTTCCATATACATACTCCTTCAAATAGTTGAAGACAATCTATCATGAACCAGAACCCCCATGTTTTCCTCTCCAAATCCATAATTTCACCAGCTATCCTAGGACATGGAAAAGAATCTCTTCCCAATCCTGGCTATTATTCTCTAAATGAACCTAACCTTATCTAAGTAGACCTTTCTTAAAGTACTACCTCAGAATTCAATTCAGTAACTCTGATGTTGCCTGTAACATCTGAAAACGACTTCCTTAAAAGTACAGCAAGTTGGATTTACCAAGTTGCTGACCAGGGCGCATTCCCTCCTGCAGTCACTCCCATCTTTGTGTTATACTTTATCTCAAGTTCAATTTTGCTTATTATTCACGACTCTCAAGTTGTCACTGCGGACATCAGAGGCCATAAACATATTGTTCTGGCTCTTTCCTGTAAATCTTTCTGAGTCATACCTGCTATTCTCCAAAGTCTGTGAATCCCAATACTAATAACTTGGCAATTCAGTTTAAGGTCCTCTTCAGAAGGTCAGTTAGCTCAAGGCAATCACATTCTTCCCAGGCGTCTTAAGAAATACTCCAACCCCAGAAAAGGCCCTTCTTTCTGGTATCAGGAGCCATGGGCCACAAACACAAATCCAATAGCATTTCAGCCATTTACCTCCCAGATCATCCCCTCCCTGAAGTTCTAACTACAGCAGGAAAAAATAATGAAAACACCACCTGCAGTCACAAATCCTCCAGTTTCCTGGCCAAGATGTCACATTCCCTTCAAGATACCTCCCAAAGAGGACATGACAAGGGAGGGGCACAGAGGGTGCTACAGGTACTGATAAGGTTCTATTTCTTTTTTATTTTTATTTTTTGAGATGGAGTTTCACTCTAGTCACCCAGGCTGTTGAGTGCAATGGTGCAATCTTGGCTCACTGCAACCTCTGCCTCCTAGGTTCAAGTGATTCTCCCACCTCAGCCTCCCAAGTAGCTGGGATTACAGGCACCTGCCACCACGCCTGGCTAATTTTTGTATTTTTAGTAGAGATGGGGTTTCACCATCTTGGCTGGGCTGGTCTCAAACTCCTGTCCTCAGGTGATCCACCTGCCTTGGCCTCCCAAGTGCTGGGATTACAGGCGTGAGCCACCATGCCCAGCCAAAGGTTCTATTTCTTTAAAGTTTGGTGTTGTGCATATGTTCATATGATTTAATGTTTTTTTTTAAAAATGGTATCTTCCTGTTTTTTGTGTGTGTGTGTGTTTTTTGTTGTAGGCCTGAGTGCTTCATTCGTTCACCCATATGAATCCGTAAAGAAGTAGCCATTAGCAACTTCAGCCTATACTGGATTCATACTTTAGGAAGACAACCCAGTTGACAACCACAACAGTTTCTATGATAACAAAATTGAGAGAAAATACTAACATTAGGGTCATTTCAAGAAAGTTCAATCATAAGATATATCCCCAAGGAAAAATATACACATGAAAAAGCTAAGTAAGCTTTTAGAAAACTACTACCATCCTTAGAGTAAGTACAACAAAGTATTCCTTTATGTCTTTGTTTTTTTCATCAAAATACTTCATATAGCCATAGATTTTAAGCCATTACATCTTGTCTAGATTCCATATTAGATCATTAACATTTTTTCTAGATTCCATTGTTATTCTTTTGTAACCTTTATTTTTGGTATCTTAAAAGTACTTTATTAAATATAACACATTCAGAAAAGTACACAAAAGATACCTTAAGGTAGACCTTAACAAGTTATTTTAAATTATTTGCCCATGTAACCACCAACCTGGTCCAGAAATATATTACAGCCAGTATCCAAGAAGCCCACAGATGTACCTTTCAGTTCACACCTCCCTACCTCCCACCTAGATGGACTCCTTACTCTACCCTGTGTCTAATCACCTCTTTTTTCTTGATAGTTTTACTGCCCAAGTATGAACCCATAAAGAAGTGTTTCTCAGTTTTCTTTTCATTTATGTTCTATGGCCGTTTGGAGGGCAGCAGACCAGTATAATAGGTCAGATTTTCTTTCACTCTAAGGACCAATTTTCACTCCACTGCAGGCGATATTGCCTCCGCTAAGAATGTATGCCCTAACCAACATTAGTTTTGCCTATTTTTGAACTCTATATAGAGGAAATTGTACAAAATAGGTTTTGGGGGTCTGGTCTCTTTTGCTTAACATAGTGTTCAAGATTCGCTCATCTTGTCCCACATGACTGTAAGCCATTTTATGAATACCACAATTCTCCATTTTATTGGAATGAACATTTGGGTTATTTTCTGTTTGGGGCTATTATAAACGATGCTGCTCTGAACATTCCTGTGTCTCCTGGCACCTATGTACTCATTTCTTGTGGAGTATATATCCACGAGATTCCTGAACCATAGGGTGTGAGTATCTTCCACTTTCCCAAACCGTTTTCCAAAACACTTGTACAAATACACACCCCCATTAGAAGGATATAGAGTCTCATAACCATTTTCTTACCTTGAAAGATAAGCAAAATGTCTCCTATCGCTTCTTTTTAAGATCTAAAGATCACTGTGCAAAGGACTATCAGGGTCAACCTTGAGAATTCCAAAACAAAAAACAATTCAAACAAAAAGATTATTATTATTATTATTATTTTAACTAACTCAAAAATGAACCAATCTGAAAGCTAAAATAGAGCACCTAGGATAAGTTCCAGAAAGAGGAGATCTTAAGCTGCTCTATATCCCCAGGAAAAATAGAGGCCACTATAGTTTCCAGCTCCTTTAGAATAAATGTCCCAAAGGGATCACAATACCCTAAATCTAATCTAATAAGGGGGTTCAGAGTTTGGAGTCATTCTAAAGGAAAACAGTCATATGTATATAATTTTCTCAAGAATTCAAACACAGTTTAATATGCTTTCCTAAACTTGTATTATTAGCCAAGGTGTTCAAGGAGAAAAATTTGCCATGGACGGAACCGTCAAAAGTTAAATCACTAAAAAATCGGTATTTTTCTACAACTGTCCTATATATACATATACAATATGTATCCCACCCTCCACTCCCCCTTGTTTTTGTTTTATGATACAGGGTGTCTCACTCTGTCACCCAGGCTGGAATATAATGGTGCAATCACAGCTCACTGCAGCCTTGACTTCCCCAAGCTCAAAAGATCTTCCTGCCTCAGCTTCCCACCACCTCTAGTAGCTAGGACAACAGGTGTACTCCACCTATATATTTTTAAAGTAATAACATAACTACCTCCACAATAAGAGTTGATTATGTTGCTTTCAAAACTGGGGGGAAAAATCACAAAAATCAACTTGGCAATCATTCTCTGTATAATGAAATGTATTACTCTTATTTACTTATCAAGCAATATTGCTCAAGCTTTTTGCCAGAAGATAAAAATCATGTAAATGTTCACTCTATCAGGAGGATGACCAAAAAAATTCCAACGGACCTATAAAAACAATTTCTTTAAATCCAAAAACAAGCAAACTCATCCTATCTTACCCCCTACATCTTTTGGAACTTGATTGCATTTGAGTTTCACAAAATAAAGCTAGTAAACATTTCCATTTCTGTCCAGCTTTAAGAAATGACATTTATAATCTGACAACAGAAAAGAACAAAAGAACAATAAGAGAAGGGATTTAGAGATCCTTACCTGTCTTATAACTCTGTGATCTGTATATGTCCCTGAGCCCTGTATATGTATAAGTCTATCTGAAGCTTGCAAGCTTGCACTGACCCAGACACTTCAGCCGGAAACACAAAAGCCGCTGTTTACCAGGGTCTACTGAGCCAACTAATTTAAAGATTTAAGGTATTTCAACCTGCTCTAAAAGATTACAGTAGCCAGGCACAGTGGTTCACACCTATAATCCCAGCACTTTGGGAGGCCGAGGCAGGTGGATCACTTGAGGCCAAGAGTTTGAAACCAGCCTGGTCATCAGCATGAAACCCCATCTCTGATTTAAAAAATACAAAAGTTGGCCGGGCATGGTTGCATGTGCCTGTAGTCCCAGCTACTCGGGAAGTTGAGGCAAGATAATCACTTGAACCTGGGAGGTGGAGGTAGTAGTGAGCTGAGATGGTGCCACTGAACTCTGGCCTGGGCCACAGAGCAAGACTCCATCTCAAAAGAAAAAAAAAAGAAAAAAGAGAAAGATTACAATAAAAATGGATCACCACTCAACAATTTAAGAAGTAAAAAAAAAAAAAAAAAAAAAAAGACAATTAAATGAAGCATTATGAAGTTTCAAGAGAATATAAAACTAGACACAAGTCTGGTTCATTTCCTTTTTCTTATCACCTAAAAAACTCTAGCCAACATGTTCAGATAACCATGGACTCCACGATAGCATAGAATTCAGTATGAGTCTATTCCAAACCCCAGCAATTTTTGAAAATACTCAAGGTGACACAATATTAAGTAAAATAGGCTTCCATTCATAAGACTACAAGCAAGAATATTACACAGATGGTCTAGTTCACACATTAAGACACTGAGAACCACGTGTGCCTACATGCAACTGGTTTCAGTTTTTCAGTGCAGGGACTTCTCTAAAGATGAAAACACATCCATATCTTATCCTAAGACTAAACAGAAATGGAACTACTTTTTGGTCATGTGAAACTAGAGGTTTTAAAGACTGCACTAGACTTTGAAGGGGGAAAAAAATCAAGTTTATAAAAATATTACCTCCTAGCTATGTAAACCTGAACTCATTTCATATCTATAAAATATGAAAAGTTTTTCATATCTCTAAAGTATAAACAGCACCTATTTCACACAGTGGCTATGATGACTAAATGAAAAGATCTTTATTAGTATAAAGTATTTAGTATAGTATCGGTCATGCAAAATTATAATTTTTACTTGTTTTGAAGATAACTCAAACTGGAATTGATCACAAGACACAGGAAGTACAGTAACATTAATTCAAATGCTACAATCTTAGTTTTTTAAATAATCAAGATATGGAGATTAACTAAATTTCTTTGCTGTATGAAAAATTACCAATTAAATTAATATACAAATAAGATTGAAGGAGGGAGAGTTATCTGATTTCAACATCTGGCATTTGCTTGCCTAACAATTCATTCCCTGTTTTGGAGAACCTGTGCCCAAGACAAAGTAACTGGTCCTCGGATGTTGTGGAGTTGGTAAATAGCTCTAATACAAGGCAGGAAGCAGTAACTGTTCAGACAATCATTTGATGTTTCCCTACTCTGTCTAAGCATTTTATGTATATACATGCATCATTTTAATTTATTTTTCATAGCAACCATCCAAAAGATATGTACTGTCTCTCCATATTTTAGGGTTGAGCAAAGTGAAACCATAAAAGGTGTGTCTGTCACCAAACTCAGTGTTCCTTTCCCATCCTGCCGCTTCACATAAAAGAGATGTTAAGTCAAAAGAGAAACATTACTTTTGGTTTGGTCAGAGCAGGATGGGTCAAAGTCAGCTTCATGAAGGAGAAATAATTTGAGTTGTGTTTTGTAGGAAAGAATGAACTTGAATTTACAGATGCCACAGAAAGAAGGTAAGCAGAGAACACAGCATAGACAAGCTGGAAAGGGGCATATACAGGGATCAGCAGGTGGTTCCAGGATGTGAAGAGCAGATGAACAGGGTAAAACGTGGCTATTCATAGATGAGAAAGATAACCTTCGGCAACAAAGCATATGAGCATGGCTAGGCATGGTGGCTCATGTCTGTAATCCCAGCACTTGGGCAGGCCAAGGTAGCAGGACTGCTTGAACTCAGGTGTTCAAGACCAGCATGGTCAACACAGTGAGACCTCATCTTTACTAAAAATCAAAAAAATTAGCCTGGTGTGGTGGCACATGACTATAATCTGAGACACTTGGGAGGCTGAGGTAGGAGGACCACTGCAGCCTGGGAGATAAAGGCTACAGTGAACTATGATTGTGCTACTGCTCTCTAGCCCAGGCGACAGAGCAAGACCCTGTCTCAAAACCAATAAACACATGACTGAATCCACCACTAAGGCAGGAATGGAGGAGGAGAGCAGCTGACATCGGCATGTTCATGAATTGCCTGGTATTAACTATAATTACTTAACCAAAAAGTCCAGATATTTATACACACTTACACATTTAAATGGCCTTGCCTTTCAGTCTTCCTAATTTTCTCTAATATTGCCCAATTTTCTTTTTCAGTTCCTTCATCCTCCAACTTCTTCTCACTAATAGGCTCTTCTTTCATCTCATAGTGATCTAAGTCTTCTATATCCTGCAAAAAGAAGAAAAATATTAGCCGATTCAACCCACTTTCCTTCAGCAGTTTCTTATGCCAAAACTTAAATTATTCTTGACTTGGTGGGGGACAGGAAACAGAATATATCTATCCTATGGGGAGAAAGAAAAAGCCCCCACATTCCATTCAAGAGGCTCCCACCTTTTATATCCTGTATTTTATTTAAAAGCTAGACTCTGGGGAAAGCAGATTTAAAAGCTTTACAAAGTCACAACTATTATGAAATAAGCCATCATTTATTTATTTACTTCTTTATTTATTTTATTTTATTTTTGTAAGATAGAGTCTCACTCTGTCACTCAGGCAGGAGTATAGTGGCGCGATCTCTGCTCACTGCAACCTCTGCCTCCCAGGTTCAAGTGATTCTCATGCCTCAGTCTCCTGAGTAGCTGGGATTACAGACGTACACCACCACGCCCAGCTAATTTCTTTGTATTTTTAGTAGAGACAGGGTTTCAACATGTTGGCCAGGCTGGTCTCAAACTTATGACGTCAAGTGATCTGCCCACCTCAGCCTCCCAAAGTGCTGGGATTACCGGCGTGAGACACCACGCCTGGCCAAGCCATCTTTTAAATCTCCTAAGAGGAACCTTTGAAACAGTTTAGCAGCAGGTGTCAAGAACCTTAACTGTTCATAGTTTGTTCCAGAAACTCGACTTCTAGAATTGTATTACAAGAAACTAGTCTAAGAGGTAAACACAAATTTAGGCATAAGAATACCTATTTCAACCTTGCAACCACAAAAACAAACACAAAATCTGCATGTGCAAAAATAGCAAAACAGTTAACTCAATTCCATGAACTATTAAGCAGCCACTGAAATATCAACACGGCATAATTTCTCCTGTATCGAAAAACTTTGAAATGAAAAATGGATTACACAAAGGAATAGAGAGAATTTCAATTATGCTGAAATAAGCACAGAAAAAGACCAGAACAACTTACATTGAAATGTTAATTTCAATTAATTTTAGTTGTTATCTCTGGAGACATTTGGTGCTTTCCCCTGATTTCCAAGTTTATGGTTTTATGTAGTAAGCACCTATTGATGTTAATAACTTAAAAATAAGTTAGAAAAAGAATTTGATCTCAGGTGCTCAGGAGGCTGAAATAGAAGCACTGTTTGGTCCCGGGAGTTCGAGGCTGCAGTAAGCTATGATCATGCCACTGCACTCCACCCTGGGTGACAGCGACCCTATCTCAAAAACTAATAATAATTTCAAAAGAATTTGAATAATACCCTGCAGAACAACATCTTTATTCACATCATTCTGCTCCCTCCCTTCCCATACTATCTGTTCTTACACATACGCAAATATATGCAGAATTGTTTAAATCCTAACTTTTTTCAATTACCTTATATTTCTACTTCAATTGCCAAAATCTCTAAAGGGGTAGTTTATATTTATCTCGACTTTTTTCCCAAGCCGCTTAATTCACCAATTTCTAGACCAGATTACTGACTACCTTCACTCAAACTCTGCCCATGTACTTCATGGAGCTCCCTTCTCCCTGTGTGCACCTTTCAGCCCTGATCTTCCACCCACACTTGTTTTCCCACAATGCTCACAAATGCCTTTGGCCTGTATTTCCACCTGTACCTTCAACCTCAGTCATGTTCCCATCCACAAAACTTCTCCACCTAAGTATTAATCAGCACATCCCAAACAGAATTCAACATATCTTTCTAAAACAATATTCTCAGCACACGATTCCCTGCTTAAGGCCTTCTTATCAACAAACATACCAAATAGAAACATGCCTGTCTCAAATTCAAGACTTCTGTCCATCTGTCTTTTCTGGACAATCTTGCTTTCCATGACTTCAACACATCAACCTTCCTTCTCAAAAGAAAAGCATCCAATGCACCCAAACACACCATGTCCAAAGTTGCTCTGGGCCTGTTCCCACATTATTTTAGGAGCCTAGAATATCTGCTTTTCACCTGTCCTAATCTGACAACTCCAAAGTCCAGTCTCCTACCTTTCTAGATTTCCCTCAAAGTTGCGGTCCCTTGTTTATTATCTTGTCAAGGGAAAATGAAAGGGTTCATGAACTTTAGTACAATGGCTGCCTGACCCATGGAAAAGGTTTAATGTTTTCATGCAGTTTATTCCACCTAAGCTAAACTGCATAAAAACATTAAAACAGACTCTCATCCTAATTGGACAATTTTAAGAAGTATTTTACTCCCAGACTCATAAAACAAGCCTACAGCCAGGCACAGTGGCACACACCTGTAATCCCAGCACTTTGGGAGGCCGAGGTGGTGGATCACTTGAGGCCAGGAGTTCAAGACCAGCCTGGGCAACAGAGTGAGACTCAAACTCTACAAAAAAATAAAAAAAAATTAGCTGGACGTGGGGCACCGGCCTGTAGTCCCAGCTACTCAGGAGGATCGCTTGAACCCAGGAGTTCAAGGTTACAGTGAGCCATGCCGGCGCTACTGCACTCCAGCCTGGGTGACAGTGAAACCCTGTCTCAAAAAACAAACAAAAACAAGCCTACAACACTACCTTTTTAGTTCCGAAGCACTCTAAAGTACATTTTAGATTAATAATTTCCAAACCAAGAAAATGAAAGCCTAAATTAATTATAAGACCCCAAACAGAAAAAAATCTTTTAAAACAATCAACACCATGGAATTCACATACATTCTATTTGGTCAATGCAGAGACACAGATCTTTGTTCTGAAGTTCAAATTTAAGTGCAAAGCTTCAGAGCCTGAAAACATCTAAAATTATACCCATGACTGACAGCTGGCCTAGGCTCAATGTCTTTGGAATTTGCTCTACTAAATTTGCTACTGTTTGAATGTATTCCCTCCAAAATTCAAGTGTTGCCAATGTGATGATATTAAGAGGTAGGACTTTTAAGAGATGATTAGGCCAAGAGGGCTCCTTTCTCCTTCATGGGATTAAGGCCCTTATGAATGAGGCTTCACACATTGGACTAGCTTGCTCTCCTGCCCTTCTGCCTGCTACCATGTGAGGATGAAACAAGAAGGTCCTGAGACACCAAATGTTGATATTTTCATCTTGGATTTCCCAGACTCCAGAACTGTCAGAAAATAAATGACTGTTCTTCATAAATTACTCACTCTCTGTTATTCTGTTACAATACTATAAAACAGACTAAGACAAATTTCTTTGAATGATTTTTCAGCAAGAGACAGTTTCACTACTTCTGGCAAGTAGTCTCTAAAATATTCTGAAATTCTCCTTTTATGCAAACATAAAATTTTTTAAACTCAGTAGTTTCTCTTCCAAAAAATAACCAAATACAGGTTAAGTACTGATTAGTATTAAATATAATTTTAGTGCTAAAAGTTAAGAGCTTTTGTTTTCCAGAAAATCAAATCCAAGAATTCAGATAAAACAATTTGCCCGAAGGCATATCATGAGTTAGAGGTAAAGCCAGAATTTATAAATTACATTCCATTCCAAATACGACGTGCTTTCAATTATTCCATATTAATAGTTATTTATAAAGGAGATTAGAGAATTACTCAAATGTCCAAAACTGAAGATATTTTATGATTTTTTTTGGTTTTTTTTTTGAGACAAGAGTCTTGCTCGTCACTCAGGCAGGAGTGCAGTGGCACGATCTTGGCTCACTGCAACCTCCACCTCCTGGATTCAAGCAATTCTCCTGCCTCAGCCTCCGGAGTAGCTGAGATTACATGTGCCTACCACCATGCCCGGCTAATTTTTGTACTTTTAATAGAGACAGAGTTTCGCCATGTTGGCCAGGCTGGTCTCAAACTCCTGTCCTCAGGTGATCCACCCACCATGGCCTCCCATAGTGCTGGGGTTACAGGCATGAGTCACCTCGCCTGGCCATAATGTTATTCTTATATAAAATACCCACTTCATCCATCTCTTCCTCTTCGTCTTCTTTTGAAGTCACTTCTTCTGTTGTCCCATTCTGAAATAGAGAAAGAATCTGCCAGAACTACACAGAACAAATATGCACATTAGAAGATTGGTGTCACAGCTTTAGGGACAAACTCCCAACCATCTGTCACTGCAGTCCCACTACCAAAGAGCTTATTAAAATTAAAATATGCATTTTTAAATCCAACTTTGATTTGACAAACAACAGTTCTCAGCTTTTAAAAATGAAACAATTTTGAACAATTCAACTTAATGGATGCCTTAGGAATAAAGAAAAGCAATCAGTCAAATATAAAGCAAAACTGAAAAAAATTCTAAAACATAATCTAATTTAAAATAAGAAAACATTTTACTTGTACGGCTATGTGCATAAGATCAAAGGCTTATTTTGTTTAAAATAAATATTCCAAACTATCAGTTCCTCAAAACAGCTACCTTTTTAACTTTGAAAAGCCTGAATCATTACATAAATTCAATTTCCTTACATTTTAAGAGGTCAGATGTGTTACTTACAATAGACGCTCCCCAAAACTAAGAGTTATGAATTGATTACCACCTCACTATAAAGCAAATTGTCTTTTTAAAAACATGTAATTTACTATCGAATATCTCTCTACAAGACACAATTTACCAATTAACACAAATTACAATTATCAAGTTCAGAAATGAATCTAATGAATTTTTAGGAGGGGCTTTCGTACCCAGTTCGGGCAAAGGTCAAAAGACAAGCTTCCTGGCCAGGACACAGTATATATATGCAGCTTTAACCATAAAGGCCAGTTCAGATTAGAACTCAGAATATGTAAAAGATCTAGAAACTAGGATCCAGAAATCAAGACCAACAAAGGTCTCAGCAGTATCTAAGCAGAAGCTTCCAAAATGTAATTCACCCCTTCTTCATTTCCCTAAATTCTTATATTCCAAAGCCAATTATTCTGGGTATCTAAAGAATATATACCTAGCCTCAAAGTCCCAAAAAATTTGGTTGCATCAATGGTTGAAAGAGCATTTTTGAAATGCTAATTTCAAAGCCTACCCAAAGAATCTCTTTTGCAAAATCTCTCTGAGGTGATTCTCACATGCATCTGGGTCTGTCACCACTAGCCCAGTTACTAGCCTTCATTTTACACATGAGAAAGCTGAGCCCCTATCCCGTCAAAAAGGGGAAGTAATTTAATCAAAACAAAAAGTGAGTTAGGGCTGTGAAATCCTAAGATTAATTTCATTTCAAGATGTGACCTGGTCCTCTTTCTAAAACCCCACTGAAATGACAGAATTTTATAAAAGAGAGTAAGTCGGCTGCAGCAGCAGCAAAACAACAAATACAAAAAGAATACCCTTAGTGAACCAAAACTATAAGGACATGCTAGAAGATACAAAGCAGATGGAATCAGACTGCTGGGCTCGAGAAAGCCACAAACCCAATCCAAATAATGGAGGGACCACTTTTGTTTGAAGGATCATTCCTCACTGTACTTGTCCCAACTATAGTTGGTAAGGATCACTCTGGTAATAGGAAGCCTGTCTTGATGGTCTCTCACTATCAGTGACAAAACCAGAGAGAAAAGACAGAATGTTTTTTTAATATAACTCAATGCAGCAGCAAAATCTTATAACAGACTCTGCCTCTTCCTTTTAGCTCAAAATCTGGAAAGCTCACTGGCCAGCACCTCCCCACCCTCATGCCACAGGAAGAGCACAGGTCTGCAAACCAGGAGGGGGAGGCCACAGCAGAAAAGAGTAACAATTCTGAAGACACTCATAACAACTCATACTGATCAAAGGTATACCTCATCTATAAATGAACAGATAACCATGTATTATCAGAGAGTTGAAGAAAATTAGCAACCTGAAAGGAAGGTGCCAAGTCAAAGAAGCACGAATGACCTGAAGCACTGCTAATGAAGGAAACAAGCAGAATTTTAAAACCTAATTGGAATCTTTAGCAGTAATTGAGAAGATACTGTATCCACAAAATACAAAACAGATTACTATGCAAAAGACAATTCTAGGAGGTAAAAATAAGACCTCTAAACCAAAAAAAAAAAAAAAAAAACAAAACAACACACCAGTTGCAGAAGGGCCAGGACACAATGACGTGACTCAGCAAAACATTAAGGTGGCTCACATCTGTAATTCCAGCACTTTGAGAGATCAAGGCGGGTGGATCACGAGGTCAGCAGATCGAGACCATCCTGGCTAACATGGTGAAACCCTATCTCTACTAATAATACAAAATTTAGTTGGGCATGGTGGTACATGCCTGTAATCCCAGCTACTCAGGAGGCTGAGGCGGGAGTATCATTTGAACCTGAGAGGTGGAGGTTGCAGTGATCCAAGATCGCACCACTGCACTCCAGCCTGGCTGACAGAGCGAGATTCTTGTCTCAAAAAAAAAAAAAGAAGTAAAACCCCCACACTTTACAGTTACACAGAAAATCATACTAACTATCAGAAAGAACTAAGAATCAGATAGGCATCAGACTTTTCATCTACAACAATAAATATCAGAACATAAAAGTATAAAGACCTGGAAAGAAACTCAATTATGACCTCAGAATTCTATATCTAGCTCCGTCAAGACAGGAAGCGTATCTGTGTATGTTTGCCTCTGGATTCTCCACACTGATATGGATGGAGTACTTTATACAGAGTCAAATATTTGTTGAACAAATGATAACAGACAGCAAGTTCATGGAACACACTCCATACACATCCCCACAAACCCTTTCTAGGAAAAAAAAAAAAACAAAAACCCAGGATATTATTCAGGGATATACTCGAGGGGCAGGGAGCAGGAGACATGATACAAGAAGTAGCAATAAGCAAAGGCAACAGTAACACCAATAGTGAAGTCTAAATGATTGCTGATAATCTCGCTGAAAGGTCACAGGCCATATTCTCTGACCACACTGATGCACTAAAAACACCTCAAAAGCCACCTGAAAATGCTTTTTTTTTCTAGATAACTCTTGGGTAAAAGAAGAAATTGATCCTCATGCCTCAGTCATCCAACTCCTAAGTATGTGCCCCAGAGAAATGCTGGCACAAGGATACCATGAAATACAGACAAGAATGACCACAGCAGCAATCACTGTTCCTAATAACACTGGAAACAACCCACATGTCTGTATCTAGTCAAGGGGATAAATGGTATGGTATATTCAAACAATGGAGTAAATACAGCAATGCAAAAGAACTATAACTACACACAATGGGAACAAATTTCACACACAATGTTGAGCACAACAAAGATATGAAAAAATACATATAGTATGATTTTCAAAAGTTCAAACAATAGGCAACACTACACCGTATTGTTGAAGGATGCATATATGAGTGATAACACTAGAGAAATATAAGGCAAGATGAGCGTACAGAGGCATGGTGATCAGGAAGCAGCCTGCAGAAGGTTTCTGTAGTGCAAGCAATGTGCCTTCTCTTCACCTTGGTGCTGGCTAGGTATTAGTTCCCAAGTACTCGCTCTAACTATATGTTACACTAAGCTTATGTTTTACATAATTTCAATACATGTCTTTTTTTTTTTTTTTTTTTTTTTGAGGTGGAATTTCACTCTTGTTGCCCAGGCTGGAGTGCAGTGGCGTGATCTCAGCTCACTGCAACCTCTGTCTCCTGGGTTCAAGCGATTCTCCTGCCTCAGCCTCCCAAGTAGCTGGGATTACAGGCATGCACCACCATGCCCAGCTAATTTTTGTACTTTTAGTAGAGACGGGCTCTCTCCATGTTGATCAGGCTGGTCTCGAACTCCCAATCTCAGGTCATTCACCTGCCTTGGCCTCCCAAAGTGCTGGGATTACAGGCATAAGCCACCATGCCGGGCAAATAAAAAGTTTTAATAGTAAGAGCAATGTGAACAGAGGATGCAATAAAATGACTTGGAAAATACAAACTATTTAGAAAATAGATTTTAAAACTTGTGCAATAAAGTCAAACAGCACCCAAAGAAAATGTATACCATTACAGGTTTGTTTAAAAAGCAGTTTAAATTACATTGATCCACTAAACTAGAAAAAGCAAAATAAACAAAAAGGGGAAATAATTAAGACACAAGGAAAATGTGAAAACAACCCACTAAATTTAAAAAATAAAACTAAGGGAGGATTCTTTCAAAAGACTAAGATAATAAAACAGTCACGCCTCTGATAAGTGATCAAGATAAAGAAAACTTTGAAGACAAAAGGGCATATAGCCACATGTGAATATGATGCAAAAAGTGAAAACTTTACACATCTTTACAACACCTTAGAAGTATGGGAGAAGTGTTCATTTCTTTTAAGAATCTACAGTTACGAAAACTAACTGAAGAAATGGAAAATCTGGAGACCAATACGCAGAAGAAGGAAAAAGACAGACTCATCCTCCAAATTGGACATTTATTTAAACCAGGGTTTGTCAGCCTCAGCAATATTGATATCTTGGGCCAGACAATTCTTTGTGAGGGTTCTCCTGGTGTGTTGTGGGACATTTAGTAACATCCCCTCTACCCACGGAATGCCAATAAGACCTCCCGACCGTGACCAGTTGTGACCACAAAAATGTCTCCAGATATTTCCAAATGTCCCATGGGAGGCAAAATATTCCTGCAGTTGAAAATTACTGTGTAAACTAGATCTACATCCTAGGTCTTAGAAAAAAGATGTAAAGCTTCCCGAGTTAGCCCTGCATACCCTTGATACTGAAATAAGAGCCTTAAAAGAAACAAACAAAACTATAATCTTATTTTATAAAGAAGTAAAAATGCAAAAATAAAATATTACCATAGCCATTCTAACAGTGTTTATTATAGGAATGCAAGGATGATTCAAAATTAGGAAAATTTCATCAGGTAATTCACAAATTATATTTCTCCATAGAATTGTAGGCACAATCAAGAAAAACAAGGTAGCTCTATATGCATTAAGTCCACGTGATATTCAGTGAAAAACACAAGTTGCAGATGTCTTACAGAAAAAAACTGAACACTGAACACATATTTCCACCATCTGCTCTTTGTCCTGAGGCTCCACTAGAAATACAGTGAAGAATAAACAATATATAAACAAACAATTACAAAAAAAAGAAATGGGGTTACCCACAGAAGAGAATTCACCTCCATTAGAAAATGACAGTAAATGGAAAATGGTTAATTAATGGAGCAAGCAAACAAAAGTGGAGGTTGGGGGATACCAAAAACAAGGAAGCTAATTTGTCCCACAGCAACCTGGAAAGGTTCTAGACTCAGACACCAGGTACCCCCGAGAGTGGGACTGACAGGCAAGACTGAAAACAGAGATTAACCAAAAGCCTATATAGAGAACACCTTTTCCAGGCCCTGAAACACACTGCTCTCCTCCATCTCCTTAAGCAGAACCCAAGCAAACATATCTACCTCAGACAAGAGAATGTAGATTTCACCTCCAGAGGAATGGAGTAGTTCCAGCCATCATTTATGATTGCACTGGGAGATAAGATAGAGGGGTAGAGGATAACAATTAGGAATCAGCATACATTCCCCCCTAAAAGCTATCAGTTGCCAAGTCTTCGCCATGCAGAACTCCCAATCAATTCTTTATTTTTTTATTTGTATTTATTTATTTTATTTATTTATTTATTTGAGAAAGGATCTTGCTCTTTCACCCAGGCTGGAATGCAGGAATGCAGCAGCATGATCACAACTCACTTTAGCCTCAACATCCTGGGCTCAAGCGATCCTCCTGCCTCAGCCTCCCAAGTAGCTGGGACTACAGGTGGGTGTCACCACACCTGGCTTTTTTTTTTTTAATTTATTTTTTGTAAAGATGGGGTCTCATAATATTGCCCAAACTACTCTTGAGCTCCTGGGCTCAAGTGATCCTCCCACGTCAATCTCCGAAAGCACTGAGATTGTAGGTGTGAGCCACCACACCCAGCCTCCCAGTCTTTCAGTACCTCTCTCAAATATGAATGAACAAAAAAGGGAATTTAAAAAAAAAAAAGAATACAGGCCAGGCACAGTGGCTCACGCCTTTAATCCCAGCACTTTGGGAGGCCGAGGTGGGTGGATCACCTGAGGTCAGGAATTCGAAACCAGCCTGACCAACATGGAGAAACCCCTTCTGTACTAAAAATACAAAAATTAGCCAGGTGTGGTGGCACATGCCTGTAATCCCAGCTACTCAGGAGGCTGAGGCAGGAGAATCGCTTGACCCCAGGAGGCAAAGGTTGCGGTGAGCCAAGATCACGCCATCGCACTCCATCCTGGGCAACAAGAGCGAAACTCCGTCTCAAAAAAAAAAAAAAAGACTACAAATGATAAGCAACATAGAATAGATATTTAAGGAAAGGTTTTAAAAAGAAAAATAAGACCAAAATAAACTAAGAAAAAAATTTATTAAAGAACAAAGAGATGCTAGGGAGAAGACAAAAGAGCATCAAAATCACTTCATAAGGACACTTGTGAATATATTACATGAATAAAACAAAATTAGAATATGAATATGGAATAATCAGAGAAGAAAAAGTTCTTAGAACTCAGGGTTCATCTTGGGAGTTGGTCCCCAATGAGCCTAACCTCCTGTTATCATGTCCCTGGACAGGCCCATCCCACAGTGAATCTGGGTTGGCCTCAAGACTCACTTTAACCTATAGAATTTGGTAGAAATGACACTGGACCTGTTCCAGGTCTAAGCCTTAAGAACACCTGGCAGCTCCACTTCTGTGCTTCTAGTAGCCAAAATAAGTACTGACTATCCTCTTGGAGAAAGAGAAACCACACAAAGAGGCCTGAGAGGATGAGACGCTATGCAGAGGAGAAGGCCACAAGAAGAAACACCAAGGCAGCAGACCTGTGGGTGAAGCAGCCGTCTCAGACATTCCACTGCAGCTGAGCATCCAGATGACCAGTCTCTGACACCGTCTAACCGCACAGTGAGAGATGCCAAATGAGACCAGCAGAAAAACTGTCCAGCTACCCCCAGTTAGCCCATACAGTAGTGACAGATAGACAAATGTGTAGTTTTATGCCATTAAGTTTTGGGAAAATTGGTTAAGCAACAATAAATAACCAAAACAAAACTTAAAGTTATGACTGTCCAAATAAAATTTCCTAAAAGTCAAAAAATAAGAAAAATATTCCAGAACTTAAAATTTAAAAAAAATTAGAAATGACGTGAGATACAAGACTCAAACAAGAGGACTAAAATCCAATTAACAGACACTTCAAAATGAACAAATAAAATGGAAAGGAGAAAGTTAACAAAAATATGACAAGATTCAAGATTCCAACTTTGAAAGAGACGATCCATAGGCCTATCCATTTGGTGTACCCAGCACAGTGAATGAAAAAAGACACACACTAAGTACAATGTTGTGCTATTTCAGCTCACCAAGGAAAAGACAAACTCCTAAAAGCTTCCAGAGAGAAAGTCATGCATGAATGAGTGAAACTCAGGGTGACATGAGGCCTCACCACCATGACTGGTTAGAAGACAACAGCACAGACTTTGAAATTCTAAGGTAAAATTATCCTCAACCTAGAAATACATAATCAACCAAACTATCAATCAAGTGTGAGGGTAGACTATGACAAAAGTGAATAGTGATGGGGATGGGCTAAGCACCAGGCACTGTTCTAAATGGTTTACATGTACCAACTCATTTAATCCTCACAGCTCCCTAGAAACATAGGTACTAATACTATTACTGGTTCCCCCATTTTGCAAATGGAAATTGATGCATAGAGCAATTAGGGAATCTGCCCAAGGGCATACAGCTAATAAGTAGTAGAACCAAGATTCAAACCTATCTCAGACTGGCTCCAAAACCCAAACACTGGATTGTATTTTTTCAGAAGCTAGAGATCAGAAAATATACCACTCCATGCTTTCTTAGGGTTTTACTTGAGGACATAGTCAGGTAAAATGACAAAGGGAAAGCCAAAGAAGATGACATGGGATCCAGGAAACAATGGATGTACTCTAGGCGAGCAGATGAGAAAAACCTCAAGATGACATGTGCACAGCCAACCCGAAGAACAACCTGCCAAAATGGGCACAGAGGAGCCAAAGGCTTTGGAAGAGAAGGAGATCTCACAGAAAGGGCTACAACAGAATTTTTTAAATTAAAAATTACTGTTATGAGGAAGACACTGCAAAACAAAAAGCAACACCAAGGAAAGAAATATCCTATCCTAAATATTCTACAAAACTTGGCTTTACAAAGTCCTAATGATAATTAGTGATTACTTATATGACTAAAGAGGAAGGGAAAGTGGGTGGTATAAGAGCTAAATTCTCACATATTATACTAAAAAGTCAATAGCTGATGCCTAAATAGGTAAATCCAGGAAGAAGTTAGGGGTAGTGGTGAGCTAGTGGAGATTTCTGTTGCTTGCAGGAGATAACATTTGGGCAAGTCCTTAAGAAGCATAGACAGACTTAAGGAGACGGCATTTCTAGGTAAAGGCAAGTCAATGAGCAAAGACAAGCAATGAAAAAAGCAAGAACATTTATGGACACCAGGAATATTCACAACAAAAAGCTGCTGTTAGGGAAAAGGGCAATTGTTTGCCTGCCATACTAAATACCAGCAGCTCCAAAGAATGAAAAGGTTATTTTTAGTATCTAAAACAGAACAAACAATTTAACAGGTACAGAAAAACTAACTTCTAAATAAGTTGAATAATTTTTAAAAAATCATCCTAGTTTGACTTTTGTTTGAGACAATTTATTTTAGCTCTTGAACACTAGAGAATTTTTACTTTAGCTGACCCATGGGTAGTGGTTGATCTGGCATCTCAACATCCAGGTGCTTAGGAAGGTTATATAACCTGCAGAGTCCACATATCAACCACTTCAATTGCTGATGAAGCTACAAAACACATTTCAGTAAATAAGCATTATGTTAAAGAGCCCTTAGAAGACAGCAATAATGTTATGACTACTGCAATCAATCTAGTAGGAAATAAAAAAGTTTGTAACTGCTCAACTGCAGCTTACAGATTTTTAAAAAAACTCTTTGAAATATTTTCAGGAGCCTCTAGTTTAAGAAAGTTACTATGGCTTGGGCTATAATCACTACAACTGATACCTAATGGAACGACAAGAATAAAGGCAGAGGAAGGAAGTTCCAGACATTGTCCAATTTCGCACTGCTACCTTGTTTTCTTAGAAACTTACAACTTCAAACAAGAGAACATTACTGCATTAATGAGGCCACCCAAAAAAAAAAAAGAAAAAAAACCACACACAGGCAGTGTTGTTACACATGGATTATAAAATTATATATTCCAGTCATAGTTAAAAGTACAAAAGCAAATGTGATCCAGCAGACAGAGCCTGGAAATCTAGATGACCTTGGATATCATATCTAATTCCTTGAGTTTGAGTCTACTCATCTGTAAAACAAAGAAATGAAAACTTTCCCAGAATAGTAAAGATTAAATGAAACCTGTGAAACACTTGATACTTAGTAGGCTCTTAAGTGTCTGTCTAAAAAATAATCATTCACTAGGAAACTGCAAAGAATAACTGTAAATTTCCCTGTTTACGTCCAAATTGTGTTGTAAGCATGTTTAAGGAAATAAACAAGGTAAACTATGTGCACAAATGTGGTTTTCATTGTTTAAAATGTTTTTTAATGTATAAGGTGACTCAAATGGGATCTAATAAGGCAACTCACTTCACTTGGTCAGGAACAATTTTCTGGGTGTCTCTGACCAAGAAAAGAGATGAAGAGAAAGAAGCAGGTTTACAAAGGACAAAGTAAGAAGACACAGGATTAGAATGGGTTAACGAAGCAAAGAATAAGCCTTCCCAAAGTGAACAATGAAGCAAGTGGAAACAGGAAGGTTGAACCGTAAATTAGGATACACCAAAAATCCTCATGCTTAAAAGGAAGCCAAGGCCTAGTGTGGATTCATTATGCACCCAATGTGCTCTGTTTTGTGCTAAGTATATAATGAAGATGAGGCAGGGTGATCTGGACACAGACCTGGACACTCTGACCTCTGGCACAGAAGGGGCTACAGGAGTGCTGGGGTGAAACAGGAATTAAAAGAAATTAAAGAATGTGAAACTACCATCAGAGTGAACAGGCAACCTACAGAATGGGAGAAAATTTTTGCAATCTACCCCTCTGACAAAAGGCTAATATCCAGAATCTACAAAGAACTTAAAACAAATTTACAAGAAAAAAATCAAGCAACCCCATCAACAAGTGGGTGAAGGATATGAACAGACACTTCTCAAAAGAAGACATTTATGCAGCCAACAGACACATGAAAAAACACTCATCATCACTGGCCATCAGAGAAATGCAAATCAAAACTACAATGAGACACCATCTCAGACCAGTTAGAATGGCAACCATTAAAAAGTCAGGAAACAACAGGTGCTGGAGAGGATGTGGAGAAATAGGAACACTTTTACACTGTTGGTGGGGCTGTAAACTAGTTCAGCCATCGTGGAAGACAGTGTGGTGATTCCTCGAGGATCTAGAACTAGAAATACCGTTTGACCCAGCCATCCCATTACTGGGTATATACCCAAAGGATTATAAATCATGCTGCTATAAACACATATGCACACGTATGTTTATCGCGGCACCATTCACAAAAGCAAAGACTTGGAACCAACCCAAATGTCCATCAATGATAGACTGGATTAAGAAAATGTGGCACATATACACCATGGAATACCATGCAGCCATAAGGATGAATTCATGTCCTTTGTAGGGACATGGGTGAAGCTGGAAACCATCATTCTGAGCAAACTATCTCAAGGACAGAAAACCAAACACTGCATGTTCTCACTCATAGGTCAGAATTGAACAATGAAAACACTTGGACACAGGATGGGGAACATCACACACGGGGACCTGTTGTGGGGTGGGGGGGAGGGGGGAGGTATACCTAATGTAAATGATGAGTTAATGGGTGCAGGACACCAACATGGCACATGTATACATATGTAACAAACCTGAACGTTATGCAAATGTACCCTAGAACTTAAAGTATAATAATAATAATAAAAAGAATGTGTAAGCAAAAACTCAGTTATAAAAAAAAAAAAAAACCCAATTCCCCCTAAGAAAGAAAAAGAGGTGGAGTCCTTTAAAAATTAACTGTCTGTTTTTCTGAGGCTAGTGAACCTTATCTCTCCTCGTCTCCCAGGCATTGTGAAGACCCTGATTCTCTAGCTGTGCAGCTGCAAGGTCACTAGACAGATAAACTCAGTCGAAAAACAGGTTTTTCCTTGAAAAGTAAGAAATAATGTAATGCATGTCTCAACTGAATAACTGTCTTTGTTTCTTGCTTCTGTAATATGCCTCCCCCTGCACAGATCTCCCCCGACCCGATAAAATGTTTAAAAGGTAACCTGACTCTTTGTTCAGGGCTCAGTCCTTTAGATGTTAAATTTGACTGGGCCGGTGCACCTAAATAATAATAATATATATCCTCCTCAACCCTTCAGTCTCTCTGATTCCTAAATTATCCCGCTGCAGGGGGAGAGAGGGAGCAGGGTAGTGGAGTCATACCAAGCAACAAGAAAGACAGGGTAGTGGCCAGGAGTTCGAGACCAGCCTGGTGAACATGATGAAACCTCATCTCTACTAAAAATACAAAAATTAGCTGGGCATGGTGGCAGGTGCCTGTAATCCCAGCTACTCAGGAGGTTGAGGCAGGAGAATCACTTGAACCCAGGAGATGGAGGTTGCAGTGAGCCGAGATTGTGCCATTGTACTCCAGCCTGGGCGACAAGAGCGAGACTTCATTGAAAGAAAGAAAGAGAGAGAGAGAGAAAGAGAGAAAGAAAGAAAGGAAGAAAGACAGGGTAGTACATTTTCCACGAATTTCAATTTTACTCTCTTCCCCCACCACACACACACAAAAAGCATTTGAGGGATGGGAAGAAGAAACTGAGATCACAGGGAAAATAGTAAGAGACATTTAGAAGGACAGGTCTTAGAAACGTACTTTGGGGGGGAGGTCAGAGAACAGTAGCATATAAAAGAACGCTAAGACAGTTCCCAGGTTGAGGCATGGGTGACTAGTTTGATTATTTCATTTTGTCCCACTCACAATGACAAGGACAATTACTGATGGGACACATGATGGGGCTGATAGAGTGCTAGGAGGTGAATACATGAAAATTTAAATACCATCATTTTGAACACCCATGTCACTCCAAGTGAGATTCCCTAACATATATGATATACAGACAGATATATGGGTTTGAAACTCCGGAGATGAATACAAATTTAGGAGTCCCTGGAACACAGGTCATGACTTAAGTAATGGGAGTCAAAGATTACTCAGAGAAAGCACAGAATGAGAAGAGAAGAAAGAAGTAGGACAAGGAAGAAGAGATCGGAGGAGACCAAGGCAGGGTGATAAGATCAAAACAGGAGAAAACAATCTGATAAAAGTCCCATTCGACTATCATGTCCCTTCCCAGAGGACAGGGACATGCCTTTTTTGTCTTTTATACCCAACTATCAACTATCACAGGTCCTGGCACAGAAGCCACACAGTCTTTTTTAATTGTGTTCTACTACTCACAATTTCCTGTATCCACCAGGGGAGAAAAAAGTAAGTATAAACTAGCACAGACATAGATTTTTTTACACTGTATACTAAAGAGGTCAGATTATACACAATATTTTATGCCTTACTTTTTTACTTAATACATCTTAGAAGTTTGCACATGCTTTTATGGAAAGACTGGCTGCATTTTTTTTGGTCTATAACAGAATATTCTATTATAAAACTGTACACTATAATTTTTATTTAACCAACTCTTTGCTGGTGGACATTAAGAACGGAGGAATGTTTCAACAAAGGAACAATCAACATTAACAAAATACTGCAGAGGAGTCAATTTGTGGACTAAGAGGGGAGCCACTGGATTTGGAAACGAGGAGATAAATTTTAGCGCAAAGATGAAGGCAGAATCCAGATTATAATGAGTTCAGTGAAAAAAGGTGAAGACATGTAGCTTATTCTCTCAAGAAACTAGGCTATGATAAACTGGCAGAGGCTGTAAGAGTGGGAAGTGAGTTGTTTTCTCCTTCATGTAAATATATTTATTGTTTTAAACACTAGGCCCAATTTTATATCCTACTTCATTTAACTTTTGAACATGTTTATGTATGTATGTATTTCATGTAATGTTTTAGACACTGAAAAAAACCTCATTTCTGCTATTATAAAACTGTTATCTTTAGATATTCAGAAGCAACTTCCTAAAAGGAGGTAGCAGTAATGGAGCTATGTCTATCAGTCTTTCCCATCAACCCCCTTGCTGGAGATGTAAACATGTGTCCATCAAGCCTTTAATTTTCACCTCTTATCTTCATGGCTCTCCATACAAAACTTAACTCTTTTTTTGTATCTCTATATGTATATTTATATGTATATCTATATCTAGAGAGAGAGAGTCTTGCTATGTTGCCCAGGCTGATCTCAAACTCCTGGGCTCAAGCAATCCTCCCAACTTGGCCTTGAAAGTGCTGGGATTACAGGCGTGAACCACTGTGCCCAGCCTCAGCCTTAACTCTTAAAATATCTTCAAATCGATGTTCTTCTGTTCTAATTTTTAAGAATAGATGTGTTTAAACCAACTACAACTTATTTTGACAAAAATTGGAGTTAAGACTCAAACTTCCTCAAATGGCCAGTTCTCCTAAAACTATTTACAGAATAATCTGTCTTTTCACTACTAAGTTAAAGCACCACCTTTTCCTTACACTAAATTCTCATTTGCATGACTCTGGTTCTAAACTTTCATTGCCTTTATCTGTCTGGCCCAGGGCTAGTCCACAATATTTTATTTAATATCTGGTTGAAAGAGTCTATACTTTATTAATTTTTATTATTTACTCTTCTAAACAAATTTTAGAGTCATTTTGTCAAATGCCAAAAATAAATCTGCTGGAATTTCTACTGAAATTTGTATATATACATATATATACAAAATTTATATATAAATATATATATGAAATATAAAATGTGTATATATATACACCCTTTTTTTTCCTGTGTGTTTTTTTTTTTTTTTTTGAGACAGGGTCTTATTCTGTCACCTAGGCTGGAGTTCAGAGGCAGATCTCGGCTCACTGCAACCTCTGCCTCCCAGGCTCAAGTGATCCTCCCACCTCGGCCTCAGAAGTAGTTGGAACAAGTGTGTGCCACAGACACCCAGCTAATTGTCATCTACCCACTTCAGCTTCCCAAACTGTTCAGATTACAGGTATGAGCCACTGTGCCCAGCAGAAATTACATTTATAAATTAATATGAAGACATGGTGATAACATATTTATAACATGAAATCTGCTCATTCAGGAACATAGAATGCAAATCTTTCATTCCTCTCAGCAAAATTTTGTCATGTCCTTGATAAAAGCCCTGCACATCTAAGTTTATTCCTAGGTATTTAATTTTTGCTGAAATACCTGAAAAAATACTTCATCACTATATGTTCTATGTGATTATAGCTAACATTGGGGAAGGCTATTGATTTTTATATAAAAGAACTTTTAACCAGTAATCTTAAAAATTGTTTTTTTTCAGTTGGTTCCTTTGGATATTTTTAGGTAAACAATCATGTCAACTGAAAATAATGATTGTTATTTTTCTATAAAGACTATGACATCATGGGAAAATACAGTAAATACTTTTTAAAAGAATATAAAAGGGCTGGGCACAGTGGCTCACGCCTGTAATCCCAGCACTTTGGGAGGCCAAGGTGGGCAGATCACGCGGTCAGGAGATCCAGACCATCCTGGCTAACATGGTGAAACCCCATCTCTACTAAAAAATACAAAAAATTAGCCGGGAATGGTGGCGGGCGCCTGTAGTCCCAGCTACTGGGGAGGCTGAGGCAGGAGAATGGTGTGAACCCAGGAGGTGGAGCTTCCAGTGAGCTGAGATCACGCCACTGCATTCCAGCCTGGGCGACAAAGTGAGACTCCGCGTCAAAAAAAAAAAAAAAAAAAGAATATAAACCTATGGAGAATACGACCTCAACTATTTAAACATATATGTAAGGGTTATGTATTTTACCAGCAAAGAAAAAACATATACTGGTAGAAAATGGCCATCATGTCAACTGTCAATAGTGGTTATATTAGGTAAAGAAATTATGGGAGACTTTAATTTTTTTCTTTTTTCTGTACTTTACTAATTTTCTCAACAATGGTTGCTTATGAGTTTTATAATTTAAAAAAAGGTTTTTAAAATTTTTTCAACATGGAAAGTTATATTTCTTTATATACTAAAACAAAAACAAAACTTTCTATTTGAATACCTATGGCAAAACCCTGTATCTACAAAAAATACAAAAAATTAGCTAGGTGGAGTAGTACACACCTGTAGTCCCAGCTACTCTGGAGGCTGAGGTGGGAGGAGCACCTGAGTCCCCAGAGAATGAGGCTCCAGTGAGCCGTGATCATAGCACTGCATTCCAGCCTGGGAGACAGAGAAAGACCCCATCTCAAAAATAAAAAAAAATAAAAAATAAAAAATATCCATAAGGATCTAAAATGCCTATCTGTATGAGATTGTTCTTTGTTCACATTTTTTCAAGCAAATATCACACAATAAATTGAATGCAGGTGCAAATGACATATCAAACATCAACGAAATTTGCAAAAGGTGTAAGATTGTACTACTTTGGGTTTAGAAATTTTCTTTTCATAAAAGCATTTATAACAAAATTTGGTGAGCTTTTAAGGAATATTTTAAGTATTTCTGATTTAATTTTTAGTGATAAATACCAATAGATATAACCTATATACAGAAAAGCTCCTTGGGCCCTCAATATACTTTTAAGAGTGTAAAGGAATCCTGACCCCAAAACTTTGAGAACTGCTGCCTTCCCCTCCACTTTCTTCCTTCCCTAGAATTTCTTCCCTGGAAGAAACATTCCTTTGTCATTCTATGTTAACTTACATAGTTCCATTGAGGCCAGTTTTGCTACCTCCCTCCCATCTTTCCACATTCCTCTCTTGACACAAAACCTGACCAAAGGACTCTACCGGCCCACCTCATTTCCAGTGATTAGCTGTCAGGTGGGCTAAGCCAAGAAAATCTGGGTTTTCCCTGAGACTAGACCTCTCTTTCTGGAAGATACGGAATCACAAGGACAAGGTTGGCCACCTACGGGTAGTGAGAATTCATCTTGCCTAAATGGGAAGAGGTTAGGCAAGTTTCTAGAATGCCAGACTGCTTTCTAGAAAGTCAAAGATAATTATACTTTCTGCCACGACTGTGAAAATGCCCATTTCATTGCACGCTTTCTAACATTTATACCAATCTGATAAATAAAAGCTGGTACCTAGAAGAAAAAAAGGCTGGGTATGGTGGCTTATGCCTGTAATCCCAGTAGTTTAGGAGGCCAAGGTGAGTGGATCACCTGAGGTCAGGAGTTCGAGACAAGCCTGGCCAACATGATGAAACCCCATCTCTAGTAAAAAGACAAAAATTAGCCGGGCATGGTGGCAAGCACCTGTAATCCCAACTACTCGGGAGGCTGAGGCAAGAGAATCACTTGAACCTGGGAGGCAGAGATTGCAGTGAGCCAAGATCATGCCATTGCTCTCCAGCCTGGGCGACAAGGTGAGACTTTGTCTCAAAAAAAAAAAAAAAAAGTTTCCATACAATATAATTTGTTCCATCTCTAAAAACCAATTCAGCAATAACTGAAAGCCACCACTTGGAAGGTTTCAAGGATTTAGCTCTACCTGTTGATGTCCAAAGCATTAGTTAAGGTAGAAAAAAAATACACACACACACACACACACACACTCTCTCTCTCTCTCTCTCTCTCTCTCTCTCTCACCCTTATGTAGTCAGTACCAGGAAACATGAAAGACTAGATGGTATAGTTATCCAACACAAAGCACACAATAACTGAAGGCACTGTAGAGGAATAACTTATGACACAGATCTACAATATTGTTGAGTGAAAATGCAGATTATAATAAAAAATCTGATTTTTTTAAGGGAGAGGGAACACATACAAGCAAAGGAGAAAAGAGATGAGCAGATGACTGAAAGATACAAAATTCTGATAGTGGTACATTCTGAGTGGTAGAATTATTGGTATTATTTTCTAGCTTTGCCTAAAAATTTTCTAAATTTCTTAAAATAAGAACTTTTTGTTATCCATATTATCAAATATCCATCACCCCAGGAAACTTAACCTTGAGCACAAACTCTACAACAAGTTCAATGTTTGTTCAGTTTAATATTTAAGAGACAACCTACTTTGAAAGACATCTAAAATGATGACCAATATTTAAACCTATGCATTAATATTTTTCAATCGTATGCTTTACATTTTGTAATTTTGATAAGGTTAAGCTTTATATCCATCTTGAAAAGGTAAGTTTTCTATTTGTCTTTAAAATATTACCTAGAATATGCCTGTTTTTAAACAGTGAATGATGCTCTAAAATCACAATATAAATTCAGGCAGTGTTCCTTACATGGAATGTTTAAGTACTTCTAACACTGCTCTTTTTCACTTGTTATGAAAACACAGAACAATTATCCAAGCATCTAATTATTCAGGTCCTTTGTTTCTCCTCCATTCTATTAGTTTTATAGTAATTTTAGGGCCTGTGAGGATGAAGTTGTCTGTGACAGCTACCACAAAGGTTACCATAAGTGGACAAATTTCCAACAAGTTTATCATCACTACCATCCCCATCATAAAACTGTCTCTATCAAGGGCAACACAATTCAAGGTTAGCCAAGACAACCTCTTTACCTGTCACTGCTTAAGAAAAGGATTTTTTGGTCTTATTTAGAAATAACTTTCTGTACCTACTTTTCTCCACAAATCCACTGAGACCAGTGTGTGGCTCTATCTCAAGCACCAGCAAGCAAAACGGCCTGCTAGAAGGTTCAGTTTTTGTATCTTTCCAAATGTAGAACACAGCTATCTTCAGGGATTTCATAATTTTTTGAAAATTGATGCACAAACTTCTTGAAAGTTCAGAGATACAGCAGCTGTAATTCTTCTGAAGGCTGGTTATGGGACGCGTTACCTTCACACTTTCCTGTTCAATAACTGTGGGGTGGAGAATCAAGTAAACTGACAGAATTTCCACATAAAATTCGAAGTGCTCTGACAACAAAAGAAACTTAAAATACACACACACACACACACACACACACACACACACACACACACACACACGGTTTTCCCTGCTAATCATTTTACAACTAAACAACCAAGTTGCTAACCCAGAGCCCACAAAAGCAGAGTCAAAGTTCTAACACTTGGTAAAAGAAAAATGCATACATACCCCTGTGAGCTAAAATAAAATGCTTAAGTATTCAAAGACAGACAGCAATTACAGCTACTGAGAACATCATTGTAAGCAAACTGAGGCAGAGAAAACGAACCTGCTGATGAGGATTTGAAACACCTAAGCTGCAGAAACCCACTGGATGGTTTCCTAGGTTCTGAGTTGGCATTATCTTTCAGCACGATCTTCTAGAAGAGATCACATAACACTGTTACAAAGGATCTGGAGAAAGGGACCCTGGCTTCATCACTCTGGCTCTCCAGTCATGCTTTACATTTGGCAGTGACTATCTCCATTCAACTCAATTCCCTAACCCTAAACTAGCTGACATTTATCAAATACTGCCCTTTACCAGGTCTAAGTAAGTTTAACTCCCCCGACTCCCACCAAAAAAAATCAAGATACTAAGGGATATACTATTCACAAAAGGGAAACCTGTCTCCTCTTCATATACCTGTTCCTTTCAAGGAAGGCTATAAAAATGGGGATGAGAGAGGATAACCACTAGGAATTTGACTCTATATTATAAATTCAGATAAATGAAAACAATAATTCCTCTGGACTCAAAGTGATATGGCTCTGATGACTGGAGAAACATCGGGGTCCTTTGTGTCACGTCAGTTAAACGATATGGACACACAGGAGTGGTTTTAAGGAACAGAAAGTTTAATAGGCAAGAAAGAAGAAAGGCTCCCTGCGGTACAGAAAAAGGGGGGCTCCGAACAGAGAAAAAGCCCCGTGTGTGGCAGAACAGTACTCGGTTATATTGGGAGGCTGGAGGAGGTGGTGTCTGATTTGCACAGGGACCAGGGTATTGGTTTGACCAGGCAGGTCATTCATGCAGCCCGAGAAAAACGTGGCCCTCCCACCCTAGCCTTTTAATATGCAAATGTAGGTCACCATGTTGTCCTGCACACGTGGGGTCATCTGGAGGTGTCACCTTGAGGTGGTGACTAGAAGAAGAGGGTGGGAATCTCCATGTTGAATGGACACAGTTTCTAAGCGCTGGCATTTGCATATCAAAGCTTGGCAGCCTGTAGTCCCAGCTACTCAGGAGGCTGAGGCAGGAGATTCACTTGAACCTGGGAGGCAGAGGCTGCAGTGAGCTGAGATCGCACCACTGCACTTCAGCCTGGGCGACAGAGCGAGACTCCGTCTCCAAAAAAAAGATAAAAAGAAAAGAAAAAGAAATGTTTCTGGAGTTGTTTCTATTAAAAGGGAAAGCCTTACTGAGGCCTCCTTACCCTCTCTATCTGCCTAATATAATTTCTGAATAACTCCTCTATTAAAAGTACCACTGAGGTGCTTAATATGACAGTTCTGATATTTCCCAACGCTCCTCCACAAATTCAATTTGGAACGGTAATCTGTCCCAGGAGGGCAAACCAAAGAAAAAGTCCTAGGCTCCTGAATCAAGGTTTGTTTCTTTCCTTTGTACAAGTTGACAATAACATTCCTCCTGATAGTCCCCTACGGCTTATGCTAAAATATTGGAAAGAGAATGAAAGGACTCAATACAAGAAAAAGCAGCAAATGATAAAATATTGTTGTTTCATTTGGACTCAGGAATCAATCCTGAAAAGCAAGTCAGAAATTAACTCCTCTGAGAAAGATAAGGTCCCTGTTCCTAGACAGCTCACCAACACATGGAACCTCCTCCACCACCTTCCTCCGTCCAATACCCCTAAACCTAACCTCCCTCCCCCTCAAGCAGAGGCAGTTGTCCCAGACCCTTTTCCTACCCACATTGTTCCCCCTCTGTATAACCCTGCCTCCTGGGAATCGTCCCAAGAGCCTGCTCACTACCACCCTAAGTACTCTTCCCTGAAAGGATTTCAATGTGAGATAGAGCAATGTAAAAGGGATATTCAGAACTTCCCCTTCCCCTCTACCTCGGGAGAATTAGCTCCACCTCTCTTCCCCTTAAGACAGGTGTCCCTAGGAGGAGGAAGTATTCGCTTTGTAAATGCTCCTTTAACCAGCTGGGAGGTCCAAAACCTAAAAACAGAGTTCAAGCCGCACTATTAGACAACTCCTGTGGAACAGCAGATCAAATTAACCAATTTCTAGGACCACAGTTATATATACTTGGGCTGAGTTAATGTCCATCCTAGGCATCCTTTTCTCAGGGGAAGAAAGAAGCATCATCTGTAGAGCTGCTATGGTAGCCTGGGAACATGAACACCCTCCTGGCCAAAACACATTCATGCAGCAGATCAAAAATTCCCCAACCAAGACCCCCGGTGGGACAATAATAACACAGCCCACTGAAGAGGATATGCAGGAACTTAGGGAAATGATAATAAAAGGGATTCAGGAGTCAGTACTCCAAACCCAAAATCTTACTCGAGCATTCGACATACAACAAAGGAAAGATGAAGGGCCTATCAAACTTTTAGACAGCTTGAAAGAACAAATGAGAAAATATGCTGTTCTAGATTTAGAAGATCCTCTTAGGCAGTGAATGTTAAAGCTTCATTTTGTTACTAACAGCCAGATATCACAAGGAAATTACAAAAGATAGAAAATTGGAACGACCGTCCCATGAATGAACTTCTTAGAGAAGCTCAAAAAGTGTGTGTAAGGAGGGATGAGGAGAAGCAAAAAGAAAAAATGAAAACTATGTTATCCACCTTCCAACAGGGGGCCCCAAAGGATAAAACACACCAGTATTACTCTCTGTTACCCGGAGACCCACACACTCCCAAACAAAGCCTCCCGAGAGCCAAAACCTATAAAGATCCTAGGCCCCCACTTCCTAAGCCATATAAAGAACGTAAGGAGGCAAAGCCGAGAAACCCAAAAATAAATGAGACAGAATCAATGCTTCAATTGTGAGAAAGTAGGCCACTTCAAGAGGTATTGTCCCGAATTAAAATCAGAAAGAGAAGTCGTCCCACTTACGACCTTTGAGGAGGAATAGGGGGTTAGGGGCTCTCTCTCTTTTACCTTGAATCCCACCCACCAAGAGCCCTTGATAAATTTACAAGTGGGACCCAAATCTGAGCTTACGACCTTTTTAGTAGACTCAGGAGCAGCCTGCTCCTGTTTGTTACCTTCCCCACAGTATAACCTGGTCCTCAGAGGAGCTTGTAGTCTCAGGGGTAAAAGGAGAGGGAATCAAACTAAAAATTTTAGAAGAAACAGAAATTAGATGTAAAAACTGCTCAGCTAATGTTGAATTTTTGTTAATTCCAGGAACTAATCTATTAGGAAGAGACTTAATGTTAAAATTAGGTATAGGTTTACGTATTGGCTCAGAAGGATTCTACACTTCATTAAACCTGCTCACCACTGCAGAAGAAAACATACATTCATCCTGATGTTTGGGCAAGGGAAGGAAATTGGGGAAAACTCCAAATGCCCCCTATACATATAAAGTTAAAAACCCATGGAGAAATAGTAAGAAGAAAGCAATACCCTATTCCTTTAGAAGGCAGAATAAGCCTGAAACCTATAATTGAAAGCCTCATCAAGGATGGGCTCCTTGAACCCTCTATGTCTCCTTATAACACCCCAATACTGCCTGTGAAGAAACCAGATAGGTCATATTGACTAGCGTAAGACCTCTGGGCCATCAACCAGACAGTCTAGACTACCCATCCTGTTGTCCCTAATCCTTAAACCATTCTCAGTAAAATTCCATATGAACATCAATGGTTTACAGTAATAGGTTTAAAAGATGCCTTTTGAGCATGTTCCTTGGATGAGGACAGCTGAGACATTTTTGCTTTTGAATGGGAAGATCCCCACTATGGATGACAGCAACAGTATCGATAGACAGTTCTACCCCAAGGCTTCACAGATTCCCCTAATCTCTTTGGTCAAATTCTAGAACAAGTGTTAGAACAAGTTTATACCCCAAAATGTATATGTCTGCTCCAGTACGTAGATGACTTATTAATATCCGGTTAAGCTATAGAAAAGGTATCTGCTCTCTCCATCCATATCCTTAACCATTTGTAAGGAGAGGGACTATGGGTTTCAAAGAGAAAGCTTCAATTCATAGAGCCTGAAGTTAAATACCTAGGACACTTTATAAGTAACGGCAAACGAAGGATAGGGCCTGAGAGGGTTGAAGGGATTGTATCCATACCTTTGCCTAAGACTAAACAAGAACTCAGAAAATTCCTAGGGATAGCCGGATATTGCCACTTATAGACTGACTAATATGCCCTAGTCACAAAGCCTCTCTACCTAAAACTCACCCAAGAAAAGCCTAACCCTCTCCTGTGGACTTCTGAAGAACTCCACCAGGTTGAGGAGCTAAAACATCTGCTTATAACTGCCTCTGTTTTAGCTTTGCCTTCCCTAGAAAAGCCATTTCACCTTTCTGTTAACATAAATAAGGGGGTAGCTTTAGGTGTCCTTACCCAAGAACACAGAGGTCACCAGCAACCCATGGATCTCCTATCAAAAGTTTTAGATCCAGTAACCTGTGGATGGCCTGAATGTTTCAATTCATTGCAGCTATCACCTTCTTAACTAAAGAAAGCAGAAAACTAACCTTTGGGGGAAAGTTAGCTGTAAGCATGCCCCAACAGGTTAGAACCATCTTAAATTAAAAGCCAAGAAGGTGGCTTACTGACTTGAGAATTTTAAAGTATGAAGCTATCCTGTTAGAAAGAGATGATTTAACACTAATGATAATTCACTTAACCCAGAGGTTTCCTGACTGGAGATCCAAATCTAAAGAGACCTGAGCATAAGTGTTTAGATTTAATTATCATACACAAGTTAGGCCTGATTTAAGAGAGACCCTTTACAAAACGGGGCAGGACTTATAGATGGCTCTTCCCAAGTAATTGAAGGAAAAAGGCATAATAGGTACTCAGTCGTAGATGGGGAGGCACTTGAAGAAGCAGAGTCCAGAAGACTGCCAAATAATTGGTCTGCCCAAACATGTGAATTGTTTGCATTAAATCAAGCCTTAAAGCACTTGCAAAACCAAGAAGGGACTATTTATACTAATTCCAAGTACGCCTTTGGGGTAGCTCACACCTTTGGAAAAATTTGGACTGAACGAGGTCTTATTAATAGCAAAGGCCAAGACCTGCGCCACAAAGAATTAATCATCCAAGAATTAGATAACCTGCAGCTGCCAGAATAGCTATTGTCCATGTTCCAGGACATCAGAAAGGTCTTTCTTTTCAAAGCGGAAGGAATAACCTAGCAGATCAAATAGCCAAACACACTGCCGTTTCCTCTGAAAATGCCTGTTTTTCACTTAGCCCCTTGCCTTCCTCCCTCGACTGCAGTCCCCATCTTTTCTCCCGCTGAAAAGGAAAAATTAACAAAAATAGGAGCCAAAGAAAATTCAGAAGGGAAATGGGTGTCACCAGACCAAAGAGAAATGTTATCCAAACCCCTCATGAGGGAAATTCTCTCTCATCTGCATCACGGGACTCATTAGGGACCTCAAGCTACGTGTGATGCAGTCCTCGGGGTCTACAGATATATAGGAATTTATATTTTGGCAAGACAAGTTACAGATAGTTGCCTAGTATGTAAGAAGACTAATAAGCAGATCCTCAGAAAACCACCTGTTGGAGGGAGAAATCCAGGATTAAGGCTGTTCCAAAGTGTCCAAATTGATTACACCGAAATGCCCCCAATTGGTCACTTAAAATATTTATTAGTGATAGATCACCTTACTCATTGGGTATAAACTATTCCCTTTTCAAGTGCAACTGCTAGTAATGTACTCAAGGCATTAGTTGAAAATATTATACCCAGGTTTGGATTAATAGAAAATGTTGATTCAGACAATGGGACTCATTTCACTGCACATGTTCTTAAGAAACTAGCCCAAGTACTAGATATAACATGGGACTACCATAACCCCTGGCACCCACCTTCATCAGGAAGAGTAGAAAGAATGAATCAGACTCTGAAAAACCACCTAACCAAATTAGTCCTAGAGACTCGGTTGCCATGGACTAAATGCCTCCCCATGGCCTTGTGAAGATTCCAAACTGCCCCTAGGAAAGATGTCGGCTTACCTCCTTATGAAATGCTCTATGAGTTGCCTTATCTACACTCCACTGCTGACATTCCTCGTTCGAAACAAAAGATCTGTTTCTCAAGAACTATATACTTGGTCTATCCTCCACTTTCTCTTTCCTTAGGACTAAAGGCCTCTTGGCACATACACCACCCCTTGAATTTCCAGTTCACCACCACCAGCCCGGACAGAGACCACATTCTCATCAAAGGTTAGAAAGAAGGGAAGCTCAAGCCCACCTGGGAGGGACTTTATCCTTATCCAGTGTTTCTAATGACTGAGACAGTCTTCCACACCACCAAAAAAGAATGGACTCACCATACCTGAGTCAAAAGAGCACCACCCACTCCAGAATCATGGACAGCTATTTCAGGGCCAACTCCAACCAAGTTAAAGCTAAAACGGGCTTGATCCTCTTATGCTGTATTTCTTTTCCCCTTCTATTGCTAGTCCTCTCGTTATTAATGTAACTAGGTCGAGCTCACCCCAAACTATTACCTTTGATGCTTGCCTTGTTATACCCTGTGGAGATCTCCAAAGTCAAAAGCAACTCTCAGCCTCAGAGAAGTATCTCTGCCCCTTTCAGACAAAAGACTCCCCCGTTACGACTCTTGTTCCTTAAGAAATTTAGGGAAACAGGCCTGCCATAGCTGGAATGATATTATGTGGACAACTGAACATCAGGGCTGGACCTTGTCAACAGTAAGTCCCTAAAACCATGTTTGCTTTGTTAAAGGAAACATCCCCCGCCCCCCAACTGCCAGTATAACCAATGTAATCCAGTGCAAATTTCTATTCTTATCCCCACTTCTGCCAACCCTAAACCTACTTTAAGTCGCTTATACGGCATGGGAGCCAAAATAGCAGGGACACATCTTATAGAATCCTTTGAAATGTGTTTCATTACTTTCTCACCTCCTCCACCTCCTTCTACACTCTCTCCAAACGAAACCACTGTTCTTCCTTCAACCAAGGATAAAATCAAGGTAGCCATTGTAGAAGTTAAAAATTTGAAACCAACCATAGCAATTGAGACAGGGTACCAAGATGCAAATGCTTGGTTAGAATGGATTAAATATTCTGTCCGCACTCTAAACAAAAGCAATTGTTAGACTTGTGTGCACAGTAAGCCAGAGGCCCAGGTTGTCCCCTTTCCACTCGGATGGTCTTCCAGCCAACTGGGCATGAGCTGTATGGTAGCTCTTCTCCAAGACCCCACAGCCTGGGGTAATGAATCCTGCCAAGTTCTCTCTCTGCTATTCCCTGAAGTCCAACACCCTGCAGGTCAGCCCCTGAGAGCCATCCAGCCTCCGTCTACTGACACCAATTTTTACCTCGGGTCTCTCACAACAAGGGGAAAACTTGGCATTTCATGGAGACCTAAAGGGATGTGGTGAACTTAAACGTTCCCAAGAGCTTACCAGTCAGTCTGCCCTTGTTCATCCTCGAGCATACGTATGGTGGTATTGTGGTGGACCCTTACTGGACACTCCACCAAGTAACTGTAGTAGTACTTTTGCTCTAGTCCAACTGGCCATCCCTTTCACCCTAGCATTCCATTAACATAATAGAAGAGAAAATCATAAGAGAAGAAGTGCCCTTCATGGGTCCTTTGACTCCCACATTTATATAGGGGCTATTGGAGTTCCACGAGGAGTAGCAGATAAATTTAAGGCCCGAAATCAAACAGCTGCAGGATTTGAATCTGTGCTGTTTTGGTGGTCAACTGTAAATAAAAATGTAGAGTGGATAAACTACATTTATTACAACCAACAAAGGTTTGTTAACTACACAAGACATGCTATTAAGGGAACAGCCGACCAATTAGGTCCCACTAACCAAATAGTCTGGGAAAACAGGATAGCCCTAGATACGATGCTAGCAGAAAAAGGTGGTGTCTGTGTCATGATTGGAGTCCAATGATGT
Source organism: Homo sapiens (assembly GCF_000001405.40). Lineage (NCBI taxonomy): Eukaryota > Metazoa > Chordata > Mammalia > Primates > Hominidae > Homo > Homo sapiens. The sequence goes on along the minus strand of NC_000015.10, from coordinate 82,374,465 downwards.
ACTTTTATTCCTAATAACACAGCCCCTGACGGAACAGTAACAAAAGCTTTGCAGGGCCTAACCTCCTTATCCAATGAGTTAGCAAGCAATTCTGGAATAAATGATCCCTTTACAAGTTTAATGGAGAAATGGTCTGGAAAATGGAAAGACTTAACGTCCTCAATATTTACTTCTCTTGCAATCGTTATAAGTGTGCTTATTCTTGTTGGATGCTGTATCATACCATACATTCGTGGACTACTGCAAAGACTCATAGACACAGAACTTACCAAAACCTCTCCTAACTCTCCTCCACCCTATTCAGATAAGCTTTTCCTTCTAGAAAACCAAGCAGAACAGCAAAGCAAAGACATGCTAAAAAAGTTTGAAGAGGAAGAATTACAAAAATTAAGAGGGGGGAATTGTTAGGTACAGTAAGTTCCTCTTCAAAGGTTTAACTTGTTCAACTTCCTTGTTCTTTGTTCCTAAGAACAATTTCCCTGTACCTTCTCGAACCTACTTACCAGCTTAGTTACCTGCTTAGTAACCTGCCTTGTAAGCAACTCTTCCTACCAGTCCCAACCTGTAACTCACATTCCCCCTCCCTTTCTTATTAGAGAAAATATTCACAATATCCAACTGAGTCAGCTAAGATTGTGCAGTCCTACCCCAGCCCATGTTGGAATGACACAGAGGCAGGGGCTGTGTTAGGGATAAGAACCCCTGCTCCACCCCGTTTGGTGTGCTCTTGCAATCATGACTAATGCAAGCAGCATACTTGCAGAAGCAAATTGTCTTGCTGAGAAAACTTTTTTGCCTGAGTGCTGCTTCTTCCTCACAGCACCGATCATTTGTTTCTAACAATCTCGCTAAAAGCAGCCTAGAAAGCAGCCACTTATGCAGAAAGAGTAATAATTTAGGCTCTACAAGTCATATAAAAAATGAAGTTTCATTTGTTTACTGGCTAATTTACTTCCTGGGAGATATTTTTCATTCTAAAACAGTGATTCCCTACCAAGAGTTCACAGATGCCAAGAAGTCCATAAAAGGAGTAATGGAATTGCCAAATTATGTTAAATACTTCAAAAGGACTCAAAGCCATATACTAGCTCCCAATAGGCCTGCATAAGTTATTAGAACAAGCTGCTTTGCATTTTGGGGTGATCAGAACCAGTAACTAGATGGCAATCACGTCTGTTACTGAAGATGGAAAAACTATACTTAAGTTGGTATAACAATCTTTCATAACATGGCTTCATAGAAAAGAAGTATAAAAAGGATTCCTTGAGGTTGAAAAAGAGTGCTCTTTTCCCTTCATTATTTAAGATTAGGACAAATTTATAAAACAGGAAAAAAAAATAGCACAAATCCCTTGGCAAACAGAGTAAAACATCTACTCTGTTTTGCTTTTTTTCACTTCTTACACTCTCTTTCATAGGAAGTCAATTTACAGACTTCCATCAAGCCCTTAGAGACCTTTTTGTACTATCCATGACAAGCTCTTGATGTTATCTCTGCACTTTTGACAAATTCTTAGCAGTTAACTTACAAGGCAGTTAAGATTTTTGTTCGCTTTCTTTGCTGCGTCTACTGCGAGAATGAAGACTATTCTCAGCAATCAGACTGTCGACATTCCAGAAAATGTCGACATTACTCTGAAGGGACGCACAGTTATCGTGAAGGGCCCCAGAGGAACCCTGCGGAGGGACTTCAATCACATCAATGTAGAACTCAGCCTTCTTGGAAAGAAAAAAAAGAGGCTCCGGGTTGACAAATGGTGGGGTAACAGAAAGGAACTGGCTACCGTTCGGACTATTTGTAGTCATGTACAGAACATGATCAAGGGTGTTACACTGGGCTTCCGTTACAAGATGAGGTCTGTGTATGCTCACTTCCCCATCAACGTTGTTATCCAGGAGAATGGGTCTCTTGTTGAAATCCGAAATTTCTTGGGTGAAAAATACATCCGCAGGGTTCGGATGAGACCAGGTGTTGCTTGTTCAGTATCTCAAGCCCAGAAAGATGAATTAATCCTTGAAGGAAATGACATTGAGCTTGTTTCAAATTCAGCGGCTTTGATTCAGCAAGCCACAACAGTTAAAAACAAGGATATCAGGAAATTTTTGGATGGTATCTATGTCTCTGAAAAAGGAACTGTTCAGCAGGCTGATGAATAAGATCTAAGAGTTACCTGGCTACAGAAAGAAGATGCCAGATGACACTTAAGACCTACTTGTGATATTTAAATGATGCAATAAAAGACCTATTGATTTGGAAAAAAAAAAAAAAGATTTTTGTTCAAGCACAATATAGCTAGACTAGTGTCATATACTCAATGAAACAAATATTTACCAAGCATTTATTGAGTGGAAGATAAAAAGCACAAAGCATAATTATAAAATATTTTCCCCTGCCACCATAAAGAAATTGAACAGGCTTACAGAATATAGCACAAGACAACATGACCAAAGCAAAAATAGTAAGGACTAAAGAGGGGAGGAAGGGGAAATATCAACATGAACTGAATATGACCCAGAAGAGCCTTCATGGATGGTCAGACATGTAAAGACAAATTGGGTAGGGTTAAGGGGTGGAGTTCAGGGCACATTCTATAGGGAAACAGCAGCTGATACAGAAGCCTGAAAGGAAAAGCAGGCAGAGCACCTGGACAGGGCTCTTCAGGAACGAGCACGCACCTGTGTGAAAAACAACTTAATGAGGTCCCATTCACCCAAACATTAGAGAAACCGCATAAAAATGCTTCTTGGTAAGCAAGAAGAAGGCAGTGCCTGGCTTGTAGAAGAACTCAATAAACATTTGAACTGTCTAAAGAGGAAAAGTTAATGAATAGGCCAAACTCACTCCTTTCTTTGTTTTAAGAGCTACAACTTTAGAGAATAACAAATCACAAACCCAGTAGACAGGTCCTGGCATTTGAAATCCAACCCCATTTTTCCCTTAATCTTTCCCCTCTGAGCAAATGGTATCGACATGAACAAGCCATGTTGATTTGATCAAAACACTCATCCATGGTTAAAAGAGTCTTTACTTTCAAGAGATACAAACAGAAATATTTACAGATGAAGTGATCTGTCTGGAATCTGCTTCAAAATAATCCAAAGTGGAGTATAAATGAAATAAGATTTGCCAAAAGTTTATCACTGTTGAGGGTGGCTACAGTACATAGTTCAATTTTTGTTGAGGCTAGGCGTGGTGGCTCACACCTGTAATCCCAACACTTTGTGGAGGCAGAAGGATCACTTAGCCCAGGAGTTCGAGACCAGCCTGGGAAACATAGGGAGACACCGTCTCTCCAAAAAAAAAAAAAAAAAAAAAATTAGCCACCATGATGGTGAGTGCTACTTGTGAGGCTGAGGTAGAAGGATCACTTGAGCCTGGGAGGTCAAGGCTGCACTAAGCTGTGATTGTGCCACTGCACTTCAGCCTGGACAAAAGAGTGAGACTCTATTTCAAAACAAAAAAAAAAAAAAAAAAAGAAAGGTGGAACATATTATAACTGTCAGACCATTTGTTGCAACCTGGGCTGCAATCTTTTTCTTTAAACCCAAAAGAACTTCTGACCAGGTAAATGTAGTCTTTTTTTCTTTTTTAATGACAAATCTACTTTATAAAGTACCTTCCCTTATCAGTGAGAAAGAAAATATAAAAGAGCTGAGTCAAATCTGGAGTCAATAAAGGTTTGTAGTTCTTCAAACAAGAACCCTTGCTCTGAATTCTAAAAGTAAATAACAGACATGCTGAAAAAATATTTCATGTTATGAAAGGTTCTGCACCAAAGCCTTTTACAAAAACAGTCTACAAAACCTACTAAACATCCTGTTCCATCCTCCACTTTGAAATCACTGCTTGGTCTAAATTCAGTTTCATTAATAAAAATGAACACAATAAAACAGTACTCTATGCCCCCATTCCACCCCAACAATTATCTTCAAAGGATGTCCAGATTTCTGTACACTATTTGCCAATCCTACCTACATATTAAAAAAACAAATCTCAGCTTTAGAGGAAAATCACTGGTTAATTAAAATGTCATTTAGGGTTGTATTTGTTTTCTATGAAGGGATAATAATGGGATATTTTATTTTCATTTATTACTAAAGCAACACCTTTCATTATTAGAAATGTATTTCCATTTCAAGCTACGTTTCAAAGCAAATTATAGTCTTCAACTAGCCACTTTCATAGGTATTTTGAATGCAATATTTTATTATAAAGCTTTAGCTGGCCTCCGGTGTTAATTAGCACAAAAAGATGGGTTTATTTTCAAAAGACAGGACAGTCTTTTCAGCCTTCAAAATGTTTTCATCAAAAATTACTATGTACCATAAAAATAACACGCTCACTGTAAACACTTAAGCGATTCAAAGATAAAGTAGAAAGTCAAAGTCTCCACCTACCTGCCCTCTAAGATGTTAATACTTATGCTTAACATATTTTATTTTTTAAAAGGAGGGGAAATCACATCATAACTACTTTAAAAGGCCTTTACAACTTCTTTGTAATTACACACACACACACACACACACACACACACACACACAGAGTGGGGAAGGAGAGGGAGGGGGTGGGGGAAGGAGGGAGAGACAGACAGACACATACACTTCAATGTAAGGCTTATTATAAAACGTACAAAAAAGGTGAGAAAACAGAGACGGGTGGGAGACGGGCCTGCAATTTCAATATCTGAAGTCAAAACAACTTATTAGGAGATAATTTAGAATGCTTCTTGTCAACCCTATTTGGGGAAAATACTGATTTGATAAAAGGTTACGGACTAAAATCAAAAAGTAGCTGCCTTTTGAAGGTCAATTAATCCTTTGGTTTTAGGAAAAACTAAAATGTTACAAAACACACACAGTGAAACACACAGAGAACTCAAACTGACCTAACTACATTTATCCTCTCCTACCCAATTATCCTTTATCACTAATTTCCCCAAACTACTACTCTATTAGTTTCCTATTGCTGTTAACAACAAATTATCACAAACTCAGTGGCTTAAGACAACACAAATTTATTATCATGTTATCATTTCTGGAAGTCAAAAGTCCAAAATGACTTTCACTTGTTTAAAAATCAAAGTGCCAGCAGGGCTGTGTTCCTTCTAGAGTCTCTATGTGGAGAAAGTGTTCTTTTGCTATTTCCAGCTTCTAGAGCTGCATTCTGTGGCTCATAGGCTCCTTCCTCCATGTTCTAAGCCAGCAGTGTAGCATCTTCAATCACCTGACAAAATCCAACACGTTTTCATCATAAAAATGGTCAAAGTAGGAATAGAAGGGAACGTCCTCATCTAACAAAAGGTACCTGTGAAAAACCCACACCTAACAACATCATACTTAATGGGGAAAGCTTGGATGCTTTCTCTTTAAGATCAGTAGCAAGACAAGGATGTTTGTGCTCACCACTTCCATTCAATGTTGTACCAGAGATGCTTCTCAGGGCGATTAGGCAAGAAAAAGAAATAAAAGGCATCCAGATTGGAAAGGAAGAAAACGATCTCCAACTACTTCATCCTGTACATAGAAAATCCTAAGGCATCCACTTAAGAGCTGTTGCCAAACAAACAAGCCAGATTATAGTCTATAATTGACCTCTGAAACAAGGCTACAGTTTCAGAGACCGGTATGCAAAAATCAATAGTATTTCTATATATAATCAATGAACAATCAAAAACTGAACAATTAAGATAACAAAATTAACAATCGCATCAAAATGAATAAAATCATAAGCAACAAATTTCAAGAAAGTACCAAGTTTATACAATGAACACTACAAAACACTGTTGAAAGAAATCAAAGACAACCTAAATGAAAGGAATCAAATTCAGCATCCAGAAAAAATTCCTCACATTTATGATCAATTTCAACAACGATGCCCAAGACAATTCAATTGGGGAAAGAATAGTCTTTTCAACAAATGCTTCTGGAACATCTAGAGATCCACATGCAAAAGAAAAAAGTTGGACTCTTCCCTTACAAAACACACAAAAATGAACTCTCACATTACATACCTAAATGTAAGAGCTAAACCTATAAAATTTCTAGAAGAAAACATAGGAGTAAATCTCTGTGACTCTGGGTTAGGCAAAGAATTGTTCTTAGATATGATGCCAAAAAAAAATCAACAACAGAACATTATCAAAACTGAAAATTTTGCTTGAAAGGATAGCATCAAGGAAGTGAAATGACAACCCACAGAATGAGAGATAATTTTTGCAAATCATGTATCTGATAAGGGACCTGTAGTCAGAATATGCAAAGAACCCTTACAGTTCAATAAGACAACCCAATTTAAAAACAGGCAAAGGATGTGAATAGGCATTTCTCCAAAGATACGGAAAAACAGCCAATAAGCACATAAAAAGATGCTCAAAATCATTTGCCATTTGGGAAATGCAATCAAAACCACAATGAGGTATCACTTCACGCCCATTAGGGTGGCTATAGATCAGAAAGTCAGATAACATGTGTTGGCAAGCACATGGAAACACTGAAGTCCTTATACACTGCTGGTAGGAATGTAAAACGGTGCAGCCACTGTGGAAAACAGTTTTCCAATTTCTCAAAATGTTAAACACAGTTATCATACACCCAAGCAATTCTACTCTTAGGTATATACCCAAGAGAAATGAAAACATATGTCTTCACCAGAACTTGCTGTTCACAGCAGCATTATGCATAATAGACCAAAAGTGGAAACAACTCAACTGCCCATCAACTGGTGAATGGATAAGTAAAATGTGATGTAACCAGTCATTGGACTGTCATTCATTAATAAAAAGAACAAGGTACTGATTCATGTTCTAACATGAGTGAATCTTGAAAACACTATGCTAAATTAAAGAAGCCAGTCACAAAAGGCCGTGTATTGCATGATTTTATATATACATGAACTTTTATATATATATAATTATATATTATATATAACTTTATATATATAAATTTCTATATATAAATATATAAAATTATATATCATATATGATATATATTTTTCATATATATCATATATATCAAATATATATGATATATCATATATATTTACAAAAATTATATATCATATATCATATGATATATGAGATATATATGATATATATCATGAGATATATGATATCATGAGATATATGATATCATATGGTAGATATATATGATAGATATGATAGATATATTATATATGATATCATATGATATATATCATATGATATATATGATATCATATGATATATATATCATGATATATATGATATCATATGATATATATATCATGATATATATGATATCATATGATATCTATCATATATATACCACATACATCATATATACATCATATATACATCATATATATCATACATATATATGAACTTTCCAGAATAGGTATATCAATAAAGACAGGAAGTATACAAGTGGTTGCCACAGCCTGAGAGGAGCAGGGAATGGTGAGTGACTGCTAATGGATATGGCACTTTTTTTGGGGGGTGATGAAAATGTTCTGGTCAGACAATGGCAATTACAAAACTGTATACACACGAAAAACCAAAGAATCACACACTTTAAAAGGGAGGATTTAGCTCGGCATGGTGGCATGCGCCTGTACTCCCAGTTACTCGGGAGGCTGAAGCAGGACTGCTTAGAGCCCAGGACTTCAAGGCTGCAGCGAGCTATGATCGCTCCACTGCACTCCAACAAGGATGACAGTGCGAGACCCGTTTTCTAAATAATAATAATAATAATAATAAATAACCCAAGGTACCCAGTTCACATGCAAAACCACTGGTAAACATAAATTATCTCCAAGTAATCTAGAAAGAAAATGAGCACATAAGACGTCTTCTAAAAACACACATATATTTCTTTACATGTTACATTTAACGTAAAAATCAGCTATGCAGAAGTTACATGAACATTTTATGTTGGAAAGGTAAATGACTATTATTAATACAGAATGGTTAAGTACATTTATGTTTTTATGTACAAACGCATAAAAGGAAAAGCATCCTTAAATTAAACACCATCAATGGCTCCTCGGTGGTCACAAAACCAAATCCTCACACCTTTGTCTTCCTTCACAATTGAGCTTTATCCACCTTTTCAGGCTTATCTCCCATTATTACCTGACACAAACTTGGGTGGGCCAGAGTTTCCACTGACCATCCCCCCACTATTCATCCAACACTATGTTCACTGCCTCCCATTCCTGACCATTTGCCTTTTGTCTTCAACTAATTCTGGGGACGTTTTGTCCAAATAAATGATCCATATTCTTGAAGGCTGGAATCAAGTCCTATTACAAATATATTTTCTCACCCTCTCCAGAGCATAGCAACCCAGCATCTACTGGCCTCTCACAGCTCTAACCATCCACAACCCTAAGCTGGCTTCTCATCAAACGGGTACTTTTCACCACCCAAATTCAATTAATTCACTCTTACAATAATGAAGAATAGTCGCCTACAGCCTACCTTTTCCAGCCTTGATTCAATCATTTATCAATTTTATCTTCAAAGTCCCTCACTTCAGGGAGATGATATATCAGCTTTCACCCAGAGTCCTAAAGAACACAGCACTCTTGCCAATGACATAGTGCCACCTAGTGGCAACATAACGTAAATCACAGTGGCAGTAGGAGGATCTCCACACTACTTTTACAGGAATGCACTGCAGGTAAAAAATAAGAAGCTACAGTACTGTTTGGCAGGACAATTTGTTTCATACGTGCATACTATCGCCCTGACTAAATTAACTCTCAAGTCTTACAGGTATTATTTGTTTTCAGTTCCATGCACAGATTAGCCATTTAGTACTTACTAAATCAAACTCAATTTCTGAAGTGTCTTACACCAATATATTCATGCACATATGGTTAAAATTTTCCTTGAGGATCTATCATGTGAGAGTGTGGCTTATTATAACAAGTAAACAGAACAAATAAATACAAAATGAAAAGAAATCGTATGATTTACTCGCATATAAGGGAGCTTGTTGTGGATTAAGTTTCATGACCCAGGACACTGAAACAGAAATGGAATAAATGAGAATAAAATTAAAAGTTGTCATCAAAAATATAGAAGCCATCTAAAGACCTAGGTGTCAAGCATAGCTCTATGAGTACAATCCCGTGCCTGAGATTACCATATGCCCAGCTGTATGCTATACACTAAGAGATTTAGGAAGGAAGCGGGGTCAGGGATTGACCCCAGACTCAATCTTTTCAAGTGGGGAAGAAAGATCTTCCGATTGAAAAATAAAGACAAAAAAGGCTTCACCGTCACAGAAGTTTCAACAACCAACAGGATATTTAAAACAGTTATCAAAGCAAAACCATTGTATGTTCACTTACATTTTTACATAGTCCCTCAAACTCACAAAATGCTGTTTACTCAGGGACTTCTTCCGGTCTTACTAGGGAACCTGGAAAGTGAGGGGAGGATTGCAAGGGACCACTAGAACCCTCTTCCTCAATTCCCCTTCTCTGAGAAGGGAGGCTACAGCTTGCCTCTCTAACCACTAAAAGGCATGACCCTCCTCAAAGTTAATAGCCGGATTCCCTGATAGATATTTTCACTAAATGAATTCTCATAAAACTCTCATTAAGATTTAGAGAAGGCTTCCAGGGTTGAATTCCTGAACATTAAGAACAGCATGTTTTTTAAAAGTTTAACTTGGTGATTGGACCAGGACTTCATCTAGGCTATGAATGCTCAGAATGGTAGGTCCTTTACCAAACAGCTTGAGTTTGTGTATAAAGTGATCTCATCCTCTTAAGAGTCAGAGAAACAGAACCAAGCGACTTCACTATAATTTGATCTGAGGAAGTTTCTTACTCACAATAGGTAAATGAAGGCACATACTAACCAGCAATATAAACAACAATATCAAGTGTCGTTCACACATGCAAAAAACAGACAAAATCCCAAACTCTGTGTTCTAACAAATCGCAAAAACCTCACTAACAATAAATTGAAATGACCAAATGTTTGGACTGAAAAGCAATGCCTTGGTAGCCTAGCCATGCCTAACTCAAATAACAGAACCATCTCGATGTTAAAATCCTCACAGATCAAGCTGTGTATGTCTCGGGTCAAGACTTCGCCAAAAAGCAGTGAGCACACACTTAAGAGGGAAAAAATCTACCTCAGCCTCCTAAATGCAATCATCTCTACACGAGTTGCAGGCCCCAAGCTTCAACGTGTTCTGCTGGACAACGCAGTAGAAAGCTGACAAGCAGGTGGCCTTCCCACACTGACTGAACCACCTCCATGCCCATGTCCATTCATTTTCTTGCCCACCCCATGTGCTGTAACAGACCTCCTGGCTCAGGGCACTCTTTCCTTCCTGACTGCCTTCACTTAATGACTTTGTACTTTTAGGTGCAAAAATTATCTGCAGAAATCCACACTGAAAACCAAGCTTGAGAAAGGCAGCAATAACCAACATTTTTACAAGAAGAACAAGGTCAATATCAAGCCCATCAGATTCAAATAGCAAGCATGGATGAAAATGAAAGATTGAAAGGCTTGAGTGCCTTCTTAATGTATTAAATATCCATTTAATTTACAATTAAGCTCACTGTGCTCACTGGCCTTTTAATCAGCTTTCCAGGTCCTGCTCAGACTTGCCTAGGACATGGGAATGAAAGAACCTATAAATTTATGGACCAATCTACCTTAACTAACTTGTCAAGTGTTCCTGCATCAAGCAGAAGAAACATCAGTGAAACTGATACAGGAATTAACCCCTTGTTAATCCATAAAACTTAAAGAAGCGGGATCCAATCTTCTGGCTTCCCTGGGCCACGCTGGAAGAAGAATTGTCTTGTGCCACACATAAAATACACGAACACTAATAATAGCTGCTAAGCTTTAAAAAAATTGCAAAAAAGGAAAATCTCATAATTTTTTGTTTGTTGTGATGTGGAGCCTCACTCTGTCACCCAGGCCGGAGTGCAGTGGCACCATCTTGGCTCACTGCAACCTCTGCCTCCTGGGTTCAAGCCATTCTCCTGCCTCAGCCTCCCGAGTAGCTGGGATGATAGGCGTGTGCCACCATGCCCAGCTAATTTTCGTATTTTTAGTAGAGACGGGGTTTCACCATGTTGGCCAGGCTGGTCTCAAACTCCTGACCTCAGGTGATCCACCCACCTCGGCCTCCCAAAGTGCTGGGATTACAGGTGTGAGCCACCGTGCCCGGCCAATGTTTTAAGAACGTTTACGAATTTGTATTGGGCCACATTCAAAGCCTTCACAGGCTGCATGCAGCCTGCAGGCCGCGGTTGGACAAGCTTGGATTAGAGAAATCTACAGAGACAAACTAGTGACTTAGTAGCCCTCTGATAGCTCATGATTTGCAAGAAACTTAGGATGACTATGTGTAAAGACCACAAACATCAATTTAACTGAATGGTTCCCGCCACACTGGAATGAGGAAGCTGAGCAAACTCAGAGGACTCTAAGAAAGGGCTGATGTCATCTGAACTGTTCGGAATTATAAACTCCTCTAAACATGTTTCAAAGCCAGAACTTGTAGGAGTTGTTCTGATACACGGATTAAAAGAGGGATGACAAAGTGTCTGTCCCCCACACTGGTCAAAGGGACAGGTCATTGTTATGCTGGCAATGCAGGCTGCTGAAAAGAATGTATCTGTCAAAAGTAATCAAAGTAATGACCCCAGAAGGCTCCAGAAACAGACTGGTAAATTCAGGTTGCTTTCAGACTTCCACAATGCTGGCACACAAGGGGAAAGACAAAACTAACATTTACAGAGCATTATATTTGATATTACATTTAATCCCCATTAAAAAGATACTATTTCCCGTTTCACTAGTGAAAAAGTTGATCTTTCAAAGGTTAAATTATTTAACACCAAGGTCAAAGGGTAAGTTGGAGAGACCAGATTCAAACCCAGTCTGACATTAAAACATGTGTTTTCCCCCCACATCGTCTCCTGCTAATAACCTCAAATCTAAAAACTGACTTGCCCTACACCTTGAGCCCCATCCTACAAACTCTCCCTGACGTTATTAATTCAGCTGTCACTGTGCACCTACAACGTGCCAGACACCATACTCCTCAACACTCTGTAGGCACAGAAGGAACAGATAAAAATCCCTACCTTCATAGATATTATTCTAGGGGTAACACAGGTAAATAAAACATTAAAATAGTTTTCACATAGTAGCAAATTCCATATAGCAAAATAAAACAGAAGAAGGAATAGCAAATGAGGGAGATGCCCTCTTAAACATGGTGCTGAGGGAAGGCCTCCCTGAGAAAGATATCATTTACCCCAAAAATAAAAAAGCAAGTAATAGAAAAAACAGGTAAAAGGTGTTCTAGACACTTAAACCTGCCACATTGAGAACTCAGGGTTCTGATGCAAAACCTCGCTGCATAGAATGCATTAACTTATTTTTATACATTTAAACAAACAAACTCTACTTAAGAACTGTGTTCTAAAGGAAGGAGCATATTACAGGAAGGCAATTTTTGGTCAGAGTAGACACACTTAAAAACTAAACCTATTGAAAGACCAAGAACTGAAAGTCTTTGCTTTGTCAGATTTTTGACCAAAAGGAAAATTAAAGAAACACACCGTGCCCATCCAATGATTTCACCAAGGAATTTTAAGAGAGAAAATCCTACTTCTTCCTCACCCAGTAGCCAGTGAAATGACTGAGCAAATTCACAAGTTCACTGGGGCTGCTTTCATGTAACACAGGGACAACACATGACAGACACAGTGGAACCCTACAGGTTGCCTAGTATTTGAAAGACTGTGAAGAGGAGGAGATGTCAAAATTCAAAGTCTTAAATGATGTAGTTTTAAGTATGTTCAGCAATTTCACCACTCAGTAGTAAAGCCAGCTACAGTTGAAAGGAATCAGAAATTTGAGGGGTGTGAAATAAGCAGAAGCACAGAAGTTAAGGATTTGTGTTCTTCCCACATTTTCCACTTTATTTTATACTGCTGAGAAAAAACAAATTTAATAGTTTTCTGCTGTATAAGAGACACATTCACTTTATGTCACAGTAAGAGTCACTCAATTTTAATACAACTATCTCAATGTATAAATTAACGTTCTCCCCCATTGCCCACACATAGTAAGTCTCTTATGATGCTGCTGATTAGAGAAGCAAAAGTTGCCGCTACAATTCTCTTCCTGCATTTTAATATAAACAATCATCAGTCTTTTCTTCATAGAGTGCAGTGTGGGCACTATCATCAGAATGTACCAGCACTGGGTGTACAAAGTTTACAAAGATTAGCAAGAGCAAAAGCGTTGAGATTTTTGAAATTCATGCTGCTGCAAAGAAGTATGTAAAAACTCACTCACTATAGAGGACCACACAGAAACTCAGGCATGAAGTTATATGGCTGTGTGATTGGTTTGGGAGAAGGAACAGAAAGCACTTCCACCAACCTATATGCCTGAGCAAATTAATGCAAAACCTCAGAAGCTACAAAAAAGTTTATCTACCTAAATTAAAATTGGTGTCCACAGCAGTAGCCAGCAAAATGCCTGCGAAGCGCAAAGTGGTAAATATTTTAGGGTCTGTAGGTCATATGGTCTCTGTTAAACAATATGTAAATGAATGGGTGTGGCTGTGTTCCAATAAAACTTCATTTATAAAAAGAGGCAGCATGGTACATCCAGTCAGCAAGCTATAATGTACCAACCCCCGGTCTAACACTAACCAAATACCTCTTAATAAGCCAAAGAAACTGTGTCCTCTTAGGCCGGAAGCGGTGGCTCACACCTATAATCCCAGCATTTTGGGAGGCCGAGGCGGGGAGATCACCTGAGGTCAGGAGTTTGAGACCATCCTGGCCAACATGGTGAAACCCTATTTCTACTAAAAATACAAAAATTAGCCAGGCGTGGTGGCGGGCGCCTGTAATGCCAACTACTGGGGAGGCTGAAGCACGAGAATCGCTTGAACCCAGGAGGCAGAGGTTGCAGCGAGCCTAGATCACGCCATTGCACTCCAGCCTGGGCAACAAGAGAGAAACTCCATCTCAAAAAAAAAAAAGGAAATAAAAGTATACAAAGTGAAAACAAAGAAATTAAACTGCCCTTATTTGCCAGTGACATTACTGTCTATGCACAAAATTCCAAAAATCTACAAAAAAGCTTCTAGTACTAAAAATGAGTTTAGCAAGGTTGTAGAATCCAAGGTCAGCATATAACATAAAATCACCTTCCTATATACTAGCAATCACCAACTGGAAATTGAGAAGTATCATTCACAACAGTACCACAAACATGAAATAAATGTGTAAGATTTCAAAATACAAGCAAGATCCAACTGCTAAAAACTACAAAACACTGACGAAAAATCTAAGAAGGTCTAAATAAATAGATATACCATGTTCATGGCTCATTATTAAAATGTCAGTTGCCTCCTAACTGATTTCCAGTTTCAATGCAATGTCAATCAAAAACCCCAGCAGGCTCTCACGCCTGTAAGCCCTACACTTTGGGAGACCATGGTGGGAGGATTGCTTCATCCCGGGAGTTTGAGACCAGGCTGGGCAACATAGAGAGACCCTGTCTCTACAAAAATAAAAAAATTAGCCAGGCATGGCGGTGCATGCATGTGATCCCAGCTACTTGGGAGGCTGAGGTGGGATAATCGCTTGGTTCAAGGCTGCAGTGAGCAGTGATCCTGCCACTGCGTTTCAGCCTGGGCAACTGAGTGGGACACTTTTTTTTTTTTTTTTTTTTTTGAGACAAGGTCTCGCTCTGTCGACCAGGCTGGAGTGAAGTGGTGCAATCTCGGCTCACTGCAACCTCCATCTCCTGGGTTCAAGTGATTCTCCTGCCTCAGCCTCCCAAGTAGCTGGGATTACAGGTGCCCGCCACCATGCCCAGCTAATTTTTCTGTTTTTAGTAGAAACGGGGTTTCACCATGTTGGCCAGGCTGGTCTTGAACTCCTGAACTCAAGTGATCCACCCGCCTCGGCCTCCCAAAGTGCTGGGATTACAGGCATGAGCCACCGCACCAGGCCATGAAACACTTTCTTCCACCCACGGCTTTCTCTTCTCTCCCCATTTACAGCAGTAAGACAGCCTAACCTGGGAAAGAGAGAGAGAGGGAAGCTACTTCCAAATGGATGCCTGTCCCCATCAGTAATAACCAAGTCTATTCAAGTGCTAGATGTTAACTTTAAAAGAAGGAAACATCAAAAGTCCAAGTTTCAGCCGGGTGCAGTGGCTCATGCCTGTAATCCCAGCACTTTAGGAGGCTGAGGCGGGTGGATCACAAGGTCAGGAGTTCAAGACCAGCCTGGTCAATATGGTGAAACCCCATCTCTACTAAAAATAAAAAATTAGTCACGCATGGTGGCGTGTGCCTGTAGTCCCAGCTACTCGGGAGAGGCAGAAGATTCGCTTCAACCGGGGAAGCAGAGGTTGCAGTGAGCCAAGATCGTGCTACTGCACTCCAGCCTGGGTGACAGAGCGAGACTCCGTCTCAAAAAAAAAAAAAAGTCCAAGTGTCTTCGCCTAGCTTTGTCAGGAATGTTTTTACCCTCAGTCTGTAAGTGTGACCAAATATATTTTTTAAAGGTTTACCCTCAATCTGTTAAGTTCAAAGGTTTACTATAATCTCTTCATAAGAAAACTATTGGAAAGATGGAATAAAATACACAGAAATGTCCTTAACAGGTAAATATTTATTTTTCTTTCTTATTATTATACTTTAAGTTCTGGGGTATATGTGCAGAACGTGCAGGTTTGTTGCATAGGTACACACGTGCCATGGTGGTTTGCTGCACCCATCAACTCGTCATCTACACTAGGTATTTCTCCTAATGCTATCCCTCCCCTAGCCCCCCAACCCCCAACAGGCCCCAGTGTGTGATGTTCCCCCCTCCCTGTGTCCGTGTGTTCTCACTGTTCAACTCCCACTACAGGTAAATATTTCTAGAATGTATCTACTCCATCAGCTAGTGTAAGTATTCTAAACTGTGCTAGTATAGCTGCTTTAAATCACTGCTTTCTTCTGCAAATGGTGGCACCTTTAAAGTGTTATCTTGAAGGGGAAGTGAGTGATTTGCTCATGTCTCTACTGAACTAACACTGTTAACACCCAGTCCAGTTCTACCTTAAACAAGTCGGAGAAATACAGACATAATCCATACTTGTTATTTGTCAAGACTAAGGTAAAATAAGGAAAGTTGGAACTCACTCATATCCTCTTATGACTGATGTACTGAAAACAATCCATCTCTCACCATTTCCTAAATAGCATAGTCACAAAGAGCTCTACCCTACCAAGTACTCTGCAAGTCCCACTCTCAAAGGAAGACTCACAGGTGACTGAGAAGATAAATTTGCTATTGTTTCCATTATCCTTCAGTTCATCTGACACCTTTGAAGAAATGCATTTGGATAAGACTCACAAGTCTCAGGGCCCCTTCTTTATGAAAGAAATAGCTAAGCCTCCATACTCAGAAGCATCAGACTTTTCAGAATGCTTAAGTCATGTAAAAACGTATCAAAATTATTATCATTACAGCTACCAGGAAATAGCTACCTACTCCATGTTAGATACTGCAGTTAAGTATCTCACACAGTTTCACTGATTCCTAACAACACTGCAAAGCATGTTACTAACCCTTAAGGAGTAGGAAGCTGAAGCTCTGAGAGGCTATGCAACTACTCAATGGAAATGTGGGGATCTGAACTCTACCTAGCTCCAAAGGGCGTACTTTTTTCTAAAATTTCTAATTTTTTTCCAATTTCACAATGGAGGCAGAGTTTTCACTACAATTTTAATAATTTCACCAGCTGGGTGGGGTGGCTCACGCCTGTAATTCCAGTACTGTGGGAGGCTGAGGTGGGAAGACGGCTTGGGTCCCGGGGAGACAACTGGGCAACAGTGAAGATTCTGACTCTAAAAAAAATAAGAATTTCACCAAAAGGGGGGACAGATTTCTAAATCGGAATCTCTTGTTAAAATCCTTAGAGCACTAGTTAAGCCCCACTTCTTTTCAAAAAATAACCGACAGATTAAAAAAAAGGTTAGAAATCCTTTTAAAGTAAATTTCATCAGAGATCTGCAAGTGAACTGTCATTTTGGACAAGTCCCCAGAGTTGGTGGCCCTCTCCTGTGTACACCAGCTACCACTAGGCAGTAAAAGTAATTTACCCAATTCAAACACATACCGTGCCTGCACTATGTTAAGACCACTGGCAAAGAGGATACAAAGTTAAATAAGGTCTATCACAGCCCTCAAGGAGTTAAAGGACTAGAGGAGGAGTCCATTTATAGTATAGTATGTGTGCAGTTACCATTTAGTCAAGGCAAACGAACTGTGAGAAATCCTACAACAATAGTACCTACAGTATAACATGCCATCACCGCCCACAGAAGGAAAGCAACTGGTGCCCTCGTCACGTTATGTTGTTAGTACTTGCTTACATGATGTCCCTCCCTGACAATCCCTTCCAACCTCTGTCAGCCTCCTTCCCCACAATCACACACACACACAAAACCACACTGCCAGGAAGGGAAGCCATTGAGTGAGTATTGTGAATCCTACAAGTGGCTCTGTAGTTTAAAAGGGCAATGCCTGTGCCTGAAGAAAATTTGTCTTTAGCTTCATCAGGTGAAGAAAATTGGTTTTATAACACAAGGCCCACCAAACCAGAAAAGCCCAGGAACGCTTCTCCACAGGACTCACTTAGCACGAGAAATCACTCAGAGCAAAATGACGCACACAGTATTTGTCAAATTTTTCTTTTTCATTTAGCAGAAGGTAAGGTAAAGGACTACAACTGAAGTTAATAAATGACACTCTAGCCATTTTGATCATTTGTCACTATAAATGATAGACATTTAAGCTAGTTCCATCTGGGGAAGTGAAACAGAATCATGTTCATATAATAAGCCAGACGAACCAAATTCAGTGGAATACGTGCACCCAAAACTGGACCAGACTTGTACTTAATGCAGCCTGCAAATCCCCAAGAGTCCACGACAGAATACAAGAACAGTAACACTGGTTTATCTCAACTCATCTTAGCTCCCTCACAAACTTGCCAATAATGACCTTTCAAGAACTGCACCGTTGGTCCTCATCTGGGCAATCCCGTGGCTTAGAAAAACTGAATAAAGTGCTTCTTCGAAAAATAAAACAATGCGGGGAGGGGGGAGTAGTAACAAAAAAAAAGGCACACTGGTTTTTACTGTACTGAAGCAATAAATTCTCCAACTAACTTCATTAATGAGTATCAGCAAAGAATGAACACCAAAATACCGCTCAATCCAACTTTCATCGTGAATTCTTGAATTCACAGTAGGATCATTAAATGTGACGGTATCACTCTGCTATAAAAACTATTTCCAAAACAAAACAAACCTATCTACCCCCTTTCTTGATTTAAAAAAAAAAAAAAAAAAAGAAGGAAAATTTGAGGGTTTTTGATTTTTTCAACTTCACATACCGGTTTGCCTTTGCAAAAAAAAAAAAATTGTTTAGTCTCAAAGTATAGCTGCAAGGTGGACCGGCTGCACGGGTCCCAGAGGGCCGCTCGCCTCCGACGGTCGCAGTTTCAGCCGGGCCGCGCCCGCGAGAAACAGCGGAGAGGCCCCAGCAGGCGGGCGCCGCCGGACAGGTTTACCGTCCGCGTCGGCCCCGGGGAACCGCTCCCTCGCGCCCGCAGCACTTGTTCGCGGCGCGGACTCCACACCGCGGCCGCCCGCCCCAGGGGAGGAGTGAGTCCGCCCCAGCGGCGCCAACCCGGGGACCCGGGGCAAGGGTTCGGGGCCATCCGCCGCCGGGCGCGCCCCCCATCCGGAAAGCGGCGACGGCCCCCAAGTTGGGCTGCGGAGTGGGAGGCGCGCCGAGCCCCAAGCAGACAATGCGGGAGAAGGGTGATGCGCAGGGAGGAGGGGTCCGCAAAGCTGAGGTCCCCGCGCCGCCCGGCTACCCATCCGTGCCGCCCGCCCCTGAAGCCCCGCGCAGCCCCCGACCCTCCTCTGGGGCCCGCCCCACCGAGCGGCCGCAGGGGACGGGCCGCGCTCCGCACCCCGACCCCTCCTCAAATCACAAAACTTCCCCCAACTCCGCCAACTAAGTTGCGCTCTCACCGTGCGGCTCCCGGGGCTCCCCCGCGGGCCGAGCCGAGACAGCTCCTCACCTTCGCCGCGGAGAAAGACAATAGGCTGCCTCTCCCCCGGCGGCGGCAGCAGCGGCTGCGGCTAAAGCGGCGGCAACCGAGGCGAGCAATGGGCACGGCGGTCTCGGCCGAGCCGAGGGCCTTCACCGCTGCTGCTCCGGCTCCGCGACAGCTCTGCACGTAGCCCCAGCCACCCCGCGCACCGGCTACAAGCCGCCCGGGGGTGGCCGGGGCACGCAAGAGGGCAGTAACGTCTGCGAGTCCTCCCGTGAGTACACGCGGAGCAAGGGCTGCGAGCTGGGATTGCACGGCAGAGCTGCCCATCCCGCTCCACGAGACCAATAGTAAGGCACCTGGGCGGGGCGCTCAGGTTGCTAAGGGAGGCTGAGGTTGACCGCCGGGGCTGCTCTGTGGCAAAGTGATCACAGCAGGGTGGCTGGCAGAGACTGCTCTGGGAAATGCCCACTCACGGTCTCCTCTCCGCCCTGTTTCTAGAAACTGCCCTTTCTCTGTGTGCTCGTGGTTACCTGAGCTGTAGCATTTAACCACACATCGTGAAATGATTTACTCCTCTATTTCCCCCACTTCAACTCAGGAAGTGGGGTTTAGTCTTGTGTGTCCACAGCCTAGGACAGTCTAAGGTATTAGGTATTAAATATAGGTATTAAACAAGTGTTGGATGGATGCACGGCGCTATGGCGGAATCACAATTGTGACAGTGCATTCCGTGAACTTTTGGCTACTCGATCACCACAGTCGTTCCGTGTTCAAGCTGCAAAGGACCTCAGAAATCATCGGATTGCTTTGAGAAACAAAATGTGGTCCGTGTACCAACGGCGGCCGAGGAGAATATATTAGTTGGTACACGGAGAAACTTCTTTTTTCAAATAGTTAAGTGTTTTAGTGCTCATTAGGAGGGAAATGCCTATCACGTCAAATCATTGTTTCATTAATGTTACTTCTTAGGTCAAATAAAAAGTGGCAAAAAACAAGTGTATTTCAAGAAAAGTGTTAAGTGAAACTTGAGACACTTTATATGCAGTTCAAGAATGTAAAATACTAGTTGACAGTGCTTGAAGTAAGAACAGTTGGTTAGGTAGGAGGAGAAGATTATTGGCTGGGAAGGAGGAGGAGGGAACCCTCTGTGGTGCTGATTCTGTATTTTGACCTGGGTGATGGATAACAAAAGTATGTACATCAATAAAAAATACATCCAGTGCACTTTAGATTAGTGCACTTTACACATTTTATACATGTATTTTTAATGTCAATTTTTTAAAAATCTGGTATGGA
Source organism: Homo sapiens (assembly GCF_000001405.40). NCBI lineage: Eukaryota > Metazoa > Chordata > Mammalia > Primates > Hominidae > Homo > Homo sapiens. The sequence goes on along the minus strand of NC_000015.10, from coordinate 82,354,052 downwards.
ATATACCCCCACAACCCCCCCACCCCCCAAAAAAAATGCAAAGATGCAAATGACTGCCATTTGGGAAACACTGATCCAGGCAGGCTCACTAGCAGTGACCAAACACCTGAGAAAGGGTATTGTGAATACCTGATGTATGTGCCAGGAACTTCCATGGTTGAATAGCTCCAAATCTCAGAAATGCTCCTAACCTCGTGTTGAGCTCTGGTGCATAGATATATTTTCTTTTCTTTCTTTCCTTTTTTTTTTTTTTTTTTGAGGCAGAGTTTCACTCTTGTTGCCCAGGCTGGAGTGCAATGGCACGATATCAGCTCACTGCAACCTCCGCCTCCCAGGTTCAAGCGATTCTCCTGCCTCAGCTGCCCGAGTAGCTGGAATTACAGGCACATGCCACCAATTCCAGCTAATTTTTTGTATTTTTAGTAGAGACAGGGTTTCACTATGTTGGCCAGGCTGGTCTCGAACTCCTGACTTCAGGTGATCCACCCACCTCGGCCTCCCAAAGTGCTGGGATTACAGGCTTACAGGTGTGAGCCTCAGCACCCAACCCAGAATGGCTTAAAAAAAAAAAAAAAAAAAAAAAGGCCAAGCATGCCCAGTTCTTCATGTGAAATTATTTCTGTATCACCTCATCATGCTGCTCACCCTCTTCCACTGTTCTCTAATCTGTCCTTGTTGATATTTAAAAGCTGGCACAAGGCCGGGCGCAGTGGCTCACACCTGTAATCCCAGCACTTTGGGAGGCTGAGGAGGGTAGATCACTAGAGCCCAGGAGTTCGAGACCAGCCTGGGCTACAGGTGAAACCCCATCTGTACTAAAAGATACAAAAATTAGCCAAACGTGGTAGCCCAAATCCCAGCTACTTGGGAGACCGATGTAGAAGGATCGCTTGAGCCCAGGAGGAGAGGTTGCATGAGCCAAATCAGCAGGGCAGCTGCAGAGTGGGGTGCAAGGTCCTCAACCCAGAGGTTCCCTAGGCCCCACTTGCCCCAGCTCATGAGAGCCTGGTTCTGAGCTCTGCCAGGACTGGGGCTCAGCACTGCCCATGAAAACAGGCGTGGCAGGGAAGAAAATCATAACCAAATATTTGTAGTCACCTCTCTCCTCCCTTCTGGAAAGGGAGGTTCCCAGGTTTGTGGGCTCTTTGCCTCCTGGACATTATTGTGTAGTGAAGGGAGAAAGGTTGAGATGCAGAGTTGGAGAAACTAAGAGAGGCCGAACTGGTCCATTTGAGGAAAGATGACTGATCCCAGAAGGGGAGGAGGGGACACCCTGGGGAAGCAGGGGACTTCCCACGTGGTCCTAGAAGGGGAGGGCAGGATATAGAAAGTCAGAGCATGGTTTTGAGTTTTGGAGACAACAAGAGAAAAGAGGGAGGGATTTGGACAACTATGGAGAGGACTGGGCTGTGGAGAGAAATGTTTAGAGATTTGGAAGATGGTGTGTCATGCGATGTATTGTGAAAACCCCTTCTTCATATCCCTAAAAGACCACCGCTGATGGTGATTCATGGTACAATTGATGATTGTATCATGATATAATTCAGTGCTTTTGCAGAGGGATTGGTGCCTTTTTAAAATAATAATGATGCTTTGGCTTGGCTCCATCTGAATTAGTAGAGACAGACATCTTGAGCAGGTTTTATCAGAGTTCCATTAGCTAAATATTGGGTTTCCTATTTTGTGGCTTGCTTTAAACCGCTTTGTGGGCCCTTCCGCACTGAAAGCCACTACAGAAATCACCTCTTTGGTCTGCAGCTCCACGTCCCCAAGCTCTGGGCTTTCCTGAATGAGTGGCCTCATTCAGAAGATAATACAGCATCCCTCATCTGAAAATCCAAAATCTGAAATGCTTCAAAATCCAAAACTGTTTGAGTGCCGACATGATGTTCGAAGGCCAGATTCAAAGGAAATGCTCATTGGAGCATTTTGGATTTCAGATTTTCGAATTCCAAAATCTGAAAAAAATCCAAAATCTGAAATACTTCTGTAATTTAACCTGTAATAGACATTGGGTCCTGACCTTCCAGCTGAGGCAGCAAGCAGTCAACAGAGGCTCACCATGCATCCCTCCTGCTCCTCACCCTCCCACTGGCTTGTGCCTCACCCCCCAGCCTCCCTTGCACCTGCTGGGAAGGGGACAGGATGCTCCTGCCCTGCCTTCTTGGATCTCAGGCTACTGTGATAATTGCAGGATTCCAGCCAGGGAAAATGCTACAGGTAGAAGTACTTGGTACTCTCCATAGAGAAGTTTCCAGCAATGGCACAGCAGCCCCGGGAAGTGTGCTGCCACACCCAGCTAATTTTAAAAACTTTCTGTAGAGGTGTGAATTCACTATGCTGCCAAGGCTGGTCTTGAATTCCTGGCTTCAAGTAATCCTCCCACCTTTGCTTGCCAAAGTGCTGGGATTACGGCATGAACTAGAGCTCCCAGCCGAGAGTTTAGTTTTGTTTGCTAGTGGTGTTCTTGGTATCTTTTCATATTTGAGGCTTTGGTGCTAGTGCTGAAGTATTACACTCACCATCCGAGGTTGGCAGGACTTTTGTTTCAGTATTGAACAGATGGAACTGTTTAGTTCTTCATCTTTGCAGGTATACCAAATGTGCCTACCAGGAGTCTGCTTTATAGCCATTGAAAAGCAAGAAGTAATATAGTAAAATTTTGCCTGGCTAGAGGCTTTGGAAGACAAGTATTTTGGCTTAATTCTATTAACGTGGAAGGATGAAGGTGAAAAAAAATTCAAAACTTTAATTTCCTGTTTATTGCCATTTGAAAATATAGCCAATGATTCCACTTTTCTTCTCCAGTAAGTTTGGACATTCTGATCTACTTGGTGTTTTATTACAGAACTCCTAGTGTGCCTGAGTCTTACATTGTGAAGATCCTTCTCTAAAACTTCACATGTAAGAGAATATAAATGATATTGGATAAGATCAGGCTGGATGAGAACTGATACCTGTAAATATGCGATTTAGACGAAATCTCTGATTGTTTTCTTATTTAACTCATAAAAATAAAACTCATTGGCTGGAAGGTGGGAGCAGGAAGGAGATTTATGTCTTTTAATTGCACGTCATTGTTTCATATAGAGACAGAACATATAGTATCCCTGGTTTTGGACCTACAGAAGGAAACACATTTTTCTACCTGCTGTATGCCAGAGGTTCTTGAACACCTGGAGGGATTACTGCAGCACAGATTGCTGAGCCCTACTCCAGAGTTTCTGATTCATCAGGTCCAGGGTGGGGCCGGAGGATGTGTATTTATAAGAAGTTCCCAGGTGCTGCTGGAGCTGCTAGTCCAGAGACTACATTTTTGAGAACTGCTCTCATATACTAACTGTAAGTTGCAGAGCTCTAGAAAAAAAGCTTAGTTTGGTGTGGGATAAGAAGCACACAGGTTATGGAGAAAATCATGAAAGATTCAACCCTTGATCCCAGCCTAGTGTGGATTTCAGGTAACAAGCAATACACAGTGACATAACAAATTCTTGGTTTTCATGACTGCAAGTGATAGCCAAGTATCAAGTGAGAAATTCAGCTTCATTTGCAAGGCTTAGAGAGGCCAGGTGATTCTAGAAAAATGGGCCTTGTAATTCTCTTAAACCAGTAAAGAGCTTTAAGTGGTTATTAAATTGAAAGCTTTGTGTTCTTACTTATTTTGTATTTTATTTTATTTCTTTTGAGATGGAGTCTTGCTCTGTCGCCCAGGCTGGAGTGCAGTGGCGTGAGCTTGGCTCACTGCAACCTCCATCTCCTGGGTTCCAGTGATTCTCCTGCCTCAGCCTCCCAAATAGCTGGGATTACAGGCACCCGCAACCACGCCTGGCTAGTTTTTGTATTTTTAGTAGAGACAGGGTTTCATCATGTTGGCCAGGCTGGTCTCGAACTCCTGACCTCAGGCAATCCACCCACCTCGGCCTCCCAAAGTGATGGCATTACAGGCGTGAGCCACCGCACCCGGCCCAAAAGCTTTGTGTTTTTAAAGATATTAGACATGTTTCTTGTTTTTAAAAGAAATCTTAACAATAATGTAGGAGAATAAGACAAACATTTTTCCAAAAAAGAGAAATTGTTGTGATTATTTTGTCTTATTGGAATGTCGGATACTATAGTCGGCTTCATTAATCATCAAGCATGCTATGGATTTTCCATTTTTATAGGATCTATATCTCAGTTAAGGTAATACTGGTAATTCTTGTACTCCATTTGAAGATGAAAAATATAGGCCAAAATCACAGACTTTGCACAGAAGCTGCATAATGAAGACAGCTCTGGAGGAACACATAGATACACACACACAGACACACATATATATAAAGTATATACACATATATTTTTTAAAGTTTATTTTTTACAGTTTTAAAAGTTTTAAAGCAAAACCCAGCCCTTCCCCTCTCCCAGAGTGGGCGGCCCCTCCCCTTTCTCTGAGTGGGCGGGGACAGCGGTTGCATGGGCAGCTTTCCTTATGATGCCACAGGTCCCTCTGGACATGCTGCGCCTGGCCACGCCTCCTTTCCCTTTCATCTTTCTCACTGACCAATGGGCTTGGAGCATTAAGGCCACGCCCCTATTCTGCGTTCCATTGGTGCCCTGGTTACGCCACCTGTGGCTCAGTTGCACAGCTGCCTGGTAGGTGACTGGAGGCATTGAGCAGTGCTCACTGGTATTTCGCTGATGTGGCCCCAACCCCGCCTCCCTCCCCACCCCGCGATGTCAGAAAAAACACAACAGGGGAAATTGGCCGCAGCCAAGAAAAAGGTAAAACACACCAGGTCATGGCCCCCAACCCAGCCACAGATCCCCTCCGATGACAAGACCTGTGCCAGAGTCCATACCACTCCTGAGGCATACCAGATGGGGCCCCCCAACCCCAGCCCCTCTGGGCTCCCCCAACCAAAGCCTAGTCAGTCAGCCCCACCCCTTCAGCAAGCAGCCCAGTCCCTGCCCTTGCCAATCACCCCAGGGTGACTTTGGGCAGGTGACTCCTGGGGCTCCCTGCTCCATAATCAGCCCTCACCTCCTGCCACCCCAAGCCCAACCTCCCTGGGCTCTTTGGGCTTGCGTCTCCCAGGACCTGGGTCCCCCAGCCCCAGGCCCTGCCCTCACCAGTCATCCCTGGGTGGCTTTGGGCTGGTGACTCCCGGGGCTCCCTACTGCAGACTCTGCCCTCCCCTCCTGCTGCCCCAAGCTCGACCTCCCTAGGCTTCTTGGGCTGGCGTCTCTGAGGACCTGGGTCGAAACCGTGTGTTTCCCTCCCCCATCGTGGAGCAGCGACTCGGGCATCGCGCTGATGTGGTCCCCTCCCCTGGGAGGAGTGGAATGCAATGATGTCACAGTGCCCCTAGGAACTGTCATTACTGCTGCAAGACCAGCCTTTGATCTTACAACCCAGTCCCCTAAGTTTTCTCACCCCATTTCTGGTTCCTCTGGTTGCAGCACAAATTTCCAGCTGGAAGGGGAGTGGAGACTATGGGACCTAGGAGCAAGAGGTTTCAGGCTGCCTTACTCCCTTAACATAGACATTGACAGTGGGAAAAGCCTACACTTCCCCTGTGAGCTCAAAATGTTCACAGTATCTCTGGGTGGCAATGGGAGAATGGGTTTGGTTTGGTTTTTTCCCAGGCTTCTACTTTCCAGAGAGACTTTAACATTTTTTTCTGAGTTCTCCACGGTTCTGGGACCAGACTGCCCTTCAGTCAGTGGCCTCTGAAGTGAGATTTGCTCATCTTCTGTGGAATAGATCTTGGGAAACTGAACTTGACAGCTTGAATCTTCCTCATATCGTCTCAACCTGGGGTACTTTGAGTGCCACAGGATAAATGCGGGACATCTTTCTGAAGCATCATTTTCCCTTGATTCTCTTGAGAAAATGCATTAATGTACTTGGGGATGACAGACACATAGGTTTCCAAGCGTATACCAGACTTTGCTCTGAAATGAGGCTTGGGTTGTCCTCTTTCTGATAAATTCCCAGATTTAATAGAAAAGCTGCCTTCTGCCATGAGGACACATTGATATGAAAGTGTGAGAGGTACTGGTACGCTTCTTCACGCTAGCAGACCTGTGAGGATGTATGACTCTAAACCACACGGCCTACAGTTCCTGCCTGCTTAATGTGTGCTTTTCTACCTCTGCCCCTGGTTTTGGTCCCTGGAAGCTGCTGATTCATGGCAAAACCCCAGAGCGTGGAGTCAGAGGACTGAGTTTAAGTTCCAGTATTGCCTTTTTTGATCTTTCTTTTTTTTTTTTTCTATCCATGATATGAATCCCTCTCAGTCACTGATTGTGACAACACCTTGTACGGTTGTTGGTGGCATTACATCAGATGGTATATAAGGGTATTTTGTCAAAACTGTAAAGGAGGATGTGGCTGTAGGGGCTGATCATTCTCATGAGTGTTACTGCTCTTCTTTCCCACAGTTAAAAGCATATTGGCAGAGGAAGAGCCCTGGCATTCCAGCAGGAGCTAACAGGAAAAAGAAAGTCAATGGCAGTAGCCCTGACACAGCCACTTCTGGTGGTTACCACTCACCTGGGGATGTGAGTCTCGGCGGGCCAGGCTCCTGGGGACAGGGGGCCCAAGGGGCAGTAGAGGGTAATTGTTAAGATTGTAGATGGACTGTTGGGTACTGGTTAAGAATTCTGGATTTGAATCCTGCCTCTCCGTCTGCTAAGAATTGATTAGGGATTGATTAGCATATGATTTAGGGCAAGTTGCTTGAGGTCTTTGGGCCTCTCTTTTCACATCTGTATAATAGAGGTGGTATTTTTTGACTTCCATTTGTGAAGTTTAAATGAGATTCGTTATTGTTGCTTTTATGTGAATCCTTAGTACATGGCCTGCTGCAAACACCCAGGACACTGAGGAAATGGTCGTTGCTGTTTGATTTTCCTCATCCCCAGTCTCAAGGGGAAGCCAGGCCAATGAGAAGAGCCACTTGCCATCAGGCTGTCCCTTTAGGAGTCACTGAAAGGGCCCCAGGGTGGGATGGTGGGGAGATAAGAACCACGAGAGAAGTTGGCACAAAGGAGTTATGGGGAAAAGGGTCCAAGATAGGCAGAAAAGAAGCTTTTGCCAGTTGATGGGGGAAGAAAGGAAGTCAGAGGGCTTAGACAGTGAGGGGGGGACAGAACATCTCCATGTGCACTCTCATCTCTTGCAGTCAGCAACAGGTATCTACGGGGAGGGCCGTGCATCCTCTACTACCCTGCAGGATCTGGAGGTAAGAGGCCCTGGGCCGAGGTGCAGTGACCCTGCAGGCCAGCCCTCCAACCTCCTCCCACAGCAGGGGCTTGTTGCCCCTCTGCCAGCTGAGGCAGCCCACACACCCCCACCAGCCCTAATGATTATTCTCTCTACCCCTCGCCACAATCTTCCTCCAACTCCTTCTCTCTGCATGCACCTCAGAGCCAGTACCAAGAACTAGCAGTGGCCCTGGATTCAAGCTCCGCAATAATCAGTCAACTCACTGAAAACATCAATTCACTGGTAAGAGTCCAGTGGGGTCCCCTGATTACAGCTGGTCAATCCTGGACTCCAGTTTCCTCTTGGGGCCCTGAAGAAAGGGGCTAGGGGCCCCTGATGCCAAGGGCAAATGGGGAGCTGGGCACCCAGGTCTCACCTGGAGGGACCCCAGAGCACAGAACATGCAGCATGGGTCTTCTGCACTGCCCTCTTTGCTGACTCTCTCTTCTCCAGACACCCCTGCTCTAGTCCTTGCCACACATGCCCTGGGGTTGTCACCTCTCTGGGAAGCACTAGCCTGACTGGTTGTCAGGGGTCCATATTTCTGCCCTGCCTCAGTCCCTAATTTGCTTTTTGAGTCTGGACAAGCCATCTCTCCTCTTTATGCTCGTGTTTCTGGAGGAGGTAGAGAGTATCAAAGGTCTTGGTTAGCTCTGAAAGTCAGAGATTTAAAGGCCCCTAGAATGGAAACCTCAGGGCCAAGGGCTCCTGTCTGTCCTTTGCTGTTTTATATCTCTGCTATGAAGAACTGTACCTGGCCTGTAGATGCTCAGTAAATGTTTGTTGAATGAATGCACGTTTCTAAATCACAAACTGGCAGAAGGGGGGTGGGCCTTTCTCAAACTCTGTCTCTGGACGTTCACCAGCCCCTCCCTCCAGGGCCCTTTTCCCCCTTTGCTTTGGGCAGGTTCGCACATCTAAGGAGGAGAAGAAGCATGAGATACATCTGGTACAGAAGCTTGGGAGGAGCTTGTTCAAACTCAAAAACCAGACGGGTAAGATGGGGCTGGCATGACCTGGCAGCTGGACTGGCATTAGAGGGCTGTGGGGGTGACTTAGAATGCCCCAGGGAGGTGGGTGGATGGAAGGGCTTTGAGGCAGAGGGAAAGAGGTCTGTGCCAGGGGAGGACAAGTCTTGTCATCTCCATGAGCCTCAGTGTCCCCATCAGTAAAGAGGGAGGAGTGCCCATTGTCAGCCACCCACAGTGCTCTCTATCTGAAAGTGACTTGGAAGATTGTCTACCATCCGGGTGTGAGGAGTCATTAGCAGTGAGGCCAAGTTTGGGAAGCCTGAGAGGAGGAGCTGTGCACCAAAGGGAGGATTTTTTTTTTTTTTTTGAGAATCCAGAGGCCCTTATTCTCTGCTTGCTTTCTCAGCTGAACCCCTGGCCCCAGAGCCCCCAGCAGGGCCATCTAAGGTGGAGCAGCTACAAGATGAGACCAACCACCTAAGGAAGGAGCTAGAGAGTGTGGGAAGACAGCTCCAGGCTGAGGTGGAAAACAATCAGATGTTGAGTCTCCTGAACAGGAGACAGGAGGAGAGGCTACGTGAACAGGAGGAGAGGCTACATGAACAGGAGGAGAGGCTACATGAACAGGAGGAGAGGCTGTGTGAACAGGAGGAGAGGCTACGTGAACAGGAGGAGAGGCTGTGTGAACAGGAGGAGAGGCTACGTGAACAGGAGGAGAGGCTGTGTGAACAGGAGGAGAGGCTACGTGAACAGGAGGAGAGGCTGTGTGAACAGGAGGAGAGGCTACGTGAACAGGAGGAGAGGCTACGTGAACAGGAGGAGAGGCTATGTGAACAGGAGGAGAGGCTGTGTGAACAGGAGGAGAGGCTACGTGAACAGGAGGAGAGGCTATGTGAACAGGAGGAGAGGCTATGTGAACAGGAGGAGAGGCTGTGTGAACAGGAGAAGCTGCCAGGGCAGGAGAGGCTGCTGGAAGAGGTGGAGAAGCTGTTAGAACAGGAGAGGCGGCAGGAGGAGCAGGAGAGGCTGCTGGAGAGGGAGAGGCTGCTGGACGAGGTGGAGGAGCTCCTGGAGCAGGAGAGGCTTCGGCAACAGGATGAGAGGCTGTGGCAGCAGGAGACTCTGCGGGAGCTGGAGAGGCTGCGGGAGCTGGAGAGGCTGCGGGAGCTGGAGAGGATGCTGGAGCTGGGGTGGGAAGCCCTGTACGAGCAGCGGGCCGAGCCACGCAGCGGCTTCGAGGAGCTGGTACGTTGCCCCACCTGGGGAGGCTGCCCTCTTCCCTAGCCCTCAAGGCCTTTGTTTCCCCACCTGTAAAATGGGGCATTGTAGCCTTCACATGAAATGGTACTTCTAAAGGCATCTGTGAGCCAGAGCCCTGCTCTGATGGCTGTGGGAGAGAGGGGATATTTTTCTAACCTGCCTCCACCCTTCCCGGTGCCATGGGAGGCAGACACTAAGTTCTGGGGTCTCCAGTTTTAGTGGGTGGCCACTGATTGCTTCTCTCTGTCCAGAACAACGAGAACAAGAGCACACTGCAGTTGGAGCAGCAAGTAAAGGAGCTGGAGAAGTCGGGTGAGCTGAAAGAGACTGTAACCTCCGACCCATCCAAGAAGATGTGGGAGGCGGGCACCAGCCTCTGGGGAGGGGAGGTGCCAGGCCACAGGCAGCTGCAGCCTGGGGACAGGTGACCCCAGCACCCTCCGGGGCAGTCCTATGACTGTTTCTTGCTTCCTGCCCTCTGACTTTTAGAGGTGGGTAGCCCTGGGGCCCTCCCAGGTCTGGACATCATCATCATCCCAGCTAGAGGCATGGAGCCCCCCAATCACAGAGGAAGAGACAGTGGTATAAGAGGCTCCTTATGTCGGGTGTGGTGGCTCACGCCTGCAATCCCAGCACTTTGGGAGGCTGAGGCAGGACAATCACTTGAGGTCAGGAGTTTGAGACCAACATGGCCAACATGGTGAAAGCTCATCTCTGCTAAAATTAAAAATAATAATAATAATTAGCCGGGCCTGGTGGTGCATGCCTGTAATCCCAGCTACTCAGGAGGCTGAGACACGAGAATCACTTGAGCCCGGGAGATGAAGGTTGCAGTGAGCTGAGATTGCACCACTGCACTGCAGCCTGGGACACAGAGTGACACTCTCTCAAAACAAAACAAAACAGAAAAACAAAAAAGACTCCTTAGATTCAAACTGGATTCCGGCCTCGGTTCCACTGGTCATAATTCAACTACTTTGCATCTCTAAGTCTCTGTTTCTTTAACTTCAAAAGGAAGTTAGCCTTTTCCTTGCAGAGGTGCTGAGGATTAAATGAGATAATACGTGGAAACATTAGGCATGTAGCACACTTAGCAGATGGTGGTTGGCTCCGCCTGCTTTTCCACCAGTCTGTGGCCTACAGTTTACATGCTGGGAAAAAGGACGTGAGATTTGATGCTAGGGAAGGAGGCATGGGGTTCTAGGCAAGGGAGACAGTCTCTTAGGCCTGGAGCAAGGGGCCAGGGGCCTGGGCAGGCCACAGAGCCCCACAGTGCCCTCGCTACCCTATTAATGGGCCAGGAATCTGGAAGCCAGCCACCACATGTCCTCATGCCCAGGGTCTTCCGGCAGGTGGAGCTGAAGAGCCAAGAGGCTCCGAGTCTGCAGCAGCAGCCAGACCAGTACCTGGAGCCCCAGTCCCACAAGGAGCTTGGATGTGCGGACAAGCAGGGTGGTGAGTAGAGCCCTCAGGCGGGGTGGGCAGGCAGGAGCAGGGGAGGCTCGCACTGTGCCCAGATTCCCACCCCCTCCCTCTCTCTGAAGATCTTAGTGAGCTGAGCCTCACTGATAGCATGGAGGCTGCACCGGGAGAGGACAGGGAGGGTTCTCCCCCATGACAACCCCACTGCACAGCAGATCCAGCAGCTGCTTCCTCTAATGCAGGACTCCCCAGGAGCACCCAGGCTTGAGTGGAGAAGCTGTTGGTACAGGAGAGGCGGCAGGAGGAGCAGAAGAGGCTGCATGCCATTCTTTTCGGGCTGCGGAGAACAGGGAGCTAAACATCACCATCATCTAAGAGCGGGTCAAGAAATTGAAAAAAAAAAAAACAAAACATTTAAGGGGTTAATATCCTACACAATTCATTTACTTCATTTGAATGTTAGAGCCACTTATGTTTATTTGTGTTTCTAATTTATAGTTTAAATTTATTTGTGTTTCTAATTTATAATTTAAATTTATTTGTGTTTCTAATTTATAGTTTAAATTTATTTGTGTTTCTAATTTATAATTTAAATTTATTTGTAAAAAGTTAAATGAGAGTGGGTCTTTCTCTCATGTTCACTCTGGCATCTTTTAGCATTTTTTTAATTTGATAATTATAGGACGTTAGCATGCATATCGAGTTTGCCCTTATGTGGTGGGAGTTCAAACACACAAAGACCCACTGTATGCACACAACTGTTCTTGCTGGTTTGGGATAGGCTGCCATGCTTTTTTAATGTTAGTACAGCCTGTATATTCATTACGGAATTCAGATAAAATTTCCTTATGTTCTGCTGTTATGTTTGATCGAATCCTAATCACAGTGAGCTCTTCATTAGCTCAATATGTGGTTTGCCCTCAAGTGCGCGGTCTATTACTTTGTAATATGCCACTGTGAGTACTGACATTTACAGTTGTTTAAAGGTGGAGCACTGGAAACAGCCTTTCCCCCTTTTTCTGTGTATTGGGGATGGGAGTAATAACATTTTGGGGAGGTTTTTAAATCTCCCAGAAGAGGAAAGTGGCCTGCTTTGGCAGGTGTGTGCAGGATAGAATATGTTTCATTTGTTCCGGTGCCAAGAATGAGCGCTGTACTACGGTAGTTCCCTTAGGATTTGTATGTGCTCTGGGCTCATGAAGATACTGCCTCATGAGCTGTGGCAGTTGTACTCTTTTTTGATGACCTGAAAAGGGATTATTTCTGAGGAATGAAAGGCTCCCATCATGACTGTGGATGTGGAAAACCTTTTCTAGCTGAGAGCATTTATATCTACAATACATTTTAAAGTCAGAGTTCATGTTCCCTGTTTTAATCACATGACTACATGTCCCAGTACACAAAAGGGCACTGGTTGGCGTTCTCCTTAATGTATTTAGTAAAGATCAGAAGAAATCCTTTAAGAGTTTAAATGCCCCTGGAACAGGCATATACAGGCTCTAGTCAAGAATGAATTCGAGTGAAGGAAAGCTGTGTGACACCTGGCATTCCTCTGTGTTCATGGAGCTTATCTGAGGCTAGAAGATGGATTTTACCATCTAGACCTCTCTGGCTAATAGCTAGTCTTCAACCATCTGACATAGGAATTTACTTCTTTTCCTTGAATGGAGAACACTTTAAAAATAATAACAAACATTATTATAAACTAATATATGTGAGAGTACTTAGTTGAAACAAAAAGGAGTTTTAGTAGACAGTATTATACTACATTTGAAAATCAAGGAGCAGTTTATGCAACGTAAAATGTTTACAAACTGCAGCGCAATCTACTGTTTGTGACTGTCAAAGTGTCATGAGGAAAGTGTCTATACAATCACAGAGTTATATTTCCTCACAAAGTTCTTTACGAAGAGTGAAATATGTTTTTATACCTCTCAGTTTCAGTTAGAGGCATATTTTGTGTAATATTTATGGCTTAAAATGGACTAAAGGTCCTGTTCTTGCCTTGTCTGAACTTGCCGCTTTTGCATTCTTTGAGTTCAGTTTAAAGACACTTACTTTAACTCCATTTTAAACCCTCGGGCTAGAAATCGTACCACTGTTAATTAGCCACGTTATTTGGTCTAACAGTTTTTGTTTATCATTCTGAAACTGAGCTTATCTAATACATTGATAAATTATTTCAAAGGTATTTTTATAGTTCAAATCGCTTCACTTTTACCCTGACACGTATAAATGACTAGGAATGACCTTCAGATAGCGTTTAGCAACTGTAACCAATCTGACAATAATGTGTTCATCAGGTACCTGTGGATTAAATCACATACTGGCATATTTAAGCTGAATGTCAGTCTGAAAAATAAATGTACTATATTAACTCAAATACCACTCTCTGTGTAGGTATTTTGTCATATGTTTAAGAAAAAGCTAAAGAGAATGGAAATCCTATGACAATAACTCAAGTCTTTCTTCAAAGTGCATGCAGTCTCTTGCAGTACCTCATTCAGCCAAGTATTTGTTCTCTTCCTCATTCAGTATAAGGCAGCTTTCAATTTGCTTAGAAGGCAATATTAGAAGGTTAGAGTTCAGCAGAAAGAGAGAATTTTAAAATGTGAGTTTGACTGAATAAATTTGAATTTCTGTAGGAAGTAAAGAATCAAAATACCTATTTAAAGACTGCAATATATGATAATTATTTTTAAAGTAATAGATTAAACCTGATAGGTTTTCCTGAAATGAAAAACAATCAGTTCTAAAACCAAAGCTGATTTTTAGAAAATGTGAAAATGTAAATCAACCCTATCCAAAATAGATTCTCTAAAACTTTATCTTACAGTCACTTTCAAATAACTATTCAAAAATGTAACTGTTAAATTAATGTCTTAAAATAATTTAAAACATTTTAAAATACGAATACTGTAGCTTAAAACAAAGAATCTAGGGGAAGGAAAAGTAGAGAAAGAAATGCCAATTCCAGTCCAAAGCTGTATTTGCCAAGTTTTCTTAGAACGACTTTTACCGATTTATGAATTCTTATACACAGAATGCATGATGGAAATACTGATTTTTGTCTAAAGTGGCATTATTGACTGCTTCTGTGATGCTACTGTAATGTAATAAATTATTAGATTGTTTCAAGGTGCTGTTTTGCCTAAAAATTTTGTGTGTCTTGAAAACTATAGTATTAAAGGTATTGAGACTGTGCAAATGCTGGGCATGCTTGGCATGAGATAATCGGTTTTTATTCTTACAAAATTGTAACCATGTAAGTGTGTTTATTAAAAGAACACAAACTAAAAAATTACAGGAATTAAAGTTGTGGGATGAAAAAGTTACGGGATAAAAAATACTGTGGAAAAGTTGTGGCAAAAAAAGATGTGGGAAAAAAGTAAAAAAAAAAAGTTTTATGAAAAGTTTTTTTAAAAAGTTCTGAAAAAGAAGTTACGGGATTTAAAAAAACATCATGGGATAAAAATAAAAATAAATAAAAGCAGGCCCCTGTCAGCATAAGCCTGGAGAAGTGGGTCTGGAGTCTTCACCCCCACCATGTCCCTACAACCCCTCCCCAGTCAGCCCTTTACCATTAGGGTAGCAAGACAAGACCCTTGTCTAATGGAGGGAGACAAACAGACCCTTTACCACCTTGACCAAGGCTGAGTCCTTACATTTCTGGATGATGATGTTATTTAAGAGCCAGAGGTTGGTGGAGTTGGTTTGTTTGGAGGAGGTCTGACGGCCTTCTTACTCTCACCAAAGCAACTTTTCCCTCAAGGGGGCTCCCATCTTCTTACTCAGAGAGGCAGCTGAGGCGGGACAGTGGAGTTAACTGTAGACCAGGCCAGGGCACAGGCTGCTGGGGGTGGCCCCCCTTCCCCCGTGTACATACTGTAGCTGTGTAACATTCTGTATTGTACCTAGCGGAGGTTGCAGCTGGCATATGAGGAAGAGGTTCTTATAATTATTCACGGCTGGGAAACTTATTCGTTGTTAGCATAGGAGCGATGATGGGGGTGGGGATGGCGTCATGGCTCCCTGGTGATGGGACCCCTTTTTTGTTTTGTTTTGTTTTTTTGTTTTTGTTTTGGTTCGCTTTTGATTTTGGAATAAATGGATTTAGCCATACTGCTCGGCCTGGCATGTTCCTGTTTCCCTCACTGGGTCCTGCAGTTTTTCCCACTCAATGAGGAGCCCCAGAGTGTCTCAGCATGTCCAGCTGGGCTGTGGGGAATCTTCCAGGCCTGTTACCTGTATGCTGCCTGGTGATACCTGGTGGATTTCACGAGGACTGCCATGGCGCCTCTGGAGTATAGTCCGGCCCTGAGAGCCAACAGGTTGAGAAGCCTGATCTAGCTGTGGTCAGGAAGACAGATACCAGTGCCCAAGGGCACTGACTTCCATCCACCCCACGTATCTTCCATTCCGTCCCCCTGCCTCCCTCTCCTGTCTGCACCGGGTGGCCTGTCTGTCCCTCCAGAGTGCCGGCTGCCCCACAGGCTCCTTCCAGGCTGAGTTCAGGGCCCTGTGCCCTACTGGCCAGAGCCGGCTTCACAGAATAAGAGCCAGCTAAGCTCCAGGGACTTTCCAGGAAAAGTGTCCCTTGAAAAGGGTGTGACCTTTTCACTGCTGCCAACAGCACCCTAAAAATGGCTTGGCCTCTTCCCTCCCCTGAGCTCCATAGAGAACACAGCCAGCAGAGGACACATTCTCTGTCATTCAGAAATGGGTTTCTCAGCCGAGGGACAGCAGGACTGGTAGAGACTGTCAGGCCACACAGCTGCCTGCACAGCACCGCCATGCTTGGCCAGAAGGGCGGGAGGGATGGCGGGGGCTGGCTGTCCATAGGCCGCGCATGTCCCGGAAGCTCACTGGAGGTGGTGCACTTTGGAGGGGCGATGTCAGGAGACAGCTTCCTCTTGCTGGGCTACAAGACTCCACAAGCACAGCACGGGGACTGATTCCCAGTGCTAGAGGCGAGGCAGTCGACCACATGTATATGTGTATATATATATATGTGTGTGTGTGTGTGAGTTTGTGTATGTGTATATATATGATAATTTATAGCTATTTATAGAACAGGGCAGGGGCATACCACAGAGGGGGCACAAGTTTTCAGCAACGGTCACACCTGGATGTGTCAGCTCACCACTACAACAGACTAAGTCACAGAAGAAGGGGGCTGGCTTTGGGGCTGGGGGAGCCACTGTCAAGTCACAGGACACCCACCCAGGCAGGCTTGGAAAGGGAGGTCTCTGAGAAGAGGAGGAATCTGTTTAGAGGTCGAAGTGGGGCCTGGGGCTCCCCGGATGGGATGGACTTGCCTGACCCAATCAGCTGGCAGTTGGAGAGAAAGCAGAGAGAAAACGGGTTAGAGAAAAGCCAGAGCTGGTGAGGCAAGTGCAGAGTATGGGTGCGCTGCAGCAGCTGTGGAGGGCCGGGGAGGGGAGGGCGTAGGTGTGGGCATGGCAAGGTTCCTGGAAAAGAGGGGCTGGAAGAGAAAGGGGAGGAAGATGGAGGGAGAAGCCGGAGCTTCATAGGTAGTGCCTGGGGACTGCGGCGGCCCTCCCCACCCCACACACGCTGGCCTCTTTCATGGCACCCAGGCAGTCCACCCATAGTTCAGATGAATGCTCAGCCCCCTCGGGCTTCTCTCTTCTCTGGTCACCCTGTCTTCCAACTCACGGCCCAGGGCCACCTCTTGCTTGGGGAGCCCCACCCAACAGCCACCAGGCCTGATAGAAAGGGAACACTGCTTGAACCAAAAATGGTGAAGCTATAAGGGATGGATGACTGGAGTGAGTGCCAGAGGCCCCTCTGGGTGGTCCAAAATCCCAGGGTCCTCTGAAGGGACCCTGGGGAAGGCAGGGAGGGCAGGTAGCTGGATGCCACTGGCCATAGACTTATAAGTCTAAGAGGGGAGCCTCAACTGGTTGGCGGGCGTGGGGCTGCAGGTTGCATAGGTGAGGCTGGGCCCTTCCTGCTGGGAAAAGCAGAAGAGGGAGAGTCCATGGCAGGAGAGGCAGGTGGGCTCGCTAGGCGGAGCTCAGCTGGGCCAGCAGGCACTGTGGTCCCCTTGGCTGAATAGCACAGGCGACCCCTAGGAGCAACAGGCCAAGGTGTGTGAGCCTGCTGGTCGGCGATAGTGATTCAGCGGGGGCCAGGGACCCTGCCTTCGGTCACACACTAGCAGCTATGGTGGTACCTGGGAGGGAGGGAAGGGGGCTGTGTGTCCCCGCCTGGCCTGTGGAGTGTGGAGTGTGTTGTGGGATGACCGTGTGTATGGGACTCTCACCTAGATACCACTGGATTGCCGACAGATAGATGAGGTGGGGCCCTGACTATCAGCCCTGCTTTGCAGTGGATTTGGCTCTCAGCACTCCCAGGCTGGGAGCTGGATACCTGCCCTGGCAGCATGACTGAGACTGCACGACAGGTATGGCATGCCCAGGATGATGTTCCTAGGGACTGGTTCAGTGTGTGGGTCAGGAGCAAGTCGACAGGCCCTGCTCCTTACCCCTTGGAAGGGACTGCCACCAGGGGCAGTTCTGACTAAGGCCTGGGAACCCATGACTCAGAGCGTGGGTCCCCAGGTCTTGCTGGGCCAGCCTGGCTGCTGCAGACAGACAGGAAGCACGTCTGACGCTCCTCCACCCTCGGTCAGCACAGCGGGGCTGGGACTCACGCTAGCCTTCCCAGCAACTTGCTTTCCTGCGTGAACTCTGGCAGGCTGCCCTCTCTGTGCAAAGCCATAGCTGGGGCCTGCTTGGGGCCCTCTCCCTCTTTCACCTGCTCAGAGTGGCCTGGAACTTGGAGGTGGGCAGTCGGCGCCTAGGATGGGCCTGTGTCACTAGGGCATGTGTCCTTGGGCCAGTTACTTCCTCTTAGGGCCTTGGGCTCCTCCTCTGAGAATGGGGCGTGTTGGTGTGAAATGAGGTGAGCATGTTGATTTGAGGAGCAGCAGGACAGACACCTGCAGGCAGCCCCCCTGGCCACATTCCCCTCCCTCCCTTCCAAGTCCTGGGACAGACGCTCTTCACCAAGGGGTTCAGCCTCTGATGCTCTTTCTTGGTCTCAGTCCCTAAGGAGTAATTTTTTTTCTTTTCTTTTCTTTTCTTTGAGACACAGTCTCCTCCCTCTGTCGCCTAGGCTGGAGTGCAAAGGCGTGATCTCAGTTCACTGCAACCTCTGCCTCCCAGGTTCAAGCGATTCTTCTTCCTCAGCCTCCCAAGTAGCTGGGATTACAGGTGCCCACCACTGCACCCGGCTAATTTTTGTATTTTTAGTAGAGATGGGGTTTCACCACATTGGCCAGGCTGGTTTCAAACTCCTGACCTTAGGTGATCCGCCCACCTCAGCCTCCCAAAGTGCTGGGATTACAGGTGTGAGCCACCGCGCCCAGCCAGGAGTGATTTTCAGTGGTGTCCTCTCCATCCCCAGCATACACCCAGCCCTGAGTGGCCGCGGCTGCCACATGCAGGCTCCAGGGCTACATTTGCCTTTCGTCCAGGGTTGTCATACGCTGGAGAGTAGAATGTGAGAGGTGACCCCTGTAGGCTGCAGGGTGGCCTCTCTGAACCTTAGTGTCCCCCACCTGTAGAAGGGGCGTAACACCTTCCAGGGGGAGGGCTGAGGAGGAAATTGTCAACGGCTGAGTCTAAGGCTCACAGCCAGAGGCCAGGGTCGGATCCAGGGCTGGGCCTGGGCCTGGGAGGACAGTGTCCGCCCCTTCTCCAGCCTCCCGCCCCTGGTCAGGCCAGGACCCTCTTCAAAGCACCTTCATGCCCATCTGTTCCCTGCTGTGGGCACTACTGTCTGGCTCCATGGGACTAGATTTTATGGGAGGGGAAGGGGCTGTGGGTAGGCAGGTGCCAGGTGCTGGACCATAGATCAGCATGGTAGGAACCTGTTGCTTGGGCTGGTGGTGGGAAAGGGGCCAACCCAAGGCAGTGGCAATTAGCCCAGCCCTATCTCTGGGCACAGAGATGAAGGGACACGTGGGGACACAGTAGGGCAAAATTGGCCAGCCTGCTCTTCCCCTCTCTGCCCGCTTTTTGCAGAAGAGTCAACAGATAGAACAGACAGAGCCAGGGAGGTGCCCATGGGGGCCCCAGTCCCCACCACTCCAGGGGGCAGTCCCTGCAAGTGACAAGGTGGGCTCAATCCCTGTGGAACAGGTCTCTGAGGACCACAGAGTGGGGCCCCAGGGAAGGCTGGGAGCCTGAGCTGAAGGCAGGCAGCAAGTAAGGGCCAAGCTGTGCCCCTGCCCAGAAGACCTTCCTGCCCCCAGAACCCCACCCTCTGCAGACAGGCCTCCCTGGGCAGCAGCCCTCTGGCTTCCGAGGCCTTCCGTGCCTCACCAGATGCCATGCTCTCAGGGACTCGTTTGCTACGCTGCCCCCTGCAGATCTGCCCCAGAGGAGCAGGTGAAAAGCCGCGCCTGCCGAGGTGCTGCAGCGGTGGAGTTTTGGGCAGAGGGGTCGGGGGAAGAGTTTCTCACTTTTAAGATTCCCCAAATCCAAGATGAAGTCACACTGTGCTTTAGTATGGTAGATGCTCATTTATGTAAAATCATAATAAATGTTACACAAACTGTTAGAATAAAAAAATACCTTTTTCGAGGGGGAGGAGCTCCCCAGCCTGCCGCTGGGTAGTGAGAGGGGGTTAGCACCATTAGGGCGTAGGGGGCGGGAGCTCCGCCACAGCCCGTGGTGGGCACTGAGGTCTGTCGGTCGGTCTGTGCATCCTGGCACCGTCAGTGGCGGGTGACCCGCTGATGGCCTCGGGAGGGGGAGCCGTGGCTGGGCGGAGAGCACGAGCGGCAGCACTGGGTGCAGACGGTGGGCAGCTGGCAGCGGCCCAGTAGGCGCAGTGTCTCACAGAACCCGAAGGACAGGCGGTCCCGCTCACAGCCTGGAGTGGGGGGGCAGAGAGGCATCAGAACCAGTGGTTTGGGGTACCCAGAACCTGGCTCCCCACCCCAACCACCTCAAGGAGGCTCCAGCAGCTCCCCACCAAGCAGAGAGCCCCAGTTTCTGGAGCGGCTCCCAAACTGGACTTGCAGGTCTCCAACTGTTGGTGTCTCTGTCCCACCTACTCACGGCCGACCCCAGGACTCGAGAACGGGCGCTGCTGGGCTGAGGTTTCTGGAGGAAAGGTCCTGAGACCGCACCCTGACCCCCTCACATGCCTGTTAAAGAGCCTGCCCAGGGCGACGCCTTGCCACCCCATCTCCATCCTTGCTCACCCCTGGTGTTCCCCGACAGATCCTGGCACAGAACTGCGGTCCCGGGGCCTCCTGCCAGCCTGCAGTGGCCTCTGCCCCCGACTCCCGCCACCGCCCCCTGCCCCAGTGCATCTGTCCTGCCAGGCCTCCGTGACCACCTCCAGCCACAGGGGCTGTACTCAGCCTCGGGTTCTGAGTCACAGGTCGCATCTCCCAGGCCAGCCTCCCATTTCCCAGGTGGGCCACGAAGCCTAGAGAGAGTGGGCCCTACAGGCTGTCAGCGGAAACCAGGGACTAAGCCCAGGCCCAGTGGGGAGGGAGGCCGGCTGCAGGCTGTGGTTGTCAGGGCTGAGGCTTGGCTGGGCCCTCCTGCCCCGTGGTTATCAGAGCTATTTTGGGAAGTGGCTTGTTTCCAGCCTCCTGGCCTTGCTCCTGATGCCACTGCCACTGCTGACAGCCCCCACCTGCCGCCTGGGCCCTGCTTACTCCAGCAGACCTCCCTGGGGAGGAAGAGCAGGAGGACAGCAGCCAGCCCTGTGCCAGGGACATCCCTCAGGCCCGGCAGAGGGCACGAGGCAGCAGGCAGGCTCCTCCACCCCAGCTCCAGGCAGAGCTCCAAAGTGCACATCTGCAGGCCTGCATCCTGGTCGCCCGGGGTGACCTCAGACAAGCTGCTTCACCTCTTGGGCCTTGGTTCCCTCCTCTGTCAACCCCACCTCCACAGCAAATGGATGTGGCCATGCTGTGTCACTGCAGCGACCGCACACTCTGGAGTTTCCTGGCTTTCCCCCGTCCCGCCAACTGTCCCACAGACCAGCAAAACATCCTGGGAATTCCAGGTCTCAAAGTCCAAGACACCTTCCCAGCTGCCCCTCCACTGTTCACTGGTGGCAGAAAACTCCTCACTTAGGACAGCTTCTAGTTCAGCCACCTAACCAGCCCCCATAGCCCACTCCCTGCAGCCCACTCATACCCGCCCCTGGGAGACCTTACAAGCCCAGAGCCTCCTGGGCCATCTGTCCTTGGTTCTAGGCCCCCAGGGGCCTCAGTTCCTGTTCTCTGCTCCATCTGGTCCTCATCCCCTGGGATCATAACCACCCCACTCCCTGTGGCCAGCTCTAGCCATGAAGGCGAGAGATGTGATGCCAGCACCCAGCTCAGGCAGCACACAGGAGTGCTCTGAGATGCTGGCTGGGTGCGTGCTGAGGGCAGGCAGGACAGGGTGGGGGCACTGCCACTTGGCCTTGAGGTAATGGGGTTTGTGGCAGGAAGGCCACCCCTGCCAGAGGCAGGGTAGCAAGGCATGGCAGCGAGGCATGGCAGGGGCCACTCTGAGCCCAAATGAGGGCTGCCCAGGAGCCAGCGCAGGTAGAGAAGGCGCATTGGATAAGGGGAGAAGGCAGACTGGGGAGACTGCAGGGGGCCCCGAATGCCAGTTTGAGGGCCGTGGCTGAGGACTCTGTCCTAGGGTCAGGGGGCAGACAGCCAATAGCACAGGGGCCGCAGCTCTTCAGGCCACAGCTCCTGGATTCCTTAGACTGGCAGGGTCAGCCCCAGGCCCTCTCCCTGACCTTGCAATGGGGGATGACAGTGGCTTTGCGGGAGGGGAAAAAGCCGCCTTCCCTGAGCACCACCTGGATCCCCACGCAGTGCTGTGCCCTTCATGCCCAGACCTCACTTATGCAAGGATGGGGCTTGGCAGCCCCTTTATTCAGCACATGAAGGCCCTGAGAGGGAAATGGAGCCCAAGGCCACACAGCTGGTGAGGGGAGCCCAGGTGACACTCCAGGGCCACCCCATTTCCTGCCCTCAGCACTGCTGAGAGCAGCTGGGGCTGCAGGAAGTGTGTGAGTGTGTGTGTGTGTGTGTTGGAGGTGGGGGGTTGGGATATCCAGAACCACCTCTAGCTCAGGCCCTTCCACCAGGACCCAGCTGGCCAGGAAACCCCCCACCACTGGGATTAGCAGGACCCTGGAAGGGAGGCCCTTCCTGTGGTTCCATTGCTCACTCTAGGCAGTCCTCTGGCCAGGGAATGGACAGGCTAGGGCTGGGGAGGGGACAGGGACTCACCCAGGCCCAGTTTTCACACAGCTTCAGGGACATCCCTGGTCTCACTATGGGAAGACTGAGACCCAGAGGGGAAAGAGCTTACCCAGGTTCACACAGCAAATCAGGGGCCAAGGCCACTCTCTCTACTCACTGGAGGTCAGAAAGCTGCCTGCAGGATGTTGTGTAGCTGGGACTTCTCTTGACTGACTCCCAGCACAGCCAAGCCTCCAGCATGGGATCCTGTGGCATCAGGATTTTCAGTGGCTCCTGAGCCCAGACTACAGATGGAGCCAGCCGGTGCCGTGGGTGCAATGGTTTGAAGACCCAATTTCCCCATCACCCTTCCCGCCCCACCTCACTTCAGCAGAGAGCTTGGGGTCGGGGGACTCACGGGGAGGCTCGACGGGCTCACAATCCTCGGTGCCACACAGCCGGGAGCTCACAAGGCCAGGCCTCGTGGCCACACTGGTCACTGTCTTCCTCGGGTAGCCCCGTCTGGGTGTTGACACACTTGACCAGTGTGTGACCACTGGATGCCACCACCACAGGGGCCTGAGCACTGGGGGGAGCAGGGGAGGAATGAGTGTCTCCAGGGCCAGCCCTAGCAGTGGGGGCAGGGACACCTCCTCTGGGAAGCCGTCCCTGCGCCCTGTGCCTGACTGGCCTGCCCTTGCTCCCAGCCGCCCTCTCAGTGCCTCCTGGAGGACCTGTTCCCATTCCTAGAGCCCACTTGGTGCTGGAACCCCACTCTCACTTGTGGGATCGGCTGCTGCAGAGGGAAGGGGCATGAGAACCATGGGACAGCCCTTGGGGCGGCAGGGCAGTGAGCCCCTCACACGGGACATGACTGAGAGGCCTGGGCAGGGGCCCCGGGATGGAGCCCTGATGCAGCAGTGGGCAGAGATGTGGGCGAGACACCGCTGTGCCCGAGGGACAGGGCAGAGGACCTGCCGCAGCCCATGGGCAGGAGGGGTGGAGACAATTTCACAGCCGGGGCCCAGCCCGCCAGGCTTTGTTGTTAACAGGTGCAGGTCTGAAAGCCCTAAACATGTGCTGAGTCTGTGCCAGTGTCGTGCTGTGCCCGGCCCTGTGCTTTGTTGCGTTCCTCCATTTAATCCTCCTGACCCTCCTCTCCCAAAGCGTCCCAATTTTACAGATGAGAAAACTGACCCAGCAAAGCAAAGCAACCTGCCCAGAGTCACTCAGCAGCCAGTCGGACAGACTCAAACGCTGGCCCAGCTGACTCCCGGACCCAGCTCAGGGCCCAAATCTGAGATTTCTGAACCCCTCAGTTCCAAACAGGCCCAGCAGAAGGTGTCCTGCCCATACGAGGCCCCTCTTCTGCCCCCTTCTGCCGCTGGCCTTTGCTGGGCTCCCTGATCTCCCCAAGCTCATCATTCCTGCCTCAGACTTCACACCTGCTGTCCCCCCTCGATCCCTGTCCTTGGCATCACTGACTCCTCCCTCGGGTCTCAACCCCAGACCCCTCCTCGGAAGGCCTTCCCTGACATCACAGCACACATGCCCTTTCCTTGTCTGTTTCTCCCTGTCAGGTGTGAGCACCAGCATGGCAGGGCTTTGTCCAGTGACTGCTGCATGTGCAGGGGCCACAGACAGCCTGGCTCACAGCACACACTCCACAGCTCCTTCACCCAACCCAGGACTGACCAGGCGCTACCAAGCACTTGCTCCCTGCTCCCCCCCGCAGCCTGGCTCACCTGGCCCCAGGGCCCCACCACCCACTGTGTGCAGGGGTGGGTGTTGCAGGGCCGGGTGGTGTTGGGTCTCAGTGCCTCCTCGCAGAGGTCTGGCTCTGGGCAGGTCACCAGACGCTGCTGCTCACCACCGCCACAGGCCTTGGAGCACTGGGTGGGCAGGGAAGGAGTCAGGGCACAGCCAGGGTCTGAGGGTGTCCCCTCCCCCCAACTCAACGCCCAGGCCTCACCTCCCTCCAGGAAGACATGTACCAGCTGAGGCAGGGCTGGGCCCCGCAGGGCCAGTGCACAGGCAGCTTGGCAGGTCCAGGCTGACAATGGAAGGGCCACAGTGGCCAGAGGTCCCATGTGTCCACATGCTGCATGTCCCACACTGAGGAACCTCTGCCACAGCTGTGGGAGCACTGGGGACCGAGAGACTTGTGTGGACACATCCCCACGTGCAGGCCCACAGGCGTGACCCCGTGAGGCGTGTGGCAGGAAAGGCATCAGACCCACGCCCCAGCCGGGGGCAAATCCCTGAAGAGCCCCAGCGAGAGGCCAAGGCTGGCAGGCCCCAGGCAAAAGGTGGCATGGCCAGGGGCTGCCATGGGCTGGGACAGACAGAGAAAGGGAGGAACAAGTCCAGATGGGGTCAAAGATACAGAGGAAAGGAGACAGGCCAAGCCAGACAAAGATGAGATGACTCCCAAGAGATTCGGAATCCGGTGCGATCAGGCACATAGACATGCAGCCTGGAGCCCTCCCCTTCCCTGCCGCTCTCGGAACACAGGCCGTGGGGAACCAGGGCTCCATCCCATGCCCTGGGGATGCCTGTCCTGGCTCCATCCTCATGCACCTTACTCCAGTTGCCTGAGTGCCAGGTGGCACAGGGCCACAGGTGGCAGCGGCGGGCAGGCTGGGGCCGGCCAGCGGGGTCGCAGTCCTCATCCCGGCTGGAGCTACAGCACACCGGCCTCCAGAGGGCACCCAGGCCACAGGTGGTGGAGCACTGCGGGGCACAGACCCGTGAAAGCCAGGCAGAGCCCATCCTCGCCAGGCCTCCACAGCCAGGAAACTACCCACCTAGGCTAGCAAGACCTCAGCAAGACAGGGGCCCTCTTCTGGGCCTCAGTTTCCTTATTTGCAAAATAGGCTCCTTCACCCACCTCCCAGGAAGACCATGAGAATGAAAAGTCAAATCCCCCCAGCAACCAGCCGTCCCTGCTCACATGGGACAAAGGGCCTGTGTGCCAGTGTCATTGGTGCAGAGGTTCGGGGGAGGAGACCCTGTGGGCACCCCTGACCAGCTATCCTGACCAGCCTCGTCGCTTCCCAGAGGCACCAGGGAAGGAAGGCTGGGTCCTGGTACCAGCAGCCAAATCGCTGCCTATCCCCGCGCAAAACAAGCCCTGTGGGCCTCAGCCTGCCCCTTCCCACCCCAAAATTAGGAATCTGAACAGAAGCTTGCTTCTCCTGCAGTGACCATCTGGGGACCCAGGGAGGGGGCACTAGCCAGCTTCTTTCATGCAGCTCAGACGTCTGCAGGTCACTGCCAAAGGAGGGTGGAGCCACTGAGGGCAGAGCCAGGTAGCAGTGGGCTGAGTCCAGCCTGGAGGAGCCAGACAGAGCCTCAGGGAAGCTGCTGCCTGCTGGGCAGGACTGGGCCTGGTGGCCACACAGGGACCCTCCCCACTGCACAGCTGTCTGAGCCAGCTCCATCCTGGGGCATGCTGTGCTGCCAGAGTGTGCCTGCCCCTGCCTTCCCTGAGGCCCCCTGTGCTGCCCAGGAATGGGCCCCAGGTCCCCTCATTCCCCTAATCCTGGGAACCCCCGCCCCAAGGAAGGCGAGACAGACGGCGCCTGCGTCCCACTCTGCTCATTTTCAGATGAGGAAATAGTCACCAAGGTCCTGCGCAAACTCCCTGCCCACCCAGCCCACACCACTTGCCTCGCTCCAGTTTCCCACTTGTCAGCCGGCGTTCCTGACAACCAACGGGTCCGTGGGGGGCCCCGCTTCAGCCAGGCTGGGAGGCAGTGGCTGGGTCTCAGGGGCTCTGTGGCTGTTGGCGGGGCTGTCCCAAGCTGGCATGGACAGCAGCCTAGAGCTCAGGGGCACCTCAGGGCTGAGGGACTCAGGCTGACCCTTGGGTCCTGGGTTCAGGGCAGGCTCAGGCGTGTGCCCGAGGTCAGTCAGGGTTGTGGGGAGGAAGGTCCCCCACACTGCCACAGTCTGAAGGTCCCATAAGCCTGGTCCTGGGGTTGGGAAGGTGGGAGTCCCCGGCTGCAGGGGACTGTCCTTGCCCTTCATCTCTGGCAAAGGGGCTATGGGAGGAGGAGGGAGAGAAGCCACCCTAACAGTGGGCCACAGTTCACTATCCACAGGCCCCAGGCCACCCTCCAGAGCTGACTCCCAGGCTACTGTCCCTCCTGTCCACAGCTCCGCCACGTCAGGACTAGGAGAGGAGTGGGTGCTGCTGACCGGGTACAAAGTGGGCAGCGTGGGGCTGGGTCTCGGGGGCAGGTGGGGTGCTCCGCAGCCCTTGGGTCCCTCATCATTTGAAAACCTCGTTGGTCCTGTCCTGCCATGGAGAGGGCAGCTGGCTCTGGCTGTCCTTGCCAACTGGGAAATCATTTTGGCTCTCAGGGGCGGCAGGCGTCTGCAGGCCATCAGTGGAAACCCTGGGCCAGGGCAGGCTGGGGAGCCCAAGATCTGGGGCCCCTATGGGGGTGTCTTCCTCAGGCAGGAAATTGATCAAAGGGTTCCCAGGGGTCTGCTCTGAGGGTGGGGGTGGGGAGCGGCCAGCCTGGCTAGGCCAAGGGCTCGGGGACCAAGGTCCCGTTGCCCCTTCCTCCTTGGCTGCAGGAGGCTCTGTGGCAGGCACAGGGCTACCCGTGGAGGGCGCAGCAGGACGGCTGTGTGGTGGGGGCGTCCGATCCCCTGTCCCCGCCAGGTCTAGATCGGGCTCCTCAGAGGGCCCGTAAGGACAGATCCTCGTGGAAGCTGATGAAATTGTAGTCGTAGTAGAAGTCGTCCACAAACACGGGCCCCGGCAGGTCCAGCTTTGGAGCCTCCTCCTCAATGGCGTTGCCCATGGTGCCTGGCTTGGGTGATGAGGCGGGTGAAGGGCGTGGGGCCAGGTGGCGCGGGATGAAGTCAGCCTCGTTGAAGAGCTCGTGGCTGGAGGAGCCGCTGCCTGAGCCTTCAGGGCCCAGTGTGTCCAGGGGCCACCAACAGGGTGGCAGAGAGCAGGTGACTTCGCTGGCTGGCTGCTGGGCCTCGTCACAGGGGACACCGGTGTCACTGATGCAGAGGACATTTCGGTGCTGAGTCCCTTCCTCATATGTCACTGAGCACTGCAGGGGAAGCCAGGGTGAGGGGCTTAGCCTGGGAGGCAGGCTGCCAGGGGACGCTGGGGCAAGGCTGGGTAACCTGTCCACTGCCTGATGTCAGAGTGGCAGAGACCCCAGCCAGCCCTCTCTGGCCCTTCCCAGCTCAAGGCCATGACTGTGGCCATGCTTGCCAGGGGCTTCCTGATCCCTGAGGCTTTAGAGTCAGGGGCTGGACCCTGGAATGCCCAGGTTCCCTCCCACCCACAAGGTCTCCAGGAAGGCTGTCTGCCTCCCTGTAGCTGAAGACCAAGGGTGGGGCTGGAGGCGGGCACCTTCCCATCCCACACTCACCTGAGACCAGTTCCCCACAGCCTACGTGGCCGGACAGGGCACATGGTGGTTGCAAGGGGTTTCAGTAGGGGGCCGGGGAAGGTGTTCACAGGCGGGTGGCTTCAGGGCGCTCTGCTCATCCAGCCCCACGCTGCGGATGCAGAGCACAGCCTGGCAGGAGAGGCCCCCAGGCCCGCAGGAGCTGGAGCACAGCTGCCACTCACCTGCCCACCACCTGCTGAGGGCACACAGGTGTCATCAGTATGGCATCAGACAGGTGGCATTGACAGGCTCACCAGCAGGGAGGGCCAGGCTGGGTTTCCAGGCCCTCGGGGTTTGGGCAGTGCCAGAAGCCAGTGGATGATTCTCCAGAGCTCCAAGCTCAGGTAAGTGTCCTGCCCTCAAAGTCTGGTGACAAGGCACAGCCCCTCCACTCCTGCCACCTTCCCCTCAGGGAAACTGAGCATGACCTGAGGCCTATTTCCACATCCAGGGACCCAAAGAGGAGGACCATAGGTGTCCAGGCTGGCCCAGGCTGGGGTGAGAGGTGACCGGGGGTTGGGGCTTCAGCCTTGGGAAGAGAATGAAAGCCCAGCTCCCTCTGCTCCTCCCTGGGGCCTCTGGGGACCCAGATGTAGGGGCCTGTGGCAGACCCAGGATGCCTGGGGGTGGGGAGTTGGTAGGGGATGGGGGCGGGCTCACCTGGCAGGGCAGGGCTGCTGGCTGCACTTCCTCTGGCAGTCATCGGGCCGGCCCAGGGGGTCACAGTGCTCCTCGTCCACGGGCCCTGCCTGCCGCTCCGAGCAGTACACACTCTGCCTCTGCACACCTAGGGGCCATGGCGTTCAGCCTGGGACTGGCACCCAGGTGCCCACCGCCCAAGACCCAAAGACACCCTCTCTGCCAGAACCCTCCCAGAACAGCGCCTTACTGCCCATGTCAGGATGCCTTACTGCCCATGTCAGGATGAAGGCAGACCTCCACCGTCGCCTCCTTGCTGTCCTCCTGGTTCTCACCCACCCCCTCTCCTATGTAGCTTCCCCTCTGACTGCCCCTGGAGGGGTGGCAGAGTGTGGAGGTTTAGTGGGTTGGGTGCCCAGACCCTCTGCATCCTAGCTGAGATGCCTGGGCAGCTCATTTGGCCTCTCTGAACCTCAGCGTCCTCCTCTGTGAAGTGGGAGCAACAATCCTGCCTCCTCCATGTCCTGGAGGGAGGACTGCATGTGTTCTTGCATGTGCAGGCTCGGCCCGTGCCCGGCACATCCTAGGAGCTCGATCCATGCCAGCTGCTGCTAGCATGCAAACCCAGCCGTGGCTCCTGCCACCTTCCCCTCAGGGAAACTGAATGTGACCTGAGGCCTATTTCCACATCCAGGGACCCAAAGAGGAGGACCATAAGTGTCCAGGGTGGCCCAGGCTGGAGTGAGGGGTGACCGGGGTCTGGGGCTTCAGCCTTGGGAAGAGAATGAAAGACCAGCTCCCTCTGCTCCTTCCTGGGATTGGCTTGGGTGATGAGGCGGGTGAAGGGCATGGGGCCAGGTGGCGCAGGATGAAGTCAGCCTCACTGAAGAGCTCATGGCTAGAGGAGCCGCTGCCTGAGCCTTCAGGGCCCAGTGTGTCCAGGGACCACTGACACACGGTCCCACCATCCACACCCTTCCCAATGGATCAGAGAATGTCTGGACAAGAAATGGGGCATCAATGGACAGCCCCTGCTCTCCATCCCCACACCAGCCTTGGCACTGCTCCAGTCCTTTACATTCTCTGCCACTGTCCAACCTGGGGACTTTGCACAGCCACGTTCCTCACCTTGGACACTCACTTCCATACTGCCTGTTGAGGCCCAGCTGCAGGACCCCGTCTGCTGGTGGCTCTGCCTTCTCTGCTCCACCCCCTGCCCCGTGGTCCCGAGAGTAAGTTGTCCCTCCCCTGAGCTGCCAGTCCCACATCCATCCCCCTCTTTCCTCACCAACAGAGTCTGATTTTGTTCAAGGCAGCAGTGGGACCTGCTGAAAACACACCCCACTGCCGCTCCCTTGCAACTAGGGGGGTCTGGGACACAGTCCTGGCTCAGGAGAAAAAGGCACAAGTCCCTCGCTGGGAGTCAGCCCTTTCCTCTCTCCTTCTTGCCTAGAACACTGCAAGAGCCCTGGAAGGGAGGACACCATCTGTGGCAAGCAGGAGTGGAGGGGAGGCTGCTATGGCAAGGATGGTGTGGCTGAGGGCCAGTCAGCTCCAGGTCCCGCCAGCTTGGACTGTGCACCTGGGACTTCCTGCCTGAGACAAAGAACCCCTGTCTCTTCCAGCCACCACAGGGCACTTGCCTCTGCAGACGCTCCTAAGTGGTCCACCTGCGAAGCAGCCAATTTGCTGAAAGGCAATTCCCCAAATGTCTAGTGCTGCAAATGTATTTGTTGGTTTTCACGTTTGTCCAATTAAAGACACCTGTATTAGGCCAGGCACAGTGGCTCACGCCTGTAATCCCAGCACTATGGGAGGCCAAGGCGGGCGAATCACCTGAGGTCAGCAGTTCAAGACCAGCCTGGCCAACATGGTGAAACCCCATCTCTACCACTAATAAAAAATTAGCCAGGCATGGTGGTGCGTGCCTGTAAATCCCAGCTACTCGGGAGGCTGAGGAAGGAGAATTGCTGGAACCTGGGAGGCGGAGGCTGCAGTGAGCCAAGATCGCGCCACTGCACTCCAGCCTGGGCGACAGAGTGAGACTCCATCTCAAATAAAATAAAATAAAACAAAATAAAATAAAATAAAGACAGCTGTATTAGATAAAATGGGTTTCCTAGCTTTGGAAGGTAACTGCCCAGTTCTCCATTTTCACTTTGTCATCATAATAGCATTTGAAGGAATGCTCAAACGTCTGTATATCAGATTCCCGATTCTGAGACCCTGAGGATACTGAGTGTCAACGATGGGAAGACTGAGGGGGAAAGGGGAGGACTAAGAGACAAAGGGGGAGACTGAGGTGTGGGGAGATCGAGGAACAGCAGGGCAGACCGAGCAGGGGGAGGAAGACCAAGGGGCATCGGGGGGGACTGGGGGGCTGGGGGGAGACCAAGGAATGGCGGGGGAGACCGAGCCGGGGGAGGAAGACTGAGGGGCGTGGCGGGGGTACTGGAGGGCCGGAGGGAAACTGAGGGATATTGGGGGGAGACCGAGGGGTATGGGGGCAGACCGAGGGGTATGGGGGGAGACTGAGAGGCATGGGGGGAGACTGAGGAGTATGGGAGGAGACGGAGGGGCAGAGGGGAGACTGAGGAGCAGTGGGGAGGAGACAAAGAGACAGAGAGGGGAGACTGAGGAGCATGGGGGGAGACTGAGGGAAATATGGGGAGGAAGAGTCGGAGTTAATGAAATTGCCCTACTTTTCATAAATAGTTCAGGGAAATAAGTCATGTGGTGAGGGGCCTGGGCTGGTCTCCGGGACGCAGCAGAAATGCAGGCACAAAACCTGCCGGAGCTGAGCAAGGACAAAATCAAGGGGGAGCTGTGTCCACTGGAGGGAGAACGCCAAGAGCTGCAGCACACTGAGCACACGCCGCGAGCCAGCACCCACCTGCCTCATCCATTTACCCTCCCAGTGGGCCTGGGACATGGGGCGGTTGCTAGCCTCATCTCACAGATGGGGAACTGAGGCTCAGAGAAGCAAACTTCTAAACCCATGGTGGCCCAGCAGTGAGCTGGGAGCTGAAGCCGGTGTCCCTGTCCAGAGATGAAGCCCCTGCTGGCGGGGCTGTGCCTGCCCCACTTCTCACCTCTGCCACAGGTGACTGTACACTTGGTCCAGGGCCCACAGTGCCAGGAGAACTCGGGCGGCGGGACCTCGCCATGGCCACCTGCCTCCCTGTGGATGGTGTACTCGTAGTGCACCCCAGGGTTGCTCTCCTGGAACAGCAGCTGGGTGGGCAGGCGGGGGCCCGTGAGCACGAGGTGTCTTCTCCATCCACCCAGTCTTAAAGGAGCTGACCCCAGCCACCTCTGTGAACTGCAGCTACACAGTTGGGCCATCTTAAAGATGGGGAAACCGAGGTAGAGGCCTCAGCAGGAGGGTCTGGCTCAGAGCCAGGCTCTGTGACTAACCCAGGGCTCACTCCTCCAGGACGAGACCTACCATGGGAGGTGCTGGGCCTGGGGACTCCACCTCTGCTCCCCACGCCTGGGCCTCGGGAGGCAGGCACCTGGATCCAGACAGGCTCCTTGGTGGGACCCGGGGACGTGAGGTTCTCCCAGTTGCCCCTGCGTGCGTATGTGACGGTGGTCCCTGCCACCTGGTAGTCCCCGTTCTACTGGATGGTCCAGCCACCATTGAGGAAGTACTTCTCCGGGTCCTCGCTCTGCAGTGCCAGGAAGTTGGCAGCCTCAGCCACCTCCTGGATGCGGACCTCACGTGTGCTGGCTGGGATCAGCCCCACGTCCACATACCCTGTCAGGCAAGGGTTGTGCCTGGGGTGAGAAGCTTGCTTATCCCCACCTGCTCCCCTCACATCTCTCCCCACTTGCCTCCGCCTGCTGATGCCAAAGATTTCGCCATTAGCTTTAAAGTCTGAGCTCCCCAAATTGCTCGGATCTGTCATGGGTCACCAAAACCTTGCGGAGGTGCCACAAATCCTGACCCCGTGGCCATGCCCCGTCACTCCTCTCTTGGGGACCTAAACTGGTCTCATCATAAGGCTGGATCCATCCCCTACTCTAAGGGCCGGCTGGCATTCTCTTTCTAAAAAAAACCAAAGTGCCCAGGCCTTTCTCCTGGGACACCCTCCTCATCCCCACGCAGCCTGCTTTTATTCATTCACTTCCATCACACCCATCACGTGCCGGGCACTACTCTCAGCACTTCACATGTGTAAGCTCATGGGTAATGGCCCTATAGCATGGTACTATTGTTAACCCCATTTTACAGATGAGCAAAGTGAGGCAGACAGGGAGAGTAACGTGCATGAGCGTCCTGCTGCAATATAAGCAGCCTCCAGGGCCAGTGCTTTATCCACCACACTGCACTGCATCTCTGGGATGAAATCTAAGCTTCTCAGCCTGGCACTCAAGGCCCCATAGCTGGCCCTGCCTTCCCTTCTTGCCTCCAGGGCTCTGGCGCAAGCTCTTTCCTCCATTTGGAATGCCCCTTCCATCTCTTCTGAGTTTTATGATTCAGCTCAACTTCCGCCTCCTGCAGGAAACCTTCCCTGACTTCCCCAGGCCAGGACCTTCTTCCTCAGTGCTCCCACAGCCCTCTGGGCCTCCCTCCACTGCACTGATCACACCAGAAGGTTCTGTCCCCCTTCAGGACTGAGCGCTTCACCTGCATGTCCTCATCACCTAGCACACAGTCAGTACTTCAGCAACATGTGCAAAACAGACCAGAGGTGAGGGCATGGAGCTGGGGGTCTCAGAAGATTCAGGAGGAGACGACCATTCTTTGAAAGGCCCAGGGGCCACACACAAGTCGGGGTGGCCCTGCCTGGGGTCTCTGGGACAGGAAGACTCCCCATGGGGACAGGTCTCTGCGTGTGGGCCAGGGGTCCCCTGACTCCTGCAAGAATCCACCCCAGCAAGCCCTCCCTGCTTAGCCATCTCTAGGCTGGGTGGGGGCCACGAGGCCAAGGACAGGGGCCCGGGGGAGATGGGGAAGGGGCCACCAGGTGAAGAGCACACCCCTCCCCACAGTGGTCCCACCCCATACCCAGGCCCTCGGCCTCCTCGAAGGTCCCACTCACGGTGTGGCAGGTGGAGCCGTTGCCGTGGCACACGCCACAGCGGTCCTCCATAGTGCCAGAGTCAATCTCAAAGTCACAGCCCCACGTTCTGCAACACACGAGGAGGGGAGGCCCCTGGTGCTGGCGGCCAGCCCTCTGTGGCCCCAGCCCCGGGGGCCAGCCAGGGTCAGGAGAAGAAAGCTGGGAGTGGGGGTCGGGAGGCCTCTCTCTGGCCCTGCCCCACCCCAGCTGTGCCTCTGACCCAGGTGAACTTCTCTACCTCCCTGAGCCTCAGTTTCCTCAGATGTGAGACAGGGAGACCCACCCCTCCCTTAAAGGCATGTCATGAGCATCACAAGAGACAAGAGAAGGGAAGAGTTCTGCAAAGCCTGCGGGCAGGCAGGGGATCTGACACGCCACGGGCTCCTGAGCAGCGCGTGCAGGGAATTTCAACGTCAAAGGCACTGGGGGTTGGCACCTCCCTCCTGGTCCTCCTCGGAGCCCAGGCCTTGATACCCCAGTGGTTTAGAGGGCAAGAAGCAAGGACAAGTAGGTGGCTGGAGACATGGGTAAAGAGGAGAGGCCATCGTTGTTATTAAAAATAAGAATATAAATTGTTACCAAACACTGAGGCCTACTCTTCGGGGCTCAGAGCCCTTCATGTCACCTGTGCCACCTCATTTAACCCCTCTATCAGGGAGCAAACCACTGCCTGGGGTCAGCCAGCCAGCAAGAGGTCAAGCCACTGCCTGGGGTCAGCCAGCCAGCAAGAGGTCAAGCCACTGCCTGGGCTCCGGTTTCCTGGCTGGGGCGGTGCTGGTGCAGGCATCCAAGGAGACGCAGTGGGGCGAGGCCTGACTGGGGGGGGTCCCCAGTGCCAGGAGGCGTGGTAGGGGCTTTGCCTTAGAGGTCATAGAGGGTAGGGGCTGGGAAGCCCAATGGTAGAGCATGGGGAGGGTGGCCCGAGGAGGACCAGGAGAGAACCTGGGGCCCGCCAGTGGGGCTGGGGGCAGGCAGTGCTGGGAGAGCCTCTTCCTAACCAGGCACACCTTACAGATGCCATTGATGCAGAGGTCCCGGCTGGCTCGGACCTGGTAGCAGGGGGTGCCATCAACCACGGCGTCCCGCAGCTTCTTGGCAAAGTACTCATTCGCGGGCCGGCAGTGCAGCTCACAGGGGTTCACTGGGGGCCCAAGTAGAAGAGTCATCAGCAACAGCTGGAGCGGGAGTATGGAGGCCACCAGGAAGACCCCTCCGTGACACACATCCATGGCAGGCTGGAGGCTCCCAAGCAGCACAAACATGCTGGAGGCTCCGGCTGGGCTGGTAGCTATCTGCAAGGCTGCAGACTGGGGAGCTAGGGGCGAGCAGCAGCCCCAGGGGACAGTGGGAGTGGCCCAGGCTTGGGGTGGAGACTGGGTCTCCTGCTTGCATCACAGGGTAACCTTGGACCCACACCCCGCTCGCCGCCCTCTGAGTCTCAATGTTTCCATGGGAGGCAGCACTCACCGTCATTGACCATGGGCACCCATGTGTGCAGCTGGCCCTCGTAGAGCATAGCGTCAAAGTGGCTGCACTGGACGTGGCGGAAGGAGGGGCGGCCAGCGGGGCAGGCCTGCAGGTTGCAGAGGCGGAAGCGCTTCCGCTTACCCACACAGTATCTGCCTTTGTATCTGGGCCTGTGGGGAGAACCGGGGTGGACCCCAGTGAGGGCCCAGTGAGTGCTACTGCATGGCCACAGCCCAGAGCAAGCAGCTTCCTCCTGCACCCACACCCCAAGATCCCTGCTGCCCAGCTTTGTGCACGCTGCTTCCCTCCCTTGGGTTGCCCACCCTGTGGCCCAGACACACCCTCCCTGTCTGTAGGGACCTGTGGGGAGGTGGCAGCAGGAAGCCTGAGCTCTGCCCCCAACCTGCTGTGTGATCGTGGACAAGTCTTCGGCCACCCTCTGGGCCTCAGTTTCCTCATGTATAAAGTGGGGTTGGGGCTGCCCCTGCAGAGGGCTGTTGAGAAGCTGGGACAAGCTGCAGGCATGACTGGCACTGGCTGGAGGGACTAATCCGAGTCTCCAGCCCATGACACCAGCATCCTAACGAGCCCTTGAGTCCTCAGCCTTCCTCCTGGTGGCAGTACCCCCAGCCTGGGTCTAAAGGAAGCGCCCAGGGCCCCAGCCAGCTGAAAGGTATGATGGAGCACAGCTCCTGAAATCCTCCACATTTAGGCCAGGGTCGCTGGCCTCCACTCAGCTCAGACCTGGAGGCCAGGAGGCAGGGAGGGGCACAGGCCAGTCTTGGGTAAGCGCAGGGCCCTGGGTGGGGCCGACTGTGAACCCCATGCCTGCCCCGGGTGGCCTCCTGAAGTGAAGATCAGCCGGGTAGTGCCTCGGTCTACAGTACCACTGGCCTCTGCTTCTCACCAGATCTTCACACCCCCTGCGCCCCCCCATTTAGATGGGGAAACAGAGATCCAGAGAGGTGAAGTCACTCACCTCAGGCCACCCCTTCAGTGCTGTCCCATCCTCCCAGCTGCTCCATCTCATCTCAGGCCCTTGTTGTGCCTCTGAGGCCACCAAGCCCCTCCTGCTGAGTGCCCACTACAGATGAGCTGCAGGGCTGAGGGGCTGGCCTGCATAAACTGCATTTGCCCCTGACTACAACTTTACTGGATGGGCACTGCTATTATACAGGTGGGGAAACGGAGGCCCAGAGAAGGGGTGAAGAGGGGATTCGAACCCTGAGCCATCTAAGGTCCAGGGCCCATGCTCTTCCCCACTGCCCTCTCCTGCCTCCTTCCAGCCAGCAGCTGCTTTGCCACGTGGCCTCTGCTGAGTCTCTCCAGTCTCTGGGCCTCAGTGTCCCCCTTTCTGCAAAGGGGTCAGCAGTGGGGACCCTGTCAGCCCTCAGAACACTCCTTGAAAGTGACTCAAGGTGGCCTGGACACTCAGACTGACCATTATGAGGACACTTCTAAGAGCCAGGGGCTGGCACAGAGCCAAGCTCCTGCAATCGGCTGACTGCCTGGGTCCCTCTGTCCCATTGCCCAGGGCACCCTGGGCCCCACACTCACATAGGCTGCATGCACTGCTGCTTGGCTCTCTGTATGCCCACGCCACAGCTCCGTGAGCAGATGGACCAGGCGCTCCAGCCAGACCAGCCACCATCCATGGCCTCGGGCTGGAAGCCCACAGGTATGCACTCCCCATTGAGACACCACTACCGAGACAGACGGAGGTAGAGCCACCCCACCCCCAAGCCTATCAGTCATCCTCACCCTAGTGAGAACAAGGTGTGTGAGAATGCTGCAAAAGGCACAGAGGGGAAGGATGGAAGGTGAGAGAGGCCCCCTCGCAATCATCACAATCATCTGTGACCCAGGCCACATGGAGGCGCTGAGCAGGGAGTAAAACAGCCCACGTGCTGACTCAGCTGAAGACACCCTGGAGAATCATGGAATCAAGCCCTGGCCCCAATGCCTCCACTTTGCAGACGGGGGCTTGGGCTGCAGAGGGCATGGGGCTCTCTGTGAGCCGGGGCTGACTCCAGGGCCCGGTCACAGCAGGAGGTCTGGCCTCTCACACATCCACTGCCGGGACTGGGAACATCGCCTACCTTATTCTCCCCACACCGGATGCCGTCCACGGCTGCATCCAGCTTGGAGTGACAGGTGGTCCCCACAGAGCACCAGAGTGTGTGGCAGACATTCTGCGAGGAGGAGGGCATGGGCCATAGCCTCACCCCCTCCCCAGTGCCGCCACCCACCCTGCCCCCCTCCCTGTCCCCAAGGGTCCCTGGGCACCCCTCCACATGGCAGGGGCCCACAGACCCCCAGAGGTCCCTTCTTGTGTGTCTGCTCCCACCTTCCTCCCCAGACCACGTGGTGGTGTGGGGCGCCCGGGGCTGCACTGCTCAGAGTGGTCCTCAGCTGTCCACACCTCTCCCGGCCCAGCGCCTCCTCTGGAAACACTCCTGTTAGAAGATCACTTCAGGCGATCTTCGCCAGGATAAATAGACCCTCCCCACAGGGGTTCCTTTTCCCTCTTATGAGCCAGCTCCAGAGAGGCGAAGGGACTTGCCCGAGGGGTCACAGTCGGTCCATGGTTGACCCAGAATTCAGAGCTGGGTCTGTGGCCGCCCATCCCTGGCCTCTCCCACAGGCCACTTGACGTCTCACAGTGTCACTCAGGGGCGTAGCCCAGCCCAGGCGAGGTTGCTCCCAAGCTGGCATCCACAGGCTGGTGAAAGCTGTCCCCTAAGCCCTCCTGTCGGGTCCCCACACCCCCACACCCACACCGGCCCCACTCACATCCATGTCCTCGCAGAAGGCAGAGTAGGCCCCATACTGGAGGTGGCACTGGTGGCTCACATCATAGAGGACCCCAGGCAGCACTGATGGGAAGTCAATGATGTCCTTGGCAGGCGGGTCATCCAGGCACAGGCTCCACCCATGGCTAGAGATGGGACGGGAGGATGGAGGGGGGCGCAGCCTGTGAGACCCATCGGAGAAGCCTCGGTGGGGCCAGGAGAGGAGGAGAGGTGGGAGGGGGCACAGAGCCCTACAACTGTAGGAAACTCCAGCCTCCCCGCTCGGCTCAGCCGATCCTCCACCTGCAGCCAGTAGCACAGGCCCTCCCAGCCAATCTCATCTCACCTCCTGGGCACTCCAGCTGGCTAAACAACCCCAACCCCAATCCCAGGCCTCTGCACACGCTGCCAGGGCCCTTCCCTCAGAAGGCCTCCTGGACCGCCAAACCTTCATGTGGCCCTGCTCTCCGACCCTGCAGCCTCCGTGTCTGAGCCCAGACCCTGGAGCCAGGCCCGACAAGGATCCGGAGAATATCACATCACAGTTGACACAACAGAGCCTCCGACGGCCCCACCCAGGCAGAGACCTCGGGTCATCTGTGGAAGGGCAAGGTCTGGAAAGCAGCCCCTCCCCTGGGAGAGAGCCTAGGGCATCCGTGCCTGTCCCCTGTTTCCCCCACTCCCCAACAGGGCTGGCCTCCAGCCTCTGTCATACCCTATCTACTCCTGCCTTCCTCCAGCTGGCATTCCCTGGCAGCGGTGGCGGGGAAACTGGCAGACACGAGCAGGTGCCATCTGTGTCCACCACACGCTCCTGCTGCTGCGGTGTGGCGAAGACAAGGCTGCCCAGACCACCACGAGGCAGCGAGCGTGGAGTCCGGGGCCCTGGGGAGGGCGGCCCAGGCCCAGCTGGCACCTGCTTCTGCCCCTGCCTCACTCTGTACAGCCCTCAGGCATGCTACTGCTTCTGGGACCAGTGACCAGCCTGCTGTACCTGCTGGACCTTAGGCGGCCACTACAACGGCTTAGCAGCAGGAGTGCCCTGGCATGCTGACCAGCCCACCCACAGCTCATTGCTGTCCTGGAGGAAGGTTTGGGGCCCTCTGCGGGGCAGCAGTGGCTGGGGAGAATTGAGCCATGCAGACATGCGGGGCTGGGGATGACCCAGGCAGCCACGACTTGGGCAGAAGCATGGAAGGAGGCAGGACCCATGGGACCTGGGGCCTCTAGCCAGGCAGGGGAGATGGGGAGGCAAAATCCCTCCAGTTCTCCAGTCTGGGTGGACTCAGGGTAGGTGGTGCCAGGCCAGATGGCTGGGATGAGCATACAGTCCTGATTGGGACAGGCAGGGGGTCGCACAGGGAAGAAGGGCAAAGGTGATGGATCCTGGAGTCCAGCAGGGAGAGAAAGAGACACTCCGAGATGTGGAGAGGCTGGGAGAACACGAAAGGGTCAGGAAACAGGGCCAAGAGTGCTGAAGACAGGTGTGGAGAGAGGCTAGGAGGGTGGATCAGACCATGGAATCCCGAAGCCCAGATTTCAGAGGAGGGGGCCTGGCAGCTGGGAGACCCAGGGTGGGGTGGGTGGTCTGTGTGGTCTCCTAAGTCCCCTGGCCAGTGACAGGCCCCTGACTCTGCCCAGAGCTGCAGAGAAGAAAGCCAAGGTGACCAGACTTCTACTGAGAACCCTGGAATCCTCCTGGAATCACTCAGACTGCCCATCATGGCTGGAAACAGATCCTCTAACATGGGCGTTGGCAGATGAGCAGCTGCTGGATGCAGTCCTAGTGCCCAAGATGACCACGTGCCAGACTGGTCCAGGGTGCTGGGGGCATACCCTCTCATTTGCTCCTCACAACATCCTGGGCAGACTCTACCATCATCTTCCCTCATGCACTCAGGGCCCATACGTCACTTGTCCCGGGTCGCGCAAGAGGGACGTGATGGCCAGGACCTGGAGCCAGGCCCAGGCTGCCTGCACCAGGCTGTGTCTACTCACTGGGCTACCCCCAGTGCAGGGCTCCTCCCATTCAACTGCGAGCCTGGCCTCAAATACTTCACCCCACATACAAGTTCAAAACCATGGCAGCGAGGCCTGGCAGGGAGAAAGGAGTGTCCCAAGTTCTCCTGCGGCTTGGGGCTCCCTGAGCCTCCCTGGGCCTGCACCCGGGGCAGAGTGTCAGCCGGGGGTGGTGGGGTCAGCTGGCCCTGGGCTCCCTCCTTCCCGCCATCATTCCGTGGCTCGAGGAGGTAGACTGGGGGCTCACCCATCCCAGCCAGGGGGTCCTCTGACCCAGGGGCTGAGGGGTCCAATGCGCCTCATCCCGGCACCAACAGTCCCTGGGCTGCAGCCGAGCCCTTTTGTTTCCTGGCTGCCCCAGTGCTGACTCGCTGCACATGTGGCTCCTGCAGGCCTGCTGCTGGGCAGCTGAAGCCGCAACAACCTCTCAGCCCACCCTGGATGTTGGGAGAAGTTGGGAGCATAAGGTGACCCTCACAGAATCCACTGCCAGAATCAGGCCCAGGTGCTGTCTTGGGAGTCAGAAACTCAAGGTGGCCGTCAGCCAGCCCTTCCTTCCTCTGGCAGGCTGACTGCCAGGTTCTCTGCACTGCCGACACACCCGGATCCCCCAAACCATCAGCCCTTCCCCTCCACGCCCCTCCTTAAGCTAACTATAGCAGGGCTGGGCAGTCCCACAAGAGGTCAAAGCAGACAGTAGGTGACTCCAGTCAGAAGCTTCACTCTCACCTCAAGACTGCAAAGAGCTGCCCACCACTGACAGGAGAGACATGTGGGCCCGCTCCCCTGGCCACCCCTGGGATCTGGTCATGGAGTCACTGCATGGGGTGTCCATGGGGTGAAGTGAAGGACCCCACATGTTACCTAGCCTGCCTCTCTCCCTGTAGAAATGCTGGCTTTGAGGAAACCAGGGACCAGGGCCTCCCCTCCTCCCCACCCAGGTCCAAGTTGACACTGGCGAAATGCTGTGACCTCTCCCCAAGGTCCCATAAAGCACCT
This sequence comes from Homo sapiens, assembly GCF_000001405.40. Taxonomy (NCBI): domain Eukaryota; kingdom Metazoa; phylum Chordata; class Mammalia; order Primates; family Hominidae; genus Homo; species Homo sapiens. The sequence continues at coordinate 82,313,497 of NC_000015.10, read as the reverse complement.
GTCAGCCCAGAAAGGTTCTTAGAGTTCTTCAGGTCAACCCTCTTGGACAGGCCAGTCTAGGTTCTTAACCACCAAACAAAACTCTTCTCTGCTTCCAATCCCACCCCCCACCCCAGTAATCCCTCTTCCACTGGAGGCCAGTATCCTTGCTCTTACATCCCTAATGGACCTGGTCACATCCCTGCTTAAGCCCCACAGTGAGTGGACTTCTAGAAAAACATGGCACATTGAGCAGACAGATTTATCGCTGCTTCCTTCCAAGACTCCACTATAATGACAGTAGAGGAAATAAACAAGGCATAAATCCATAAGGGGTGATGATGAGTAATGAAGGATGTCAACAAGATTCTGGAAGCTGGGAAGCAGATGGCCAGGCAGTAGCTGACTTGCTAGAGTGATGAAAGCTGAGAGTCAGATTCCTGCAGGGGGGAACCACCCAGAAGCAGAAGCCCGAAAAGGCTCAGGAACTGAGTTTGCAGGGACTCCTCAGGGCCTTACGGCCAGGAGGGCTGAAGACAGTAGGGCTGAAAGTCTGTAAGAACCGATCAGACCCTAGATCCCCTCCCCAACCCTGAGTAGCCAAGTGACGGCCACCTGCCACCCAGCAGAGGGCCAGGGATCACTTCCTGGAGAGGGTGAACCAGGAGGCTCTGGCCCAGGAACGGTGGACACACATGAAGGCCCAAGGCAGAAGGACCTACAGAGAAAAGGGGACAAGCAAAAGTCTACACATTGAAGGGTAAGAAACACGCCAAGCCCCTTTCCCACTTGGATGCTGGAATGCTGCAGCCAGACATACACTCTCCCAGGAAAAGTCGAGAGGATTCCTCTCAGGAAACTGAATCACTCAGAAAAATGACCTCAGATAGTGACATTAGAGGATCTCCCCAAAATAGCCCCATCTGAACCAGTCCTTCAGCAGTGACTTGGAAAAGTCCTGCCCAAGTCCACAAACTGCCCAATTAGTGTCTCTGCATCTCCTTGCTATATATGAAATACAGCCAATGCATTTTAAGAAAACTTTTCTTTGAGACAGAGTCTCTCTCTTTTGCCCAGGCTGGAGTACAGTGGCAGAATCTTGGTTCACTGCAGCCTTTCCCTCCCGGGTTCAAGCGATTCTCCTGCCTCAGCCTCCTGAGTAGCTGCAATTACAGGCATGAGCCACCATGCCCAGCTAATTTTTTGTATTTTTTTTAGTAGAGACAGGATTTCACCATGTTGGTCAGGCTGGTCTCGAACTCCTGACCTCAAGAGATCTGCCTGCCTCGGCCTCCCAAAGTGCTGGGATTACAGGCGTGAGCCACCATGCCTGGCCAAGAAAACTGTTAACATGAAACAAATATATTTTTTTAAATAACCCAAAGGAAATAAAAACATTTCAGGGAACAGAAGAAAAAAGTCAAATCCGTGTAAGTAATAACCTCACAGAGATAAGAGAACACACTGTACCCACAAAACAGGAATAGGATCAAAAGGTGCACAGGTTGAGTATCTCCAATCCCAAAATCCAAATGCTCCAAAATCCAAAACTTTTGGGCACTAACATGATGCTCAGAGGAAATTCTCTTTGGAGCACTTCAGATTTTGGACTTTCAGACTGGGGATTCTGAACTGGTAAGTATAATGGAAATACTCCAAAATAATAAAAAAAAAAAATCCAAAATCTAAAACACTTCTGGTCCCAAGTATTTCAGATATGAGACACGCAATGTGTATTTAGTGAGTGAGAAAGTTCAAGAAATTAAAAGTACAATGAAAAAAATCAAAAATTTAATAGAGGGATTGTAAAGTAGAGTCAGATACCTCCTAGAAAATAGAGATGGCTAGGCACGGTGGCTAACGCTTGTAATCCCAGAACTATGGGAGACTGAGAGAGGATTCCAGGAGTTCAAGTCCAGCCTAAGCAGCATGGCAAAACCCCATCTCTACAGAAAAATTAAAAAATTAGCTGAGTGTGGTGGCATACACCTGTAGTCCCAGCTACTTGGGATGCTGAGGCAGGAGGATCATTTGTGCCTGGGAGCTCGAGGCTGCAGTGAGCCATGATTGTGGCACTGCACTCCAGCCTGGGCAACAAAGCGAGACTCAAAAGGAAGGAAGGAAGGAAGGAAGGAGGGAAGGAAGGACGGAAGGAAGGAAGGAAGGGAGGGAGGGAGGGAGGGAGGGAGGGAGGAGGGAAGGAGGGAGGGAGGGAGGGAGAGAGGAAGGGAGTGAAAGAGAGAGAAGGGAGAGAGGGAGGATAGAAAAGAAAAGAGAAAGAGATGAAGAAGTGTAAAATGTTTAAAAATAAGAAAGTGAGAGAATAGCTGAATATTAAGGGTTCCAGAAAGAGAAAATGTAAGAAAGTTATCAAATCAATAATACACCAACAGTTCAATCACTGAAGGGCACAAGTTTCTAGATTAAAACAGTCCAATGAGTGCTCCCTCAAATTAAAATAGACCAAGGCATATATTTAAAATTTAAAATCACCAAAAAGAGAGAGAGAAAGAGAAAGAGTCCTAAAAGCTTCCAGATTTTTTAAAAGGTCACATTCAAATCCAAATGGTATGGGACCTCTTCAGAGCAATGTTGGAAACTAGAAGACAACAGAAAAATGCCTTCAACATTCTGAGGAAGAGTCACTTCCAACCCAGAAGTTGATATCAAATCAAAATATCAATCAGATGTGAGGGAAGAATAAAGACACTTTGAGACAGGCAAACCATTTACCTCCATGCGCTCTTTCTCAGAAAGCTACTTGAGGATGTGCTCCACCAAAACAAATTAAAAAAAAAAAGGTACCTGCCCATAAAAAAAAGTAGCATGGGATCCGAGAAACAGGACCCTCCATGAATATTTTGGGGCAGGCATAGAAAGCATCCAGTCTAAACTGGAGGACAGAGGGAAGTTGGGAGGAGGGTCCAGGAAAGAAGGGAACGGCTGGATTATCTGGTAGAGATTACCTTTGGGAAAACTGGATTAAGAGACATCTTATAAAACTGTTAAAGGATCTGGAAGGCCTGGAGAAGCAATGAAAACCAAGCAAATAAAAGCTTGTTCTTACAAAGAAATGCCGTCTAGATGGGGCACAGTGGCTCACGCCTGTAATCCTAGCACTTTGGGAGGCTAAGGTGGCGAATCACTTGAGGTCAGGAGTTTGAGACCAACCTGGCCAACACAGAAATCCCGCCTCTACTAAAAATACAAACATATGCTGGGCGTGGTGGCAGGTGCCTGTAATCCCAGCTACTTGGGAGGCTGAGGCATGAGAATAGCTTGAACCTGGGAGGTGGAGGCTGCAGTATGAGCCGAGATTGCACCACTGTACTCCAGCCAGGGCAACAGAATGAGACACTCTCAAAATAAAAAATAAATTAAAAAAAAGAAATGCCATCTTATTACAACACTTAGTTCAGCCATCAAGATTTACAGCCATAATAATGAAAATGCAGAATATGGACTTAATCCAAGTATGTTAACACTAAATTGGGATGAAAGGTGAGGGGACAAATGTACGTATAGGAAGTGATGCAAGGGTGCTAAATCCCAACCTTCTAGATAATATCTAAACTGGAAAATCAATAAATGAGAGTCTAGCAGTGCTTTTCGGAAATAGGAAAGTAAACACAAGAAAGAGCTAAAAGTGTTAAGTTTGAAGGTGTTTGCCTAGCAAAAAGCAATGGAGGGTGGGGAGAAGTGGGGCAGGTATGCAATGCTCTGCTGTTGCCATCTTCTATTCTTTTTTTTTTTTTTTGAGACAGAGTTTTTTTGCTCTTGTTGCCCAGGCTGGAGTGCAGCAGCTCAATCTTGGCTCACTGCAGCCTCCACCTCCCGGGTTCAAGCAATTCTCCTGCCTCAGGCTCCTGAGTAGCTGGGATTACAGGCATCCGCCACCACACCCAGCTAATTTTTTATATTTTTAGTAGAGAGGGGGTTTCACCATGTTGGCCAGGCTGGTCTAAAACTCCTGACCTCAGGTGATCCACCCACCTCGGCCTCACAAAGTGCTGGGATTACAGGCGTGAGCCACTGCGCCTGGCCAGTAAGCAAGGTCTGATGGGACAAAGAAGCCTGTGTCTGAACAGAGGAGACACAGGCAGTGTCTGTGTCCACCATTCCTTGCTGCCCCACTTGCATCTAACATTTACTTTGGTCCATGTCAGAATCTATAATGTGTAGGAGTTCGGTGAGACTCAAAGCAATTAGAAGATAAACATGTTATGTCAACAACTGAGTAAGGGACAGGGGGCACTGACAGGCCCAGAGGCTGCATTTTCCATTTGAACCATTACTTCAAATGCAGAAAGAAGACAATGACCAAGAAGCCCCATCATCCTTTCTCTCCCATGTTAACACCCCTGTATTAGCCAACTGCTATGCAGAAAATGAAGACATGGGAGGAAAGAGAACCCCATAGTTCCTTCTCCTTTCAGTCTTTCCATCTTCATCGGTAAGAAAAGGTAGAGAGCCTGGGTAGAATGTGCACATATCAAGGAGTGAGATCAAACCAATTGAGATAGTTTTATTCTATCTCATCATCTAGTAAATATCAGCTACAAAAGACGAATTGTGTAATTTTGGTTACCCTGCATACAAGTTAATACAGCTGACTTTTGAACAACGGGGTCCACTTATGTGTGGATTTTTTTCCACCTCTGCCACCCCAAGACAAGAAGATCACCCCCTGCCTTTCTCCTCCCTCCTCAGCGTACTCAACATGAAGAGGATGAGGATGGAGATCTTTATGATGATCCACTTCCACTTAATTAACAGTGAACGTATTTCCTCTTCCTTATGATTTCAATAACATTTGCTTTTCTCTAGCTTACTTTATTGTAAGAATATAGTATATATTATATATAACATACAAAATATGTATTAACTGTTTATGTTATCAGTAAGGCTTCCAGTCAACAGTAGGCTATTAGTAGTTTTGGGCGAGTCAAAGTTATACATGGATTTTCAGTTGCACAGAGGTCAGCACCCCTGACCCCCAAGTTGTTCTGGGTCAACTGTACTCTTACATTTGCATTTAAAACTGGCACTGCACAAAATAAAGATGAATGGTAAAATTTATGCTAATAATTTAAATGTAAAACTTTTTCTTACTTAGAACAACATTAAATAGCAAATTAAAAAGCAAAACAAAGCAAAACAAAACCAGCAGAACAGGCTGGGCATGGTGGCTCACGCCTGTAATTCCAGCACTCTGGGAGGCCGAGGTGGGCAGATCACCTGAGGTCAGGAGTTCAAGACCAGTCTGGCCAACATGACAAAACCCCGTCTCTACTAAAAATATAAAAATTAACCAGGCATTGTGGCACATGCCTGTAGTTCCAGCTACTCAGGAGTCTGAGGCAGGAGAATCGCTTGAACCTGGGAGGCAGAGGTTGCAGTGAGCCGAGATTGCACCATGGCACTCCAGCCTGGGCAATAGAGTGAGACTCTGTCTCAAAAAACAAACAAACAACAACAACAAGAACATCAGAACAAGTGAAGAGAACATGAAAAAAAGGAGAAAGCTTTGTATTTCAGTTCCCTTAGTGGCCCCTTCTTCCTGCCTCTCACTGGACACTGTGGCTGGCCCTCGCCTCCTCCAGCCTTATTTCCTACGCAGCCTTGGCTCCCATAGCCTCGCTCAGGGTTCTGCCGTTCCCTGAAAGCTCTCCCACTCCTTTACGGTTCTGCCGTTCCCTGAAAGCTCTCCCACTCCTTTACCGCTGCAGGCCTTTCTCAGGCTTCCTCTACCAGGAACGCCATTCTTCTCCCTTCTGCACATGTGTGAATTCTCACTCCTTCTCCAAGTTCAAGCTCAAGTGTCCCTTCCAGGAGGACATTTGGGATGCCAGCACATTTTTGCCAGATGCCCCTCTGCTTCCTTCTACCCTGGCCCTGCAGTATGACTGTCTGCATCTCCCCCATTAGACCTTGACCTCACAGATCAAGACCTTGCCCTTCTGCTTCCCTCTACCACGGCCCTGCAGTATGACTGTCTGCATCTTTCCTAGTAGACCTTGACCTCATGGATCGAGACCTTGCCCCTCTGCTTCCCTCTACCCCGACCCTGCAGTGTGACTGTCTGCATCTCCCCCATTAGACCTTGATCTCATGGATCAAGGCGTAGGGGCTCAGGGCTGGGGGAGGGACTTACTCAAGGAACCTGGTGATGTACTGGCAGCTGCAGCAGGACCAGGTGAGGGGAGCGGCGTCGTACGGGAGCTGTGGAAACATGATGAAAGGCTGTTTCCAATGGGTTCACAGTCATTGCTGCTTCCATCATGCTGAATGCCAAAACTGTGTGAGAGCACAGGCCCCAAGGGCGGGTAAGCCGGCGGGAGGCTTCTAGCCTGCCCTACCCTGGAGAACCACAAGGTGCATAGTCCTAGTTCCCAGGGCTGGTTGTGCCACTCAATGGCCACAGCCTTGAGAAAGTCACATTCTCTCGCTGAGCCTCAGTTTCTTTAATGTAAAATGAGGGTATGACAGCTAGTATCCCAAGGGCTCCTACTCCGGCCTGAGCCTGAAATGAGGGCCAGGGACCCAGAGCAGCCCTGCTCCAGCCCGGGGACTGGCCAGCAATGGCAAATCAGGTGGCACAGATGTGGGCCCGTGATGGCCCCTGCAAGCTCACTGGCCTCAAGAACAGTCTGACAGCGGTTCCCACTCACAGGTCCTTGTCCCAAGGCTGTGCACTTGAGTTAAGGCATCTGAGCTGCTGTATCACAGAAAGGTCTCCAGAGACCATCCTTGGGAAGGACATGAGAAAAATTATTTCCTGAGCATCTACTATGTGCCGGGGCCATGCTAAGCACTTTCAGAAACACAGTCTCACTCAGTTCTCATTATTACCCTCAGGAAGGCTCAGAGAGTCTAAGGAACTAGCCAGGGTAACACAGCCAGGAAATTGTAGTACTGCGGCAGGCTGTTCTTTCTGCAGCCATAAGCAGCTTCAAGGTCCTGCAGGCACGGCCATCACCCACAAAACCCGGACATCTGAATGGATGACCCCAACAGCTTTGACCCACAGAACCCTCTGGGAGCCTGCCTTTGATGGCTTTCTAGACAATCTAAGATGCTGCCATATTCGCCAGCTCAACAGCCAGGGCACAGGTGGCTGGAGGCCTGTGAAGACAGGAGCCTTAGGCAGCGGTGTCAGATAGAGGGAGCCTTGGACATCACTGAATCCAAACCCCTCAATCTATGGGAAGCACACAGAGGCCCAGAGAGGGCAGGCACTGGCCCAGGCCACAGAGCAAACAGGAACAGGGACAGGGATCGAGAGTAAAAAATACAGCACTGAGGGCAATGGGGAGGGACAGCCAAAGACCTACAATGACTTTCCAGCCCATCACAACTCCCCTTTAAATAAGACTCCCTCCAGGCCAGTCCCAGAGATGCCCAGGCAGGACTCTCTCCTGTTTAACAGGGAAGCCTGGTTGTGGGGAGGGCACAGTGCAGGGGCAGCACATGGCCAGACAGTCGGGGCTTCTTCTCCAGAGAGCTTCCTTTCCCCTGGACTTTGTGACCCACAGGCTGGATACCCAGTGCTCTCAGGCTGGGAGGGTGAATCTCGACTCTCAGTGTAGCAATAGGGGCAGGCACGGTACCTGTGCTCAAGACTGTTCTTGAGGCCAGTGAGCTTGCAGGGGCCATCACAGTGAAGGTCAGCGGCAGGCCCATGTCCTCCTTGATGTTGCAGCTACGGTGCAGCTGGCACATGCCCACCACATGGGACAAGCCCAGGGTCTCACAGGGCCAGTTCATGGCTGCACACAGGTCCTTCCTGCACAGGCAGAGAAGCGGCCTTCAGGCTAACCTAGCGAGTGCCAGGCCCACCTGAGTTAAGGCCAGGGAAGGGTCACCCCCAGTTGATCCCAAGTGAAAAGGATGTCCTTCCCACCATTCTGTGACATGAGGCCAGCACAGTGGCCACTTGGGAAGGAGGTATTCTCATTCACACACAAGCCACTGGGCATCTCTTTGGCCCTCAGGAACACAGACCTGCACAGAATAATTTTGGTTACTATCCAGCAGGGGCACTGACAGAAGCTGCCAGAGTCCAGCAGAGGGAAAATAACTGCCTCTGGACAGATCAGCAGTTGCCGGAGGTTAGGGGAGGAGGGAGGAAGGTGGCTGTGACTATAAACGGGTAGCACGAGACATCCTTCTGATGGGACAGATCTGTATCTAGACTGTGGGGGTGGGTAGGTGAACCCACAGTGATGAAACTGCACAGAACTGAATACACACACACACACACACACACACACACACACACACAGGGAAGTACATGTGGAACCGATGAGACCTGAGTAAGTCTGTGGATGGTATCAGTGTCAGTTTCCTGATTGGGATACTGTGCTGTAGTCATGCAAGATGTTACCACCGGGGGAAATGGATGAAGGCTATACAGGCCCTCTCTCTATTATTTTTGACAAGAGTGTGAGAATCCACAATTATTTCAAAATAAAAAGACCTCCCTAAGTGCGGACAGAATCCAGCCTTGGGCCAAAGGTGCGCAAACTCTCCTCAAAATGGGGCTCCCTGACAGCACGGCCCCCTCCTCCACCAGGGCTTCTTCCCTAGGGCTGGGAAGCACCTCCCTGAGATGCAGGCTCCCACCCTCCTGCAGCTGCAGTACCTGATGAGCAGGATGGCAGTGTCATGCTGCAGGGGGTGGGCGTCTCCCTTCATGTTGATGCTTTTCTGCCACTTGCAGAAGCTCTTCAGGGTGTTGTCTGCATGGTGCATGATCTTTAGGTCCTCCTGGGGGCAGAGAGAGTGACTGCTCATGCCTCCCCTGAGTTCCAAGAAGGTCAGGCCCAATTCTCCCCCATACAAAGGCAGGAGACAGAGGCCCAGCAGGGCAGTGGGAGGCCCGCAGGCACCAGTCCAGCTTCCGGCCTGACCACCCCTCCTGTAGGAACCTCCTGCAGGAGACCTGGGACCTGAGAGAGGGTCAGTCAGGAACCAGGGAGTGGCAGGGGACACAGTCCAGTCCAAGGAGGCCTTCACTGTGCCCTTCCATACAGAGCAGCACAGGTCATGGGGCAGGAGGGCTCTGGCAGCCGAAGCCATTGCCAGGCAGCGTGGGACCACATGACCGCTCACCTCCTCATCTTCCAGAAGGACCAGGAGCACAATGGTCATGTGGATGGGGTTCCCAATGCTGGGGTCGTGAAACAGGCCAGCCACCTGCCCAAGAGATGAGGGGGTCAGGCTGTCACCAGGATGAAGGATACAAGCAGCCAATGCCCACCCCAAGCCACCCACCCACCCAGGGCAATGCACACCTGTGCTCACACACAGGGACGCTCACACGGGTGCACACAGGCTGCACAGCGGATAGGCAATGCACATGCACCAATGCATGAGTGTCCCCACACCTCACACGCACTGCCCCAATGTGGCAGCAGCAGAACCTACAGAGGACAAGAGGCCTCCGACGCCCCTTCCCAGACCACAAATCTTTCCTAGACCACAGACAGGTAAGCTTGGTATCAGTCCCCAGCAAAGTGGCTCCAGAGGACCAGAAGCCCCTGAGGGTCTGCTCTGCCTGCCTGAGGACTGACCCAAGCTATATTCTGAGTCAGGGCTAGGGGCAGCTTAGTGCCACCACAAAGGCCTTCCCTCAGCATATATAACCTCACTGTCTCCCAGGAGCTATGGGGGTAATACAGGCATTGGGAGATGTTGGAGGGAGGCAGGGTCTTAATTGGCTGATCAACTCAACCAAGTAACATTGGTTAATGGCCCAAGGTCAATGTGGGGTGTTTCAACTGGATAAATGATATCCAGGGAAGCCCAGCCCTGTTCTGCTGCAGGTCTGGAGAGCATGCCAGAGGTGTGCAGTGTTTGTGAAGGTAAGATCTGGAGGTTACAGATAACCACAGGCTCCTGGTGAGCTGAAAGTGTGACAAGAGCCCCTCGAAAAGGGCTTGTGGCCTCAGAGAGTAAGAACAGAATTGGGGGTGAAAATGGGGTGAAACTGGCTGAGCACGGTGGCTCATACCTGTAATCTCGGCACTTTGGGAGGCTGAGGTGGGCAAATCACGAGGTCAGGAGCTCGAGACCAGCCTGGTTAACATGGAGAAACCCCATCTCTACTAAAAATACAAAAAAATTAGCTGAGTGTGGTGGCATGCGCCTGTAGTCCCAGCTGCTCAGGAGGCTGAGGCAGGAAAATCGCTTGAACCAGAAGGCGGAGGTTGCAGTGAGCTGAGATCACGCCACTGCACTCCGACCTGGGGGACAGAGTGAGACTCCATCTCAAAAAAAAAAAAAAAAAAAAAGAAAATAGGGTGAAAAGGGACCTGTCTTGCTATCCTTGGGACAAACCCACCCAAGCTCTAGGACTCAGATCTGAGTCTAGCACAGGGAGAACACTGATAAATTGGGGTCTGTAGGTGGCGTTGGTAAAGAAAGATGAGGCTGTCCTGAAGGTGGCTGTGGGTCAGATACTGCAGCAGCCAAAAAAATAGCCACAGCCAACCTTGATCGAGCCTAACATGTACAGTCCCTGTGCTGGGGGCTTAGCATGCATTATCTCATTTAATCTTACTTCTGAGGTAGGCACAATTATCCTCATTTTACAAATGAAGTAACTGAAGCTCAAAGAGAGGGTGAAGCTGGGCTCAGAACCCAGGTTTCACTGCTTCAAAGCCCCTGCTTATTTCCTAAATTTGGGGAATGCTGCCTGCCTATTCTGTTGGGGATTCTCAATGAATATTTACTTTGAGGGCTCTGAGAAGTCCTGTAGTAACGAAGTCTGTTTTACCTTTTTTTTTTTTTTTTTTTTTTCGAGACAGTGTCTCACTTTGTCATCCATATGGAGTGCAGTTGCATGATCTCAGCTCACTGCAGCCGCTGCAGCCTCGACCTCCTGGGCTCAAGCAATCCTCCCACCTCAGCCCCTCAAGTAGCTGGGACTACAGGTGTGCACCACCATGCCTGGCCCGTTTTACTTTTTTTAACCCTGTGTGGCCAAACTTATTCAACAGCAGCATCTTTTTTTTTCACAGTGCACTACTGGCATTCTTTGGAACACACTCCCTGAAATATTCCTTGGGAAATGCTACAATGAGACAGAGTCCCCACATGCAGAATCATGCTCTTCCACATCCATCACCTTATCCCAGGTAGAGCGATGGCTCTCAACAAGTCAGTCTTAAATAAACATCTGATCCTGAGGGAACATCTGTTCCCCATCCTTCTGGCCCATCCTGGCCCAGGGCACACGTCTCCAGGGCTTCTCCTCAGCGAGTTCTCTGGGGCACTGGGAACCACACAGGGATCAGAGGCGAGGGGCCTGAATTCCCCTCCTGGCTCTGCCCCAAACCTGTGCTGTGTGGCTCTGCCTGACCACTTTCTTTCTTTGATCTTGAGATTCCCTGACTAAAAATAGGAATAAGTTGATCTGCCTCATGGGGGGACCTCAAAGGGTAAATGAAATGGTGGATATAAACGCAGTAAAGTACTGTGTCCATGGGAGGGGAACTCCTGGGCTTGACAAAGCTGGCTACTGGGCCCCTATCTCCCCGTGTCACTTCCTCCCACCCTGGGGGCTTAGTGCATCTCAACACTGACCCCTGACCCCACCCTCTAAACCCCAGCCTGGGGAGGCTGGCCAAGACCCAGCCCAGCTTGCCCTACTGAGCCTGCTCCCCTGACCCAGGCTGCTCCAGATCAGAAGAGGAAGCACATCTATGAAGCTGGGGAAAATGAGGCCAAGAAGCATGCCTCTGTGGATATGTGCTCCAGCAAATGGAGTACCAGAGCTGTGGGCAGCCTGAGATTGGCATGCCAGCCAAGCATTCCCCAAATCCCAGCAACCCTTAGCAGGCAGCTCTTCACCTGGACTGGCCGGCACTACTGCTGCTCTGCAGAGGAGGCACTGGGTACCACACTCCAGGTCCCAATAATAGAGGTTAGTTATTCTAGGGTGGGAGCAGGGTGGCATGGGGAGGGAGGTTCCTGGCTAATGGCCCTGTTGGAGCTGGGCATGGCTCACCTGGTCTGGACACTGGAGGGAGAATGGCTGGCAGAGCCAGGTGCCATAGGCTTGGTGGGGAGGGAGCAAGAGGGAGGTTGAGCCCCAAGGTGGGAGAAGTAGGTGAGATGGAGAGAGGGAGGTCAGTCTAGGGGACTGACTGGGACAGGCCTGAAAGGCAGAGGACACAGTCTTGTGGCACAATTAAGGGCACACGCTATAGTGATGTATCCGTCTGTCTGTCTGTATCCTCTGGTCTAAGGGACACCGAGCATGGGCATGTTACGAGGGGCTTCTAGAAAGGCCCCTTCATGTCCCCAGGCCTAGCACCTGCCTGAGAACTGGGAGTAGAAGAGCATACCTTGCACCCCACAGGTACTTGGAGCACTGGAATCACCCCGCTGTGCCAGCCTCTCCGGGGCCGGATGCTTGTACACCACATGGGGCTGGGCATGGCTGGGCCAGGCTGGGGCACCGTCCAGGGGCTGAATGAAGTAGTCCTTGTTGGAGAGCAGGAACACACCTTTCTAGGGAAGAAGCACCAGGGTCACACAGGGAGGGCTGGCCCTCAGCTGCTCTTCCTGCACGTCCCAGAGGCCCATCCTGCTCAGCTGAGCCCCCACTGCCCACATCATCTGTGACTGCCCACAGACACCCTGCACTTTCCGCCTGCTGGGCCTTTGCTCACTCTGTAGCCTCCATCTGGAAAGCCCTTCTCTGCCATTTCACACACAGCCAAACCTTCAAAGCGGAGCTCAGAAGCCTCCGCCCCTGGGGATGCTGCCCCACACACCCACCCTATTAGGAGAGGAAAACGGGTCTGCACCCAAATCTGACAAAATGGTGTCTTCCAAAGTCCCAGACAGCTGTCCTGAGCAGGGCAGCTTGTGCCCAGGCCTCCAGGCTATTCTGCGTCTTCTCTGCAGGCCAGCCATTTCCAGCACTGTGCTCCCTCCCAGCTGGCCAGGGCTTCTGACCTTCCCTCTATCTCCCTAAGGTAATGAATCACTCCAAAAGCATCCACACCCACACCCGAGTGGCGGAGATGCCCACGGCCACCAGGACACCCTGTTCTCTGGGCCCAGGGCTGCCCAGAGAAGGGAAGCTGGCAGGAGTGTCTTGGACATGTCCGCCAACATTCAGAGTCCAGGGAGGGGAGGGGCCCCAGGAAGCATCTATGATGCCCACTACCTCCTGAGGAAGCTCAGGGCTCCAACAGGAAAGAAGGTTTTACATCCCTCGGACTTCCCCTCATAGGCACCAATTCTGCCCCTTGAGTCACACAGGACCAGGGGGCCTGGAGGGAGGGCTGGAGAGTGCATCAGCTCTTGGGTCTGGAGACCTGGGTATGAATGCGAAGTCCCCCCCTCCCGCCCACCACTCACTGAATGACTAGGTGAGCCTGGGCAAGTTCCCCTCTGAGCCTGTTTCCTCATCTGTGAAATGGGAATGATGCCCCATGTGCACAGCTGTGGCACAGGCTCAACAAGATCAATTGTACATTAAGGGACAGGCACAGGCTCCATAAATGGGAATACTGTGCAGGGCAGATGGGCCTTCAAAGGTCCAGACGTTGTGCAGCTTGCGTTGTGGGCTGCCCTGTCATTAGGCCCTGTGCGGCCACAGCCCATGGTTTTTGCCTGAGCAATCTAAGCTGAGGGCCTCCTGGGAACAGTGGACGCTGAGAGTGTGCACACATCCCCTACTCCTCCCAAACCCCCACCCTCCAGAGCTGGGAGAGTGGGGCTGGTCACCTGAACACGAACAGAAAGGGGCCCTACTCTGCCTGGAGTGGAAGCTGCTCTAATCAGCACCCAATCAGGGAGCAATTAGGGCTGCAGTAGCCAGCACCACCCTTCAGCCAGTCGAAACCAGGAAGCTGAGGCCTGCTTTTCCCGGAGCTCTGATCCGAGCAGAGGGGCTGAAAGGGGTTCCTCACCACACCCTGCAGAATGGCTACAGGGTGAGGGGTGGCTTTCCTGGAGAAAAGCAGCCTAAAGGGACCTGTGAAGGAACAGTCATAACTGATGCCCCAAGGAAGAGAAGTCAACTGCTTTTTCAGTTACTTAGTCCAGTCAAACAGAGGTTCTCAAAATGGGATCTCTGGACCTGCATCTTCAATATTACCTGAGACGTTTTCAGAAATCCAAGTGTTTGGGCGCCATTCCAGACCTACCCTGCAAAAATTCTGTTTAAACAGGGCCTGCAGGTGATTTGAGCTCATATTAAACTTTTCTTTTCTTTTCTCTTTCTTTCTTTCTTTTTTTTTTTTTTTTTTAGTGCCTGGGGTCTCGCTGTGTCTCCAGCTAAGCGCCATGATCACACCCTACGTCCTACATCCTTTAACTCCTGGGCTCAAGTGATCCTTTCGCCTCAGCCTCCCAAATAGCTGGGACTACAGGTGCACCACCACCCGGCTTTCACATTAAACTTTGAGAACTGTTGTCCTAGAGATGAACGAGGCCTGCGTTGTCACTCCCACTTTACAGGCGTGAATACCGAGGCTGGCAGAGAAAAAGTGCACTGGGCAAAGCCACCAGACAAGTGCGTGGCAAGGCTAGAGCCAATCTCCACATCCCACCACCCGAGACTGCCCCAAGTATACATGTCCCAGCTCACTCACCAGGCCGTCGCAGGCGCTGATGGCCGCCAGGCCACCCTCGAGCTCGGAGTCCTGCACCTCGCCAAGCAGGTGGCAGGCGGGGGTGTGGGCCCGGATGTGCGCGCGACCCAGGGCGCCGCGCCGCGGCATCTCGCTCACAAAGCCGGGCGCCAGCAGGTGCTGATTGGCGGTCAGGTTGAAGCGCAGCTCGCGCCTGCGGTATTGCAGCGGGTAGAAGGCGGGCGCGTCTCGGCGCACAGATACATCCCGCTTGCGCAGTGCGCGGGGCCGCAGCTCACAGGACAGGAAGGACCCCCCAGCGTCCACGCGAACCTGGTGCACGATATCCGGTGCCGCCCGGCCCTCGGTTACACTTCCTGCAGGGAGGGAACCACAAAGGCCTTAGGCCCAGGGCAGACCGGGGTCCTTGCTGGTGGCCAGGGACCAGAGGGGAGCGGCCAAGAGGGGGCTGCTGGAGTCAGAGTATCTGGATTCAAATCCTCGCTGGGCTATCTACTAACTCTGCTATTTCATCTTTCCGTGCCTCAGTTTCTCCATCTGGATTGTTGCAGTAACTCCTTTTGTTGTTGTTGTTTGTATTTTGGGTTTTTGGTTGGTTGTTTTGAGATAGTCTCGCTCTGTCGCCCAGGCTAGAGTGCGTGGCGCGATCTCGGCCCACTGGAACCTCCGCCTCCTGGGTTTGAGCGATTCTCCCACCTCAGGAGTAGCTGGGACTAGAAGCACGCACCACCACGCCCAGCTAATTTTTGTATTTTTAGTGGACACAGGATTTCACCATGTTAGCCAGGCTGGTCTCAGATTCCTGAGCTCAGGGGATATGCTGGCCTCAGCCTCCCAAAGTGCTGGAATTACAGGCGTGAGCCACTGCTGCCCGGCCTGGATTGCTGCGGTAACTTCTTAACAGGTCTCTCTGTTTCCACTATTGCCTACCCCAGGTGCCCCTCCCCTCATGTTTTCAATATAGCAGCCAGAGTCATTCAAAACCAGCCTGATCATGGTCCTTCTCTGCTCAAAATCCTGCAATGGTGCCCATCTCACTCGAGCAAAAGACAAAGTTCTGGCCTGTATGAGACGCTAGGCAAGGTGACCTGTCCAATCTCATTTCCAGCTACACCTTCTTAGTTCCCTCCACTCCGCCCACTGGCCTCCTTGCAGTTCCTCCACAGGCCAGACATGCTGCTGCTTCAGGATTTTGCATTGCTGTTCCCTACACCTGCAACACTCTTCCCTCTGTTTTCCACGTGGCTAAACCACTCACTTTTGAGTTCTTGCTCAAATGTCTCCTTCTCAATGAGGCCTCCTATAATGACTTTATTTTAAAATTGCAACTCCCTGGCTCTCCGTATCCCTCTTCCTTGCTTTATTTTTCCCCATAGCACTTCTGACATACCATATCACTTAGCATTTTCATTATTTTTTCTATTTATTTGTTTTCTCCCTCCCCTCCCAATGTAGTCTAGGAAGGCAAAAATCTTTATATTCTTTGCCCCCAGCTTTTTTGGAAACAGGGTCTTGGTCTGTCGCCCAGACAGGAGTGCAGGTGTGCAATCATAGGTCTCTGCAGCCTCCAACTCCTGAGCTCAAGCCATCCTCCCATCTCAGCCTCCCAAGTAGGGAGGGACTGGGACTACAGGTGGGTGCCACCACACTTGGCTAATATGTTTTTATTTTTAGTTTTTTTAAAATAGAGATGGGGTCTCACTATGTTGCCCAGGCTGGTCTCAAACAAACTCCTGGGCTCAAGTGATCCTTCTACCTCGGCCTCCCAAAGTGCTGGGATTACAGGTGTGAGCCACTGCAGCTGGTCCTGGATAATTTTTTTGTGTGTGTGTGGAGATGGGAGTCTTGCTATGTTGCCCAGGCTGGTCTTGAACTCCTGGCCTCAAGCAATCCTCCCACCTCAGCCTCCTAAAGTGCTGGGATTACATGTGTGAGCCACGACACTTGGCCCTTTATATTCTTTGTTGAAGATTTAAGTGTCAGAGGAAGTGTCCAGAACTTAGTCCTTTTTTGGTATTTGTTGAATGACTCTGTAGAATGTGGATAACCACAGCACTTACACTCTTGATGCTGCTGTGAGGATTAAACCAGGTGAGCTACTCCACATTTAGCAGTGCCTGAACCACTGGTTGAATATGATGGCAATTATGATTGTTATGATTATTATTAGCCTGATGGATTTAAAAATGTGCTCTCAGGTGCGTGAGCATTCTGCAAGTGTCTCCAGGCCTCCTGGAATGGGGAGACAGAGAAAGACCACCCCAGTGGGGCTGCCTGGCCCCTAACTGCCACTTCAACAGAGTGGCTCTGGTTTCTTTCTTTTACATGGAAGAATTCATTTAAAGAAAGGTTCCAGGGATGGAAAAAATTGGCAGACCTCTGCTCAGGCCCTTGCAGTTTAAAAACCCCTCTCTGTTGCTCTGTCCTCTAGGATTTCCCAATAAGGCCTGGATTCTTATCCTTTTTTGCCACAAACTCCTTCTCAGAACAATATTTTGAAATGCAGAAAATAAAATACATAGGAGTGGTTGGGCCCGGTGGCTCACGCCTGTAATCTTAGCACTTTGGGAGGCCGAGGCAGGCAAATCACTTGAGGTCAGGAGTTTGAGACCAGCTTGGCCAACATGGTGAAACCCTGTCTCTACTAAAAACACAAAAATTAGCCAGGCGTGGTGGCACATGCCTGTAATCCCAGCTACTCAGGAGACCGAGGCAGGAGAATCGCTTGAACCTGGGAGGTGGAGGTTGTAGTGAGCCGAGATCGCATCACTGCACTCCAGCCTGGGTGACAGAGGGAGACCCTGCCATAAAAAATAAATAAAATAAATAAAATAAATGCACAGGAGTACCAAGGAAATTGATTATATTGAAATACAGTTATCAAAATAATTTAAGACCAGGCAAGGTTGTTCATACTTGTAATCCCAGAACTTTGGGAGAACAAGGGGGGAGGATCACTTGAGCCTAGGAGTTCAAGACCAACTGGGCAACATAATGGGACCTTGTCGCTACACAGACACACACACACACACACACACATACAAAATTAGCCAGGCATGATGGTGCACACCTGTAGTCCCAACTACTTGGAATGTTGAGATGGGAGGCTCTCTTGAGCCCAGGAGGTCGAGGCTGCAGTGAGCCATGATGATGCCACTGCACTCCAGCCTAGGTGATAGAGTGAGACATTATCTCAAAAACAAAACATAACAAAACAAAAAATAATTTAAAAAGTAGGGTGTGGAATTATACTTTAAACAAGATTTTCTGGCAAATTAAACAACTATGGTTTTTTTTTTTTTTTTTTTGAGACAGAGTCTCTCTCTGTCACCCAGGCTGGAGTACAGTAGCTCAATCTTGGCTCACCGCAACCCCTGCCTCCCAGGTTCAAGCAATTCTTGTCCCTTAGCCTCGCAAGTAGCTGGGATTACAGGCACGTACCACCACACCCAGCAAGTTTTTGTATTTTTAGTAGAGATGGGGTTTTGCCATGTTGGAAAGGCTGGTCTTGAACTCCTGGCCTCAAGTGATCCACTCACCTCAGCCTCCAAAAGTGCTGGGATTATAGGCGTGAGCCACTATGCCCAGCAACTACGGAAATTTTGAAGTAGTGATGAACGTAAACCTTATTTCAAGATACATGCAACAACTGTAATGAGATAGAAAAATATTTGGTTTGTTCTATTGGTAACAAAATCACAGGTGCTGTTGGGATTTGCTAATAATATTCATAATTGAGGGAAATACTAAATTTCATTGAGAGGTTACAAAAAGTAAATATGTAATATTTTCCCATTCAAGCTCATGGATCCCCTCAGTTCACGGTCCCTTAGGCTGTGGACCCCAGGTTAGGACACCTGCAGTAGGGTGTCCAGACTGCTTCCTAGGTGAGAGAGCAAAGGGAGGCTCAGAGAGGTGGAGAGATTGGCCTAGAGCCACACAGTGACAGTGAGAGTGGCAGTGCTGAGACTGGGACTCAAGTCCCCCAAATGGTTTCAGTCTCTTCAGTAACATTGCTTTATATTCTCAACAGTCCATCCCTTACTGGGCCTCAGTTTCCCCATCGTTAATGTGAAAGAGTTGAATTAGATCACGTTTCTCAAATCTCTTTGGCCACCAGGTCTAGTCTCAAAAGAAATCTCATGTGCCGGGGGTGGGGGAGCCCTGGCATCCATGCTTTTCCCACTCTTTTCCCTCTCTGCAGTTCCCAGGCTCTAAAGAGCACAGTTAGGGAACTTGGCAATCTGGAGTTTCTCGATTGGGTTTATACCCAGCTCCCAGGATCCTGGCTGTTCACGACAATAGACTCCACGGGCTCACATGAATGCCTGAGTGCCCTGCTGACATCCCACCAGGATTCCTTCTGCTGCTGCCCAGCCCAAAGCTCCATCCCAGCAGGCTGCGGAAACCAAACCCGCCCTCCAGTCTGTCCCCTGCCAAACTGCATGTAGAGTGCCCTGCACACGTCAGTGCTGTGCCCCTGCTGAGAGCATCTCCCACTGCTCACAACTGCCCCAGCAGTGCCGGCCTCAAAGAGCTTTCTCTGAGAGTCAGGAGGTTGGATGGGCTGGGGCAACGTGCTATGTGGCTCTGAGCAAGTCTTCCTCATCACTGAGCCTCAACGGGCCACTAGTGCAAGGATTTTCCAGATCTCACAGATGAGTTTCTTAAAAACAAATTCCCAGGCCCCATCCCAGACTCACTATACCAGCATTTCCAGGAAACTAGGACTAGGGACTAGGAAGCTGTTTTTACCAAGAACCTCCGGGAGCTGTGATCCTCAGGAAAGTTAGGAAATCCCCCACTGGGAGTGAACCTGGCTGGTCATCAGCAGTACGTGGAGAGCTCTGAAAAACTGCAGATGCCCAGGACCCAGCCCAGAGATTCTAGTTCCACAGATCCAGGGCTCTGGGGGCCCTAGAATGTGTATTTTCTGTGTTTTTCTAGACCTTCCCAGGGATTCTGATCTAGCCAGTTCAGAGGCTGGCATTCAGAAACCACCGGACTGGATGATTTAAGGTGACTTCTTGCTCTGACATCCTAATAAGGACATATGGGACTACAACTCCTCAACCACAGCGTGCAGATTTGCTTGTGTTGATCAGTTATTGATTTTTTGGTTTGTTTTGGCTGACACAAATATTGAAAAATGTTTTAGTCAATTGCCAATGTTTAGGAATCACATGATCTTGTACAAAAATCTCAATTTTCAGCTTTTCTTGAAAAGTCTTATCATCCATCCATGTCAGGCTTAAATTGCTCCCTGGCAGAAGTGGCTGGGGTGGAGCAGTGAGTTCCCTTTAGGAAGGGCCTATGCTCCCCGGTCCTCAGTCCCCACCACTCCCTATTCATTCCCAGCACTGTGGCTGCAAGTAGGCTCCCTTTCCCATCATGCTTGTGTTTCCTTTCACTCAGTAAAGAACTGAGTCTCTAACAAAAGTGGGAAAACAAGAGATGGGCCAAGAAGCCCCATGTTTCAGGAAAAATCTGTCTCCCTACCCACCTCGTTTGCTCATTTATGTTACCTGCCTAGTCCATGGCATTTGGTATGTGACCCTTGGCTACTAACTGTGAGGGGGCACTAGGTGCTCCAAAGTCCAGGACAGTGGATAAGACACCATCCTTGCCTTCAAATGGAGAAATGGCCGGACGCAGTGGCTCACACCTGTAATCGCAGCACTTTGGAAGACCGAGGAGGGCAGATTGCTTGAGCTCAGGAGTTCCAGACCAGCCTGGGCAACACGGTGAAATCCCATCTCTACAAAAAATACAAAAATTAGCCAGGCGTGGTGGTGTATGCCTGTAGTTTCAGCTACTCTGGAGGCTGAAGTGGGAGGATCACTTGAGCCTAGGAGGTGGAGGTTGCAGTGAGCAGAGACTGTGCCACTGTACTCCAGCCTGGATGACAGAGCGAGACTCTGACCCCCACAAAAAAACAGAAAACAAAGCAGAAAAATGGGTGTGGTAGACCCAAGACCCCCACTCTGGCACAGTGCTGACAAGGTCCAAGCAAGGGGAAGGGATGGCACCTTATGAATGCGTTGGAATGAAGAAAAGTTTCATCAAGGAGGATGCATTTGAGATGTCCCTTAACATATGTTAATTCAACAGTGAAGACAAGGAGGGCCTCTTGGTGGTAGGGGCACTGTGTGGTAAACCCTCAGAGAAGTGGGGAAAAGCCAAAAGTAAGAATGGGCAACAAGAAGTTTAATCTTGGCCCAGGCATGTGTTTTGTAAAATGGGAGACAATGGATGGACAAAATAATGCACTGTCAAGAGCGTGGGCTTTGAAAGTAACAAGACCCAGGGCAGGCCCAAGTGGGCCGTTTAATAGTTGTATAATCTGAGTCACTGCATATTTGTGAGTTTCAGTTTCCTCATCTGAGAATCCAGGCCAGAAAACATAAGGAGGGGAGCCCAGGTCAAGGAGATGAAAATAACAGAGATAGGGAAGAACTACTTCCTAGGTTCACTCCCAGTGGGGGATTTCCTAACTTTCTCAAGGATCACAGTTCACGGAAGCTACAACTCCAAGACTTGTTTTTGTTTTTGTTTGTTTGTTTGTTTTTGTTTTTGTTTTGAGAGAGAGTTTCATTCTTGTCACCCAGGCTGGAATGCAATGGCGCGATCTTGGCTCACTGCAACCTCTGGCTGCTGGGTTCAAGCAATTCTGCCTCAGCCTCCCAAGTAGCTGGGATTACAGGTGCGAGCCACCACGCCCAACTAATTTTTGTATTTTTAGTAGAGACTGGGTTTCCCCATGTTGGCCAGGCTTCTCTTGAACTCCTGACCTCACGTGATCCACCTACCTCGGCCTCCCAAAGTGCTGGGATTACAAGTGTGAGCCACAGCACCTGACCTACTTTGGATTTAATTTGCCCTTCTTTTCTATTTTCTTCAGGTGTAAACTTAGAATCCTGATTTAAGATCTGTCTTCTTTTCTAATATATGTATTCAATGCCTTACATTTCCCCATAGCACTGTTTTTACTGTATCCCACAAGAAAGAGAGAGAAAGAAAGAGAGAGAGAAAGAGAGAGAGAGAAGGAAGGATGGAAGAAGGAAGGAAGGAAGGAAGGGGAAGGGGAAGGAAGGAAAGAAGGGATGAAGGAAGGAAGGAAAGAAAGAAAGAAAGTTGTTTAATTTCCACATATTTTGGGATTTTCCTGTTACCTTTCTGTTATTGATTTATAATTTAATTCCACTGTGGCATAAAAGCAGACATTGTATGATTTCTATGATTTTAAATGTGTTAAAGTGTGTTTTATGGCCCAGAATGTGGTCTATCTTGATGAATGTTCCATGTAAGCTTGAGAAGAATTGTAATCTGCTATTGTGGGATGAAGTTGTCTATAGACATCAATTATATCCAGTTAATTAATGGCCTTGTTAAGTCCTTGTTGATGTTCTGCCTGCTGAATCTGTCCATTTCTGATAGAGACGTGTTGAAGTCTCCTGCTATGATAGTGGATCCATCTATGTTTCCTACACTTCTATCAGTTTTTACCTCAGGGTGTTTGATTCTCTGTTGTTAGCACATACACATTAATGATTGTTATGTCTTCTTGGAGAATGGATTCCCATTGTCATTCTGTAATGCCCTTCTTTATCCTTGCTAAATTTCCTTGCTTTGAAGCTGCTCTGTCTGAAATTCATATAGCTATTCCTGCTTTCTTTTGATTAGTGTTAGCATGGTATGTTTTTCCTCTATTTATTTACTTTTAATCTATATGTATCTTTATATTTAAAGTGAGTTTATTGTAGGCAACATATAGTGTATAGTTGGGTTTTGTTTTTGATCCACTCTGACAATTTCTCTCTTTTAATTGGTGATTGACCATTGACATTCAAAGTGATTATTATATCAATATAGTAAGATTAATATCTACCATATTTGTTACTGTGTTCTATTTGTTGTCCTTGTTTTTGTTTCTATTTTTGACTTCCACTCTGTTTCCATCTTTTGTGGCTTTAATTGAGCATTTCATGATTCCATTTTCTTTCCCTTCTTAGCATATCCATCAGTTATACTTCTTTTTGTACTGTTTTCCCTAGGATTTGCAATACGTTTACAACTAGTTTAAGTGCACTTTTAAATAACACTCTACTGCTTCACAGGTAGTGTGAGTATCTTATAATAACAAAATTGTCCTAATTCTTCCTTCCTGTCCCTTGTATCATTATCATTCATTTCACTTATATACAAACATACACATCATTTATATACAAAAAATATATACATAATCAAATATATTATTGCTAATTATTATTTTGAACAAATGATGTTTGATCTATTGATCAGTTTGATCTGAATTGATCTATTAGATAAATTAAGAATAAGAAGAATAAAATTTTCATTTTATATTAACTTATTCCAGTGCTCTTCCTTTCTTGATATACATCCAAGTTACTGACATGTATCATTTTCCTTTTTCCCAAGGAACTTTTCTTTAACATTTCTTTCAAGGCATGTTTACTGGCAACTAATTCCCTCAATTTTTGTATGAGAAAGTGTTTATTTCTCCTTCACTTATGAAGAGTAATTTCACAGAATATAGAATTCTAGGTTGGTGGTGGGGTTTTTTTCCCCCTCTCTCAACACTTTAAATATTTCACTCCAGTCTCTTGCTTATACAATTTCTGAGAAGTTGGATGTAATTCTTATCTTGACTTCTCTGTAGGTAAGGTGTGTTTTCTTTTCCCTCTAGGTTCCTCCAGAATTTTCTCTTCATCTTTTGATTTTTTTTTTTCATAGTTTGTAACTTAGGTGGCTAGATGCAGTTTTTCTGTGGGCATTTATCCTGCTTGATGTTTTCTGAGCTTCCTGGATCTGTGGTTTGGTGTCTCACATTGAGAGAAATTCTCAGTCATTATTGTTTCAAATATTTCTCCTGTTTCTTTCTCTTCTGCTTCTGGAATTCCCATCACATGTATGTTACATCTTTTGCAGTTGTCTCACAGTTCTTGCATACTCTGTATTTTTTTTCACTCTTTTCCCCTTTTCAGTTTTGGTGATTTCCATGAGATAGTCTCAGGCTCAGAGATGTCTTTCCTCAGCAGAATCCAGTTTGCTAATAAGCCTGTCAAAGGCATTCTTCATTTTTGTTACAGTGTTTTTAATCTATAGCATTTCTTTTTGGTTCTTTCTTACAATTTCCATCTCCGATTAAACTGCCCATATATACAGAGCATATATACTAACCTGTGAATGCACACACACACACATCTATTTTTTTGTGTATCTGTGAATTCATACTGAAACCCTGGACACTATTTCAGCACCACAGGGTTCATTATAATCCGCAACTTTTTATTTTAAGTTCCAGGGTACATGTGCAGAATGTGCAGGTTTGTTACATAAGTAAACGTGTGCCATGGTGGTTTGCTGCACCTATCGACTCATCACCTAATTATTAAGCCCAGCATGCGTTAGCTCTTTTCCCTAATGCTCTCCCCGACCACGCTCCCCTGACAGGCCCCAGTAAGTGTTGTTCCCCTCCCTGTGTCCATGTGTTTTCATCTTTCAGCTCCCACTTATGAGTAAGAACATGTAGTATTTAGTTTATGTTCCTGCATTAGTTTGCTGAGGATAATGGCTTCCAGCTCCATCCATGTCCCTGAAAAGAACATGATCTCATTCCTTTTTATGGCTGTGTAGTATTCCTTGGTATATATGTATGACATTTTCTTTATCCAGTCTATCATCGATGGGCATTTGGGTTGATTCCATATCTTTGCTATTGTGAATAGTGCTATCTGCATCTTTTTCTTATTTGTAACTTATTTCTCTGATAGAAGCCTGGCTGTCATTATTTACACTATATTTTTTCAGTTCAACCTTATTATACTCATAGTTTAGAATTGATAACACATACCTCTGTCAGAGAAAAAAAATTACAAACTGGAGTACAGTGTTTATATACAATCATTTTTGTCTTTAGCTTTATAGTATCCAATCTGAACACTTGTCCGAAGTTACTTAGGTAATCTCCTTTCTTCTCAATGCCACATCCTGGGAGACAGTTTTTATAATTTACATACTGTGAAATTAACTCAGTGGATTCTAATGGTTTTGACAAATACAGAGTTGTGTATCAACCACCAATTTCTTTTTTTTGTTACTTTATTTATTTACTTTTTTATTATTATACTTTAAGTTTTAGGGTACATGTGCACAACGTGCAGGTTTGTTACATATGTATACATGTGCCATGTTGGTGTGCTGCACCCATTAACTCGTCATTTAACATTAGGTATATCTCCTAATGCTATCCCTTCCCCCTCCCCCCACCCCACAACAGGCCCCGGTGTGTGTTGTTCCCCTTCCTGTGTCCATGTGTTCTCATTGTTCAATTCCCACCTGTGAGTGAGAACATGCGGTGTTTGGTTGTTTGTTTTTTTGTCCTTGCAATAGTTTGCTGAGAATGATGGTTTCCAGCTTCATCCATGTCCCTACAAAGGACATGAACTCATCATTTTTTATGGCTGCATAGTATTCCATTCAACAACCAATATCTTAGTTCCACTCCACCCCAAATTCTTTTGTCCTGCTTCTTTGTAGTCAATTGCTCCTACCCCCACCCCTAGCAATCATTTACTATTTTCTGTCCCTATAGTTTTGCCTTTTCCAGAAATTTATATAACTTGAATCATAGAACATGTAGTCTTTTGGGTCTAGCTTTTTTCACTTACTAAAATACATTTAAGTTTTATGCATGCTGTTGGGTGAATCAACAAATGTTGAAACAACAAAATGTTGTTTGTTCCTTGAACTGGCTTTATATATGGATAGATGTTCACTCATTTACCAGTGGAAAGACATCTGGGTTGTTTCCTGTTTGGGGTGACTATAGATAAAGTTCTATAAACATTCATATACACATTTTTGCATAAACCTACATTTTTACTTCTCTTTGATGAACACCTAGAGGTGAGTTTTCTGGGTTATATGATATATGCATGTTTATAAGAAACTGTCAAACTGATTTCCAAAGTAGCCATACCGTTTTGCATTCTAATGAACAATGTGTGAGTGTTCCAGTTGTCCCAGACCTTTGCTAGTAAGTGGTATTATCAGGTTTGTGTGTGTGGTGGTATTTTTTTTTAAGCCTTTTTAGTAGGTATGTAGTGGTATCTTAGTTCAGTTTTTAATTTGAACTTCCATAATAACTTGATGTTAAGCATCTTTTCATGTGCTTCTTCGCCATCTTTTCTGGGTTGAATTGTGTCTATGACTAGAATCTTATTGGAAAATGGAGTCGTTGCAAAAGATCAAGTTAAGGTGAGGTTATCTGCATGGGCCTTCATACAATGTGACTGATGTCCTTATAAAAAGGGGAAATTTGAAAAGGGGAATTTGCATGCACACAGGGAGGACGCTGTGTGAAGATAAAGGCAGAGCTCTACAAGCCAAAGAACAACCAGCCCTGCCAACACCTTGATCTTGGGATCTGTGGTCTCTGGAACTGAGAGATAATACATTTCTATTGTTTAAGCCACCCTGTTTGTGTACTTTTCATAGTACTCTTAGCAAATTAATGCACTATCTGTGTATCTTTTTTGGTGAAGTATCTGTTTAGAACTTTTACCTATGTTTTTGTGGTTTGGTGTGGTTTTCCTATTGCTTGCTTACTGTCTGTAAGCACCTCCCAGCCACATTTCCTTCTTAGTCATTATAGTTCCTTGATGGGTACAATTAAAGAAGTCTTGGCCAGGTGTGGTAGCTCGCGCCTGTAATCCCAGCACTTTGGGAGGCCGAGGCAGGTGGACTGCTTGAGGCCAGGAGTTCTAGACCAGCCTGGCCAACATGGCAAAACCCCATCTCTACTAACAGTACAAAAATTAGTGAGGCGTGGTGGCATGCACCTGTAGTCCCAGGTACTTGGGGGGCTGAGGCAGGAGAATTGCTTGAACCCAAGAGGCAGAGGTTGCAGTGAGCTGAGATCGCACCACTGCACTCCAGCCTGGGTGACACAGCGAGACTCCGTCTCAAACAAAAAAAAACAAAGAAACAAAAAAAAAGAAAAGAAAAAGAAGTCTTAACACAGATATTGGATGGGATGGGGAAGTACCCCTGGCCACCCTAGAGAGCATCTATCAAGCTGTGTGCTGTGTTTATGAGAAGGCTGGGGAGGGATAGTATTGATGAAAGTCCTGTGTCTGTGATACAGGGTGAAAATCTGCACTTGCATGCAAAAGAGCATTGAATGACAGGGGAAAAAAGCGAAAGCCTTAACAAAATGAAAGAGTCCTGATGTTTCACTGGACACCGCAACACTTTCAAAAGCATGTTATCAGCATGTTTTTAAACAGCGTTTTTGAAGTTACTCACTCATGATTGCAAGGTTCACTTCCTCAACTCTGTTGAACTTTCAGAGGTCTCCCCTCTGCTTCCTGAGTATCATGAGGATCTTCTCACACAGCGATTCTCAGAGAAGGCCTTAGATTATAGTTTTGTATAAAGGCAAGCCTGCAAACGTGAGATATTCAGAAGCTGGGATGTGGGTTTCCCAGCCTCTGAGTGAACACCTCCCTCCTGCCTTGAAGGGCTTTTAAGAAAACTTTCAAAATAGACTTTATTTTATTTTATTTTTATTTTTCTTGAGACGGAGTCTTGCTCTGTGGCCCAGCCTGGAGTGCAGTGGTGTGATCTCGGCTCACTGCAAGCTCCGCCTCCCGGGTTCATGCCATTCTGCCTCAGCCTCCCGAGTAGCTGGGACTACAGGTGCCTGCCACCACACTCGGCTAATTTTTTTTGTATTTTTAGTAGAGGACGGGGTTTTGCCATGTTGGCCAGGATGGCCTCGATCTCCTGACCTCATGATCCGCCCGCCTCAGCCTCCCAAAGTGCTGGGATTACAGGCGTGAGCCACTGCACCCGGCCTAGACTTTATTTTTTTAGAGCAGTTTTAGGTTCACAGCAAAACTGAGTGGAAAATATAGAGTTCCCATACGCCCCTCCTCCCACACACATGCACAGCCTCCCCCACTATCAACACACCCAGCCAGAGTGGTACATTTGTTATAGTTGAGGAACTTACATGGACACATTATCACTCAAAGTCCATAGTGTAGGTTAGGGTTCACTCCTTACATTGTCTGTGCAGTTTTTATAAATCATAAAGCCTTTATTTCTCATTTCAGTCCGTGGTCTTATTTTACACAACAAGGGTTTCCAGAGAGATAGGGTGGAAATGGGATGGGACTGGGGTAGAAACCTACTGACTTTTCTCTCTGAATTTTTCCTCCTTTCTTCATTAGATTTATCCAAGTTTAGCATAGTGGAAATTCCTTCTAGAATCTGGCAGATTGCTAAGTAATATTACTAGTTTCCAGCCCTGTTAAAATGTTTTTTGTGTGTGTTTCCACATAGTATTTCAAGGAGGCCTAACAGGAGAATGACTCAGGGATTGCTAGCTTTCCACCAACGTAGCTTGGAAGTCCCTTTAACTCTTTCACAGAGATAGAGGGTCCCTCTGTACCTATTTTTATGCTGTTCCCACCTTCCCATTTTTCTTGATCTGGCAATTTCCTACTTATCTTCCAAGATTCAGCTCACCTGTCCATCCTCTCCCTAAGGCAGACTTTCCTGAACTCCTAGGCTGAATGTCTTACATTGTTCTCTGTTTCAATCTCTATTTTCACACCTGTTATACTGAGTGTTAGATTATGGGGAAACGCCATTATTCATCTTCAATCCTTATCCCATGGCAAATTGCCTCTGGAAACTCTAGTAGATGTCTTATTAAGGGTGACCTTTGTCCAGGGAGGAGACCACCCCTATTAAATTACAGAGTGATTTGAATATCCAGCATTGGAATATGGGACGGGATGACAGAGTGCTGTAGTATTCCCTTCTTTTTAATTCTGATTACATTGTTTTGTATTTAAAAAGTAAGAACATCTACTTATGTATAGGTTAACCTAGACAGGACTTTATTAAAATGCTCTCTTAAAAAAAATTAGGTAAAGAAATGATTTCTTGAAAATCCATTCCTTTTATTGATTTTATTATGTTGCATGGAAATATAGTTTCACACACCATACTTTTACTAATAAATGTAAAGAACAAATTACTTTTGAACAATTAAAATAACCAAATATTGATTTTCAATAAAGTATATTTTGAAATAATTCTGAAGCCATAAAAGACTAAAATTCACTTTATGCTAAAATAAATCATATTCTCCCATAATGCAATTATTTAATTTTTTTAAAAAAAGAAACCACCCAATAAGAGTTTAATTCATTCGGAAATTTTTAGCATTTATAAATGCAATAGAGTGTTTCTACTATACTTACTGGCATCATTCTTTACCTTATCACTTATCTTCACACCGGAAGAGGTGAACCAGGTGATTATGCCCCCTGCTGGGGCTGGTTCTTCCTCTAAACAGTGACTTGGCCTGGCAATTAGGTGCAAAATTACCTACATTTACCCTAAAGATTTCTTCAGAGCTGTCAGTCTTCCTAAAACTACCCTAGCAAATAATACTTTTTCCTTTCTGCAAATACTGTTATTCAAACCACTGTATTTACCCCATTCCAAGCTTTCCATTCTCTGTTAAGAATTTCTCAGGTGCTCATGAAGTTTTAAAGGACAAGACTCCTCTCAGAAGTATATACTACTCATAAGCTCAAAGCAAATTAGGTTATTTTACAATCCTTGCTACAGGCCAGAAAATGAGCATTGAGTAAGTAATTATCCTAATTTGAAAAGGAGAAAACAAGTACAAAAAGAGATTGAGCAATTTTAAAAAAAAATCCTCCACATTTGTACTTTAAGGATTAAAATGTACCATACAGTCTGATGCTCAAAACAAACTCTTTTTGAGAACAGACATCATTTTACAAATAAAGACACTGAGGCTCAGAGATATGAGTCACTGCCTAAGGTAGTACAAATAGAAATCTATATTATTAGAACTTAAACTCAGGTTGGGTATAGTGGCTCATGCCTGTAATCCCAGTGCTTTGGGAAGCCAAGGTGGGATTCAATAGCAGCCTGGCCAATAGATTGAACAGCCTGACTAATACAGCAAGAACCTGTCTCTACAAAGTATGTTTAAAAAAAATAGCCAGGTGTGGTGGCACACCCTTGTAGTCCCAGCTATTTGGGAGGCTGAGGCAGGAGGATCACTTGAGCTCAGGAGGCTGAGGCTGCAGTAAGCTGTGATTATGCCACTGGACTCCAGCACGGGTGACAGTGAGACCCTGTCTCTAAAAATAATAATAATTATTAGTCAGAACTTGAACTCAAGTCCTTCGATTCCCAGCACACAGAGCCTTTCCTTGCCACACCACAGTGCCTCTTGCTAACTTGAACATGGTGAGGAGCAGTGCAGCAGTCTGTATACCACCAACCAAAACTTGATTCAGTGGATGCTATGTAGATGCCGTGAAGTCTGAGTATAATGAATCCTGTTGCCTTGGAAGAGGAATCCATGTATCATTTTCAATGTTGTTCTAGATAATCCTGATGTGCTTGATAAATGACAAATGGTATGTGAATAACCATACAATTGCCATAATTATAAACAGAATTACAAATGATAATAGACTGGGGACAAGCTACTAAGCAGTATGTTGAATACTAAAATAGTTCTCATGGGAATGCATATTATTCAACCTTCTGAAATGCACATTAAAGAACAATCTTGATTAAAATATCAATAAAAAATGGTTTTAAGATTCTGATTTCTTATAATATATTTTCCAATTTTCTTGTTTAAAAATATAAAAAATGATTTATTATATCATAAATTTTTTAACTATAAAAATTGAGTTTTCTCTTGGAAAAACAACAACTTGCTAGTACCTTCCTTTTAAGCACATTTTGGTTATTAGAAGGCCTTCACTGCAGGAATAATCTTGCGGAAGAATTTATGACCTTGGGAATTTGTATTGTCGAAAATATAACCTGGAGGAGAGGGATAGCTGGCTGGGCAAATTTCCTGTCTTTTCGGTGTGTACTCTACAGAGTACATGGTTACATCATCAAATGGAACAGAACTCTTAAAAGCAATATTTAAAGGTTTGCAACTCTCTGTTGGGATCAATTCATGTGGCACATAGTGAGATCTGAAAGTGCTCAAACCATCAAATTTTCCAGATGGGTTGGGAATCTGCTGCTGCTTCTTAATAAGTCCTTGACGACAACTTTCCCATGCTGGAAAATCTTCTTTCATGATGCTTTTTCCTTGGAAAGGAAAATTGTTACTTCTTTTTTGAGAAACTGGCCTGATGGGAACAACATGGTTGGCCTGATATGGAACATAGTCAAGATGGCTTGTGCTGTTTAACAGCATGCTACCTGTAGGAGGCACATACTCTGGTACTTTCTTGACCTCAGGTGGTGGGATTTCCCATGGTTGAAAACTTTCACGGAATTCAGTGCTTCCTTCAAACAGAGCATTCTGGGTCACTCTGGTGTGTACAGGTCTGCAGAGTTTTGCAGTTTCACCAATGAGACCCTGAAAGTCACACCGGTGAGTTGTGAGATCCTCAAAGCGTTGGTCAGTTGGTTTGTAAACTTCTTTTGGCCTTTCAAACTTGAGTTCAAGCTGATGAGGTATATAATCAAGGCGATGACTTGTAATACCATTAAAAGGGGCTGTAGAACGTTTGACCACAGAGGAGGGTTTAAAGCTTTGCCTAGGCTTTATCTCCTGAGGAACAAAATCATCCTGAAATGTAGTTGAATTTCCAAATTTCACAGTAGGCGGGTGGTAAGTTTGTTCTGGCTTATAAAGTTCACTTTTATGAAGGTCCCAAGCTCTATAATCGTCTTGAAAATTAAAACAAAGCAAAAACATTTTTAAATGCTGAAGAAAACAACCATCTTCTAAAAATCATAACTGACTTCTCTCATTGCCAAACATCTTTCCATTTCCTTTAGAAATCTAAACAATAGTATCAGAATACAGTTTCTCTGATTCCTTTCAGATTCGTTCTTTTTCTTCATTTCCACCTTCCTCTACCCATCTCCTCACTTTAATACATGTAACTTTCCACTTTCAGATTCATCTGATTACATAACAAAGGAAAAGCACATCTGAGCCTGATTGTGGATAGTTCTTGAAAGCCAAAAGGACTGTGTTGGAGGTGAGGACAGAGTTTAGGAGATTATGGTTGTATTCCTAGGAAGAGGTTGGGATTTTAATTACAACTCACAAAATGCTAAGGTACGTCTAAAAGCCAGGGCTTGAAATAAAATCAAGTGCCCTTCATGGGTGGGCAAAAGTAATACAGGTATTACTCCTTGCTTTGGAGAGACTCATCAAAGGGGAGAAAAATTTAATTCTGGTATACTCTAGGAAGCCTACAGAAAGAATTCCTTGAGCAAAGATACAGGGTAACTTGTGCTATCCCAGAAAGATCACTGGCTTCAACTTTCCCTCATGAAATGGACTTTAAGGCATTCCCAAAAGATAGAGGGCCATCTAGAGGCCAGAGGCCTTAACTGAATGTCTTCAGAGGTGTTTGAAATTGTAGAATTTCAAGTGACCATCAGAGCAGAGATCTGGGGTTTGGAAGTTAAATAACCTTAAGCTTACTCCTGCAGTTTACCTAGACTGTGGAGCATTTTGGGTCACTCTGGTGTATGCAGAATGATGACTTGTAACACCATTACAAGTTGGTGATAGTACACTTCACTAAAACTGAAATGTTTATATTTCAACTAAGGATTATTTGTGTTTTCTATTTCTCCATGAGGAAGATAGTAAGCTAGGAAATACCATAGAATTGACTTCACCCCAAAATATGTATTTCTAAATACCAAAAGTTAATTTATAAAAGATAGAAATTTATTACACAGGATAATGTACTAAAATCTGGACTAAAGTCTATGCAATATTTACAGGAAAGGTCAAACTTTGAAAACTTATTATGTGGATATCTTCTTTGAAGAGAAAAAATGCGTATCCATTTCTGCCAAAATGGCCAAGTATTGGACTAAATGATTAAGTTACTGATGTCTGGATGAGAGCGTGTACCTGACTCAAGAATAGGTGACCTTTAGGCCAGCAGAGACCTTTAAGACAAACTGACAGAAAAGATGAGCTAGATCAAGCATTGTTATTCTTGTAAACCTAAAATTGAAAATAATGAGTGAGATAGAAATGGGAGAATTGAAAAGGATGCCAGGAGGTAAAGCTAAGAGCTATGGAAAGCTGAAGTTACATTCAAAATAGACCTGTAAAGAAACAGAAATGATAACTAGGCAGAGGTGGCCAGTTAGTAAAGTGGCAATCAGAGCAGATGAGTGAAGGGAAGTGAAGATGCTGTGAGAGAAATCATGTAGCTTATTGCAGAGATGAAGGGAAAAGCTCTTCCTTCAAGCTCCCTGGGCACCTGATAGCTTTCCATTTTCAGTTCACATGAAGCTTTACCAGAGTCTTTTTTTTTTCTTGAGGTACCATGAGGGAATCTCTCTTCTTTGCAAACTACAGTATAAAAGTATAACACTATTTTTCACTAGCTAAAAGGAATCATAGATGTTATTGAAGGTTTATAGTTCCACACAATCATATAGGGAGAATTCTTGCTACCACACAAGAGAAAAAAGATTTTCATTATAAGAGAGTAAACAGAAGAGAATATTTCTCCCTCACCAAACCAGCTTTGGTTTTCAAAATGGAAGCAAGAATTTGGACACTGAGAGATGGATGTGATAGCATACAATAGTATGAATGTAAGTTCTACATAATTGCAGAAAATTGATTTTCTCCCTATAAATATGCCTATGCTCATATGCCTGGAATATTTATTATCTGTTATGGAATATTTGATAACATTCTAGCAGTATCTTTAAAACATCATAATCATTATCATCTGTTTTTAGTGTTTTATGATACTTATGGAAAAACAAGAAAACAATGCTGTCCATGTCTAACAATACAGTTTGGTTATGTGGCAGCTCCACTATCGCCCTTGTTAGATGTTTCCTCAGCTCACTTTTTATGTCTAGCCACTAAAATCTGGTTAGAAAGTTTATTCTCTTCTGAACAGGTTTAAGTCCAAGAAGTGCCTGCATGCACTTGCCCACTATTTGTATACACAGCTCCAACCCCATTTTAATATAGTGAGCTGTTCTAGGTTCTTCTTTGAGGACAAAAGTCTTGAGTTGCTTATGCTAGTTCTTTTTCCTGGTACTTGGGACTGCTCCCTGTGGTGTCTTGTGGTACCGAGGAATTGGAAACTACTTTTAGAAAGTAAGGGGACATCATCCTCGGCCTCAGCTTTTTCAATCTACATATCACCAATCTACTCCCATGGTTTTAATACTACCTGTAAGGTGGTGACTCCCAAACTTGAATCCCTACTTCAGACCTCCCTTCAAACACCAACCCACATATTTATCCACCTACTAGACATCTTTATTTGGATGTCCCTCAGATAAATGAAAACTTAGCATGCCCCAATTAATTATCTCACTCAGACTCACATTCCCCAGAAAATAACACATCAACAAAGTTTCTATTATGAATTTGGCATCTCAGGCTAAGGTTCTGTTTAATTGACTTTCTCTCCCTCATTTCCTTCTCTCCTTTTCAAGTGGTTTTCAAATACTGTTGATATTACCTTCTAAATATTAATGTCTTCCTTCTTGAAGCAAATATGGAATGAATGGCAACCTGATAAAATTGTCAAAAATAAGAAAAAGAAAAAAGAAGAGGCCACAATGTAAAATAAACGTCTATAAGGTCTATTCTCTTTCATTCTTGATATTTGTAATTGGTGTCTTCTCTCTTTTCATTTATTAACTTCATTATCTTTTAATAGAACCAATTTTTGGTTTCATTGTTTTTCTCTATTATTTTTCTGTTTTCAAATTTATTGATTGCTGCTGTTATCCTCATTTATTTCCTTCTGCTTTGCTTTGGATTTAATTTGCTCTTATTTTTCTAGTTTCATGCAATGAAGGTTTAGACTATTGATTTAAGACTTTCTTTTCTAATATGAACCTTAAATGCTATAAATTTTCTGAAAAGCATTGCTTTAGATGCATCTCTCAGATTTTGATGTACTATATTTTCATTTTCATTAAATTCAAAATATTTTCTAATTTCTTTTGTTACTTTTGCTTAAAGCCATTAGTTATTTAGGATTTTGCTGTTTAATTTCCAAATATTTGGAGATTTTCCACATTTTTTTCTATTATTGATGTCTAATTTAATTCTGTTATGATCAAAAACACACATTGCACGACTGCAAGTCTTTTATATTTGTTAAGGTTTTTTTTATGACTCTGAATATAGTTTATCTGGATGAAGCTTTCAAGTGCACTTGAAAAGAATGTATATTCTGTTATTGTTGACAGAAGTGCTTTACAAATGTCAATTTGGACAACATTGTTGATAGTGTCGTTCAGGTCTTTATATCCATATTCATTTCCTGTCTACGTTCTATAGATTACTTAGAGACAGTGTTGAAGTCTCCAACTACAAATGCATATTTTCACATTTCTTATGTTAGTACTATAAATTCTTGCTGCTTTGTATATTTGAAGCTTAGGATCTTGTGTTTGAGAAATGGAAAGCGGGTGTGTGGTGGTTTCTCTGTTGTCCCAGTCCAGCTTCAATCTTAGGCAGGCCCTGTGCCCCTGGGTCTCAGAAGCAGGGCTCTCTCAGAGCACCTGCCCTTTCACTTGATGTAGTAGGTCTCTAATTGTTGGTCCCAAGACAGTTTCCTGTTCTTTCTTCATGTTCAAGGTTTGGTTTTATTTTGCTTCTTCTTCTTGTTTTTCCTTTGTCTTTCATCAAGTTGCAATACATCTTCACCTATTCCTTGGGGTTGTCAGAGTGGTGCCTTTCCTGCAGTGGATTAATGCTTTTGCTCTGTAGGTTAGAGGCATTCAAATGGAGCTTCCTGCTTTTTTTTTTCTTTTGCAAAAACAACCATTTTTCTCTCCATGCCCGCACTATGAAGGAAACTTTCTGTGGTCTCCAGCCTTTCTCCCAATCTTTCTCATGATCACACAGTGAACATCCATAGGGAAGAGTCTATGAGTGGTTTTGAACTCTCCCTTTAGTGTCTGAAGTTCTCAGAGCTTCTATACTCTCGCAGTAGCTCATACTCAAGTCTTTAGCAATTAAAGATGTAATGAATTATTTTATTCACTTGTGTAACAGCTAGTCTTCATTCCATGCCCTGCTTTGGGTGAAACAGTGCTTGCCTCCTGTCTCAACTGGGTGGAAGTTGTTTCTCCTCAGATGTCAGGCTAATTGGTTAACCTGTGATCTCAGCTTTCTAAAGGATTCATAAACATTTATGATTTTGTAGATTATCTGGCTTTTTCTTATTGTTATGTTGGCAACATAATCTTTCTAGCCTTCTGCATCCTACACAGAATCTGAATATTCTGGATTTCTTTATGGTGAGGTTTAAAATTACACCTTCAATTCTACAAATTCAATTTCCTTTATAGATATAGGGCTATTTTGACTTTTTATTTCTTCTTGGGTTACTTTTGGTAAATTGTATTTTTCAAAAAATTTATCCATTTTATGTAAGTTGTAAATTATTGGCATATTTTTTAAAATAATATCTTTTTAATGTGTGAAAAATCAATCTTTGAATTTTAATCACAATATTTTGTTCATTTACACTTAATGCAATGATCTAGCTGGGCTTAAGTTGATTGTATTGCTATTTGCTTTTGACTTTTCCCTTCTTTGTTCCCATACCCCTTATTTCTTGCCTTCTTTTGTATTAATAAATGGCATTTGTATTATTCCACTTTACTATTTTAACTTTCTATATTTTAAAAATAAAAATGAATTTTTGACTTATTATGAGATTTTTCTGGCTCCAACTTAAATGGATATTTTTACCACTTCTAGCATGGAAGAACCTGTAAGCAATTTAATTCTATTTAAATCCTCTTGCCTTTTGTACTACTGTTCTAACATAATTTACTTTTATATTTGTGTAAAAACATAATATAGTAATTTTGACTTTGTCAATATTCTTTCATATTTACCCACATATGTACCCTTTCTGTGTGCTTCATCCCTTCCTGCATTTCATGCTTCTATCTGGAATAAGTTTCCTTTTAACTGAAGAATTTCCTTTAATGCTTTTTGTAGAAGGTATCTCAGCTTTTTCTTTTTTTGTCTGAAAACATTGTTAATTTGCTTTAATTTTTAAAGGCTATTTTTACTAGATACACAGTTTTCAGATTTGCTGGCTTTAAAATTCTAGATCCTTCTTGCACCTTCTGCATATGGTTTCATCCTTCTGCATATGGTTAGCCAGTTTTTCCAGCATCATTTATGGAATAGGGATAAACAATTTCCCCACTGTTTATTTTTGCCAATTTTGTGGACAATCAGGTGGTTCTAGGTGTCTGGCTTAATTTCAGGGGTCTCCATTCTGTTCCATTGGTCTATGTGTCTATTTTTGTACCAGTACCATGCTGTTTTGGTTACTGTAACTTTGTAGTATAGTTTGAAGTCAGGAGATGTAATGCCTCTGGTTTTATTCTTTTTGTTTAGGATTGCCTTGGCTATTCAGGCTCTTTTTGGGTTCTATATAAATTTTAGAATAGTTTTTCTCTAATTCTGCAAAAAAATGATATTGGTAATGTGCAGATTGCTTTGTGTAGTATGACATTTTAATGATATTGAATCTTCCTATCCATGATCATAGAATGCTTTTTCATTTGTGTAGTCTATGGTTTCCTTCTCCATGTAGAGATCTTTCACCTCCTTCATTAGATGTATGCCCAGGTACTGTGAGTGTGTATGGCTATTATAAATGGGATTATGTTCTTGATTTGATTCTCAGCTTGAAGATTATTGGTGTATAGAAATGCTACTGATTTTTGTGCATTGATTTTGTATGCTGAGACTTTGCTGAAGTCATTTATTAGGTCCAGGAGTCTTTTGGCAGAATCTTTAGGGTTTCCCATGTATAAATTACATTGTCAGCGAAGAGACATAATTCGACTTCCTTTTTTCCTATTTGGATGCCTTTTCTTTCTCTTGCTTGATTATGTTAAATATGAGTGATAACAGTGGGCATCCTTGTCTTGTTCCAGTTCTC
The DNA here is from genome assembly GCF_000001405.40 of Homo sapiens. Lineage (NCBI taxonomy): Eukaryota > Metazoa > Chordata > Mammalia > Primates > Hominidae > Homo > Homo sapiens. The sequence continues at coordinate 82,275,855 of NC_000015.10, read as the reverse complement.
AAAGGGAATGCTTCCGGTTTTTTGTCCATTCAGTATGATGTTGGCTGTGGGTTTGTCATAGATGGCTCTTACTATTTTGAGTTATGTTCCTTCAATGCCTAGTTTGTTGAGAGTTTTTATCATGAAGTGATGTTGGATTTTATTAAATGCTTTTTCTGCATCTACTGAGATGATCATATGATTTTTGTCTTTAACTCTGTTTATGTGGTGAATCACATTTATTGATTTGCATATGTTGGACCATCCTTGCATACCAGGAATAAAACCCACTTGACTGTGGTGAATTAACTTTTTGATGTGCTGCTGGATTTAGTGTGCTAGTATTTTTTGAGGATTTTTGCATCTGTGTTCAGGGACCATGGTCTGTAGTTTTCTTTTTCTTTTTGTGTTTTTGTCAGATTTTGGTTATCAGGATCATACTAGTTTCACAGAATGAGTCAGGGAGGAGTCCTTCTTCCTCAATTTTTGGAATACTTTCACTAGGATTGGTACCAGCTGTTCTTTCTATGTCTGGTAGAATTCAGCTGTGAACCCATTTGGTCTGGGGCATTTTTTTTTTTTTTTTTTTTTTTTTGGTTGATAGGTTTCTTACTACTGATTCAATTTCCTTACTCGTTATTGATCTGTTCAGGATTTCTGTTTCTTCCTAGTTCAATCTTGGGAATTTGTGTTTCCGAATTTATCCATTTCCTCTAGACTTTCTAATTTGTGTACCTAGAGAAGTTCATAATATTCTCTGAGGATCTTCTGTATTTCTGTGGGATCAATTGTGATGTCACTTTTGTGATTTTTGATTGTGCTTATTTGGATGTCTTTTTTTGTTAATCTAGCTAGTGGTCTATCAATCTTATCTTTTCAAAAAATGAACTTTTTGCTTCATTGATCCTTTGCATGGTTTTGAGGGTCTCAATTTCATTCAGTTCTGCTCTGACTTTAATTATTTCTTCTGCTAGCTTTGGGTTTAGTTTGTTCTTATTTTGCTAGTACTTTTGGTTGCAATGTTAGGTTGTTAATTTGAGATATTTCTATCTTTTTGATGTAGGCATTTAGCATTATAAACTTTCCTCTTAACCCTGCTTTTGCCACATCCCAGAAGTTTTGGTATGTTGTGTCTCTATTTTTATTTATTTCAAATACTTTTTTTTTTTTTTTTTGAGACAGAGTCACGCACTGTTGCCCAGGCTGGAGTGCAGTGGTGCAATCTTGGCTCACTGCAACTCCACCTCCCGGGTTCAAGATATTCTCCTGCCTCAGCCTCCTGAGTAGCTGGGATTACAGGCACCCATCATCATGCCTAGCTAATGTTTTGTATTTTTAGTAGAGATGGGGTTTCGCCATGTTGGCCAGGCTGGTCTCAAACTCCTGACCTTGTGATTCACCCGCCTTGGCCTCCCAAAGGAGGACAGTGAGAGTATCTTCCCATTGTGGCTTCTCTTCAGCTGTAGAATTGTTTTTAAATAGGTTATCTACAAAACCTGCAGCACATTCATACAGAGTGTGGAAGTACAACCTTGGCTCTTAGTGTTTTTGTTGTCTCATGCCTGAAAATCTGAAATACAAAATATCACCTTTGTTGACTAAGAAAGTTCAGTAGTGAGAATGCCAGAGGAACTCAAAATTCTTTATCCTTGAACTACAACCATAGGAGTGGAAGTATCAGAATCTACAGGAAACCCAGGTCATGGAAAGCTAGTAGTGTTGGTATAAGTGTGTGCGTGTATTGTGTGTACATGTTCCCAGCATCGGGGACAACAGTATTACTGGTATTTTTCTTATGGATCTTGTAGAAAAAAAGAAAATCTTACTGTGATTGTATAAGAGACCAAATATAGTGGCTCATGCCTGTAATCCCAGCACTTTGGGAGGACAAGGCGGGCGAATCACAAGGTCAGGAGTTTGAGACCAGCCTGACCAACATGGTGAAACTCTGTCTCTACCAAAAATACAAAAATTAGCCAGGCGTGGTGGCGCACACCTGTAATCCTAGCTACTCAGGAGGCTGAGGCAGGAGAATTACTTGAACCCGGGAGGCGGAGGTTGCAGTGAGCTGAGATCATGCCACTACACTCTAGTCTGGGTGACAGAGCAAGACTCAATCTCAAAAAACAAACAAAAAAAGAACAAATTCATTTTCATCAATTATTATTTATGCCAAATTTGGCACAGTACATTTTCTCCTACGCATATCAATCTATTTATCAGCAATTACTCTATGCTACATTTAATTATAATATACTTCTTCACCATTCACATAGTCTTCACAATTTGTTCTTTGTGTAGTATGTTATGTGCTCAAAGATTTAAAAAACAGAAAAAACATTTTCTTGACCTCCCTAATAGGTAGGCTGATAGATGAAAGCATATTGATATCCTGCACTTTACTTACTCGTTGAATGGGTAGGCGTGAAATTTAAAGATAAAATAGGCATTTAACTATTACCTAAATAAAGTATGAATCATTACTTTGATTATTGATGGTATCACTCTTACAAAAGTGTTTTATATTAGGACATATCCATTCAGCTATTTTACATAACCAATGGAAAAATGTAATCCTATATATGTAATTACATTATTAATAAAAAGATATAAAAGTAATATCTACTATCATAAATCAAAATCAAAATAGGCCTAAAATAGCCTATTTTTAGGCCAGGTGCAGGGGCTCACATCTGTAATCCCAGCAGTTTGGGAGGCCGAAGTGGGTGCATCACTTGAGGTCAGGAGTTTGAGACCAGCCTGGCCAACATGGTGAAACCCCATCTCTACTAAAAGTACAAAAATTAGCTAGGCATGGTGGCGGGTGCCTGTAATCCCAGCTACTCAGGAGGCTGAGACAGGAGACTTGCTTGAACCCAGGAGACAGAGGTTGCAGTGAGCCAAGATTGCGCCACTATACTCCAGCCTGGGCAACAGAGTGGGACTCCATCTTGAAAAAAAAAAACAGCCTGTGTTTAAAAAACAAAGACCCCATTCCTCAAAAGTACTAGAGTATTTTAAAATCAGGTTTTTGGGCCACGCGTGGTGGCTCACGCCTTTGATCTTAGCACTTTGGGAGGCTGAGGTGTGTGGATCACTTGAGGTCAGGAGTTCGTGACCAGCCTGGCCAACATGGTGAAACCCCATCTCTACTAAAAATACAAAAAATTAGCTGGGCGTGGTGGTGTGCACCTGTAATCCCAGCTACTTTGGAGGCTGAGGTGGGAGAATTGCTTTAACCCAGGAGGTGGAGGTTGCAGTGGGCCAAGATCGTGCCACTGCACTCCAGCCTGGGTGACAGAACGAGACTCTGTCACAAAAAAAACCCAAAAACAACAACAACAACAAAAAAACAGGTTTTTGGAAAGAAAAGCATACATGGCCCAACTTGTACTCCTCTAAGTCAGTTGCCTGCAAAGAGAAAGTATTCTCACCCTTCCACCATCCCAGAATTCTTAGAGGAGCAGGACCCCTATGTGGTAGTCTAGCACTGTCTATCATGGGGTAGATAAGCCTATCTAATTCTGAGGTTCAGTATCAGGAAGCGTCTGCTTACAGATGAAAAGTTCATTCTCTACTTTGTCCTTTATCAGTGTAAAAGCAGTATTTTGCTTCTCCATCTGGCAACTCTTTTGCTTTATAGGTTGGTTCAGGACTTGAATGGAGAAAAGCATTGCTATTTATTTGACCTCAAAGATCCCAATACTCTCGGTAGAGTTTCAACTTTTTCTAGGATGGGAAGAAAAGAACAATGCCAACTAAATGTGACACAAAGTGACAAATGTGACATAATGCTTCTTTAATGGCATCCTTTGTTTTTCATGTTTTGAGACAGAAAACTAACAAAGTAGATGAATTTGGATGGGATTGTGGGTCTTTTACCACTCAATCAGACAAATGGCCTATTTTCTTTTGTTACTATACAATACTATTTTGCCAAAGAGAGAAATGTTCTTTCCTAAGCCATGGAGGCTAAGTTTGGCAGCACACCAAAGTTATAATTTGATATTAGATGTTAAAGCTGGAAGTGAGTTTTAGTTTTTTGGCTCCTTCATGTATGAAACAGCAAGTTACCTTTATAGGTTGGGACAGTGTCCAATTTTCCTTTTTTAACTTGTCTCTCCAAAGGCCGGACTATTGCCACAGGCTGCACTTTATACGAATTCAAATCCCGTTTGTAGGTAGTACCAAGATCAATCTTCCCTTGTTTTGGTTTATATTCTTCTGGCACATGGCGAGGCTGTTTAACTATTTCATAAGGACAATAATCCGACCTGAAATATATAAATTTGAAACATAGCCTCACAAGTTCTTTTATTCCTAATTATTTCAATGAAGTATGGAAAATGTCAAGGCTTTTTTTTCTTTTTTACTGGAAAAGTCTGAGAAGATATTAAAATGGTAATAGTTGATAAACTACTTGAAAGAGGTAACTGAATTTCTTATAAGGTCCTATCCAGTGACTAAATATCTTGAGAAAAGTAAATATATCAAAAATCCTAGTTTTTAAAACATCATTACAATAGATCTCAGTTAATCGGATCTTCAGTAAATAATATCCTCAAGTAATTGATTTTTTTTCTAACCTGGAAGGAAATTTCAGGTAAAATTTACTAAACCTGAAAAGTTTAAAAAATATATTACCCCTGAGTCCACTTTGTCAAAGTCCTTATTCATCTTACTTACAGTCTCCAGCAAACTATTTTGGCATACTTTCTTCTTTTTGAATTCATGCTGTTTTCTCGCTTATTGTTAAATGATTAGTAACTCTGGTCTTTAGACATAAATCACATTCAGATTATAGATTTGAGTGTTCCTAATCTTTGGATCTCCCAGAAGTCCTTGTCATGGATGGATGCCAGATGGTAACGCAGCCAACCTGGGTACTATGTAACATTATGTGACAGAGGTAGTACTGCAGACACTGAGGTAAAAACTGAGGAATGGAGAAGACCACAAACTTAGACTGATCAGGCCACCTAGGTCCAAATCCTGGTTCTGTCATTTACTAGCTGCAGGACCTTGGATAACTTCATTAACCTGTTTATGCCCCAGTTTCTTTATATATAAAATGGAACAATAATATCTTCTATCTCACAGAGTTGTTTTAAGGATATACACACATGCTTTGAAGACTGCTTCGTACATAGTAAGATCAATATGGTAGCCACCACTATTACTACCCCAAGACTTCAGGGATTGCTTTTTTCTTCTGGACTCTATTGACACGTGACTCATTTTGTGATTAAACTATCTTGTATTAACCAATATTTGCTGCGTATGTCTGTAAGTTCCCCAAAGAAACCCAAAACCCTCACTGAATTCTTCTATTCACAACATAACTTCTTAGACTAATTAACTGTTTTCTCACCCACTTCAATCCATTTCAGTCTGGTTTCCAGCACTGCCACTTCCCTAATACAGCTCTAAAGTTCACAATGTCTTCCATGTGATTAAATTCATCGAACATTTTTAGTCCTCATCTTACCTGACCTCTCCAACAGTAATTGACATTATTGTGCACACTGTCTGTTTCTAGGAAACTTTCTCTTCCCGACTTCCTGATTATTTCTTTCCAGTTTCCTATGTAGCTTCATCTACCTCTACTCCATCATTAAATACATGTTAGCGTTCCTCAAGACTTGGACCTACCTACACATTCTTCTTCTCATCCACTGTTCACTCCTGAGGATAACTCTTCTACTCCCACAACTTAGATCACTACCTAGATCGAAATAACCCTCAAATTTACATCTCAGCTTGGACCTCTTCTGTGAGCTTCATACCAGTATCTATGATGGTCTCTTGGATTCAATGCCATTGGATTCGATGGCAACTCAACACTTAATACGTCCCAAATCAACTCGCTATTTCCCCTCAATAAATGTGGTCCTTTTTGCTTTTTCTCTATTTAAGTGAACACTATCACCATCCTTTCAGACGCATAGTCAGAAATCTAGGACTCACCCTTTATACCTCAATTCTCTCCCCTATCTAGTCCATCATCAACTACTGTCAATTTTGCCTCATAAATATCCCTCAAATCTAACCACTTTTCTCCACATCTGCCACCACCATAATATGCAAAGTTTTTGCAACAGCTCATTTGAATCACTTTAATAACTTTCGAAACTCATTTACCCACATCCACTTTAGTTCTCCCTCCAATCTTTTCTCCACATGGCACCTGAAGTAATTCTTTCTCATGTAAATCTGATCAAGTCATTCCTGCCCTCATCTCCCTAGCCTCTTCCTTACCTTTCTTCCTCCCCAAGTCCACCCTCCACCCTCCACCAAAAAAACAAAACAGAAAAACCTTCATGGCTTCTTATTACTGTAGGACATAGACAACACTGAACATGGTTTAAAGGCTCTGCCTGGTCTTCTTCACTAGCCTCAACTCTCACCGTTGTTTCCTCTTGCTTTCTCTGCTCCACCTGGCTTTCTTTGACAATTTTCTCCTTTCCATGCTCCTTCCTGCTACAAGCTACTCTCTCTCTCTACTTGGAATGCATTTCCTTCCCCCTCTTAATCCAGTTAATTTGACATCCTTCAGGTTTTGACTCATTTTTCTCATTCCCCTGATAAAGTCAAACTCTTGGTCTGGTTGTCAAGGTACCTGTGCCTGTCCTTCATAGATTTTATCACTGTTGCAGTTTTAGAGTTATTTTGAGTAATGTTTTGATTGCCATTTCTAATAGATTGTAATATCTGTCAGCACAGAGATCATGACTGCTTTTGTTCACCACTGTATACCAGGTGACTAGTATAGTGCTTCATGCTTAATAAATGCTTAATAATTTTTTATTTAATGGATGAAGAGTAGTAGAAATCACATACCTCTGCTTGTCAAGACATCTGAGTTGTTCTTTGCTCTTCCCAAATACGAACTAGAGGGGAATAGGCTAAAATGCAGTCAGGAAGTGAGAGAATCAGGAAGGGAAAAGCAAAGAGTAAGCTCAGAAGTCCCAGTTTCTCTGGTTAGACTATTTAAGTGTCAGAAAGTATGCCTCCAAACCCAAAGCAGCTTTCTATGGAGTAGTAGTAGAGGGTGAATGCAGTCTTATTCATCTGATATATCCTGAAACATTTGATGTGTCTAGAATCCTACTCGTTCAGGGCAGGCTTCCTGCCAACTCTGGCAGTCATCTAAGTGAGCTACAACTGTACTGCTATAAAGGATCCAAAATCTTGTACAAGTTCAGACACCTCTTTACACAGTCACTTCCTGTACTATACAAAGGTACAGAATGCTTCTTTGTTTGTACAGATAAATCCACTTTCTACTGCCTAGTCAACACAGCCAACATGAGAGAGTCAAGCAAGAGTTTCAAGCTCCTAGATTATGACTCTTAGAAATACTGCTAGTTTCCCAGTGAAAATATAAAGAAAAGATCCGATGTCTTACTAAGTGAAGAGATGACACTTTAATAAACAAATATTTTAGTTTTACTGGCATATATGGACCTTTGGGACATTTCTTGTTTTGTTTTGTTTTTTAAATTATTAAGGCTTACTTGAATAAGTCAACAGGGGAAATCCAGAATTGGAAAGCCTTTTAAAAGAAAGATATGGCAGGTTAAATTTTCTCAATTTCTACATTTAGAACTGGTTAAAAGCAAAATCTTTGTTCAATAAACACAAATATTGTAAAATTTATTTCAAATCTCTAATATGAACCATTAAGGCATCAAGAAAAAAATATTAATAAATTAAAGTGAAGAAAAAAGAACAACCATTCCCATTTAATCAATCTCAACCAGTTATTCAATTTCTTCATCTCATTTATCATAATCCATAATTATCTTAGTTATTTAGCTGATATTTTTATTTCTGGACTTTCCCACAGACTATAAACAACAGTAAAGCAAAGACCTTCTCTGTTTTATGTTCCATGTCATCCTCATTAAGCAGTCCAGTGCCTGACCTGCTGCACTCAATCAGTGGCAACAGAATCACCACCAATGCTGGTTAAAAATGCAGTTTCCTGAGACCCACTCTATTATCTACTGGCTCTTTTAGATAGAGCTCTGGAGTCTGCAATTTTAACACTTCTAGATGGCACTACTGCATACCAAAATCTGAGGACTAAGTAAAATCTTCCATCTATGGAAGAGCCATACCCCTACACTAGTAACTAGAGTCACCAAAATATTATTACTGCAAGGAATGCCTGAAATGTTAAAAATATAAATATTAGACTAAAAGTTGGAAAGTCTCCACCTTTGCTATATAAGAATGAGCTGCATCTGAAATGAAAATAACTAACACCAAAATCTAAAGCTATTACAGAGCATTTTTAAAACCCTAAATTATAGAAATATGATGTCTGAGTTCCCTGAAAGCAGGAACTTCAACTTGTGAAAGGAAGATAAATCTTGGAGTCCCAAAATCATTAAGCTAAGGGGAAAAGTGAAGCTGGGAAATGCTTAGGGCAAAGCTGTCTCCCATTCTATTCAAAGTCACCACTCTGCTCACTGAGATAAATGCATATCTGATTGCTTCCTTTGGAGAGGCTCATCAGAAACTCAAAAGAATGCAACTATTTGTCTCTTATCTACATATGACCTGCAAGCTCCCTCCCTGCTTCCAGTTGTCCCGCCTTTCCGGAAGAACCAATATTCATCTTACATATATGTTGACTGATGTGTGTGTCCCTAAAATGTATAAAACCAAACTGTGCTCTGACCACCTTGGGCACATATTATTGGGACCTCCTGAGGCTGTGTCACTGGCATGCACCCTCAACCTTGGCAAAATAAACTTTCTAAATTAACTGACACCTATCTCAGATATTTGGGGTTCACAAACTTGACATTTTTATACTTAACACTAAGATTGTACCTTGAATACAGCACATACATTAACAGTTTAAATAAAATAATGAGTAAATGTAATACTTAATCCACCTGACAAAAATACAGAGATCAAAAAAGGTAAGTCCAAATGAAAAGTATAGACTTAAGAGGATTTTTGTTCATCACTCACTGAACAAATATTGGGTACCTAGTATGTGCTAGTAGGCATTGTATTCGTTTTCTAAAAATAGAATGCTGAGATAACAATAGACTTAGTTCCTGCTTTCATGAAACACTGAAACTAATCTAATGATAAATAACAGGAAGGTGCTTTGGGAGCTTACATAGAAGAATTTTACCTAATCTGAAAAGTCTCAGAGAAGGCTTTTTCAAGTGATAATTTAGTTGAGATCTATAGATTGAATGAGCATTAGCTAGGAGAGGGAAGGAAAACTACAGGTAGGGAAAACAGTATCTTGGAAGACTCTGAGACAAGGGAAACCTGGCACTTTCAAGGAAATGAAAAATGGCCCATGGAATGGAGCATAAAAGAGTGAAAAGGACACTACAGTGAAAATGAATTAGAGAAGTAAATAGTGAGCAAACCATGCCTCTACATGATTTTGGTAAGGATTCTGGTTTATATTAAAGATAATGGGAAAGTTTAAGAGTATCTTAAGCAGAGAAGTGATAGGGTTTGGTTTGCATTTTAAAATTATTTGGGCAGGCTGAAGTATTGAAAACAGATCAAACTGCAAAAACTAGAGTAGATTCAGATATTATACTTAGAAAGTGACTGCATTCCTCTAGGTCAGGCTTGTCCAACCTGCGGCCTATGGGCTGCATGCAGCCCAGGACAGCTTCGAATGAGGCCCAATGCAAATTCGTAAACTTTCTTAAAACATTATGAGATTTTTTTGTGATTTTTTTTTTGTTGTTGTTTAGCTCATCAGCTATGGTTGGTGTTATTGTATTTTATGTGTGGCCCAAGACAATTCTTCTTCCAATGTGGCCCAGGGAAGCCAAAAGATTAGACACCCTACTCTAGGTGGTGGTGACAGTGGAAAGTAGATAAATATGAGATATTTTAAGAAGTTAAAAAAAAATAGAACTTTTTATATCCCTTTTTTCTTCTCACACTTTGTCAACCTAACTTAATTCTCATTTTTCTGTTTTTTTTTTTCAAGTTGTGACTTAACTAGTCTCTTGACTATTAGATTGGTTCAACTTAAATCAACTGAACAGTTCAATTTAAATAGCTAGAAAACTTTATTGACACCAGAAGAGTTGAGAGAAAAATAAGTAAAGCAAATAGTTACTAAATATTTACTTAAATGTAGTTATTCCTTCCATTTTACCATGGCATGCTCGAATTTCTTGCTTGGCTTTAAGACTCTGAGGTGGAAGAACATTGTCATACATAGGATATTTTTCCAAATATTCAGTTGTAGGGCAAAACACCCCAGAATTTTCATAAATCCTTGTGGTTCCACGTGGACAATGATGTCGCCTGTGCAAAAAATAAACTGAAAGATTAACCTTAAAAAAATTTTGTGTTATAACTGCGTTTTAATCAGAGACCTCTAATAAACTCACAATTTCTAAATTCTAGAGCTTTACTAAAAAACCAAAAACTGGGCCGGGCACAGTGGCTCACGCCTGTAATCTCAGCACTTTGGGAGGCCAAGGCAGGCGGATCCCAAAGTCAGGAGATCGAGACCATCCTGACTAACACGGTGAAACCCCGTCTCTACTAAAAATACAAAAAAATTAGCCAGGCGTGGTGGCGGGTACCCTGTAGTCCCAGCTACTCAGGAGGCTGAGGCAGGGAAATGGCGTGAACCTGGGAGGCGGAGCTTGCAGTGAGCCAAGATCCTGCCACTGCACTCCAGCCTGGGTGACAGAACAAGGCTCTGTCTCAAAAAACTAAAAACAAAAAAACCCCCAAAAACTGTTTCCTCTGTAATGGTGTTTACAAAAACAATCAATAAATAATGGTCTATCCCTATGTGGTGGAAGCACAGCAATTAAGTGTCTCATAACAATTTAGTGTCTTCTTACACTATAGAAGCTGAAAAGCTAATAGGGAATTTCCCATGCTCTTGCAGAAAGGTTCCACATACAATTTAGGTTTCACCTACTATGTGTATTCACATGATACTTTGATTCAGAAGAGAGCTACATAAGGAGAGAGTCAAGGCACAACATTTATTTTGCTTGCATGGAACATAATAGAGGCAACAAGAGATTGGAGCTAGAAGTTGTTAGGCGGCATCTTGATTTGCAAGCTGGTTTCCTAACTTGGCAGCTTCTTGACCTTGGAAGAGACGAGTGATTCTGGAGTCTACAGCTCTGTTGCAATTTTCTGATTATGGCAGAGGCAGTGGCTCCCTTGTCAGTCCTGGTCTGTGGTAAAATTTTTGTGGAAGCTTATTTTGAAAATGATTTCTTAAGTTCTTCCAAGTGAACTATATATATACTCCTTAATAAATTCCTTTTTGCCTAGACTAACCAGAGGAGATTACGTTATCCACAACTAAGAACCTTGACCAATATATCATATAAGCTAATAGTATACAGTTATTTAAGAGAATGAGGGTGGTCTTTATGCATGATCATTGGAAGTTGGTGAGATTGTAAATAGTAAAAAACCGGATTGTAGAATAGTATGCTCAGAATATTCTCTTTTTTTGTTAAAAAAAAAAAAAAATCAATGCAGGCCAGGCGCAGTGGCTCACGCCTGTAATCCCAGCACTTTGGGAAGCCGAGGCAGGCAGATCATGAGGTCAGGAGATGGAGGCCAACATGGTGAAACCCCGTCTCTACTAAAAATACAAAAATTAGCTGGGTGTGGTCGCACGAGCCTGTAATCCCAGCTACTCAGAGAGGCTGAGGCAGGAGAATTGCTTGAACCCGGGAGGCGGAGATTGCAGTGAGCCGAGATTGCGCCACTGCACTCCAGCCTGGCAAGAGAGCCAGACTCTGTCTCAAAAAAAAAAAAAAAAAAAAATCAATGCATATGTAAAACAAGTCTTAAAGAACATTTGTTATCTGTGGAAGATAGAATTATGAAGGCGTTTTACAATATTATAGATATTTTTGCTTAGATTTTTATGATACTTCTTGTGTATTTATTGCATTGTCAAAAAATAAAAATAAACCCTTAAAAAGACAAAACTAACAACCACAGCCCAAAACAAACAAACAAGAAGTAAAATCACGCCATTCCAATGGTGGCCCTCAACATAATGAAGACTGAATTTCCTTACAGTTGAATGAGAAAGGAACTTGCGTTGAATATAAATTAGGAGAAAAGTAAAAATTTTCTCCTGCACACCAGTCTGAGGATTCATACACCCAAAGTTAATTTGTTGATATTTTAATCTATATATAATTATGAACTGTGTTTATTATGAGACTATTAAAAAAACTGCTTTCCATCAACATGTAGGTGTTTTCTTTGAATGGGATTACAAATACACCAGGGATTGACAACGTTCATATTTACTTAGCAAATAATGATCTAATCCCTGGGTCAATAGTGAAGCTGAGGAAGGAGAGGACTGTGTTTACAGGTGATGGAAGGTTGTTAGGCAGGACTCACAGTTGGATTCTAGATTTCAGGGTAGGGACTACTTACTGACTTTTCAGTCAGGCGGATCCCAAAGAACTGCTGCCTGGACGGGAATGGGAATATGGTCTGGCTGGGAGGACAGAAAGCTACAGATGAAAGAAAATGTGATATGGGTTGCAGACTCAGGGCCTTGAGCACTGTTCTTTCTCATCTTCGTGGTGGGGGATTATGGGGTGGAAATGCACTCTCCCAGTCGGATCACATCCCACTACTCACCAGCGTTATATCCCGTCGCGGCTTCACATATATTACTTACCTGGCCCGGGTGGCATTTTACTTTGCATCCTTGATTGGGAGTCTCAGGGGCTACGAACAAACGTTTTACCCCCGGGTAGCAGGCGGGTGAGGAGCGAGTATTCGCGGAGCGGGATAAGTGGGGATGTCGCTGCGCCCTCGTCCCTTCATCTCCGGGGGACGGCCACTCTCAGGGTTCCCGAGGAGCCGGCTCCGTGCACCTAGGCCCTAGGTCGGCTCCCAAGCCCGGGCCCGCCGCTACACCAGCCGTTTCTTACCCGCAGCTACAAATCTGACACAGACACCAGCTCCTCATACTCTTGGCTCCCATGCTTTCCTCCACCGCGCCTCAGCACTTGCAGCTTCTCCACTCCCACAGCGCCCGCCGTAGTCAAGGCAACAGAGGGATGCCCGGTGACAGACTCGGCGCCGGCTTCCGGCGGCGTCAGAGACGTGCGGGTGAAAGGTCGAGCGACAGCCGGCCCCGCCCCCTGGCGCGCGGGCGTGTCGGACCCGCAGAGCTCTCGGACTTTCGGAAGCTCTCGGTGTGGGTGCGACCCGAGAGAAGGAGCGGGGCTGGTGGGGCTGCTGCAGCCGGTGAGTGTGGGCTGGCGCTGGGGGCTGGAACCTCCTAGGCCAGCCTTTGGGCGGTGCCGGAGGAACCCGCTCGCTGCGGCTCTGAGGCGGGAACAGGGGCTGGGGCCGAGCGCGGGCTGGGAGCTTCGGTCCCCGGAGTGCCGCTTCCCGTCTGGGGCCGGGGCGGTCGCCTGTCTGTGTGGACCCAGGATCCTCAAAGAGAACGAATCTGGGACCCTGCAGAAATGAAGGGCATGTAGTGTAGAGGTTTTTCCTTTTTATTTAGAAAGGAATGAAAGACCGGCAGTGCACCTGCTTGGATAATAAGCACGTGACCCAAAACTTTGTTCGGGCTCCATGGGCAGGAATAAAGCTGGGTATTTGACCTCGCGCGAGGACGAGCGAGAATGTCAGAATGAGGGACTTGGGGGAAGACTGAAGAGAGAAAGGGAGCATCTTCTTCAGCATTTTCTCTCCCTCCTGGATGCAACCCTTCCTGTACGTGGTCATTGGCCTGGAGATGTTTACTGGAGTACTCCTCCACCGGCAGGGTTACTGGTGTCACTGTGCACCCAGTCCCCTCGAGCTGCGTGATTCATCGCAGCCTTTGGATCCGGAAGGATGAGCAAACTCCTTAAGTGTAATCGTGGTAGGATACTGACTTTAGTGCTCGAACTGGACTTAGGCCTTGGTGGTCTATCTCATCAATAAACATTCACTGGGTTCTTGGTTTAAGGGGTTTGAGAAGCTTGCCACCTCCCAGCGTTTATTATTATTTTTTTCTTTTGCCCCGACCTTTAGCCTCTGGGCCATTTGTAATACATATTTAATTTTTAGTCACAGGAAATAAGTAATCATGGTGCTCAACAGTTTGGATAAGATGATTCAACTCCAGAAAAACACTGCCAACATCAGGAATATTTGTGTTTTGGCTCATGTTGACCATGGTAAGAATACTTTTTAAATGGCTTATTTTGATAAATAAGGGAGATGTGTCTCTGTATGTCTCAGTGGAGTGAAGCTGTGGACAGCTGAGAGTGATGTTTGCTAAGAAGCAAGTCTTCTTTCTTTAAAAGTTTTGTGTGATGTTAGGGAAGCCTGCTTTGCTATAAAGCATTTGAAATGAACACGGTTACCTAGTGAGTAGCATTCTTCTATATATTATGTCATGTTGTTTTTTAAAGCAGAACTTGAATTTTTTGTTTTTGAAATGGCTTTACATATAAAATGTCTGTAGTCTTGACATAATGTCCTTAGAGTCTGTGGTATGTGATCCTATTTAATTCATCAGATATTTATCAAACGTCTGTTAAGTTCAAGATATTTTGCTTAGTATGTCTGAAGGTGGAGATTTATGAGTAGGGCACTAGCCCAGGGGAGGTTTTAACGGGGAGCAGAGCAAAATGAGACAAACAAGAGAAAAAAGTAGACTCTAAGGTTGGGAGAACTAGAGGATTAGGAAGTGAGGGGTTAGGAAAAGACCTCACAACATAATTAGTATTAGAGATGACACTTGAAGGGGGCTCAAGATGACAAATGGAGATAATCATTACAGGTGGGAATGTGTCATCAAGGGGAGAGGGAAATATATGTGGTCAAAGCCCAGTATATGGGAAAGGCAGAGATAGCTAACCCATGGTATGTTCTTCTGACAGATACTGCTGTAACTCCATAGCGCTCCTTCATGCTAAGCCTCCTCTTGATTTCAAACCTCTTGGTAGTTTAGGTAACCACAGCAAAGTGATTGGGATGGGCATATGAAATAAAACATATTTACCATCCTGAAGATGAAGGACCAGTTGGCGAGGTGAAGAAGCAGGCTGAGTCATATCTCATAGAGCTGCTCATGCCAGCTAGGAACTGGGATAAGAGTTGAGTGCTCCAGCTCTGGAGTTAGACAACCTAAGTTCAGATCTCCATTTTCAAGTTACATACCTTGCCTTTTTGAGCTTCAATATACAGCATCTGTAAAACAGGATGAAAACTATACCTGCTTTATAGGCTATAGGATTAAATGTGATAATAATGAGAGGGAAGGTAAACGCTTCACCATGAAAACGATCATTAATGTCTACTATTAGGCAGTAGGGAGCCTTTGGGGGAAAACATGGAGCAGGAATGATGTAATCAAATAAAACATGAGAAAGATTAGATTGGTAGACATGCTTAGGATGGATCCAAAGTCAGAGATTAGGTGGCTGTTGTCATTGATAGAAGAGCTGAAGTAATGTGAGTATGGAAACTGACAGAAAGACAGATAGTGGATCACTTACAAGTGAAGCCAGCTGTGAATGAGTTTTAGTACAAATCCAGTGAGTAACCCCTGCCTCCATGAGTTTTTATAATTTTACTGCTCACATTTTGAGAATGTGAAGGCTGATAAAAGGGTTTTTTTTTTCTTTATGAATTTATTCAAGTGGAAAGTTAGTGGGGTGTAACAAATTACTTTAAATGTATTGTTTAAAATTATGTTAAGCTGCTACTATCCTAAAAAACCTGGGATTCATCCATTCAACAAGTATTTTCTGAAGGTCTTCTATATGACAAGCGTTGTTCTGGTCCTAGGGATACTGCTGTGAATAAAGCAAAGTTCCTGCTTGCTTGATAATTATTTTCTAGGGAGGTATATACTTGGTGTACTTAGAATAAATTCAGCTTTACTGGGTAGCAGGAAAGTGATGCTCTAGGATTATATGCTAATACATATTTACATTGCAGACAGATAGCAGTGTTAAATATCTTCAGTTCTCCTACTCATTGGTCTCTGGTTTGAACAATACAGAGATTCCATAGCTTTGCTGAAGTTCCTAAAGTGCAATAAAGACTTGTCTTGAAGGAAAAAAACCCTCCTTTGCTTACTCCAACCCAGTTGTAGTAATTATGCATACCCCTGACATTCTTTACACAGAATCACCTGTTTATATCACATAAAATCTCATAGACTTTAGTTGTATGTAGTCTGCTTAATAAAAGTAACTATAAATATATTCGAAGATTCTTTTGCTTTAAAGTAGATTCCTAGGTTTAGATTTGGATACTAGGTTTCATTGGTTGTTACAGTATGTTTATGCCCTCCACATGCTATATTACAAACAGTAAGAGATATGGATAATGTTCCTGAATTTCTTTGATAAGTAAGTATTTTCTTAAGACAGTTTAGCAAATTCCAGCTGAGGCCATGCATGGGGAAATATGGCAAAAGAGTATGTTCTCTAAAGTTACTTGACAACTTTTCAGATGAGGTTGAGTAGATCCACAGGGTTGGAGATAAGATTACAGCATTATAGAGTGCTAGCCTCTGTGTCCTTCCAGATGATATTCTGTTCAAAAGTCTAATAAATCTCTTTTGTCACCTAGCATAGGTAAATAGAAAATCTTTACTAAACCAATTCTTATGACCAGATTTTAAATCTATAGGTATGATCCATGACCCCTTTTAAAAAAGATATAGATTTGAATTGATGTTGCTATTTTAACAGGAAAAACTACTCTGGCTGACTGTCTTATATCTAGCAATGGAATCATCTCCAGCCGCCTAGCAGGCAAGGTATGTTATTATTTTATAAATACTTGTTGCATTTCAGTATTAGCTATCAACAATGTGATGAACCATTTTCTGTGTTCTTCAGCCATCCAAAAGGGTATAAAACATAATTCTTGCGTCTAAAAGCTGCCAATCCATTTTGCAAGATAAAAATGCTGAGGAGAAAAATAGTTACTTCTGTATTGCTTTGTATTGCTTTATCCTAAGTGCAAAAGTGAGTTTTTGCAGCAAGCAAATGATACACCATTGTGGAAGATTTCACAGCGCAAGAGATTCTTTGTAGGTGAATGAGTTGAGTGGTTTGAGGAGAAGACAGAAAAGCTACCAGGTAGTGGGAAATAAGACGGATAAAGGCTAATTTGTGTGTTGTGCTCTATTTGAGTGGAGTGTTTGCCTAGAGACTAGTGACAGAGAAAACATACTGGCAGGGAGAATAAGATTATAGAAGACCTTAAAAGTTAACCTAAGTATCAAAGGAAAGCTGCTTGTGCCTGAGGATTGTGATGAAAATAGTGGGTTTTTTGGTTTTTGTTTTTGAGACAGGATCTCACTCTGTTGCCCAGGCTAGAGTGCAGTGGTGTGATCATGCACGGCTCACTGCAACCTCGCCCTGTTGGGCTCAGGTGATCCTCCCACCTCAGCCTCTTGGGTACCTGGGACTACAGGTGCACACCACCACACCTGGCTAATTTTTTGTAGAGACAGGGTTTTGCCATGTTCCCTAGGCTGATCTTGAACTCCTGGGCTCAAGCAATCCTCCTGCCTTGACTTCCCAAAGTGCTGGAATTACAGGTGTGAGTCACCACACCTAGCCTGAAAATAGCGTTTGAGGAAATAAAATTAAAGAGATCTTTATTTGTAGCTATGAGTTGAAAGGGCTTGGAATAATTTACTTGGCAGTAGAAAAATAAAGATATATTCGTTTCCATAATGAATTTAGGATATGATCAATAGGGTTTATCAGGTGACAGAGAATAGAGAGAAGAGGAGACGGAGAAGCAAAATTGAATCCACAGGGTAGACCCAATAGACTTGAAGATCGATTTGGGAATTGATGTGTGGGTTGGGAGGGAAGCTGGCCCAAGATACTATCTAGAGGAGGCTGAAGAAAACTAGGTTGAGTGAAATAATGAAATGCTTATATTTTCCCCACTTGAGAATTTAGAGAAAGTACAAAACTGAAGTAAGTAGATGAAAGGAAATAGTAAAGCATAAATTAATGAAATAGTAAACAGACATTTTATAGAAAGGATCAGTGAAGCCAGAAGTTTGTTTTTGGAAAAGATTAACCCAGCTAACAAATACAAAGAGTGAACCCTAATGTAAACTATGGACTTTAATTAATCATAATGCATCAATATTGGTTCATCAGTTGTAACAAAGGTATCACACCATATGCTAATACAAGATAGATATAATAGGGGAAACTGTGTGGGTGGGAGGAGAGAGTATGTGGGAACCTTCAGTCAATTTTTCTGTAAACTTAAAGGTGCTCTAAAAATATAAAGTTATTAATTTAAACAATTACTAGCAATATAGACAATTTTTGATTCTCTTGACTAGGAAACTTTTTTGTTTTGTTTTTCATTGACATTGTTGAGGAACATTTGACACTTTTGACCTGGTAATGTTCCTAATGTGGCTCACTGTACTTTGGACATATAGAAAGCATAGTATATATAAATAAATATTTTTGAATGAATGACTTTAAAGAAGAGTAACACAACTGACAAAACACCAGCAAGATGATCAAGAAGAAAAGAGAGGAGGCAGAAATATGTGATACCCAGAAAGAAAAATGCTGCAGAAGTTAATAAGGTAATAATAGGATATAATGAACAACTCTGTGCCAGTAAACTTAAAAGTGCTAAAATGGAAAAATGTCTGGAAAACATAACTTGCTAAAATGGAGTCAAGAAGAAATAGGAAACTTGAATTATTCTATAGTCATTTAAGAAATTGAATTGGCTGGCAAAAATCTTTCCATAAAGTAAAGACCCAGATGGTTTAACTCTCTAGTTCTGCCAAACATTCAAAGAATAATTTCAGTCCTACTTAAACCATTTCAAAATATAGCAGAGAAAAACCCAACAATCGGCAGTATTCTCCAAATCATATGAAGATAGCATAACTTTGATACCAAAAGTCTGTTAAGGATAGTACAATATAGGAGAATTATATACCAACCTTATGATTATGGATGCAAAAATTATCATCCTCATTAACAAACAATTCAGCATAGTATAAAAAGATGATTATTCATATCCAAATCGAGTTTATCCCAAGGAATTCAAGATTGGTTTAACATGTAATTTCACTATATTAATGGATTAAAGGAAGAAAATCATGATCATTTCAACAGATATAAAGACATGTAGTAAAATTCAACATCTATTGTGATAAAACCTCTTTGCAATGTAGTTACAGAAGAGAACTTCTGTAATCTGATGTGGGATATTTATAAAAAACCTAAAATGAAGATTGAACTTAATGATGAAGTGTTAAAACTTCTCTATTCATAGCCAGGAATAAGGCAAGAATGGCTGTCACACCCTTCTGCTCATTGTGTTATAACTTCTACTTTAGATTGTACTGGAGGTTCTAGTTGCAGTGATAAAGCTGGAAAGAAAAATAAAAAGTGTGAATTTTGGAAAGGAAGAAAACAAAAATGTAGATAAATTGCTAGGATATTAGTAACAATTTGGCAGGTTTCAGGATACGAAAACTGTTGAAAAGAAGTATACGTGAGCAATAAATAGGTAATATACAGTAATTTAAAAACGTAAACCATTTAAATAGCATAATAAATGTACCTGTGCCGGGCATGGTGGCTCATGCCTGTAATCCCAGCTACTTGGGAAGCTAGGCAGGACAGTTGCATAAACCCAGGAGTTTGAGGCTGCAAAGAGCTGTGACAGCAACTGCACTCCGGCCTGGTGGATAGCACAAGACGCCATCTCTTCAAAAACAACAACAATAACAACAAAACCTATGAGATATTGGAGAAAACTTAAATGGAAGGATATACCATATTTACGTATTGGCTGTCTATTTTTTAAATGACATTTAAAAAATATTGATCTGTAGATTCAGCAATTCCAGTAAAAATTCCAACAGATTTTTAAAAATTTCAACTTGATATGCTGATTTAAAAATATATACAGAAGAGCAAATAAACCAATTAATAGCCGGGACTGAAGAAGAGTAAGATATGGAAATACATCTTACCCACTGGCAAGACTTATCAATG
This sequence comes from Homo sapiens, assembly GCF_000001405.40. NCBI lineage: Eukaryota > Metazoa > Chordata > Mammalia > Primates > Hominidae > Homo > Homo sapiens. Next base: position 82,255,840 of record NC_000015.10, on the reverse strand, counting down.
TGTTGATGTGTTGTAACCTGTGGCCTGGAATCGGCTGAGGCATGAAATTGACTGACGGCTCAGAATAGTAGGCTGGCATTTCAGATCTGTGGGAAAAAGATGAACCTTTCAAGTGGTTCTTGGGCAACTGGTTATCCCTGTGGAAAAAAAAATTGGACCTCTAGTTAACACCACACACAAATTGCACAGTTAAGACATTTTTATTTAAAAGCTTTTTTATTTAAAAACTAAAGCTTTTAGAAAATAATATGGGCTAATATTTTTATGACCTTAAAGGAAGATTTCTTAAGACAAAAATGTGCAAACAATTTTATAAAAGGTTAATAAACTACTTAAAATTAAGTACATATTCATCAAAGATGCCAGAAAGAAATGGAAAAAACAAGCCTGGTAACTGTGAAAAATATTAATAACACACATATAATTGACAAAGGACTAATATTCAGAGACTATAAATAACTCCTATCCAAAACAAAATAAATCTGTATTGCAACCAGTAGGAAGGTGGACAAAAGCCTTGTATAGGCAATTCACAGAAAAGGAATGTTAAATGGCCAGTAAAAAACTTACAAAAGGATACTTAATCCCATTAATAATAGGATAAATGTAAATTTAAAACCATGAGATGCTATTTATCACCCATCTTACTTAGAAAATAAAGTCCAGCAATATCAGCTGTGGAGGTTATGGATCAAGAAACGCACTATTCCACTGTGGATCAGTCCAACAATTTGGAAAATAATTTGGAAATATCAAGTTAGGTTGAGGATGTGCAGATTTAATAACTCAGAAATTCTACTGGTAGGGAGTGTACAAGAGACCCACAACTGTTCATATCAACTCAGTAATAGTTACAAAAAACTGGAATCAGTCTCCATGTCCATCAGTACCCACCAGTTGAAGGTCTACATCTCATTCTCTAGACCTTGAAGTACATCAGTACTGACAGTGGTTTCATTTAAATAAAGATCCCATCCTTTTCCAACTCCTTAGCCCTAAGCACCAGACTAACCTCCTCCTCCTTTCTCCAGAATGATTTTCCCTTACCCTTCCTTCATTCTCTACAATGGACGAATGGGTCTGGTAGATTTGTGAGGTGGAGTCCTACAGTAATAAAAATGAATAAATTACGTCAATGTGGCTGAATCTCAGGAAAACAATATTGAGCAGAGAAAAAGTGACAGTATAATATATTAAGTATGATTCTTATAGAAGGCTTAAAACTTGCCACTCTAAATGATATATTGCTTAGTGACACACTCATTTTTAAAAATTATAAAGAAAATAAGGAAATGATCAAGATAAAATTCAAGATAGTGGTTACCTGTAAGCCAGGGGCACAGGGTACTTCAAAAGTAACAAACATTTTTTTTTTTCCTTTTGAAATGGGATGGTGCATACACAGGGGTTCATTGTGTTGTTATTTATGTATTACACGTTTCATACCAATTCAGTGCTTAAAAACATACATTATAGAAAACTGACAAGGGACTGAGACTTTCTGAAGGAAGGACTGACTGAGAGGTTGGAGAGGTGAAGGGAAACCAGCAGTGGGATCTAAGGAGAGATGGAGGTAAATTAAGAGGTTTCAGACTCTTGGAAGAATTTCACATATGCACGTAACACACATGCACACAAAGGGTAACTGTCATGCTGCACTGGAATCAAGAAAAATGAGGATTGAGAATGATTATTGCGTTTCGCCAGAGGTCATTGATAGCTTTTAGGACTTTGATTTTGCCAGAGCTGTGGAAATGGAAGCTTTTCTGAAAATTTCAGAATTAATATGGATGAATAAATGTGGCAGTTCATATCAACAGATAATTCTTGGTGCTTTTGAATGAAAGAAAGGAGAAAATAGACAGGTTAAGAATTTTTCAAAAGTTTGACAGTGGAGAGAATGGAGGAAGGGTAAGGGAAAATCATTCTGGAGAAAGGAGGAGAAGGTTAGTCTGGTGCTTAGGGCTAAGGAGTTGGAAAGGGATGGGATCTTTATTTAAACGACACCACTGTCAGTACTGATGCACTGCAAGGCCTAGAAAATGAGATGTAGACACTCATTGGTGGGTATTACAGTGTTATGAAAGTCATCAACTAAATGGTCATATTACAAATATTTTCTACTGTATTCTTTTTTTAAAAAAGATGTATTCAAAATCTATTAATTTGGGAAAGGAATAAAGACTTCTCTTGCTTCTAGAGACTTCTGTTTCAGTCTCTGCTCAGAATTTGTCAAACAGCTTATAAATAGGAAAAGAATGGCTATGTTATTGATGTTTAGAAAGAATTCCCTCAAATGCTACTGTCCGTAAGTTGTTCTTGACCTGCCCCATCATTCACGGCTGATATTTGGATGAGCAACACTCTGGGGAGGGTATGCAGTATTTCAATACATTTATGGTTCCTAGTGGTTATGTTTTTCAATTTTTCATGTTCCCTTCCCCTCAATCAACTTCACTTCTCCAGACCCCCATCATCTTAAAAAAAAAAAAAAGAGAGAGGGCTAGGCGCGGTAGCTCATGCCCGTAATGCCAGCACTTTGGGAGACTGAGGTGGGTGGATCACCTCAGGTCAGGAGCTCAAGACCAGCCTGGCCAGCATGGCGAAACCCTGTCTCTACTAAAAATACAAAAATTAGCCAGGTGTGTTAGCACATGCCTGTAATCTCAGCTGTTTGGGAGGCCTGAGGCAAGAGAATCACTTGAACCTGGGAAGTAGAGTTTGCAGTGAGCCGAGATTGTACCATTGCATTCCAGCCTGGGCAACAGAATAAGACTCTGTCTCAAAAAAAAAAAAGGCTCTATATAGGTTAAAATTTAAGTATTGGCTGGGCATGATGGTTCACACCTGTAATCTCAGCACTTTGGGAGGCCACGGTGGGAGGATCACTTGAGGCTAGAAGTTCAAGACTAGTGTGGGCAACATAGCAAGACCCTGTCTCTACAAAAATAAATAAAAATAACAAATTAAATATAAGTATTTAAAACAAAAATCTAAATTAGCAAATTTTAATGTTACATTTTAATTCTTTGGGAAGTGAAGATGCATATGTTGCATTTTTCCAGTTAAGGTACATGGACAGCAGAGAAGATGAACAGATCCGAGGGATCACTATGAAATCCAGTGCCATTTCCCTACATTATGCAACAGGTAAATCAGTCTGTGTTTTAACGAAACACAGCTTTGCATCTTTCATGTCCTCTTCTGTCTTTCTGAATTAATTGCATGCCTCAGTTTCTTTGCTTATATTCCACGTATTTTATTCTGGCCTCTCCACATGATCTGTTGTCAGAGTCAGGCTGTCCAGGCTTGGATGCAGATGGAAACCTCTGACTGGTTTGAGGGCAGAAGAACTGGCAATTCACACCTGCCCCCTCCACCAGGTGATTATATGGATTCCTTCACAAGGAAAGTCAGGAGCCCTAGGACTTTAGCTGGTTCAGCCTTACTATTCTGCCTCATGGCCTGGCCTGCATGTTAGATTTGGAGTAGATTAAAGGTAGACTGCCGTGATCAGTACCAGCTTGCTGTCCTCAAATGAGGATGCTACATTGATAGTAACACTTCTAGGAATTTATCTGACAGAAATAGTCATGTAAGTATATGAGATACATGTCACTGATATTCACTAAAAAGTTTGTATTCGTGAAAAAAATAACAACAACCTGAATGTCAATAGGAGAATGGTTCAATAAACTGATATATCCAAGCAGTGAAATACTGTGCAGCTGTTAAAACAAATGTTTAATATATATGTTATTGTACAGGGGAAAATGGTATGTTCAGAGACAGAAAACAAATTGCAGAGTATTTTTGTAAGATATGAATGTGTTTAGGTAATAAAAATATATTATATATGCAGATAAAGGTGTCTGGAAGGATACATACCAAACCCTTAACAGTAGCTCTCTGCAGGGGCTAGATTATGGAGAAACTTGCACTTTTCAAAATATTTATTTTTGTAGTATGTGAAAATTTTACACAAAATGTATATTTTTGTAATTAGAAGAAAATAATAAAGATAAATTTTATTTCCCTAATGGACTTACATGTGGTTCATCCTTCACAAGTGTCATATCTTTGACACTGCCACCAAAAGATGTACTGTGTGGGGCATGGCTGTTGTACCAAACCAGTTTTGAAGCTCTTAGGCACATGATTTCTCGATGTTTAATGTTTAACGCTTCATTTTTTTTTAAACCACTTCTCACATTTTAAAGGTTATATTCTCATCCTGTGATCCAGAGAATGAGGTTAAGGGTCTATTGATTTCTTATCTCGTTTTATAGACTTCAAGAGATTTGAAGGCTGCCTTCTTCCTTACTCAGATTATTAGTCTGTTTTTATTTGAAGATTCCTCTGGTGTCAGTTTTAGTTGTTCTGCTCTATACTTTGTCTCTAGTCCCCCTCCCTTGAGTCCTTTAACCACTTTATTAAGGTTTAATTTATATACCATAAAATTCACCTGTTCCAATTCACATTTATCTTTCTGGTGTAGTATTGTAGGAGAATTTGCTATAGGACCCTGGGAACTGAATGGTCTGAACTCTATTTTATCGAGCTCTGTGACCTTGACCTTGGCTGCTCACAGATCAGATTGTTTTAGGTACGCTTTCTTTTTTATTTTTTGAGACGGAGTCTTGCTCTGTCGCCCAGGCTGGAGTGCAGTGGCATGATCTCAGCTCACTGCAGCCTCTGCCTCCCGGATTCCAGCGATTCTCCTGCCTCAGCCTCCTGGGAAGCTGGGATTGCAGATGCATGCCACCGTGCCCGGCTAATTTTTGTATTTTTAGTAGAGGCGGGGTTTCACCATGTTGGCCAGGCTGGTCTTGAACTCCTGACCGCAGGTGATCCGCCCGCCTCGGTGTCCCAAAGTGCTGGGATTACAGTCGGGAGCCACCGCGCCCAGCCAGGTATGCTTTCTTGATTGCATAGACCAGAGACTTAAGCTAGCTTGGGTTGGGGTGGGATAGATTATTGAAAGCATATGTGTGAAATGATATTGGAAATAATATTCATGAAAACGGAAAAACAGGAGTCTTATTGGAGTGATGTCTCATAAAAATTGGAGCCAGATTTTTATTCTGGATCCAAGATAGCTCTAGAGACCGTATCAGTAAAAGTTTATGGATCCTTCCTCTGGAACTCCACTGTTGTCCTTGGATTTGGGTGTCTGTTTGTATTTCCACTATTATCCTGTATGTCTTTTCTCTGTCTCATAGCTTTTGCCTACTGTCATGTCTTCATCTTTGTACATTCACCTTGCCCTGACTTCTTACCCTATTATCCTGTCTGTTTTCACCTTATTTCTGTTGCCTACTGCTTCAATCTCTTGTGTTTCTGAGCACACAGGCTCAAGAGCAGGATGCGGCTCTGCTTATCTTTTCATGCCAGCCCATCACAGAGGTTGCACCTATGGATTGGCTGCGCTTGGGTTGGTTAGTCACCTCCTAATCCAATCAGTGGTGATCGGAGTGGAGTCACAAAGTGTCAAACATGTTTCTTGTGAGCATGGGATTACTGCCTAGAAGGGAATTTGGGCCGAGCAGTCATCACACTTGACAGTGCAGAGCCTTATGGGGATAGAAGTTAGGAATGTTGACTGGGACATATCCTCTCAGAGCACTTGAGAGATGAGATATGTTTTTATCTGTATCTTAGTACTGATTCTCCAGAATGGGGTATTTCCTGTTCTGAAGGTGGGACGTCTGAAGGGGAACCTAGATGGGAGAAAAAGAGGGAAACCTGATGATTGAAGAAACTCCACAGGTGACTTTTATTTATACCATGCCTTCCCCTCCTTCTCACCCACTTCGAATGCCCTCTTATTTGAGAATCTGTGTACTAAATGCAAGTTAAGCCCTTTCTGTGGTTCTGACTCTTAATTTACCGAGCTTTCAAAAGTATTTTCAAATATTTATTTGGGTTGAAATATAGGGTCTTATTCTAGTTTAAAGTAAACAGATAAATCCTGCACATTATAGAAGTGGTGTTGAAAACCATCAAGGTCATACACTATCTCAGCATTTTCCAGGAACCTAATTTTTCTTTGAGAAAATGGAACCTCTATTATCTTTACGTTTGTGACCAAAATTTGCTACAAATATTGGGATCATATTATTAAATCTTGTTATTTGCCTGTTTCTTACCTCTCTTTGTGTCCCACCCACAAGGATACCATACATTTATCTTGTCATCTCAAGAGTTAGGAAGTATTCCTAACAATATACGTTCTGTAAAATATCCTAAGGGGATGTAATGCCTTTGAATCCTTTAGCCTAGAATCCAGATACAGAAGAGAGAAATAGATTCACATGGGTTAAATAATTTGAAATTCATCAAAAGGAATACTGCAGTCGTTTCTACTGTATAGCCATTTTTTATATCTGAGCAAATATTGCTGTTGCTGAACTTTTGAAGTTTTTATCTAATTCATCTTTTAAAATATTTTAAATAAATTTACAAGTTTATATGCATACATACATATTAGGTATATTGCATATATAGTATATATGTATGTATATTTCAATGTATATATTTATTTATATATATATTTCAAATGTTTTGTAGCGATGGGATGTTGCTATGTTGCCCAGACTGGTCTCAACCTCGTGGATGCAAGCCTTCTACCTATTTCCTAAAGTTTTGGTATTACAGTTGTGAGCCACCACACCTGGCCCAAGTTTATATTTACTATAGAAAATTTAGTGTGTGTTATAGAATATACAGTAAAACACAAAAATGAAATAAAAATCACTCTCAGTTCATCACCAGTTATTTTATATTTTCAATTTTTATATTTAATGCAAGTTGTATGTGTATGCACACACTGTGAGGTAACTATCTAACTTTATTTCTCCCCCCAAATAGCTTACTTATTCTAACACCTGTCAGATGTGATTATTAAGTACAATATTATTAGTTCCTGACATGGTGTTGACACCTCTGCATAAGTGAGGCAGTTTGAGTGATTTTTTTTTTTTTTCAAGAAAAGTTGGCATCAGGATTTTCGGTAAAATCTTCCAAGTATCAAAATGCTGCCAACTTATTTAAAAATTGTAAAACACCATATGGAAAACACTGCAGTGGGCTTTAGCTTATGAGCTTTTAGTTAGTAACCTTAGGCATATAGTCTAGCTAATAGCCTGGTTCAGTGGTACACTTGGGATTCACCCAAGAGTCAGCCATATGCAGTGAGGTTGTCCTCCAAACAGGGAGACCAAGGATATAGCAGTCTTCTGCAAAGAGGTCCATATGCAAGTTGATCACTTTGTAAATACCTCTGTTAGGATAGGGTTAGTGGTTGTGGGCAGAAGGAGGATTTACGCATGTGTTGATTTCAGCTCTGTGGCTCTCTGGTTTTATACTCCGAAGACTAGGCCATGGAGACACTGACTCATGCCATCTAATTACAGACAAGGCCAGCATGTAGCAGAAAGTCATCTCTTATTCAGAGGCAGTAGCTTCCCTTTTCCTCTGGCTGTGTGAACGTTTACCCATGGTCCTAACTTGCCTTATTCTTTCCAGAATGAGGCTGGGAGGGAAGAGTTCCATTACCCCTCATTTGACTGAAGGGTAGATTTTGTTCTCGTCAGACAATGAATGCTTTACTTTGTGAAGTATTCAGTTGATGCCAGGCCTAAGAAACTAGGTACACGATAGTTCACTTCTGAGCTAGGTGTCTCATATGCCTGATTTTGTTTAATCTTCACAGCAACTCTGTGATGGGTATTACTCTGATTTTACACATGTGCAAAAATGGAGTTCAGAGAGGTGAAGACACTTTCCCAAGGACAGAGTAATTTCTAGCATGTGGTAGTAGTCCTAGAACCCACATTTCCAGCATATTCACTTGGACCATTAGTCTCTTGGAAGTCAGGCCACAACTAATTCCTCCTGAGGCTTGAGTTATCTCCTTTCCACTAGGGATTGTTATGCACGTCTTGTGGCCAACACTACCTACGTCCCTGTGGTCTTCAGTCACTGCCCACGATGCAAGCCACATGATCTGGCCTCTCTTATAGTCTCTTCCCCATGTTTCTCTGTGATTCTGACACCCTCTTTCAATTTCCCATTATTCCCTTCCTTACCAAAACTTACTGTGAAAACATTCCAAGAGAAACAAACATCGCTACATCCTCAATGTCTTTTTATTGACGTTTCCCCCTTCTGCCTGGCTGTCTTCTGATGACATTGCCTGCCTTGTACCTTTTCCAAGTGAATGCTACTCATTCATTCATGTTCCACGTATCTCTGGGTTAGCATATGGGATTGCCATTCTTTTTGTTCCCAGATCTGATTACAAAAGTTAATTCTTCTACCCTTGTTTTCAAACTTCTTCTTTCAAGACTCAGACCATCCAATTATTCACCTTTCCAGTCATTGTCAGCTCCTGGTGATGGTTCCTGTTCATTAGTGAATTTGGCACCCGGACTCATAATTGTTCTTTTTACCTGAATCTTCTAAGGTGGCTTTTCACCATCCCTGAGAATGACTTCTTCAACAGCTTATCCTCTCAACAACATTGATTCTGCGTTTCACCTACCTGTTGTCATGAATACTTTCTGGATTTTAGCATCACCTTGAGCTATCCATCTTCGACCTTTCAAACTTAAATACTTCCTTCTCTACAATCTTTGATTCTCCCAGCTCTTTCTTTCACCTGATTAATGAGGTACCCATTCTTTGACTTCATAATGTTCTCTAGTTTTTTTGACTCCCCACAGCCTCTTTCTTCATTCATTTCCTGCTTCATACAGCCCAGATTTGTCATTTCACTGACAGTCTTGCCAGCGTCTTCAGTCTCTTTGGTTCTTGACCTTCTGTCATATTTTTCCCAACAAAACTTTAACCCTTGATAAAGCTAATTCTCTACACGTCTTCATCCTTGCATTTGGGCTAGGTTCTCAAGTGGTCCTCCAGACTGCTGGCAGATTTCCCATCTCTCACTGTTAGGTCTTGCTCATTCTTCCCAATACCTATTTTAAACCTTCTGGTCTCTTTCAGCCTACCTGTCATCCCCTCCTCCACAATCTCAGCAGACATTCTTACCTTCTATTTCACAGAAAAGAGAAGAATTCTCACCTGCTTGCCACTGTATCTCAAAACGTAATGGTATGGGCATTTTTTGCTTGCCTCCTGTCACTGGCAAAAACCTGTGCTCTGGACTTAATGATCTTTTCTTCAGTATCTTCCACCTCTCCCTCTGTACTGGCTTGTATCCATCAGCTTTTAAGCATGCTCAAGTCTTTCTTGTCTTTCTTGTCTTAAAAAAATACATAAATCCTTCTTTCAGCCCCACATTCCTCTGCATTTTCCCTCTTCCCCCTTCTTAGTCAAAGTTATCCTACAATTACTCTCTCAATTACTCCGATAATGAGACTAGCACCTTACAGTAATGACATGCATTAGCAGTGTGAAATTGGTCCTTGATCTATGACCTTCTCTCCAGGGTGATGCTAAGCATAGAGAGATTATAAGAAGTAAACATCAACCTTTTTTTTACTCCAGGGTTTCTTATTCTGGTTCTTACACCCTTCCAAGCAAAACTGCCAATGATCAAAGGAATCAAGACAATGTGGATGTGTAATTATTAGATTTACTATCTACGCAGCAGGCCTTGAAAGGTGGAGAAGTTCTCAGTGATGTCAGAGTTCAGGGTGTGGCCACAGTACTGGGTGGCAGATGTGGACTGGCATCATACTGAGAAAAACCAAAAGCGGGTGAGGCCAAATGTAATCAGAAGTGGTCTGTACGTGGTCTAGTTTCATGTTGGAGGAAGGTCTGGAGAGGTCTTCGGGTCGGGTTTGTGCAGCAAAAGAAAACTTAATCAGTTTGCTATTCATAGTTGTTTCTAGATCATTTTTCCTCTCATTTTCCTAACCCCTGTCACTTTTTTTTTTTTTTTAAGACAAGAGTCTCATTCTATCACCCAGGCTGGAGTGCAGTGGTGATCATAGCTCACTGCAGCCCAGAACTCCTAGGCTCAAGCAGTCCTCCTGCCTCAGCCTCCCGAGTAGCTAATACTGCAGGCATGTGCCACCATGCCTGGCTAATTTTTTAAATTTTTTTGTAGAGATGATGGTCTTACCATGTTGTCCAGGCTGGTCTTGGCTCAAGTGATCTTCCTGTTTTGGCCTTCCAAAGCATTTGGATTATAGGTATGAGCCACTGTGCCTGACCCCATCTCAGTTTTGACACATACTATCAGAGTCAACCACCCTTCACCTCTCCTTGTGGCAGGCTTCTCATAAAGATAGTTACCCTGTTACCTGTGTCAGCTTTACAATTGTGCTTTACAGTTCTGTCAAATAATAAGTCGTATTAGTTGATTTATAACTTATAATGTTATACATTGATTTAAAATATAAAAGGATAATAGTGATTTAAGATATAAAAGGAAACCAGGTGCAGTGGCTCACATCTGTAATCCCAGCACTTTGGGAGACTGAGGCAGAAGGATCACTTAGGGACAGGAGTTTGAGACCTGCCACGGCAACACAGTGAAACCCCATCTCTACAAAAAATAAAAGTTACCCTTGTGTGCCTGCAGTCCCTGCTACTTGGGAGGCTGAGGCAGGAGGATCGCTTGAGCCCAGGAATTTGAGGCTGCAGTGAGCTATGATTGTGCCACTGCATCCAGCCTGAATGTTTCAGTGAGACCCTGTCTCTAAAAAAAACAAAAAACAAAAAAAAGTAGTATTTCCTGTGGAGGGAGACTTGTGGTTACTTTATATATAGTTGGGGTACAATTTTTGTATATAATTGTTAGAAGTTCATACATAAGGAATGTAGGAACATGTCTTCAGATAACTCAGGTTCTGCCTATATTTCTGTTATTTTTGTTGTCAGGCAAAATACTCTACCAATACACTGACACATAAAGGACACTTTCAGGAGGTTCAGATCTTCTTCCATAACTTCAGTTTTTCTTTTTTATTTTATGGAAAGTTTTCTCTCATCAGCTTTCTATGTATGCTTTAGTGAGCATTTCCAGTGTTTTGGAAGTTGAACACTAAACTCCTTACATGAAGTTTTACTGAATACAGAGATGTTTTGGCAGGTCCTAGTGACAAATGTGCACCTTCTGTGAGACAATTATCCATGGCACTTTAAAACCATGGGCAAGGGAGGAATTCTTTTCCCATAACTCCCTATTAGCAGCAGAAATTGTCTGGAAGATATCTCCCATAATTAACTTCAGTTCTTCCAACTTTTTTTTCAGCCCCCTGGAACATAAAAAGATTGGATTGTTGCTTGACTGATTAGATCTGTGCCTTGAAATGAAGCCGTTTAGTTTGGAATGCCTGGGAAGTAAAGCAGCAGAAGTTTCTGTCCCTGAATGCTATTGCAGGGATTAATTCAACATATAGCTTCAGGACTTTGTTACAAATCGGAAAGATCATTTAGCATGCTTAAAAAATTTTGTCTCTTGAAAAGTGTTATGCATTCTCTACTTTTTAAATAATTAATACTGGCAATAACAATAATATCTACCATGGTAAACCCCTATAACTGCGTTTATGTATTTTTTAATTTGATCACACACACGCAAAAGTGGTAAGTGGCATTTTTTAAAGAGACATAATGTGGCTGAAGTCACAGCAGAAGAGCTGTGCTTGGGGACGTTTTTTCTCTAATGGATATGGGACTTCTGTCCCCAACCTTTGAAATTTAGGTTAACGTTGTTTGGAAAGGGTTAAGATGAAAAAGGCATTGAAGGAGGAATTGGGAGGCCTGGCTCAGAGCTGAGCCAAGCCTTTGTCAGCTGTGTAACTGACCATGGCATTTCCTCCTTCTCACCATTAAATATATTTGAGAAACTCCAGGTTAAACAGAATTGGACAAACTTCTTTTACAGGGCTTCTCTGAACCTTTAATATGTATGTGTGATGTGAGCTCCAAGGCTGGCTGTTTATTTCTCAGCTATATTATTTGATCAGACACTTATTTTTTAGGATGTAGATTGTCGGGTGGAAACACTTGGTGTATCTCTAGCTTTCAGTTCCTCTCTAGATCTGAACCTGCCCTTCCTGAATGAATTTCAAAGAATCTGGAAATGGACGCGTACTTAGGGGAGCATAGATAAGTAGATAGGTATTCGTTTTTCTGACTATTCCCTAAAAGGTCTGTAACTCCAATAAAAGGTAAGAGCACTGTTGTATAGGAAGCCTGAAATGTCTGTACGAGTGCATTTTTAGACTCTGTAAAGAACTTGACTGGAGACCCAGTCTCTGAAACTTCAGTATCAGGTCCCGGTCGTATCACAAAGGATGGAAAAGTGCTTGAAGTTCTCCCACTCTAAAGTCTGGAGTTTAGCCAGATGAATAGGCAAGTGTTGTTTCCCCAGTTGCAAAGTATGAAGGAATCTAAGACCCGAGAAGTGACTAAGATGGTTCGATAGCCCTGGGTGTATTTCTGGCTTGCTTCTTTTGGGACCTTGGGTCAGTCTCTTACCTTTTGAGGGCGTTAGCATGTTTTTCTATGGAATAAAGGCTTAGGCTGAGAAAATGCTGAGTGATTCTAAGAATCTCACAGCTTTAATTTTGTATGATAGGACCCTAGACCACTACTAGACATGCTCCTTTTTCTCTGGTGTACTTGGTTGAGATCACGATACTTATCGAAAATGTTGACTAGGAGAACTGGTGTGAGATCTGACAGTGAAAGGCTCGATTGAGGTCCAGTGGGCCATTGCTCCAGGGCTCTGGTTATTTGACTTCTTGGATTTTCACTGGATATCTCCATGGTCTTCTCTGGTTGGAGCCTTCTCTGGTGGTTTCAGCAGAGCAATGGTTCCTCATAAAGCAGTTTGCATGAAAAGACCAGGAGGCAGCGGGGAGGAGTGGTACTGAAGAAGGCAGTCTGTTGCTAACTGATGGCAGTCTTTCCCACTGAGCCTCAGTACACTTGGGAATGCTTCACCCAGTGTTTTAGGAATTCATTAGCAGTGGAATCTTGGCATGTGAGGTGAAAGTTACTGCCTTCTGAGTGTAGTGGTTAGAGGTATGGTCTTTGGAGTTAAGTGGATTTGAACTTATGCTCTATCATTTTGAATTGTGTGATCTTAGTCAACCTCAGAATTGGATTCTAGCTGGATGTCCTTGAGAAAAATACTTAACTTTTCTGTGCCTTAGTTACCTGCTATATAAAATTGGGCTAATAGTTGTAACTACTACAGGGGATTGTTGTAAGTAAACATCAGATAATTTCTGTATTATGCTTAGAACAATGCCAGCCATGAATAGGCAGTCCACAGATGTTAAGCGCTGGTTGTGGTTATTGTTGTGGTGGTGTTTATCATCAGTATCACCTAGGGCACAAGCGAAGTCATTAAAATTATATTGGGGGAAAATCCTTTAAATGGCCCATAAATTGCAGGTTGAGCATCCCAAATCTGAAAATCCAAAATCTGAAATGCTCCAAAATTCAAAACTCTTCAAATACCAACATGGCACAAAAAGGAAATGCTCATTGGAGCATTTTGGATTTCAGATAAAGGATACTCAACCCTGTAGTCATTCTTGAGTGCATTCAAGTTGATAAACACTGAGTTAAGGGGAGGAGCAAAAGTAAAGTATATGTTTGAGCATTCTAATAGTTATTCTGCCTTTAAAAGAGAATTATATCAAATTTATCAATAATGGGGAATGAGTACAGAATTCTAAAGTATTAACTAATTTTCTGCATGGTATACTAAGTTATGTTTAGTGATAACTCTCTATAACCTAAGATGATCTTTTTTTTTCTTGTTTGCCTGGGACTAAGGGCTTTGATAGGATGTGGGAATTTCCGTGCTAAAACCAGACAACTCAGGATGTGTCATCACCCTACTATAAGTTTAATACATTTGTCTGTTGAGACTATTGAAGGAGATATTAATGGGAGAGCACATAGCACACTGCTTGGCACATAGTAACTGCTCCTTAAGTTTTTGTAGAATTGAGTCTAAATCTTGATTGAGCAGATTCATACACTGCTCTTTGACAAACTGTAGGGAAGAACTTGGCCAACTGCTTTGTTGGCCCTTTGAACAGCTCTTACTGTCAGGCCCTTAGGCATTGATTTCTTTCAGTTTCAATTTCCTAACCTGTAAAAGGAGAATAGTAATATGTATCTCATAGGGATATTGTAAGGATTCAATAATATGTGATTAGCACATTAAAAGTGAGTATCATAGTGGCTGGCTCCCAATAAGCTCTTAAGTGGTAACTATTAGAATAATAAAGTCCTTTAACATTTTATATAGATGCTATTTGGAATCAGTAGTCCCATCAGTGGGAAAAGTTGGAATGGTAGCTCTGGATTGAGCTTTCAACTCCTTTAGCTTTGTTCAGTTTTTTCTTAGAAGCTTTCAGCTTTCTTATTCTAGAACGCCTGAGGAAGAACATTGTGTACCTGGACAACTGAAAATGTGTGTTTACAAATTGTATTTTAGGTAATGAGGAGTACCTGATCAATCTGATAGACTCTCCAGGACACGTGGACTTTTCCTCAGAAGTATCAACCGCTGTTCGCATTTGTGATGGATGCATCATTGTGGTAGATGCTGTGGAAGGAGTCTGTCCACAGGTAATGGATTGTGATGAGAAAATACTTAAATGGTTAAGGGTGAGGAAAGAGGGGGAACTGACTGACTTTAGGCATTTCACTGACAATCACAACATTGGTTTTATATTTCACATTTGGTAACGTTCCAGTCTGTGAAGGAGTTAAATCACCAGAGTTCTGAAGGGATCTTAGAGATGATGACTTTAATTTAACATACTTTGTTTTTGTTTTTGTTTGTTTTGAGACAGAGTCTTGCTCTGTCACCCAGGCTTTAGTGCAGTGGCATGATCTTGGCTTACTGCAACCTCCGCCTCCTGGGTTCAAGTGATTTTCATGCTTCAACCTCCAGAGTAACTGGGATTACAGGCATGTGCCACCATGCCTGGCTAATTTCTGTACTTTTAATACAGACGGGATTTTGCCATGTTGGCCAGGCTAGTCTTGAATTCCTGGCCTCAAGCAGTCCACCTGCCTCAGCCTCCCAGAGTGCTGAGATACAGGTGTGACCCACCATGCCCGGCCTTATTTATCCTTCTTAACTGTCAGTTGCATAAAGGCAACAATGATTTCTTATGTGTAGTTCTTTGCTACTCCGCTGTATACATAGTTTGTGAATGCCTAATGAATACCTTTGTCTGACTGGCATAGTCTAGAGTGGTTATTAATCACGATTTTCTAATGTGCTCTAATTATTTCAAATCATGAGTTTTACATTTTTCTTTCTGTTTTTATCAGACACAGGCAGTTCTGCGACAAGCTTGGCTTGAAAACATCCGTCCGGTTTTAGTGATTAATAAGATTGATCGCTTGATAGTGGAACTGAAATTCACCCCACAAGAGGCCTATTCTCACCTCAAGAATATTTTAGAACAGGTATTTTAATTTTTAGTATTTAAAAAATTTAGCCACGAAGAAGAGTTGTAAGGAAGTTACTGAGCTGGGTATGAGCCGTTGCTACAGAAAAGGGAACTTTTCCACTTCAGATTCATACGTGTTGCTGTTATTCTACAAGAGAGGCAATAGAAAAAGCATGTTCTCAGTAGTCTTTTCCATCTCTTGGAATCACCCATCATATAAAGCTTGGACAATAGGCTCTCTTGTTTAAAACTGTATCTTGGTTCCAAAGTGAAGCCATATTAGGATTTTATTACCTGTCTGTAGTATTTTATTACCTGTCGTTACAGGAAATTTTACCCAAGCATTCATTCATTTATTTATTCAGCAAATATTTCATAGATATATGTTGAATAAATGAATTATCAAATGTCCATTGTGCACTAGGGATTGTGAATATAAGATGAACAGGTCAGAATCCCTATTTTCAAGGAGCTCACAGTATAGTAGGGGAGACAAAGAGATATTTGGAGAACAATGAGATAAGTCCTGGGTGTGATATAACAGCATAGATAAGGGCCATCTAACCCAGTCTGGGTCAAGAGGGAAGAATGAGTTAGAAGTCTTAAAATGGAAGCCTTGAGATGGAAGTAAAGTAGGTGTTTGCCAGGTAGACAGGAAAAGGACATTCAAAAGAGAAGGAATACGATGGGCAAAGTCATAAAGGCAAGAAAAAGCACAGTACAGTGTTTCATTTAAGGAACTGCAAATTGTTTTTTAGCTGAAGAATTAGATCGTTTGCAACAGTTACAAGAGATGGGAAAAAGGATATAGGATTTAGATGTCAGTGAACCTGATATGCCGTGCGTGAGAGTTTGAAATGTCTTCCTCAACACAGTGGAAAGCTGTTGATGAGAGCAACTTGAGTATATTTATTTGTTAAAGGCAGGAAACAATAAAAGTAGAACAGTGAAAAAGAATGATGGATGGATATCATTCGTTGTAGAAATAGGAAGAGGTAGGCCGGGCGAGCTGGCTTACACCTGTAATCCCAGCGCTTTGGGAGGCCGAGGCGGGTGGATCACGAGGTCAGGAGATTGAGACCATCCTGTCGAACAAGGTGAAACCCTGTCTCTACTAAAAATACAAAAAATTAGCCGGGCGTGGTAGCAGGCCCCTGTAGTCCCAGCTACTAGGGAGGCTGAAGCAGGAGAATGGTGTGAACCCGGGAGGCAGAGCGTGTGGTGAGCCAAGATCACGCCACTGCACTCCAGCCTGGGCAACAGAGCGAGACTCCACCTCAGAAAAAAGAAAAAAATTAGGAACAGGTAAAATAACTCCTGCCCTGCATTGGCAGGAGAAAGGTCAGTGGTATTTGCAGACATAAGTGAGCTTGTAGATTGGGATGTGGGGCACTTGAAGGAAATCTGAGTAATAGGTTCCATTTTCTCTCTGAGGTAGGACATAAGATTACTGCCTATTTGGGAGTGAAAGTAGAGTTGAGGATTAGGAGTTGGGAAGAGGGCCTGAAGAGGGTAGTGCACATTTCAGACAGCCGATGTGAGAGATGGGCAAGGCAGTGGACTAAGGTTACAAACTAGGATTGTGGGGTTGGAAATCATGAGTACTTTGTGATACTAGGCCTCAGCACTGAGAAACAAATTAAGGATATGACACATTAACATTTACATTAAACTAATAATAATAATCACAAAATAACCTTCCAAAAACCTTATAATTTAGTTATGCTGAGTTTAGGAAGAATGGATACATCTAAGTTATTCACTGATTATGAATGTCACCTCCATTCATGTATGCTTAATGAGCCCAAACTGACTAATGATTCTAGCCCTAACACAGGTTAAACAGTGTTTCTCCTGCCGTGAGCATGCTGAGCATCTGAATGACGCTCTGCCATTTCACCATCTCTCCTAGATTAATGCGCTCACAGGGACTCTTTTTACTTCTAAAGTCCTAGAAGAAAGAGCAGAGAGGGAGACTGAATCCCAAGTGAATCCAAATTCTGAACAAGGAGAGCAAGTATATGACTGGAGCACTGGCTTGGAGGACACAGATGATTCTCACCTTTACTTCTCTCCAGAACAGGGAAATGTGGTGTTTACCAGTGCAATAGATGGGTGGGGCTTTGGGTAAGTCTGTTTGCATCTGATTAAATCTCTTTGCAGATTTTATATGCAGTTGATTGTTTTTAGTGAAACTTTTATTTTGAGATAATTATAGATTCACCTATAGTTGTAAGAGATAATGCAGAGAGTTCTCTGGTGCCCTTTACCCAGTAACTGCCTCCTATCCATGATAACATCTTGTAGAACTGTAGTACAATAACCAAGCAGGACTTTGCCATTTGCCGTCAATATACAAAACATTTCTATCACCACAAGGCTCCTTCACGTTGCCCTTATATTGCCACAGCTACTTCCTTCCCACCCTCAAACCCTTTTTAACCCTTGACAACCATTTATCTCCAAATTTCTCATTTCAAGGGTGTTATAGAAATGGAACCAAAAAATATGTAATATTTTTTAAATTGATTTTTTTCACTTAGCATGATTCTCTAGAGACTTATCCAAGTTATTGCATGCATTAATACTGTAGTTGGTTCCTTTCTGTTGCTCAGTAGTATTCCATGGTGTGGATGTACCCCAGTTTATTCACCCATTAAAGGACATCTGGTGTTTTTTTTTTTTTTCCTTTTTGGGCCATTATGAGTAAAGCTGCTATAAACATTCATGTGTAGGTTTTTGTGTGAACATAAGTTTCATTTCTCTGGAATAAATGCCTAGGAGTGCAGTTGCTGGGTCATATGATAGTTGTATGTTTAGTTTTTAAAGAAACTACCAAACTGTTTCCAGACGGACTGTACCATTTTATATTCTCACCAGCAGTGCATGCGTGAGTGATCCAGTTTCTCCAAATGTTCACGTTTGGTGTTGTCACCGTTTTCATTTTAGCAATTCTGTTGGGTGTGTACTAATATGATATTGTGGTTTTAATTTGCGTTTTCCTAACAGCTGGTTTACCTTGAACATCTTTTCATGTGCTGATTTGTCATCTGTAGGTCCTCTTGGGTGAAAAGTCTTTTCACATCCTTTCCCATTTTCTTAATGTGTTTTCTTCGTACTCCTGAATTTTGAGAGTTTTTTCTATTCTAAACAGTAGTCCTTTGTCTCATATGTGCTTTGCAAATATTTTCTCCCAGTCTGTAGTTTGACTTCATATCCTCTAACAGTGTCTTTCAAAATGAGCAACGTTTATTTTTTGTTTTTTGTTTTGTTTGTTTTGTTTTGTTTTTTGAGACAGAGTCTTGCCCTGTTGCCCAGGCTGGAGTGCAGTGACGCAATCTTGGCTCACTGCAACCTCCGCCTCCCAGGTTCAAGCGATTCTCCTGCCTCAGCCTCCTGAGTAGCTGGGACTACAGGTGTGCACCACCACTGCCAGCTAATTTTTGTGTTTCTTTTAGTAGAGACCAGGTTTCACCATGTTGTCCAGGCTGGTCTCAAACTCCTGACCTCAAGTGATCCGCCTCGGCCTCCCACAGTGCTGGGATTACAGGCATGAGCCACTGCTCCCAGCCATCAAAGTCCGCAAAGTTTTTAATTTGGCTGAAGTTTCGTTTATCATTTTTTCTTTTTATGGATCTTGATTTTAGAGTCAAGTTGAAGAACTCTTTGCCTAGCTCTAGATCCTAAAGATTGTCTCTCATTTTTTTCTATAAGTTTTGGTTTTACTTTTTACATTTAATCCATGACCCATTTTGAGTTAATTTTTGTATAAAGTGTGAGGCTTGGGTTAAGGTTTTCTTTTGGTGGGAGGAGAGGGCCTTTGGATTTCCATTTAGTCTAGAACGCTTTGTTGAAAAGGTTATCTATTCTCCATAGAATTGCTTTTGTGCCTTTGTCAAAATCACTTGGACATACTTGTGTGGGTCTGTTTCTGAGTGTTTTGTTCTGTTCCTTTAATCTATGTGTCTGTCTTTCCAACAGTACCACATAATTTTGATTAGTGTAGCTGCATAATAAGTCTTGAAATCAGGTAGATTATTTCTGTCCACATTATTTTTAATTTTCAAAATTTCTTTTGCTGTTCAAGGCCTTTGCCTTTCCATGTAAATTTTATAGTAATCTTACCTATATCTGCAAAAACATTTTGCTAGGATTTTGATGGAAATTGATTGGTAAACCTGTTAATTTGGGGAGAATTTTGACATCTTTGCTATGTTGAATTTTTTCTATTCCATGAACACTATGCCTCTCCTTTTATTTAAAATTTTTAAAAATTCTTTTATGAGCATTTTGTAGTTTTCAGCATCCAAGTGCTGTACATGTTGAGTTAGATTTACACTTAATTTTTCATTTTTCTGAATGATTATAAATGATATTTTTAATTTTGGTGTTAGCACATTCATCTAGTATATAGAAATACAATTAATTTTTGTATGTTGATCTTGTATACTGTCACCTTGCTGAACTCACTTGCAGTTCTTTGTAGATATTTTGGAATTTGCTATGAGACTATCATGTCTGCAAATAGGGGTTGTTGTATTTTTTTCCTTTTCTATCTGCATGCTGTTTTCTCTTTTGCTGATTGCACTGGCTAGAATTTCCAGCACTATATGACTGACATTGATGGGAGTGGGCATCCTTGCCTTGTTCTTGGTCTTAGGAGGAAAGCATTAAGCCTTTCACCGTTAGAAATAATGTTAGGACTGCAGGCTGTTTTTAGATGTCCTTTATCAAGTTGAGGAAGTCCCCTAATATTCTTATTTTTCTGAATGTCATTATTATGAATGTGTCAAGTTTTGTCACATACCTTTTCTGTATTAATTAATATATTTGTATGATTTTTCTTCTTTAGCTTGTTAATATGGTATATTACATTGATTGATGTTTTTTAATATTGAGCCAGTCTTGCATTTCTTTATAGATTTTATATACAATTGATTTTTAACTTTAACTTTATTCTTGAGTAAATTCAAATGTATACCACAAAGGGATCCCACCTTATTCCTTAGCTCAGTTTATTTCATGTCAGTTTTTTGTTTATCTTCTTAAAGTTATTTGTACATAGATGAACAAATATATTTATATCAACTTTGATACCAACAGTAGCAAAAGTTAGTCTAGCTTTATTGAGGATGTACATATGCTAAATATTGAGTTACTCACTTTATTTAAATTATTTCACCAAATTCTGACAACACTCCTTTGAAACAGATATTACTATCTATTATCTAAGTCTCAAGAACATTAAGTAACTTTTGTTCAGCATCACTCAGCTGCTAAGAGGCAGAGTTGATATTAAGATTAAAGTCTGCCTGAGTCTGAAGCCTGTGTTTTCTTGACATGGTTCTTCTCTTGGTGTCTTCCCTATGGGGTATAAGGATCCTTATTTCTTCTTATTGCCTCTCCCGAATTTGCACATGCTGAGGCCATGTTAACAGTGACATTGGATTTCAGAATGGAGTAGGTAATTGATCACATTTTTTAAACTGCAACAGTTTCTGACTTGTGGAATCAAAAAATCCAAATGTAGTTAAAAGATTATTACTTTGAGAAAAATGTCTGTGGTTTGGATAAATAGTAGTGGGACCATAACTGTAGTTAACTTTAGTTGTGGGCTTGATATTGCATGTAATTTGCAGGGATCATAGAACTAGAAATGATGCACTAGGAGAAAACAGAGTCTCTTCATGAAATTTATATCAGTATGACTTAGAATTGGAAAGAAAGAAAGGATCAGGAGCTGACTAGAATGCAAGGCTTGGGTGTAGCCTAACAAATCTCTGGCTCCGTTTTTTAAAATGTATTTTCCTTTTTACAGGAACTTGTTCTCCAATTTCCCTTTGACCAGATTTTGTCTTGGGCAGGGCAGTGTAATATAATATCATAATTTTCTGTTTGTAATAAATTATAGATATCTTAGTCCATTTGATGCCCGAAAGATGATACTAGAGCTAAATAAATTGAAGTAATGCATATATGATGAAAATAGAAATTGTGAACCTGCTGAGAATTTGTACTTTTCATATATGGTTGATGGGTTGTCATTATCACCTTTCTAGGCCTCAGTTTACTTATCTGAAAAAACAAGAATATTGGGCTAAGATGATTTCAAGACTTTCTTTAGATTCATTCACAGTGATTCATTCAGTCATATAATACGGTCGTACTTGTTGATTTCCTGATTTGTGAGCATTCTGCTAATAAGCCACAAGATGGGAGGCTTGTCCCTTTCTTACATTGATTTTCATAAGTAATTCAATGTTTTATGCTAATTTTAGTCTAAATCACACAAATTGGGGGAAGTTTATTGTGGAAGGACAGGGAATAGGGAGAAAGTTGAATGGATAGAATAAGGGTAATTTACATAGCCCTTACTTTTGACATTTTTAGATACTATCAGCCAATAAATGAATGTTCCCCTGTATTAGACAAGGTCAGATTTAGAGATTGGCTACTGTCTGTTCTCAACAAGTTGATATGTGAATTTATGGGAAAGTAGTGGTGGAAATGAAAGCACCAGAGACTTTTTCCTTCCCCTTTTCCTCTAAAATGTCAGTGAATAGGCCAAGTTGACAGCTGCATGTGTCACAAAAGGTGGAAAATGAGCACATTCCAGAATTTGCAAGATGGTTCTATAAACTCTGCAGTGGGAAAGGATTAAGAAGTGTGACTAGAGGCTGAACCTAGGTCTTCTCCCGAAATCTATCCTGTTAATTGATGTTAATCTGGGAGAGTCTGCTCTGAAAAGCAGAAGCATATTGACTTGGATGGGTAGCATCAAGAATCTAAGTTCTTGTTTTAGATACATAGAACTGAGTCCTCAACCTTATAGAAGAGGGACAGGAGAGAAGAGAAATGAAAAGCCCTTTGTAATAGATTTACTTGTCTTTGTGTAACTGAGTATTAGAATTCTGTAATTAACATTAATCTACTGGGTAGCTTGGAGGGCAAAAGGGTGTGTGTGGCTCAGTAATTTCATACTTGACTGAGTTGTCATTCAGGAAGATAGGCAATGAATAGATCAGTAGTCTTGGAATATAAATCTTTCTGCAGGTCTCTTAGAATCTTGCTTGCAGTTACTCTGTAGAGGAAATGAATTAAAATAGAATTCAAGAATGGGGAAGTGCTAGAAATTGTCAGTGTTTAAAAATTGTAACTAATGACAAAAATAAATAAAAACACTAGCAGTAATGTCGAATGGGTTGATGTTAAGCAAATTTTGTAGTAACTACGGGATAAAAAAGAATGAAAAGGATAAGCAACAAGATTTTTGAAAGATTTGTGTACCCGTATGTGTACACATGTGTGAATATTTAATATGGTGGACTAGAAGAGCCTAGCCTAAGCAAATGGGCAAATGTCTTACTATAATTTATGATTTTGATAGAGGTTTTAGAGTGTTTATTTATAAAAATCTTTAAGTTTACCACTTTCAGAATTAAGAGCAGGATATTTATCTGACATATTATAAAAGATAAAATAATGTATAATACAGTCTGGGTAACACAAATCAACATTTAAAAAAAAATCCTGGAAGAATAGAAACCACACCAGAAATCTAACTGATCAAAACAGTTGTACCAATAAATGATTATACCAATAAATGTATGAAATCCCCTACTAAGGAGATATTTTTTAGAAAGGAAATTTTATTAAAAAAATAAATCCATAAGTTTGCTACATAAAAGAGATAAACTTAAAGCATAATGGACAGAGGCTAAATACCAAAGCTTTAGCTCAGATTATGTCAACCAAATGTGAATGAAAAGAGAGGTTTGGCAATATTAACAATAAAATAGGATTTATGGTAAATGAATTATGGCATAAGGATCATTTTCATATAGATAATTGACACATTTACTAGTGAAGAGATTAACTATCAATTATCATAACAACAAAGTGCATGAGGCAAAAATAGAACTATAAGTAGAACTCTGTAGGCACATGGTTTGGGGGCGATTTTCACAGGTTAGTAGACAGGAACATGAACCATATGAATAGAATAATTAAAGTCAGAATTTAAGTGTCAGTGAAGGATATACAAAAATTGGTCCTATATCAGGTGAAAAAATAATTCAAATTTAAAAGAAAGAAAATGTCACAGGTTTCATGTATTCATCGCTCAGTCATTATCTCTGGTTTTAACCATCTAAGAATAGACCCAAGTCGCCAATATGGAGAGCAAAGCTTCAGCTGTATTATTGAGGCCCCAGGGAGCATCACTACTAACAAATAGGGCTCCCTTCTAAGGTTAGGTTGGAGAGTGCCTGGGAAGTCAGTCCACAGTGGTTGCCTCCTATTGTTTCTTTCCATATGTGGACCTTGGACCTGCCTGTAGGTCCTGAATTGGATTTGCAAATCTGCATGGCAGGTTGCAGCCTGCCTAGCAAAACTGGGTATTTATAAATGAAAAGCCACAGAGATAAGGGTATCCTGACTTAACATCTGGAAGTAAGGCTCTGTGTGCCGTTCTGGGTGTGCTGAAACACCGGAAGCCAGGAGGAGGCCTGAATCTTTTTAGGGATCCACAGAGTAGGCAGCAAGGCAGAGCCTGCTTTCTTTTTGAGGCATAGGAACTCTACCAGTGGATTTCAGCCTTTCACCTTGTCTTCATTTGTGGAAGAGTGATTAAAGAGTCACGTGTGAACAAAGATAGTTTTATTTCTTCTTTTCTAATCAGTATACCCTTTATTTCCTTTTCTTGTGCGATTGCATTAGGTTGGGCTTTCAGTATGGTGTGGAAAAAACTGGGGATATCCTTTTTTTTTTTCCTGAGCAGGCATCTTTTAAGATGCTGGTACTTTGAAAATTCTAATCTCAAACCTTAAACTAGATTGTTCTCTAAAGAAAAGGTATTTCTTAGGTCCTTTATCCAGACAATGCAGATGCTGTATATAGGACCCTTAGTTGTTGATTGACTGTCTTCCTGTGACTGGAGACCACGGTGGTAAGTGGTTTTTCTCTGTGGGTTGATGCGAGTTAAGTCAGTGTGTGTATGTTTACCATTAATCTAGGATAATAAAAATCTTGTTTTGGCAGGTTGTGGCTCAAGAATTTCTTTCATTTGTGAGCAGCTGTCACTTAACAGCAGTGAGTAGCTGAAATAAAATTTTATTGTTGGCATAGTTGTGACAGGCAGCTGGAGCTTGCATTTTCTTGTCCCTAATTTTATCTTGTTTTACACCTGCAAAATTAAGAAAGAAAGCTATAGCATGTAGTACAATTCATATTGGTGTAGACCTGAACATGGGCTTTGGAGCCAGACCGCTTGGATTTAAATCCCCACCTCACTTGTTCCCTGTGTGATATCTCTGCTTCATTACCCTTTTCTGTAAAATGAGGAAATTTTGTAGGATACTGGATTAAGTTTAGTAATACACGTGTAAAGAAGTTTGAACAGTACCTGTCACAGAAATCAATAATCGTTGTTATTAATAACATGAACATTTGGTCTTCTTTCAGAATTGAGCACTTCGCCAGAATCTACAGTCAAAAAATTGGCATCAAAAAGGAAGTTCTTATGAAAACCTTGTGGGGAGATTACTATATAAATATGAAGGCTAAAAAGATCATGAAGGGTGATCAGGTAATGTGGTATATGTCCCTTTTGGTTGTTGGTCATATTCTTGCCCTATGAAAACCTATACTGTAATATCTTTAATAAATGTAATTCAGCTTTAATTTATGCAGGTGAGTTCATGAGGGATTTTTTACTGTATATAATTGGGAAAGGCTTACAAGTCCATATACAGGTATTATTCATACAGAATTCTTAGTCCTTTTAAGTATAGTGAGCAAAGAACTGCCTTTTCTTTTCTTTCTTTTCTTTTTTTTTCAGAAGACCAAAAATCTTAGATCTTGGGCACCTGAAGACACACATTTTGTGCTGTGCATTTGTTTGTCCCTGTCACCATAAAGAGATGTCTCTTCTAGACATCCCTGTATGGTTCACACTGTCTTTCTAGTGTCAGCTGAGGCCTTATCTCACTGCATGCTGGTCATCGTGCAGTGTAGATCGGGAGAGGTGGGTGCTCCCTGAAACCCCTTCTATAGATAGAGGTGGTGTAGGAATGCTGTCATATACCCTCAAAGGATACTTTTCTTGGAGCTTTGTGTTTTTAATGTTAAAACCAGGATTTCATAAATTTATTCTCATTGAAAATCATATACATTGCTTTGAGAAAATATTCACAAGTATAAAGCCACAGTAAACAAAAAAATCAAAGCCAGCACTGCTAGTAGATGTTTATAATTTCTTTCATCCTTTTTACATAGATATATACATCCCTCAGTTGAGATATGCTGTTTATACAACGTAGCTGCCCTTTTGCTTTTGTCATATCATGAACATCTTCCCTTGCCATTAAAAGCTTTTTTATAAACAATATATTTTAAAGGGAGTGAATATAGCTAAGTGGGAAAGAGCATGCCTTGAGAGTTGACTCTGTGTTTGAATTTTGGCTCCACCACTTATTGGCTCTATGACTTTTATCTCAGTTATTTCATCTGTAAAATTGAGATAATAGCACTTATCTCATAGGATAGTTATGATTCTATGAAATAATTCAGTAAGCACCCTGTTATTTTATTTTGTGAGAGCACTATCATTTATGAATCATTCTCTTAAGATTGGACATAGTTTTTTCAAATGTTTTGATATTGTAGAGTTATGATAGACATCTTTGTGCATAAGTTTTATGTCTTCATGATGCTTTTTTTTAAAACTGAGCATTCTAAGCCAATGACTTTTAATTTCTTAATACTGTTGCCAGTAGTTCTTCAGAAAGGAGGTATCAATTTATTAATATATCCCATCTCGTGTATGGAAGAGTATACCCCTCAAGGTGCTCTTGCTATTAACTTTTTGCATAGTTTGTTAAGAGTAATGATGGGGTTTTTTGGGTTTTCAAAATTTTCCTATCCTTGTGAACCTTTAGAAATATGTTTAAGAATGCTTTATGTTTCTTGTAACATAATTTTAGACTGAAGTCCATGGAAAGAGCCCGCATGTGCAGAGTGAAGTTTTAGCTCTTGGCTTGTGTGCTGTGTGTATTTGTTTGATGGCAGCCATGGTAATATGACCCACAAATGGTCATATCACTTGTAAAGTCTATGGTTCCCAGAGGAAAGAACAGTGGATTATTATTGATTGTGGATTATTGACTGTTTAGTGCATTCTTATAACTACTTTCATCTACTTTATTTTTGAATAAATATTTTCAAGTAGAAATGAAACATATTGATAATAAAAGCATGTCAAGAAGGAATATATAAATGCCTATTAAATGTTCAGGAACTTAAGCCCGTATGTTCTTTTGTACAGGCCAAAGGAAAGAAACCTTTATTTGTACAGTTGATCCTGGAAAATATATGGAGTTTGTATGATGCTGTTTTGAAAAAGTAAGACTCTTATTGTTTACCTTTAGGCATCTTTAGGCAGTATAATTTGTCTCACTTTCCAGTTTGATGAGTCATATTTCAGAAAGCTGAGATTTTCTGAGAAAATGAACAGAGCTTCTACAGATGAGTTGATTACAGGGCTTGGAAGCAATTTAAAGAAGCCTATGTAACCCAGCTAAAGGGTGATGTTGGAGGGACAGGATAGCAATATTTTATAGAGTGCTGAGGAGAAGAGATGAAAGGATAGAAAGAAACATTGGGTCTTTGTTTATGCAAACCCACTTTTAAAAAATAGTTATTAAAGTAGAAAAGGTGCTTGATAGCTAGGATCATTAATGGGGAAGTTGAGAAATAACTTTTCTGGTATAAGTTTGCTTTAGTAAATTTGCTTTCTAAGTTATTCCTGAGATGGAATAATGACTTGTTAGCACTTATTTGTAAGACTGCTTTACCACTTGGTATAGCTTGCTTGAGGAGATGGTGGAGAAGTACTTCCTGGGAAATCTTAAAGAAGGATTCACTTGAAAGTGTAAGAGTAGAGGTTGGGGAGGCCCCTTGTGTGGCGGCAGGATTCCCTTCAATCATTTTTAGCTTTTTTTGAAAAAGTAACACATTAGGGTAAAAATATGCCAAATAATGTTGGGTTCCACTGCCTGTTTATATCTGCATATGACATTTCCCCTCTCCAATCTTGTGTTTACCACAGGGACAAAGACAAAATTGATAAAATAGTGACTTCTTTAGGATTAAAAATTGGAGCCCGGGAGGCACGACATTCAGACCCTAAAGTTCAGATCAACGCCATTTGCAGTCAGTGGCTACCCATATCCCATGCTGTTCTTGGTATCCTTTATTCTAATGGTTTTTAATGAAATAGTTTTGATAAAGCTAGAAAAAACAATGCGTTATGGTAACCAAGAAATTCTCTGGAAATAACATTCAATCCAAAATAAGTCTTCTCTGCTTATTTAGTGTTCTACCATGAAACTGTATTAAATACTTTGATAATTAATACACTAATACTAATTTGTGTTAACATTACTAATAGTGAACTTCTTTAGGAAGACTATTCTTTTTGTGTTTGTTTAGTAATCTATAAAAATAAAAATGTTTACACTAAGATTCAAATATAAGTAGATGATTTAGATGTTTGTGTTAGATAACTGTTTCATTTCAAGGTCACCTGTAGCCAACCTGCTAAGCTCTGTTCTCATTTGTTTCATGGGCCTCAGTGTTAAAGTATCTGTCATGAGGATCCTTTCTGAGCTTTAAGGAGTTTGTGAACTCCCTGAAATTGTATGCATGTTTTGAGATGTGATGCATAAAGCAGTGTTGCCTTGTAGCACAGGCATTTTCTGTATGGACAGACTTTGTTACCTCAATATTTAGTGCATACAGTGAATCTTCGCCTTGGTGGGAGGCACTGGCTCAAGGTTTTCAGTCCTTAACAATAGACTTCAGCTATGGTGTGTCAGAAACTTCCTAGTCCCCTTGATATTACAGCTGAGAGAGTGGAGAGACTGATGTGCACAGGATCACAAACTTTTGACTCTTTTCCACCAGAAACTCAAGCACTGAAAGCAGGTGAGGAAAGATGGACCTGTTGGAATATACCATGTCATTGACTGTCCTCCATCCAGGCTGCTCTAGACCAGTTTGCTGAACGCTAGTTTGCTAAATGGCCAATTTGCCAAATGTCCACTTCCACAGATGAACAGTTTCACAAATGACCATTTCACCAGTTTTGCCTCCCACCCTCACCCCAAAGGTTTTCTTGTTACAGCCATTTTGCTCAGGCAGTAGGGTGAGACCAGCGACTTGTACACATGCTCCTCGTGAGAAAAGAAGCTCCCATTCTGGGCTTTGTAGGTTCCATGAAATTTGTCTCCACGTATTTTCTTATCTCTAATTCTTTTCCTCCAGTTCTATTGGTTTTGTAACCCTGCCCCCAAACCACTACACTGTTATTCTTGGCATCACTATTGACTTTCGGTTCATTAAATCTAATGGCCAGTTTTCAGTCTTCACAGGACTAGATCTGTCACTAGCATTTGACGCAATTGATCACTCCTCCTTGAAACACTTTCGTCCCTTGACTTTTAGGCTTCCATTGCTTTCATTCCCTTGCTTCTGCTTTTCTTCGTGTCTCCCTGGCTGCTTATCCTTAATATCTCTTTTTGTGATTCCTCCCCATCTCCCTGGCTTTTTAACTTTGGGGTGCCTCAAGCAAGGTTCAAGTCTTTGATCCTCATCTGTTTTATCTGTAGTCCCTCTTTTGATAATTGTACCCAATCTCAAGACTTTAAATGACAGCTACATACTCATAATTCCCACGATTATGTGTCTTCAGAGCATGTCTGTTTTCTGGACTCTGGACTGATATCTAGAACTCCCTCTACACTGTGTTGTCTAAGAAGCATCTCAACTGAACATATCCCCAACTGGACTTTTTATCTTATCCCCAAGCCTGCTCACCTAGTCATTCCCATCTCAGTTAGGGAGACCTCAATCTTTTCATTTACTCAGTCCAAAAACCTTGGAGTCATCTATGGCCCTTATATTTATCTCACACTCCAACATCCAGTCCATCAGCAAATCCTGTTTATTCTTCCTTTGAAATACAGAATTCAACTATTTCCCAATGTTTTCACTTCCTGGCCAACATGGTGAAACTCCGTCTCTACTAAAAATACAAAAACTAACTGGGCGTGGTGGTACACGCTTGTAGTCCCTGCTACTCGGGAGGCTGAGGCAGGAGGATCGCTTGAACCTGGGAGGCGGAGGTTGCAGTGAGCCGAGATAACGCCACTGCACTCCAGCCTGGGCGACGGAACAAGACTCCATCTGAAAAAACAAACAAACAAACAACAACAACAACAATGAAACAACTAGTATCCCTGCTTCTGCTCTTGATTCCTGTTAGTGTTTTCTCAACTATTGCAGACAAAACAGAGTGATCCTCTTAAGATATAAATCAGGGCATGTCATTCTGTTCCTCATTCAAAGCTTCCACTGGCAAGACTTCTGATACATGTTTGATTCTTACTTCCTGTGGTTTTCTTTTTTCTTGTTTGTATTTTACTGTTGAATTCTTTATATATAAATTATTTTAACGTGAGGTGATGGAATTGTTTTAAAAAAATTCATTAATCAATGTTTTTTTACCTCCAGTATAGGTTAAGGAAAATGTTCATATGTTAATATGAAATTGCATTAAAATTTGTGTATTTAGGGAGAATTGGTATCTTAATAGTATTGAATCTTAATTTATTTCTAAGAATTTGTTAATATCATAATACAGTATTTTTGTCCATTTTATTTTCTAACTTGTTATTGTGGGGGATTGGGAAAGCTATTGATTTTTATGTATCTTATTAACAAGCTACCTTGTTGATTGTTGGCCTTTGGTAACATTCCTCAATTCTATTTTCTATACTTGATACAGTGAAAAATGTATTAGTGCTTATGGTAGGTGGTTAACCTCATTGCATAGCTTTAGCTTTCATATGAGATCCCTCACCCTGTCAAATTTGCTTGCTTTTCTTTTCTTATTTCTGCCAACTGTTTGCTCTTGCTCTGCTATTCTTTCCTAGCAATCTTACCCTTTTCTAATTAAAATTTTTATCATAGTTGGAAAAAGTTATGGACTTCTGGTGTATTTTGATGATGCCATCCATGTTCTAAACATTTTAATTGTTTTCCAGAAAAATCTGTTTTTTTTTTTTAATAATGGGAAAAATAGTGACATTTTTACTTCCTATTTGTTTAGCTTTTATGAAATGTGGAAGTGAGGACACTGCTCCAGTTATTATATTTGTTTCCAAAATGTTTGCAGTTGATGCTAAGGCCTTGCCTCAGAATAAGCCAAGGTAAGGGAAAGGGGAAAGTTGGGCTGGGCTAGGAATATGGTGTATGTTTGGTGGGATGCAGTTGGGCTGTGGGTAGGGGGGGCACGGATAATGCTTTTCCTCCTCAACCCAGAATTCATATCAAGCCAACCCCCAGGGTAACATACAATTTATACAGTAGTATATCCTTTTGTGATACCTCTGTAGGAGAAAGTTGTTGAAATCAGCTCTGGAATATTGAATTGAAGTGATGTAAGTTTGAAGAGTATGTTAGCAGTAGTAGCAACAATTAACTTTTATTAAACATGTCAGGCAAGTTCTAATCTAAGTCTGCCTTGTCTCATCTAATTCTGCCTACCTCAGTAGAGATTATGAATGTATGAGGATCTCTGCTTCCCTGTGTGTATTATGTGTGCACAGGTGTGATAGGTGTAGGAGAGGGATATTCCTCAAGTTCCAGAGTCTTGGGGAATCTGTGTCTTCTACATTTCCTGTTTTTTATGTGTGTTCCCCTCCTTCTGTCTCTGCTGCTTTCCCCACTAGTTTAGATTCTGATCATCTCTTGTGGATATTGTTGCAGCAACCTCCTAGCTGGTTCTCCTGCCCCATCTTTAGTTCCACTGATCCACTTGCCATTCTTTCTTTAGAGTGATCTTTATAAGACTCAGCTATGAAGATATGTCTCTTGCTCAAAAACCCTTAATGATCCTCACTGTCTTGAGCAGTTTTGATTCAAGTGTAAAGTGTTGGCGATGATTTCAGTGGTACTTAGGGAAACAAGTTTTAATATAATTAGTTGTCATATTTATTTTAATGTGTATTTGTGTGTATTGCCTGTGTATGTCAAGTGATAAAGCCTTTACCATGATGAGATTTTAAAGTTTTATTGAGTTAAAAATGTTTGTGCATTTAAATAAGTATTAAATAATAATATGCAGATATAGCAGAAATCATGAAAATGATATGTGAGTGACTGAAGGTCAGATCATCAGCCCGTGAAATAAACTTGACCTGTCTTAGTGGCATTTCTGACCCACCATGACCTGACCCCAAACCATGTTTCGACTAGATTTTTATTTCTGTTTCTCTAATATACTAGTGTCTGAACAAATGTCCTATCTGTACTTGTGCTGTTCCTCCATCTGAGAAGGCTTCTTTTCCTCTGATAAAATTCTGTTTGTCCTTCAGGGGAAAGGTTATGCTTTGTTTTTTAGTACTTCCCTAGTGATTTGGACATTAAGTGTATTCAATAATTTTTGTCCTGGGGATAAGTAAAGGAATAGATGGGTGAGTAAATGAAGAATGAATGAGTGAATATCCAAATGGGGGAATAACAGGTCAGTGAATGGGTGAATGAGTGGCTAACTGAGTAAGTAAGTGAGTGAATAATGGAATGAATGAATGTCTAATTATGTATCTAGGCTACTCCCAGATAATATTTCAGTGCTACATGTAGTAACAATTTCTTGTAGTAACAAATGTAGGATATTGGATGTTTTTTGGCCATTGGGAGTATCTGAGAGATTCTGGTAGAATCATAGGGAATATCAGAGAATTGGAAAACTTGCTGTTAAGATTTGAAATACATGTATTTATAGCATTTAAAATTCCTAGCTCTACCCATCCTTCATTTCTTGCTGATGAATAATAGTATTATTATGCCTCTACTGTTAATTACATTTTCTGTGAATGTTTTTCCTAATAATTCATCATATGCTTTTCTGATTTTAGTATATTTCTGATAGTGCAATCCATTCTATTCCATGAAGTTTTTTTACTGATTTTATTTTTGTCATTGTTTTTTAACCAGTATATCAGGTTCAACAATTGTTACATAATAATATAGTGTTTTCAGGTATACCTGGGCAAGGTCATCACCATTACTTTGTTCTTTTCCATCTTCTAGCTGATTTTTTTTTTTCATTTAAGTTTTATTTTTTAAATTTGGGAAAATGTACCATTGGAAGTTGGTTTGATAGCATTTTCATCTCCATTGTATTAGACATACAAGCCAGGAATAGCAGAGTATTATTTTCCTTTAGTATAGAGTACAATGTATTAGTGATATGTGCCAGGGAGAAAAGTAAGGCAGGAAACAGGATTCGGCGCCCACAAAGCCTAAAAAATTTTTTCCCTAACTTAGTGAAGACACTGACCTTTACTCACTGCTCAACAGTGCCACTGTGGTTGTAAATGAAGTGTGGGACTGTTACAGGACTTTCTCCTCTGTTCTTGTGTTCTTGCCTCTTTTCTTTGCTTCTTCAAATTCACCTTCCAACCTGACATTTGAATCTTCGGTCAACATTCTCACCTCTGGTCTCCTTCATCTCAGTATTAGTAACTATTGCCCCTTCAAGAAGTAACATCCATGGTTAGTTTAACTATAGCCTAAATAACTTAACACTCACAACTGTTTCCTCACTAGTAGGGCCCCATTTTCTTGTAATTAAATTTCTTTGTTCTCAACAAATGCTGGATACACAGTGGGTACTTTTTACACATCCTTGCTGATTACTATCTGCTTTGTTCCCCGCTACCATCATTCCCAGTGCCCAGCAGTGTGTGGCACACAGTAGTTGTTAACTGGATGGATGGATAGATACATAGATAGACAGCAGGCATCTATACAGTTGATGCTTACTTAATGACTGTACATGCTGATTATTCCAGATCACTTCATGAACTTAGACAGATGAGGATTTAATCTGCAAGTGAACAAATACACTTCTTTTTTCACTAAAACTAAAGTGAAATCACATTTACATAAGATGACAATTTTATCTTTAATTCCTCTTGAAGGAAAGACATAACCTGGTGATAATGAGCATAGACTTCAGAGCCATACAGATCTGGATTTGAATTATGGCTCCTCCATTTAATATCTGTGTGACTTTGGGTCGAGTTACTTAAGTTTCCAGTCTCCCTTTTCTTATATGTAGAATAGGAATACGATATCTACTTCATTTAATTGTTGTGATAAATTATGTGCTATAATATATGTAAAGTGATTAACAGTCTCTGGATCATAGTGATAAACCTGTTGGAAGAGACCATTTCTCTTTAGATGCTAGCAGGTACCTCTGGTATTTTTTCCTTCCTACTCTAATAATAAAAATGTGTTCTGCATTTATATTTTAATTCACACTTTTCAGATATTCTTATGAGTTTTTAGCAAAAGTCTAGAAACAAGGAAAGTTGTCAAAGGATTGGTTGAAGGAACGGCTAGAATGGTCAGCCTGGGGAAGAGAAGGAAGGTGGGGAAGGCATGAATGCTGGTGATTCAAAGGAAAGGAGAGGGAAGTAGGTTTGTTAGATGTTGCTCCGGAGGAGAGAACTGCGGCCATGGCTAGAAATTGTGAGGAAGCAGAGTTCATTCTGTATTTGAAAGTTCTGACATTTAGAGCTTCCTATAATGAGGAGCTTGTCTCTTGCAGTGGTAGTGTGGCCCCCTAGTGCCAGCAGTTTTGATTGCCTAACAAGACACCTGACCAAGCCAGGCTCAAGGATTGTTTCTCATATTTTTGTATTCTATTGCACAGCCCAGTGACCTGCAGCAGAGTGGGTGTGAGTGGAAGGGCCTACTCTTGGAACTAAACTCATTGATTTTGAGGGACAGGTGCTAAGGAAGGCAGAAGTAGTGTCTAGTCCTGGATACTAGGACTAGAGAAGTCTTGTCCAGCAGGCGGATATCTGAAGAGTATAGCAGTGGACAGTCAATGATTTAAGCAGTCACCTTGCAGGTTAGCTTACGTGAAATAGAAAGGTAGAAGGAGTTAGGCCACTTTGCATCAGGAGCCCTAAGGGTCTGTGGCCATTTGGAAGACAAGTAGGGAGAATGGTTACCTGCATGGCTTCCAGTGCTTACGGAGAGAGGAGGGGAATATGGCATGGCAAAGTGGGGATGAAGGTTATCAGTTAGGTGTGAAGTCTGAGATTGGCAAATAAAGCAGGAATCATAATATCAAAGGTGATGGACAACACGGGAGAGAGGCACAAAGTGTTGGGACCATGAAGAGTTGTCCAGCTTCCAGAGCTGGAGCATAAAGTTAGGACCAGAGGACTAGCCTGAGTGCTTTGATGTTCACTTCCCAGAGTATAGGGCAGAAGATGCTGTTAATCTATCAGCCTTAGGACAGGGTTTGGTCTTGTTCATGTGTTGGGGTTGAGCATGCAGGTAGGTTCATAAGGACCTCTACGTGGGAAGGGAGCCAAGTCCTAGGAAACAGTCTACCGGCCTGGTTTCTACCTTCCAAACCCAAACTCCCAAACAGAATTTGTATTCAACTTAGTATTCCCCTTTTGTCAACACCTTTTTAGTATTAAAACTCTAAATACCTTCTCTGCGTCCTGACAGACATGAGGGTAGTTCTTTAGGAAAAAGAGCTTAATTACCTCCCCCACCCCTTCTCATTCTCACCCCCATGGAAAACCACACATACACACCCACACACTGCCTTTTCTGTGATGGTACTTCTTAGGTCTAACACAGTGGCTGATATTTCAGTTTGACCTTCTAGTCCTGATGAATTGCCAGTACTCATCCTGACCTTGAACCCTTCCTCTTGAACCCCAGTTATTGAGGCCTTATGCTTGTTTCCCTGCCAGAGTCGTTCCAAACCCTAGTATCTGTCACTGTTTCCCTTCCTTCTTCCTGTTCTTTGCCTTTTCCAGAAGGAATATAGGTATCTGAGAAAGGTTCCATACTATTGTACATTGCTCCAGATGGGGACTTGGGCTCTTGCATGTCAGTTCATAAGCTCAGAATAGTTGGGACACAGCATTATTAGAGAGAGGCTGATAGGCCCTCTCTTATTGCTACAGACAGGGAGAGGACTTGGACAAAATTGCCTGGAATGGAGCTGGGACCAATCTTCATCTTACCCAGCCATGTCAATGCTTGCTGTTTCCCTACTTGGATGAACTGAGAGATGACAGCATATTTGTGATATCCTGTAGGCCTCTCACTCAAGAAGAAATTGCTCAGAGACGTGAGCGTGCAAGACAAAGGCATGCAGAGAAGCTTGCAGCAGCACAGGGACAGGCACCCTTGGAGCCCACCCAAGATGGGAGTGCCATTGAAACATGTCCAAAAGGAGAGGAGCCAAGAGGTATAGCTTTCCTAAGTAGGCTCTGTTGCAAAGTATTTGCCTTTTTGCTTAACTTGGGACACTCATCCTTTAGTTCTTGAGATTTTTAAGCTTTAATCGTAGTTTTTATCAATATTCTTTCCATTCTTGTTTTGTTTTGTTTTCTTTTTTTTCCTGAAACTTGACGAAAGATATCATATTCACTCCTCCTTCTATATTTCAGACAGTTCTTGAATTAAGAGGGCATTCTTGGCACTAATTATCTTTTTGTTTCTGTCAGGTGACGAGCAACAGGTGGAAAGTATGACCCCTAAACCTGTGCTCCAGGAAGAAAACAACCAAGAGTCTTTTATTGCATTTGCTCGGGTGTTCAGTGGTGTGGCTCGAAGAGGAAAGAAAATTTTTGTCTTGGGGCCCAAATACAGTCCTCTTGAGTTTTTACGAAGGGTAAGAATTGAAAGTAAAATATTTATATATTGTTTCTCGAGGGTCTGATATCTTTTCACATTTTGTTGGGACTGGTGATTATCTTGTTGGTAGATTTAGTTTGTCTCTGGAAAGGCACACTTGAGTGACTGTGTATCCTTTTGTGTTGCTTTGATAACATTTGTCATATATGTCTCAATTAGTAGCATTTAGGAAACCAATATGTGGACCAAATTTTCAGGCCTTGTTTAATTATAAGGCTTTTCTCTTCTAGGCAAGAGTCACCTTGTGGTTAGAGAAAAGAACTGATAAGAGCAGATGTCATGCTGGAGCCAGGGCAATGGCCGGTCTTTGAGAAATAGGAAGATCCAAAAACTAGCTGGCTTAGGCCAAAGGTGTGGGCAGTGAGCAGGGGATAGGCAGGAGTTGCATGGCACACAGACCCTGAGTCTGGACAGGAGGGTCTGTAAGTAGGTGAACAGGCAGCATCTAAAAATGCCTGAGCCAAGGGGCGAAACAGGGATCACAGGCTAGAGATGTCTCAGAACATTTTTGGAAGTAAGCAAGATATATACATTATAATTATATCATAATTAAATAATAGAGGTCATAGGATGAAGACAGTGCCAGAGGTCCAAGCAGCCAGTCTGGATCAGCACAAAGCAGTAAGCTAGGAAATTGTCAGCTGGCACCGTGGAGCATCATGAGCACAAAAACCCATGCTCCTCTCTGTGCAGGAAGCAGCCTGTCTGTAGATAAACCAGGGAAGCTGTGGTACTTGGCTACAAGTGAGAGAGAAGGAGGTAGCAGTTGAAGTAAGTCTCTGCCATCAGTTTTTCTTTGCCTTGAATGCTTATTCCATGAGTTTTAGCAGTTTAATCCTTGGAGAGTGCAGAGCTGCGTGGCAGTGAAGCAGTCCTTGTTGAGCTATGGCATGTTCTAATTTAGCAAGAAAGATTGCAGCACTTGGTGTGTATAGGGTTATGTTTTATGGGAGTCTGAAAGTGATATGTATAAAAACTCATCTATGATTTTTTATACATCTACGTAATCTGTGATTATCTTGGCTTGATAGTTTGCTATTTATCAGTAAGGGTCAAGTATCAGTTAATTTTTTCCTTTTTTGTGAAGGTAAGTGAGCAAGAAATTGTTATTTAGTGAAACATTGATTTATTTGGCATTACAAATTCCATGAACAATCCACTTTATCTCTGCATAATGTGTCTTTGCTACAGGTTGAAATCAGTTGCTTATGTGTCTCATGTCTTAAGCAGGAATGATACAATACATTGACAGCTCA
Organism: Homo sapiens; assembly: GCF_000001405.40. Lineage (NCBI taxonomy): Eukaryota > Metazoa > Chordata > Mammalia > Primates > Hominidae > Homo > Homo sapiens. Next base: position 82,218,372 of record NC_000015.10, on the reverse strand, counting down.
AATGGCCTCTTATTTCAGTAACCAGAGCACCATAAAACCTAATTCCAACTGCTTAAAAAAAAACCTGAAATATTTCAGACCTACCTTCAAAGTAACCCCTACCCAGAATTTGTGTTCATCCTTTGTGTTAGTTTTCTGCTACTGCATATTACAGATTACAACAAATGTAGCAGCTTGAAACATTACACATTTTGTCATCCACAGTTTCTGTGGGTTGGAAAACCAGACATGGCTTAGCCACATCTTCTCCTTAGGGTCTCACAAAGCCACAATCAGAATGTTGGCCAGGGTGCATTCTCATCTGGAGGACTGACTGATGAAGAACCTGCTTCCAAGCTCACTAAAGGTTGTTGATAGAATTCATATATTTGCACCTGCAGTACTAAGAGTCCCAGATTTTTTCTGGCCTTTGGCTGCCCTCAGCTCCTAGAGGCCACCTACAGTTTCTTGTCATATGGACCTTCCCAACTTGGAGGCCCTCTTCATCAAGCCATATAAGAGAGTAGAAGGAATCTCCTAGCAAGACAGAGTCCTGTATGATGGTATAGAATCACAGTGTGACATCTCATCACTTTTGCCATATTCCGTTTGTTAGAAGAAGCAAGTCACAGGTCCCACTCACACTCGAGAAGGAGATTTCTAAACAAAGGTGTGAACACTGGGAAGCAGGCATCATGGGAGGGGCACTTTTAGTCTGTCTGCCACATCCTTCTCTTGCTTTTCTTTATAGTTTTACAACCTGTGTACGTATTTCTAAAGAATATTGTCACATTTGCATGCTTTTGAAACTTTGTATAAATGGAATTTCATTGTAGTTATTCTACAACCTGCCTTTTTTTTTTTAACTTTGTGAGATTAATCTATGTTAATGCCTATTCCCGTAGCTCGTTTATTGTTCAGTGTGGCATAGGATTCCTTTACTTAAATGTACATTTTATTTATACAGTGTTTTGGTCACTATATATTTGCTGTTTTCGTTTTTTTTTTTTTTTTTTTTTTCAAATCTAATCAATGCTACCTTGATTATTTTTGTATATATCTCCTTATGCACTTTTACAAGAAATTCTAGGGAATATACCTATAGTGGAGTTGCCTTGGTAATCTCTTGCTTAACAAGATAATTCCAATTTATTGTCCAAAGTAGTTCTGATTTACACTCCCAATAGGAGTGTTTAACAGTTACAGTTGTTCCACATGCTCACCAAAATTTGGTTTTGTTAGGCTTTTGATTTGTGCCAGTCTGATGGGTATATTACGGTATTTTGCAGTTTTAGTTTACATTTTCTTTATAACTCTTTTAATGTGTTTATTGGTCAATCTTGTGTTCTCGTGTGAAGATATTAATAGTTCTTGGAGTCATTTCCCTGTTTTTCTATTATGGTACTTTATTGTTTTAAATACTGCTTTTCAGATGTCCTTTGTATATTCTGGATACTAATTCCTTGTCAGTTTTGAATTTTGCAAATTTCTTCTCCAGTGTAGAACTTGTTTTTACTTTCCATTTGGTACCTTTTAATAGGCAGAAGTTATTAATGTAAATGTACTCGAATTATCATTATTTTATGGGTTTTGCTTTTTGTATCCTAAGAAAATTGAAATTAAGTCTATGTTGAAGTCACAAAACTCTCTTATGTTTTCTTCTAAATTTTAATATTTTACTTTTCATGTTTAAATATTTAATTCATTGTTTGCAAAGAAGGCATCCAGGTTCATTTTTTCCTCATTTAAATGTCCAGCTGTTCCAACATTATTGAATAGTCCATCTTTATCCACTGATTAGCTTTGTCCACTCTGTCAGAAATCAGATTATTACCTATGTACATAGGTCTGTTTCTGGACTAATTTTATTTTTTTCTGGTTGTCTCTAACTATCTCTATTCAGTGCTGTCTTCATTTTTAAATGTTTTGACATCAAAAAGACCAAATCCCTTTACCGTGTTTTTCTTTGTTAGTGTCTTGTTTGTTCCTATTTGCTCCTATATATCAAGTTTATGGTCAGCTTGTCAGCTTCTATGAAAAGCCCTGTTGAGGCTTCGATTGGAATTACTTTATGTCCATACACCTATTTGGCATGAATCAGCATTTTATAATACAGCATCTTTCCATCCATGAATGTATTAGGTTTATTTATCTATTTATTTAGGTCATTTTAAATGTTTTTCATGAAGTTTTATAGTTTTATTTATAAAGAGTTTTGATCACTTGTTAGATTTTGTTGCTATTCTAAAAATCATTTTAAATACACATATTTTCTATTTATTGCTATTCTATTTATGCATTTTCTATTCCTAATTATAGAAGTATAATTAACTTTTGTATATTGATCTTGCATTTTTGCCACCTTGCTAAGCTGTCTCACTAATTATAATTTATCCGTAGCTTGTTTTAAGTGGACAGTCATATTGTGTAGATAATTCCATTTCTTTCTATTCAGTTCTTATAATTTTTCTATCTCTCCAGCCCATCTTTAGAGCTACTTTGAGAGTTGTCATTTTAGCAGAACACATACATTTAGATGTAACATGTGCCTGAAAGGTCATCATTTTCATGAAATTTCTAGAGTCTACCCTAGCACAGGGGCCTCTCCTTCCTCTGAACCTTTATGAATTTACTTGCCTATACTACCTTTTTGTTGGTCACCCTATGCTTGTGATGTTAATCTCTTTGTTTATGTTGTATCTCAGCCATTTTTTTCCCTTCATAGCATTAGGGCAGCACCCCAGGCCTATGAGCACCAAAGATTGGTTGGTTGGTTAATTGAAATGCCTTCTGGATACTTGCATTTATATGGTGGGTATATTTCTGAAGACTTCACACAATGCAAAATTTGAATCATTTGAGACAATAGTTCCATAAGAATAAATATGATGTATGGGGAGCTAATAAATCTAATGTACTTGTACTTGTATATTTTTGCTGTAAATGTACTCTGTCCTCTCATTAGTGTTCCTAATATATCACAGCATGCTCTTCCATATGAACAATATAGCATATAATAGCAGTTAGGCCTTTTTTTTTGGCATTTTTATCACATCTAACTACCCTTCCAAAGTTATTTTTATATGTTACTTGGCACTAGCACCAGCCCTTGTTGAATACTTGAAGAACATTATAAATAAAACAACTTGAAAGGATAATAGTAATAATGAGTGTTCAAATGATAGCACAGTAGTCACCAGAACTGGTGTATGATGTGGTTCACATAAATAACAAGGGACTGTGAGGATCAGCTAAAGTGACAATACCAGGTCACAACAGAATTTATGTTACTTAGCCATAAAGCTTATGATTAAATGGGAATCTAGACAATTTTTTAGTATTTGAGAAGTTTGAGTATTTCAGATTTTATTCATAAAGTGAGGCATATTTTATCACACCATTTCAAATGTTCATATTTCAGGTTTACATGAAATGTTGCTATACCATATCTTACTGATGAATAGAAGTAACTTTACAAATACCAATTAATGCTTCCAAATGCCTCCTAACTTGTCTTCCATCATTTTTCTTTGCCCAGGTACCATTAGGCTTCTCAGCTCCACCAGATGGCCTCCCCCAAGTCCCCCACATGGCATACTGTGCTCTGGAAAACCTGTATCTTCTGATGGGAAGGGAACTGGAATATCTAGAGGAGGTACCTCCAGGAAATGTGCTAGGTAGGGTGATGCTGTTTATTTTATCCTTACTCCATTCTAGGAGATTATCTAACATGTCACTGAAAATTTAGTGAAATTTTTGAAGGGAATAACTTTATTCTTTAGTTTGATAATTTTTTTTTCTGGTATCTTTAACTTAGTACATTGGAGTAACTCACATGGAGATCAGTTTCTTGCTGTAAATTATAGTCGCTCTGTTTTAAAAATGTATTGCTTAAGTAATTAGTAAATGCTCTAGCCTAAGCTGGAGTTCCATTTATTTCAGAGCGAGAGGGGAAATTCCTGTTCACATAAAGTCAATCTAGATGACTAAGGCATTTCTGGTTCTACAGATTAGGTTCTAAATTGTCAGAAACTATTCTGATGTAAAGGTCTATTTAAACTCATTGCTTTTTTCGCATGCTTTTATCCTTTGAATATTGCTTTGCTAAGATTAGTTGATCGTCGTTTATATCTGTAAATATTACTCTTCATCTCCTTAATGTTATCACTTGTTTGACTTCTGTCCCCCATGTGCAGAATTCACTTTTTGAGTTTTCTAGTGCAACCCTAAAGACTCAGATTAAGAAATTTCTCTTGCATCCAGAGTGTATTGTAGAATACTGTATCCCATTGTACTGTTAGATTCTGAACCCTTAGGGTCATTGTCAGCTATAGAGCTATTTATTGAGTGATTGCTTGGTTTGGGAATTCTCCGCTTTTTAGAAAAAGGTTTAACTTTTTTAAAAAAGGCCTAGTCTGTTGGTCCAGAATAGCTAATGGTTTGTCTGGATTTTATAAACTTGAATCCCAAAAATTTGCCAAAGCATTTTGCTATTCACCTACAGAGATATATTCTTTTCTTTATTTAATTTTTTGGCATGAAATTTGTAGAATGCTTAGCTTCTCATCGGTGTTACCTATTTTCTTCCATCCCTTTGGAAAATGCCATTTAACCTTAACAATTGATACATCTTATTAAGCTGCCACAGCCAGCTTTATCAGAAAGGACATTGGAAGAATGGAAAACACCCTACTTTTGTTCATAAGCCTTCCTTGAGATTACTGTATTGCTCAAATTAAATGGAACATGAGGTATAAGATCTCCAGCATGATGCTCAAGGGAAAGAAAAGGCATTCTGCTGAGTGAATGGTTTTTATACGATCTTCTCTAATTAAGGCCTGGTGCTTGTGTTCTTTCCCTAGTAGAGGATGAGACTGTGGCATGCATTAGTTTCTGGTTTTCTTTCTGTTGCTGAATTTCTAGATGCCTTCCAGGATTGAGGTTAAGTGGTGTATAAGGAGAGATACCATTTCTCTCTCTTCTGCTTCCCAAGGCAGCCTTGGCTCTGCCATATGGTACGGGGAGACAAACCTACTATAAGCTAAAATTTTTCATTTATTCTTGGAGAAGAGATATACCTTGATGTCTTTTACTGACCTTTTAAAAAAGTGAGATGGTAGCACAACATGGGGTAAGGATGAAGGTGACTAAATCTTTGTTTACCAAATTTACTTATATAAGACTAAGCCTGATGGACAACCAACCACTTCGGGAAAAAATGGATTGAAGAGGAAAAGCCAGATTTATTTCCTATAAGAGTTAAGATTGTATTTAGCTGCAAGTAACCAGAAAACCAACTGCATAGTCTTAAACTTCACTCAGTAGAAAGCCCAAGGGTGGACAGTCCAGGGCTGGTGTCATGACTCTTCTGTGTCATCAGGGAGCCAGTGGCTCAGCATGTGGCTTTTGTCCCCGTAGAAGCAAGATGGCCTTATATCTCTGAGAATCATACCCACATTCCTCGCAGGAAGAGAGCACAAGGGTCAAGACCTTCTAACAGGATTAATGTTTTTATTTGGAAAGAAATGCCTCTCTAGTGACTTCTGTATATATGCTCATTTTTGTAATTTTGTCATATATCCTCTCTAGCTGCCAGGGAGCCCTGGGATTGAGTGTTTTACTCTTCCAGCCTCTGTAGTTAAGGCAAAAGATATTGGGGTTGTGAATGGCTTTTGAATAGCCAGTCCACACTCTTGGCTGCATTCGCCTTCCATTCACCTGGTGATGCCTGAGGTGCCTCCATTAAGGTTCTGTTTTCTTTACATTAAAGAGAAAGATAGTCTACCAGAAGGATTTTGAGTGTAACATTGAAGGAACTGAAATGCAGCCAGCCACTTTGATGGGGCTTTTTGAATTGAAACATATAGTAATTGTTTTTCTTTTATTAATTGAAATCTGGTTGAGTCCCCTGCATGACTAGGAAGCATGAGTATACCAAAATTCTGGCCATAGTATTGCCACTAACTAGTTTTATGGCCTCAGGCCAGTTATGTAACCTTGCTGGGCTTGTTTTCCCAAATGATTTGGACTAGGGCAATGATTACTAATACTTCTTATGATAGAAATAGAACAGCCACTTTTAATTTTTTATAAGAAGACTATGGATTCCCAGGGATACTTTTGTTTATCCTAACTGGGATTTGTCATAATCCTAAACTTTAAAGATAAAACATTAAATAACATTGCATGGAGTACATTTTATTGCTGTAGCTATAAAATACTAACAAAATTGTATTTGTAATTTTTTTGGTAAAATACAAACAGAATTGAAGTTTCAAATTGTCATTATATGATGGCAGGTTGACATCCTAGGTGGAGATGGAGTGAGGTAGACATTTTTTACTTAAGTCATGAAGATCTTCCCTGGATTTTGTCAGTTTCCCAGTGGCTTAAAAAAAGTTCTAAACTAGATTATCTTCACGATTGCTTCTAGCTTTTAACATTTAGGCTGTGTTTCTTTAAGAAAAACCTTATTTGAGTAATTAGGATATTTCCCTCCCTAGTGTTTATTAGGAGGAAGAGTAAATGTTTTGATATGATTATTTGGGTTGATTGATAACCCATTTTAATGGCTTCATTAAAACATCTTGAACTGGTTACCTGCCTCAAAGTCATAGAATTACTTTTTTAGGCAAATTTTACTTGTTCCTTGATTAAAAATGTGTAGCGTATGTTAGCAGTAGCAGCAGTCTCATAAGCCAGGGTGTTTAATAAAAGCAACTTTTCAAAGCTAGGAGTAAGTTTAAGACAGGACAGAAGAGGCCAGAGAGTCTAGTGTGTGTGTGTGTGTGTGTGTGTCTAGTATGTGTCTAGTGTGTGTGTGTGTGTGTGTGTGTGTGTGTGTATATAGATTTTTTTTTTTTTCTTTGAGACAGAGTCTCACTCTGTCACCCTGGCTGGAGTACATTGGCACAATCTCGGCTCACTGTAACCTCCGCCTCCCAGGTTCAAGCGATTCTTCTGCCTAAGCCTCCTGAGTAGCTGAGACTACAGGCATGTGCCACCATGCCCACCTAATTTTTTGTATTTTTAGTAGAGATGGGGTTTCACCAGGTTGGCCAGGCTGGTCTTGAACTCCTGACCTCATGATCTGCCTGCCTCGGCCTCCCAACGTGCTGGGATTACAGACATGAGCTACCGCGCCCAGCCGAGAGTCTGGTATATTAAGGAGTGAGAAGAAAACTGCCCAAGAGAAGGCTAGCTGGCAGCCACAGGTAATAAATGCTGGGATTCCAGCTTTTGGCTTTCTAGGGTGAGTTGACTGAGACCAGGAATGTCAACATTTTTTTTTTTTTCTTTGAAACAGATTTGTCTTCTCAGGTAGTTTTGAAATGGAAAGAATAAGATGGCTGCATTGGGCTGAAATAATCTATGTGTTCCAGTTACCTGTTGTTGCATAATAATTAACACTCAAAGCCTAGTGGCTTAAAATAAAGATGGTTCTTATTTTTTCAAGCATCTGCCATTCTTGCATGGTTTGGTGGGAATAGCTTGTCTCTTCCACGTGGTGTCTATTTTTTTTTTTTTTTTTGTAATGGAGTTTCCCTCTTGTCGCCCAGGCTGGAGTGCAATGGTGCAATCTTAGCTCACTGAAACCTCTGTCTCCTGGGTTCAAACGATTCTCCAGGTTCAGCCTCACGAGTAGCTGCGATTACAAGCAACCACCATCACGCCAGGCTAATTTTTGTATTTTTAGTAGAGATGGGGTTTCACCATGTTGGCCAGGCTGCTCTTGAACTCCTGACCTCAGGTGATTTGCCTGCTTCTGCCCCTCAAAGTGCTGGGATTACAGGCATGAGCCACTGCACCTGGCCCCACGTGGTGTCTATTGAGATGGCCCAAAGCCTGGGGGCTAAAGTCATATGGAGGCTATTTCAAGCACATGTCTCGGGGCTGATGCCAGTTGTTGTCTGGAACCTTGTTTGGGAGTAGAACTAAGGCCTTTCCATATGGCTGCTTGGCTTCCTTACAGCATGGTGGCAAAGTTTTATGGGTAAGCAACCCAACAGGGAGAGCCAGGAGGAAGGTATATCACCTTTTATGACCTAGCCTTCAAAGCCTTCAGCCCCACTTCTGCCACATTCTGTTTATTAGAAGTGAGTCACTGCAGCTGGCCCATGTTCAAAGGGAGGGAACTGACTCTGCCTTTTGATGGGAGGCATGTCAAAGTATTTGTGGCTATGTTTTAAAATGACCACATTGCTAATCGTAGATAATTTCTTGTTTCCTTTTGCATTTTAACAGACTCATGACAGGACACATATAAAGAGATGTTCATAGTGATCAGGGCACACCTGTAAACTTCATCTTTTTTTACTTTTGTTAAACTTTGAGAAAAAGTTGTAATTCCTATTTAATAAGAAAATAGTGGAGACCAATATGATCGGTACCCATATGCTTTTCATCATAAATGATACGGAGTCAGTAAATTTATCAAGTGCAGATGAAAATTTTTGTTGGAAAAGGAAATGAAAACATTACATGGCATTCTTGGACAATTCAGCATTATTCAGTCAAAGTCCGAAGGAAAGTTCTTTTATTGGCACTTGAAAAATCCAGATTTCACATTTGAACTCAGCTATAAGTCACTTAGAGAACTTATGTGTGCCGATAAGTGTAGAATAGATTTTGTGGTCTGGAAATAGTTGATTTAAAGTTTAAAGTTATTTAATTCTAACCTGATGTTTATAAAGTTGGTATAGATGGGACCAGAGAGACCTCACCATGTTTAGCACACAATAGCGTTTTGTTCTTTTCCCTACTGAGAATATCTCTAAAAATAAATATTTGCTGCAGGCTCCTATTAAAATGTGAGGGGAAATTGAATTAGGATTCCAAATCTTTAGCCTTTTCATATACTCCTTTAGATCTCTTCCATATGGTTAAATCTTTAAAAGTTCAAGGACATATTCTGAGAGGAAACATGATATTCTTCTTTTCACAGCATGAGGAAAATAAATATTAATTAGCCTTTTTCTGAACTGGTTTTAGGTCTGCCATGGTTGGTTGCTGGGTCAATAGGAAGTCAGTGTTGATAATCTGTGTGTGTGTGTGTGTGTGTGTGTGTGTGTGTGTGTCTGTGTCTGTGTGTGAATCCTTAGTCATGTGGGGTAACCTAGGCGTCAGAAACCTTTGAAGGGTTTTACTAGCAAATTTGATTTAATTTATTTCAAGGGAAAGCTCAGTAGAATTTGGTTCTTAAGACTTTGTGATACTTTTATAATGTTTTAAATTCACTTACTAGTGAATTTCTTTTAAATGTACTTTATTATCAGCATTTCCATTTGAAGATAATCTATTTTAATGAGTGAAAACCTAATAGTCATTTCTTAGTTTTAAGAGTTTCAACTGATTTTAATGGCTTTTCTTTTACAGATAGTAATGATTTTATTCTCTTTTTTCCTAGTAGTTATGTGTCATATTTCTTTTTATTTTCATATTGCTTATAAGAATATGGTACATAATAATAATTACAGTTGCTATTTTGTCTAGTTCCTTCCAGACTTTAATGGGAATACTTCTGGTGTTTTAGTTTCAGGTTTGCTGATGCCTGTCGATTCATGGTGTCTCTTATTTATTGTGCCGGGAAAGTATTTTTTTTTTAATAATCGGGAATGGATATTGAATTTTATTGATGCATTCTTAGCATCTGAAGACAAAGTTATAGAGTTTTTCTCCTTGCTGTAATTGATGTCATGAATTATATTTAATTTCCTGATTATTAAGGCGTCCTTGAATTCCTGCGTTAAAAAAAACAGCACTCGATCATTGCATATTCTTTTCAACCCCTATTAGGTTCAACATACTAGCATTTTATCCAGACTTTTCTTGCATTATAAGTTAAAATGGCCATTAGTTTCTTGGTATCATAATACTAAAATGGGAAGCTTTCGTTTTTTTACCCTCTACAGCTGCACTCTCCATTTGGTAGCCACTAGGTACATTCACTTACTTAAATTTAAATAGATTGAATTCAAATAACATTAAAAGTTTACCCATCAGTTGCACTAGCCATATTTCAAGTGCTTAATAACTATGTATGGCTAGCGGTTGCCGTATTGTATAGTGCTGCTCTTGAGAAATGTGTATATGACGTAAGAATTACCTTTTCTTCAAAAGTTTTGAAATAGTTCACTTGCAAAACTAACTGGGCTTGGTGCATAAAATACTTGATTCTTTCCATCTGGTAAACTTTATCTTTCTCATTTTCAGTTCTGTATATTTGTGTTTTCTTGTTCGATTTCTTTATTATGAAATTTGTCTTTTTATTTTAATATAGTTTTATATATAGTTAATGTTTTAAAGTTCTTTTTAAAAGATGACTTTCAGTATAGTGTAAACCATCATACTGGTCCGTTTGAAAATGCAGATAAGGCTGTGTGCCATGGCTCACGCCTGTAATCCCAGCACTTTGGGAGGCCGAGGCAGGCAGATCACCTGAGGTCAGGAGTTCAAAACCAGCCTGGCCAACATGGTGAAACCCCATCTCTACTGGAAATAGAAAATTAGCTGGGTGTGTGGCGGGTGCCTGTAATCCCAGCTCCTCAGGAGGCTGAGGCAGGAGAATCCCTTGAACCCGGGGGAGGCAGAGGTTGCAGTGAGCCGAGCCCGCACCATTGCACTCCAGCCTGGGTGACAAGAGCGAAACTCCTTCTCAAAAAAAAAAAAAAAATCAATCAATCAATTATTCTCAACTTTGAAAATGCAGATAAGCTAAATAAGAGTTATTGCTTACTATAGGGGTAACCATCAGTCTTTTTCTGTCCATATATATGCATATTTTTTAAAATTGTGGTAAGAAAACACAACATAAAATTTACCATCTGAACTATTTTAAAAAGTACACAGTTCAGTAGCATTTTTTAATTTAAAAATCATACTTCCTATACTGTTTTTTAACCTGTATATTTTTCTCTTGGAGACAATCCCTTCTTTGAATATAGCTTTCCCTGCCTTCGTTTAAATGCATTTGCTGCAACTTTCAGAACAGTGTTAAATAGTGGTGCAATAAGAATCTTTGTTTCATTTGTTAAGTTAGAGGAATTTATATATACATGTTATCTATATATGTTATATGTGTGTGTGTATATATATATATATATATATACACACACATAAATATATATATATGTTACCTTGAGATTAGGGTTAGTTTTTTATAATGAAAAGGAAGTATCCTCCTTTTTCTGTTTACTAGGTTAATTTTTAAAATGTGGGTAGATAATGAGATTTATCAAATGGTCTTTTCTACATCTTTCAGGTGACACATACGAGGGTTTTATTTTGGATCCTCTTATGCCATGAATCATATTAACACATTTCCTAATATTAAGCCAGTTTTTATTTCTGGAATACAGTATTAGGTGAGTGTATTTCAAGTATATTATTGAGCAGTGAACTCAGTTTGTCAGTAGTTTAGTAAAACGTTTATATTTGTAAGTTTGGTCTGTAGTTTTTTGTGTATATTTGTATTTGTGGAGTTTTGATATCAGCATTATATTAGGTGCATGAAACAAATCACAAATTAGGGGATGGTTTTTATTGTTCTCTAGTCTGTTTAAATGGCATAGCAATTTTCTGGTCCCTAAAATTTTGGATATTAGCACCCATGAAGTCAGCTATATTTGGTTAGTTGTTAATTGTTATTGTCCCTTTCAGGTTCTTTTTACTGTTTCTTATGTCAGTTTTGGTACTTTATGCTCATAGGTAATCAGATTGACTATCCAGTTTATTTGTAATGGAGACCAGTGTTAATACTGATTATATTCATGACAATAATTAACATCAGTTAGAGCTTACTATGTGCTAGAAATTATACTAAATATTCGGAAGTGATTATCTTCTTTATTCCCTGCCAAATGAGATACATACATTTCACAGATGGGAAAATTGACACAAAGATTAAGTAACTTTCCTTGATCCCATAATAATATTTATTAAGATGGGATATTTACTTCTGTATCTGTAGTTATTTAATATGTTTCCATATTACTTGAGTTTTTTTCCTTTTCTCTTGATGTCTTATTGATGACTTGTTACATTGTATCTTTCCTTCTGCCCTTAAATAACCCATTCTTTATATACTACAATTCTTCTAATATATTATGTATCATCTTTAAGTCTTGGTTCCTGCTTATCATAGATGACTTTATATTTTAATTTTCTAATTGAGATTTGGTTTGTTTTTTTCTCAAAGGAAATCATTTATGGTCTGAATCTTAGTATAATTTGGAATGAATTTCTTTTATTTGATATGCTATATTCTCTTTATCATATTTTTATGTGTACTCTAATTCAATGCTTTGCGACTAGTGGATTACAGTTGCCTTTTACAGATGTGACAAGCCACTGATTTCTTTAGCTCTTGAAGCTGCTGAGCAGGTTATGGGAAGGTGGGAGTCCCCTTGTCTATCACCCAGATCAGATTGTTAGCATACAGGTTGATAAAATGCTTATTTTACAACTTAAGATGTGTCTGTTAATTCTCATTTTCACTGTCTGAAGTAACTGGCAATGACTATATAAGTTCTTTTGAACACATAGATTAATACAGCTTCATAATCTAATAACTGTTTATCTACTAATAAGCCCATTGCTGCCATAGATATTGTATAAGAACAAAGGATTATTTGATGGGAATTCTCTTCCCCTCCATCTTCAAAGAGTATATTCCTCTTTTACTCTTAAATGACATTTAACAATGTAGAGGCCAGATAATTAGGGAAGATGAAATGAGAGATAATTGGAACAGTTTTTGTTGAAATTTGTCAGTTAAAGAAAGGAGCAAAATGGGTTAACAGTTTGAAGGAATAGTTGAGTCAAAGGAGTGTGTTTGTGTGTGTGTGTGTGTGTGTATTTACTGGAGTTTGATTATACTTGTTGTATCAGTGGAAAATAGGTAGGAAAAGAGGAAAGATAAAAGATGCAATGAAAAACTTAAATGGTCAATAATACAAGGTTTATAGTCTCTTCCAACTCAACAATGTAGAAAACATAGCCATCTGTTAAGAAGGAAGGTTTTGGACAGAATAAGATTCTGAAAACTGGTAGATGCATGGAAAAGCCACAACGAGCATTTGCTAGCAAATCATTAGATTATACCTTGACTAAATTGGACGGTAATGAGGTTCTGGGAAGAAGTGGAGATGGGTAGTCCAGTGAGCATTGCATAGACATTGAAATATAAGACTGTCTTGAGTAAAGTGCCAGAGGGACTATAGGCTATTCATGATTTGGGGCTTCCCTAGTTACAAGCTTGGAGGAAATGCTCGTGAGACCATCTTCTCTCAAGCATTAGGTCCTCTTGCTTCCTGTTGGGAAAGAGGGGACAGTCTCCCCTGCCATAGAGCCACCTCCTGCAAACTCAGCTGATAGGCTTGTTGCAGTTTTCTTCATTTCCATCTGTGGTTTTGGCCCTACTAATCCTATTTCAGGTACAGTAGTTGAAAAAGTGAACAATTGTATTTAGAACTTGCACATAATAATGAATAGACTGCAGATCATATTCTCTTCCAAAGATATGCTGGAAACATACTTCGTGAGTTGAGTATTTATCAGCATAGTTGTCATGCCAACACTGGGCAGGCCAGAGAGGCCAGAGCCTGGAATTTAGCTAAACTAATAAGACACTAGCAGGTCAAATGTCAGATATAGGAAGGAGGAAAGAGTAGGTGGGCGGTAATGAGCCAAGCAAAGGTCATGCTCAAGGAACAGATAGTGAGACATTTGACCTCTATTCTTAGTATTTTTGGCACATGACAGAATGGAGAAATAATTTGACATTTATATGGTTTCATGCAGGTTAGGAAGATATCCTTGATGGTTCACACAATAGTCTTTTGGTTGATAAGTTCAGATTTGATTTTTTCCAACAGAAAAGCAAGTGATTGTCAAAAGGGCTTTGAAGAAGGTGGAAATATACTCTCTTACGCCCATAAATTGATATAGTCTGATTGGAGTGCAAGTTGTAAGACAGGGGTAAATTGGTTAAGTAGATTTTTTTTTTTTGATTTCCAAAAGGAAAGGTATTTTTTAAAGACTATGAAGATAGCTTGGGGGAAAGGTGATTTTCAGTTATAACAGTAAGTATGAATTTTGAGTAGTGGCAGTTATTATAAAGACTTGGCAGGTCTTTCGGTCTTTCCAGAAAATGTAAAGTATATGATTAGGAGAAAGGTGATACTGGATAGAGAAACATGTTTCTAGTATGACCTGAAACATGACATGTGGCAGACATTAGATGTGAAGTAATCAAGGAAATGCATTTTAAAATCTCGGTGAAATGTCCTTTCATAACCATTAAAATGACAAAAATGTTAAAATCTGACAGTGTTCTGTGTTACAGATATGGAGCAGTTCAAACATTTGTAAACTGTTGTTGTAAATTGATACAACCACTTGAAAAAATACTTGACAACAGGATGTAGCAATCCCACTTCTAGGTGTGTATCTTAGAGGAGCTTTAAGTACACTCTTAAAGAGACAAGTACAAGGATATTTATAGTAGCACTGTTTATGAAAGCAGAAAAAGGGACACACCCTAAATATCCATTGGCAGAAGAATAGATAAGTAGATTATGGTGCACAATGGAATATTATACATTCGTGAAGATGAATGAAGTACATTATATGTATCAACTTCAGTCAGTCTCACAAATAGAATTAATTTTAAAAACAAGCAAGTTGCAGACCACTTATATAAAGGTTAAAAACATGTGGCCAGGCGCGGTGGCTCACGCCTGTAATCCCAACACTTTGGGAGGCCAAGGGGGAGTGAGTGGATCACGAGGTTGGGAGTTCAAGACCAGCCTGGCCAACATGATGAAACCCTGTCTCTACTAAAAATACAAAAATTTGCCGGGCGTGGTGGTGGGCACCTATAATCCCACCTACTCCGGAGGCTGAGGCAGAGAATTGCTTGAACCCGGAAGGCAGAGGTTGCAGTGAGCCAAGATTGCGCCACACGCCACTGCACTCCAGCTTGGGCGACAGAGCGAGACTCCGTCTCAAAAAAACCCAAAAAACAAAACATGTACATGCCATATATTGTTTAAGAACAGATATATATGCAATAAAAAATAAATAAATGCACAGAGAAATAAACAGTAAGTACAAGTTAATGGTTGTCTTGAGAGAGGACATGACTGAGGAGAAATACACAAGTATTAGTTAAGGTCTGTTTCTTAAGATGAGTAGTGGACCTATATTGTCTGTTTTAGTTTTCTTTTACCTGTTTTTATATCTTAAATATTAACGAGTTTTTTCTTCAAAAAGTTAGGGAACAGTCTGGGCGTGGTGGG
This sequence comes from Homo sapiens, assembly GCF_000001405.40. Classification (NCBI taxonomy): domain Eukaryota; kingdom Metazoa; phylum Chordata; class Mammalia; order Primates; family Hominidae; genus Homo; species Homo sapiens. The sequence goes on along the minus strand of NC_000015.10, from coordinate 82,203,094 downwards.
TCACGCCTGTAATCCCAGCATTATGGGAGACTGAGGTGGGTGGATCACAAGGTCAGGAGTTAAGAGACCAGCCTGGCCAACATGGTGAAACCTCATTTCTACTAAAAATGCAAAAATTAGCCAGGTGTGGTGGAACATGCCTGTAACCCCAGCTACTCGGGAGGCTGAGGCGGGAGAATCACTTGAAACCGGGAGGCGGAGGTTACAGTGAACTGAGATCGCACCATTGTACTTCAGCCTGGACGACAGAGCAAGACTCCGTCTCAAAAAAAAAAAAAAATTAGGGAACACTATTAATATCTTTCCTTGAGTTTGCTGGTGGTGTCTTGTAGAATTTATCCCATATAATTGAGTAGAGAGGTAAAAAGTGTTTAATTTGGAAATAGAATATTTTGGGTTAAAATTCTAGTTCAGCTAACTTTTAAGCCTTGTAGCCCTGGGCAACAGGCCTCTCTGATCTTCTCTTCAACCTCTCTGATCCTCTCTTCTGCCTCACCGATCCTTGGTTTCTTATTTGTGAGCTGAGGATCATGGAAGGCAGCTCCGAAGATCCTGTGGGATGATGCACATTATTTCATTTCAAAAAAATATCAAAAAGCAAAATGTCAATTAAGCAACATAATTGTTATCACTGATTTCCTTGGGAAATATTATAATTAACAAATAGACCTCCAAAGTCACACATAAAGAAAGAAAATGATAAGTGAAGCACTTAATTATGAAGATTAAAGAATGCTTTCCCCTTTTAAAAAATGTCATTTATTTAAATGCAATTTTTTTTAATCCAAAGAATTTAAGTAGGCTACTAAAAAAAATAGGAAAAGAGTACTTTTCTGGGGGAAAAGTACTCTTTTGTTCTAGTGAAGTTGATCTGAAAGACGTCGTCCAGCAATATATGTAGAAAAGAAATCAGATTCACTGTCTGTTGCTGAAACTCTGACTTTCCCTCTCCATTCTTATTCAGTGTTGCAAAGATTCAAAACTTTTTGATAGCTTTTAAGAGGAAGTTTGAAATAGCAGAGGTGATAGAGGGAATTAGTTTTTCTGAGAACCAAGGCAAAAGGAGTGAATCCTTAAAACTCCTGAATTGTCAACATTGATGTTGGAGCCCCACTCCAGATTCGGGTTGGAGTGTGACTCCGCAAGTAGACATTTTGGAGAAGGAGGAGTGGCTGATGCAGAACCTGTGGCTTAAAGTAGGAGGAGGGAGAGAGTTTTCTACTGGGAGGCATATGTATTAATACAAGCTTACAGACAAAGTGGAGAAGGAAACAGTAGTAACCATATTGTCCCAGATTCTTCTCTGACAAGCCATATGCCTGTTCAACAAAGCCATTAGCTGTGTGGGGTAGATTCAGAGTGAAAGTTTGAGTTCTTTTTTTTTTTTTTTTTTTTTGCAAGAAGTTATTAACTATAAAAATGGGCATATGTTCTTCTAAAATGATATTCTGACAAAATAATGGTTCACAAATACAAAGCAGCCCACACAATTGCAGTATAATTTGTTTTATTAAAATAAAAGGATATATTTATTCTTTTAAGATATCGTTTACAAGGAAAATCCTCAACTGAACCTCCAGAATTATGTTAAGAGCAGTAGGGGTTGCAAGCACGTAGATTCTTCCCTGGAACACAATATATTATGGTCTTTTAAAAAACACTTGGCCTTTTTCTGGTTTTATACATAGAGTGAGGAGAGTTAGTTATCTTTGCTTAGGGAAGAAAGTCCCCCTCTCCTTTGTAGATGAGCACAGAGCTTTTACCTTCCTAACACCCAGACCTGCTGATTTAGAGAGGACTAACTGCAAATTCCCTAAGGACTGGGCCTCCCAAATCTTCACACTTAATTATTCCTGGTGAAGATCTCTTGAGTGTTCAATGTATATTGGTTGAATGCATGAATCAATTAATCACTTAATACGCTTAGGCGAGGGAATACATGAGCAGCCAGAAGCTATTTAGTGTTCATCATTTATTTTCTTCAAAGTTTAAAATATTCTCAGGCAGCCTTGGCAACATAGTGGGACCCCGTTTCTACAAACAATAGAAAAATAAAAAAACAGGCATGGTGGCACTTGCATGTAGTCTCAGCTACCCAGGTGGAAGATTGCTTGAGCCCAAGAGGTTGGAGCTACAGTGAGCTGTGATCGTGCCACTGCACCCTGGCCTGGGTGACAGAGTGGAACACTGTCTTAAAAAAAAAATTCTCAAGTACATAAGGGAGATAGAAAGTATAGAAATATTTCTTTAGAAGTGAATACATTGGCTTTTCAGTATAAATCTACTGGAATTTTAGGTGAAAGCAAAATACTTTCTTGGTCTGAACATTTCTTATTAAAGAATATCAGAGTAGTGATGTTTTAATGTGTTCGGATTATTCAACTCCCAGAGCCAAGATGATGTTATCACTGGGGATTTTTTGTTTAGCTCAGATAGTACACTGAAACTAACTGGTTCTTCCTGCCCTCACTGTGTTCTGGGAGGCTCCCAGGTATGTCCTGGACTGAAAAAGGTGAGGCCATTTGATGTTAAGAGAAGCAGAAATATTCTGAGTATCTTTCTGTTCTTTTCTCTGTGCCATGGTCCAGTCAACAGGAGGGGAGAACATTGTCCCAGGCTTTTGTAAAGCCAAGATTACCCCCCAGAAGCTGCTTGGAGCCGGTTTCCAGTCTCCTGAGCTAAGGTTGCTGCCAAGGGAAGGCAAGACTCAATTGCCTCTGCCTAAAGTTGTTATTTTGTATAGTATTCTCATAGGTGTGCTGTATAGACTTAAGCTCCACTACTGCTTTCCCTCTTTTTTAAAAAAATTCTCTTATTTTCTACCATTTATTTTGGCATTTGTACTCTTCCTTGTGTTTTTCTTTGAATGTTTTACGTTCTATAACTCTCATGTGCCTGGCTAAGCCTTTCTAGGGCATGACCCAGGTAATGCATAAGCTTGGGTATTCAGGTTTGTTTTTTTCCCGATGCATAGGTGTTGTGCCAGCACAGTATATCAAATAAACTTGCCCCTGCCCCTGCTTCCTTCCCCGCTGTTTCACTACCACGTTTCCCATACAACTGTAGTTTGTTTCTGGATGCTGTTTTCTATTCTGCTGTATTTGCAAGCCTGTATTGTTTGATTTTGAGGGTATCAATAATTCATTTTTGAATCTGGTTCTGTCACTTTTAGCTTTAATAATTGGGGGCTATTTTTAAACATTTATTCTATATAAACTTGAAATGATTTTATCTCCTGCGATACATTAAATGTCTATGTTAAGACATCTTATTTACAGAAGTAAATTATGACCACTCTTTTACTGTAAAGGTAATTATATAGAAAAAGCTAAGCAAGTTGCCTTCCTAGGGCTGATTCCTACAGGTGTTATCGGTGTATTCTTCCAGACTTCTATCTATGCATAATACATGCATACATAGTAAGAAATAAATTCATGTGTGTGAATTTAAATAAGTTCACTAGGGAGCTAAAGCTGGGACTGCAGCTTAAACCCAGCATTATGTTGTTCTGGTTTCTTTATTATTACCAAATAAATGATTTGAAACAGTTAAAATTATCCCAGCACTAGTTTCTTTTGAGGGAGTAGCCTTTTCCATTTTCATACAAGGTCTTATTTTGCGGGCCGCAGTCCTAGCTGTCTCCAATTGAGCCAGAAGGCAGCAGCCAGAACTACTTTTGCCTGAGGGTCTTCCCTGAGACAAAGACTTATGCCCTTGGCCTTCTTACTCTCGGATATTTGTGAAGCCCAGGATCTCTCTCTCTTTCTCTCTCTCTCTTTCTCAACTTCTGGAGCAACCAACTGCTATCTTAGTGTCATAAGTTAATTCTAATATACCTGGGTGGCCTTTAATCTAGTTCCATTTTTCAAAGTTTTTGGCTTTTGGATAAGACCTTTTCCTGCATTGACATAGCCTCTCCCTAATTTTATCTGTTTTTGGACTTGGGATTTGGAGGTGGAAGGATGTGAGAGAGGGAGGAAGGAATATAAGGTGTCTTTCATAAGCCTTCCTTTCTCAGGATCCAAAGATTTTTAAAAAGAAAAAAAGCAGGTTTTGTTTTTTTTTAATGCAGTGAACTATTTTTTCCTCTGAAAAGTGAAATCTTTATTGGCTTAATTTTATATCCTAATCATTTACTCACATTTATTTTGTGCTTACTATATGTTTGGTTCTATATTGATCACTAGGTTAGGTTTCTCATACTGGGTGCTTAGTCTTCCAAATTATTTGTAGGTGCTTCACAGTTTTGATCGCAAACTAGTAAATAAGGCATCCTCTGGTTGGAGAAACAGCACTGGATTTTACCAGTGGGACCTCTGGCAAGTTGGCCACTTTGTGGGAATTTCCAGACCTGAAACTGCATCTGCATAGAAGGAAGTTGAGGTAGATGAATCTCTATGGCCTTCCTTTCTCTCCTGGTTGGTTTTCCAGGACCCTTCCTCACCTTTTCCACTGTCCATGTCTTGGGTTTTCCTGTATTTCTTAGTTACGTTGCTGTTTTCAGTACCCTCTGTGCCCTCTTCTCTATCTGTGGGTTGCTTTAAGTGACATTCAGACAGCCAGAGGTCCAGAGGCCATTTGACATAGAGGAATTCCATCCTTCCAAAGATCTCTTCTCATAAGCAGGAGTTTTTTGTTTTTTAAACAAAACAAAATAGTTATCCTGATTGGATCCATGAGGACTAGCTCACTTGGCTGTGCCTCGGGAGAGGTCCAGAATGGCTTTCTTGGACTTGAACGAGCTCAGAAGCATTGGCACTTTCTCGTTTACACTGGCCTTGATTTTGGGTAGAGACTGAGCAGGCCGAAGTCCCCTCTCTGAAGCCATCATGGGATGATGGTAAAAGGCATCTGCAATGTTCCAGCTCTAGCAGGGTCACAACTGCACTGAGATGAACACAAGGGGGCAGCCTTTCCCACAGATTTTCATCAAATCACAGAGAAACAGAGTGCAATTTCAATGTCAGCGCATGCATGAGCCTGTGCTCTGTCCACACCAGTGCCCATGTGTAAAACGTGTAGCCTGTAACTGTTTATAAAGGGCCTTAGGGTTAACGGCATATGAATGCTCAGTAGATTTTGTGCTTTACTGTGCTACAGTTTCGTTAACACAACCCAGGACTTCTCATTGTAGGTTATAGACTATATCCCCCTGCCTAGCCCAGAGTCTTACACATGGCAGGCAGGCAGGTTGGCAGGCAGGGCAGGCAGCAGGTAGGCAGGCAGGCAGGCACTTTTTATTACTGGAGGCTTAGAGATGACTGAATCATTAATATAGAGGAGTTGAAATTGATTTAGCCTGCTGTTTCAACCTGAAGAATGACTTCAAAGCAGGCATTTAAATTTATTTTGGCCCTTTTTTTCATTCTCTTGCCCCTCCTACCCCTCTTCCAACTACTAAAGGCATTGTTTCAACTGTATATATTTTCTCTATTTTTGTTTTCTCTTCATCTTGGAAATTGAGTTATGACACCTTTGGTTGTTTCTAGTTGGAAAAAAGCATTATTATGAAAATATATGCTGTTTAGTGAGCAATGAAGCAGAATATAAAATATCACTAATATCCTGAACCCCCATGCAATTAGAAGCACATTGTCACTAGTTTTGTTTTATGTTTCCCAGATGACTGTTAATTTAGCAGTTCAGCACATAATTGCATTGATGATCATATTTCTAAGGATTTGAGTCTATTGATTCAAGTGTAGAATTGAAGTAAAAGTTGTTATTCCTTCACTGTTGTATCTGAATTTGTTTTATTATTTGACTCTATAATGACTGGAAGAAATCAGATATGCTTGGAAATCAAAGGTAAATTTTCTGTCCCCTGGGAATAGGGGTGGAAAGGAAAGAGGAACATTTTTTTTAGCTCTAAACAAAATGAGCAATTAGTAGATTTATTGTATAATAGTTGTTTTTCTTCAAAACCACAAGCCTTCAATTTTCTAAAATGACAATAGTAAATTTTCACTTTCTAAACAGTTTACATAATCAGTTTCACTATATTTGCATATATTTTGTTAACTGATACTAACAATGATGCCACAATTTTTTTTTTTTTTTTTTAAGTTGGAGTTTTGCTCTGTCGCCCAAGCTGGAGTGCAATGGTGCAATCTCGGCTCACTGCAATCTCTGACTCCTGGGTTGAAACGATTCTCCTGCCTCAGCCTTCTGAGTAGCTGGGATTATAGGCACCCACCACCATGCCCGGCTAATTTTTGTATTTTTAGTAGAGACAGGGTTTCACTATGTTGGCCAGGCTGGTCTCGAACTCCTGACCTCGTGATCCGCCCGCCTTGGCCTCCCAAAGTGCTGGGATTACAGGCGAGAGCCACCGCTCCCGGCCGAAGCCACAATTATTAATGCACTTGAAAGATATATCAAATTAGATTTAACCAACGTTTATTTAGTACCAACTGCATGCCAGGTGTTCACTGAGTCAGTTTTGTTTGTTTTCTTACTTAAGCCTTGAAACAAACTTTAGTGGTAAATTTCTCTTCATTTTGCATATTAAAAAACTGAAAGGATTTTGACTTGCTCAGCAAATTACACTATCCCAGCCATTGCTTATTAGCTATAATTTTATTTTCTGTGTAGTTGTATAGCTGAGATTATTTGAAACACTGTTACTGATTCTTCTCACTTACTATGATTATTAAAAATGAAAATATGCTCTAATGATTTTTGATACTCTGCATATAGAACCCTTGAGTTTCATAGGTTCTGTAGGCCCTTTCTCCTATAAATAATCTGAGACTCACAGAGAGGCTGGGTCTCCTCCAAGCTTGGGCAGCTGATAGTTTGAGAGTTGATCTAGAACCCGGGTCTTTCCCTTTGTAAGGGGCAAAACCACTGGAAAGGACAGGCAGAGAAATAGCTGGGCTCCTCAAAAGGAAGAGAGAAGCTGACAGTGAGGATTCGTCAGTTCTGCTCAGTTTGGAAAGAGACCCTTCACTGTCTGCTTCTTCTGACCTCCCTATGCTTCAGTTCTCAGCACTCCTGAATATACCACGATTTTCATGCCTCTGTGTCTCGGTACACGCTGTCTCTTCTCCTCAAGTGTTCTTTCTCCCTTCATTGCCAGCTAAATGTCACCGCCTCTTGGAAGCCTTCCCCAACTGCGTCAGACAGATACATCTGGCTCTTTCCTTTCTTTGAGTTCCTGTACTTCTTTTAATAGATCTCCCTTAGAACATTGATTCCTTTACATTGTTTGTGTTTTCAGTTAGTGTCTCGGAGCTCCTGGGGCAAGGGTCCTCATTCTTTAGGCATATCTCTGATGTTGAGCCTGGGTGCACTTTACTAGGATGCATGTTCAAGTGTGGGTGGGAATGAATAAATGAATGACTGTGTGCTCCCCTCCCAGGTGCTGCTTCTGAGCACAGAAATGGAATAGAAGTTTGAGCAGGAGGAAAATGGAGTCTGTGGAAGTTCTAGGAGATATTCTTACAGTTACTCATTAGTTTGTTGGCGTTTAGCTTCTAGGTTACATATGGGAAACTTGAGGGACAGCAAATCACAAAGAGAGACTGGAGGTCCAGCTTATTAGGAAACTTGAGTTTCTAGGATGTGGCCACCAGCTTGTGTACATCTTCGTTGATTCTCATGTTCACTGTGTTCCCCAAGAATTAATTTCTCCCAAGGGCCTACATCAGTTTAGAGTAGGCAACGAGGTTGGGTGTGTGTTTTTCATTAGTAGATATATTAATCTGCCCAGACATGAGATACACTAGCACGGTTTACAGCCTGAAAACACAGCTCTAAGAGTTTGTGGGTAACAGAACATTAGTCTTACTTAGGTCTTTCTAAATATCTTCACTCCTCAGAGTAACTTTGAGTGTTTTCTGGATTTGAGTTTGGCTCATTAAAGTCTGATTTCTACATAATTCAGATACATCCAGAGTTTTTTGGATAATACATTTGAAAAATTTCCCCTTATGAGGTTAGACAAGTTTATAACCGAAACCAAGTTCATTAAACCTATGCTAAAATATAAAATTGTCTTTAAGAAAAGCCCAAACAGGTAGAAAGTGACAGTTTATTAGTAAAATTATAACAATAATTTGAATGTATTGATATTGAACGCTACGTGATATAAAAATACATTATTTCCCAAGGTCACAAGTCATTACCAAGTTTAAGTTTATTTTAAAATATAGCAGATCCATAGTTTTGTTCTTTGTATTCATCATAGAATCTTTCTGTGTATCCTATTTTGTTTTCTTTGCCTCATTGATTACAAGATTCCGAAAACATTGACTACTAGATTTTGTGGAAAAGTAGAGAAGCTGAGCATTTGAACCCACTAACTTCATCTATCTTTTTGAGTAAAGCAAGCTATTTATTTTCATAACTAGGGAGGCCTTACAACGTGGGTTGCTGAGGACATCCTGTTTATGCCTGTCATCTTGGAGAAGTTATTAATAGTGTCGCCTTTCACCGTTTAAAATCGTAGCTCGGATGATAAGTTCTATGTGGTCACCCTTATTATCACTGATATATTCTGTCCTTGATTATTTTATGCTTTGATTTTAATAATTCTGTAAGTGCATTTTTGACTATACTTTTCTGCATTTTTAAATTCTCATGTTTTGGAAGGTATATCCTATTTTATTTCTATTAGTAGCTGCTTTTTGTGTTTTTCAGATCATTCTTTAAATGTAAGTCAGTACTGAAATGTTCTCCTTTGTGTCCTAGCAATTTAAGACTTAGACATTACAAGTTCTTTGAGAATGGCGCCGGATTCATTTTTGTGTCTCTGGCAGTATTTAGTAATCTGCTTTGCACAAAATACTCAAGAAATATTTATGGAATGAATCTTAGGAAGCAGTTTGGTTTTATCAAAATGAAGAGCGAAATTTGGTCTAGTCTAGAATGGTATAGATACCTCCCGATAAAGGAACTGGGATTGTGCTTGGGCTGAAGATCCAGTCCGCCCAATGGCACTACTGACCAAACCCAGCTGTGGAAAAGATTTCAATGATCTGTTTTAAACTCACCTAGGGACTCCCAAGTGAGTCTTCAGTAAAGTCTTCTTCAATTAAAGTTCTTTCTCTAAGATTACACTACTGCTAAGTATAAAGACAAAGGAATTTTCCAGTGCCAAGCAAAGACAGACAGAGAGTAGCCTGGTTCAGCCACTGTGGCTGCTCACCGTGTTAGCGACAGCACTGTTTTCCAGAATGAGGAGAGTGAAGGCGGCGAGTTGGGTGGGAGAGCCCAAATGCAACAATAGTTTGCACGGCATGTAAAGAGTTCTTGAAAGAGGTTGAAGATTTTTGTAAGCACATTCAATTGATTGAGCCATGTGTATTTCCAAATAATAGATTTGTCCTCTTAATTTAAAGGAGACATATAATAGAAAGCTAGGTGTAGTCCCTAACAGTCAATCACTTACGAGCCAGAGGAGGGAAGAATGACCTTTTTCAGAATTTAAGTTGCAAAATACACCTTGTCCTCTGATAGGCAGTTTACAGTGCCTGACAAAATGAGTCATCTTTTTGTTTTGCCAAATTTTACTCTAGCTAAGTGCCTCCAAGCTTAGGCAAAATAAAGACAAGTTAACTGTTCTTAAATGTAATAATGCCATGGACTCTCATGAATAGAAGCCTTTGATAACTAGAAAATAGTTATCTTTGACTTTGTGTTCAAAGTATAGGGGTTGCTTATCTATAAAGCTGGAAGGGGATATAATTGGTTATAGATAAGGAAGGATGTGCATGAATTGAGTTGAGGTACTTTCTAAGTCCTAAGTTACTGCATAGCTGCTTAATACAGTGTCTAATATCTGATGGTGGTGCTCAATATGTATTAATGGAATCTAAATTTCTTTCTCCACCAAGATCTCTGTCAAGTATATTTGATCATTAAGTTAACTGTTCCATTTTCAGGATCCAGTAGTCACAAACTATAGCAAAATCCTAGGGTGTTTTAGCTTTCATTTTTAAAAAATACAAAATTTGAATTTTTTTGTTTTAAAAGCAATACCTATTCTTTGTTAACAAATTTAGCTGGCACATTTTTATTTTGGTTTCACTCATTTGAATTTCAAAAGTTATATATGCTTATTGTGAAAATCCAGACAATAAAGAAGTGTCAAAATAACAGTCTCCTCATCTTTGCCACCACTTCTCTGACATAACCGTTGATCACAAATCACCTTATAGCCTTCCATAGTTTTTCCTGTAGTGCTCCCCTCTCACAGGTGCTTTTGTACTTTTTTTCCTACCTCTTTCTTTCTTTCTTTCTTTCTTTTTTTAATAAAAGTGGTATTGAATGTATTATCAGTTTGGTGCAGTTCAACAGATATGTATTGAGCTCTTGCTTACGTGGTGTCAAGAGCCACTGTGCTATGAGTGTGTATAATCTCTGTCCCTGGGCAATTTCTCAGATTCTCTTTTGTTGTATTTCAAATTCATTACTGTTGCTATTCTCTTTATAAGTTCACAAGGGCTTTCCACCTCATGGTGTTGTGAAACCCAAATAATGTAATGTTTATTAAAGCTCTTGGTTAAGCATAAAGCAGTGAGCTATGACTGCATGATTACTAAGAATTGGTTATCCATGAATAATTCTAATTTTTGTCACTGCTAAATCTGCTCCCTCTGCTTATATTTTAATTATTTCGGTAGGTTCCATACGTTTTCAAAACACCTCATTTTACTTACTGTATTTTTACTCTTTTTTTTTTTTTTTTGAGACGGAATTTCACTCTTGTCACCCAGGCTGGAGTGCAAGTGGGGCGATCTCGGCTCACTGCAACCTCTGCCTCCCGGGTTCAAGCAATTCTCTTGCCTCAGCCTCCCGAGTAGCTGGGATTACAAGCACCCATCACCACATCTGGCTAATTTTTGTATTTTTAGTAGAGATGAGGTTTTGCCATGTTGGCCAGGCTTGTCTTGAACTCCTGACCTCAAATGATCTGCCCACCTCGGCCTCCAAAGTGCTGGGATTACAGGCATGAGCCACCGTGCCTGGCCTGTAATTTTACTTTTACATACAATATGCCCAGCCTTCTTTGTCTCAGCAGATGTTTTTTAAAAATTCCTACTAGGTGTTATCTTTAACAATTTTTTTCTTCCATATTCTTGGCTATATTTGATAGACGAGATATAATAGCAGATATTATAAATTTCACTCTGTTAACATGTGTTTTAGAGTCTAAGATTTCTTCTAGCTTGTATTCCATGTTCATTGTTGTTATTTTATCGCTAATTAGTTACAGCCAGAGATTTTAACTCAGTCGCAAATATAAAGCTCTTCTTTGTCAGAAAGACCACACACACCTCTTGAAAAGTTACTTTCAGATTTGATCACATAATTTCCAAGTGTCTTCCAAGAAAGTGAGCATGATGGCCCTGAGTGAAAAACTGTGGCACTTGACCAAAACCTCAGTTTGTTTCTAATCATGTATGGATAGAGTGTAATTTGATTAAAGCTGACTGGCCTGAAATGATCCCAGTAAGATGCTGAACTGGATCTGGATGAAAGCACTCACTGGATGAGTGCTTGCCCTCATCCAAGCACTAAGGAATCACTGAAATGAATGAGTTTGGGATTTCATGTCGAAATCCATTTTTAATACTACCACCTTATGTTTTCATAGTACCGTATGCTTTTCAAAATGCTTTTATCTATAGTATTTGATCCGTGCAGTCTGCTTTTAGCTTCTATATTTCAAAGGCCAGTAATGGTTAGGTTGGAAGTAATACCTATCAGAATAGTGACTTTGAAACTTTGAAATCATTTCCAGGTGTTTTAGATAGGCTACATTTGAGTGATGAAACTTTAAACTTTCTTTTTTATAAAAGAAAACTTTACGCTTGAAGTAACCTTTTTAGAAATTAGTAGCCCCAAAGATTTCAGGGTGTGTTGTATTGTTCTTTTTTACAGTGAATGGGTGTAACTTACTGCAATGTGAATAATGCATAGTATTTGTAGGGAAAAGTAGGGAAGTAGCCAAGGAGAAAAGATGGGACAAAGAAAACTGTGAGTTTTCTTTAAATATCTGAGGAGATGGAAAGGAATTTTAAGCAATTACTTGACAAAATAAACTCCCCCCCCTTTTTTTTTTATTACAGTAGGGATACCAATAAGATGGAAAAACAAAAATCAAGGAAAGTTGGAGAATAAAATAATACCTGCACAGTATATATATTTTGGTGGCATTGTTGAGGCTGTACTTGTGATCTAATATCCATTTTTAAGTGTTTTGTAGATATTAAAGTTAATTTGCATACATACGTATGTATCTGTATATATACACATATAATAAATCCAGATATACATGTATTATATATCTATGGATAATACACATACATAACACATGTATAATAGATGCTCCTATTAATCAGTATTATCACTTAGTTTACTCAAGACCTGGAATATATATTTGGAACAAAAGTAAAATCCCTTATTGTGATTCTACTTGCCAGCCACTTACTATTTTATACAAATTATTGGATCACTAACATGGCAAATAAATTTATAATAAAACTAAAATCTATCCTCCTTTTTTTATGGAGACCACCGATTTGAACACTTACACACTATCTGGCACAACTCTTTATGACTCACAAAACAAACATGGATACTTCCCTCTCTTGGAATGAACATAGAAGAATCCATGGATATATAGAAAGATGTAGCATTCAAAAGTAAAGACCAATTTGACCGACAAAAGTGATATTTCTGTCTGAAACAGACTTCTTGTACAAAATAGGAGAAAACTGAGAAAAATGAGTTATTACTCAAAGTAAAATTAAGAGGGCATTGCATTGATTAAAATCAGAGCAGATAAGAAAAACAAATGAACTGAGAACAGAAAAAGTTAGTGGAAATTAAAAACATGGTTACAGAATTTTAAAACAACGCAGTGAGGAACAGATTCAATACTGAAGAAACCTGAATTAGCGAGTGAGAAGAAAGCTAAAGAAATTCTGATAGAACTCAAAGGAAAGTAACATGAATTTTTTTTTTTTTTTTTTTAAGACAGAGTCTCACTCTGTTGCCCAGGCTGGAGTGCGTGATCTTGGCTCACTGCAACCTCCGCCTCCCGGGTTCAAGTGGTTCTCCTACCTCAGCCTCCCAAGTAGCTGGGACTACAGGCACGCACCATCCCCCTCCGCCTAATGTTTGTATTTTTAGTAGAGACGGGGTTTCACCATGTTGGCCAGGCTGGTCTCAAACTCCTGACCACAGGTGATCTGCCCACCTCAGCCTACCAAAGTGCTGGGATTACAGGCGTGAGCCACTGTGCTCAGCCCAGTGAAAATTTTAAGTGAAAAGACTGGAAACATGAAAAATAGATACAGATAATTCAATATAAATAAATGTATATACTAATGTATATGTGTGTGTGTGTGTTTATACTGGGAAGAATAATAAGAGAGAATTTTTAAGGACTTGGGCTCTCATTGAAAGAACACCCTTACTAACAGGCATAGTTGGAGTACAGGGGAGACATTGGGAGAAAGAAGACCCTTAACCTAGACCTTGAAATAATCCAGAGAAAAATATGAATTTGAAGACTAAAGAAAATATTCTAGAACATCCAGATGGTTTGAAGCAGGATGCCCAGTTTAAAAAATAATAGTTAAAGAAAAGAAAATGAAGTCAACATCAAGCATCTCTTCTTGGCTGCAGAATTTGAGAGGAAAAAACATGTGATTCATGAATTGTCTAATCTTCTAGACTCTTAGAATGTAAGCTCCATATGGGTAGGGATTTTTATCTGCTGTTCCCTACTGTACCTCTTGTATCTAGAAAAACATTTAGCATATGATACTTGCTCAGTAAATACAGTCATGCATTGCATAACAGTGTTTCATTCAGTGAAGGATTACGTATATGATGGTGGTCCCATAAGATTATCATACCCTATTTTTACTGAAACTTTTCTGTGTTTAGATACAGAAATACTTACCATTGTCTTAAAATTGTGTATAGTACTCGGTACAGTAACACGGCGTATAGGTTTGTAGTCTAGGAGCATTACACACCATATTGGCCTAGGTGTGTAGTAGGCTGTACCATCTAAATTTGTGTGTAAGTATACTCTGTGTTCACAGAGTGATTAAATTGCTTAAGGTTGCATTTCTCAGAATGTGTTCCTGTTGTTAAGCGATGCATGACTGTATTTGTAGAATGATTGGATGCATGAGCAAAAAAAAAAAAAAAAGCATAAACACATTCTCTAACATTGCAAAATCTCACAAACTTTACCATTGATATACCTTTCCTTTTAACAAAGAACTGCTTAAAATAGTACTGCAGCTAACCAAGAAATGAATTATAATGTGAAACAACATAGAGGAAAGAATAGAGAACAACAAAACTATTAATGTGAACAGGTTAAGCCAACTAAGTGTTTATATAGTTTCTCAAGCTTAGGTCTTTTTAAAAATAATTGTTGAAAGGGAAGAGGCACATTGTTTTAAAAAATCTGAATGTAGAATCTTTGTTTTAACAAGACCTGGAAAGTAGATAGAGTAGGGTTGTAAGGTAAAAGAAAAGTTAACTTAAAACACATTGAATTTTTAACTTTTCCCCACGAGGAAGCAACGGTTATAACATTGTTCTTGATACAGGTAGAGACAGATAGATTTAGATTTTCTTTAAGGCACTCACTAGTCAGAGAGAGAAATAAGATATGTAATTTCCAATTAAGTGAAGATTTCTAGAAAGGAATGAAGAAAACTTCATTTGGTAAAACAAAACATAACAAAAAAACTAAGAGGAAAAAAGATAAGAAAATGGAAGTAGGCTAGACCCAAGACCAAATATATTACCACAGTAAATGTGAAGGAACTTAACAACTTAATTAAAAGACAATGACGCTTATATTGGGCACTCCAAAAAACTCAAGAGAATCATGCTGTTTGCAGGAACCATGTGAAATAAAGCAGTTCAAAGTTTGAAAATAAAAGATAAAGACAACAATTGTTTAAAGTAAACAATTTTGTAAAGATAAAGATACAAATTTAGTGTTAGGTAGAGGAAATTTCAAGAGGAAAAGCATTCAACAGGACAAAGAGTTATATTTTATTAAAGAAAAATTCAATTGGAACTAAAATTATAATGGTCATAAGTCTTTATGTCCCAAGTAAGGTAGCACTGAAATACAGAGTATCCTAAAAGTCTGGAAACACAGGGCTGTTTTTTTCACTGTTATAGTTATTACCGTGAAATATAGGACAAAATCTCAGTGTATATTGCTCCAAAGAATAATGATAGAATAATATGACTGAGATTAAGTCAAAGTAGATTAAGTAGGTAAAAAAGAGTAAAATATAAAAATTTAACAAATATTCCCTCCTCTAGACATTTTAGATACTGTGCATATAAAGCAAAACATTAAAATAAAAATTAGAATTTACAGAATAGAAATTGTATTAGAAGACTTGGACATGCCTTCCAGAATTTGACATGTAAATTAGGTAGAGGATAAATATGGAAATAGAATATTTAAATAATACAAACAATAAGCTTCGTTTAATAGGTAGATATAAAATTTTGTACTCTAAGTAGAAATTAAATTTAAAAATTGAATTTACTAGGTCACAAGAAAAGTTTTAATAAAATCTCCAAAATATAATGTGCACAAGCTATTATTTTCTGACCAAAATAAACTAAAACTCAAAGTTAATAATAAAAAATTGTTCAAAATAATTCTAATCAGCTAGATATTAAAATACAATCTCCTAAGTCACTCTTAGAGCAAAGTAGAAATTAAATTTGCAGTTACAGAGTAGAGCAATCCTTTGGTTTAAAACATTTGCATTTCACTTTAACCAAACAGCTTAAGGATAAATTACGCCTATTTTACAATATTTGTTTTCGCTATTAGAAAGAAGTGAAACTGAAGCTCCAGGCATATGTCACAATGTTGGCCTCTTTGCTCATTGACAAGTGCCGCCTCTGTAGGAAAGCACTACAGTAGCACTAGTGCTTATCATCCCCTGCAAACTTCCTTTGTAAGATGATGTATAATAAAGAACATTTTTTCAATTACTCTTTAAAATGGATAAAAATAGCTTCTGTAAGAAGGTATAACAAAATATCCAAAGGGCATGGTAATGTCTACTCAGAGTTCAAGGAAATGACAAACAACATACCTCTAGAAATTAGTCTAAAATCACTACAGGCTGAGGTTCCAGTGAGGGAGTGCTCAAAAGGCTACCTAAGAAGCGCCTGAATTATTGAGGCGCTGAGATGTCAGTTCCAGGGGACCTGCAATTTAGAGCAAAACAAGCCTCGATCATCAAAGAGGACTCAAGTACTGTGAAGGTTCTAGACTAGAAACAGATACAGGAACAAGACCAACACTGAGTCATGTGGGACTAGAACCTCCAAAAGGGTGGAATAGAACACTCAGGTCTGGAAATGGAAAAGGAAAACTGTCGGCTCATAAGAGCAGATTGCTAAATTTTCAGGAAATTTGTTAACCAGTTGTTAAACTTGGCCATTATTAAAGATTAAATCACATAAATTTATAATCGAGTTAATTATGTTAAAAATAAAGGCAATGAATGCTTAAATGGAGCAAAAAAAAGTGGCTAGCCTTTCTGACAATATCAAAACACAGTGAAACTGGAACACCTGGTATTTGGAAATGATTCAGTTTGTGAGAGAGTGTTTAACTGCCAGAGCATCCATTCTTTTGCCGTTTTCTATGGTTAAGAGATGTGCTTTTTAGGTTGGGCTTTACTAAAGAGCCAGACAATATAGTACTTTAGGCTAGAAGATTTTTGTGTTATGTTAATGGCCTTTCCCCCTTATTGCTTTTTGACCTTACCCCTTGCATATTATAGATATTAATTAAAGATGGAAAGGAGCGTGCCTATATGGATTTAAACACTGACAAAAGTCAGAATTCAACATATCAAAGCCTTTAGATGTGATTCCAAAACTCTGAGTATAAAAAGCTAGCCTTTGCTTTTATTATTTGGTAAGAAAAAAACAAGCAACTATTCATTCCACTGAGGTAATCAGAGAAAGAATGACAAGTCCCCCCTTACAAAAAAAAAGAAGATACTAGTAAAGAAAAAAGCAAAAATTAAATTTTATACAACAAAATTCCCTAGAATTGATAAGTAAATAGCAGATGTATTTAAAAAGATGAGTACAATAGTTAAATGTCTCACTGAGGAAAGGGGAAAACAAGCAAGTTAGGAATGAGTGGGAATGAAGTAATAAACATAGAGATTTTAAATTTTAAGAAAATACTGTATACTTTTCAAGGCTAATTAATTTCCATATGCAAATACGCCCCTTGATTTTCTAGGGAAAAAATGTTACAAAACTGTTTCAACAGTAGAGTCCTGAATATGTCAGTAACTAAAGGTATCGAGTTTTAGTTTAAATTTGCTTTTACTATTAAAGAGGTTGAACACTACCTTATATGTAAGTTGGCCACTTGTATTTTTTTTAATTGTCTGTATTCTTTGGCTGTGTTTTTAAATTGTGGTATTCATTTTCTGATTTATTGGTAAAAGCTTTTTATAGGAAGCTATTCATCTGTGTTCTGATAATTCTCTTCCATTTTTGACTTGCTTTTTAACTTTGTTTATTTGATTTTTTGCCATAAAAGTAAAAATTTATGGGAAAAGTTCTAATTTTTTAAAATTTTTTTCTGAATGTCTTTAAAGTATTTACAAGTTGGATTTTTTGTTTTTGGGTTTTTGGCTTTTTTCTTTTTTACTTTTTCATTTATGAAGATATGCATTTTAATTTTATTTAATAGTCACACATATGTGTCACTTTTTAATCCATCTAGATTTTTATCTTGGTTTATGGTATGGAGTAGAGATACAATTTTAACTTTAATTTGTTAGTTTTGAAAGTAGGTGACCCAGTGTTTTCACTCCGTGAATTGAGGAACGCACACACACACACACACACACACACACACACACACACACACACACAGCCACACATGAAACATTCCTAAGGATTTGTATGTCTTCTGAGTTGGGGTAATATGTATGTGTGAGTTCATTTGTAAATAGTCAAAACTTAACTTTGTCTCTAACAGACAAAATCCATTGTAGCAGGGGATATAAAAATAGATTTCTTTCCTTTTCCTTCACTAAAACATTTGCTTCATGTTAGCACAGTCTGGGGAAATGAAGGTCTCCTATTTATTAGCTAAACAATGGACTTACTATTCACACTACTCTAAGTTGTTCTTGTCTCTAAATCCTCAAATAATGAAACTCTACATTTCTTTGTTTTTATGATTGCACATGTTTTCACCATATAGTAGATTGTTTCACTCTATTTCATCCAATAATCCCTTATCTGTCAAATTGTGAGGAATTTGGGAGTTGGAAGTTTCATCTTCTTCCTTACAGTTTACTTAGCTTCCACTTCTTTTCCAAATGTGGGGGGAAAATTCCCAAAATAACATGAACATGAAAGGCCAGAGAAAACCATTTAGTAGGGCAAATATCTATGCTAACTTGGGCAGTTTGCTCTTCATCTCATTTTAGACTATGCTTTTAGTTTACTTTTGTGGTTGGTCCTGCTGGGAAGGTACAGGTGGGTGCTGCTTTAATGTGAAATGTGACTTATGCGGTAGTAGAAGGAACAGGTTCCTTCTCCTCAGGGAGAGGACTCACTGTGGTAATTAATGCTTACTTCCACCAGGCAACTGAGCTTATGGTTCACAGGTCAACCTGATTGCAGGATTTTGTCTTTTCCATTGTTATAATACCTTTCCTGGAGGTAATTAATGCTTCTAAATCACTCTCTGAGGTTGCTGTAAATGTGTGCTACCGGTCATGGTTTGAACTTGCTTTATTACTTACCTCATGCTTCTGCAGTTTTCCTGTGGGTACCAGGACTATTGTTTACTGTCCAGAATCTTGTGTATCTCAACTACAGATCTTTTGCACAGTAATATAGCAGTTGGACCTTTCAAAGATAGACATTTATAATGACTTTTCTAACAGATGCAAAGATGATGAAATATTTTGGCTAAAAATAATTATTAACCACTGATTATAGTGACAGCTAGTAAGACTAGGTCACTTTTCTTAGCCACTATCTAGCCTGATTCACATCTTTACCCACCTCTGAGGTCCCAGAGTTCTGAAGCCCCGTAGAAAGTAAACCAAAACCATGGACACAGGCATGAAGGCATGACCAGTTCTAGCCACTGTTGAAAGGTGAGCCCTCTATTACTAATACATACTGCTCAAGTATTCTGCTCTTGGACTTGTAAGATGACCTGATATTGTTCTAGGCAGACTTCCCAGTGCTTTGCAGTTTTTAGGGAATCCTGTGCTTGGTTTTATTTTAATGCTGGCTTCAATAACTCCCTAAGAAACTTAACTAGCTGCCAACTGACCCTATTCACAAACAGAGAACACAAGGGCCTATTGTAAATCCAGTGATAATATTCAAAATGGCTAAATATTCAGTGCCTCAGAGCTACAGAATACATTTTGCTAGACCATCTTTAGAACCTTTATTATTACATTTCTCCCAGCTCCTTCCATCAGATTTAGGGAGGGTGGTGCAAGTTATCACCAAACCTGTTCTCAGCTGGCCCCTGTTGCTGTCTGTGGAGCAGTAGTGTGACATATTCAGCAGAGCAAGGACAATTGGGCCAGTGATTATTAATTCTGAAAGATGCCCTTAAGTGGTGTCATGAAACCAGATCTGGAGGAGGCAAGGATTTCCCCCCAAAATAAGGAGATTAACATCCCAAAGGAGGGAGTGAGAAAGCTGCCTGCTAAAAAACAAACTTTGCTGCCAAGTTTATTTTTATCTCATGTGTTTGAAGATTAAGCAGATGTACCCTGAAATATGCAATGCTTTGTTTGAGTTACTCAAGAACACAAAGTTTACTTTAAGGACAAAATTATTATATGATTATCAACTTTTCTTTCTCCCTACATTTGAGACATTGGTACTTTTTGCCGCTGAGTATATAGCCAGAGGGCTTCTGTGGTAAAATTCTCTGGACAAATCCCTGGTTTTGCCATCTCCTCAGCAAACCTCGGTATCAGGTGGGCTGTCACCTCCCAGTTCCCCTTCCTCCTTGCTGGCCTTTTTCACCTGCAGACTTCCTTGTTGTCTTTCCACCTCAGACCCTCTAAAAATGCCCCAGTACCAGAGCAGCTCCAATGCTGGCATAAGGTTGGATGCCTAATTTTCCTCACGATTGTTCGTACGCTGGTGCCTTCACTGGCTGACTGTTCTGACTTCATACCACATTTTGGCTCCATGTCCTTCATACCTGTAAAATATGATTCTTTTTTTTTTTTGAGACGGAGTCTGGCTCTGTCGCCCAGGCTGGAGTACAGTGGCGCGATCTCGGTTCACTGCAAGCTCTGCCTCCCAGGTTCATGCCATTCTCCTGCCTCAGACTCCCGAGTAGCTGGGACTACAGGCGCCCACCACCACGCCCGGCTAATTTTTTTGTATTTTTTAGTAGAGATGGGGTTTCACCGTGTTAGCCAGGATGGTCTCGATCTCCTGATCTCGTGATCCACCCGCCTCGGCCTCCCAAAGTGCTGGGATTACAGGCATGAGCCACCGCGCCCAGCCTGTAAGATATGATTTACAGGCATCTTGCCATCCTCTTTGGCCCAACCTGTCGTTTCTAACAGAATAATACTTCAGATATAGGTGACCATTAAAGGAACCTGTTACTTTATAAACTGTCCCTGTGCTTCATGAAGGAAAACCTAAGATTGAGTTAGCAGCTACTTCAGACTATTAGCTCACACCAAACCTATTGTCAATCACAAACTGAAGACCTTTTCCCACACAAATAGCTGCCTAAAAATATATCTGTTTGTGCAATTGGTTGGTTGTTTGTTTATTCTTTGAGACAGAATCTTGCTCTTTCGCCTAGGCTGGAGAGTGCAGTGGCATGATCTCAGCTCGCTACAACCTCTGCCTCCTGGGTTCAAGCGATTCTTGTGCCTCAGCCTCCTGACAGCTGGGACTGCAGGTGTGTGCCACCACAGCTGGCTAATTTTTGTATTTTTAGTAAAAATGGGGTTTTGCTATGTTGACCAGGCTGGCCTCAAACTCCTGACCTCATGATCTGCCTGCCTCAGCCTCCGTAAGTGCTGGGATTACAGGCGTGAGCCACCGTGCCCAGCCACAGCTGATTTTTTGAACTAAATGCAATGCTTCATTAATTTTGTACATGGAGCACGGAGGGAACTGGAAGTTTTTAGAGGGCGGGAGGTTATGAAAAAAGAAGTATTTGGGAAGATGTGATAGCCAGCTTTCAAGAATTTAAAGGCTTGTGTTATGCCAGAAAGTAAAACTAGAAGCAGTGGTGTTATAATAAGGAACGTGATTTGAATGTAACACAGGAAAACTGGGAAGAGCCTGAGGGATGGAGGCACAGTGTCACGTTCATTGGCCTACCAGAGAACTTGTTATGCAGGAGATGTTCATGATGAATAAGTGAATTCATATATATATATACACACACACACACACACACACATGCACACACATAAATTAGAATTCATGCTTTTCATCAGGAAAATATGCTGCCATACTTTCCCGATGAAGAGTGACCATCTTCTCTTGGGGATATTATGAAAGAGATTCCACATTGCAGGCAAGTTGTTTTAAAGCAAGTAAACTGTCAAGCTCCTTCCACTTCTAGAGCTCTGTGTTTACATGGTTGTGTTTTTCTCTGTTGTTACTGAGGATAGTGAATGTATATCAGGTAACAGATATTTTTCTGTCCATCCCATGTCAAGTATAGTCACAAAGTTTGAAATGATTTTCAGAAGCTTTAAATATTATTTTCCTGGATATGCAAAATGCAGAAATATAAATTAACTTCAATCTTATTGGTCATCTGGAGAGCATTTTGTCACAGTCAGTTATATTTAGGAAAAACCATATATTGAGTTACAGAAGGTACCATATATAAATGAAAGGGAAATTTGCTAATAGACTCATAAGACCCTAGGTATTTAGAGCTTAAAGTAACTTGGGATACCATTTTATCCATTCTATATTTTTTATGAAAGACTTTTTAAGAATCTAGCTGATATTCTTGATAATTGGTCAATTAAAAAAAAAATTTAGGCCAGGAGCGGTGGCTCACACCTGTAATCCCAGCACTTCAGGAGGCCGAGGCAGACGGATTGCTTGAGCCCAGAAGTTCGAGACCAGCCTGGATAACATGGTGAAATCCCTTCTTTACAAAAAATACAAAAATTAACCAGGATAGTAGCCTGAGCTTGTAGTGCCAGCTACTGAGGAGGCTGAGGTGAGAGGGCCCCCCTGAGCCTGGGAAGGTAGGGGCTGCAGTAAGCCATGATTGAACCACTGTACTCCAGCCTGTCTTAAAAAAAAAAAAGAAAGAAAAATTACCCGTATACCATGTGTATCTTCTTACCAAGTATACCAAGAAGTATACCTTTTTATGTTAAAAGGGGAGAGGGAAGGATCTTATATGATTAATGTTATTTTATTCTACTTTACTTTTTATAAAAATCAAAATATATCTTAGTGTTTTTTTGCTACTGGATCATAGAATTTGTTGTCACATTCAGATTGACCATATGATTTCTCATGGCTGAATAAATTTTATGTTTTTCTAAAACTAGTCCCTTTTAATGGATAATTAGTCTATTGCCATGGTCATTGTTTTTCCTGTTTGAGGCAGTGTTTCAGTGATAATCACTATATTTTATTGTGGTGGTGGTTGGCTGGTTTTTTTTGTTTGTTTTTTTTTTGTTTTTTTTTTTTTGCCAGTTTAATCGCAGTTACTGCTTCATTTTAACCAATATGTAACACAAATTGGGTTCACTCATTCAACAAATATCTGTGGAGGATCTGCTAGATGCCAAGCATAGCAATTCTGGTGAGTATCTGAGTAGAGAGACAGTAAGGCCATAGTGAGTAGGAGTTGGGGAGTGGGGACGGGGAAGAGTTAAGAGATTAGAGAAAAGAAGATAGCATAGCTGGAGGTGCTGAAGCAACACCTGAGGTCTTCCTAAGTGTGATCAGTAGAGGTGTGGAAGCTGGGATAGAATAGAGTTAGTACTCTCTCACAGTTTCCTTGCCTGATTCTATTTAGATTGTCAAGGTACTTAGTCCCTCACTTAGTTCCAGTCAATGTTAGTTTTAAACCAGTTTTACCTGTAGGGAGATATTTGTAGACCAGGGACCTAGTATTTATTTGCCCAGCACTTTTGCTCTTCTGTAAGGATGATTCAGGGTTTAGATACTGGTCTCTTTGGAATTATTGTTTCACCCTCTCCACCTTGATGTCCCCGCCCCCCGCCCCGTTTCTGTGCATACCCAGCCATATAGAAGTGAGGGTGGACCCCTGCCTCTTTGTCCCCACCAGTTAGTCCAACTCCCTTTTCCTTCTCTACCAGCCACATTTGGCATTTTTACTTTTCTTTCAGTGGAGGGAGGGAGGGCCACTGTGAAGGAGATTTCAATGATTGTGGAAAGGAGAGTATATATTATGACTTAGCCTTAGAAAATATAGCCTTCTTATCTGGGAGATACTGAGGAAACATGGTACAGAGGAAAAAAAGCTGTGGTCTAGAAGTCAGGAAAACTGGGCTCTCTCCAGAACTGCCAGGGATTGTCTGGGATGAGCCTTTCCCCATGCTACCCTCAGATTCCTCATTAGTAAAGTAGGTGCAATCTAAGTTGGGGTTTACTTTTTTGTCATTCTGTCTTTAAAATCAATCAGAGACAGTGCTGTTTTACAAGCAAACTATAAAACTTGCTTGCAAAGCTTTAAAAAAAAATTCATGTTAACTAAAACAGACCATTTTAGAGATGATTTTGTTTACCTGATGAGGTACTGGGTCTGGAGACCTGACTGCTTCCATATCTCCCTGAAGGCTTTTCTCATTACCTGAGTATACTAGGAAGTATTGCCACCTCTTCTGCTACCTAAGCCAAATCCAATGAGCCATTCTTTTTTTTATTTATTTAATTTGTTAGAGAGAGGGTCTCACTCTGTTGCCCTGGCTAGATTGCGGTGGCACGATCATAGTTTACTGTAACCTCGAACTTCTGGGCTCAAGTAATCCTCCTGCCTCAGTCTCCTAAGTAGCTGGGACTACAGGCGTGTGCCACCATGCCTGGGTAATTTTTATTTTTTTATTTTTTATTTGTTTTGAGACAGAGTCTTGCTATGTTTCCCAGGCTGGTCTTGAACTCCTGGGCCTCCTTCCTCAGCCTCCCAAAATTCTGGGATTATAGGTGTGAGCCACCATGCTAAGCCCATTTTCTTTATGGAGAATAGTAATGCAAACAGTTAAGTACCAAGGATTAGCTTCAGTATAGACTGTGTTATTTTCTAGGGTTCAGAGGAGGGGCATGTCCAGAGAATTGGTAGAATGAGCTCTTGAAAGTGATTGGGATACCTCCTGGAATGAAATTCCTCCTAAGGGAGAAGAAACCAGGCATGACAGGGTAATCCAGTAGTCAAGCCTTAGTCTCAAGAGGGAGGAATGATGTGCTGCCTGTCACTTGATTTGCCTTTTGGCCCAGCCCTATTGCTCCGCTGATTGAGACCTTTGGAAGGCAAGAGTAAAACCTGAAGAACTGACCTCTGTAAGACATTGGGTCACCACAATGCCTTTTTCCCTCTAAGAGAGTGAAGCACAAGGAAGGAGCATTTCCACTACTCCAGAAACTACTGCAGAGTTTGGGCACCCTGACAACCCTAGTGTTCATGTATCTATGGCAAGTGTGAGCTCGTGGGCCCATGAGGAATTTCCACTAGGATGCCCAGATTAGTTGATAGACACATTCCAAATAAGGCCCCGTATGAACTGGTGTGGACAGAGAGCCAGTGTGATTTGGTGGTTATTATTAATCAGACTTCACTGGTAGTCATAGGCTGGGAAGCCTTGAAAAAATTGTTTACATTAGTCTGTCTTGTGAAAGCTTCTTCAAAGATGCTCTGTCAGCATGTTAGCTTTGTATTACAGTGGAATTCTTTAGTTTGTTGCTGATAAATCTAAAGAATGCTTATTGAGAAAAGACACCTGAGTATCCCTGATAGAGTAAAGGGGCTTCCCCTGAAAATCCCTTATGACTCTTCTATTTGGGGCCAATTAAAAATGACAATCTTACCTCACAGTATTTTTGGGGTCTTTATTCAGAGAGTCACATATGCAAGACCATCACATTCCATACTATGGAAATCATCAACTTGAAATAACTTTCACATTATTTTCCTAACCTACATTTTGCAGCACTTTCTCTCTGGTTTTCTCAGAGCCAAAGAAATATTTCCCATGATGTGAGCTGAGATTATTTTACTCTGCTAGTGGTTAGATTTTGGCAGTGGTAGATGGTAAAAGTGGAAGGAGACACTTGAAAATTCTTTGGGTAGTGTGTTGGATGTTTTTTAATAAATAAATAAAGGCAGCAGTAGAGAAGCATGTGGTGCTGGGACTTGTTTTGCTTTCCCAAAAAATGAAGCAGACCAAAATCAAGGAACAGTTTTCTGAGCCTTTTTGAGCGTCTTCCAATGGGTATTTAAAAGACCAAAAACTTCATGTGAACCACAATGTCAGGAGCCAGAGGGTAGACAGAAGTATGCAGCCAGGAGGAGGCTGTTTACACGCACTTGAATAAGGAAGTGATTTGGTTGAGGACAGACCTGGCCAGGAGAATCAGTGTAAAGACTTCGCAATGAAAGCCACATTTTATTAGTCATTAGAGGATGTGGAGAAAAAAGATACAAGGAGATGAACCATGTGCTCTCCCCTTTGCTGCCAGTTCTTTTTTAAAGGTTCTGAAATGGTTTATTTTTATTAGTTGCAGTTATTAGCATCTCTAAAAGACTCAGAAACACTTAAAATACCCATGTAATTTGTGTCAAATAACATTTTAAGTATACTTATTGATGCATAAGATGCACATAGAAAAGTATGCAAATCTTAAATGCACAGCTTGATGAATTTTCATAAACTGAACATATGCCAGTGTAACTAGTACCCAGACCCAGAAACAGAACCTTACAAACATCCCAGAAGCCAAGCTCCTTTCGAATTACTGCCACCGCACCCCTTCACCCTATTAGATTTACCTGATTTTAAGCTTTATATATAGAATGTGCTCTTGCATTGGGCATTTTTCATTTAGCATTCTGTTTATGAGGTTCATCCATGTCATGGCACATGGTTGTGATTTGCTCATTCATGTTACTGTGTTGTGTGACTACCAGTTTATTTATCCACTCTTCTGTTGGTGGATATTTAAGTAATTTCCAGTATTTGACTATTATGAATATTGTCACTTTGAATATTCTTATACATGTCTTTTGGTTAATGTGTCTGCTTTCTGATGGAAGAGAAATTATTGGGTCATAGAGTAGGCATATGCTCAAGCTTAGTCAATGTACCACTTTATGCTTCCACCAGGGGTATCTGAAAGTTCCAGTTGCTCTGTATCTTTGTCCATACTTGTTTTTGCTTTCATTCGAGTCATTTTTGTGTGTATGGGGTAGTATATTACGTAGATTTTGCTGGTGACTAGAGAAGTGAAAGGTCCTTTTCATTTATATATTGACCATTGTTGTTTACTGATTTGTGGGATGCCTGTTAAGTCTTTACCCACTTATAGATTCTCTGCCTTTTTTGTATTGATTTATAGGCATTCTTTATATATTCTGCATAAAAGTCCCTGGATGGGTATATGTATTGCAAATATTTTCTCCTTTGCGAGTTATCTTTCTGCCATCTAATGATGTCTCTTGATAAACGGAAGTTCTTAGTTTTAATATAATCTAATATTTTTCAATTTTTTCTTTTACGACTAACGCTTTTTGTGTCTTGTTTAAGAAATCTGCTTATTCCAAAGTCATGGTGATATTCTATGTTGTTATTCCATAAGCTTTTTTTTGTTTTACTTATTGTATTTAGATCTGCAATCCGTCTGACATTGGTTTTTGTAACAGAGGTCAGGTGGGAGTCAATGTCAATTATTTTTTTCAATCAGGTATCTGGTTGACTTAGAACCATTATCACATCCCCACTGTACTGCAGTGTCACCATTGCCAAATATCAGTTTGTGTAGTTTACATCTTCAATAATGGCAGCTCTTTAATTCAAAAATTATAGTAGCTTGTGTCTAATAACTTTTCCTGGTAAAAATTATAATTTTTTGGTTTTAAAAGATTACTTGTAATCTCAATACTAGCATTCCTACAGTTTGTATTTTAGTTATTATTATTCTATTTTTATATCATCCTATTTACATTGAATTACATATTCTACTTTATTTCTAAGTAATCTTCAAAATTCAGTTTTTAAGATGTAGTCTTGCTCTGTTGCCCAGGTCTTGAACCTCCTGGGTTCAAGCAATTCTCCCACCTCAGCCTTCCGAGTAGCTGGGATTACAGGTGCCTGCCACCTTGCCGGCTAATTTTTGTATTTTTAGTAGAGACGGGGTTTTGCCATGTTGGCCAGGCTGGTCTTTTAACTCATGACTCCCAAAGTGCTGGGATTACATGCGTGAGCCACTGCACCCGGCCAATACTGTGTTTTTATAACATAAAATTAAAACCCATAACTACTGTAGTATAAAACCCCATTCATATTGAAAATGGTATTAATACCAAAAATTCAACCTGTAGTTCTGGTTATTTCATTGATCTACTAAGTAAGAAAGAAAATGTGAAGGTTGTATTTTTTCAGTCCACAATAACAGAACTGCTTCTGTTCTTGTGCTGCTTCTCACCAGGAAGTAATGCGTGCCCTGGAAAAGATAACTGGCTTGACTTGAAATGATCTGTATTTGCTTAAAAATTAGTTAACATTCTAATATTGTTACTTTTGCCTAATATTGTTACTTCAAGTAAGCTGTATCAGTGTCATAGTCAGTACCTGTGCCACATCAAGATGCAGACGTAGGGCAATAGTCTCAAAAATCCCAAGCTTTTGAAGCTTGGGATTGGAATAAATACTCAGTAATAATGTGACTGCACTGTAAAAATGCTTCAGGAGCACTTACAATAAGAAAATGTGAGAAAATAGAATGTGGGATTTCTGTCTTCATCTCTGTCTCCCCTGTGGTGCACAGCATAAGTTTATAAGTATTAGTCATTACTAGACACTTAATGAAATAAATCTAAAAAGCACAGAAGACATATGACATATTCTTTCAGCAACTGTTCAGAGCCTGCGCTCAAGGAAATCATAGTGTACTAGAGTGTAAGATTCTACAGGACCCTCCAAATTCCATAATTCCTGAATTGACTTCGTAGAAAATATTAACCTTTGGAAAAGTGATCATTGCAAATGGTAAAGGACACAGGAGTGGCATCGGGTGATGCAGGCCCACATATAATTCCACGGTGGCCTGTGAGTAGATCTGGAGATTAGGGTTTGGCAGTGGGACTAAGGTTCAACACAGCCTTCTTAAACTGAAGGCTAAGACTCCTCACTCTCAGAACCTTGGTTAACCTCAAGAAACATTCCAGTTCCCTATCAGATAGGAATCCAAGACTCCCTCTGTGGACACCAGGCACCATGAAATCCAAGTCTGGCAATCCAGAGGTGAGACCACAGTTTCAGTTTCTAGGGTCTAAATTGATTAATGCAAATGTAATCCATTTACAGTATAATCCCAGGTTCATTGCCCTGTGGTAATTCAAACAATGTGAGCATTCAAGGCACAGAAATAACAAAAAGGCTTTTTTTAACTTCTAGTTATTTTTAAACATTTTTTTTTAATCATCATAGGTACTTACTTGGTAGGGGAGATACCAAGATCACAAAGTTGGTTTCCCAGGGCGAGGCTTATTCAGTACACTCCAGGTGTGCTGACCCCTGCGATTTCCCCAAATGTGGGAAGCTCTACTGCATACTTTGTGGTAGAGAGAACTGTGTTCGTGCTCTCCCCTTCTCCCCTGACATAAATGGTTTTTTTTTTCCTTTTTTGAGAGGAGTCTCGCTCTGTCACCCAGGCTGGAGTGCAGTGGCACCAACTCGGCTCACTGCAAACTCCGCCTCCCGGGTTCACGCCATTCTCCTGCTTCAGCCTCCCAAGTAGCTGGGACTATAGGCTTCCGCCACCACCTCCGGCTAATTTTTTGTATTTTTAGTAGAGGCAGGGTTTCACCATGTTAGCCAGGATGGTCTCCATCTCCTGACCTCGTGATCCGCCTGCTTCGGCCTCCCAAAGTGCTGGGATTACAGGTGTGAGCCACCGCGCCTGGCCCAAATGTATTTTTTAAAAAGAAAAAAAGATTGTTTTATCATCATAAAAATAGTACATTTGGTGAGACCATTTGTTTAAATATAGAAAAAATAAAATGAAAATGACCTTTAACCCCACTATCCAGACGTAGCCACTATTGACATTTTGGAATATATCCTCCAGCTCTTTTTTTCTGTGCATATATATGTTTTCTTATATATTTTATTTATGCATTTAAAGTTGTAATTTTAAAGTACACACATTTTAAGAGAGGAAAGATATACTTTTTTACAAACAAGTTAATTATAGAATATTTGCAAATTACAGAAATAAAAAGATAAAAACCAGGAGCTGACTGAAACAATCATTCACTTTTTAAAACTTTAAAGTATTTCAGACAATAGATAATATAATGAACGTTCATGTACCTGCCATCCAGACTCAACTAATTTTCATGTTTTTCTTTAATTGTACAACTTTCTTTATACCTGGTGAAATGTTAGCTATCTAAGTCCCTTATCCCATCAATAACTCCCATATTCCTCAGCAGTACCACTTCTTGAAACTTGCTGTGTAAGTTTGTCTTCCAATGCTTTAAAACTTGTTTGTAATTTCAGTAGGTGTCAGCAATATATTTTTTTTAATTTTTAAACTTTGCATAATAGTATCATATTGTTCATGACCTTCTGTAACATGCTATTATTGTACTGTTTTATGTTTTACAGATTTTTTTTCTATGTTGATTCCATTGTATGAATTCATTATAATTTATTTTTTCAATCTCCTGTTGGTGGATATTGAAGGGTGCTTTCGATTTTTTGCTGTGACAAACACATTACCGTGAATACTTTTGAACATTTTTTTCCTTGTGCACATAGATGAGTTTTTCTAGGGGGTACTTCTTAACCCTGTCAAACTCTACCTTCTTTTCATAACAAATATTCTGACATCACTTTTACTACCCAGGAATGAAATTCAAAGATAAAATAATCTGCCTGCCTGCATAATTTCAAAAATATCAGTATAATACTTTAATGTAAGGGATAAATAAAAGTGAAGTGATTTACAATAAAATAACATGCATTTTAGTATATAAATGTTCCAGTTTGACTACATGAGTTAAGTCAGATATTTGTAGTCACCATGTTTCTGTGACAGTCACAGATGAAGCTTGATACAGATATATGGTATTGATGACTCATACGCCATGAGTGACTGTCGATAAAATGTTGAACAGCTTGTTTTCAGAACAAGTTCATTCTTCCTTTGATTTACGTGGTAATTCCATTTCTGAAAATTCGGTGTATATTAAACTACAAAAAAGTCTTTGTTATTAAAATGGAATTAGATTTAAACTCAGATTATTATGAACAGGTTTGTCCAGCAGAATATTCAAAAGCTGTACAAAGAGGGTAATTCTTGTACGGGAAGATATTTTCACACATGCAAAGCACTGGCCCCTGCTCACTAACTGCCAGTAGTAGGCCCCAATCAGAAACGCTCCCACCAGTCACTCACTAAATCACCTAGAGAGGGGTTGTATGGCTGTGGGTGATGTGCTGTTGGTACACAATTGTGCCTGTTCTCAACACTGCTCTGGGATATACAACTAGAAATCACATTGGTGAGTTGCGCAGTCTAATCATACTTTAATGAATAATGCAGCTTATTCTCGCTCATAGTTGTAACAATTTTTGTTCTTGTCTACAGTACATAAGACCTACTTTTTCTGCACATAACTGCCAGCACGTGGTTTCTTCAGACTTATACCAGTTGTATTGGTGTGAAATAGTATCTGGTTTTAATTTGCATTTACCTTATTATCAATGAGATTCTTTTTTTTTTTAATGTTTTTTGACTGAGGCTTTCTTTTCTTTTAATGTCTTTTCTTGGACTATTTATATTCTTTGTCTAGATTCCTATTGGGTTGCCTTTTTTCATTGATCTGTACTAGTTGTTTACATATACTTAAAATTTTTTGTCCCCTTTCGACATTGAAAGCATCTCTTTGTAGCTTTTATCTTTACAGGGTGTGTGTGTGTGTGTGTATATATAAATTTTAACTTTTATTTTCAGTACAGGAGGTATGTGTGCAGATTTGTTACATGAGAGTATTGCATGATGCTGAGGTTTGGAGTATGGATTCTATCACTTTGGTAGTAAGCTTAGTACCTGATAGGTAGTTTTTTATCCAACCTCCCTCCCCACTCTCTAGTAGTCCACAGCGTCTGTTGTTCCCATATTTGTTTGGTATCTTTTGTTTTGAAGTTTTTAAAATAATGTAGTGAGTCTTACAAATCTTCAGTCTTATGGTATCATATGATTTGTGCTTTCAGGTTTTATGTTTCACATTTAGGCCTTTGATCTACATGAAATTTCTTTTTCTAGATGGTATGACGCAGATGCAATTATATCATTTTTCACATTTCATTGGCTAATTGTTTCAATGCTGTTTACCGAATAGGCCTGCCTGTCTGCCACTGTTGCCCCTTCGTCATTTCCACATTCCCACACGTGTTGGTCTTTTTCTGGGCTCTTCATTTTTTCCCATTGATCTGTTGTCTAACAGACCGCTGTCACTACACTGCCTATTTATTTTTATCCCCTGAGGTTGTGCCACTTGCTCAAGAAGAGAGTTATGAACTGACCCTTAATATTTTCCTTTAATCTGATCCACGACTAACAGAAATAGCTCACAGTTCAAGGTGCCCTCCTCTAGTTTTCACCTACTCATTCAGCTTTTCTTTAGTTTTCTGTTTCTTTGATCATTTCAATCAGGACCATTTGTATACCTGTGCTGAAGTTGCCATTTCATCCAGAAGTGACTCTGTTTCCTGATTTTAATTGGAAATATTTAGGGTTTAAAGGTAGAAGGAATTCAGTTATGATTTCCTGGTTGTGTAAAGCCGTATCTCTTCCCCTTTCTTTTTGTCTTAAAACAAATTTCCAGCATTGTTTTCAACTATACTAAGCATTTTGTGCTTCTGACTTACTGAATCTTGTGTGTTTCCCCCATTTATTTAAGTCATTTGAATTGGAATGCAGCACATGTTAAAGGAGTATCACTTAAAACCATGTGTTACTATATAAAATATAAATTTAGGTAAATGGGACAGGATACAAAACTCATAAATGGATCTGATCCTGAATATGAATTTATGCCTCATAAAGAAGTTATTACAGCTTTCCTTGTAGTTAACAATATATACAAAAAAATTAAATATGCAATTTATGTCATACTCCAAAATAGCTCTTAAATTTGATTAACAAATCTATGAATAAAACCACTGCTACTCTGACTGTTAGAACCACCACTGCCACTACTTCCACTTATTGCATAAGGTTAGAACTTTATAACATTCAAGTTCCTTGGATTCCAAATTGAACATAACAAGAATGCATGTTGACTAAAGAAAAGAAAAAGAATGGGATGGAAAAGTCTTTTCACTTGTGCCTTGTGCTCCACCCTGCAGCTGTCAATAATGACCTTGGTTTCTCACTTAGACATCCAGTGGGGCCGGGCGCGGTGGCTCACGCCTGTAATCCCAGCACTTTGGGAGGCCGAGGCGGGCGGATCACGAGGTCAGGAGATCGAGACCATCCTGGCTAAAACGGTGAAACCCCGTCTCTACTAAAAATACAAAAAATTAGCCGGGCGTAGTGGCGGGCGCCTGTAGTCCCAGCTACTTGGGAGGCTGAGGCAGGAGAATGGCATGAACCCGGGAGGCGGAGCTTGCAGTGAGCCGAGATCCCGCCACTGCACTCCAGCCTGGGCGACAGAGCGAGACTCCGTCTCAAAAAAAAAAAAAAAAAAAAAAAAAAGACATCCAGTGGTGCCATTTCCACACCTCATCACTCCTTCCCATGTCCTCTGTGTGGTTATTTCCATACTCCTGAATGCCATTTTCTCCAGGAGGCCCATAACCTTTTCGGTTTCTGTCTTCACATGAACAAAAAGTATACTTTTCCTATTATAAGATGTGTCACATTGTATCGTAATTAACTGTGTATTTGCCTTTGTCCCTCACCAGATTTTAAACTCTGTGAAGACCGCAACTGTGCTTATGTGCACTCATTCATTGAGGAATCTATGAAGTGCCTATTTTGGTCCTTGCCGTTAAAACTGAACTCATTGAAAGACTAACAGAAAGTTGAATAACTGTTTATCAATTATTTGAAAGCACAGCTTCCTGAGCTTTGAAACTTAGACGCCAAATGGAAAAAGCTCAAAAAGTTACTGTAGAGAAAAAAATAGAAGCAAAATGAAAAGAGAAACTATAGTCTGGAGAAAAAAAAATATGAAAGAGTTCAAATGTTTATTACATAAAGAACTAATATGAATGATAAAAGTTATAAACCTAAAAGAAGAATAGACAACTGCTTTGAACTAGTAACTTATCTGCCTAGTTGTCCATGTCAGGAATCTGGATTTTATTCTTGTTTCCTTCTTGTCCCTTCTTCCCAGCTCCTAAAAAACCACCAAGACTTAGCAGCTCTACCTCAGTTCTCTCTAATTTCTCTGTAAGATCCCAATTTATGCTCCAAGAAAGGATCATAAGAAAGCCAGACCACCACCATTCTATTAGGAACAGACTGACCCAAATGGAGCTTCATTCTCACCAGGAAAATGATACAGTTGTGAGTGTGGGTAGATCCTTTTTGGGTAGATCCTCTGTAGATTCTTTTTGTCCTGTTAGGACACACCAAGACATGATAAAATACTATGCCCCACTCAGGCATTCTACTCTGTTTCCAAGCCCCAGATGGAATTTCTTCCACTGTTTTAATCCTAGACCCCCACACTGAGAACCGCGTTATTCCCTTGATGAGAACCAAGCTCCATTGGGTCAGTCTGTTCTTAATTGAATGATGGTAGTCTGGCTGTCTCAGGATCCTTTCTTGGGGCATAAATTGGGACCTTACAGTGACACATAATAAAACTCAACTTGTTCAGGACACTGAGGGACAAGTTTCTACCTCTTCTCAAATACAAAGATAGTAAGCCAGCATATTTCCAGGAAAAAAGAGTTTTCATTCTTTAGGTGTTACTTTTTCTTCTCATTTTACTGGGTAGTTTCTCTTCTGAGAAAAGGGCCCACAGATCTTGAAGTAATATGTGTAAGAACTATTATTACATCTGTAATCCCAGCACTTTGGGAGGCCAAGGAGGGCGGATCACTTGAAGTCAGGAGTTCAAGACCAGTCTGGCCAACATGGTGAAACCCCATCTCTACTGAAAATACAAAAAATTAGCCGGGCGTGGTGGCAAGTGCCTGTAATCCCAACTACTTGGGAGGCTGAGATGGGAGAATCGCTGGAACCCCAGGAGCCGGAGGTTGCAGTGAGCTGACCTCGCGCCACAAGCACTCCAGTCTGGGCAACAGGGCGAGATTCCGTCTCAAAAACAAACAGACAGAAAACTGTTATTAGCTCAGTCTGTTCCTATGAGAAGAAAAAAATTTATGACATAGTGATGTCATTGTTGCAAGATTTTTCCCTAAGGCCTACTATAACACCAAGAAGTTAAAGGGCAGTTGATTTAATGGACTTGTTTAGCATGATGGACAGACTTGACCCATCTTCTGAAAACCTTAGCTAAGCAATACTGATCCACTTTGGAGATGCTGGCCAAGCAGGCTTGGAAAAGGGTGACAAGAGTTATAAAGCGTGTGGATTCCCTGTTATTCTTTGTAGTTGAGTCAAAGAGTGCAGAATCTTGAGTTTTGATGAAAGATACAAAACCAAGGCATAAAATTGGAAACAGAGGATATGAGCTGCTTTGGTATCCAAATGCAAGGGGGCCTAAAGCAGAAGATGGTCTTTCAAAACTAAGGGTTCTCTAGATTCCCACTACCTGGGGAGCTTGTACTTAAAAAAAATCCTCATCTCTCTTCCAAAGTGATGTTCTCTCACAGGCATGAGGCTGTATGGATGTTCATGACATATGACTTGCATTTACTGCAAAGGTGTAAAGAGATCCATTAATTCAGCTTAAACAGGTTAACAGGAACAGGTTGATGGTTCTTGGGTGAAGAATGTTAAAGTCAGTTTGAAATAAAACTTTGGTGATTAAGAGACCATATTCTAACGTTTTTTCCCACAAATTTTTAAAATTCTAATAATGTTAGAATTAAATTGTAACAGTACAATGAAAGAGCACTTTACAAATCCAAATTTGCCTGAAGATGGTAATTCTGTTCCCTATCCAGACAGCTAACAGGCTCGCCCCCAGAAAGCAGTGTTAGTATTCACTAATGGTTTTACCATCTTCCTGCTTGCCAGTGTAACCTCATCCTAGATTGATTAAACCTGTGCAACAGGGAGTTGTTAAGAATAGTAAAAAAGTTTTCAACAGAAGGTGAATTCATCTCTCAAGCCTCACACAATTTTTTTCAGTCTCATATCATAAAAGATACTCTCCTTAATATTTCTTTCTGAAATTCTTCTTAAAGGGAAACATTTGGGACAGCCTAGAAAAAAAAATTTGGCTCAACAGTCTTTACAAAATACTGGTTTTTGATTATGAGGAATTTGAAGGGTGTAGTATACAGTCTAGCAAGGACCTATGTACCCAGTTGTCATTCCAGTCTGTGTGAACATAGAGTTCACATGCCAATTTATTTAATTTTATTTGTTGTATAGAGAAAAATCAGGATCATAAAGGGCTTGGGTTTGATCACTTATCTTCAATCAGACAAAAGTACTGGTGTTTCTATAAAAACTAGAATTCTTGGCATCTAGTAAATTGCTTTAGCTCCATGTTCCTCAACCTGCTTTCTCTTTTATTTCTTGTAAATCACATGTACTTTTTTGATAAACATAAAAAAATACTGGTGCCCTCTATAATCCATGAAATGTGAAAATAAATATAGTGACTAAAATCAAATCAATGGCACGCTAATTTTGAATTTTATTCCCCCGTGCTATCACTCTTCCTACCCTGGGAATTCTGAAATGATTACCCGGAGGGAACATACTTCTCATCCCCCAATTCCAGTTGAAAAATGCTTTAGCAAATGTGCTTTCTGTGAAGAAATTCTTTGTCCCTAATTGTTATAATTTTCACTAAAGTGACTGAAATGAAAATCACATGATTTAATTAGAAAAAAGAAGGACAAGAAGTTTATGGTTATTACAACAGTGTAAATTATGTGTGACAATAGAGAAGAAAAAAGAGAAATATAAAAATGAAAATAGTGGCAATATTAGAATGATGGGATTGTGGGTATAATGTCCTTTTTCAAGATGGTACTTGCTGATGTTATTTTTAAAAACAAAAAGTTGCTTCAGACTGTATTTTGTGTAAAGAACAAGTTGTGCATTTAATAATTGATAGCAAATCAAGAAATTCTGAAAAGGAATTTTAAAGTCACTTTATAGTGATTCATCTAGATCATCTTAATGGTCCTCCCTTTCCTAGATTTTAAAATTATATTTAAAAATAAGTAAAAATGTTGACATGTAGTACAGGTAGTGAAGTTTTTACTATCTTTGGAGCATTGCTTTTTCCATAAATTCTAATCTTAGCTATGAACATTGTGGTCTCTTGACTTTTTGTTTCTGGGAGAATTATAATCATGTTAGCAAATCTGGGCATATCTAAATAGCAAGAGTAGATTCGGTAATTGGAACAGCAAAATGTAAACCAGAAGTTCAAAGAGACAGTGTTTAAAATATACTGACCATCTGCAGTCTGCATCCCTGGTAATACAGAGGAAAGACCAGCATTTATCTTTTCATTGAAACCATGTGCTGTGTGTGTAGGAAGGAAATGCATGCTGGTCAGAGGTCAGAAGCAGGATGGATGAGGTTTGAAAGGGAATATTTACTATGGGGTTTTCCTAAACCCTTAGCCTCTAGGGAGATGTTATTTCTAGTAGACTTAGTGGAAACTTAGACCTAGATCTGTTACATCATAGTACCAATGGGAGATGTAAACAAGAAGCTATAGCCAGG
The DNA here is from genome assembly GCF_000001405.40 of Homo sapiens. Taxonomy (NCBI): domain Eukaryota; kingdom Metazoa; phylum Chordata; class Mammalia; order Primates; family Hominidae; genus Homo; species Homo sapiens. Next base: position 82,165,972 of record NC_000015.10, on the reverse strand, counting down.
TATTACTGTGTGTGCTGAGCTAAGAGGTACAATAATAAGAAATTTAGACTTTGACCAAAGAAGTACACTGGAGGCACAGGAGGAATTTAACATCCTAGAAACTTTAGTCTGAAGAGGATCCCATGCACACAAAAGGTCTGTAAATCATGTCCTGTGCTGATTAGTTAAAGGAGCTAATGATACCTAATGTGAGGCAGAACAGAGTTAAAAGGATCTGACAAATGCTTTCAAAATCCAAAAGGTAGTTGGTGAAAGTGAAAGAAGCACATTTTCTGTGAACCTTTGGAGGTTCCACACACTAAGAACGATGTGTGGAGATGGGGAAAGACAGATTTTAGAATACTGCAAGGAAGATTTTCTTAAAGTTGGAGCTATCTGTTAATGTAGCGAGGTGATAAATTCTAGTGGCTGTCAGACCGTAGATATTCAGGTGGATGTTAGATGGAGGTTTCCATACTGTGTAGTCGGACAACAAGAAACCTCTAAATTATCCTCCAAGTTTGTGTACCTGAAGCCTCTGCTTCAGTTCCTCTCCACCAGTCTGGATGTGTGATTCGGTGGCCTCCCATCACCCTGTACCTTTACATCAATTGGTCAACTAAGGACAGCAAAGTGATTTTCTTTGTTTCCTTTCTTCAACCCAAAAGCACAAAAATGGCCCGTGTGTGTGTGTTTCTCTCGCTCTCTCTCTTTCACTCTCTCTCTTTTTCTCTCTCCTGTCCTATCCTTTCCTGTCCTTTTTGACGGGGTCTCAGTCTGTCACCCAGTCTTGAACTCCTGTGCTTAAGCGATCCTCCCACCTCAACCTCTCAAGTACCTGGGACTATAGACAGGTGTGCACCACCATGCCTGGCTGAATTTTTTGTAGCAAGAAGTCTCACTCTGTTACCCAGGCTGGTCTTGAACTCCTGACCTCAAGTGATCCTCCTTGACTTCCCAAAGTGCTGGGATTACAGGCATGAGCCACTGCACTGGCCCTTTGTATGTGTTTCTTAATTTGTTCTAAAATGTTGTCTACTCATAGTCTGGGTGTGAGATTCAATATGCCTCTTTATCACTCTTTTTTTTTTTTTTTTGAGGTGGAATCTCGCTCTGTCGCCCACACTGGAGTGCAGTGGCACGATCTTGGCTCACTGCATCCCCCGCCTCCCAGGTTCAAGCAATTCACCTGCCTCAGCCTCCCAAGTAGCTGGGACTACAGGCGCCCACCACCACGCCCGGCTAATTTTTTGTATTTTTAGTAGAGACGGGGTTTCACCGTGTTAGCCAGGATAGTCTCGATCTCCTGACCTTGTGATCCGCCGGCCTCGGCCTCCCAAAGTGCTGAGATTGCAGGCGTGAGCCACTGCACCTGGCCCCTTATCACTCTTTCTAAGACATTCTTTTTGCTTCCATCTGCTCAAAGACAAATATGCAACCTTCAGAGTCTCATGCAATCATCAGCCAAAAGTCTGAAGTGAGTGTATGGCAGGGGGAAGGGGTTGACTAGGATTCTCTTCTAAAACAGGGGGAGTATGGAGGGTAGCTTAGGGTAACATACTACATAGCAACATCACATTTTAAGTTTCTAAATTCCCTTTACTCATATGCAGATGGATTTGGCAGAAGATTATTTCAGTAGAGACCCATCTTCATCAAATTAATATATTTTTAAAAACCAACTAAGTGTTAGAAATAATCAGTGTTTTCAGACAAATATATCTGGAAGTGATCATTTCTGTGGTCAAAGTAGCTATGCATTAGCCCAATCTGATATAATAGGATTTGTACATGTGGGAAACAAAAGGCAGAATTTCTGTATTTTGACAGCAATCAAATGGTATCCAGGTGTACAAAAAAAAAAACAGTGCAGGTCCGCCTCATTTCTTGCAACATTTTGGAAGCATTTGGCTCTGTGATACATATACTGGGTTGATGCTGCTGTTTTTCTGACATAAATTCAGAATTTATCATCCCTTATTGACCGTATGGATCTTTTCTTCCTACAGGAATAGGAGGCCTTCAAGATTTTGTGCTGAAATCTGCAACACTGTGTAGCCTGCCATCCTGCCCACCATTTATACCACTCAACTTCGAAGCCACTCCTATTGTGAGAGTTGCTGTTGAACCAAAACATCCAAGTAAGATGACCTTATTTTTAAAAGCATATGTTTATTATACTTTTAAAGCATATGCATGTATTTAGTATTTGATTCCTCATGACTTGTTTCAGCAGTATATAATGAATTTTCATTGAGGTCTATAGTAGAAGCAACTCTTCAAAGGGCATCTAACTTCTGTCTTAGGAACATGCCATGGTTACAGGTACCTTTGCTGTCCAGGGAGACTGCATCTTCTTGATGGCAAAGACAAGGTCATCTCTACATCCCCCACAACCCTGGCATAGGATTGTAGCTTAGCAAAGCTTATGTTTATTTATCTATTTATTTATTTTTTTGAGGCGGAGTCTCACTCTGTTGCGCAGGCTAGAGTACACTGGTGTGATCTTGACTCAACCTCTGCTGCCTGGGTTCAAGCGATTCTCCTGCCTCAGCCTCCTGAATAGCTGGGATTGCAGGCATCCACCACCACACCTGGCTAATTTTTGTATTTTTAGTAGATACGGGGTTTCGCCAGTTGGCCAGGCTGGTCTTGAACTCCTGACCGCAGGTCATCTGCCTGCCTCGGGCTCCCAAACTGCTAGGATTACAGGCGTGAACTAAAGTGCCCGGCCAAATTTCATGTTTTATGTGACTTCTTCTTAGTTGGAATCTTATCTCAAGCTCCTTAGTTCAGAATTCATCATTTGCCTCTTCCCTCTAGGTTTGACAGATTATCTGCACACTGAGAATTTCCCGTCTGTTTAGAAACCACTTTCTGCACCTTTCCTGCTGGCCACCTGACATTCACATATACCTGACCATATAATAACAACTCCTTAGTCTTTGGCTTATGGTATTTGCCTAGTCAATCCTTTTTTACTTTTGTATTTCACGTCCCATGACTATTGCTAATCCTGAATCACTGTGACTTTGCTATTCCAGTGCTAGTGATTGTCAGTGAAGAATCTCCAGACCATGCCTTAGGGAAACCAAAGGACAAATGGTAAAATGGTAGTTTTCTGTTGAGGTGTACAATGGCCTCATTGCTCCTGAACATATGTATCCCTCCTCTCCCTGGAGCTAAGCCTTCTGAACTCATTGCTGTCTCAAGTTCTAAGACATACCCCTAGCCATTAAGGATCCCTGGATCCCCAGAGCAGATACTTGGAGGACTGGACCTCTGACCTTTGGGGCCAGCCCTAGTAAATAGCCATCTGCCTTCAGCCTCGAGATAGGAATTTTTTGTGGGCTGTCACTGTGGACTGACACAGTGCCTTGGTTGCTACACGGATTTATCCCATTCTGTGTAAAACATGCTTCCTCTTTTAGGCTTGTTCAGATCCTGGCCTTTCGTGATTTTGTTCTTTTATTCTACTCACTAGGCTGGCTCTAACCCCTGTCTACCGTGTTCAATCCTAAGAAATACATACAAGAAAGCTCAGTTTTATTTAAGTTGTGATATTTGAGTCTGGCAACCATAGCTTATTCGTAGATGTTTCTACTATTTATTTGTATCCTCTTTCTTACTTAGTTTATTGCATTTGCACATACATTTTAAAAATAGGAAAAAATAATTTAAGCCATAATTTTACTTGTTTATTTATTTGGTTTGAGACAAGATCTCACTGTCACCCAGGCCGGAGTGCAGTGGCTCAGTCACAATCACGATTCACTGCAGCCTTGACCTCCTGGGCTCACGAGATCCTCCTGCCTCAGCCTCCCAAGTAGCTGGGACCACAGACATATGTCACCATACCCAGCTAATTTTTTTCATTATTTGTAGATGGGTTCTCCCCATGTCACCCAGACTGGTCCTAAACTCCTGAGCTTAAGCAGTCCTCTCACCTCAGCCTCTTAGAGTGCTGGGATTACAGGTGTGAGCCACTGTGCCTGGCCTAAGATGTGATATTTTAATAATAGAAATTTATAATTTTTAAAAGGCTCTGTTATGGTTATGTGCTAGTCTGTGGTCTCTGTTATGGAAGCTAAGTAAAAGCCCAACCCTAAAGAACCAGCTTCTTTGAAGGACTGGCTACATGAGATGAAGGATTCTAGTACCTAGTGTATTTCCTGTACTATAGCTGATTCATAGTAAGATTAAGTTCCTTTCCTTTCCATAAATGAGATAGTCTAATAAATGGAATTATTCAGGATTATCAATTTGTAGGCCAAAGTGTACTTCCTCATGTGTTTACATTAAATTTATCTGAACTTTGTAAAAAGTAAACTAAAATGGTTAGAAGGGGCACATAATTTTCTTCATAATTTTAAAAGGAGTATTGCTATTTTCTTCCCTTTAAGTATATTGTTTTTACTGGATTTACCTTGCATTTATTGACTGTGTTACTGAAGCACCCCATTTGATTTTTCAGTGTCTGAATTTTGTACTCTTTGTTTTGCCTTCTTGGTGTTTTTACATTGTCCACATGTTATTTTACATTCAGAATGTCTGGGGAAACTTCCCTTCCTTGTTCCTATGAGCTTTCAGAGGATATTTATTTTCTGTTTACTCTTTGCCCTAGTAACTTATGCTCATCCTTATTTTGGGGCAGTGACCCCCTTATTCGTAGATTACATGTCTGACGACTATTGGGATATTTCACTCTCTTAAAAGACTTTGCAGTAATACTGCCTCTGAGAGGCACTGGACACATTCATTGTTTTTCTTGAATAGACCACGTATCCCCATGTCCTCTCTTTTTTTTTTATTGTGACAACTAGATTAATCCAGAAGACAACAGTTTGCTTCTTTTCTTTCAGGGAGAAGCAAATCGTGAGCATTTGTTCTTCCACTTTTCTTTCTCTAATTTCCCAAGTGGGGGTCAAAATCTCATGGCAGCCACCCTCTACTTCATGCCCACAGGTCAACTACAAACTCAACACAGAGAACTACAAATGTTCCAAAGCAATTATTATTTTCTTCATTATAATTGAACCTTGCTGTATGCCACACACTGTACTAAGGATTTTACATTGATTATCTCATTTAATCCTCCCAAAAGCCCTGTTTATTAGGATACTCTTTTTATTCTCATCTTCACATGAGGGAAACTGAAGCTTAGAGAAGTTAATTAATTTGCCCAAGGCCATACAGTTAGGAAGCAGTGAGGTCAGAATTCAGATCACTGCCTCAGAGACAATGCTGGATCTTCACTTGTGGGAATCCAAGAAATCCTGTTTATCTGAGCAGAGTAATTTGTTTCTAGAATTGTTTTATCCTTTATCCATATTAGTTAAAAAAAATTTTTGATACCTATGCTTATATAGATATATGAATTTTTGTGCTGTTTTATATACATTATGAAGCACAAAATAGAAGTTATTTAAAAATTAAGATGAAAATCAAATACCTAATTTTATTTGTATTTGATGAAGATACATACAGTATGTACATATAATTATAGATAATATTGATTTGTGATTGTGGCTTATAATTATTTTAGTTACCTAATACTATGTAACATATTGCTTCAAAATTTAGTGGCTTGAAACAACACTTATTTTTCATAGTTCCCTTGGTCTGGAATTTGGAAGCGTTCAGCATCGTGTCTCTCAAGTAGTGGTAGTCATACATCACCTTGGGCGGTAGCCATCTGAAGGTTTAACTGTACTTCCAAACATGGGCTCACAAGTTGGTGCTGGCTGGGGAATCTCAGTTCCTCTCTACATGACTGTTTGAGTGTCCTGCATGGTGATTGGCTGCAGCCAGCATTCCAAAACACTAAGGCAGAAGCTATAATGCCTTTTGTGAACTAGCCTTGGGAATCACACATCATCCTTTCCACAGTGTTCTGTTGGTCACACAGGCCAGCCATGACTCACTGTTGGAGAGAGCTGCACAGGAATGTGAATATCAGGAGGCAAGGATGATTGGAGCCATCTTGGAGGCTGGCTACCACAATAATGCTTCCTTCTTTTTGAAGGTCTTGCCTGAACACTTTGTGATATAGCCATTCCAAGGTCGGCTTCTAGGTTCCATTTGTTAAAACACTTGATTTTAATGACCATTATCACTGGAAAAGGCACCTCACAAAATTGCATAGTCCAAAGGGAAGAATGATTCGTTGGCTTCCTTTACTAAGTCACGTTATCCATTTTAGTATTCCATTTTCCCAATTATTAAAAGGTTTTGGTAAAATGTATATAGTGAACATCTAGTTTTCCTGATGGCAGTCCATTTTTCTTACACTAATTAGAAGGTTTGTTAATTCTTATATCTTTATTGAACTATCCATTTGGTGATTTTAAGAACAGGTTAAGAAAATCACCTTCCAAATTGTAAGAGGTTTTTATACATTATACATGAAGTATTTATGTTATCTTTGGCAACCAAATAGCTGTCAGCGGCAACATTTTCAAACACCTAATTTCAAAATGTTGTCTCCATGTTTCAAATTTCTTTTGAAAAAAAAAAAAAAACTTTTCTTATTGTTAAACTGTTACCTTTATTTTACCTTGAAGAGACAGATTTAAGTGTGTATATATTTTTTCAGAAATATTTGTTGGGATCTCATCTTGGTGATAACCATTGTTTTTACTTTATAATTTGTTTGATGGAGAGCTGACAAAAAGCTTTGCCATTTCTTTTTTTATTATTCCCATGTGCTTATGTTATTAGTATTATAGTATTATCAGTGATATCTTTGCAGGAATCCTTTTAAGCCAGGTTTAAAATTCTGTGAAGGCTTAGTTAACACTAGATAATATCTGAAAATCCACTTAATTAGACAAAAAAAAAATTACAGTATGCCAAAAAGGAACAAATGAAGGTGCCTCTGTCAACCCTGGACACAGTGAAATCCCACTTTCCGTCTTCCCTTGGGATTCTTTGCATTCCATATGTGGCTTTTGATCACCTGACCTACAAGTGTGCTGACATCCATCCGCAGAGCATGGGCTCTCTGGCTGGCTGCCCAGCTTCTAAACCAGGTTCTGCCACTTAGTTAGTCTGGGACCTTGAACACAAGTTTATTAGTTTCTCTATACCTGTTTCCTCATCTATAAAATGAGAACAATCATCATACCGCCTCATCGTTAATGAGCTCATATATGTAAAGTGCTTGTCTGGCACATTGTTAGTGCTATGAAATGTTAGTTATTATTAGAACTTTATTTCAAAAATAAATAGGTATAGAAGTTCTAATATTCCTGCTCCCAGTTAATCGACTTTTATAAGGCATGTTGAAAATCATTGCATTGCAGAAAGTTCCTGTGATTTTGTTTGTTTGACATGCTGAAAACCAAGCATTGAGGAATTGCTAAGTCTTTTCTTCAAATGTAGAATTGAAACAAGACTGCATAAAAACGTCTTTAAGACCAAGGTTTCTGCTAAGGCAGCTGCAAGAGACTTCCTTGGACCTGCCTTGAGGGAGCAGTAGCAGTTGAGTATGTGGAAAGGGGGTGAAAAAGCAGCTAAACCCAAGATGTAGGTCACAGTCCCTATCCCTACTCTCAACTCCCAGGAAAAAGCAATTATATATGAAAAATACATGCAGAACACAATGCAGAAGATGCCTTTAGCTCACCAGATAAAGTAGCTAGTTAGGGTATTCTAAAACCCAAGTTCTAGCAAGCAGTTTCACAAATAATTATTTTTAATATGAGGCTCTGGTACAGTTTCTTGAATATCACATTAAATGTTTCTTTTGCTTATTTGTTGATTTTATAGGCGATGTTTGAGGAAATGCTCTGTTTCATTTCTAGGTATATAATGTATACATTCGTTATAAGATTTAGGTGAATTCACAAGTAAAAAGATGGTAGCTTGTATCTGCAGAGTATTTGAAGAAGTAATATAGATCAGCTTTGGGAGTCTTGATGGTAAGCTTGCGGATGTGTCATGTTTGCTATCTGTACAAAAAAATTACTAGAAGGTAGTTTTCTTCACATCACTACACTATCTGGAAGAAAAATAAATTGTTGTTTTAAGAGTTTATTTCAATGTAATTTTCCCTTCAGTAGCCAGAGCCATTGTCTTTGAATTGTGTTAGTTCTTATATCATATTTAATCTATTTCGTTTTGTTAACCTAGGTGAAATGCCTCAGCTCGTAAAAGGAATGAAACTGTTAAACCAGGCTGATCCCTGTGTCCAGATTTTAATTCAGGAAACGGGAGAGCACGTTTTAGTCACAGCAGGAGAAGTCCACCTTCAGCGATGCCTGGATGACTTAAAAGAAAGGTTAGGTGAAAATGATAGCGATGGAGAAATGATAGCTCTCAATCAATGGGATGTTTTAGTGTTTCCTAAACCAGTTGAACTTAGACTGCGGCTTATTTTTGGAGAAAAATGAAATGCCCTCAATTCAGACATGAACAGTTATTCGATTGTAGACTTATTTTTTAATAACTGAAAAATGGCATTCACTGCCTACACTTGAATAATTTTGCATTTTTAGCTTAAGTCATAAAATGTTTTTCTGTGTATGTATTTTACTTTAAGCATGTACACAAAACACACAAAATACCAGGACAACAAAACAAGATATTATTTTGTAAATGTTGGCTATGTAATTAGGATAGACTTCTTCTCTTATTGATGTGGTCTTTACAATGTAAACCTTCTGGAAATCTTTATGTTTTTCTATAAAGATGATATGTATTATAAAATGGGCATCCCAAATTTTTATAACGGGCATTTTTCTTCTTTGTTCCAAAGATAATGTATGTTTATTGCAGAAATTAGGAAAATGCAGAAGAAGAAAAAGAATCATTCAGTTATCATGCAGAAATAACCACCATTACATTCAGATTCATAAATCTGCACTGTTCTATGCATATTCAAATATACACAAATATCTATATACACAGTTCTGATTATTTGGTTAAGATAAACTTCTGGAAGTATTATAGCTAGCTCAAAAAGTATGCATATTTTTAAGGATTATGATCCATATTTTCCTCAAGAAAGACTGTTCTAATTTACATTATAACTAGCAATAAATATTTGAACTTGCCTCTTCTCAAACTTTTGCCAACTTTGCATAGTTTATCATTTTCTAAAAATTTCACCAATCTTGAAGACAAATGAAAGATATTCATGGTTAATATACATTTCTGTGCTTACTAGTAGAAAAAATTATAAACTGCCCTGTAATGGCCTTCCTTCTTTTTGTTTTTAAAATTTCTGGGACTATAATCATAATCATAACAAAAATAATAATTATAAATGATTGATATAGTCATATATTAAATAACAGTCACTGTGTTAAGCACTATTTATCTCAATCTTTATACCACAGTAAAATCGGTGGTAGTAGTAACTATACAACAACACCTGGTACTAATAATAGAATAAGAATAACTGCTGCTGGCCAGGCACGGTGGCTCACGCCTCTAATCCCAGCACTTTGGGAGGCCAGGGCGGGCAGATCACGAGGTCAGGAGATCGAGACCATCCTGGCCAACATGGTGAAACTCCCTCTCTACTAAAAATACAAAAATTAGCTGGATGTGGTGGCGTGCACCTGTAATCCAGCTACTCAGGAGGCTGAGGCAGGAGAATTGCTTGACCCAGGAGGCAGAGACTGTGGTGAGCTGAGATCACACCACTGCACTGTAGCCTGGCAACAGAGCAAGACTCTGTCTCAAAAAAAATAGAATAACTGCTGCTGCATTTATGTGGGATTTTGTAGAAGCTTCTACCAGATTCCAGAAACTAGACCGCTACCTCATGATGTATTCAGAAATTTATTTCAGGTGAGTTGTTGGTTAAAATGTAAAAGGCAAAACCATGAAGTGTTTAGAAGATAGTATAAGAGAATATCTTCAAGACCTCAGGGTGGCAAAAAGCTTCTTAATAGCATGTTAAGAGCACTAATGACAAAGGAAAACCTTGATCATCAAAAGACACTATTAAGATAATAAGGAGGCTGACCGCAGGGTTAGAGAAGACCTTTATACCACTTGTAACAGACAACAGACTTATATCCCCAATATGGAAGGAATTCCTACAAATAAATGAGAAGAGCAGCAATCCAATAGAAAAACTGTACAAAGACTTGAAGAGGTACTTCATAAAAGAGGCTTCCAAAGGCCAATAAACATGAAAGACTATTCAACTTATTACTAATTGATGGAATGCAAATTAAAATCAAAGTGAGATACTTCTGCATACCCACTAGAGTGGTTAAATATTTTTAAGTGATATTATCAAGTGGTGGCAAAGATGTGGAACAACAAGAATTCACCCACACAACTAGTGGGGATATCAATTGGTACAACTATTTTGGAATATGATTTGGTATGATCTGCTAAGATGGGAGATAGGCACTTCCTGTGGCTTGGCAAATCTACTCCCATTTGTACCTGTATATACACAACACAAAGCTAGGCAAATGTGCATCAAGAATACGCATAGCAACAGTTTATTTATTTATTTATTTTTATTTTTTTGAGAAAAGGCACTCCCATTGCTCAGGCTGGAATGCAGTGGTCCACTCTCAGCTTACTACAACCTCCGCTTCCTGGGCTCAGGCAATTCTCCTGCCTCGGCCTCCTGAGTAGCTGGGACTACAGGTGCACGCCACCACGCCCAGCTAACTTTTATATTTTTAGTAGAGATGGTGTTTCACCATCTTGGCCAGGCTGTTCTCAAACTCTTGACCTCAAGTGATCCAACCTCCTCGGCCTCCCAAAGTGCTGGGATTACAGACGTGAGCCACCATACCTGGCCTCATGGCAACAAAATTTTAGTAGCCAAAAGTTGGAAACAACTCAAACATTTAAATGGATAAATAAATAAATAAATAATGGCGTATTCATACAATGGAATTCTATAGAATGATCTCAGTGAACAAAACTACAGCTATATAAAACATAGGTGAATCTCACAATATAATGTTGAACAGAAGAAGCCACTTCACTTCCCCCAAAAAGTGTTTGTTTGTATTTATATGAAGTTCAAAACATAGTGCACCAGGTTGGGTAACATAGCAAGACCTCATCTCTAAAAAAATAAAAATAAATTAATCGGGCAGGTGGTGCATGCCTGTAATACCAGATACTCAGGAAGCTGAGGCAAGAGGGTTGCTTGAGCCCAGGAGCTCGAGGCTGCAGTGAACTGTAATCACACCACTGCACTTCAGGCTGGGTGACAGAGCAAGACCCTGTTTTTAAAAAAGAACAAAAAGAAGTGCAGTCCAAACTGAACTGTGGAGTATAAGGGGTTACATGGTTAGGTGATTTAAAAAAAATGGAGGCTATTACAATAAAAATCAGGATAGCAGTTACCTTCATACTTAATGGCATTGGGGCCCTCTGAGGGCTAAGACTGTTCTGTTTCTTGACTATACCATGTAGTTTACATGGGTGTTCACTTTGAGGTAAGTTATCATAGATCAGTAGATTTTTGTTTTGTGCACTGTTCTATATGACTATTACATTTCACAATTATGCTTACATTAAGAATGTGTATAATGTTATAGAATTTGTTTAGTTCTCATAGGACAGAGCCTACCTTTTGGTAGTATATAATCTTTTTCAACTTCTACACACATCTTCAGGAATGGATTATGTCCAGGAATGGGAGACAAGGAGACTATATTGTCTCCAGGCCAGAGAAACTGTCAGAATTCTTAGCATCCAGATCTCAAGGTAGTAATAATCAGAGCAGGAAGCCACAGGAAATTGCCATGATGTAGCCTGAGCCTACCGCACTTTTTTTAGTGTCATCACAGGCTCTGCATTGCTAGGACTTAAAGAACCTTTGGTCCTGAGGTGCTTTGTGAGTGTGGCAACCATCACACACTTCCTTCCACAGCTTGGAGTGGTTTTAATTAATCATATAAATGATTACTACAGGAGACTTCTTGGGAGCCTCAGGAATTAGAAGGACTAAAGTGGCTCATAGCTCTTTTGACTATGTTACAGGAATAAGAGGGCAGTGTTGTAGATGTGTTCTCTCTCGTAGTTTCAGAAGCTTTGCCGTTGGTTTTCTTGAGTGTTCTAAGTATATGAGCATATTTTTCTCTATGTAATGATAATTTTAGAAATATTTTCCTATTCCTAAGATTTTTAAGTGGCTTTTTTCTTAAAATCAAGAATAGGTATTGAATCTTATTGAATGCCAATTTAGCATATTTAAAAGTGGCTACATAGATTATTTGATATTTTTAATGTGGTATTAACAGATCTAATACAAATTAATTTTCATATAACCTATAATACAAACTTCGTAGTGTTGTAGTAAATTATTCCTTTAATGTACTGAGTAACTTCATTTTTCAGTATAGCATAATGACTGAGAGTGTGAATTCTGAAGTCAGACCTAAATTTGAATCCTAGCTTCTTCACTTACAGACTATTTGGAGAAATTACTTAATCTTTCTTATCTGGTTTTCTCTTCTACAAAATTAGATAGTACTAGTGCCTACTAAAGAAATACTACATGTAAAACACTTAACACAGTGCCTCATACATAATAAGTTTTTTTTTAATGCACACACCTGCATATCCATAGTTTTTGTTATTTTATCTTAGATTTTATATCTGAATTCTTAGGTAAGATTGAACTGCAGTTTTGTGTATATATACTGTCTTTGTCAGGTTTGAATATCAAAGTAGTTTTAAAAACATACAATGTCGGGTCCATCTTGTTGTATATCCTGTGAATATACAAAAAGATTGTAAATATACAATATACAACAATATCAAATTTGATATTATGTGGGAAAAGGGGCTTTCTGAACTTGGTGGCAGACTGGGGCTCAAGACCTATGATGTCCAGAAGAGTAGCTTCTACCCACATGCAGCTGTTTAAAATCAAATACAATTAAAAATTTAGTTCCTCAGTCATACTAGCCGCATTTCAAATGCTTAGTAGCTATATGTGTCTATTTAAATTTAAATAAAATTAAAAATTTATTCAGCTGTACTAGCCACATTTCAAGGGCTCAGCAATCACAATAAACATATAGAACATTTCCACCATTGCAGAAAGTTCTTTTGGAAAGTGCTGCTCTAGACAAACTCATGGATCATGCTAGCCTTGCTATAAGCCTCATTATCAAAGCCAAATACATTGTGAAGATTTGACTAGCTATCCTGAGGTTCTGTGATTCTATGTCTATTTAGAGTTTTAATCATTGAGCTTTTCTTCTCCACACTCTTAGATGGGCAAATACTGTTTTAAAGCATTCATATTTCATATATTAAAACATTTATTTTCTGCTCAAAACATTCTTATCTAAATGGGTGGTTTATATATCTTGAAAATGAAAAAAAAAAAAGTGAAATTCCAGTACATGCAAGGATTTCCCTGGAGGTATATTCCCATTAGAAGTAGTCTTTTCAATCAGAAAGAAAGCAGTTTTTGAATGTTATATAATGTAAATTGCAGATCTTTCATAGTAAGATAATTTTTATGTTCCTATGTTTTTACAGAATCTCCACTGTGTAGTAATTTCTACACAGGAGCTTTGATGCTATTTTGATTTTAACCTTCTGTTATTTCTCTTGAATTTGTCTGTAGGTTTGCAAAGATTCATATCAGTGTATCTGAACCTATTATTCCATTCAGAGAAACAATCACAAAACCCCCAAAAGTTGACATGGTCAATGAAGAAATAGGCAAACAGCAAAAAGTTGCAGTCATACACCAAATGAAAGAAGATCAAAGCAAAATCCCTGAAGGAATCCAAGTTGACTCTGACGGGCTAATCACCATAACAACTCCCAATAAACTTGCCACGCTCAGTGTTCGAGCCATGCCCCTTCCAGAAGAAGTCACCCAGATTCTGGAAGAAAATAGTGATTTGATTCGTTCTATGGAGCAGTTGACATCCTCTTTGAATGAGGGTGAAAATACTCACATGATTCATCAGAAGACCCAAGAGAAAATTTGGGAATTCAAAGGAAAACTGGAGCAACACCTAACAGGGAGAAGATGGAGGAACATTGTTGACCAAATCTGGTCATTTGGCCCAAGAAAATGTGGGCCCAACATACTAGTCAATAAAAGTGAAGATTTTCAGAACTCAGTATGGACAGGTCCAGCTGACAAAGCTTCAAAAGAAGCCAGTAGATACCGAGATTTGGGCAATAGCATTGTGAGTGGCTTCCAACTAGCAACCCTCTCTGGCCCCATGTGTGAGGAGCCTCTCATGGGTGTCTGTTTTGTTCTGGAAAAATGGGACCTAAGTAAATTTGAGGAACAAGGAGCAAGTGATCTGGCAAAAGAGGGACAGGAGGAAAATGAAACCTGTTCTGGTGGAAATGAAAACCAAGAGCTACAAGATGGCTGCTCTGAGGCCTTTGAGAAGAGGACATCACAGAAAGGAGAATCTCCACTCACTGACTGCTATGGACCTTTCTCAGGACAGCTAATTGCCACCATGAAAGAAGCATGTCGCTATGCACTGCAAGTGAAACCTCAGCGCCTGATGGCAGCTATGTACACATGTGACATCATGGCCACTGGTGATGTTCTCGGTAAGGAAGAAAAGGTAAAGATAGTGAGAAATGCCCTGAATAACAGTGAAGTCTCCTAGACTCAAAATCTTGTTTTTGAGACAGGGTCTCATTCTGTCGCCCCAGCTGGAGTGCAGTGGCACAATCTCGGCTCACTGCAACCTCTGCCTACCAGGCTCAAGCAATCCTCTCACCTCAGCCTCTCAAGTAGTTGTGACTACAGGCACACACCACCATGTGCAGCTAAGTTTTTTTGTGTTTTTTGTAGAGACTGAGTTTCGCAACGTTGCCCAGGTTGGTCTCGAACTCCTGAGTTCAAGTGATCCACCCACTTTGGCCTCCCAAAGTTCTGGGATTACAGGCGTGAGCCACTGCACCTGGCAGACCCAAAAATCTTAAACTCGTTTAGTATGTTTTGCAGAAGCTGTACCATCTTCTGATTTACTAACAAACTAAGATCTTTGAAAGCCAGATATCTTAAGTATTAAAATCTTGAGAGGGGAAAAACATGACTACTAAAGATCTTTTCTTTTGCAACAAATAGAATCCTTTCCGTAATGAGAGGTCTGCTAAATGAGGTTTAAACTGCTCATATGTGTTACCATCCAAACCTGTGCCATATTTTATCTCAAGCAAATAACCATATCAGTCTGGGTAACCAAAGTTGTTCTGAAAATGATCAAAGAATAAGGCAACATTCTTGTACTCATAACACAAAAGGGCTTTTGTGAATTCTGGGTTCTTTCTGAGAAAGAAAATTATTTGGGGCTTTATTCACTGCTAACCATTATATCAAATCCTATTCCTGATTTTTCTCTCTTTGGGAGAAGCAACCTTTAAGATCCCAGGAGACATGAAGCCCTGGCACTTAGTAGCTCTTTGGACTTTTCACTGGTATTAGTTCACTGAGACTTAGTTTCTTTACATAGGTAAAGAAAGGGGATAATAATTCATACAGATTGTGAAGATTAAAATAACACAATTTTTTTAAATACAGTGCCCAGAACAGCACCTGGCACACAGTAGTTCTCTTATTCTCTCAAGATCATGGAACTGTTTCAGTAGTGAAGAGAATATAAAGGAGGATTGAGCCCTGGATGAGAGAATCGGCCAAATTATTAAGTTTCCTCTAACCCTGAGGCCCTTTGAGTCAATATGTGGTTAATTACATTCTTTTTAGGAAGGTTCTTTTGCTGATTAATTCCTGAAAGCAGAAATCTAAGTTTGTTTGTTTTTTTTCCCAAAAGAAATTTAGGCTTCCATCACATTAAGGTTTTTGTGAGACTGAGCGTCATTAGCAGCATTTGAAAAATAGCTGGGTTAAGGCCAGTATGCATTGTGAATCAAATCTCCAAATACAGCATGTCATATACAGTGCTTTTCAACCTTATTTGAATATAGCATGCCTATTAACAGCCATGGAATTTGTAGATTTGTTTGGGAAACACCAATCTAGACTATTCTCAGATGCTATTTTTCATTTTCATTGAGAACTTTCTTAAGGCGGAAGTAAGAGTTAAAATCAAATCTTAATCCCTCAAATCTTTGAAGAAGACCTAAGAGCTTTTCTCCAGCCTCTCCTACCCCGACAAATGCTTATACCACCACTATTTGAATACTTCTATTGATGGCCAGTGCACAGCCAGCTTCGTGATTTAATGGTGTTTTTTTCTATATTGAGCAAAATGTCTGTCACCTGCTAGTTTCCAATCATCTGTACCACCATTCATCTCTCTTCCATGCAACAACTCTTTTATGTATTTGAAATAAATCATTAGTTTTCTAGTTTTATATCCAGGAGAAAAACTCCAAATCCTTCACCTGTTTTTCTGTTAGGATTTCTGTATCCTTTCACCATTTCAGTTGCTGTCTTTTGGACATAATTTATTTGGTCAGCATCCCTCTTAAAGCAACTATATTTGAACACAGCACCTCACATACCCTCCAACCAGTAGAGAACATGTCTGTGTCTACACTGTTACCTCCTACATGAAATACAACATTCTTCTTTTAATGAAATTTAACAATTACGTCTTCTCATTAATTCATATGAGAAGTCAAGATCAACCCTATTTCTTTTTTTTCAAAACAAAGTTATGTTTTCCCACTCTGTTCCCCAAAAAGCAGAATCCAAATTTTTGGTAATTGACTAGACTGTAGAAATCATGTAGTTGTATGAACTCCTATATTTATTTGTGTATGAGTACTGAGTCTATACACTTAATTTTTTTCTTATGAGTACTGAGTCTATACACTTAATTTTTTTCTTAAGTTATATAACATAATTAGCATTACAACAGTAAACAGGAGAAAAATTTTAATGGCAAGAAAAAGAAGTCACATCACCACCATCTTAACACATTGATTTCTTATTCATTTTTTTCATGTGTCCTTGTCTGATGAGAAATAAAACTCAACAGGTAGAAAATCAAATGTTTCGATGAAGTTACGGTCCTTTACATCTATAACAGTCCCCCAATTATCAGCTTACCAATCATGTTAGAAAAAAAAAAAGCTTAGGTTAGTATTTTGTATTAGAAAGTCCATGTTGTCTCCCAAGATTTACCTCATACTTGTATAAACATGTACAAATGTCTATAGTGTTTCCTTAAAATTCTACAGAAAATTAGCATATGGCTTTCTAGTCTGCAATTTATGGAACGCAGTGTTTATATCCTCAAAAAGTTTAGTCATTATTTACCTTTTTCCTATAGTCTGGCACCTACCTTACTATTCATAATTTCTCAAAAGGGCAAATTCTCTTATTATGGTGAGATATAATTCTGGTCCTGGAGACTTGAACTCATTTAAGAAGGCCAAGCACTTAGTCATCAACTGCTGAGCTACCGTGAACTTCAGTGTTCTCCCACTTCAACTTGTTCCACTTGCTATAGTTTGTTCACCATTCTCCTCACTGAAGAGAAAGATAGGTAACATAGGTATTGCGAACCCCTATTTTCTTGCTATCCTCTGTAACATGATACTAGTTTCTATAAGTTGTAGACAAGACATGTCTCCTTATTTTGAAAGTATAGGTTGAGTATCCCAAATCTGAAAATCCAAAATCCCAAATCATCTAAAATTTGAAACTTTTTTTTTTTTTTTTTTGAGATGGATTCTCACTCTGTCACCTAGGCTGGAGTGCAATGGCATGGTCTCAGCTCACTGCAACCTCCACCTCCTGGGTTCAAGCAATTCTCCCACCTCAGCCTTCCGAATAGCTGGGACTACAGGCGCATGCCACCACACCTGGCTAATTTTTATATTTTTAGTAGAGACGGCATTTCACTATGTTGGCCAGGTTGGTCTCGAACCCCTGACCTCATGATCCATCCGCCTCAGCCTCCCAAAGTGCTGGGATTACAGGCGTAATCCCACCCTGCCCAGCCTTTATTTTTTAATTTGGGATGCTCAAACAGTATATAATACAAATATGCCAAAATCTAAAAAAATAAAAAATGTAAAACACTTCTGGTCCCACTCATTTTGGAGAAGAGATATTCAACCAGTATTGGAAAAAGCTCTTTGCACTGTCTTTAGCTCTTTTACTTTGGTACATACACTCAGCTTGTTTTGATTTTGAGCATCTTGGACATGCTACTGATCCACCTGAGTTGGTATCCTCTTCTTCCTTCTACTGTGCATGTCCTCTTAAAATAGGGGTTGAGGAGGGGCTTTCTTCCTTCTTCTGTCATTGAGATCATTCATGATTGATTTCTTTTAGACTCTCATTACTCTGCAAAGGAATTTTATTTTAGGGTCTGTTATCCTAGAACCTATGGTGTGTGTTAGTTGTATTTTTTTTCCTGTCCCTCTATGTGTTTGAAACGATATCTTTCCTTTTTTTTTTTTTTTTTTCACTATTGCCCCAGCTGGACTGCAGTGGCACAATCTCAGCTCACTGCAGCCTTCTTCTCCCAGGTTCAAACAATTCTCCTGACTCAGCCTCCCAAGTAGCTGGGATTACACACGTGCACCACCACGCCCAGCTAATTTTTTTTTTGTTGTTGTTATTTTTAGTAGAGATGGGGTTTTGCTATTTTAGCAAGGCTGCTCTCAAACTCCTGGCCTCAAGTGATCCGCCCGCCTCGGCCTCCCAAAATGCTGGGATTACAGGCGTGAGTCACCACATCTGGCCAAAATGATCCTTTCTGAAGTCCAGGGCCCGCATAGGTCTGTGCCTATCCGTGCTCTCAAGATAATGGGAACATGTATTTCCTCCCAAAATAATGGGAGCACCTGTTTTCTCCCCAGATTGCCATCTCTTCTACATTATTCATTTGGAGTGGCATTTGTCCTTTGTTTTCTGGGAAGATGAATTTTCAGCACAACACGTGAAGCCAGAATCAGCTGTTGGTGTTTATCAGACTGAATTCCTAGCATAGTGTTGAGTCACCCCTGTTGAGTCACCCCTCTGTGTTCATTTTCTCATTTCTATTAGAAAATCACCACCTGGACACGGCATGTGACCAGGCCACCCTAGGATAATACCTCAAAATATCATTTGTCATCCTATCCTTATATTTTTATCCTGGCACTCCCCACTTGGCCATCAGTCAGTTCTGCCACTTTCCAGGAAGAAATATATATTTTAACCCTCAGGGTTCTTTGTCACCTCTCTCTGGAGCAAAGGATCATTTTGACTTTCCTCACCCAGGTACAAATGTCACTGTATTGGGCCTCACTGCCTTCTATGAAGCCCCATTTATTTACCCTGCGTGCGGCAACTGTGTGTATGTGGGTTGGTATGCAGTCTCTACCATTGTCACTGGTCAACTTTCTTAATACTTTGCCCCTGAGACCAACCAACTACCACATCCACTGCCTTAAAAGAAGTTACATTTAGAGTCAGTCTGGCTTTTTTTTTTTTTTTTTCTCGAATTGATTTGAAGTCCTCTTGCTTAGACTGGAGAATGTCCTCTGAAGCCTGTTTTCTCTTTGCTTTTGAGGGACTCTTTTATATTGATAACCAATTTCTAGTGTCCAGGGTCTATCAATGCAGTCAGCTGTTCACTTGTGTTTTCCTTTTTCTTTCTAAATCAACACCTTCAATTGGAAAGAAATGAAAAGAACTTCTGTGTTCCTAAGGCCTTTTGCTTCCTGTCTGGATATTTAGAGATCTTCTGAGAAGACTTCAGACTTTGCTGACTGTTGTTTTGATTCTCCAAGAATCGGCACAAGTTGATTTCAGGTCTTTTTTATTTAGCAAAATGAATTTCCTTAGTCTTTTTTTAAAAGTTAGTTTTTTCTACATAGATTATTAAAACAAGAAATCCTATAAATGGATAGACTTGCATATGGTCAAAATGGGAAATTTTGTAGGAAAATAATCTCAAAATCATTTTATCTGGGGAAATAATTTCAGGAAAATGTCTTTCTATACTTTTAAAATCCACTTTTCTAAAGATGTGGTTTATTATCATTTTTTACTCATGAAATTTCCCTCTAATGAGCTTGATTATTGCTGAGGTTTTACCTGCTTGTCATTGAATTCTTTTTGTATTTTTTCCTTCTAATCTGTTAATCTTTTTTTTTTGCTCTTCATTTTTAAAAAATCTTTGGTAATAACCACATTTTAAAAATATTTCTTTTTGTTAGACAGTACTAGTTAAGAGTTTTTTGGGGTATTTTTTTTTTTTTTGGTTTTTTGAGATGGAGTTTCGCTCTCGTTGCCCAGGCTGGAGAGCAATGGCACGATCTTGGCTCACTGCAACCTCCGCTCCCCTGGGGTTCAAGCAATTCTCCTGGCTCAGCCTCCCAAGTAGCTGGGATTACAGGAACCCGCCACCACTCCCGGCTATTTTTTTGTATTTTTAGTAGAGATGGGGGTTTCACCTTGTTGGCCAGGCTGGTCTTGAACTCCTGACCTCAGGTAATCCACCCAGCTCGGCCTCCCAAAGTGCTGGGATTACAGGCATGAGCCACCGTGCCCAGCCTCGTTAAGAGTTTTAATTACAGCTGTGATTATTGTAGTTCTTCCTTTTATTTATTAAATTTTTATTTTAAAATAATTTTAATTTTTATAGGTATGTAGTAGGTATATTTATGGAGTATATGAGATAGTTTTAATCTTTTATTTTTACACATAGGAATAAATGCCAATATTGTTGGAACACATGTACTTTAACGTATCAGAAACATTCTTTATAAGTGTCCCTGTTTACTTTTTTTTTTTTTTTTTTGAGACAGAGTTTCGCTCTTGTTGCCCAGGCTGGAGTGCAACGGTGCAATCTCAGCTCACCACAACCTCCACCTTCCCGGTTCAAGCTATTCTCCTGCCTCACCCTTCCTAGTAGCTGGGATTACAGGCATGTGCCACCACGCCCGGCTAATTTTATATTTTTAGTAGAGATGGGGTTTCTCCATGTTGGTCAGGCTGGTTTCAAACTCCCGACCTCAAGTTATCAACCCGCCTCGGCCTCCCAAAGTGCTGGTATTACAGACGTGAGCCACCGTGCCTGGCCTCGCTGTTTCCTTTTTTTTTTTTCTTTTTTGAGTTGGAGTCTTGCTCTGTTGCCCAGCTGGAGTACAGTGGCACGATCCTGGCTCACTGCAACCTCTGCTTCCCAGGTTCAAGCAATTCTCCTGCCTTAACTTCCAGAGTAGCTGGGACTACAGGTGCGCACCACCACGCCCAGCTAATTTTTGTATTTTTAGTAGAGACAGGGTTTCACCCTGTTGGCCAGGATGGTCTCCATCTCCTGACCTCATGATCCTCCCTCCTTGGCCTCCCAAAGTGCTGTGATTACAGGCATGAGCCACCCGCCTAGCCTTTAAACCTTTTCTTATTCTATACTTAGGGTTCTTTTTACATTTCCTCAGCATTTTGTAATTCAATTCAACAAAGATTTAATGAGCTGCATGTGCCAATACTGTGTTAAACGTGATTCCTGCTTTGAGACATAACTTAAGGTGACAAAGCTTAATTATATAAAGTAATTAGAAAGTAAAATACAATATTATTTAGTGCACAAACATGGTTTTCTAGGGAAGCTTTATGAGAAATTGGGATTAGCAAAATTTGAAACAGTAGGTCTCTTGAAAGTCATGGTACTTTGAAATGGGCTTTGATTGATGGAATAATTTTGTATTCAGCAACTTAGTATTAAGTTGGCTTTCTTTGTACCATAGCACATTGAAGACTACTATTAAGCCTAAAGTAAACTCATTTCTAGTTGGTTTTATAGGAACTGCTGTTCAGCATGACCTTCCTTTTTTTTTTTTGTTTTGGAGACAGGGTCTCACTCTGTCACCCAGGCTGGAGTACAGTGGCGCAAACATGACTCACTGCCACAGCCTCAACCTCCTAGGCTCAAAGCGCTCCTCCCACCTCAGCCTCCAGGAAGCACAGGCATGCCACCATTCCCTGCTAACTTTTTAATGTTTGTGGAGACGGAGTCTCACCATGTTGCCCAGGTTGGTCTCCAACAGCTTGACCTCTCAAATCCTGGACACTTGGTTGGTTTAACACAATTTGCATTTCAAGTCCTAGCCAGGCGTGCGAGCGTATGCCTATAGTCCCAGCTGCATGGCTGAGGCAGGAGATCGCTTGAGCCCAGGAATTCAAATCTAGCTGTGGGAACATAACAAGACCCTCTATCTAAAAAATAAAAAAAACTGGGGTCCTTGCCCAGTTATCTTGACTGTGTCACAGTGTTTGTTTCCAGCCAACTTCATGTCAACTTTGGATTTGATCATTGTGCCTTCTTTTTTAAGTCACTGATTATAATAGTAAGAGGTGCTAGCAGACTCACTAAGGACAACTTTCCACAGTGGGTTTGACCTGTTAACATCAATTATCTATAAACTTGTAGCTGATCTATCTATATAGTAGCAACCAGCCTACGTTCCCCACTGTGTCTGCAGCATGCTTTATCTCCTATTTGATTGAAGCCCATCTGTATCCTGTCAACCACGTTGGCCTGATTCAGCAGTCTTATAGCTCTGTGACAAAAGGAAGAGGTTAGTGTGACCTGGTGTATAAGAATAAGTACCTACCAATTTATTTGTATGTGTGTTTTTAATTAAAGTTAGTGCATAAGTGTTACCAACAATAACAAATCACAAGGTGAAAGAATGCTCTTTCTCCTTGGAATCCAACTTTATTTCCCATTTTCTTTTACAACCCTTGTCCATAATAGTACATTTTGCATAACTGTAACCTTATGATAGAAATAATGTAATATTTTGCTTTTTAGGTTTATTATTTATTTTATAGGCATGCTTTCATTTGGCTACTTAGAATTCATAATTTTCATTTTAACCTCTGCGTGTAATCTTATCAATAGGATATGATACAGTTTACTTATTATTCTGAAATTGGAAATTTGCATTGTTTCCTGATTGTTTACTGTTAAAGAAAACATTGCTGTGGACAACTATTCCCTTTCCTAAATTCTGAAAAAAACAACATACCTTTAATCACCAAACTTCTAGCTTTCAAGACTGTAGAATGTACAGGTTAATCTTAATATTATGGAAGAAGAAAATGTATATATGAGAATCCATAGGGCCATAAAAGAACAGATAATGTTCACCCAAATGGTAAAGAGACTTTTTTGAGCTTGGGTATTAGAGAAGACTTCATGGAACAAGTAATTTTTGAATGGGCCTTGAATGATGAAAAGGATTTGAATATAGGGTTGGACTAAGAGTATTCTAGGTTAAAGAAACTGTGAGCTTAGAGTTGGCAAAACCTCAAATGGTTTTGCCTGTGGACAGTGAGTGATATACCTTGGCTTGGAGAGGCTGTGCCCTGTGTACTCCAGAATCTGGCAGTTAGAGAAGCTGAAGGGGTGGGTTACTGCCTTGAATACAGGCTGAGATATTTATAGTGTAGTCATTAACAGTTGAGCACTGATCAATACTGTTTTAATTGATTAATCTTTTTGTTGCTGGTTTTTTCCTTGATGAATTCCTCTTCCCTGGTTCCTTTCATACAGTAGGGTACTCTGGTACCTCCTTCTGTCAATTCCTTCCTGCCTCCATCCCTCCCTCCCACAGGGTCCTGCCCAGTCACCCAGGCTGGAGTACAGTGGCACAATCATAGTCCACTGCAGCCTCCAACTCCTGAGCTCAGATGATCCTCCTGCCTTAGTCCCCCAAGTAGCTAGGACTGCAGTTGCACACCACTACACCTGGCTAATTTTTAAATTTTTTTAGAGACAGGGTCTTGTTTTGTTACCTAGGCTGGTCTCAAGCGTTCCTCCCACCTCTGCCTCCCAAAGTGCTAGTATTACAGTGATGAGCCGCTGTACTCAACCAACTCTGATCTTTATTTAAGTGACTGAACAAACAAGTGATCATGATGGAACAGATATCCAGTGGAAAGGGTATGAAAGTATTTGCAGTCAAGAGCCACATGATCAGAAATTCTTATTGATATGGCTGTGTTAATTTCTCAGTGATGACAATGGCACATTTAGGGTCTTTGAATGCATCCAAGCATTGAACACACCTATCATGAGAACCAAGTGTGTTTGGAAGGTTTTATAATAGTATTTTCCTATGCTTGGTGATCCATAACTATGCCCCAGTATCAACATATAGTTTTCATGGAATTAAAATTGAATGGATCAAAATTACATGTTAACTATATTCAGTTTCAATTACAATTATTGATCTAAGCCTGCTGGCATGACCCATGCAGCAGCAGTCAGGCAGCTTGTCCCCACTGGCCCCTTATTCGTGGTCTGTTTGCCCCACTTTCCTCATTCTTTTTTGCCCCTATTGTTTTATTGTTTTGTATTTACTTCCATAAACTACCTTCAAACGTTTCTTTTTTGTTTTTTTTTTTTTGGTTTTTTTTTTTGGAGACCGAGTCTCACTCTATTGCCCAGGTTGGAGTGCAGTGGCACGATCTCAGCTCACTGCAATCTCCACCTCCCAAGTTCTCCTCCAAGCGATTCTCCTGCCTCAGCCTCTGGAGTAGCTGGGATTATAGGCACACAGCACCATGCCCAACTAATTTTTGTAGTGTTAGTGGCGATGTGGAGACCATATTGGCCAGGCTGGTCTTGAACTCTTGACCTCAAGTGATCTGCCTGCCTTGGCCTCCCAGAGTGCTGGGATTATAGGCGTGAGCCACCGCTCTCCTGGCCCTTAAAACATTTCTGCGAATGAGATAGGGGAGTAAAGATTACTAGTTCACACATGTTAGGTGTTATGGTAAGATTTCTTTTCTATATATCTCAGACAAATAATATATAACTAAAAGGGATCACTAATGAAAATAATAATCATTCTGCTGTTTTGGGACCTTTTCAGACTATACTTGAAGTATTGTTTTTCATTTCCGGGTACCAAATACCAAGAGGGATGTAAATAAATCATAGTAGTTCAAGTAGGAGAGTGGCCACGATAAAACAGGAAATACAGGTCTAGTCACAGCAAGATTGGCCTGGAAAAGTGAACATGAGACAGCTGTCTTTGAGTAGCTTACAGGGTAATTTGTGGGAGAGGGATTAAACTTGTCCCATGTGATAAAAACTAGGACTGATGGTCAGAAACTTCAGGGGAACATATTTGGGACTCAAGAATTGTCAGCTGTTACAGTTATCCAAAGATGGAATGGGCTACCCTGGGAGAAAATGAGTTTTAGAGTATACAAGGAGAGCTTAAACAGCTACTTTAGTAGAACTTCTTGACCCTCAAGTTTCCTTTTACCCCACTGTTGTGTGATTCTGTAACTATGAGGTTTCTGGTATGAATGACGGGGGAAATAGTTGGAATGGGGAGAATGGAATTGCCTTTTGAAGTAGATAATATATTCTTAGACATGTTAAATTTGAAAGGAAGTTGGCTTCCACAGCAGAGATGCCCTGGCATCCATTGTAAAGTGGTATTGGAGATCCAAGGAGAGGCCTGGCTTAGAGATGGCCTTAGGAGTCCCAAGCATAAAATTAGTTAATTTAAACCACACAAATTATAAATTAGTTGTCTCGCTGAGTGGAGAGTTTGTTCAAAGAGTATGAAGCCTCAAAGAATACTCATAAGAAGAAGTTCAGGAGATACTGAAATAAAGAGAATGATGGTCAGAAGGCCAGGAGTGTAAGGAGAATAATACTAAGATTGGAGACAGTAGGCAGAGTAGACATTAATCAGTAGCTTCAAATACCACAGAGAAATCACAGAGAATGAAAATTGGGGGAAAAAAGCATTTAGGTTAGGAACATGAAAATTATTGTGAAATTTCAAGGAAGCAGTTTCCTGAAGCAACCAGGAGAGCTAGATGTTAAAGAAAGAGCACATAGTGAAGAAATGAGAAGCTACCTGTTTAAGATGTGAGGAAGCAAGGAAGGAGAGAATGTAGTAGCTAGCTGGGGAAGTAGACAAGAGGAAAGGGGGTGCCTTTCATTACGAATGGAGTGTTAATTTGTTTTTAAGCTAAACCTAAACATGGTGAAGGCTCATCAGAGATTTTAGTTTAGGTTTTTTCCTTGAGGCGTTGTGACACAATAGATTTTCTGCCATTTGTTTCCTATTTCCGTTCCTAATAACCGCCACTAGGGGGAAATCTGAATCAGAGAGAAAAGTTTGGAAGTCAGACATTTTGGCTTTGTGTCGTCAGTTTCTAGTTTAAAAAATAAATAAATAAAGGTAAGTGGGTAGCAGACACTCCAGACTCATCACCTTGGCAGTTAGGAGAGAAGGGTCCAGGACTCAATGGTGGTCAAAGGATACTTTAGCCCTGCTTAGCAGCAGTGTTGTAAATGTTTAAGGATAATATATGCAATAGATCACTTATGTAACTAAAATTATTTTTTAGGCAGCAGGTGAAAGAGAAGGCTTTAAAGAGAGTATCTGCTGGTTACAGCAAGTCCTTCATGATTGTCTGTGATTTTCAATGTATCTCTATTCTTTGCAGGGTCTGTTCTCCTTACTAGTTGAAAGGATACATTGCATACCCAGAGACACTCATACAGAACACCAGTCAGAGGGGAAGATGTTTCCCTCCTGAGTGTGAGGCAGAATTGTGCCTAAAGATGAATTGAAAGAGTCATCCAAGAGAATTTGCTAGTGGAATTCTTGTGCTGTGGCACTAGAAATTGTTACCAGACCTTAAAGATTCCAAACCTATCAGTTTTCAGGGGAATAAAACACTTAATACTCATACCACTTAAATATTACCAGTTTAAGAAAACTATGAACAAATATATATGTGTGTGGTTTTAATTTTTGGTATAAAAATGCCAGTTGCTTGCCTACTAAGCCCAAATAGCCTATGCCATCTTAATTATCATTGCCATGTCAATAAGGTCTCAAAATTATTCAAATATTTTAATATTTATGAAGCCCAGTCACTCATCTCATTGGATTTCAGACCCAAAGATAGCTTATAGGTGAAACTGCATTGAAAGGTCCTTTTACAAATCTTCTTCTCATGCTGTTTTGTGGAGTTTGTCTATGAGCAGTGTAGTTTGGGGTGATTTAACTTTTTGTTATTTTTTGTTTCCAATTTTTCTATAAATCTCATGCTTTTTAAATAAACACTTAAAAAGTGTTCCTTGCTTTTGTAAATCAACATTATTGAGAACAAATTTAATCATTTATGGATTGTTACAGAGTATATGGGTAATCATGTCTTGGTGTGGCTCAAGCCATATGATTGATCCATGATTTTAAAAGATTTATGGTTTTACAGGTCGAGTCTATGCTGTCTTGTCAAAGAGAGAAGGTCGGGTACTTCAAGAAGAAATGAAAGAAGGGACAGACATGTTCATCATCAAGGCTGTGCTGCCTGTTGCTGAAAGCTTTGGTTTTGCTGATGAAATCAGGAAGAGGACAAGTGGCCTGGCCAGCCCACAACTAGTATTCAGCCATTGGGAGGTAAAAATCCAAGTTCCCATTCATTCCTTCCTTCTCATCTATGGATACATTCCCTACAGAGGAGGCCAAGAGTAGCAAACAACACAGATCATGCCATTTGGCCTTCCTATGGCTCAACTCAGTCAAATGGACAGGAGAAAGCAAATGGCTTTTTCATCCAGATTGAATGAGCCTGAGATCATCTGTGGTTTATAATAAACACACACACACACACACACACACACACATACACTCTCTCTCTCTCTCTCTCATTTGTCCTTTTTATTCAATATAAAATTTAAGATGCTGAAAATTTAATCCTTTTTTCATCCAAATATATATTTTAGATTTTTAAAAGAAAATCACAGACCTTTTGAATGTGAAATTTTAAGAATATTTTCTTCTAGGGGAAAAAAAAATATCTCCAGTAATTAGAGGGGAACAGTTACACTTCTTGCAAGGGGTAGCTTTAAATTATTATGTACTGTATATTCTTCAGTCCCCATTATGGAGATTCAAGGTTTCTGTGGCTTTCAGGTGTTGTGGAATGAGAATGGAACGAAATGGCTACTCAGAACCCTTCATTGTCAGTGTAGGTAAAGGTAGGTGAAAAGGCAAACCTTATCTGTAATCAGAAAGGAAAACTTAACAGATCCACATTGCTGAGGGAGGAGAGAAGGAAAGATTGTGAACACATTGTTAAGTTAGAGAAAAAAGAATAACAAGTGGCAAAGATAAGGTCAGACCAGCTGTCCTGAACATATCTGTAAAGGAAAAGTAGACATTAACCAGCTAAGAAGAAGGACACTCAATCAGAAGGTGCCGCATGAGAAAAGGCTGGTAAAAACAAACTGCAGGGCATGTGCAAAAAACAATTTACTTTTCAAGAAAAAGCCTAAGGTCAGGAATCAAATTGTAAACTCAAGGATATAAGTAGAAAGATTGTTTTAAGAAAGCAGTTTTTGTTGTTATTGTTTACAGGGAATTGAAATAACTTCACATTATTCCCTTTTACCATGGAGGCTTGTAAGGTAATGGAAGAACCATTGACTTTGGAGTCAGAGAGTCCTGGTTTCAAATATTCTTCTATTTATTTGGACAAATCATGGACCCTCCCTGAGTTTTCTTCACCCCTAGGTCAAATATCTAACCTAGTTCCTGACATTGTGGCTGACCAGCCCTTGCTGATGCGAAGATTGTTTCCTTGTGGTTCGTTCTCTGAGTCTACACCACATTCATTTTGGCTTGCTCTCAGCGGTGTGGCATTCATTGCACAGGGCTTCACACAGATAATCCATGGTTTTTTTTTCTTAAACTCTATTTCAGCAGAACTCATGATTTAGCTTCAATGCTAAGCTGTTATCTTTCTCACTTTCTTTAGCCTAATGGGTCCATTTTTCCAGAACACTTTAAGAAGAGTTTAAATTTAGAAGAGAATGGAAAATGAGAATAATTGAGGGAGAATTTTCTTTTTAAAATGAAATTTATAATCAAGTGAATCAGTGAAGTAAAGAAGGGTGGCACTTCAGAAAAATTGACTTTGGACAGGGCAAATTTGATTTTAATTCAGCAAGTTCATATCATCTAAATTGATGCAAGTGAAGTTGCTAGCCCAGAGCACACCATTGTGTCTGCTTTTCCTTTAAAAAAAAAAAAAAATCACATTCTTAATGCTTGACAGAACCAAGGTTAATGCTATGATTTAGGTTACGTTTTTTTGGTCAGTACAAACTCTAGGTTTTAACAGTAATTTACTATGAATCTTTTCTTGACTTTTGCATATTTCTCTGAAAACTTAATGGTGTTTTGATGGCTTTGCTGGCTTATATCTGATGCGATATTGCTGAATTTCATTATGTAGAAAACAGTACCCCCCAAACATTTATTTTTTAATTCCTGTGCTTGTGGGTAGTAATTTCTCATTTATCCAAAATTCTAGCTTTTTAGTTTTGGTTTTGGTTTTTGGCATTCAACTTTTACATAAGAACACAAACCAAGTAAGAAATATAAGGGATGGGTTTTAAAAGGCAGTGCCTGAAAAATAGAACTATGTCTGTAGTGCAAATGTATTACTGATGGTTCTAATGAAAAAATCATTACAGCATCCTCTACCACAGGTTTTAGTGACCAGATGTGTGATTACAGAGCAATACAGCTAAATGATATTTAGAACCAGAGAGATTCAGTCCACTTCAACCTAATGACCTTGAGACGAAGAATGCTTTCTTCATTGGCGTTACTGTTGCTGCAAACTGCCTTCAGAATTCACAAGTCATGCTTCTGAATATCTTAGAGATGAGAAGTCATCCATCTCATGAAGATGGCCTTGATTAACACTTGTGCATAAAACTGGGTTATAGTATGTTTGATCAGAACAAAGAGGATGTAGGTTAAGTAATCACTGGGATTGTCTGTAAATGCAGATCCCAAATAGGCATTCAGAGCTGTTGTAATGGCATCATTATTGGAAGAATGATTCATTTGAATTCGTATATTCAATTTTTTGTTTTAAAATCTCATCATTTGACAGTCTTATCCTCAAAAGTGATTTTTATAAAGCTTTTTTTTTTAGAAAAATGTATAAAGTTCCCTTCATTTCTTAGTTGTCAGATATATTAGTTAGGAAGCAGGTAAGACTGCTCTAATAAAGGGATCCCAAAATATAGTGGCTCAAATAAGGCAGAGATTATTTCTCTTTTGAGTCTAAGGAGGCAGACTAGGGCTGACATGTGACTCACTGTGGTAGGAGCCCAGGCCCATTCTGGCTTGCTGCCTTTCTCAACACTTAGCTCCCACTGATTGTCCAAAGTGGCCGTTCTACCTCCCGCATCACATCTGCATTCCGGCCAATAAGAATAGGGATGAGGAAGAATAAGATATACTCCTTCCCTTTAAGGACACAAACTGAATCTTGCACACATCACTTCACCCTCATGCCAATGCCCAAAACCAGTCATCTGACCACATCTAACAAGGCCCCACCTAAGAAGGAGGCTGGGAAATGTAGTCTTTAGATCTATGGCCTATTGTCTGTTTTGATAAATAAAATTTGTTGGAATACAGCTGTACCCAATCATGTATGTATTTTCTATGGCTGCTTTTAAGCAGAGTAAAGTAGCTATGATAGAAATAATATATGGCCTGCAAAGTCTAAGATATTTACTGTCTGGCTCTTTATAGGAAAAGTATGCCCCCACCTTCGGACTCTAGGTGGCTATATGCCTACCTGAAATATCTATTACCAAAGAAAGGTAGAGAACGGATATTTAGGGACAACTAGTATAAAAACAGCAAGATTTTACCAAATAGGCAGTTTTTGTTACCTGAAAGCCTTGATGGTTGTCCGTCTCCTTTATCCTTCAGAAATTTAAAAAGAAAATCTTAAAATTGATCTTATACATGTAATACTTTTTTTAAAAAATATTACTTTCTGGCTTAGCTACATCTCGTTATTAAAAATAAGTCTCTTAAATAAATAACTTGAGAGAAAAATATTCTCAAGAAAAGTTTTGCCCCAGTTTTGTACCATCCTTCTGCCATGTCCTTGCCACCTGTCGTGGTCCTGTTCCCAAAAGCTTCAAATCTTTGAAATCTTAAAAACTACATTATAATTAAATGTCATTGATCTGATATATTTTGGCTGTCTTGGTTTTTCCCCCATAGTTAGGTTTAGAAATAACACAGTTGTTGAGATATGGCTTCTCACTCCAAGGCACTTCTTTTCATTTGTATTCTACCACACCATATAATTTACAATCAAGAGCTTTTGAGAGAAAGTGCTTCAAAAAATAGAGAAAATAAAATTACAGGCATTTTTCCATGAGGAAACCTTTGAAGTCAGCAATCTCATAATTTCTCTTTCTATGTTTTACCCTTCTATGAAAAAGGAAGAAAAGGAGCTAATAACAGACACAGAAAGAAAAAATATTACCAACCAGTGCTGTTGTACATGTATGTCAGCATAACCTCAAGATTCATCGCTTATTACTGAGATTACCCTGAGGGGTGGGCTAAAGTTCATACCGGGTGAAGTGATTACAATAGCACCAAACAAGCTTATTTTGGACATGGTATTTTCCACCTGCCAGCAGTAATCATCGTGAAAACTGGGCAGAAAATTGAAATGGAGCACCCAGAGCTTTTTCCTTCTAGGCTTTCTTTTCCCTTAATGCCTAGGGTAACAGTTTGCACTTGGGTGCCTTCTTATGATTAGAAAATGGCATCCCCTTCAGGCTGTTGAATTGCAAAAATACATTCTCACTCTAGGCCGATGAATTCTGGGTGAGGCAGTGAGGGAAAAAAAAAAAGCACCTTTTTCTTCAGTTTGATATCAAGCCCCTCTCTGTGGCCTGGAGGGTCCTTTCTGTAGAGCACAAGCTGGACAACCATAAAAGGGTAGCCTTGTCTTTGCTCCACTAAGGAAATTCAAAACCAGCCTCGAGCACTCGAGTGTTACTCCATCTCCCCTGTTCTCAGAGTTTGTTGGGT
Source organism: Homo sapiens (assembly GCF_000001405.40). Taxonomy (NCBI): domain Eukaryota; kingdom Metazoa; phylum Chordata; class Mammalia; order Primates; family Hominidae; genus Homo; species Homo sapiens. The sequence goes on along the minus strand of NC_000015.10, from coordinate 82,134,190 downwards.
ATGTTGAGGCAAGTGGCTTCAGGCTGTCCACACAGATGCAGGAGTAGTGAAGATGTCTTCATACAGTCATATGATATTGGGACTTTTAACATTCCATCCTTACAAATAGAAGAACCCAGGTATAAATGGTTCGAAATAAGCTGCCCAAGATCGCACAGCTAAGCAAGTAGGGAACTGGCATTGAAGGGAGACTGCCTGGCTCCAGAGCCAGTGCAGTTGACCCTCACACCACGTTCACTCTGGCCTCAGTGCCTGCTCCTGATTCAGTGAAGTGCCAACCCCCGACTCCTCACTCTCTGGGTTTGATTCCACACAGACTCACTTGGTTCTTCTCGCTCATTGCAGTCTCTCTGCCTGTTTCCTCGCATATGAGGAAACAGACACCACCCCTCTCACCCTGTCCTCCCACCAGCAAAGCAGAATAACCAATTCTGAAAACAGTTTGTGTTTCTTATGAATGTTGAGAATTTTACCTCCAGACAAAAGAGAATTATAACTTGTGGCCGGGTGTCTTAAAAAGAATTTGTTAAAAAAATTACAATAGTTTTTTTCCATAGGAAGTTACCAAAAAATATGTACAAGGAGGTCCTATGTGCCATTCACCCCTCCTTCCCCAATGTTAACATCTCTTACAGTACATTGACATTGATACACCCATAGCACTTGTTCAGGTTTCACCAGTTATAATAAATGCACTTGACTTAGCTAGTACCATTGTGCAATTTATGTTTGGATAAACTCAGTCTTCATGGCAGTCTGCAAACATGGCAAAGGGCAGGCTTTGGAGCCAGACAAATCTAGGATATGCCAGGTGCTTTACCATATGACTTTCATATAATATCTTCTTCAGTCTTCACAACAACCCTGTATCAGTTGATAGATTATGAGTGTTTTCAGCCGCAAGAACCATAATGCCAGAATAGTAATTGTTTAAGCAAGTAGGGCTGGTACCATGGCTCAGGGACACCATCAAAGATGCAGGCTCCCTTTCTTCTGCTCTGTATATTCATGGGAGTTTGTGTGTCTTTAGTGCTATAAAAGTGTATTACATATGTAGCTTTATGTAATCAAGATACAGAATTGTTCCATCACCACAGGCTCCCTCATGCTCCCCCTACATAGCTACACCTACCCTCACCCTGGGTGGGTGGCTTTTGACCAGTCAGGCTGTTTTGAGTGGCAACCACTTTCCCTCCCTTCCTCCTGCCCAGGCCCTGAGCCCATACTGACTCAGCCCTACTGGTATCGTGTTGACATTGTTTGCTGGTGAATGATCTGGAATGAGCCTTTCTATCCTAGGCCCAGTGGCTGGTGAATCAGAATTGAGTCTCTGGGACTGTTGTGCCCACAAAATTATAGCACAAACCCTCTGACCCAGAAGAACCCCCTCAGATGACCAAGTCCACAGGACTGAGCTTCCTCCCCACTCCTCCTTCTTAACTGCCGTTTCTCGTCTAAATTCCATCCATTCGCCCTTGTCTGCCACTCTGCCTACCCCCCCCCCCCCCCAATTCCTGGACCTTGTCTCCTTTTCTGCCCCTTGTTGCCCAACCTCTAACTGGGCTCCCACTTCGAGACGCTCCTTAGACTTGCTGTCACCCACCAGAGTTATTACTCTAGTGCTGATAATGCCTCTGTGCCCCCTGGCTGCTCTCACTTCTACTGTCTGCCTTTTCCTTCCGGGGACTCTTTTTTGAAAGGATATTTCTAGTTCTTTTGTTGAGTGTCCATGAGAGGTAATATGTTTTAAAGTCTGTCCAACAGAGGCTTTTTTTGGTTCGCTGATAATGGTTTATTTAACTAGATAAAGACGTGTAGGCTCACACTGAGGCTCCTTAGCACTCTGAAGGACTTCATTGTGTCCCAGCAACTGCTGTTGCTGATGCGAAGCGTCTCGTTGGTCTGATTCATGTTCTTCTCTAGATCTGGCTTTTCTCTCTGATTTTCTCTGTACCTGCCTCAGCACCAGGACACAGGCAGCTGCTTTGTTTCCAACCTTTGTTCAAGAGCAAGAAGCACAGTTGTGGCTCACACCTCCCATTCTATAGTGTCTAGTGGGTCAGAATCGAGCCTCAGGAGATGCAGGTGCCCACAGATTTCCAGCATTTCAACACTGTCACAAGGGGTGGATTATTTTATTATCTTGGTCCAGACTCAGTGAGGTTTTTCCATCTGAAGACTCTCATCCTGTTCTCTGTTTTTTGGTTTTAGAACTCCTGTTAGATATACCCTATACATACTTGATGGCTCTTGACTTTCCTTTGAGACTTTTTTTTTAATCTCCATCTCTCTGTGCCGTATTCTGTATTCAGGGAAATTTCTTTAAGTCTCTCTTTTTAAAAATAATGTACTGAGGTGAAATTCATACAACATAAAATTGAACTTTTTTTTTTCTTTTGAGACAGAGTTTCACTCTTGTTGCCCAGGCTGGAGTGCAATGGTGTGATCTTGGCTCACCACAACCTCCACCTCCTGGGTTCAAGAGATTCTCCTGCCTCAGCCTCCCAAGTAGCTGGGATTACAGGCATGCGCCATCAAGCCTGGCTAATTTTTTGTATTTTTAGTAGAGACAGGGTTTCTCCATGTTGGTCAGGCTGGTCTCAAACTCCTGACCTCAGATGATCCACCTGCCTCAGCCTCCCCCAAACTTGAACATTTTAAATAAACATTTTGCTGCATTTTTCCCATTCACAATGTCATGCACCCACCACCTCCAGAAAAAAAATTAAAAATTAGCTGGGCATGGTGGCATGCACCTGTAATCCTAGCTGCTTGGGAGGTCAAGGGAGGAGGATCACTTGAGCCCAGGAGATTGAGGCTACAGTGAGTATGATTGCACCACTGCCCTCCAGCCTGGGCAACAGAGCAGAACTCTGTCTCTTAAATAAAAAAATATATGTAATAATAATAAGAGTGTAGTTACATGTGTTGATCTTTGTTGAGGTTGAGGACAAAGGCAAAATATTGATGGCAAAGACATTAACATTCAGATATATCCTAGCAAAAATGAAAGCTTTTAAAAATTATATTATGAAAAATTAATAGTTTTCTTTCTTCCTTAGTGTTATGAACTGGCGCTAGGAGCAAAGAATAATAATGTATGTTACAAGTTTTGTTGAATCTACTTCCATTTGTTCACACCTCCCATGATTCTTCATACTTTTTTTTTTCTTTTTAAGTTGGAGCCTCACTCTGTCGCCCAGGCTGGAGTGCAGTGGCATGATCTCAGCTCACTGCAACTTCTGCCTCCCGAGTTCAAGTGATTCTTCTGCCTCAGCCTCCCTAGTAGCAGGGACTACAGGCACATGCCGCCCCACCCAGCTAATTTTTGTTGTTGTTGTTGTTGTTGTATTTTAGTAGAGACGGGGTTTCACCATGTTGTCCAGGCCGGTCTCGAACTTCTGAGCTCAGGCAATCCACCTGCCTTGGCTCCCAAAGTGCTAGGACTATAGGCGTGAGCCACCACACCCTGCCGATTCTTCATACTTATTACCATTCCTAGCAAGCTTAGCTGTTCATTGCCTAACTTTTTTTCATTAGCTAAGACTATATAAATTGGGGAGCTCAGTGAATAAGGTTTGAAATTAAAAATGCCTAACCTTGCACATTCTGTCATCTTCTTTTACAAGATCATTCCCAGTGACCCCTTCTGGGTGCCAACTACTGAGGAGGAATACTTGCACTTTGGGGAGAAGGCTGACTCTGAGAACCAAGCCCGGAAGTACATGAACGCAGTACGAAAGCGGAAGGGGCTTTATGTGGAAGAAAAGATTGTGGAGCATGCAGAAAAGCAGAGGACACTCAGCAAAAATAAGTAGCTACCTACTACTGGTGGATTCTTTTCCTTATAGTGAATTTAAAAGTATCATCAAGGGTTTAATATTGGGAAAATTTCTTTTTGCCACATTATCTCTGTTTATTCACTTTCAATAAAGTTGATCCATATAAATATTTTAAAGAGGATGTTAGAGAACATGTTTTCCAAGTGTGTTTTTAATTGGTTCTGGTTCAAGGCAAGAAGTTATAAATATTGCAGTGATGATTTATGACTGCCCTGTGTATAACCCCCAGCAGTAAGACGTGTGGTCAGGGCTACCCTCTTGGTGGTGGGGAGGTGATGTGCAGACCCACAGTGGGCAGTCTCCTCTGCACTGAGCGGCCACTCCGGGGCTCACACTGTCTCTGCCTGTCATCACAGTGTCATAATTCTGAGTACATCCTCCACATAAACATCATGTGTGAATTTCGGAGTGGAAACATTTCATATTTAATCAGTGAATCAGAGCATTTAACATTGTTTGGAGAGACCGCATACTTGAGAGAGCAGCTGCTTTTTAGTTAAACCAAGTCACTGTTACAGCTCATCCATCTTATGGTGTTGTCTAGCAAAACAGTATCATGTTCAATAGTTAGCCTGTAAATCTTCTGCTTTTACACCCACTCATAAATTTTATCATTCCTATTTAAATCAGTGTTAATGGGTGTTATCCCTGTACCTTTTTCTTTTTTTTTAAAAAAAGGTAAATTTCTATAATTTTATTTGCTATTTCCTTTTAGCCTTACTTAGCTAATGTGCATGAGGTTATGGCTTTATTGTAAATATTTTTTCTAAATCTCAGTTGCCTCCTTCAGGGTGATCTTCATTTAAGGAGCAAATGCAGTTCAGACAAAAATAGATTTTATATTTTTTGATGTTGCATAATAATTTTTATAGCCACTTAAAAGAAGGATTCCTTTTCATAGCATAAAATTATCAGACCAGACTTTGTTTTTGAAATACTTTAATGGGTTTTCTTAATAAACTAGGTCATTTTTAATACTAGTTGTAGACATTTTATCTCTAAATCTTCAGGGCCCTGGCATAGCTGGTCAAATCTAATTGGCCTAGACTTTGGGGAAAATGTGACTGGATAATTCACTGTCTGTTTAATTTCAACAGATAATAATATATGAGTTAGTTTAGGAGAGTTATATCATCTATTGGTTTATTTGAAAACTTTGATAACATAGGAAAAACTAGCACTTCGATTTATAGCATTTGTAAATAACATCATTCAAACTGCCAGATGTGCTATAAAATGTATACTTAGATCAGCACATTTTGCATTTAATAGAGAAAAGAGGCATAACCCAGAAAAAGTTGGAGAAAAAGTTGCACTTTCTGCAGTCTGTTGGGCCCTGACAGATGTGCCAGTGTGGGGGAAGTGACATGTCGAGTTGATAGATTGTCTGTCTTCCTTCTCCATGTTTGAGAGAGGTAATAATGAGCAGGAAAGTGGCCACAAAGAGGCAGACCAAGGGATAGAGCCAATCTACCATCTAAATAATCTACCTTATTGTGTAATTCATGACGAGACCTCAGTCATTGAAACCCTGTCCCCTTCTGTGACAGCATAGTAAGACTACGTTTGTACTGTGCCCAATGCCATGTCCAAACCCTAGCCTCTGTTTGTTGAATTCAGTAGAAGCCAAGCAAAATGTTGTCAGTCCACAAGTAGAAGTGAGAGTGTTCCTGTTCTTACAGAGGGGCTGGCTTTGTACACTCATTTATAGATAGGCTTCAGAGACAGTGAGGAAGGCTAGGTTGAGGAAGCCACAAAACCACGGCTCTCACTCCTGGAGAATTATTTGTATTGAGGTCCAGAGGCAGCTATCCTTCTGCTCAGGGGACAGGCATAGGCAACACCAACATAATGCCTTTTCCCAGACATCCTGGAGTCGGTGGGTGAGGGGAGGAGAGGCTGGGAAGGGCCTGGGCTCCAGCCCCCACTGGAGGATGAGCTGCAAGTAGCATGGAGACCATCACCATTGCCCTCTGATTGGGAGGCTGTGAAGAGCCTGTTTTCCTGTATCAGATTTTCCACAGACTGGAAGGGAAATTCCCTTCTATTGGGACTTTTGTGAAGAATGCCTGGCACCGGAGAGGGCAGTTCTTCTGCCTCAGCCTCCTGAGTAGCTGGGATTATAGGTGCGCGCCACCATGCCCAGCTAATTTTTTGTCTTTTTAGTAGAGACAAGGTTTTACCATGCTGTCCAGGCTGGTCTCGAACTCCAGGTGAGGGACTTTTTATATGTATTTGATCCTCACACTTGTTGTATGAAATGGGCAAGGAAATTCATTAGAGCCTGGCGAAAGTTAAGTTTACAGCCCACGGTCCCATTTTTCATTCCGTCATACCTCTTGGCAAGCTCTGCTGTAGTGCATCACACAAGGATTCCCATGATTATTGCCTGATACATGTTAGGATCAGAGAAGTTATCAGTAGATGCTGAATATTCACTATGGTAGAGGAGGACTTGGGGGCATCTTTATTTCTATTCTGCCTTGAACTTAGGTAAAGCTACCAGTGTCCAAGGTACAAAATCATTATCTGGACTGACTCAGTTTTATTGACCAGTAAGTTTAGAAAAATAATGGAATTCAGAAATTAGGTTAACCTTTGTACTTGGAGCTGAGAATAGGGACCTAGATGTAAAAGATCTCTTTTATTCTACCTTAGAACAGCCAAATAAGGCTCAGAGCTATGGTGAGCTTGTCCCAGGAGTCAAAGCCCTTCAGGTGAACAGATTATCAAATCTGGGAATTAGAAGGTCTTCTGTTGTCAAGTAGTCAAACTCTTCCTTTCTTATTAAGGCAAAGAACATTATACACTTTCTGAGCTAGAAAAAAATTCATTAAAATAAAAACAAGAATTTATTTATTTATTTATTTATTTATTGAGACAAGGTCTCTGTTGCCCAGGCTTATTAAGGCAAAGAACATTATACACTTGCTGAGCTAGAAAAAAAATTCATTAAAATAAAGACAAGAATTTGTTTGTTTGTTTGTTTGTTTATTGAGACAAGGTCTCACTCTGTCGCCCAGGCTAGAGGGCAGTGGTGCCATCACAGCTTACTGCAGCCTCGACCTCCCAGGCTCAAGTGATCCTCTCATCTCAGCCTCCCTAGTAGCTGGGACTACAGGCGTATGCCACCATGCCCGGCTAACTTTTATATTACTTGCAGAGACAGGGTTTTGCCATGTTTCCCAGGCTGGTCTCAAATGCCTGAGCTCAAGTGATCCGCCCACCTCAGCTTCCCAAAGTGCTGAGATTACGGGCATGAGCCACCACACCTGGCCAAAGACAGTAATTTAGATCAGGTTTTAAAAACAAGATTATGAATGTCAGCCTGAACGCATGAAACAGACCATGGAAGCACTAAGACCTTCTTTTGATCCTGTTTTATGTATACAGAACCTGCAACCCAGAGGGCATCTTCTAGTTTTAGGAATAAACAGTGGGAAGGTTTTCCACTCTGCAGCACATCTGTCTTTCAGGTCACAAGCAGAGCCATTTGCAGTAGCCTTTAGGGAGCCAAGGTAGCTCCTACCAGAGAAGAGGGGCGAGAAGGAGTGAGGGGGAGGAACAGAAATATAGGTTCCCCAGAAACACTAGAAAGGGCCTGGCCCTACCAACTTGGACATCCCTGGGCCAGAGGTGAGGCGCAGAGACTTGATCGTGAATAATGGGGATAGGATTTCTTACCAGCCACAGGTCCTCTGGGCCTTCTGGCCTTACTGAGGAAATTCCAGAGAGCCAAGCCATTGGATTCAGCCCCACAGGTCCTCCCTTGGTCTACCTCACCCTCACCACCCTCAAGGGCTGGGATTGTTTGGCTTGGGGAATTACATTTAGCCTGTGGGTTTTACACATCTCTGCCAGGTCTTTGGATCTGCCTATGCCTAAGATTATTTTGTATGATTCAAGTTCATGGCAAAAAGGCATAACAGCTCTAATTCTCCTGTCCCAGATTTCACTGTGATCTCATCGAAAGAATCAACCTTTAATGTGCAGTTTTAAATGCCTTTTTACCTCAGCTGCAGCTTCTACATTTTTGCAGAATCAATGATCTTGAATTTTTATTTATTAATTTACAAATTCCACTATTTTCAAATTGTAGAATTTTTTCCAAAGAATTATTTCTGTTGTCTTTTTGAGGAAAACATTCCAGCTGAGCCACAAAGCCCTGATGTTGTACTGTATAGCGATGGGATCAGGTACAAGGAAGCAAGAGTTGAGACGCCAGAGAGTCCTGGGTTCTGTCACTTCTAGCCAACCCAGGGCAACTCAATCTCTTTAAACCTGACATAACCTCATATGTAAGGTGGGGGATAATTCCCCATATGTAAGGGGTTGTGGGGAGGAGTAACTGAAATAATCTGTGTTAGGACACAGTACCTGGTATATGGTGCCCAATATATTTAATTGTTGTTGCTGTGTTTATTACAATTATTAGGCAGTGCAAATGCACTAAGAAGGTATATGAATTCAGACCAATTAAAGAATCAGTTAATCTAGTGTGGCAAAAATTCAAACCGTATATTTACTCTATTTTTCTTTATGCCTTCCTGTCCAGCTGGTCTTGAACAGTCTAGGCCTGGGAAGGAGGATGGCCTACACTCTATTCCATTGCGTTTCCTAGAGGTCAGATTTTACACTGTAGTCAATGCCCTTGTCAGGTTAGGAGCTGTCTGTCCCCAAGGCATAGCAAGTGGGACTGGCTACCTGAGGACCCCAAGGCAGTTGACTTTTGGACAGTGGCCCTGCTACTCAAAACAAAGCAAATAAGCCCACCCACCCCATGCCAGTCCACATACGCACAGGGCTGCCGGCTGCCCTTCATTCATTCATTCCTTGTGAATCCCCAGCAGTTACTGGTGACAGCTGAAAGAGGAGCTACTGGGAAGTGCTTAGCAGCACCATGTGGGCTTGACCTAGCAAGTGTTGAACAAGAAACAATTTCTTGTCTGCATGGCCCTCCCTGGCATTCCCAGTTCCTGAAACAACCCTGCCCCCAACTCCCTCTCTCCCCTCTGCTTTGGCAGCGGCACCCAACGCTACTCTGGTACTCAAGGTACCCACGGCTACCTTGCCTCAGACCTAGAAACTTTAAACTCTGCTGTGCTTCATTCTCACCTGTCTTCCCACAACTGCCAGCCCACCATTTCTCTCACCTTTTTATCCCCTTTTGGCTTCATTTTCTTTGCTCTTCATTCAGCCTGGACCCCAATACCAGTCTGTCCAAAGGCTCACCAACACACTGATCTTCATCTTCCCCATCCAGCCACGCCACTCAACACAGCCATCTCCCCACACTGACTTTCTTGGAGGCACCTGTTGCCTTCATTGCCAGAGCCAAAGTTTACTTTCAGTCCCCTGCCACCTCTTCAGTACCTCTGCCACCGTGGCCCCTCCCTCCTTTCAAAGAGCAGGAGGGCCAGGAAGCCATAGAGGAAGCAGTTCATAGAAAGGTAGTATGTGTGGGTGCTGTAGTCATTCAGGAACAGCCCCCAGGGCACCCACCACGTGGGGCAGCACAGGCAGCCTGGTGCCCAGTGAATTGAGCCCAGCAGGAGGAACCTGATGAGCAGCACCCGCAGGGACAGGAAAGGACCAGAGCCTTCTAGGAAGGTGACAGTGGGCTTCAAGGCTGAGGGGGTAAATCTCTACAGTGGATGAACAGCCCCTGCCCTGGCCTGATTGGACATTTGGAGGCAACCGATATATCAGTAATGGCTTTCAAAGCCTAGTCTAGAGGAGCTCACCTCCGCACATGCCCACCCCACCCCCAAGCTGAACAGTTCCCCCTGCAGGACGTCTGCTGCTATAGAGAAGAGAGGCTGTAAGAGGGGGACAAGGGCCAGGGAGCTGCCCTAGACCAGACTCCAAGGGACCGATGCCAAGTTGTACAAAGTCCATTGGCAAAGGACTTGAGAGGTGGGAGGGACATTTTGTTAAATTGGGGCCCCTCGATACCTGTTGGATCCTAGGTTTGAGTTATTCATATCTACAGTAACTCTAAGTTTTCTCCTTTGCAGTAGGCAGGAGGGGAGACCCTTTGGAAACAGCACCCTGCTTTGCTTTCGGGAAGTCTTATCATCTCTACTCAGTCCATGAGGTTTGCGTGGGTTTGACAGTACCACACCTGCATGTGATCCAGGCTTGGACAGTCACTCAAGTCCCTTGGTATCAATGGAATGGACATGTGACCCAAGATGGTCCAGTGAGTGTCAGCCTCAGGGCTTGTGGGAAAGAAGCACCACAGTTTTGGTTTTTTGTTTTTGTTTTGTTTTTGTTTTTGTTTTGTTTGAGAAGGAGTCTCACTCTGTCACCCAGGCTGGAGTGCAATGGTGCAATCTCAGCTCATTGCAAACTCCGCCTCCTGGGTTCAAGTGATTCTCCTGCCTCAGCCTCCCAAGCAGCTGGGACTACAGGCGCCCACCACCACACCCAGCTCATTTTTGTATTTTTAGTAAAGAGGGGGTTTCACCATGTTGGCCAGGGTGGTCTCAAACTCCTGACCTCAGATGAACTCCCCGCCTAGGCCTCCCAAAGTGCTGGGATTACAGGCATGAGCCACTGCACCTGGCCATACCACAGTTTTTTATTAAAACTGCTATGTCAGTAAAAACACCTGGGCTGCTGGCAGCCATCTTTGTCACATGACATGATCCTACTAGAGAAGGAAGCTAGCATAGGAAAGTAGAGCTGAGAGATGAGGAGGGACCAATTTCTGATAGCATTGTTTTGAGCATCTGAATTCTGTACCTTACCCCTGGACTTTTAGTTTCATGAGACAATAAGTTCCCCTTTTGTTTGTTTAAATCAATTTGAGATGAGTGTCCATCACAAGTAATGAAGATTCTTGACCAATATAACACCTTTGATCATGCCACCCGCCTGCCCAAAAATGTTTGGTGGTTCCCCATTGTCCCCACACCCTTGTCCTGTCTCCTCTTCATCTTTCAAAATCTGTCTCTAGTGCCATCTTCATTAGGATGTCACCTTCCCTGTGGCTAACCAAACTTGAGCTTATCTTTATCTGAAGCCCATATTATTTTTATCTATTTTATGGTATCCAACATGTTCTGATAAGTGTAGTAGTGATTTGTGTATGGATCTTACCCCATCTACTTATTTGAAAGCCCCTTGAGTGTAAAGATTTTCCTACCATTCTGTGCCTTGCTCAGCAAACCCTAGTAGACGTGTAGTGACTAGGCTACGAATATACATGTAGTCAGGTAAAAGTACATCAAAAACACAGGTCTCCTGGCTCCCATTCCAGTGCTTCTCCCAGTATGTCACGCTTACTGAGGGAAAAGTCTGAGTAGTCTGGACAAGTTATAAAGCAGGATTCTCAAAGTGCAATCCCCTGACCAGCAACATCGGCATCATCTGGGAGCCTGTGAGTCATGCAGATTCTCAGCCTTCACCTCAGACCTCCCAGATCAAATTCTGGGTGTGGGCCCAGCAAGCTGTGTTTTAACAAGCCTTCCAAGTAACTCTGACACATGCTCCAGTCTGAGAACCAGTGCTGAGATTTCAGTTGACATTTACATAATATATTTCCTTTTTGAAATGTTTAACTACTTCATGATTTACAGATAAAAATGCACACTATTCATCTTGAGTCTCATGTTAAGTAAAATTTGCAAGGCGTCATTTGGGTAATTAATTTTCTTCCACTTCACAGTAGATACAGAAATTCTTAAGTCTTTTTGAATGTATACACGGTTATTTTAGGATTGGGATTCTCAAACTAAAGGTGAGAGAACTCACAAAAAAAAAGTCTATTTAATTTTTTAAAGAGCATCCATATAGTGTTCATTCTGGGCAGAATGTTGATGGACAGAGGAAGGAGCTGTTTGCCTTTCAAACCCAGTAGGGACCAGAAAGGGAGGAACGGAGTGTCTTTACCAGCTCAGAGATCTGGGGCACTTATAAAAGTACTTTTAAGGAGAAAGGATTGAATCAAACGGAAAAGGTTGTTTGAACATCAGATTTAGATGTTTCCTTTTTTATTCGCCCTAATTCAAAAAAAAAGTGACCTTATGAGCTGTCTAGTTGTGAGTTTTTATACCCCCCTCCCTTCTTTTATCTTTTTTTTTTTTTAAGAAAATATCTAGAAAAATCAGTGCTGGGGAATTTTTCTGTCACGTGTTTCATGTGAGATCATTGAAAATACACTTCATTTCATATACTTTTTCTTTCAAAGGCATTTTCTTTTATTCAAATAACTTCACTTTTGAGAATGTCAATTACAGGTGAATTCATTTGGCTGTTTTCAGAGGCTTTGAAGTATTTTTTTAATTGCCAACCCCACCCCCAGTTGTTCCAAATTAATAGGATTTAGCATTTGGAATGGAGTTTGATACAGAAAAAGTGGTGATCACTGGTCAACTCTTTCTCTGAAAAAGGCAGAAGTACTGTCAAGTCTGAGACCTCCTGGTCTCTGGGCTTGTCTCTTTGAGAGCTAATTTCCTCCTCTGAAAAGGTTAAGATTTCCTAAGTAATGTGCAAGGAGCCCTACTCAAATGTAACCTGAATTTGCCAGTCTGACAAGATCACTGGCCTAATGGCCCTGTTAATGTAGGACCTCCCGCCCCTTCCTCCCACTCCCAAATATTTCAGGGGGCTCCCGAGGGTGTCCCACATAGGCTCGTGATCAAATCTGCTTTCTCTGGGCACTGTTCTAAAGGGGCACCACTGCTCCTACCCCTCCCCAACCTGTGGCTTCTTCACTATTTCTCACTGCACCCCAGTCCCTACCAGCTTTTGCTATCCCATGCTGCTGCCAGAGCTGTGGAAATGGACTTTTTTTTTTTTTTTTTGTCTTTTCCCCTTTGCATTGTATTGGTGAAGTCTCAAAGCAGTGGGCTCTGTGTTGCAAGGATTTATGGAGTTTTGAGTGAATTGGCATCTTGGTACTTGCTCTCTATTAGAATCCAGAGAGGTGTCCTTACAGCCCAACTTGGGACAGATTCAAATAGTATCAGCTATACTCAAAATTATTGCTCCCTTCTGTTACTCAGCCAATTGTTTGCCACCTTCTCATTGTATCTGTTTCTCCCAGAAGGTCCCTCAGAATCCCCAACAAATAGACTTTTTTAGGTCCTGTCCCACCATCCATCAGGCAAGCCCAAGCAAGCCTGCACCTCGGCAATAAACAACCTGAGGTCTCCTAAACCCGTGTGGCTCAAATTTGGCTGCAGATTTGAATGACCTGTGGAGCTTTAAAAATCACTGATGCCTGGATTTTACTGCCAGAATTTCTGATTTAATGAGTTTTTGGGTATGGCCTGGGCATCAAGAGATTAAGAGCTCCACAGGTGACTCTAATGTGGGACCAACTTGGAGAACCACTGCCCTAAGTACATGTCCTCTCATTTATCACAGCCATCCCACTAAGTGGCCGCTGTTTATTACCCAGTCTCCAGAAATTGAAGCCCAAAGAGATGGAGTTACCTTTCCTAGGGTCACACAGCCTAGTAAGTAGAGAAATATATCACTTAGAACTCTGTTCGACTGTATGGGACAAAAACCTAAGTACGAGTCTTCAGCAAGATGTTTGTTCCTCTCACATAAGAGAAATCTGGCGAGGCTGTTCAAAACTGGTAGGGTGACTGACTACAGAGTCATCAGGGACCCAGGTTCTTTCTGTCTTTCTGATGCACTGCCCTACAGACGGCTTCCATCCTCAAGTTTGCTCGTGATTTGTGGTGGTGACTGGAGCCCTCAACTTTACTTCGATATTTTGGGTAGGAAGGGCAAAAAGGTCTTCAGCTGAGACAACCCTCTGTAAAGTCTTCCAGAAGCCCCACCAACAACTTTAATTGACATTCCATTAGCTGCCCAGGTTACGGTGGGCAAGGTAAGTTGGGAAACATGTCCATTTTAGAGTTCATTAGTGGGGAGAAGGGCAGCATGGTTATTAGCTAACCAGCAGTCTTTGCCCCACTGAGCCCGGTTGCTAACTCAGATCTGACTCTGTCCAGGCTCTTCAAAATCAGTTATTAGGATTTAGTGAGACAAATTAACATTTTAAAATAGCTTGTAGAAAGTGTATTTGGGATCATGCTCTTGGTTTCATATTTGCTCTATGCAGTGCCCTGAAAAGTTTAGTCTGATTCACTTTTAATGATCAAAATATTTTCAGACCTGCAACTTTAACCATTAAAAGGAATCTCAATTTCCAAAGCAAATATAAGATAGGAGTTTTGGCATCAGTTCTGAACAGCTTAATTTGGCTCCTTGCTATATGTGTAGCTCCTTCTAAGGAGACCCCCCACAACTGTCATTATATTTTATAATACGGTGGTAGCATTGGCTACATGGATGTCCATCGAGTTCATCCATAGGTGGCAGCAGGGTGAGGATTAACAGCTGGACATGATATCAAGGGAGCTAGAGAGGAGCTGGACATTGTGGGCAACTGTATTCTCTGACTCTGACAAGCAGCGTTGGGAAGAGGCCCTGCCCAATTCAGTAATATGTGTTAAAATGTAAGATAGTCATATGCTTTAACCTAGCCATCTTTTTAGCAGTCTCTCCTACAAAACCATGTACACAACACAGATATATCCAAACCAGGCTTTGTATGATAGCTCCCAAATGGAAGAATTCTCTCAGTGGAGAATTGCTTAAACTATGATACATTTGAACAGTGGATCACTAATAGCCATTAGAAAGATGGAAGATCTCTACTTAATGATACAGAATTTAAAGATATATTGAAATGTAAAAAGCCAAGTTACAAACTATATTTTGTTTGAATTCATTTTTATTATGTATTTATAATATATGCACACATTGTTAAATGCCTAGAAGCTGGGTGCAGTGGTGCATGCCTACAGTCCCAGCTACTCAGGAGACTGCGGTAGGAGGATCACCTGAGGCCTGGAGTTCGAGGCTGGTTGTGTGCCTATGATCACACCTGTGAATAGCCACAGCACTCTAGCCTGGGCAACATAGTGAGACCCCACCTCTGAAAAATAATAAGTAAGTAAATGTCTAGAAAAACTCTGAAGATACATTCACAAACCTGTTGAATTTATCGACTATGGGTTTAATTAGGGAGCACTTTTTCTTTCTACATAATTTTTTTCTATACAGTTTTACTTTTGCACATCCAACATATATTACTTTGGTAATCAGAATCATATAGTCATGCATCACTTAACAATGGGGATACGGCCAGGCACGGTGGCTCACACCTGTTATCCCAGCACTTTGGGAGGCTGAGGCGGGTGGATCACGAGGTCAGGAGATCGAGACCATCCTGGCTAATACAGTGAAACCCCGTCTCTACTAAAAATACAAAAAATTAGCCGGGCATTGTGGCGGGCACCTGTAGTCCCACCTACTCAGGAGGCTGAGGCAGGAGAATGGCTCGAACCCGGGAGGCGGAGCTTGCAGTGAGCTGAGATCGCGCCACTGCACTCCAGCCTGGGCAACAGAGCAAGACTCCATCTCTAAAATTAAATTAAATTAAATAAAATTAAATAATGGGGATACATTCCGAGAAATGCGTCCTTAGGCAATTTCATCATTGTACAAACATCATAGCACGTACTTAGACAAACCTTGATGGTATAGCCTGCTGTACCCCTAGGCTATATGGTCCTATTGCTATATAGGCCCATTGCTCCTAGACACAAACCTGTACAACATGTTACTGTACTGAATACTGTAGGCAATTATAACACAAAGGCAAGTATTTGTGAATCCAAACATAGACAAGGTAATGTGTTGGACTGCGATGTTATAATGGCTATGGCATCACTAGATGATAGGGATTTTTTAGCTCCATTATGATCTCATGGGACTACCATTGTGTATATACTTCATTGTTGACCAAAATGTCATTATGGGGTGCATGATTATATAAGATAAAATAATAATGTAGTCCCGCACCATCACTTATGGATCCTACCAACCAGCGGCTGAGGGGGTGTGTGCACCAGCATCTGCATGTGAAATAGGCTGTGGTAGGTAGGGACATTGTTGGAACTGCATCAAGAGGAAGAAGGCCTTGAGAGCCTGGCAAGCAAACAGTTGAATGTCCTAGGTAGGCCAGCACAATGCCAGCCAGGCCTTCAGGCAGGTCAGTCACGATGCCTGGGAAGCCTCACAGACAGGACATCCCAGTTGCTTATATCACCTGCTGCCCTTCCAAGGGAATCTGTGGCACCTCTACAGCCTCTGCTGGGGTTGGGAGCCCCAGGGTTCTCCTGGCACGGGATTGGTTGCATTCTGAGCCACAGGATTGTGCCACAAGTAAAAAGACCAAGGAAAGCTGATGACAGGCCCTGGCCATGTTTCCCAGGAATTTGAATGGGGAAGTCTAGTGATAATTAGCCAGTTGGAAGAGAGAAAGGGGGAGAAAAGAGAAGCACCCCCGGGGGAGGCGGAGGTGGAGAGAGTTGTGAAGTCACTAGACTGAAGCCGTGTGCTCAGCTTCTGCTGCTGAGTCCTCTGGCCTCCTTTAACCCTAAACACGTTTCACTTTCGCCTCCCAGCAACTTGGCCATGCTGCACTCCCAACACTGGCGCCTGGTGACTCTTCTTCCCCTAGGTTCCCGGGAGGCCTGGCTGCACAGACAAGATCCTGTCCTCCTCGTTTCCCTGTGTCAGCTTAAGCCATCTCGACCCCCTTCCATATGGAAAGCTGAGTGATGTCTGCTCTTTCCTGAAATAGGCACACATGGAGGCTACCTAGTTCCGGGCCATTCTGACTGATTTAGCCAAAGTGCTTTCTCCAGAAGAAACCTAACATGGATGTTCCAGTGTAAAAGTTGTCAAAGTGGAATTGCCCTGTTTCACGACCCTCAAACCTGGGCCCAAAAGTAGTCGACTGCTCCTGGTGGCGTCCATGGAACCCCCAGGGGGTCTGTGGAGCACATCTGAAAATCAACAGCTGTAGATCCCTATTGGGTGACACCCTCAGCGTCTCCCTGGAATGCACCGTCTCCTTTGCTGGTTTCTGAGAATCACATACATGCACACCATATCCAGTTCCACTGTCACCAGCTGTAGGATTCAAGCAGCCAGTTTAGTTGGCTGCTGACTCCTCACCAAGCTCTCTGCATCTGCAAGAATGAGGGTAATTAAGGTGACTTGCATACATGTGCCCCAGATCCCAAGGTCTTCTCTAGAAAGAGAACTTAGGCAGACACTTTGATGCAATAATAAAGTCCTAGGCCAGGGGTTCTCCAAAGATGCTGGAGTCTCCTGATCAGCAGCCTCAGCATAACCTGACAGTTGGTCCGAAAGGCATAGTCTCAGCCCCACCTCAGACCTAACAAGTCAGAAATGGGACAGGCCGGCCATCTCTCTTGCTGATTCTCATGAGCTCACCTGGGATTTGCCTTTCAGATCTGTCTCCTGGCCCAACCTTCCATGAACTCGTTGCAGGCTGCAAGCACACACTGGAAAGCTGTCTTATGAAATCTCTGAGCCCCTGGGAGATGAGACAGTGAAGTTTCCTTCCTCTAATACAAAGGGCAGCCCAAGAGAGAGTAGAGGCCACCTCTTCCATGCCTGCCCAGAGCACAGCTTGGTCTCAACACACCGTGTGCTCTAGAGAACACAGCTCCATTTTTATACCTTGAGGGACTCACCTCTAAGATACTGTGAGAGAACTGAGCAAAAATCATGGCCCCCTTTCCAAGAACTAAAGGTCATGCAATAGCAGATGGGTAGGAGGCAAAGGGATGGGATTCCTTCTGTTTCCCCATGACAGTGTGGCCTGGCAAAGTTCAACTTACACAAATGGTACACTTTCCAAATCTTACCACTTTTGGGAAAATATGTATACACACACACACACACACACACACACACACACACACACTCTTATTAAATGTAGAGACCCAGCCAGGCACGGTGGCTCACACCTGTAATCCCAACACTTTGGGAGGCGGAGGCAGGCAGATCACTTGAGGTCAGGAGTTCGAGACCAGCCTGGCCAACATGGTAAAACCCCATCTTGGAAATAGAAAATTAGCCGGGCGTAGTGGTGGGTGCCTGTAATCCCAGCTACTCGGGAGGCTGAGGCAGGAGAATCGCTTGAACCCAGGAGGCAGAGGTTGCAGTGAGCTGAGATTGCACCATTGCACTTGGGCCTGGGCAACAAGAGTTAAACTCCATCTCAAAAAAATCTAAAAAATAAAAATAAAACGTAGTGACCCTTGGTTACCTTCCCTCTGGATTTTAATATTACTCATGTACAAGAAATATAGATCTTAGAGAGCCGATACCCTCACACAGTTTTGGCGGGGATAGAGATGAAAAGAGCACGCTGATGTTACCTAATATTATAGAGTCTTTCTGAGATATGTGCCTGTCTCACACAAAGTGTATTTACTCTGCCACATTACGATTCAGCTCTTTTATGATAAGACTAGTAACACTGATAATAAATATTGTTTTTGAGCTCCTACCCTGTGCCCTTATACCATTCTAGGCACTTTATTTTTTACATGGCTTGCCTCTGTTAAATGTCACCGTAACTCCCAGATAACCTCTTCTGATAGCTGGGAAAACCAAAGCACAGATTGGTTTATAAACTTGCTCACACAGCTAGCATCAGAGAGACCTGGGATGTCTCATCATTTCTGTTCTCGTATCAAAGAGGGCCCTTGTGAGCCTCTCAGTTGCCCGATCCTAACACTGGTCAATTGGAATCTACTCCCCAATGTTCCAAGGAATGGATGTCATGAACCATGGCAGGTGGCATGGATGCTGGAATCCAGAGTGGTCCAGGTGAGGCCTCAGCCATATGCAGCTTGGCCTCAGACTTTGCCTCCCCATAGGTTATGATGTTGGGGCTGCCATCTTTCACCAAATAGGAAAATGTTTGATCAAATCTTTCTATAATTACAAATTATTGTTCTCACCTGGAAAACACACAGACACAGAGGGGCAAGCATTATTGATTATTTGACTATTGGTTTTTCTCTCCTTATCTTTATCTATAAAGTTGAACTTTTAAAATTGGGGTAGAAAGTAATTATTCCTCCTTTAATTCACTCTGTTTTTAATTTGGTTCTCTAAGATTTTGGCTGCACCCATGGTCGAGGCAGCCAGGTGAAGGGGTTGAAGACACCAGAAAACGCATTACTTGCTGTAACACAAGAAGTCTGTAATTCTCTCGGGTCATCTTAGGAGAGTCTTCCCCATGGGTTGCGTGTCCACACAGAAGGCTGGCTCCAAAAGACCTGGCTGCTCTAGCTCTTGGCAAATGAGAGAACTCACACAATAATAGCAGCTGCCATGCATTGAGCCCTTAGGCGTTAGGCACTCTACCAAGCATTTAACAATACTCCAAAATAATTAATAATTTACTATATGCCAATCATTCTAATGCCTCTTGACAATTGTCTGACGTGGGTGCTCACCTTACATTTGAGGAAACTAGATACAGAGAGGTTAAATAAGTTGCACTTGGCAGGTGGAGCTGAGGGTGAGGCCAGAGATGACAGGGTGGTCATAGAAGCCAGGGTGTGGGGCGGGAGGTGGCAAGTGAGTCTAGGCTGCTTGTTGAGGCCCAGGTAGCGAGGAAGGCATAAGGCCATGAGGGGCCGGAGAAGCCAGAGAACCAAGAAGGCGGGATGTTCTCAGTGAGGTGGAAAGCAGGTTTGGTGGCAGGAGGGACTGGGAGAGGCAAGAAGAAGGCACAAAAGGAGGGCTAATCTTTGGAGAATGTTGACCTCCTCTGGGAGATCCTGCACTTTCACCTCAGTGAGAATAATAATCAACTGCTCCCCATTTCTGATACCCAGGGTATTACCCACCAGCATCATGCTGGAAGGGATAGGGAATATGGTCTAAGCCCCAACAGGGCTTCCTCCAAGGCCATTCTTGTACCCACAGAAGATGGGAAGAGTGTATAAAATGGTCCATTTTGAGTCATCCAGTCTAACCCCTGATATGGAGTCCATGGGGGAGGCTTGGAGTGTTGTGGCCCCTCCCCCTATTCCAGGGGCTTCTCCTCCTCAGGTGCTCACACTTACCAAGCCTGGGTTCTCAGCCCTTGATTCTCAAGGCCACCAGCACCATCTCCCTTCTCCTCCAGCGGGTTGATCAGAAGAACCGCTTCTCTTGACTTCTGTGTCTTTTCCCTGGTCCCCTCAGACCCACGTCCTTTTATTCTCACTCCTTCCTCCTCCTGAGTAGGCTCTCCGTCCTTGGCTGCATCTGGAACCCCTAATGCAGCCTGCTGTGGATCCTGCAATGGTTGGGGAGAGGAGGAAAGTGGCCTTGGGGTGGCATTTGCAGACATAACCAGGTTCACAATCCTGCGGGTACTTCCTGTGCCCCTTAAGGAAGGGGCTGCCTCACTATCCCAGATAGATGAAGAGGGAAGGAGGAGGGAGAGAAACCCATTCTGACACGTAAGAACTGCTCTGTGTGCCGGGCACTGTGCTAAGGGGTTTACATGCATGACTTGAATTTCCTGCCCGGTGATTGGTAAAGTTCAGATTCAGACCCAGGCCCTTTGGCTTTCTAATGCAGGGCTCTCACCCCACTGCAGCCCCTCTGGGGAAATGAGAAGGAGGTGACAGAGCAGTAAGTGTGGTGGGAGGGCCCGCAGGTGCAACTCATGGCTATTCTAGCTGTGGCCAGAGAAGCTGTCCAGTGTGGGGTCAAGCCCAGGGGTGGACAGAGTTAGAGGCCTAGGCTAGATGTCAGCTGGGGGTGGTAGGATATAAGAAAGAAGGGAGGAGGAGAGAGTAGAGGGAATGGGGATGCCATGGGTGGTTTGCTTGGAAATGATTCATGGATCAGCACTTCCAGGAGGAAAATGCCCCATCAATCCTATCTCAGTGACAGTATTGTTTCCTTCAGATCATAAGCCAGGGCTCTGGTACAGCTTCCCCTATGTGAATAGAGGGAAGCAGAGGGCTAAAGACAGACCTGGCCTGGCAGCTGCTCTGCATTTCCCTTCCTCAGAACAAGACACTGAGAATGCCTGGCTTGAGGTTCTCCCCACACTGCTCCACTCAGCTGGTGTGAGTGGTCCTGGAACTTTCCTGGCTTTACAAATGGGTCCTTTGTTTAAGACTCAGAACAGGAGCACTCAGCTGGTGATGATTTTGTCCCCCAGGGACATTTGGCAATGTCTGGAAATACACTGGCATCCAGTGGGTACAGTCTGAGGAGCTACTAAACATCCTGCAATGCACAGGACAGGCCCCCTGTGACGAGGAAGTATCTGGATCTAAATGGGGTGGGAGGAGGGGGCAGAGAGGCTTTCCCATCCTGTTTGATTCCCACAGGCTTCCTGGTGCTCTGTCCTGAAGGGCATGGAGGTGCTGGGGGGCTGTGCCTAATGGTAACCACGGCCCAAGGCAGAAGTGGAATCGTGGCCTTGTGAATGGCCGCCTCTGTGCTCACCTGGTGAGTGGGGCTCCTGCAGGTATTTAATATGTTTCCAGTCTGCCTTCAGCTTTTCTGGAGCACAGGGAGCGACTGGGAAGAGTCCTATGCCCATCAGTCTGTCCAAACCCCATCATCACAGGGAGAGGGTTAGGGTACTTAAGGTGGAATTTCCTGACAGTGGAGGCAAGCAAACCAAAGAGGGGCTGAGTGGAGAAGCTGTGCTCCCTCGGCTGCCCAAGGGGAAAAGGCATAACTTGGAAACCCGAGAGAATCAACTAAAGGACAATTCAGCAGATACATACTTCGGGACTGTAAACCAAGCTCCTGTTTGTCCCAAGACAATGTGAAAACCACAACATTTCCATCAAGTTAAAAAACAAAAAACTTTCCTGGCACAGCTAGTCATGAACAGCTCCAACCCCGACACCAGAACATTATGGTGGCACCTGCCTGTGTCTGCAGCCCTCTCTGCCTGGCCCCAGGCCTCCAGCAAGAAGGCCGGGCAGGGCTGAGCCTGCAGAGCTGCCTGAAGACTAAAAGCTGGATGGAGAAGGGACTTTATCCCTCAAGTGGATGGCTTTCCAAGGGTTGGACTCACACTGTTGCCTCTTGGGCCCTGCTTGAGGGCAGCGCCATCTAGAATAGTGGTGAGGTCTCCCGGACGGAAATGTAGAAGGAGAAAATACTTTCTTTGTGGCTCATCTCTCTGCTCCTCTGCAGTGTGGCTGCATGTCGCCTGCTCTGTGTGGCTGCCTTGGGCGCCTGGAGGGTCTGCAGAGCCGTGCGTCACTGCATATCTAGGCTTTGTGGCCGTTCATTCCTGGACCTGCTCACCGCACCGCACAAGGCAGTTTTGAAAAAGGACTGAGGCTGCTGAAATGTAAATGGGAGACGTCTGGTTCTCTCTGTGTTCTACATTGGGAAACATATGGTCTGAATTAAGACATTTGAGATGGTTTTTAAAATGCGCTGCTCTGGGTGAGAATGTTGATTGGATCCTGCATCCAGGAAACCAACTGGAGAAGACATTTTAGACACCACTGGGGAAATGTGAATAGGGCCTGAGTATTAGATGATACTATGGTTTGAATGTTTTTGTCTCCCCTAAAATTGATGTTGAAACATAATCCCCAATGCAACAGTAGTAAGAGATGTGGCCTTTAGGAGATGGTTGAGTCATGAATGGGAGTAGGTGCCCCTATAAAGGAGTCTGATGGAGAGAGTTTATCCCTTTTGCCCTTCAGCCTTCTGCTGTGTTAGGATGCAGCGTTCCACCACTCCAGAGGACTTGGAAGCAGACAGCAGCCCTCACCAGACACAAACCTGCTGGCACCTTGATCTTGGACTTCCCAGCCTCCAGAGCTATGAGAAAATAAATGTTTGTTCTTCATAAATTACCTAGTCTCAGGTATTTTGTTATAGCAGCACAAACAAGCCAAGATAGATAATATTAAGAAAATTGACTGGGCGCGGTGGCTCACGCCTGTAACCCCAGCACTTTGGGAGGCTGAGGCAGGCGGGTCACCTGAGGTCAGAAGTTCCAGACCAGCCTGGAACAACGGTTTAGTAGAAACCCCGTCTCTACTAAAAATAAAAAAAATTAGCTGGACGTGGTGGCACGTGCCTGTAGTCCTGGCTTCTCAGGAGGCTGAGACAGGAGAATTGCTTGAACCCAGGAGGCAGAGGTTGCAGTGAGACGAGATCGCACCACTGCACTTCAGCCTGGGTGACAGAGTGAGACTCTGTCACAAAAAAAAAAGAAAAAAAAGAAAAAAAAAGAAAATTGCAGTTAATTTTGTTAGGAGTGATAACAGTATTTTAGTGGAGTAGGGAAGTATGCTTATTTTTTAGAGGTACAAATTGAAGTATTTGGGGGTAAATTGTCATGATAATGATAATTTACTTTATTTATTTATTTATTTATTTTGAGTTGGAGTCCTGCTCTGTTGCCCAGGCTGGAGTGCGGTGGCGTGATCTTGGCTCACTGCAGCCTCTGCCTCCCAGGTGCAAGCAATTCTCCTGTCTCAGCCTCCCAAGTAGCTGGGATTACAGGCGTGCACCACCAAGCCCGGCTAATTTTTTTGTAATTTTGTAGAGATGGGACTTCACCATGTTGGCCAAGCTGGTCTCGAACTTCTGACCTCAAGTAATCTACCCACCTCAGCCTCAAAAGTGCTGGGATTACAGGCGGAAGCCACCTCACCAAGCCGATAATTTATTTTAAAATACATCCTCTCCAAAGGATATTATACGGTTCTCCTTACTTTTCCTGTATGCTGAAAATGTTCATAATGAAAAGTAAAAACAAAACTCAAAGACCCTGGAAATCCTGTTTCTTTATCTGAAAAAGTAAATGCTGCCCTAACTTTGAGGTAAAGGCAGAACAAGCATGACATGGGGAAAGACCAGCTCTCTTCTGTGAGGGCTGGAGCCTGCACCATTACTGTTCCGGCCTCCCCAACCTTCGGTGCTAGACGCATATCTGAAAATGAATGGAGAATTCGTTGCCCTGCAAAGAAACTGTCACAGATCATTCATCCATTCATTTATTCCGCTACTTATTTATCCAGTCATTCAACAAATACTGATTGAGGATCTACAGCTTGCCAGTGTCTGTGCTGGGGGCTGGGCACACAATGATAAGAGAAAACAGGCACAGCCCCTGCCCCTGTGGAGCTTAAAATCTTATCAAGGAAGCAGGTGTTAAAGAACTGCAAAGATAAATGCAGAAGTTACAACCAAAGAAAATGAGTAGCATTATAAAAGAGAGTATGAGAGAGAGGAAAATGACCAAGCCAAGAAGATCTAGGAAGCTGAGTGTGACAGGAGGAGAGAAGGGAGGTGCGGAGGCCTGTGGCCAAAGGCAGCAAGGCAGCACTGAGGGCTGGAGTCTGGTGTGGCTGCAGTGAAGGGGGAACGGGAGTGGCTGGAACTGGAGAAGGTGCAGGAGGTAGAGGCAGAGACGCCTGGTCCATGGGCTACTTCTGGCTTTTCTCTCCCGGAGTATGGAGATGAACCTGAAATTTGTCTTCTTCCCTTGCCGACTTGCCCCATCCCAGCTCCTCACTGCTCTGCTCGGCCTTCTGAGCTTCAGATGCACCCTCCACCTGACCCTTACTAAGTTAAACACTCTGTGGCCTTCATCATGGGGTCACCTCGCCCCTTAGCATGGCAGGTCCCTTCCACTGGCTCTTCTGGCCCTTTCCATGCCAAGGGAAAGCTGTGGAGCTCTAACCCAGACCTCTCCACCCCACTGGGTCGGGTCTCCATTTGATTCTGGCTGCTCCGTGTAAACATGGCAGCTCCATACAAGGGGGTCTGTACCCAGAGTCCCAGCCCAGATGACATGCACAAGCCCCTCCACTGGTGGCGTCACCTCAAGACATCCTAGGCCGGGCGCGGTGGCTCACGCCTGTAATCGTAACCCTTTGGGAGGCCGAGGCGGGCGGATCACGAGGTCAGGAGATCGAGACCATCCTGGCTAACATGGTGAAACCCTGTCTCTATTAAAAAGACGAAAAAATTAGCCGGGCTTGGTGGCGGGCACCTGTAGACCCAGCTACTGGGGAGGCTGAGGCAGGAGAATGGCGTGAGCCCAGGAGGCGGAGCTTGCAATGATCGGAGATTGCACCACTGCACTCCAGCCTGGGCGACAGAGCGAGACTCCGTCTTTAAAAAAAAAAAAAAAGACATCCTCACCCCACCCCACCACATCCTGGGACTTTGGCTGAGGAAGCCACGATGCCTGTGTCTCAGCCATTGCTTCTCCTCCTCTGTCCCTCTCCCTTCCATGGTCCATCAAAGGGAAATAGCAGGATTTCTACTTCTCCTTCCCGTCTGGGAGAATCTCCTCTTACTCAATGCCCTTCCCTTCCCTTCCCTAGGCTGCAATCCCCTTGACTGCTAGGGTGTCTTCTCTACATTCTAGAAGAACTTTAGGGCTGGGGCCTACTCGGCTTGGCACTAGCCATCACCCTGGATAAAAATATACTGACTTAAGATCCCCCAAGATCGTATCCTTACTAGAGCAAAGCGTTCAATCAATAGCAGCTATTGTGATCATTCCCTTGTCTAAAGAAGGTTTCTCCTAGACTCTCTGGAATACTTCCTGTTTAACTCAAGACTCACCCTCATGTAAGACTTTGCCTCTGGGGTCCTCAGTTGAGTGACACCAGTCCACACCCCCAAACCTTCAGCCTCTAATGATAGAGCCCGGAGATCTCCCCCAGCCCATGTGCCACATCTGCCTCCTTTCTGCCGCTGAGGTTCACCTGCGCAGCCCCAGCCCCAGCCCCAGCTCTCTGCTCCCCTCTGGTGGAGCCCTGCCGTACTGCCCTGCCTGGCCCCTGGCTGACTTCATGAGCTGGAAGCAGCTGCCAGCAACAGCCACTTGGCCCTATCAGAAAAATGTGAGGGAAGTTAAAGACCCAAAAAGGTGGGCCTTATCACGTAAAATGAAGACCTACAGAGGTGCTTTCGCCCTAATTTGTTGACAGGATAAAAATAAGGACGGGGTGGGAGAGGAAACTCATACTTATGAAGTCCCTGTAATGTGTTAGGCCCTTGCTATACACTTCATGTATGTTGTTTCATGATAGAACTGTGAGGCAGGGCCAGGTGCGGTGGCTCACACCTGTAATCCCAGCACTTTGGGAGGCCAAGGCGGGTGGATCACCTGAGGTCAGGAGTTTGAGACCAGCCTGGCCAACATGGTGAAACCCCGTCTCTCCTAAAAATACAAAAATTAGCCGGGCATGGTGGCACATGCCTGTAGTCCCAGCTACTCGGGAGGCTGAGGGAGGAGAATCACTTAAACCCGGGAGATGGATGTTGTAGTTAGCTGAGATCGTACCATGCACTCCAGCCTGGGCGACATAGCGAGACTCCACCTCAAAAAAAAAAAAAAAAAAAAAAGAACTGTGAGGCAGGTACTCATGTTTGCAGAGGAGGGAGATGAGAGTTTAAGTGACCTGCCTGAGACCAAATAGAGTGAAAGTGGCAGAGGTGGGATTGAAACACAGGACTGTAGTCTGCTGAATAAAGGGGTGACACAGGCCTGGCATGGTAGCTCACGCCTGTAATTCCAGCACTTTGGGAGGCTGAGGCGGGCAGATCATTTGAGGTCAGGAGTTCGAGACCAGCCTGGCCAACATGGTGAAACCCCTTCTCTACTAAAAAATACAAAAATTAGCTGGGTGTGATGGTGCGTGCCTATGGTCTCAGCTGCTGGGGAGGCTGAGGCACGAGAATTGCTTGAACCTGGGAGGGGGAAGTTGCAGTGAACTGAGATCGCGCCACTGCACTCCAGCCTGGGTGACCGAGCAAGACTCCATCTCAAAAAAGCAAGAAAGCAAGAAGGAAAGGAAGGAAGGAAGGAACGAAGGAAGGAAGGGAGGAAGGGAGGGAGGGAGGGAGGGAGGGAGGAAAGGAAGGAAAGGAAGGAAGGAAGGAAGGAAGGAAGGAAGGAAGGAAGGAAAGAAAGAGAAAGAAAGAAAAAGAAAGAAAGAAAGAAAAGAAAGAAAGAAGAAAAAAGAAAGAAAAGAAAGAAAGAAAGAAAAGAAAGAAAAGAAAGAAAAGAAAGAAAGAAAGAAAGAAAGAAAGAAAGAAAGAAAGAAAGAAAGAAAGAAAGAAAGAAAAGAAAGAAAGAAAAAGAGGCAGCATCAAGCAGGGAGATAACAGAGAGGGAGTGAATGTACTCAGCCCCTGTGTTGCTTCCAGAAGTCCAGATGGGGAAGGTTAGAGACCCCTTGCAGTGCCTGGCATTCCTGGCAGGGAACTTCTCCAGCCTGTGGTGGGGTGTAATGCTCTCAAGGTGGCTCCTCCACCCCTGCTACCTCACTCCACCTGCTCAATGTCTGTCACTCCTGGGACCAGCCATGGCCAGGTCAGTGAAAGCCTGGCTTGGGAGCAGATGAAGCGAGACTTCTGGGAAAGGAAACAGCTCTGAATGCAGCAGTGCCCTCTGTCTGGGCTCTAGACCCTGAGGCACACAGTCCCAAGTCTTCAACAGAACTGTATCCCGTCTCTGATAAACCCAGTCAGCTGATGGATGCTGTACCCCACCCTCACTCCAATCCTTTGGAGGAAGCCACTCCTAGGTGCTTCTGAGTCATGTATATGAAAGCATCCTTCATGGCGCCAGCTATGGGAGTACACCTTTCACCAGTGCCTCCTCAGCAGTGGAAGTTCCTCATAATACTTATTAAAAAGTGCTTTGCTCATTTTGTAGGTTAAAATGGCACTTGTACAGTCATTGAATCTGAGTTTTTACGGTGATTCGTGTTTTGACTCTTAACTATTTTTTTTTTTTTTTTTGAGACGGAGTCTCGCTCTGTCGCCCAGGCTGGAATGCAGTGGCGCGATCTCGGCTCACTGCAAGCTCCGCCTCACGGGTTCACGCCATTCTCCTGCCTCAGCCTCCCGAGTAGCTGGGACTACAGGCGCCCGCTACCACGCCCGGCTAATTTTTTGTATTTTTAGTAGAGACGGGGTTTCACCGTGTTAGCCAGGATGGTCTCGATCTCCTGACCTCGTGATCCGCCCGCCTCGGCCTCCCAAAGTGCTGGGATTACAGGCGTGAGCCACCGCGCCCGGCCTAACTATCTATTTTCTAGTGAGAATTGGATTTGACTAAGCAGATCTGGATTTAAATTCTGGATAGAAGAACCTGCGCAATTTGCTTAACTTCCCAGTACTTCAGTTTCACTGTTCCCCCTTTCATTTCAGTTTGGTTATATTTCACTTATAAAAAATTGATACTCCTGTTGTTGATTCCTTTCCTTGGTGTTTTCTTTGATTGCTTGAAAGCTGAGAAAATCACTGTTCCTTACTTTCTATTGTTTGTTTTGAACGACAAAGTGATAGATAAGTGAGAAATTGGTGTTTGGAGTTGGGAAATATGACAAGCTGGTTTTCCCAGCCATGTCATGGGGCCTTGGCTGGCAGGTTTTCCTGTAGTGCTGGGAACATTCTTAGAATATTCTGAGTGACCGAATTCCACAAAATGTCTGAAAATTCATCAGCAGACATGCACACCAGCTAATGATAAATGATTCATTCCTCAAATATTTATTAATAATCTGTTATATGATACAAGGTCCTGGGCTTGTCATGGATTCGGGGGCAATTCTGACATAGGTTCTGTGCTCTAGGATTGGGTAGTCGGGAGGAAGGTGGGGCGCTGGGGACACCTTGTTTGCCCCACAAGATCTCTCTGTGCCCTTCTCTACCTGCTCTGAGCCCCAGGAGGCTGGCCTGTGTGGGCAGCATCATGAGGTTTCTCTACCCTCTGTTTTCTTGGGCTCAGCCAGTGGGAGGCACCCACAGTACATCAGAGGGCAGGAGGAGAGCGAGGCCAGGGTGGTTATTCCCCCAGCTCCCTACCTGCAAGGCTGTCACCTGGCAACCTCTGTGTTTCTTTTCCCAAGGCCACAGCTCCAGTCAGGTGACCCTCTCCTGGTTCTAGTGCCTGCTCCTTCTTGTCCCTAGTCCTCAGGGTAGCTTTGACTTCTAACAGCTCTGGGGTGCTTCGTCATCCTGGTTAATGTCCCTTAATTCTGCCCACACCTTTGTAAATAGTCCCTGTCATTAAACCCTCTCCAGATCCTCCTCGTGTGTGTGCCTGATTGGTAAAGCATGATTTAAAATAATTGTCAGTGAGGCTGAGGGCTGTGGCTCATGCCTGTAATCCCAGCACTTTGGGAGGCCAAGGAGGGCAGATCACTTGAGGTCAGGAGTTCAAGATCAGCCTGGCCAACATGGTAAAACCCTGTCTCTACTAAAAATACAAAAATTAGCCACCACGGTGGCACGTGCCCGTAATCCCAACTCCTTGGGAGGCTGAGGTGAGAGAATGGCTTGAGCCTGGGAGGCAGAGGTTGCAGTGAGACGAGCTTGCACCATTGCACTCCAGCCTGGGAAACAGAGTGAGACTCTGTCTCAAAATAATAATAATAATAATAATAATAATAATAATAATAATACATTGTCAATGAAAGAAGAAAAGAATGGCTACAGAGGGGTGAGCAGTGCTGAGAGAGGGCAGCGGCTGAGATATTTCTTCCACTTGGGCATCAGAGACAACCTAGTGGAGGAGGTGGCACTAGAATCAGACCCCAAAGATGGAACTCAGATGTGAGCACAAAGGTACTCTAGGCAGGAGCAGCAGCTGGGGGCCAAGATCAGAGGTGAAGAGGGCAAGTTATTGTGGGATGGCCATTCTGAAAGTCTGGTCCCCAGACCAGTGGCCTCAGCATCGTCTGAAGAAATGCAAATTGGGCTGAATCAAAAAACTCTGGGGATGGAGCCCAGCAACCTGCCTTTTTCGCAAATCCTCCTGGTGGTTCTCTTGCATGCTCCAGTTTGAGAGTCACCAGGGTAGGGACAGCAGTTCAGAGAGTGGAGTGAAATGGGGGAAAATGTTGGAAAGCATGTGGGCCCAGGGGTTGTAGGGCCTTAAACAGCTGCAGGGTTTGGCTGGACACCGTGGCTCATGCCTGTAATCCCAGCACTTCGGGAGGCCAAGCTGAGTGGATCACGAGGTCAGGAGATACAGACCATCCTAGCTAACACGGTGAAACCCCGTCTTTACTAAAAATACAAAAAAATTAGCCTGGTTAATTTTTTTAGCCTGGGCTAATAATTAGCTTGGGCGTGGTGGTGGGCACCTGTAGTCCCAGCTACTCGGGAGGCTGAGGCAGGAGAATGGCGTCAATCGGAAAGGCGGAGCTTGCAGGGAGCCGAGATCACGCCACTGCACTCCAGCCTGGGCGACAGACAGAGCGAGACTCCGTCTCAAAAACAAACAAAGCAAAACAAAAACAGTTGCAGGGTTCGGTCTGCATTATTGTAGGTGATGAATGCTGTGAAGGGGTGTGTGTGCATGTGAGCATGTGAGTGTGGGTGTGGCCTGAGCGGGGATGCTTCTAAGAGTGCGTTTGGTTGGAGACGATCAGGGAGACGATCACCGAGGTAACTGTGATCGACAAACAGAGGAGGCCCTAAGGCGGTGCCTCTCAACCTCAGCACTGTGGACATTTCGGGGTGATAATTCTTTGTTGTGGGGCTGTCCTGTGCATTGTAGGATGTTTGGTGGCATCCCTGAACTCTACTCGCTGTGTGCCAGTAACACCCCTTGGCTGTGCCAAACAAAAATATCCCCAGACACTGTGCAACATCCCCTTGAGGGCAAACTCACCCGCGTTTAGAACCACTGCCCTAAGCCTTTCGATTTGGCTGAGACTATGGGATAGAACACTCAGGTTATCATGGCTGTATCATCTGCTGCATTTTGGCCACCGAGGGGAGCAAAAGACCTGCAGTGGTTACAGGCGAATGATCAGACATCAGTCAAATCAAGGATCTAATTGAAAATTGCTCATTAGAAATTAAGTATTGATCTGTTTGGGCAAGCTCTTTCAGTAATGTTCCCTGGTGGCCAATTTGTTCAGGTGACACTTCCTGAGGACAGCAGCTTCAGGAGCTCTCACAGCAGGTCCTGAAACAGTCAGGGGCCAGGCGTGGCTGGGTTGGGATCTGATCACTTAGGACAGCTTCCATCCTCTGCCTGCTTTCTCTACTGTCTCTGAGTTCCTCACTTCCTCTAGCCTCTTTTCTGTGCTCTCCTAACAATCTCCACTTGGTCATAAAGAGCAGTCATAGAACAGATGCCCCTTTTGGAGAATGGTCCCTGCCTCCTCTCCCCTCAGGGAGGTCACTTTTTTTTTTTTTTTTTTTTTTGAGACAGAGTCTCCCTCTGTCACCAGGCTGGAGGGCAGTGGTGTGAGCTCGGCTCACTGCAACCTCCACCTCCCGGGTTCAAACAATTCTCCTGCCTCAGCCTCCCAAGTAGCTGGGACTACAGGGGCATGCCACTGCGCCCAGCTAATTCTTGTATTTTTAGTAGAGACAGGGTTTCACCATGTTGGCCAGGATGGTCTCAATCTCTTGACCTCGTGATCTGCCCTCCTTGGCCTCCCCAAGTGCTGGGATTACAAAGGAGGCCACTCTCTTCGGGTGCTCAGGGCCCTCAGACCGCAGGCTATTCCTGCAACTGCCAAGAAGCAGGGGTTCTAGTCCAATCTCCACCAATCATTGATTGTGTAACCGTGGGACTGTGATTTAATCTGCGTGTGCCTGGGCCTCCTCCTCTGTCACACCAAGAAACAGATATGGGATGGGTGTGCTCCTGTGTCAAAATGAATAAGGAATTGGAAACTAGAGTCAGAGAGTTCAATGTCTGAATCCTGATGTCACCATCTACAAGCTGGGTGAACTTGGACAAGCCACTCAACATCTCTGAGCCCTAATTTCCTCATTGTAAGAGGAGATAATATCCCTGCCTCCAGGCTTTTGTAAGGACTGAGATCTGAGAGTAAAGCCTTTAGCCCAATGCCTAGCACATCATAAGCGCCCTTTATTATTACTGTTGTTGCTCTTATTCCTGATCTGCCTAACAGTGGTTCCAAAGCTCACTGAGGACACACTTTCTGGAGGCTCAGCTCTCCTGGATGTGTTACCCAGGCCATGAGGAACTGGTGGAGCATGCAGGCAGCAGGCCTCCTTGCTCAACCCAGCCCCAGCCCAATGCCACAAGGCCGTGGGTCACTTTTGAAGAGATTATTATACTCTAGGGACTGAGATGGGACTTAACCTACTGGGAATTCAGAGACATGGGAGGTTGCCAGGAAATCATTTTAAAGATTTTTCTGGAGGTGGCTTTTGATGAGCGTTATTGGTCAGAGGTTGAGTTTTCTTTCCACATCTTTACTGAGAACCCTCACAGACTGTTGAAGGAGAGGTTCACAACCCATACATCCTGTTTTCCTACTACGGTGGCTCTTCACGACTCTCACATCCCAAAGCCACCTTAAAGTGCCTCTCTTTCCTCCAGCCTGGGTGACAGAGCGAGACTCCGTCTAAAAAAAAAAACAGTGCCTCTCTTTCGTTCTCAATTTCTCACCTCAGCACAAAAGAGAAACTCTCTCTGAACCCAACTCCGGTTGGCCTGTCACTCCCTCCCTTCTCTTCCCACTCCCACTCTCAATCTCTTCTTTTTCCCCTATAAACAATTTTCCTGCTCCTTTCTAAATGCAATTAAGTATTTAATAAATCAGCTTTGCCGGGCCTGGTGGCTCATGCCTGTAATCTCAGCACTTTGGGAGGCCCAGGCGGGCAGATCACGAGGTCAGGAGATCGAGACCATCCTGGCTAACACGGTGAAATCCCGTCTCTACTAAAAATACAAAAAATTAGCCAGGCCTGGTGGCGGGCGCCTGTAGTCCCAGCTACTCGGGAGGCTGAGGCAGGAGAATAACATGAACCCGAGCAGAATCATGTTTTGTCAGAAGAGAAGAAGCTCAGGAACCAAGATGGCAGACCCAGGAGCTCCCAACGAAGGAAGGGCAGGGGGACAGTGACCAGAGATGGGATTTGCTTTGCTAGGCTGTGGGAAGGGGAAAATACCACAAGCACATGTATTTCCATTTTATATTTTGATAAACTGATTTTTTAATGATTTGTTATTGTTAAGATAGGAGAAAAGTCAAATCAATGGCACAGCAAGTGTCAGTGTGGTTGGGAGGCAAGCTAACACCCACACACAAGAAAGAGGATCCCTCATTCCTCCTCCCTGAATTTCTCCTTTTCTTTTCACCAGTGCTGTGCAATCTGTTTCATTCTCCTACCTCTACGCCCTGAAAGTAAAATGATTGACTAGGAAAGCCCAGACCCGCTGCGAGCAGTTGTGGGTGTTTCCATCAGCACTGTCGGAGGTGAGGATCCACAATAGTTGCTCTTGCGTGGAGATAGGAAGCACCATCAAGTCTGCCCCTTCTGGGAAGTGTGGAAAGCCTCTCAGTCTCAATTACCTGCAGCTCAGAGGAAGACTAAGGGAAACTGAGGCACAGCTGAGCATTTCCCAAGCAGAAATGCCCTTCCTAGGAAGTAAGCATCCTTTCACTCCAGGCTGTCCATGCTGAGGTTTCTGTAAGTTCTTGAGATGGGGTATTTGTCAGGTCGTAAATATCTTCGGATTGAAGCTTGTCTCTGCTACTTTGGCAGCCTAGTAGAACTGGAGATCCACGCTGACCCTCGTCCATGCTGACCTCATGGCAGCAGGTGACATTCGGAAGATGCATGAGAGTTTCAGAAAGCACAGGGTGAGGGAGGAATGCTGGACCAGGTCAGAAATGCCGCTGCCATATGGGTGAGCTCTGATTTTTTTTAATCACTGAGGAGGCAGGGGTTGTCATTTGATCTCGCTGTCCTTAATTCCTCCCATCCCCAACAGATTTGCATGAAACAGAACACCAAAGAGAGTGAAGAAACTTTGAGGAGGAAATTGTCTGAGGCTGATGTCCTGGCAAAATAGGCAGAGGATAAAGTGGGGCCGCTGTGGCCTTCTGGAGGTCCATCTGAAGCTCATCGGCTGAGTAGCCTGGGCCCAGGCCAGCCGTGGGCTCAGCAGTGGTCTGGGCAGAAGGCTTTTCTCTTGACCCGTTTGGCATATCTGTGACTAGAACAGAGCTCAGCTATTTCCTCCCTTTTACATCTAAATACAGGATTGCGGCTGGGTAATTAGAACCTTTTTTTTCCCCTGCTGGAGCACAGGGCAGCCATGTATCAGCCAAATTGCTCCCATTCTTAGCATGGCTCGATCCTGGGCCATTTTCCCAAGTTCTGAACTATTACATATTTGTCTCTGGGATGGCACCATTTGTGGTGGTGAATGTGCAGTTGTCTGTGACGCTCTCACATTATTTTCTTTAAATTTCCACCATGAGGCTTCAAAGAATTCAGCCCTTTCCATCAACATCAGCATAGTTAGGGTCTTATGAGTAGTCAGCTACTACAGCTGTGCTTCCAGGGAAAGCCTGGCTTCCAGAGGCACATAGACACATTAGTGCTTCTACAGGGCATTTAGCCAGGAGGGAAGGAAGGTCTGGAAAGCAGGTTGGGTGAGAAGAGAGGTTCAAGGTGCGGGGTTTCTCCTAAACACCCTGGACCATTTGTTCGTGGGGCTGTTTGCACCTCCTGCCTCTTGTTTTGCTTCGTGTATGTGTACAAATACCTTAAAAGTATAAGTGTTCCAGCACTTTGGGAGGCCGAGGTGGGCGGATCACGAGGTCAGGAGATCAAGACCATCCTGGCTAACATGGTGAAACCCTGTCTCTACTAAAAATACAAAAAAAAATTAGCTGGGCCTGGTGGAGGGCGCCTGTAGTCCCAGCTACTCGGGAAGCTGAGGCAGGAGAATGGCGTGAACCCGGGAGGTGGGGCTTGCAGTGAGCTGAGATTGCACCACTGCACTCCAGCCTGGGCAACAGAGCAAGAATCCATCTCAAAAAAAAAAAAAAAGTGTAAGTGTTCAGAGATAACCAATTATGCCAAATCCCATATGATAAAATTATAATGTTAGAGTTGGAATGGCCCTTGGAGAGCAAGTTGCTCCCAAAGCCGTGTTTTATGGAGGAGAAAGAAGTCCAGGGATGAGCAACTTGCCCAGTATCACAGGGCAGGCACGAAGCAGGACCAGAGCTTGGACAGACGTTGGCTCACGCTCTTTCAGGTCATTGGCTGCATCCCTGAGGAAGAGGGTGAGGAGGGAGAGAGGGAGGGAGAAAGGGAGGTAGCTTGCAGATGAGTACCTACTATGTGCTGCACACTAGGTTCAGTGTTTTCCAAGTTCATTCCCCACTTAGAGGCCCATAAGTGCTCATTGACTTAGGTTAAAACTCCAAGTCCACAGCTGCAGATCTACGTCTAGGAACCTTAAGAAGCTGTTGAATGTCGCCAAAGGAAAATGTCATCTGTGCAGCATAGAAAGTGAACCCATCAAAATGACAACTGTGTATCCACTCAGACACCCTAACTTCAAGCCTAGCAGGGTTGAGAGCAGTGTCAGTCCTGTGACTAACCGTCTAGAAGGATCATTGCAGCATGCCAATGTTAGACACCGCACAACAAGCCACGGACCTGACCCACCCTCAAGCTTCCCTGAGAAACCCACCTCTCGTCCTCAGCAGCTCATTCTTGGAGGCTGCATCTGCTCTTCTGTCCTCTTTGTACACGTCCTGCCGATAAGTCTCTCTGAATGTTCCCCTCAGGCGACTGAGTGACAATAACGAAACAACCGTCGTCGCAAGCAACGCTGACTAAGGGCCATGCAGCAGGCCCTTTACACACAGTGTCTCATTTAGTCTTCACCAGGACCCTACTATTATCTCCTACTTTACAGATGAGAAAACGGACACCCAGTGACGTGGGCCCCCCGCCCCTACCAAAGTCCCCTAGCAGAGCCAGGACTCAGAAGCAGGTCTGCCTGACCCCAAAGCATGTGCTCTTGACCTTTCAACTCTCCTGCTTCCAGGTCCTGCTCTTTTTCTAGAAGACATAACTTGAAAAATTAATTACAAATCCAATAAAGGAAATGCTATTTGGAAATTAAAACAAAATAAAACAAAAAGCACAGAACTCTTCAGTCAGCAAAGAACTCACGGCTGAATTTACAAAGTTTTCATACAGTAGTAACCATGAAATCTACATATGTTTTAACAAAAGAGGAAAACTCAACAGAAAGATAAGCGAAGGATATAAATAGGAAACTCAAGAAAAGGAGTTACATAAATGGCTCAAAATATATGGAAAAAAAGTCAAATTTTCTAATTAAAGAAACACAAATTAAAGCAACAAAAGATTTTGGAAAATGACCAAACCCTATGTTGGAGGGAGGCAGATGGCAAAATGGGCCCTTGCACACACTAAGATGGGGAGCGGAAATTTGAAAAATGCTTTTGAGGCAGGGCCCTACTAGTGGCACTTTTTAGCCTTAAAAATATGCATAACCAGGGCCAGGGGCTGTGGCTCACACCTGTAATCCCAGCACTTTGGGAGGCCCAGGTGGGCGGATCATGAAGTCAGGAGTTTGAGACCAACCTGGCCAATATGGTGAAACCCCATCTCTACTAAAAATACAAAAATTAACTGGGCATGGTGGCAGGCACCTGTAGTCCCAGCTACTCGGGAGGCTGAGGCAGAAGAATTGCTTGAACCAATGAGGTGGAGGCTGCAGTAAGCTGAGATCGTGCCACTGCACTCCAGCCTGGGCAACAGGGCGAGACTCATCTCAAAAAAAAAAAAAAAAAAAAAAAAAAAAAAAGCGTAACCTTTAACTGCCAATTCCAGTTCTAGGAATTTACCCTTAGGAAATAATCTCTGATGGACATAAAGAATTATCTATAAAAATGTTCTGTGCGACATTGTTAATGGTAGCAAAACTTGACAAAATGTTGAAATTTGACAAAACCATAGGAGTTATAATTAGTAAACACGGTGTGCATCATGGAAATTATGCAGCTATTAAAATGTTTCTACAGCCTGAGTAACATGGTGAAACCCTGTCTATACAAAAAATTAGCAGGGCATGGTGGCATACGTCTGTAGTCCCAGCTACTCAGGGGGCCTGAGGCCAGAAGGTTCGCTTGAGCCCAGGAGGTCCAGGCTGCATTGAGCTGAAATCTTCACTCTAGCCTGGGAGACACTCTGTCTCAAAAAAGAAGAAAAAAATGATGCTTTAGAAGAATATTTAGAACCAGCCAAATTTTTATAATAGTGTAAGTGAAAAAGGAGTTAATAAAACAGCATATTCAGTGTGATCTGAATTTTCTTAAAAAATATCTGTCCTTCAGCCGAGTACAGTGGCTTATGCTGGTAATCCCAGCACTTCGGGAGGCTTAGGTGGGAGGATCACTTGAGCCCAGGAGTTCAAGACCAGCCTGGGCAATACAGGGAAACCCCGTCTTTACACACACACAAAAAATTAGCCAGGTGTGGTGGCACATGCCTGTGGTCCCAGCTACTCAAGAGGCTGAGGCAGGAGGATTGCTTGAGCCCAGGAGTTTGAGGCTGCAGTGAGCCATGATTGCACCACTTCACTCCAGCTTGGGCGACAGAACGAGACCCTGTCTAAAAAAAAAAAAAAAAAAAAAAAAAAAATTCTGTCCTTAACCAAGTGGTGAACATTAACACCACCCATGGTGGGGCAGGCCCGCTTCATCTGCATCCTGCTATGACATGCTGAGAAAACAACATCACTTCTGGGGATTTTGTATTCCCGAAATGCAACACCTGGATCTAATAATGAGGAAATGTCAGACAACCCCCAGTTGAGGGGCATCTTGTAAAATAACTGGACTATATTCTCTAAAAATGCTAAGGTCATGGAAGATAAAGACTGAGGAACAATTCCAGATTAAGGGAGACTAAAGAGACCTGAAAAGTCAATGCAATGGGGGATGCTGGCCTGGATGCTCAGCCAGGAAATAAAATTGCTATAAAGAACATTATTGGGGCCTGGCGCGGTGGCTTACGCTTGTAATCCCAGCACTTTGGGAGGCCGAGGAGGGCGGATCACCTGAGGTCAGGAGGTTGAGACCAGCCTGACCAACATGGAGAAACCCTGTTTCTACTAAAAATACAAGATTAGCCAGGTGTGGTGGCATATGCCTGTAATCCCAGCTACTCGGGAGGCTGAGGCAGGAGAATCGCTTGAACCTGGGAGGTGGAAGTTGCAGTGAGCTGAGATTGAGTCATTGCACTCCAGCCTGGGCAGCAAGAGTGAAACTCCGTCTAAAAAAACAAAACAAACAAACAAACACAAATTATTGGAACAATTGATATGATTTGTTTATGGGCTGTGCATTAGTTAATAGTGTCAATGCTAAATTTCCTGATTTCTATGTTGGTACTGTAGTTATTTAAGAGAACTATCTTATTCCAGGAAATGGGGATGCTCCTGGCCCAGGATCCCCCCACAACCTCTCACTGCTCTGTTCCCCTCTGGCACTGAAGGAAAATGGTGTAAAGGAAAATGATGTTTTCAGCATGGTCCCAAATGGTTCAGAAACTAAATGTCTGCCTATATTAGAATATTATTTAAATTATAATTTTTAATATTCATAACATCATTTAACATAATTATATTAAGATATATTTAACATAATTATTTGTAACTATATTAAGATATATTTAACATAACTATAATTATATTAAGATATATTTAACATATAATAATACTTTAGAGAGAGAGAGGTAGAAGGAATAATAAAGCAAATGGAACAAAATGTGGCCAGTTGGTGGATCTGGGTGAGGAACATATGAGAGCTCCTTGGACTCATCTTGGAAACTTTCTCCAAGTTTGAAATCACATGAAAATAATAAGCTACCCCAAAACTACATAAAAAACTGGAATGTTATTAACAAAAAATATCAGTAACACTTATCTTTCGGTGGTAGGATCACACTTGATTTTAATTTCATCTTCCTGCAGACAAGTGTTTTCTCAAGTTGTCCACAACACGCATGTGTAACAATGTCAGTGCTTCATTGGACAGTCTGAACTCAGTGGGGTGTAGACATGAAACTGCCTTTAAAAAGCCCTCACTGCAGCTGGGCAGCACTTTTCAGTTCCTCGATGGCATCTTGGAAAATCTCAAAACTCCCTGAGTACCTGTTAGTATGAAAACATCTGGTCTAGATTTCAGTGTTTATTTCCAATCTAACGGAGAGCTCATCTCCTTGCCCTGGTCTTTGCCTGGCCTAGGCTGGAAGGAGGTGGGAGGGGAAGGAGATGGCATGTTCTGCTTTTACCCTCCTCTGCTCACCTCTGCCTCTGAGTGGTCAAGGTCAGGACAGAGGGTAGAGGTAGTAGAGGAAAGGAGACTACATTCTCTCATCCACCTGAAGCTGTTGAAGTTTCCCAGTTGGCTGGGATGCCTCTGGTAGCCAGAGTCCAAGGGCCACTCCTCCTGGGGGCCAAATGTGAGTTCTTCAGGAGGCCCTGGAGGGAGCTTACCACTACACATCCCCCTGGCACGCAAGATCCTCCTGCCCCAGCACCCCCCACGGCCTCTCCCCACTCTGGTCCCCTTGCCCAGCAGGCAGTGTACTCTGGAGGTCCCGCAGGGCAAAAGTCTGGAACTGACTCCACATCACCCTCCCGACCCCACCATTCTGGATCCTCTTGTAGCATTTCCCCACTCAATGAATGGCACCCCTTC
This sequence comes from Homo sapiens, assembly GCF_000001405.40. Lineage (NCBI taxonomy): Eukaryota > Metazoa > Chordata > Mammalia > Primates > Hominidae > Homo > Homo sapiens. Next base: position 82,094,931 of record NC_000015.10, on the reverse strand, counting down.
CTCCCCTATCATTCTTCCCACCTCCCCTCCCTTGCTCATGCACAATCACCAAGTCCTTTCTAGTCTATCTCCTGAATATTCCCCCAGACCAATAGTTTTTCCAAACTTATTTTTAGAAATAGGCTTTTCCTTCTCAAACAGAAACTTGCGTGGTACCCTAACACACAGAACATATCAAAGTAGAGCCACCCGGGTTAAAGGGAGAAGGGGAAGGTAGAGACGGCAGGTGGAAATTCCCCCACTGGCCACCCTCCAGCCACACACTGGTTCCTGGAATCCCTCTCAACACAAAAAACTCCAGGGGTCACGGTGGTGAGAGTGTGCTCCAATCCATCCACTTTTCCCATCACCTTGCCTCTGCCTGGATGTAGGCCAGCATTATCATGGTGCAGGGCATGGCCACGTTCTTTACTGAACCACAGTCTCCATTCTGTAGCCAGAGTGGTCTTCTCAAATGAGAAATAAAATAGTACAATAGTCTTCCCTTATCCACAGAGGATACATTCCAAGACCCCCCAGTGGATGTCCTGAACCCTACGTACACCATGTTTTTTCCTATACATACAAACCTACCTAGGATAAAGTTTAATTTATAAATTAGGCACAGTAAGAGAGTAACAACAACAACTAACACCAAAACAGAACAAGTAACACAATACACTGTCCACGATTTCACAAACAGAAGATTCATTCTTACCATAGATCTTAGCAACCTCAGCATATGATTTCTTTTTCTTTCCTTATTACATTGAGAACTTTCAGCTTTTCGCTTACAGGAAGCACTTTGCAGCCTCTTTCTGGCATGTCGGAATCACCAGCGTCGCTACTCTTGCACTTTGGGGCCATCGGGAAGTAAAATAAGGGTTGCTTGAACACAAGCACTGTGCCGCTATGACAGTCAATCTGATAACCCAGACGGCTGCTAAGTGATGGGTGGGTTGAGTCATGTCTACAGCAGGAATACGATGGACAAAAGGATGATTCACATCCCGGGCAGGATGGAGCTGGGTGGCGCGAGATTTCATCACACTACTAAGAACGGCATGCAATTCAAAACGTATCAGTTGTTTATTTATGGAATTTTTCACTGAATATTGTTGGACCTCACTGAACCATGGGTAACTGAAACCACAGATAAGGGAGGACTACTTTATATCATTCCCTTGCTTAAGCTGCTCCTCATTTTGGGGGATAAAGTTGACACCCCCCCTGAACGTGGTGTAAAAGTCCCTTCATATTCTACCCTCTGCCAGACTGCTGTCTGGGGATCCCCCACCCCCCCGCCCCACATCCCAAAATTTCATATGCTGACATCCTAAACCCCAACGTGATGGTATTAAGAGGTAGGGCCTTTGGGAAATAATTAGGTCATGAGGACTCCACCCTCACAAATAGGATTAGTGCCCTTATCAAAAAGGCCCAAGAAAGCTCACTTGCCTTTTCAACACAGTAAGAAGCCTTCTGTGAATCAGAGAGTGGGCTCTCACCAGACACTGAATCTGCTGGTGTCTTGGTCTTGGACTTTCCAGCCTTTAGAACTGTAAGAAATAAATTTCTGGGCTGGGCATGGTGGCTTACGCCTGCAATCCCAGTACTTTGGGAGGCCGAGGTGGGTGGATCACGAGGTCAGGAGATCGAGACCATCCTGGCTAACACAGTGAAACCCCGTCTCTACTAAAAATACAAAAATATTAGCTGGGCGTGGTGATGGGCACCTGTAGTCCCAGCTACTCGGGAGGCTGAGGCAGGAGAATGGCTTGAGCCTGGGAGGCAGAGCTTGAAGTGAGCTGAGATGGTGCCACTGCACTCCAGCCTGGGCAACAGAGCGATACTCCGTCTCAAAAAAAAAAAAGGAAATTTCTGTTGCTTATTAACCATCCAGTTTATGGCATTTTTGCTATTGCAGCCCAAATGGGCTAAGACAGCCCCTCCAGTCTCAGTCTCAGCTTCCTTCACACCAAATTTGTTCCAATGTCCACAACACATGATGATCTCTGACTCCAGATCTTTAGACACATCTTTCTCTCCTCCTGCTGTCCCTCCCTCTACACGTTCCCCGGCCCCCTTTCCTTGACCTGGAGATGCCCCTTAGGCTTCTAGTCCCACAAGAGAATGGACTGAATGGGAGGAGGTTATCGATGGGCCTGGGTCATGCAAATGGGATTTGGAGTCTACAGAAGGTCCCAAATGAAGACAGGAAAGAAACCACTTTGGATTTGTTTATAAACTGGATGTTCAAAAGTCAGGCACCAGAGATCATTTGAGCTGCTCTGGAACATCTCCCTTAATCCCCAAAGGCCAGTCCATCTGCCTGGGGTTTTCTGTACCTAGTTCCAAAAAGAGTCACACCAGCAGGGTTCTGGAGGCTATCTAGAGATGCTTTTGGAGCTTGTCCTTCTAAAACTCACGTCCTCTAAGGAGTTACTTGTCAGCAGAGGTGAATTCACATAATTGAGGAGTTTTTTCTAAGAAAACAAAGTCACAAATAGAAACTTTGGTGCAGGGCCTTGGGAGAGGCCTTAGGCAGACAGGGGGCCCTGAAACTTAGCTTCATTGGCTTCCTGGTCAATCCAGCTCTCCTGGTCAGAGGCTGGAATCAGGACAGCAGCTGCAGCATGTTTCCCATTTTCAGGGTGATTCTGGTATCACTGTGGGGTGTGGGAGTCCGGAGTCAGGCAGGCTTGGGACCCAGTACAGGCTTTGTCTCACCAGCTGTGTACCTTCTGGAAGGTTACTTCAATCCTTTGCACTTCAGTTTCCTCTGAAGGGTCGTTATTCTAAAAGGTCTTGGCATCTAAAAGGTTCCCTGTTTACCCTTCCAGAAAAGCAGCCTTACAACATTCAGAATTCATCAAATGACTCCAGCCCCTTTTGCAACTACAAGGACAAAACCAAGTGCTTAGTGTGATGGGGGAAAATGTTTTTGTAGCTTAAGGATCCCTTTCACAAAGTGTCATTTAACTTTTTACCACACACTTGGGAAAAGTGCACTCAACTGGGTTGGAAAGTTCCTTTGCTTGTCTTAAGAGGAGTTCTACGGTGACTGTGTTGATGCTGCATGGCCTGGGTGAGGAAGAGCACTGGCCAAGACCTGCAGCTGCCTGAGCTGTCCCACTCTGTCGCAATTCTGGTACCCAGAGGAGAAAACAGAGGAAAGAGGACTAGGAAGAGGATTTCTGTTTCCTTTCCTCGATTCATGCTTAACCTGTAAAGTGAAATTTTGATGTAAGCAAAATAAGTTTTGGCATCCTTTTGCTTTGCTTTCTATGCTTTCTTTTGGGGGGCTCCTTCCCCTCCCCCACCCCTTTTGGGGGGCCCCTTCCTCTCCCCCACCCTATCATATCCCTTAGGTCTTCCATGCTGTGCAAAGGCAACCTTACTGTTCGCCCACCATGCACCCCAGCGTACCCTCACCAGTCCCCAAGTCCACAGGATAGCTGCTTAGAGTTTGAAGTCAGCTCTGATTGAGCTAAGAGCTTCATTCTCAGTTCTTCATACCTTAACCCTCTGGAAAGTATTTACATGTAAAAGAACATTTGTGACCCATCTACATGAATTTCTAATTGGGTGGACTATCAGAGTGAGGAAATGAAATCTGAAACTACGCTGAGTGGATGAAGATAACTTTGGGCACCAAGGATAGGGAGGTCAAGCCTCACCCAGAATTGGATGTCTGCTTTTCATAGTGCCTTCCCTTCCTGCATTTCAGATCTTCAGATGCTCTAAGTATTCCAGGTCTTTCCAGAATGGCTAGGGCCAGGAGTGGAGGTGGGAGGAAACGAGACGGGGAGAGAGGGAGAGCCAAGGTTGTTCACAGGTGTGGTTTGTTTGCTAACAGATTGGATGCTGGCTTCTTAGATGCTAATCTTGGGGCCTGAGGAAGGAGGGCTGGGGAAGGGTTAGGGAGAGAGAGCCGAGTAATGTTAATGGAGAACCAGGTCAGTGACTTCATATGGTGAAAAATAGGGAATCTCTAAAAGTTTTTGAGCCAAGATGTGATGTGTTACAAGCAGCTTTTAAGAAAGATTGATTTGCGGCCGGGTGCGGTAGCTCACGCCTGTAATCCCAGCACTTTGGGAGGCCGAGGCAGGCAGATCACGAGGTCAGGAGATGGAGACCATCCTGGCTAACACAGTGAAACCCCGTCTTTACTAAAAATACAAAAAAAAAAAAAAAATTAGCCGGGTGCAGTGGCGGGCACCTGTAGTCCCAGCTACTTGGGAGGCTGAGGCAGGAGAATGGCGTGAACCCGGGGGGCGGAGCTTGCAGTGAGCCGAGATAGCGTCACTGCAGTCCAGCCTGGGCGAAAGAGCGAGACTCCGTCTGAAAAAAAAAAAAAAAAAAAAAAGAAAGATTGATTTGCCAGTGATATGTCTGATTGATTGAATAAGGGAGCCTGGGGTCAAAGGCTGTGAGGGTGGCCGCCCCAGGAATGCAGGGCTGTGCAAAGCATACCAATGGTATTTCAATGAAAACATTGCTATTTGGTATCTGAATATGGAGGGTGAGGAAAAGAATTAAGACCTACATACTAATAATAATGACACTAACGATACTAATATGAAGAAGTGGGAAAACTAGTGCTATCCTTGATAAAGACAAGGTAACAGGATTTAGATGGGATATCTCTTAGCCAGCAGCCAAAGGGACTCTATAGCAGAAACTGGCTAGTTATTCACCACATTGTTGCATTACATGCCTTTGTTCATATATCTTTGTAAACTCATATGAATGTTTCCTTAGGGTACTCTCCTAAAAGAGCAGTTCGTATATCAAAGGACATATGCATATACACTTTGAAAAACTTGGGCAAGCATTTTTATCTTAAGTGGCAAGTCCCATTCAGTGAATGTGAGGAGAACAGGCATTCTCCTATGTCACTGATGCAATTGTAAGATGCTACGCCTTTTCTGGAGGGAAATTTAGCAATACGGTCCTTTAAATGTAGTCTTATCAATGTGCCTATCTAGTAATTCCATTTGTAGTTTTTTTTAAGGAATTAATCAGACAAATGGGCAAAGATATTTTTGTCAGACTTTTGGCAGCACTATATATTATAGTGAAAAATTAGGAGGAAATCTGTGTCTGGTATTAGCGGAATGATTAAATAAAATATGGCACATTCATACAATTAAAAATCATGTTGTAGACGTACATTTATGGACATAGGGAGATGTTCTCAATGATGCGTGCTACAAAAGCAGATTACAAAGCACCAATTGGAGGCAACATGAGTTTAAGATTTGCTCCCCACTCAGGATTCCAGGATCCCATTTCTTTTTTTTTTTTTTTTTTGACTTGTACCATCACACCCGGCTAATTTTTGTATTTTTAGTAGAGACAGCCAGGCTGGTCTCGAATTCCTGACCTCAGGTGATCTGCCTGCCTCAGCCTCCCAAAGTGCTGGGATTACAGGCGTGAGCCTCTGTGCCCAACCTCCATTTATTTTTTGAGTCAAGATCAGGAGAAGGACTCGGCTGGGTCCTTTCCCTTCCTTCCTGGCAGGATCGGCCTTCCAAAGTGAAGAATGGCAGGTGGGTAGGGGATCTTTCTCTTCAACTCTTTGGCACCCGTTCCTGCTGACTGACACTCCTTGGGTTTTCAAAGAAGTTGGGGCATTTTCCCCTAGTATTCCCAGCATGGATTATGGAACCATTCCTATTACATCCCTGTGAACATCTGGGTACTGAAGGAAAGGGGACTCGAGGCTTCGGGCTTATAGATTGCAACTTGGATTGGATGTCCTGGCACCGCCCCTTACTCCATGCTCTTGAGAATCTCTGTGTTTCCATGGACAATTCCACTCCCATGCCACCCTCCATCGCCATCATTAGGACTGAAGGACACTCCATGGTCAGAACTGTATCCTTTATGTTCTTATCTCTTTCGTAATTTTTCTAACCATGGGATTGAAATCACATTGACCTCCTCCACGTCCTCCCCTTTTTCGCTTGTGAGAATGTCTTGAAAGTTTCCTTTGAAATCTAAGAAAACTGACAATACCCAGTGTCCCCATTGCTCAATGTTAGAAAAGTTCTAAAAAAATATATTCAGGTGGTGGTGGTTTTGGAAAAGTACAGAGGGTATTGAGGACGTGAGACTGATTCTCTAACAAAGAGCAGGACCAACAGCGTGGGCTATGGGTTAGACCCCACTTGCCTTCCTTTTAAATGTTGGGAAGGTTGAGCTATAAAAAAGCAAACCTTGGCCGGCTTAGATTCCTTGATCTTTGTGGGTCACACCTTCCTCTTGCCTACCATCGACAGGGTACTTGCTGCAAACATGTTGGGAGGTAATTGAGACGTAGGTTAGTGAACAGTAAGGAAGTTTCATTCTTTCACTAAAGTAGAACTTCCTTACCTCATTAGAACTTAAGAACTCCTCACAATGAGTAAAGTGCATAATAATAGATCTGCCAGGGAGCTGGAATTTCTCTTGTTGTAGAAAAATTTTATTGTAAAGAAAAGTGGTATAGTATATTCGATTGAATTAAAAAATAACTCTTGTTACATTTGTTGAGAACCTAGTATATGCCAGTTCCTCGGATGCACACACACACACACACAGTTACATATTATATGTTACGTATTATACATCATATGCTACATATTATATCGGATATTACTACATATCCATCACACACACACACACACAAACACACACACACACACACATATATATATATATATATTTTTTTTTTTTTTTTTTTTTCTGAGACAGAGTCTTGCTCTGTAGCCTGGGCTGGAGTGCAGTGGTGCCATCTCGGCACACTGCAGCCTCCACCTCCCAGGTTCAAGCAATTCTCCTGTGTCAGCCTCCCCATTAGCTGGGATTACAGGCACCTGCCACCACACCTGGCTAATTTTTTTTTGTATTTTTAGTAAGACAGGGTTTCACCATTTTGCCCGGGCTGATCTTGAACTCCTGATCCCAAGTGATCCTCCCGCCTCAGCCTCCTAAAGTGCTGGGATTACAGGTGTGGCCACCGTGCCCGGCCTATGTGATACATATTAGATATCACATATTGCAGCCAGGAGGAGACTAGCACTGTATTTCTAATGCCTGAGCTTTCCTTACTGACAATTTGACCCCAAAGGTTAATGGGGTTGCTTTTTTTTTTTTCTTCTGCAGGGGACAAGTGGGAAGCAGAGCTCTCTAGCCAAAAAATTTCCAGAAGATCCATTAGGGCTTTTCATTTTTGGGATGGAAAAGGGAAGAAAGGCCTGGAAAGAGTCGTGAGGATGTTGATTGCTGGGTTGGTGGAGAGCACTCAGCTGCAGCCCCTATGGAAAAAGATTGCCGGAGCCAGCTTTACTGAGTGAGGCGGGCCCAGAGCAGGGGGACCAAGCTGACAGGTACCAGCAGTTGACCCCAGCAACACACAGTCTCGGGAACAGTAGCAACATGAGCCTGGGAGGGCAGGCTCCTCTTTGCTTGGGAGTTGAAAGTTGGGGGATCTTTTAAAATAACTCATTGCAGAGAACGAGGTGCTCTTTGACTGTCAGCGGACAGAGTTCACAGATTCCCTGAGGGCTGGATGGATGAGATACAGAAAGACAGAGCTAGGATCTAGAAAATACCTTGGTGGGCCTGAGCGCTGCCATGAGGCTGACAACCGCATCCAGGCCAGGACAGGGGCTGGCTTAGCAGCCACATGTGTAAAAAGTCATTAGGCACAGAGAGGTACATGGAGGGGAAGAGTCTATGAAAAGGGCTTTGAACCTCAGGAAGTGTGACCCAAGTGCTGACCCGAGGGGCTGTTTTGGGTGCTGGTAAGACCACACCTGTGCTTTGTGGTTGGCACCAAACAGCACAAATGCTCCCTTTCTCAGCTGCCTGGAGACCCTGTCCGCTAATCATGGCTCTCTCTCATTTCCATCTCATCTTCACTCCTATCTGCCCTGGATCCTCCTCCACCTCCTTGACTTGTCGCCACCCCCTCTGAACCACTGTTGATTCTCTAGGGCCCCTTCTTTCCCAGAGCTCTCTGCCGTCCTTCTTGCTGCCCATCTGATAAACCTTTCGACATGGAAGCATTGGCGTTTGTCCCCTGCCATCTCCCATCCCAACCCTCCAGTGGCTCCTAACAACAGCAACAATAGCCACCAGTTACTGAAAGCCTAACCTGTGCCCGTTATCAGTGTGGTGCAGGTGGTGGTGGGGATTTTAAATTGAGTCGTTCTTGGGTACCTCCCTCCTCTCCTACTCCCCACCCCGCCAACACACACACAACACACACACAACACACACGATCAGTTTAGCTACTTAGTGATTTCCATTTTCAAAAATCAGCCAGAAAGAAGAAAAACAGATGTTTTCTAGGGGGTGTTAATTAGTGAATAGTGTGTTCAGTTGTTACCCACGAGAGCTGATTGTCAGCAACAGCAAACAGGCACCCAGATACAGGAACAGCACGGCACCGTGTTCTCTGGGCCCATCCAGGCTGGTGCATTCTTTAGGCAGAGTTATGGTGGGAGAGGAACTAGGGTGTGCTGAAGACCTACTAGGTGCAGGGCCTGTTCTTTTCGTTGTTTTTTTTTTTTTTTTTTTTTTTTGAGACTGAGTCTCACTCTGTCGGCCAGCCCGGACTGCAGTAGAGGGATCTCGGCTCACTGCAACCTCTGCCTCCCAAGTTCAAGCGATTCTCCCACCTCAGCCTCCAGAGTAGCTGGGATTATAGGTGCACGCCACCACATGTGGCTAATTTTTTGTAGAGATAGGGTTTCACCATGTTTGCCAGGCTGGTCTTGAACTCCTGATCTCAGGTGATCTGCCTGCCTCGGCCTCCCAGACTGCTGGGATTGCAGGTGTGAGCCAACACACCTGGCCTGTTCTGAGAGCTGTGTGTTTGCAAGTTCCAGGCTCCTATCTTCTCCAGAGAAGCCACAGGCCCATATGAACATAGAATACCCAGCCATGCTGACCACATGGACCCAGTCCCCCTTGCACTGAGTTGGAGTCCTCCAGCCCAGATCAGCTGGTATCTCCTGGCCTCTGCTCTCTATTCGATCGACGCAAACCCTCCCAGGAAGGATACACGGAAGGCTCAACTCTCTCCGAAGATGTACCAGAGGGCCCCCAGGGGATCTCCGTTCACCAAATAGCCAGTTTCTGTGAATTCACCTACTGAATTATTGTTTCCTGCTCTGTGTCCTGCAGTTGCTTCTTTATCTCTACCCCAGTAGGCACCAAAATAAACTCTTTGCCTTGTTTCCCTTCCCAACCCAGCAAATGGGGATGCCCTGGGCTGTCATGTCAGCAGAATGTGTACTGATGAGTTGTGGGCCACCAAGTAAGTTCACGTGATGGAACTGAGCACAAACGACTTAAAGCCACCACTTTGAGTCCTGTTGCAGAAACCCTTTCAGCCAGTCTCCCAGGAGGGCTTCTCACTGCCTTTGATCTGTGGAGCCCCCAGCCTTCTGCCACTTTGCAAGATTTTTCCTCTCTCTTCTCTTCCAATCTCTCCTGTTATCTTCCAAATTTGGCTCCAGGCATATCTGAATCCATGGAGGTGCTTGGCTGAACAAAAGGATCTTTATAGGACAGGATGTCCCTTCCTTAGAAGAGCATTATGGTTATTAATGGCATAGACATTTTCCTCCTTTGCTGAATTACGTTTAACGGCCCCCAAACGCTTCGCCTTGTATGTTGATGTTGAACATGAGGCAAACAAACAGTCTGTGGACTTGGGTCACTGACACAGCCTCCTTTCCCTGGCTCCCCTCAGAGGTCTGCCCACCTTTCCACAACTTTGGTGTGTATAAGGTGTATAACGATACCCCATCTTCCCTCGTCTGAGCCCACCTCACCTGGCATGTTGTCCACGGCCTCCCTCAGGCCAGCCCTTTATTGAGACATGTCAAAAGAAAGAATGAACCCTCCTTCGCCTCCTCCTTCTTCTTTTAATTAATGGATGTTGTTTTTTAGAACAGTTTTAAATTTCCAGAAAAATTGAGCAGATAAGACAACTCCTATATACCTTGCTTTGTGTTCTCACCAAATTTCTCTTGTTAACATCTTACATACCAGTATGGTACATTTGTTAGAATTAATGCAGTTCTATTGATACATCATTATTAACTGAAGCACACCGTTTATTCAGATTTCCTTTGTTTTTACCTAACGTCCTTTTCATGTTCCAGGATCCCATCCAGGATCCCACATTACACTGGGTCGTCTGGTGTCCTTGGGTGACTTGTGGCAGTGACAGCTTCTCAGACTTGCCTTGTTTTTGAAGACTTTGACAGTTTTGAGGATTGCTGGTCAGGTATTTCGTAGGCCACCCCTCTGGTGGAATGTATTTGATGTTTTACTCCTGCTTGTACTGGGGTTATGGGTTTTTTCGAGGAAGATGGCAGAGGTAAAGTGTCATTTTCATCCTGTTGCAATGAAGCTGCATGCTATTAGCATGATTGATCACTGTGGATGCTGGCCTGGAGCGTCTGGCTGAGGGAATGTGTGTCAGGTTCCTCCTCTGTCAAGTCACTCCTTTTAGCCCCTCTTTCCAGGCGGTATGCATTGGGAGGAAGCCCCCATACACAGCTCACACTTGCGAGGTGGGGAATCATGCTCTACCTCTTAGAGAATGGAGTATCCACAGAGGTTCTGTAGAATTCGTCTGCATGGGGAATTTGTCTCTTGCACATTCTTAAATTTATTAAATTGTTAATAAATGTGTTAATTTATTCAGTCAGGTATTTATATGGTATGGACTCACGGGTATTTATTGTATGCTTTGGGTTATAATCCATTGCAACTTTGTTGATTTATTTGTTCAAATTGTTCCTGCTTTGACCCTGGGTGGTTCTTTCAATGGGCTCCATTGCACCTTTGCATACCCCCATATCTCTGTTTCTCTCTCTCTCTCTCTCTCTCTCTCTGTGTGTGGTCACTTTCTTTCTTGGTAGCATGACAAGATACTCCCTTTTCTTCATTTCACCCCTGCTCTTGGTTATTCTTGCTCCTGTTTTCAAATCTGTTTGAGATTTAAAAAACGTGAATGTCCCAACTACCAGAGGGCCAAGAATATTGACTCCTCTCCATGGGTAACCCAGTGAGTGTCCACATTCCTCCTTGGCTGCAAAAGCATGTTTTCATTTATTCCTTGCAGCACACCTTTGAGTGGATAGCAATATTCTCATTTGACAGAGACTCAGAAATGTTAAATAACCAGGTCAGAACCACACAGAGAAGAAGCAGGGAACAGCACCTGAACCCCATGCAATGCAGTTGCCTCGCCTTTGAGGGGGCAGTTCCCAGTCTCCACCTGGGGCAAGAACGATCACAGGGCCTCTTTGAGGAGGATACAGACCTCCAAGTCTTCCCCATGTGCGCCTCGTTCAAAACCCTCTGGTAGATCCTGGAGCACTGTCTCCCTCAGGCCACTTCAGCTGTTTGGGACTTTGGAAATTCACCTCCCTACCAGAGAATAAAGAATGGGTAACTGGATAATTTTTGCAACAACAAACCATGCCCCTGTAAGCAGCTCGATATCCATTCCCTGGATTAAAAATTGTCTGCTGGCCAGGCATGGTGGCTCACGCCTATAATCCCAACACTTTAGGAGGCTGAGGTAAGTGGATTATGAGGTCAGGAGTTCGGGACCAGCCTGGCCAACATAGTGAAACCCCATCTCTACTAAAAATACAAAAAAATTAGCCAGGCGTGGTGGCAGGCACCTGTAATCCCAGCTACTTGGGAGGCTGAGGCAGGAGAATCGCTTGAACCTCAGAGGCGGAGGTTGCAGTGAGCCAAGATCACGCTACTACACTCCAGCCCGAGCAACAACGCGAGACTTCATCTCAAAAAAAAAAAAACAAAAAATTATCTGCTGTAAACAGGGAGAGGTGTGAATAGTGTTGCGTTCACTCTCCTCATTACAGGATGGCTCTTGGTGGATTTTCAATGACATTCAACAAATGAAGGGGGAAAAGTAAATAAACCAAAACCACCCTATTTTTATGAGAGGGTATGCATATTTACATATCAGTCTCATATTTCAGTGTTCCAGTTTGGGCTATGGTTTTTTAAAAAGGCACTATTTGTTTTTCCTTTTTATAGAAACAAATTTCACTTTGAATTGTGGCGGTTTTTTTTTTTCTAAAGAAAAAGCTACTTTTGAATTTTAGAACTGAAAGAGTGTCTGGTCCATAGCAACCACATGAACAAGATTTCAAGAAATCCTACAGGACTCTACCAGAAATGGAATGGACGACTTGTCTGCTGTGTAGTTCATGGTCAAACACTGTCGTCGCTGGGGCCTGTGGTCCAGACCACAAACATGTGATGAGGGCCCAGAAGAAGGAGCCAGGCTGAGTCAGACCTTCGGCCTGCCTGGGCACTGGCTCTGCAGAGCCCAGAGAGATGTCTCTCACCCTCCCTCCCACCTCACTCGCCCATGGCTGGGACCCCTCCTGCCTGCTCCTGTCCACGTCCCTGCCTGAGGCCACGGCTCTGATCTCCTGCCAAAAGCTGCCCCACTCCTGGGCCACAGAGTCTGATCCCTGGAGGGGCTGGATTGTGCTGAAAGGGAGGAGGAAGAGCAGGGCTGGGAAGTGTGTCCCGAGTCACTGAGCCCAGAGGGTCCGAAACCCAGCAGCCCGGCTTGTATCCACCATGGGTGTCTTACGCTGGCACAAGTACCAGTCAGGCCCACCAGAGGGTGGTTTAAATTCTCCCTCAACCCCCAGTTGTGGACCAGGACTTGGTTTGCATTCAGTTTTGGAGGGAGGATGAACTCAGCTTTTCTGATGCTCGGGGTTAAAAAAAAACAAGCCAGTCCACAGTCTGCACTCCATTGACTGGCCCTCCCTCGAACTCCCAGTCCTCATGCTGTGTTCCTAAGATTAGCTGTTCAACAGGGCCCCCTCCAGGTGTGTTACTGAATAACAACAACAATAATGGAATAGTTTGAAATGCCAGGCACAGTCTGAAGTGTGTTATAGACTTGTATTATCTCACTCAAGCCTCACAGCATCCCTGCGTGAAGGTGGAATCATTATCCCAAATTTGCAGACAAGACTGAGGCTCAGAGAGATCAGTAAGTAGTAGAGCTGAGATTCAAGCCTGGATTCGCTTGACTCCGTAGTCCATGTACTAACTAACCACTAGGTTAAACTCCCTTGTTGGGCCTGACCCATGAATTGGAAAACCAGAACCTGGCCCCATCTTCGTCAGTACTTGGCTGGGTCACCTTGAGAAAGTCACTTTCCCTCTCCTGTCCTCTGATTTATTATGAGTCAAATACAGGTAGTACCTATCAGGGTTTCCTGAAGAGGTACCTATGAAAATGATTTGTTTCCCTGCTGTAAGTGATAAGAAAACCTCCAAAGATAATGCCCCCCTGTCTTTTTAAGGCTTCTCATTCTTTCTTATGGCACTTTCTGCTCATGAGTGGAAACTTATGTGTATTTACTGCAGGGACAACCACATTTTGTCCGCAGAGCTATGGGGTGCAGCAAAGGAAGGTAGGATTTGGTACATTTCCCCAACTCTCTCCTGACCAGATCCATATATTCTCAGCTGGTTGGAGGCGTGACTCCAATCTAACTGACCCACAAAACCTCTGCCTCTCTCCCTTCTCTGCTTGACTCATCCATTCTTCAGAACCCAGTTTGGGAGATCTCTTCCAGAAAGGCTTCTGTGACCATCAGTCTGAGTGTGGGGCTTCTCCTTGAGCTCCCACCAAGCTCTCTCTCTTTTTTTTTTCTTTTTTCCACACAGGATTGTGCTCTGTCACTCAGGCTGGAGTCCAGTGGTGCGATCATAGCTCACTGCAGCCTTGATCTCCTGGGCTGAAGTGATCTTTCCACCTCAGCCTCCCAAGCAGTTGGGACCACAGGCATGCATCATCACGCCTGGCTAATTAAAAATTTTTTTTTTCAGAGAAGGGGTCTTGCTATGTTGTCCAGGCTGGTCTTAAACTCCTGGGCTCAAGCGATCCTCCCGCCTTGGCCTCCCCTAGTACTGGGGTTACAGGCATGAGGGACTGAGCTGGGCACCACGCTCTCCTTGTAACTTCTTCCTCTCTCCACAAAGGCAGGGACTTTGATTGTCTAATGCCTGATCTGCTGCCCAGCAGGAACGCTCTCAGTAAAAGATGAATGAATGAAAAATGGGTCAGATGCACCTGCAATGATGTGTGATTCATTCTCAAAGTTGTGTGGGTGTCTGGTTGGACTCTGCTCATGTTCCTCCTGTGTCCCCAGGTCCCACTTCTCACTGATGCGCCCCAGGCAGTCTGTGGTGCTCTACTCTTTCTCCAGGGCCACCTATCACTGAACCTACAGGATGGCCCTGATGAATCAGGGGCAGGTGGCACAGGTGGATGGCAGGGGTACAATGTGCCAGAAGTGAGGTGTTCACCCCCTGTTCAGGTGGTTTGGGTTGGAGTCTAAGCTGGTTTCCTCTATTCCTGTCTTACTCAAGGGAAATTCCTACCCCTGGCCAAGACAGAAATAGGAGAAACCAGCTTAAAATCCATCCCTTTCCTCTGAGACAGAAAACCATCAAAGTGTAACACATTCACCTTATCTAAGGAAACCTCAAATTTACTCAAAATGGCAGAGAGAGAAAAATGCGTCTCTTGTGTGTGTGGAGTTGGAGCCACATAATGCACATTCAGAGGGTTTACACCCCTCATGGAGGATTCTTCTCCTTATAAAGTTGCCACAAAAGAAGAGACACAGCCATGGATGCTCACAACCTAACTAAGATTAGGATAAGCCTATGGGGCGGGGCGGTGGGGCAGACAGACAGGAATACAATGCCTTCTGCCTCTGCATGCCATTTGTCTTTCAGGGAAATCTGGCTGAGAACTGCTGTAGATACTTGCTATCAGCAAGACACTCTCCCATTTCCTACCCCAGAGTTATGAGGAGTGTACGTGCTGCTGGATGGGAGCAGCGCCTGGGCAGATTCCATAGACAGAAATGTGATTCTGATGGAAATAAAACAAACAAACAAAGCAAACTCAGCAAAAGTCTCAGCAGTCATGAACCTTCTGGGAAAGAGCTGCACTAAATTACCGAGTCTCTTCATTTAGATGAAAGTGCGTGTCTTGAGACATCATTGTTATTTTAACCATCTGGGAGGAAAGTATTCTCCCTAAAGCCTGAGCTCCTTGAAGGCAGAGCTGTGTCTTACATAACTCTACATCATCCATGGCGCCTGGTTGTAGTAGTTGCCTTCCCAATACCTCTTCTTTTCTTCTTTACCAACAGAACCTCTGTATTGTTGGGGTTTGAAGTAATAAGCTACATTTCCCATTCTTCTTGCACAGAGAGATGGCAAATGAGATGTAAGCAAAATTGATTAAAGCGCTGTTAGAGCTGTTTGAAAGGGATTGAGAAGAATGCCTTTTTGCTGTTTCCCTTTCCTCCTGCCTGCTGACTGGAATTTACATGTGATGACTTGTATTTCAGCAGCCATTTTGTGATTATGAGTTGACTTTGAAGATGAAAGCCACATGCTATAAGAATGGTGAAGCAAAAAGATAGGTTTCTAAAGCTTCTGAACAGCAAAGGAAACAATCAAATGTACCCCATAAATATATACACCTATTATATGCCCATAATAATTAAAAAATTAAAAAGGGGCTGGGAGCAGTGGCTCAGACCTATAATCCCAGCACTTTGGGAGGCCAAGGCAGGTGGACTGCTGAGCTCGGGAGTTTGAGATCAGCCTGGGCAACACGGTGAAACCCTGTCTCTAAAAAAAAAAAAAAAAAAAAAAATTAGCTGGGAGTGGTGTGTGCCTGTGTTCCCAGCTACTCAGGAGGCTGAGGTGGGAGGATTGCTTGAGCCCAGGAGGTTGAGGCTGCAGTGAGCCATGATAACGTTACTGCACTCCAGCCTGGGCCTGTTATGCAAAAGTGCATGGGCTCTGGGAGAGAGGTTGGGAGGCTCGCCTTTGAATATGGGTATTAAGCTTCAGTGGATGAATTATATATCATTTATTAATATCTTGGCTGCTCAGAAACCTTTTTACTCACTTGCAGCTTTGGCCACATCTTAAACAGCTGCATAGCTAGCTCTAAACAGGTGAGAATTCTGAACACTACATCTCAAATTTCCTTTTTTTTTTTTTTTGAGACAGATTCAGATTCTTGCTCTGTCACCCAGGCTGGGGTGCAGTGGCACGGTCTTGGCTCCCTGCAACCTCCGCCTCCCGGGTTCAAGCGATTCTCCTGCCTCAGCCTCCCCAGTAGCTAGGATTACAGGCGCATGCCACCACGCTCGGCTACTTTTGGTATTTTTAGCAGAGACGGTGTTTCACTATGTTGGCCAGGCTGGTCTGGAACTCCTGGCCTTGTGATCTGCCCACCTCGGCCTCCCAAAGTGCTGGGATTACAGGTGTGACCCACCACGCCCAGCCACATTTCAAATTTCTAAGAGCTCAGGCACAGGGAGGTGAGCATGACATCAGGTAAGGGAAGTAAGGGTTCGGTCTGTCGTTCCTGCTGGACACTGAAGGTGGACGTGTATTTGATGACCAGATAGAAGATGGGTCCTTGTGTAGTCTTTTCACTTCAGAGGAGTTCCTTTGCTCTCTTGGGGCTTCGGGTTCCCTTTCCATCCAGATGCCCAGATGCTCCTAGACTGGTTCTTCCCTTTCTTCCCTGGCTTTCTGTTTTCTGTGCTTGCTCAGGGGAATAGTGTGGGAAGACAGTTTCCCTCACAGGTTCAAGGCGGTAGAGCGTTGTTGAGGGTCTCCTGCTGGAGAAGTGGAACTTTGCGACTGTCACTCAGGAGTGCAATGCAGTTTCTGAGATGAAAATTTGCGAACCAATTTCACGTGGTCAATGTTGTGAATGAATTTATAGCTAGTGAGGCTCTGAGTGCTGATCAGCTGGGATGACTTTGGAGCTAGATCTGAATACTAATGGGACTGGGTGACTTTAGTTGGTGAGAATTTTGAGACCCTCTTTGTTTTGTTTAAAATGGTCTGAGGCTTTTTTTTTTTTTTTTTTTTTTTTGAGATGGAGTCTTGCTCTGTCGCCCAGGCTAGAGTCAGTGGTGTGATCTCGGCTTACCGCAACCTCCGCCTCCCAGGTTCAAGCGATTCTCCTGCCTCAGCCTGCTGAGTAGCTGGGACTACAGGCGCCTGCCACCACGCCCAGGCAATTTTTGGATTTTTAGCAGAGACGGTGTTTCACCATGATGGCCAGGCTGGTCTGGAACTCCTGACCTTGTGATCTGCCCACCTCGGCCTCCCAAAGTGCTGAGATTACAGCCATGTGCCACCACACCCAGGCGTATTATATCAATAACAATTTCTTAGTTTTGACAAATGTACCATGATTGTGTAAGATGTTACTAGTAGGCAATGCTGGATAAAGGGTATACAAGAATCATATATGCCATCTTTGTAACTCTTCTGTAAATCTAAAATTATTCCAAAATTAAAAGTTTAAAATAATTTTTAAAAAGTCAATCACCAAAAAGTAAGTACATTTAGGACATAGATACATGCAAGACATGTGTAACATAACTGAAAATCACAGATTTTGGAGTCGGACGTACCTGGTTTCTCATCCTGGCTGCCCCAATTGCTAACTGCAATGTTGGGCAAATTTCTTTATTCCTTCAAGCTCTGTGTTCCAATCTCTAAAATAGGAATCCTAATTATATATACTTCAAGGGGTTCCTGGGAAGAGTAAATGAGAAAATACTGGCAAAGTGCCTTATCATAGTGCCTGATTGCCTGATACATAGTAAGAGCTCAATAAAAGTAGCTTTTATTATTCTTGCAGGTGATCAAAGAAATGCAGAGTCAAACAATGTTGGCAAATGATTTCACACCTACTGAATCGGCAACAACTGTGATCCCCAGTGCCTGACAGAGTGTGCTGAAACCGGTACATTCATAAACTGTAAACCAGTACAGCTATTTGGAAAAGCAACGTAGCAATATAGACACAGCAAGAGACTGCAGAAATGGTCACAACCTTTCGCCCAGACCTCCTCTTAATGATTTGCAGGGTTCCAGGCAAGGGTATAAATGGAGCCTCACATACCATATGTATAAGTAGTTTAAAGTTAGAAATCAGGTTACAAACTGTTAAATGAAAATATGTTCTAGCCTCCTGCCTTGGCAAATATACTGTCACCACCACCTGGAAGGGCTCAAGTTAAAAATTCTCAGATGCCTCTGCATCCTGTGTTGGAACATGACGGCATGGGGAGAGCCAGTTGCTAGCCCCCAGACCCACTGTCTTTCCAATTCCTAAGTCTGTCCAGCACTGAGGGGGCCTCATGTGAATGTGAGTGGACAGCCTAGCCCATGCGTCCAAACTCTGTTCACTACCCCCTGCCTGTGGCCACTCCTCAGATCCGGGTGTGTCTACTGGTGGTGTGATTGGATCTCAGGAGGAGAGACTCAGGGACCAGGGCTGGGCAGGCCCTGGAGATGAGCATGGGGCCAGTGGGCAGGGACTTCTGGGAGTCCTAGGCACCTGGAGAATGGTCTAAAAGGGAGGACGTGGATTTGCAATGGGCATGTTCCCTTGGCCTGCAGACTCCTCACCAGGTGGGAGGGACGCAGCCCAAGGAGGGCCAGGGGGACACCCCCTGCCTGATCTCACTGCAGTACTCCTTAGAGTCCATCCAAAGGAAAGAAATAGTTCAGCAGAATAAAAAGGCTACGGGCACAAAGATAGTATCACTGTGTTGCATTTGACACTAAAAAAACCCAATCTAATGTTCAACAGTAGGGAAATGTTAAGACAACAATGATAAAGCTATTCAGAGAAGTAGTATGCTACCACCAACACTGGCACATGTGACAACCATGTCATAACATGGGATAATGTTTATGTGTAGATATAATAGTAAATGAACTCTGGCAACTGTGCAAACATCTGTGCGCCCTAGGTGAGATGCGGAAGTCAACCTGCAGACATGAGAACAGCTGCCTCAAAGAGGGTTGAACTCTTTCAGGCAGCTGAAAGATTTTCCTCCCAAAATTGTCTCTTTCCTGTGGCTGGGGAGAAGCAGGGACTTTTCAGGAACTAATGGGTAAGAGCTGGCTGGTTAGACTGGAGTTTTTTGTGCAACTCTACTCAGGAGTTGGAGATAAGAACCTGCTACCTGCTGCATGGAAGCCAGAAAAGCACTTTAGCTAATCACACTCCCTCTCTGCGTGGGCTGAAGATATCCTTGAGTCCTCCCAGCCCTGAGCCCTTCTCCAGGGGCCAGCACACCCAGAAACCACGCGTGCAGTGTTTGCTCTGGATGCCCAGGATAGTCTCTGCTGCGCGTGTGAAGCTCTGCCATGGGCTGGGTATGGAACGGGCCATGTCACACTGAGTCCTCGCAACAACCTGGTGAGATGGGAGCCTCAGCATGGCTGACTTGGACACTGAGATGCTGGTCCAGCACCACGCAGTTGGCAAGCAGAGAAGCCAGCCTTTGAAACTCTGTGCTTCCATTTGGGCACGTACACTGGGAAATCAAAAGGCAGTGTTCCCTTTCTCCCCACAAACTGCTTCTAGTGTCCCATGGGGCCAGAGGAACTCAATCAAAACAATATTCCATAGATGTGGGATAGTGGTAGCACAAATAAATTAACAATTGCACTTCTGGGCACTCGACTGTCCCCACGGTTCTAAAAATGAAAAGACTCTGGTATTTAATTTATATTTTATAAGAGTGAAAAAGGCCAGGCACAGTAGCTCACACCTTTAATCCCATCATTTTGGAAGGCCAAGGTGGGAGGATTGCTTGAACTCAAGAGTTCAAGACCAGCCTGGGCAATATGGCAAAACTCTACAAAAAAATTAGCCGGGTGTGGTGGTGCATGCCTATAGTTCCAGCTACTCAGAGACTGAGGTGGGAGGATCACTTGAGCCTGGGAGGTCGAGACTGCAGTGCGCCAAGATAGCACCACTGTACTTCAGCCTGGGAAACAGTGAGATTCTGTCTCAAAAAAAAAAAAAAAAAAAAAAAAATTTGATAATTGCCTTTGGTAAGGAAGAGCTGATTTTAGCATGGAACAGAGGGTGGCAAACAACAGCCTTCAAGCCAAATCTATTCCACTGCTTGTTTTTATATGTCCCATGATCTAAATAATGGGTTTTACATTTTTAAATGGTTGGTGGGGGGAAATGTGAAACTTACATGAAATTCCAGTCTCCAGATCTATAAATAAAGTTTTATTGGAACACAGCCACATTCAGTTGTGCATATGTATTGTCTACGGCAGCTTCTGCACTATACCAGCAGAGTTGAGGAGTTGTAACAGGGAGATCATATGGCCTGAAAAGCTGAAAAATTTTACTATCTGGTCTTTTACAGAAAGACTTTGCTGACCCCTGAAATGGAAGAAGACTACAGGCCTAGTTATTTAGTGATAATTGAACCCAGCTTTCATTGTTTGAGTAGCTTCTGCATGTCGATTGTTAAGCTTTACTTACCTAGATTACTTCAAATCCTACAAAGTACATATTATCGATCCCCTGAGCAAAGCTAGGATATTAGCTGAAGCCTTAAATTCAAATTCTTACTTTTTAAATTTAATTTAATTTAATTAAAATTTTTTTTTTAGAGACAGGGTCTCGAGCTCTGTTGCCCAGGCTGGAGTCAGTGGCATGATCATAGCTCACTGCAGCCTCAAATTCCTGGGCTCATGTGATCCTCCTGCCTTGGCCTCCCGAAGCACTGGGATTACAGTGCCTGGTCTCAAATTCTTACTTCCATACCATGGCAGAGGAGCAGAGCAAGACCTCTTCAGAAACATGAGCTCTAACCAAGGCAGGGAAAATATATTTAGAGGTCCTGAATACTGAAAACATTACAGTGTACCTTCCCCAGCCACCCCTCTGTATAATCCAAAATATTAAACATTGTTGAACTCAAAACTGAGTGAAAGCAAGTCCAACAGAGTTCTAATTCCCTCCATGATAACTACATGTTTTTCTAAAATAGTATCCGACTATTTTATGAGAATTTTTTGGTGTCCCTAGGTATATACTTGCTTCATTTGTTGGGTGATTAAACCCCAAAACTGACCAAAATCTGTTGGCCTTGCTAAGTCTGAGCTCAGGGCACAGAAGAAGAGTCTCACATTGTGACAGCCACCTGGCGTGGCGATAGAGTCCTGTTCTTTCCACCAAGAGAGAAGCCGTCCCTAGAGAAGTCTCTCATTTAAGAAAGCAGAACATATCTACTCAAAAAGCCATGGGGCCACCTGAATCAAATGCCTGTCAGACCTTCTCCCTCACCTCAGGTCTGTGTCTCCCTAAGCCCATGTCATGATCAGAGATGTTCCTTAAAGCTGGGCTCCCCAGCCCCCAGGCCATGCACCAGTACAGGTCTGTGGCCTGTTACGAACAGGAGGTGAGTGGCAGGTAAGCAAGCATTACTGATGGTAATGGCAGGTCATCTGGAGTGTCTGCTGCCATCATACTGGCTGCAGCAGGAATGCGCAAGTGGGGCTGTGTGCTCCATGAAGCCAGCGGGAACCAGGGACAAGTGGGAGCTCCACCTCTTCCGAGTTGGGGCTGGAGCTCCCTGGGTGCCACTTCAGCTGCCCAAATGGCAGCTGCAGACCCAGGCCTCTTGCAGATGGGAGCCCCGCCCTCCCAGGCATAGCAGGCAGACAAGTTCCTGGGCAGAAGGAGGTGGGTCCTGGTGAGGCCCCACCTTCAGGCCAGGGAGGGTCTGAAGTCTGTGGGCCCAGCTGCCAGTCTGGTGAACCAGAGTGGGGACTTGTGCTGCCTTTTTTGGGCTCATCCATGGCCACTCATTGGACCAATCAGTACATACTTCCTCCCCTCTGAGGCCCATAAAAGCCCTGGGCTCAGCCAGAGCAGAGGAAAGGACGGAGAGACACTGGGATAGCCAGCTGCAGAGAGAAGATAACCTCTCATCAGGGAACTACAGAGGACAGGACAACCAGCCTGCAGAGAGGAGCTACCCTCTCTGCTAGGAGCTAAACACTTGTCAGGACACCCTAGCTACAGAGGAGCTGCCCACTGCAAGTCTTCTTTGAGCTGTTCTATTGCTCAGTAAAGCTCCTCTTCATCTTGCTCACCCTCCACTTGTCCACATACCTTATTCTTCCATGTTGCAGGACAAGAACTCGGGACCCACTGAATGGTGAGGCTAAAAGAGCTGCTGTAACACAAACAGGGCTGAAACATGCCCCTTGCTTGCCACATTGTGGGTGAAGAGAAGGAGAGAAGAGCTGCAGCCCTTCAGGGATCCCAGACCTGGGAGCTCCCTGAGCCAGAGCCGTGACTCCCTCTTTGGGGTTCTGTGGTTCCTGGCATCTGCAAGCTTCTGGGTGCCACTGCATTCCCCAGTGCCAGCCAGGGAAGTGGCTTGCAGTGCACCTGGTCCAGCCACAACCTTGCAGAGAGCGCTGCTGGCACCTGTAGCTGCCTGCCCCACAGCAGCCACCAGTATGTCTGACTGAGCAGTGGCCGGACCCCATGCTCGCTCACACACCCCTCACTGTTCCACACCCGACTCACCCTTGGCAGGCGTGGGACCCAGGCCAGCAGTGTGAACTGAGTACAGCCTGCCAGGCCCAGCAGGCCTGAGCAAAACTTGGGTAAAAACATCACTGGCCACAGAGGTTTCTGGCTAGGAAAACAACACCCCAAGGATCCTGTAACATTCATCGGAACGCCACCTCCCGTTAGATCAGCGGTGGCATGAGATTGTCATAGGAGCACAAGCCCTATTGTGAACTGTGCGTCTAAGGGATCTAGGTTGTGTGTTCCTTATAAGAATCTAAGATCGCTGAGATTGATGAGATCACTTGAGCCCAGGAGTTTGAGACCAGCCTTGGTAACACGGTGAAACCCCATCTTTACCACAAAAACAAAAATTAGCTGGATGTGGTGGCGTGTGCCTGCAGTCCCAGCTACAGGGACTGAGGTGGGAGGATCACTTGAGCCCAGGGAGGTTGAGGCTGCAGTGAGCTGAGATTGCACCACTGCACTCCAGCCTGGGTGGCAGAGTAAGACCTTATCTCAAAAAACAAAACCAAAATGGTTTATTGTAAAAAAAATGAGTATGGTCAATATTTTTTTCTCCTCAGTTCTACTTTAATTTCAAGCACTCAAGTGAGGATCAAGCATCTGATGAGAATGGGAGAGAAAGGCAGAGAGAGCTGTGTCTGTTCAGGAAACCGCATCCTTTCACAATTAGGGAAACAACAATTTTTTTTTGAGGCAGGGTCTTGCTCTGTTGCCCAGGGTGAAGGGCAGTGGCACAAATCATAGCTCACTGCAGCCTCGACCTCCCGGGTTCAAGCAATCCCCTTACCTCAGTCTCTCAAGTAGCTGGGACTACACACATGCACCATCACGTCTGGCTAATTTATTTTCATTTTTAATTTTTTAGTAGAAACAGGGTCTCTCCAGAAAAACTACAGATGGATCAGACAATTAAATACTGAACCCTGTGGAACAAATAGAAGAGAAAGTGAAGGCTTGTCTATCCCTAGACACACTCTTTCTGGAACATCCGTCTTCCTCACACTGTCCCCTCTTGACTTCCATGATACCCTAGGCTGCTGGTTTTTCTCCTACCTCTCTGGCCAGTCTTTCTCAGTCTTCTTGGCCGGCTCCCCCTGTTTCTGAGCCCCAATCCCTATATGTTGGAGTCCTTTTGGGTCTCAATTTTTTTTTACTCCTTCTCTTTTAGGGTTTTCTTCCTATGAGATCTTTCAGTCTCTAGCCTTTAATGCCACTGAGTGTTGCCATTTCTACTCCCATGTTCATAATTCCAGCCCTGATGTCTGGCCTGACACTTAGAGACTGTCCACGGAGGGATACAGGAACAAAGGAAGTGACAGGAGTGACAAAGGAAAAGATGCGTTTGTGTGTTTCTGCACGTTTCTGTGTCTGTTTGTCTGTGTCTCTGTAGGTTCTGCATGTCCAAAAAAGAATACAGACGAAGAGGCCAACAACAAGGGTGGACATATTGCAGCAAACATGAAAAACAAAGAATTGCTACCTTATACATAAAATGTTCATAATATTAGAAAACAAACACATTAAGGCTCCAAGAATAAAACAGGCAAGAAGCAGGGTCAGAAAGTTCTCAGAAGAGAAGATACATTTAGTATACAAGCATAGAAAACGTCCAGTCTTAGAACTTATATCAATGCAAATGAAAGCAAGTAGATACATAGTTATATAAGAAGAACAAAGGTTGAGAGGTTGTGAATGCTGTTGTTGTTGAAGCGAGTGAAACAGGTGCTCTCCCATAGCCCGCAAACTCGTATAGTCCTGTTGGAAAGCATTTTGCTGCATTTGACCCAGTAATTATACTTGTGGCATAAATCCTAAAGAAATCATTCCATAAGCTAAAAAGCAAACTTTTAAGAAGCATCTATACAGAAGTAGATTAAGTAAGCCTTGATAAATCACTAGATTTTGGAATATCTCAGATTTTCCTGACAATGGGAATCACCCAAAGTACTTACCATGTATGCAAGTTCCTCTCCCTGGGAAATTCTGATTCTGTACCTCTGGGATGGTGCCCAGGAATCTATATTTTAAAAAGGCACTTTAGGCTATTCTTATCTTCAGACACATTTGGAAAATACTGATAGAGGAAATATAATGAAATGCCATCATGAGGTCATTAAAGCTAATGTGTGCAAAGATCGTATAATTCTTTTTTTTTTTTTTTTTTTTTTCAGACAAAGTCTCACTGTTGTCCCCCAGGCTGGAGTGCAATGGCACGATCTCTGCTCACTGCAACTTCCACCTTCCGGGTTCAAGCAATTTTCCTGCCTCAGCCTTCCCAGTAGCTGGGATTACAGGTGCCCGCTGCCATGCCAGGCTACTTTTTGTATTTTAAGTAGAGACAGGGTTTCACCATGTTGGCCAGGCTGGTGTCGAACTCCTGACCTCAGGTGATCCGCCCGCCTTGGCCTCCCAAAGTGCTGGGATTACAGGCGTGAGCAACCATGCCTGGCTGCAAAGATCATATAATTCTATGGAAAAATACTTAATGACATTTTGAGTTCCTAGAATGTCAAATGAAATAGCAGAATATAAAAGTCTGTGAAGTATTGGTCTATTCAACAAATAAATATTTACTGAGCACCTACTAAGGGCCAGCCAGGTCGTGGGGAGACAGAAGAGAACAAAACAGCTGCCATTTATCCTCATGGAGCTTCGAGTCTAATGGGAAGATAAAGAGTAAAGTTAAGAAAACACACACACACACACACACACACACACACACAAAATTCCATACTTACCTAACTGCATGGCCATGATCTCTTTACAAACACATTGTCTCCTTCCATGGGCGGAGAGCTGCTGCAGAACCAACTGCTTTTGGTGGGATTCTAGCTCCATTACTTAGCAAGTGCTTGCAACTCTGTAGCAGCTTAGGAAAGAACTGTGGTTGGAAGGAAAGAGTGTGGTGCATGGATTTGGTAAAAGAGTAAAAAGAGTGGCTGGGCACGGTGGCTCATGCCTGTAATCCCAGCACTTTGGGAGGCCGAGGCGGGCAGATCACGAGGTCAGCAGTTTGAGACCAGCCTAACCAACATGGTGAAACCCCGTCTCTTCTAAAAATACAAAAATTAGCCAGGCATGGTGGCACACGCCTGTAGTCCCAGCTACTTGGGAGGCTGAGGCGGGAGAATTGCTTGAACCTGGGAGGTGAAGGTTGCAGTGAGCAGAGATTGCACCACTGCATTCCAGCCTGGGCGACAGAGTGAGACTCCATCTAGAAAAAATAAAAATAATAAAAGAAAAAAGTAAGAAGAGTAGGAGCAGAAAGAAAGTGAGTTAATAAATGACCAGGGCTGTTTCTGAATTCTGTATGGTGGGGCAGAAAAGATTTTCTTTAAGTAGACTTCTGGGTACCTGTAGACAGACGTGCTGAAAACCCACTGGCAGAACAGCAGCCCTGGTCTGGAGGGACCATGTTGGTCTCCAGAAGCTAATACCACAGGTCAGAGTTCAGATCACCCACCCCAAATCTGGGATCTGGGATCAGTATGAGTCTAGGACTGGGGCAAAAGCCCGGGGTGGGGATAGAGGGCTGTGTGAATTGACCTGCCATTCAGAAACAGCCTCAAGTTTAGGCTTGGAGTTATCTCCAAATGAGATTATGAATACTGTCACAGAGAGCCACCCGTAAGATCGAAAAAAAAAAAAATTAACCAGGACTTTTACACTTGTGTGTTATGACTGAGCTGTATTGACTCTGATGCAGTCTGAATATTTTAAAAATAAATCATACGCTTATCTGGGAACCAAAAAAATATGTTGCATTATAGTTGGTTGAAGTAAATATTTAATATCCTGGATATGATAGTTTTTATAATTCTGGGTTGGCATTTCTTCCTTGTATCAAAAACTATACTAAGGCCAGTTGCAGTGGCTTGTGCCTGTAATCCCAGCACTTTGGGAGCCTGAGGTGGGCGGATCACCTAAGGTCAGGAGTTCAAGACAAGCCTGGCCAACATGGTGAAACCCCGACTCCACTAAAAGTACAAAATTAGCCAGGCATGGTCGCGTATACCTGTAATCCCAGCTACACGGGAGGCTGAAGCAGGAGAATCGCTTGAACCTGGGAGGCGGAGGTTGCAGTGAGCGGAGATCATGTCATTGCACTCCAGCCTGGGCAAAAAGAGCGAAACTCCGTCTCAAAAAACAAACAAGTAACTATATTAGAATCCTCAAACGCTGGAAGTGGTTTAAGCCTGCCCTGACTCTGAGAGGCTATTCCAGGGTAAGAATGCTGCCCAGTACTCTCAAACCCTGTAGAAAAGGGGCTGGTGCTTATTTCCTTAGAGGCATTTCTGTGTAGTTTATCTTTGGTGCTAATGCGGTCCTTTTCAACTTACCGTGTTAAACAGGACATTAGGGTTCTGTTAAGAAGAGATGCACTTTGGGAGGCCGAGGCGGGCGGATCACGGGGTCAGGAGATTGAGACCATGGTGAAACCCCGTCTCTACTAAAAAAAAATACAAAAAAATTGGTCGGGCATGGTGGCGGGTGCCTGTAGTCCCAGCTACTCCGGAGGCTGAGACAGGAGAATGGCGTGAACCCAGGAGGCGGAGCTTGCAGTGAGCCGATATCACGCCACTGCACTCCAGCCTGGGCAACAGAGCAAAAAAAAAAAAAAAAAAAAAAAAAAAGATGTCGCTGAGTGAGGGAGAACCTCTCCTGGGATATGTCCTACCAGGAAGCATATCTGCAGGATCAGATTACACAGATTACAGGAGGTAACAGAGCTGGGGACTTAGAAACAGCAGCTGTCTAGTTTCCTATTTATTTACTCATTCTGAGCACTGTCCATTGGAATTTTTTTAGGAAGGCAGGTTTGGTGTGGGCTAGGTAGTTGAGATCCTGAGACCTGCTGGTCTTGATCTGTAGGGAGCTGACTGGATGACCTTGGCCCCAGGCCTGCCATAGATGTAACAGGGAAGATGCACTTGGCCATCTCCAAGGGCCACTGCAGCCCAGAACATTCTACGTTAATAAGACTCAAGAGTGTTTGCCCAATGGCAAAAACAAAAGTCACACCTTCCAACTCAGACCATCCAAACGGTTTATGAACTTCCAAGTTTTATTTGTTGAATCCCACAGGTCTATCATCATTGTAAACTCTTATTCCCCCCAGTAATATATCTGTAATAATCCTGAAGCATGAATATCTTGAAAATAGCTGCAGATGCCTATATTTTCCCAGCAGAGCCGATAAAAGAGACTTTTGTTTACATATTCATCATTCAGAGTGCTTTGAGAAATTAGGAAGTAAATCGAGTTGCAATTCTGCAAGTGACTTGGCCCTTAGGACTGTCTTACAGTGTGTGGTGTGTACCTTGTGCCTATTCAGGACCATTCCTATCAAAATGAATTTGTAATACAAACATGTCTTCAGCCAATGGGACCACAGAATCTCACCTTGTCATAAGAGATGCAATCAGAAGTATTGTGCAAACACCTTTCCCTGACAGAATAAGTTCCTGGCAACCCAGTAGCCCCCTGCATAATCAAACAGTAAGCCAGATCCTAAATGTTCTATATAAATGTAGAATATGGAAACTGTAGTCAAACAAAAATAGCAATAGTGGGGTAGAAACCAGGACTCTGTACTTCTGTATTTCAGTCCTTGTGTCCTTCAGTCCTTCTCAGGCCACGTTTAGTTTGTTTTAACAACCTCAGCCTAGAACTGCCCTTAATTCTGGCAACAAGGGCCCTCCTCTGGCCCCATGCTTTCAAGGATCTGCTCTCCTGCAGGTGTGGCTCCTTTCTTAGGGGGAAATGCCGGGCTAAGGAATGTATCCCTCAAGGCCTGGGCCTCCCTATTTTAGAACATTCTCTGGATACCCAGGATTCCCCGCTCAAATGTTCTGGGCCTATTTCTAGGACCTGCCCAGGTTCTTTGCTTGGTCCATCCTCCTGAGGGCAGACTATACTGAAGCCTTAGGCTAAAGAAGGGGCAGCTTTTTTGTGGGGAGACGGCCAGCAGAACTTGGACCTGTGGGCCGAGATGTGCACCCAGGTGCATGTGAGGACTTTCTCAGTGCAAGATGGAGCTGGAGGGAGTGGGATGGGAAAGGAGGTGGTATCATGTGCTGGCAGCTGGCTCTCCCCATGCCAACGTGTTCCGGGAAAAAATTCCAAGGAGCCTGAGAACTCTTAACTTGGATCTAGTCTTCTAGGTCATAAATGAAGGTGTGCATATATATCAAGGTAGAAGGATATGTTATCTTTAAAAGTTTTGTTAGTTTCAGCCAGGCATGGTGGCTCACGCCTGTAATTCCAGCACTTCGGGAGGCCAAGGTGGGCAGATTACCTGAGGTCAGGAGTTCGAGACCAGCCTGGCCAAAATGGTAAAACCCCATCTCTACTAAAAAAAAATACAAAATAATTAGCTGGGTGTGGTGACGGGCACCTGTAATTCCAGCTACTTGGGAGGCTGAGGCAGGAGAATCTCTTGAGCCCGGGAGGCAGAGGTTGCAGTGAGCTGAGATCACGTCACTGCACTCCAGCCTGGGTGATAGAGCAAGACTCCATTTCAAAAAAAAAAAAAAAGGTTTGTTAGTTTGATTGGTAATGTTTAAATATTTAGACATGGAGTAGGTGGGTCTCCCACTTGTGATCTTGTTCTGAGTGAAAATGTTAGGGGCTGAGCTGCCTTAAGCAAATCTCTTCACCTCTGAGGCTTGGAGCTCCTCTGTACCAGGAAGCCTTGGGCTCCTTGAGGGCTACTGGCCGGTCCAGCTCTTTCTTTCTTTGAATGTTGGCTGATGAGGCTGAAACTGATGAAGAAAAATGTAGGCAACTTCTTTCCATGGCTGCTTTAGGTGGGATTCTTTTCAGTGCAAGGGACAACAATCTAACTCAAATCACCTTAAGCAAAAGAGAGATTCTTTCTGTTCACTTGCTTCAGACATGTTCATATTTAGTTACTCAAACACCATGTTGTCCATAATTTATTCCTATTTCTTCTTCTGTTTTCGTTTTTTGAGATGGAGTCTTGCTCTGTCACCCAGGCTGGAGTGCAGTGGCAGGATCTCGGCTCAGAGCAACCTCTGCCTCCAGGGTTCAAGCAATTCTCCTGCCTCAGCCTCCTCCTGAGTAGCTGGGACTACAGGCATGCACCACCAAGCCCAGCTAATTTTTGTATCTTCAGTAGAGATAGGGTTTCACCATGTTGGCTAGGCTGGTCTTGAACTCCTAACCTCAAGGGATCCACCCACCTCAGCCTCCCAAAGTGCTGTGATTACAGGCGTGAGCCACCATGCCCGGCCCCTATTTCTTGACTCAGCTTTTTTTCTCTATTGGCTTCATTTTGGGGCAAGCCAAGATGGCCACAAGCACCTCCAAGCTTGAATTTGGCAACTTCAGCAAAAGAGAACATTCCTTTCCTAATAGGTTCAGCAAAAATCCTAACTAAGCCTCTCATTGGCCCTGGCTGGGTTACATGCTCATCCTCTAAACAAATCACTGTGACTCAACTGCCAGGAAGCTGGGGGAGTGGAAGACGGCGGACTCGCCTGAACCACAGGGCAGTGTGGGGCAAAGGGTATTTCCAACAGGAAAAGAGGGGTTCTGATGCTGGAAGAAGGATGCTATGTAGGCAAAATCAACAGATGTTTCACCAGCAATGCTTACCACATGAACTATGAGGACAAAGGAAACAGAAACATACAAATATTTATGAAAGACAGCGATGAAATGGTGCGGTGGAAAATTGTGCTAGAGAAGCCAATCCTGCCCCCTCAACGCAGCCACACTGAGCGAGCTGTGGGTCAGGGGTACCCACCCTACCCTCTCCTTGGCTCCAAAGCAGATGTTCACTACAGTCAACTTAGACATTGTGACTCAGAGACTGCAAGTTCTGTCAGACACTTGGACTGAGGATCTACATGGAGATAAGCAGAGAAAGGTGGTCTGTGAGAGAATAAAGCGGAAATGCAAAGAACACCAGAGACCAGGCAGCCCCAGATAGACCAAGAGCTATGACTCCTTCCCTCCAGCCAGTGGCTCCAGTGCCTTGCAAGGCTCAGCTGTATTTCCTGCCCTTGGTAGAGACTCCTGGGTCCCTCCAACATGTTTTCGCGCGCGTGTGTGTGTGTGTGTGTGTGTGTGTGTGTTACAGCTGGATTTAACAGTTTGCTGTTCCACAAACCACAAATAAAACAAAACACAATAAAAACATAAAGGTGGGGAAATGCTGTTTTTTCTTCTAACATGTAAGAATTGAGTCAGGTGTTTCTCAAGACTGTTGTGATTTTTATCTTAGTTTTTCACAAACATCCAGAGAAGGGATAGGGAAGCGTGCACGTGGAACGACAAGGCGGCTGAGTTCAAGGTCTGGAGCAAGAAGCTCTGCATCCCTGCAGCTCTGATGGGGACGGAGACCCTCTGGGCAGAGATATGCAGGGAAATGCTCATTACTCTGTACCCCCTACCCCAACACCGCTTTTGCCAAGAGGTGGACTGTGCTAGCACCAATGTGGAGAGTTTTGGACATCCACGCCATATCTGTAGCAGCTGCGGCTATCTCAATGCATAAGCTACATTCTCAAAGAATTTCACGTCAAACCAGTGTTTATAAACGGAGCCCGATTTTCAGTGCTTGGAGAGAACCTACACGCTTCCGTTAAAATCTCTCTTCTAGAAAAGTGAAACACAACCTGTTAATCAGCATTTATATAAGGCAATATTTTAAAAATCAGAAAAAAGCTTTTTTTAAAAAAGGCAAAGTTGACAAGACAAATAAGCTGGATGAATCAAATTTCTGCTTTGTTCTGCTTTCACTAATTGCTGACAGAGCCGAGTTGCGGCCTGATTATAAAGCTGTGCTTCAGCCACCTTAGCAAATCTGTTGCTGGAAGACAAGGAGCGAGCACTTACTTTTTGAGAGTAAACTGTATTTTATTTTTTATTATACTTTAAGTTTTAGGGTACATGTGCACAACGTGCAGGTTAGTTACATATGTATACGTGTGCCATTTTAAAAGCACCGGGGGACTGGTCTATTTAAAAGAACAATGGGGTGAGTGGCGCTCTAATGACGGACTCCAGCTTGGGGGCTTTGACTATCCTAGTTCTTCTTGGGCCCCTTTTGGCTGAGCGTGAAGCAAATAAACAAACACCCCGATGGAGAGGTCCTTAACCACGGTGTGCAGCAGCATCACCTGGGGAGCTGTAGCCCAGTACACACGCCCAGCCCCACCCACCAGCCTTACTGAGAGGGGAAGGGATCCTGCCTGTGTGAGCTGGAAAAGCTCTCCAGGTGATTCCGCTTCAAGCTTCCGGTTAAGCACGAAGGCTAATGAGCCTTATTTAAAAGCTCAGGTTTTTACTCAGCAAAATCTGTTGCTTTTAAAATGGACCGCCTTTAGAAAAACCAGCAATGTTGCATGCCAGGATGGGACTCTCTCCCCGGAAATGAAATAAGCAACCCCTGAGAAACGGCGCTGGGACAATAGGGCAGCAGTTTCTCCTCACGTCCTAGGAGGGAAAGTCGACTGCAGGGAGTTATATGACTTAATATGCAGCTAACCAGCCTTTTAATTAACTTGACATGCCAGATAACAAAGCTATTACTAAGTGAGAGTTTCTTAATTGAAAGGGGGAAGAGAGATTTGTTTTATATTTTCAAAATAATCTATAATGAGCGTTACTAATTTGACAATCAGAATTTGTGTGTGTGTGAAAAATAGCTATTTTGAGCTATGAAAAGGGAGGATGAGCAGACCTGCACACGGCAGCTTAGCTTGCTGTGGTTTTGCCTTAGCTGGTAGACGGTGCCTGGTAGTGCATGACTGAAAGATGGTGTGGTTGATTCTATTAGTGTGCAATTGTTCGCAGGCATTTTACCTAGAAATCACTTGTGCCATCGTGGCCATAGTATTTTTCCAGCCTCATCTCTTACTGAACTGTACCTCTAGCTCTGAGTCCAGTCACAATGAACTAATTTGTAGTCTCTCAGTCATCCATGCTTTGCACATGCAGTTTCCTCTCTATGGAATATGAAATACCTCCCCTTCCCTCCTCTTCCTTCCCTTCAGCTTCCAGACTCCTGCCAGCAAGCTTATAAGTCACCTTTCAAATCTCAGTTCAAAAGCCTCCTCTGAGACCATCTCTCCACTTGCAAGACTCGGGGGCTCCATCTATCTCCTGGGATCCCTCGACCAGGCACTCTAGACTGTCATTATAGCAACTCATTGAGTGTATTACGATGGTGTGCTTTTGTGCCTGTCTCCCCACCATTCATATAGTCAACACGCACTTGGTAGATGTCATCATTTGATCACTGCAGCAATCCTACAGGGTACCTTTTACTGTGACTCCCATTTCCCAGTGGAAGAAACTGAGGCTCAAACATAGTAGCCTGCCCAGCTCTCACTACAAGTAGATGGTTTACGTGTGATACAATCCAGGTTCATCTTGCTTCTGAGTTTGTGCTCTTAACTGCCATGTGAGCAAACTTCAATCAGAAAGTGTTTTTTCTTTTTTCTTTTCTTTTTTTTTTTTTTTTTTTGTGACAGAGTTGCTCTGTTGCCCAGGCTGGAGTGCAATGGCACAATCTCTGCTCACTGCACCTCCACCTCCCAGGTTCAAACGATTCTCCTGCCTCAGCCTCCCGAGTAGCTGGGACTACAGGCGCCCACCACCACACCCAGCTAATTTTTGTATTTTTAGTAGAGGTGGGGTTTCACCATGTTGGCCAGGCTGGTCTCGAACTCTTGACCTCAAATGATCCACCTTGGCCTCCCAAAGTGCTGGAATTACAGGCGTGAGCCACCGCACCCTGCCTGAGAGAGACTGTCTTTTCGAATTTGTATCTTCAATGCCCAGCCTACAGGAGATGCTCAGTGGATAATGATGGATAATTATTTAGCAGTTATCCATTGCCAAAAGAATGGATAACATCACTGCTACCGGCTTTGGCAGACCTCACTCCAGGTAAATCATTCCCTGGGGGCATTAATTACCTGCTGGTGTTCCCTGGTTAAAACACCTGTGACACCAGCCTACACATACGCACAGGGCTCTGAGGTGATTTTTTTTTTAATGACAATAAAGACATAAAAAGATATAAGGTAAACCTACGTGGGCTGCTTATAGCACTGTCAGTTATGTGTGTGTTTTCATTTACTTCAAAAACTGAGGATATTAAAATAAATATGACTTTATTCCATTTAGTTGAGATTGTCATTTTTTTTTAATTTGGAAGAGAATTTAAGAAATGATGACTTTATTAACAACATTGGCGTAGGACAGTAGCAGACTGGGTTAAAATACTGTATCAATGTTGAATTTACTAAAGTTCATCACTGTAGTACAGTTTTGGAAGAGAATATCTCCATTCTCAGAAAATGCACACTGAAGAATTTAGGGGTAAAGGGCTATAATGCACACAACTGACTCGGATGTCTCAGAAAATAAGTGTGTGTGCATGTGTGTGGTTTGTATGTACGTCTGTGTATGAGGAAGTGAAAGGGACTAATGTTAACAATAGATGAATCTGTGTGAAAAATAAATGCATATTCTGGCTGGGCACAGTAGCTCACACCTGTAATCCCAGCACTTTGGGAGGTTGAGGCAGGCGGATCACTTGAGGTCAGGCGTTTGGGACCAGCCTGGCCAACACAGTGAAACCCTGTCTCTACTAAAAAAAAAAAAAAAAGGCTGGGTGTGGTGACATGCGCCTGTAGTCCCAGCTACTTGGGAGGCTGAGGCAGGAGAATCACTTGAACCCAGGAAGTGGAGGTTGCAGTGAGCCGAGGTCGCTCCACTGCACTCCAGCCTGGGCAACAGAGAAAGACTCCACCTCAAAAACAAAACGAACAAAGAATGGATGCGTATTCTTCATATTATTCTTATTTTTGCAAATTTTCTGCAAGTTTGAAATTATGTCCAAACGACCTTGGAAGAAATGAACATCCCTGAGAGGAAGGTGTAATGAGAGTGTTTCTTTGAAATACAGTGAGCAAGAGCTGGCAGGGCCGGTCAGTGTCTGACAGTGGCATGAGGTTTCTTTCAGGCTGACTTGCAATGGCTGGTTTTCTTTACCTATTGATGTGTCTTGAATATGTTTACAGTTCAGCTGGCCCAGTTCTCTGAGAGGCAATTGGGTTTCCTTGCAGATGTGCCGCGGGAAGGACAGTGGTGCCTGTGCTTGGAGAAGCCCCTGGCCACGTGCTAGGACAGAGGGACATATGGTGGCACGACTCCAGCCACAGATGCAACTCCCTCAGGAACAGTGGGGCCTGCAGTTGGAAGGGGCCCCCTCTGGCTCACAGTGCTGTGTGGACAGTAGCATCTGTGTGACTGCAAACTCGCCCACTGTGAGTGGGAACAGTCGAGGCTATCTGTGGCCTTGCATCTGCTGGTCCCATTCACCAGGGCAACACTGTGCATGGCCAATTCTAGACCTCCCGGACGCAGTGCATGCAACTCAGCGTTAGAATGTCAATTTCGAAGTACTAGAATGTCATTTTGCTGTTACAGTCACCCCACAAGCATTTTCTGAGCATCTTCTACTTGGGATTGCATCCTTTTTGCTAGGGACTGTGTCATGTGCGTACACACAGCATCTTATTTTTAGCTTTCAGGCTGACTTGATTGAACATGGTGCAGTTAATGTGCCCCCCATTTTCCAAAAGTAGAAAACTGTGACACAGAGGTTAAGTGGTTTCTGAGGTAACATAGAAAAAATATGTAGCAGAGATTTCCTAAACAAACTTGCAGCCTGGCAGGAGGGGTAAGAAGATCCACGAGGAACATTGGATCAGGTTGGAGGAAAGAGGTGCCAAGAGAGACCCAAGATCTTGGCTGGGAAGTGAAAAGGAGTGTGGCCACTTTTGATTCTGGGGTAGGAGGCTTTATTGGGGAGGTGGCATTTGCGTGGAGACTAACAGGATGATAAGAATTTTGAAAGGAAAATCATAAAGAGCTTTCCAATGGAGTCGAGAAAACATGGTAAAAAAACAAAATAGGAGTTGAGATCATAACAACTGTCATTTATTGAGTTTTTCTATATGCTAGGAACTGTGAGAGGCGCTTTAGATAAATCAACTCATTGAAACAGGAGTTTTCTTAAGTGAGCCCTATTAGCATCCTCATTTTAGGGTAAATGGAGGCATCCATGGAAGGTTACATGCATCTAGTGTGGTAACAAAGCCCACAAGCTTAGAAAGTGCTTCATGATAATAGTGAAATGATGGTAATAATAGGAAAAAGGAGGGGGAGGAGGAGGGAGAGGGGAAGAGGAAGAGGAAGAGGAGTGGGGAGGAGGAGAGGAAAAGGAGAAGGAGAGGAGGGGAGGGGGAGGAGGAAGAAGCAGCAGGAGGAAGAGTGGAAGGAGAAGGGGAAGAAGAAGGAGGGGCAAGGGGGGAGGAGGATGAGAAGAAGGGAGAGGAGAAGGAGGGGGAGGAGAAGGGGGAAGGGGGAGAAAACAAGAGGGAGGAGGGGGAGGAGGAGAAGGAGGGAGGTAGGAGGAGGAGTGGGGGACAAGGAGGGAAAGGAGAAGGGGAAGAGGGAGAGGATGAGGAGGGGGAGGTGGAGGAATGAGGAGGGAGAGGAAGAGAGAGGAGAGGAAGGAGAAGGGGGAAGGGAGAGTAGAGAAAGGAAGAGGAGGGAGGAGAGGGAAGAGGAGGGAGGAGAGGGAAGAGGAGGAAACGAGAAGAGGGGAGAAGAGGAGGGAGGAGTTGGGGAGGAGGAAGGGGAGAAGGGAGAGGAGAGGGAGGAGGAGGAATGAAAATAGGCAGGGGGAGGAGGAGAAGAGGGAGGATGGGAGAAGAGGTAGGAGGGGGAGGAGAGGGTGGAGTGGGGTTAGGGGTTAGTCCTGGAGGCATCAGAGGCTTCTCTAGGGAGCGTGGTTTCTATCCTACTCTACCTTAGCCTTGACCAAGCAGGCAGATAGCATTAGTATTCACTCCTTGCTTGGGAGCACTTGAAAAGTTTATAAAAAGGCGTAGGCTGTTTGGATAAAAGATGCTCTGGAGACAAGACAGTGCATCTTCCTCAGTCACTTCCTCACTCCTTTCTCGGCTCTGATTCTGGTGTTTGATGTCTTCCCACAACTCGGCAAAGAAAGAAGAAAATCCCTCTACTCACTGTGCAGTTTGTAGGTTATTTAAAGGAAATGCATTCAGGTGGTTCCTTACCCGGCAGGGTGCAGGGATGGAGTGGGATACAACCATACAACCAACCCCTCAGAGGGCAAGCGCAGCTCATTCACAGTGGCCAGGATCCCTAGGGCAGCCTCGGGCGTCTGTCCCGCAGCAGAGGACACTCTCATGAGGCGCTGGAAACTCAGCTCAGGGCGTGCCAGGTCCCACGGGCGCCTTCCAGCCTGGGACACCTGTGCCAAACCTGAACAGGGAAGGTGCAGAAAAGCGTGTGTGTGCGCATGCACGTGTGTGTGCTAAAATATAAATGAACGATTAAGGGTTTCCTCTGCTGGATATTCTCTGCAGTGGGGAGAAGAGGTGGGAGAAAGTAGCTGTTTTTGCCGCTTGGGGAATGTTTGCCCAACTGGTAAAGGTAGAATTGTTCTTTTCCAAAGGAAAGTTGTGTGGGAGTTGCTTCCTTACCGAAAACAAGGAAAAGCATTAGTGAAAAGATGTAAGATCAACAGGCAATCAAAAATGCACACTGCCAGTGTTAAGGGCACAGGTGAATTTTCCTTCTAGGATTCTCAATACAAACCTATTTTGAAATAAAATGCCTCTAGGTCTTCCCTGCCTAAACCCACGTGGGGAGCACTAATAGCTGCGTACAAACTTCATTAAACTGGCCACAGCTGAAAGGAGCTGGTGCCAACCCACTGCTTTTTGCTGACCGAAGTATCCGGCTGGGTTTTTGCCCTCATTCTGAAGTGACTGCTGCCCATCCCCCACACCTTGAGCATTGTTTTACTAGACATCTTCTAGTGTAGGGTAACTGGAAGAAAAGTAATGGAATACCAAGTGCCATTCATCATATCCCTGCCTCTTCTATTTTGTGGTGCAGGGATGCTGAGGGGAAAATGAGTCTCCTGTAAGTGCTTGGAGATCCTCCCCCACTCCACCTCCTGCATTTCCATAAGCATTTGGCATCAGAGTCTTCTGGTAAACCCCCCAGCTTCTACAATTGGACAATTGGCTTTGTATCACGGCAGGAATTCGTGCCTCTGAAGTTTCTAGGGAAGCTCTACAGAAGCAATAAAGTGGTAGAGTTGTTTGAATAAAATTAGCTTCTATGCTTGTAGGAAGCATACCCAATTCCAGTTAGCTGTATGAAATGCAACCATTTTGGAGGTTTGTGAAAATATGCAAGGCTCCCGGCTTCAGGAGAAAAACAGATTTACATTCCTCCCTGTCTCAGCAGGGAGTCTTCAATCAAAGGCAACCAACAAATCAAACATGATTATCTGTCAGCACATTGGCCCTGGTTTGTAATTATACATTTATTTGTGTGTGATCAATGCTAGTCTCCTCACTGGATTCTAAACTCCCTGAGAGCTTTTCTGTCTTAATTACCCTGAACTCCAGTGCCCACACAGTACCTGGCACATAGCTCATGCTGTAAATATCTGTGGAAAGAAGGAAGAAATGGAGAAAAGGAAGGGAGGAAGGAACAGAAGGGAGAAAGGAAAACGGAAAAAAAGAAATGTTCCAGGTGGAAGGATTTTTTTTTTTTTTTACAATCATCCTGCCCAACAGTATATAGGTTTGCCTGTGATCTTTTTCTCATACATAAGATGGAGATAATAGTCCTTGTCTCAATAGTTATTTTACGTTATTTTCTAACTCAAATAGTTAAAAGTCATTTGTAGGCCCCTGCTCTGGGCCCATGCTTTGTAGGATCTCACTGTCGCTGTCCTCAGGCTGTGCCCCTTCCTAGAGTATGAAGTCCCGGTGGGACTTTAAGCCTATGCTCCCCTTCCCCTTCCTCCGCATCTGTGGGGACTTCTCCCCGACAGTTCACGCAGGTCTCCACCACAAGTGTGCATGCCCTAGGCCCAAGGGGTGTCCAAGGAGTGACTATTTGTAGGGGATGAGCCATGGATGGAACTGTGGTGTCTGCACACATGTGCCTAAGACCCTCTCCCATTGTGGGATGGAGCCTGCAGTTCAGTAGGGGGAATGAAGGGAGGTGTGAATCATGGCTCTTGACCCAGGCCCGCCTCTCTCTGTGTGGCCAGGGTTCAGGGCAGAACCTCAGGAGGCTGGAAGTTGTAGCTTCTAACCTGGCCTTTCAGGTCATGATGAAGGTCTATTTGTCAGGGTAAGAGGTTCAAACCTCCTGCAATAGTCCTATTCAGCAGCTGATAGCTTGGTTTATAACTTTTGAATATTTAGATGTATTCCACGTGGGCAAATAGGAACACACACACATATATATGTATATTTGTGCATTTATATGTGTGGGCATGTGTGTGCACGTGTGTGTACATATATAATTCTATAGTTCACCTGTTAGTGTACCTTGATGATGAAAAGTGAGGGAGGACCCTGACTTTGGACAGCATGGATCTGCCTGCCACTTACCAGCTAAACTGTTTCCTTAGGGCAAAAATAGAGACAACAATAGTACCTATTTAGTTGGATTATTGACATTATTAAAAGAGAGCAACTAACATACTCCTAGAATATAAGTGCTCCATGCATATTATAAACTAACAATTGTTTCCTGCTCCTTTCACTTCATGCATGAAGACATATTCACTCACTCATAAATACTTGCATTATATCTATCTATCTATCTATCTATCTATCTATCTATCTATCTATCATCTATCAACAAAGTCTTGTTCTGTTGCCCAGGCTAGAGTGCAGTGGTGTGATCCTAGCTCACTGTAGCCTCGAACTCCTGTGCTCAAGCAATTCTCCCACTTCAGCCTCCTGAGTAGCTGGGACTACAGATGTGCACCACCATGCCTGGCTAATTTTTGCATTTATTTGTAGAGATGAGCTCTCACTATGTCGCCCAGGCTGGTCTCGAACTCCTGGGCTCAAGTGATCCTTCTGCCTCGGCCTCCCAAAGTGCTGGGATTAGGAGTGTGAGCCACCATACTCGGCCATTATGTATATTTCTTATTCAATCTGAGAACTAACTATAATATTATTCATTTACTATTTTAGTTCAAGTTGATTTCCTTTTAAAACATACACACCAAGTTTATGTGTATTGATACCAGTGGTTTCCCAGGTGTTTTTTTGTTGTTGTTTTGTTTTTTCAGATTCTCATTCTGTTGCTGGAGTGCAGTGGCGCTATCTTGGCTCACTGCAACCTCTGCCTCCCGGGTTCAAGCGATTCTCCTGCCTCAGCCTCCCGAGTAGCTGGGACTACAGACACGTGCCACCACGCCCAGCTAATTTTTGTATCTGTAGTAGAGATGGGGTTTCACCATGTTGGCCAGGATGGTCTCGATCTCTTGACCTCATGATCCACCCGCCTTGGCCTCCCAAAGTGCTGGGATTACAGACGTGAGCCACCATGCCTGGCCTTATATAGGTATTTCACAAAATGATTTCCTCTATTAGGACCATATTCAAAAAGCCCTTCCCCTACTCCACAATTACAGAAGCAGTCACATACATTCCATTTGATTCTTCTCTATGATTTCATTTTTGAAACTTAATTCCTTAACCCACCTGGAATTTATTGCGGTGTTGTTGTGAGGTTAAGAAAAAAAAAAATCAATCTAATATAATGTTTCTAAAAAGCCAGTTGTCTCGGCATCATTTTTGGAATAATCTTTCCCCTCATCATTCATTTACATTTCTACCTTTGTCACATAGTTAATACTTTTTTTCAATTTGGGTTTCTTTCTAAACCTGTAAGTCAATTTTAATGATCTAGTTAACTTTTGATGCCAGTATATACCGTTTTAATTCTTGCAGGTGCATAACAGTTAATACAGCAGAGCGCAAGGGCTGCTTAGTTTTCTTGTTTTTCCCTTTTATTTTGGGTGGGTTGGGGAAGGGAACAAGGTCTTGCTCTGTTGCCCAGGCTGGAGTGCAGCAGCGTGATCACAGCTCACCACAGCCTCAACCTCTTGGGCTCAAGCCATCTTCCCACCTCAGCCTCCTGAGTAGCTGTGATTACAGGGGTGCGCCACCATGACCAGCTAATTTTTTTTTTTTTTTTTTGTAAAGACAGTGGTCTTGCTTTGTTGCCTAGGCTGGTCTCGAACTCCTGGGCTCAAACCCACCTCAGCCTCCCAGAGTGCTAGAATTACAAACATGAGCCACTGTGCCTGGCCATTTTTCTTCTTTTTCAAAGTTGATCAATTATGTGAGCATCACCACTAGAATCTGCAAATGTCTCCTGTATCGGCAACGAGGGAGGTACCATAAGCACCCTTCTTTTACAGATGAGGAAACTGAGCACAGAAAGAAGAGACACTTGCTCAAGGTCACAAAAACAAGGCAGGTCCAGGAACAGTGAAACACAGGCAGTCTAGCTGCAGGGACCACGATCATAACCTCTGCAAAGTGGGGCAGATCCAACCTGAGAATCAATCTCCTTCAAGTCGGAGCATTTTCTCCTCATATCTATTATTACTGACTTCTTAGTATTTGTTTTATTTATTTGGTTGTTTAATGATTTCATATGTTTCCCTGTGTTTCGTTATATACTTTCTATTTATAATGCTTCTTAAAGTTTTCTGGTTACAGACTATTTTCTTTCTTTTTTTCTGAGATGTGGAACTTACCATGGTTCATATTTTAAACTCTTTGGCTAGGTTTACTAATAATTGTGCTTACCCGAAAGCATTCTTTAACTGCTATTTCTTTGGTTTTCAAGGTCAGTGACTCTTTATATGGCTGCATACACATTTTAGTACAATGATAACTGGATAATTTTAATAAAGTTGTATAAGATATAGTTTACGAACATAAAAATGATTCTATTATTAGCTAAAATTTC
Organism: Homo sapiens; assembly: GCF_000001405.40. Lineage (NCBI taxonomy): Eukaryota > Metazoa > Chordata > Mammalia > Primates > Hominidae > Homo > Homo sapiens. Next base: position 82,053,560 of record NC_000015.10, on the reverse strand, counting down.
AGCAGCACTGTTGACATAATTTTTATTGTTTTAATTAAATTGCATGGAAAAGAAATAATTTTATCATAAGAATAAAGAGGATGATAGTTCAAAGTTATTTGTGAGAATATCGTGGCTGTATTGCATTAGCATCTTGACTTTTAAGGTGATGTTTAATAGAGACACAACAATTCTTTAGGTCGTAAAGGCAATTCTTGCTGTTTTAAAAAAATGTTATGACAACAGGTGTGATCACATAAAGTATTAGTAAAGATGAAACAATTTTAAATATTTTCCACTCTATATTCTACTGCTTTATAAGAAGGCTGACAAGAAAACCCTCATTTCACTAGATCATATCTACATCTCACTGGCAGGAAAGAAGGGCCCATATGAGTTACTTACCTAAGTAGGAACTATTATTCCTGTTTTACAGATGAGAAAACCAAAGCTCAGAGGCTAAGTGACTAGTTGAATGTCAGCAGACCAATTGAAGAAAACTCAAAATGTCACCACTCACCAAATTCACCTGTCTATCCAGCCAGTGCACACATCCTTGGCAGATGTCTCCTAATTAAGTGGAGTGTGTGTGTGTTTGTGTGTGTGTGTGTGTGCGCGCGCGCGCGCGTGCGCGCGCAGTGAGGTGGGCCACCCCGCCTGCAGGCAGCTCTAAGTCATAGTTCCGTTAATTATTTATTTTATATGATGATTTTGAGTCCTTTTGTAGTCCTGGCTGTCTTTTTATGAGCACATTTCTATTTGAGAAAGTCAGCAGGAATCTGGATTCTGGAATCACTGAATTCCAATGCTAGCTCCAATTCTTCCTAGAAACGTGATCTTAGAAACGTTAATTTATATAACAGAAATGATAATACATATCTTACAGGTATGGTGTGAGAGTTAAATGAGAAGTTGTCCATGTATTTAGCATTGTGCCTGACTGGTATCATGTGCTAATGCATACTGCTCATTTTATTTTATTTCCATGGTATGGACGTCCTTTTAAGAATATTCGCCCACTGTAGCTGGGCGCGGTGGCTCACGCCTGTAATCCCAGCACTTTGGGAGGCCGAGGCAGGCGGATCACGAGGTCAGGAGATGGAGACCATCCTGGCTAACACAGTGAAACCCCATCTCTACTAAAAAAAAAAAATTACAAAAACTTAGCTGGGCATGGTGGCGGGCACCTGTAGTCCCAGCTACTCGGGAGGCTGAGGCAGGAGAATGGCGTGAACCCGGGAGGCGGAGCTTGCAGTGAGACGAGATCGCGCCACTGCACTCCAGCCTGGGCGACAGAGGGAGACTGTCTCAAAAAAAAAAAAAAAAAAAAGGATATTCGCCCAGTGGAACAACTTTGGCTGCTGGTCCCTCCTCTGTCTCCCCCAAGCAGGGTTATATAGTTCGTTGAGACATTCCCTTCACCAAAAGGCATTCCTCAGCTCAGGGAAAGGAAAGTGGAGAGGAATGGTGAGTGAGACCGTCTTTAAATATCCTGAACTACTGCCCCCTTCCTTATTGTCTACTATCTACATTTGGGGAGTGATTCTCTTAGCAACCTCTCAGGTTTGATATCAGCAATACTGACTCATGATACTACCCCAAAGCCAAAGCATGAAACATGGAAGGTGTTCACTAGGGACAATACCAGATTTCCTTAAATCACAAAGCAACAGAGCACATCACACTGGATGTCTCACTCTGGCTTCCTGCCCGGCTCCATATCAACGGGCAATTGACGTTGGGGGGAGCCATTTCCTACTCTGGCCTTCAGCTTGCGGTCAGCTGAGTGTGTTGGACCACACACTCTCTAGCATCCTGCGATTCTAACCTTCTATGGATTTCATCAGTTTTATAGATATGAGTTCAGCCTACGACTTTGGGAAACAAAGGATTCAACTGTAAAAAACATTTGAATTCCACTGATCTATTTTATCTCTGCTCAGGAAGAAAAAATGGCACCTTCTTCCTGAAGTTTGTGTTTCCGGTCTCCTTGATTTCTGAGAGATTTTAAAATTACTTTCTATTTTTCTTACTCTGTTCTGATATTGCAAAATGGTTATTACCAATTATTAACTAAGTGATGTTTAATTTTAGAAGTCAAGCTACTTGTAAGGGCCCATATAAATGTGTGCTAGGATTAGCTTTAGATTTGTTTTCTGCTTCTATTTACAGCAAGGACAGGACTGGGGAGTGGTTTTATTTTATTAAGCTTTTTAGCATGATTTAATTTTTAAAACTCAGGACGTATTACTTTAAAAATTAATCGAATAAAGATGTATGTTCATAACTTGAACCACACAGAAAAGTAAAATACAAATAAAATTGTGATCTCATTACTTAAAGAATAACCATTGTTGGCCATGTGCGGTGGCTCACGCCTGTAATCTCAGCACTTTGGGAGGCCAAGGCGGGCGCATCACTTGAGGTCAGGAGTTCAAGACCAGCCTGGCCAACGTGGTGCAACCTCATCTCTACTAAAATACAAAAAAAATTAGCTGGGCATGGTGGCGTGTGCCTGCAATCCCAGCTACTTGGGAGGCTGAGCCAGGAGAATTGCTTAAACCCGGGAGGCCGAGGTTGCAGTGAGCAGAGATTGCGCCACTGCACTCCAGCCTGGGCGACAGAGCAAGACTCCATCACAAGGAAAAGAAAACAAGCATTGTTAAAATTTTGATGCAATTCCTTGTAGCCTACTCATTCACTGTTTCTAATGCTTACTAAGTGTTTAGTAACACATACATACACACTGCACACACACACATTGTCTCCTTCTTCACTCAACATAAGGATAGCATTTCCTATATTATTAAAATATTTTTAAAAATGTGTGTGTGTTACATGTGTTATATGTCACACACACTTTTAACCACACAAAGACACAGGAGAACATCAAAAATCAAGATGCTTTCACGTCCCCTCACACATGTGATCCTTATAATCCTGTGTGAGAAGCAGGACTGGAAATATTTCCAACTTCCAGCTGAAAATGCATAGCTCAGAGACAGGAAGGAACTTAACGTTGGTTAAGATCACAGGCTCGGGGTACCACATACCAGCTGTGTGACCCTGGGCACAATAATGGATCTAAGATTTGTGGGGCGCGAAGCCTGTATCATTTTAGGGGTTCTCCTTAAAGAAAATAATAAAACATTTACCTGTGAAAATTTTAGTGATTTCATGTGATCTTGTAAGTATATTGCTAGGACCTCTTCCAGGGCCTTGGAAGGGTCTGTGTTAAGTGAGGAGCCCTGTAGCTTCATTTCATCTGCTTGGAGGCAAATCTGCCTTTATTTGGGTAAGTGACTTATTTTCATCTGTAAAGTGGGGATAATAAAAGTGCTTGCCTCTGAGTAGTTAGAAAGATTAAACAAGATACTGTATTGTAAAGCATTTTGTAAACTTCCTGGCACATTGGCACATAATAAGTGCTTAATAAGGGTCACCTGTGATTACTAATTTTATTCAAAATCATGTCATTGTGGCTGGTGTCATTTGAGCTGCTTCCCAGAGACTGAGCGATTCCTGTACATACCTAAAGTTACACCTTCAAGATGCTGCAGCTTGGCTCACTCACTCATTTAATAAGCATTTAGGAGTTCCTGCTAGATGCTATGCACTGTGCTAGGCTCCAGTCTCAATTCATTCTCACACCACATTCACTGGAAGCACAACTCAGGTATCCCCTCCTCTGGGAAGCCCTTCTAGGACCCTAAGCCGACTCACTACTATCTGGGCACTTATCTCTCTGTGTGACTGGGTTTGGACATCACTAGTATTCAAGGAAAAGACATTATCCTGCCCCTCTGCCACCTTTGTTCATTTCAGTTCAGTATAATCGATACTTCTCTCTGTGCCTATAATACAGTATGGAGGTGCTCAATAATCTTAAATGAGTTGACTGAGCATGTGTTTGTTTTCACAGGAAGATTTCCGTTTCTTTTGCAAGCTATTTAATTTGCAAAAGTAAGCAAGATGTGCACAAAATAGTTTTGAGACATCTGGAAACAAAACAAGGTTGCCTCATCATTAATCTTGTTTTTGTGTGATAACTTTACTTTTTCTCATTTTATGACAACTGAAATTCTCTATTATACTGCCAGACCTCATTCTGCAAGCTTCTCTCCTGTGCTAATAAAAAATATTATGGCCACATCGAGAAGTCCTTAGGGAATGTGTTCTGCATCAGGAAAAGTAATTAAGCTCTGGGGTCCTAAAGGAGCCTGGGAAAGTCTATCCAGAAACTATGGGGTTAGGATGTATTATCTATTGAAAAACAGAACCGGACTTTGCAAGTTTTACAATATCTTGGCTTATTAAAGCCACTAACTGAGAATTAAAATTTCTGGATTGTTACTTTTACAACAGCAGTCAAGTGTCGGAAAATATCCTGACCAGTCAGTAAGGTATACAAATAGAGAAGGCAAGGAGTAGCTGTGAGTAAAGCGCCAACTACATTTGCTGAGTACCTGGGAATTTACGAGTTAGCTTTTGCTATCATTATCCGTCTCGCTAAAGCAACCCTATGAGGTAGGTGGGAAGCTGGATGCCGTCCTCTTTTGACAGCCAACACTGAAGAACAGCTGGGGCTGGAAACTAGATCTGTCAGACATAGTAACTGCTTCTATCACTCTCACCACCCTCCCATGCTCTTGAGAGTGCCTTCGCTTTTGTGGGTGTCTTCAGAAAAGCATGCGGATCTCTGTATAGGTTTTACTCAAGTGTTCCTCTCTGTGGAGGGTGACCTGGGCTACATGAACATGGGCACCTCAGGATCGGCAGCTTTCCATGAATTCCTATGGTAAGGGGTTCAGCTTATCCTTCATGTGGGTGAAGATGTATGATTTCATTGAACATTGGCAGTTACAGCCAAGTACAAGTCCTGCCTTCAGGATCCAGCAGGGAAGAATGACATTAAACATGTCACCTTGGAGAAATGTTGCATTCACCTTCCGGGTAATGACCCAGCCACCCAGGGACTCCTCTGAAATATCCAATCCTCTAAGTTTAAACACGTTTCAGAATTAATCCATCTGAATTCTTATCGCTGTAGATGCAAGGAGAAGGAGTTATGGCAGGTCTGAAACTATTAGCGGCCAAGCTCCCTAGCAGAAGCAACCTCTCCCTACACCCCATTATCCGTGCACAGCTCCTTATCAGCGGAGGAACAACTTTACTGTCACCATATTTTCTACTTGGAAAAAAAAAAGAAACCTCAGCAGGCCCAATCCGAAGGCTATGAAATTTCAAAGAAACAGAGCTAAGAGGCGAGAAACTAGCCCTTTGTGTTAAAAAGATGGAAATGCTCCAAGCGCCTTTCCAGTCTGCTTTCTGTTTACAGGCCTTGCGTGAGCGCGGGAGGCTGGGCCTCATCTCTGGCTCTCCCCAGCCAGGACCCCTTACTCAAAACCCTCCATCTCGGCAAGAACCCTCATTCCCAAGTTAGTTGGATTCCAAGTCCATAAACCGGGTCAAAAGAATACAGTAATTTCCTACTGGAGCTCTAAGTGGTGGTTTTCACGGAGGACTCGGCACCATCCTCCCACCTGCCTCCTCCCATCGAACATTCCTTTTTAAGAAAAACACACACCAGGCTCCGGGAAGCTGACGTAAACATCCTGAGGAAATAACCACTGTAAGTGGCTTCTAAACCCATTTCCCCAAGGAAATAATCAGCACCTCTTTCCCAAGACAGCTCCAGGTAAGCAAGCGGTGAAGGGAGCTGCACCACCGCGTTCTCAAAAGTAAAGGCGCTTGCGGAACTGTCTACTGATTTGTAAGCGCGCGCCCATCCACTGTCGCATTTAATCTTCCGAACGACCCACGAGGTGGTAAAGGCGGGGATTATTTTCTTCATTTTACGGGTGAGAAACCGAGGCCCACAGCGCTCGTTCCTGTAGCCGGGGTCAGGCAGGGCACACCTAGGGGAGCCTCTGCCTTCGAGCCCCGGGACCGCCCCGCGGCACCACGAGATCTCCCCAGTCAGCCCGTGTGCGGCTGCGGCCGCATGGCCTCATTGTTTTGGGAAGACGTCCCTCTGTGAGGATCTTGGGCGACTCTATGAACCGCGGGCCCAGCCGCTCTGCGGAACGATCCGCAGCGGGACGCAAAGGGCGCGGCGAGCCCGGCGGCTCCCGGAACAAAGGACAGCAGAGCGCGCGGGGCCCGAAGGGGCGTCCGCCCTAGTGGGCGGCGGAGGGGGATGCGCGCGGAGAGGACCAGCGCGCACCGCCCCGGCCCGCCCCTCAAATCCTCCTTCCTTCTCTCTCGCACTCGGAGACGGTCCCTGGGAGATCCGGGAGGGGGCGCAGCTCGCCGTCCTCGCCGGCAAGTGCCGTCGCAACCTCCCTCTGCCGCCACCCCCACCCCGAGAAGCGCACAAAGAGCGGCCGGGCAGGGAGCGCTCACCTCCCGTCGGGGCGGGGCCGCGGGCGGGGCCGGCGCGCGCTCCGCAGCGCCCGCCTTAAAGGGCCCGCCCGCTCCTCGCGCGCACTGCGCATGCTCGGCCGCGGGGCACGGAGGGGAGGGATGGGAACAGCGGGCGCGCACGCCCGCGCCGCCCGCTGGCGCTGTGGCCTGCGTCCCCGCGGTGGCGGCGCGGCGCTCGTGCGCGTGTCAGAACCCGCAGGGTCTCGGCCCGGGCGCCGGGCGTGTGCTGGACACTGGTGCCATGCATTCCAGAGGTCGCCAGCGGCCGGGCGGGCCGAGCTCGCGCGGCAGCCAGCTTTTAGCTTTCCCATCCTCAGTTTCAGGGCCAGTTGGGCGAAGTGCTGCCCAAGGAGACAGAAATGCAGGCGCGGGCGCGCGCGCGCGCGGTTGCCAGTGTGGGCGGGCGTGTGCTTTTGTGTCTCGTGCGCTCCCGCGCAGGTGGACAACCCGCGCCGGGAGTCACTCTGCCCGTGCGCCCCAAGACCTGGAGTCCCGTTTTCCGTGTCGGAGGGCTCGGGTCGCCCTTTTGGGCGGACTACAGACTCTTCTCACAGAGGAAGCTTTGGCTCCACGGATGGTTTATTTGGAGCCACTAACGGGACTTCCTGAGGACCGCTCTTTTAGAGCCCGGCTCCAGGCATCAGAGTTGGGCGCGTTTTCTTTTCTCAGTCAGGCGAGGGAGGAGACTTAGGGACAATGATTGTCCTCGGCTGATAGGTACATCCAAGTGTCCCGAGCCTGCCAGTCCCGCATTAGACAACAAAGAGAGGCGTTAGCGGCGGCGGGGGAGGGGCGCGGCCGGGAGGAGGACGGGGCGGGCTGCGGCGAGCGCGGGGGTGGGGGGTGGCGCTCTCTCTCCGCTCGCTCAACCCGCGGCCTCCTCCCGCCCCCGGCCTGGCGCGCGCCAATCGCCTCCCCCAGCGATAGTGTCAGTAGCATTGTGGTGTCAGCTCCCGCCTGTGACGTTGCGCCTCCCTCGTCCCCCTCCGGAGTCGTCTGGCTGCAGAGGCTCAGTCAAGAGGCGGGGAGGAGAGGAGGAAAAAGCGCTGAGTGAGGGCGGGCGGGCGGGCGGGAGGGAGGGAGTGGAGGAGCCGGGGAGGGGCTCCTTAAAGAAACGCTTCTGTCGCTCGCCTGCTCGCTTTTCGCTCGGCATTGCGGCCAGCCAGCCGGGCACTCGGGGGGCACGCGCGGCCACCGCTAGAGCTCTGCCCCCACCCCACCCGCCAGCAGGTCTGGGGTGGGGACCCAGGTGGGGGCTCCTGCAGCCACTGCCCGGTGCGGACCGCACGGAGCGACCCACTCCTCCCAGCACCGAGGAAGAAGCAACGGAGCCCTCAGCAGGCGACCGGCCTCCCCGCCCCTGACCACCCGCTTCCCGGCTGCCTTTGTGGCCGCAGCTTCTCGCCGCCGAGCCGAGGGCCGGCGGGGGCGCGGCGCGCACGGCCGAGCGATGCCCAGCTCGCTGTTCGCAGACCTGGAGCGCAACGGCAGCGGCGGCGGCGGCGGCGGCAGCAGCGGAGGGGGAGAGACCCTGGATGACCAAAGAGCCCTGCAGCTCGCGCTCGACCAGCTCTCCCTGCTGGGGCTGGACAGTGACGAGGGCGCCTCTCTGTACGACAGCGAGCCGCGCAAGAAGAGCGTGAACATGACCGAGTGCGTGCCAGTACCCAGTTCTGAGCATGTCGCCGAGATCGTGGGGCGGCAAGGTAGGTCGAGGAGGGATGGGGAGGTGGGTGGGGGTGGTGTAGGGTCTCAGGCCACTGCCTCGAGGGGAAGGCGTGTTCAGTATCGGGATCCGCGGCGTGGGGTGCCTTGGGGAGAGAGGAAGAGCCGCGCGATGGGCCGGCGCCCCAGACAAAGAAAGTGCAGGCAGGCTGTCTCCCGGAGCCGCGCCGCTGCCCTGGCGGGATGCACTTTCTTCTGCTAAAATCACTGCCTTCTCCCCTAACGCCCCCCAACCAGCCCACCTCCAGAAAGACAATTTAAATGTAAGATGCTTGGGGGAGGGGGCCTTTGATCAGTCCTTTGGGAGGAGGAAGGAGGAGGAGTGAGCATAGGATGGGAGGAGGATTCTGGATTTCTGCAAAGCGGAATGGAGCCCAGAGGAGGAACAATGGGTCCCGGGACTCACACCCCACCCCCTACCCCCAGTCGACCAGCGCTGAGGCATCGCGACTTCAGCTGCCTTCCCCGAGCCCCTTCCCCGTGTCTTCAGAGCTGACGGCGCGCCCAGCTGGATCCCAGCGGCATCTCCCCAGATGACTTTTCTGGGATTCTCGGGTTTGGTTCGGGACGACTGCAGTCACTGGGGGAGGGCCAGGCAGCCAATGGGCTGTTCCTCGAGCGCCTCGCGGGTGGGATCCGCTGCCCAGCCCGTGGCGCGGCCCGAGGTCAGTGAGGGAGACGCCCCCTTTCCGCCCATCTCTTGTCCTGCCGTCTCGCTGTCCTGGACGCGGGCTGTCCCCGGTCCCCGCGGTTACCCCAGGATAATGGGCGTGTCTGTCTCTCTCTCCCACTCCCTCCTCCGCACCCTGGTTCGTAGGTTGTAAAATCAAAGCGCTGCGGGCGAAGACCAATACTTACATCAAGACCCCAGTTCGCGGGGAGGAGCCTGTCTTTGTTGTGACGGGCAGGAAGGAGGATGTGGCCATGGCTCGGAGGGAGATCATCTCTGCTGCCGAGCACTTCTCCATGATCCGCGCCTCCCGGAATAAGAACACGGCACTCAACGGCGCGGTGCCTGGGCCGCCCAACCTGCCCGGGCAGACCACCATCCAAGTGCGGGTACCCTACCGCGTGGTGGGGCTCGTGGTGGGGCCCAAAGGCGCCACAATCAAGCGCATCCAGCAGCAGACGCACACGTACATCGTGACGCCCAGCCGGGATAAGGAGCCGGTGTTCGAGGTGACCGGCATGCCAGAGAACGTGGATCGCGCTCGAGAGGAGATTGAGGCGCACATTGCTCTGCGTACCGGCGGCATCATTGAGCTCACAGACGAGAACGACTTCCACGCCAACGGCACCGATGTGGGCTTCGATCTGCATCATGGGTCCGGCGGGTCCGGCCCAGGCAGCCTCTGGAGCAAGCCCACCCCCAGCATCACGCCCACCCCCGGCCGCAAGCCTTTCTCTAGCTACCGCAACGACAGCTCCAGCTCGCTTGGCAGTGCTTCCACAGACTCTTATTTCGGCGGCGGGACCAGCAGCAGCGCAGCGGCTACCCAGCGCCTGGCGGACTACAGCCCCCCTAGCCCCGCCCTGAGCTTTGCGCACAACGGAAACAATAACAATAACGGCAATGGGTACACCTACACAGCGGGGGGAGAAGCCTCAGTGCCATCCCCCGACGGCTGCCCCGAGCTGCAGCCCACTTTTGACCCGGCTCCCGCTCCCCCACCTGGGGCACCACTTATCTGGGCCCAGTTCGAGCGGTCCCCGGGAGGCGGACCTGCAGCTCCGGTATCTTCTTCCTGCTCTTCTTCTGCATCTTCGTCTGCTTCTTCCTCCTCCGTGGTCTTCCCCGGGGGTGGCGCCAGTGCGCCCTCCAACGCCAACCTGGGGCTATTGGTGCACCGCCGGCTGCACCCTGGCACCAGCTGCCCGCGCCTGTCTCCACCCTTGCACATGGCCCCGGGGGCGGGAGAGCACCACCTGGCTCGCCGGGTGCGCAGCGACCCGGGTGGAGGAGGCCTGGCCTACGCCGCTTATGCCAACGGGCTGGGGGCACAGCTGCCTGGCTTGCAGCCGTCGGACACGTCGGGCTCCTCCTCTTCGTCCAGCTCCTCCTCCAGCTCTTCATCCTCTTCCTCCGGGCTTCGGCGTAAAGGCAGCCGCGACTGCTCCGTGTGCTTCGAGAGCGAAGTGATTGCCGCGCTGGTGCCCTGTGGCCACAACCTCTTCTGCATGGAGTGCGCCAATCGCATCTGTGAGAAGAGCGAGCCCGAGTGCCCGGTCTGCCACACCGCGGTCACTCAGGCCATCCGCATCTTTTCTTAAAGGCAGCGGGCGCTGCTAGTGCGCACCGTGCTGGGGGAAGGGGGAACCCCTCCCCACCCTCTTTCCCCAGCGCTCGCCTGCCTCCCTGGGTGCCCCCCCTCTCCCTTCTCCTTCCCGGCCCCACCAACACTCTGAGATCCGAGAGGAGCTTGGAAAGCTGTAGTATCCGCTCATTTTTAAAATTTAATTTTTAAGTAAAGGAATTTGCCAGGATATCTGCATCAAGAGTACTGTAGCCTGGGAAACCTGAACACCTGAAATGCATGCTCTATAAATAATAGGAACGGCGACATTCTAGTAATGATAGTTTTTACACTGTACTTAATAGGAAGCTTCCAAAAGAAGAAAACCCCACAAGTTTTCCATTTTCTTAAAGTAGGAAAAAATGAACAGTAATAATTATGATGAAGATGATAGTAGTGCTATGGGATGTGTGGACTGTTTAGTGTGTTCCCCTTTGTGGGTGGGTTCCTATGATACTTATTATAGAACACAGTGGATCCTTTTTGAATGTTCGTGGAAGGGCCAGGAGTTCCTGTGAAACCAGGATACTGCAGCTTTATTAAAGTTAAAGAAACTGTAACATATCTCTTATATATTAAAAACGTTTAAAAGTTTTAAAGAGAAATTGCATTAATACAGATTGAAGTATTTTATTCTTTTTTGACTTGAAAAATTATATTTCATATTGCAAAGATGTTTACAAGTATTTTAATTTAAGTTCAGTGAACTTTTTTGTAGCTGGGTTAAATCTTTTTATTTTAGTATGGCCTTATGGCAAAGAACACTGTATTATTTTAATAATCACACAATTGTGACGGAATTACAACCATAAAATGTGTAATGTTTTGAACAGTATTCTGTTGGGATGGAGATTTTATAGGTTCAGACAAATCTTCTAGATCTGCTTCACCCAGCATATTTTCTATTCAGTGATATAAAGCATATTTTATTCTATATTATTACAAAAACGGAAATGTATAAACATGTCAAAAAGAACTGTTGATGCTTTCTAACATTTGTATAAATAGAATTCAGTGCAAGTTACAAAAATTCTGTTGCACCACTCTAGTTTTAGTATTTCTATTTTAATACATTTGTTTACCACTTGTTTATGTATATGTAGGTGATGTTACTTGAGCTTAAATGTACTTTACTGAGCAAAGTTTAAAAAACAAAGTATATTTTATTTTATGATAAAGGGCCTTTAACCTCATGGTCAAATACTAATATTATATTTGCTGAGACAAGATTTGAAATTGTATCAAGAGTTTTATTTTTCTGACATTTAAAGTTCTACATAATAAAGGTAAAACTTAAGTAATGGTGCTACTTCATTTTTTAAGTATTTCTATATAAATAAAATATTGAAGAAAATCTTATCTTGTGTGGTGACTTTTTTTTTAAGCCTCTTGGAATCTTAACTGTAAGGGATCACTTTAAATTGACAAGTTGAAATATGGAATTCCCAGGTACATTTTGTATATTATGAATAGAATGGATTTTCAAAACAGGCCAGGGTTGTGTCTGGTTGGATGGGTGGCCTTGGGTAATGGTATTTTTTCTAAAAATTGCAGGTATCTACTGAATTAGGGCCTCCATTAGACACACAAGTCACAGTGCCTAGGGCGCATGATACTTTTAGGGGTTCAGGAAAGTGTTTAATTTATTTTAAAAATTAGAAAAAAAGGAAATTAACATATTCAAAAACTGTTTTAGTTTTCAGCCCCACAAACCATTTCATTTTGCCTGAAACATTAAGAAAAATATTGAAATTAAAGATATCAAAAATAAATATTAATATGGATTTTATTAGTGAGGAAGGCAAAAAGGGCCAGGGAATGTCATCATTCCACCTGGCATGGGCCCCTGAGAGGATAGTGGGTCTTAAGGCCCTATGCCTGCTCTGTGGCAGGGAGAAGTTGGTTTCAGCTCTGTTGCGAGTTTCCACTGAAGGTCACTCCCTTGGGGAAGCCGAAGAAGGAAGAAGGGATGACAGTTTCTGCTTGCAGAGAACCTTCCTGGATTTGAGCACTGGTCTTAATAGGCTTCTGCTTGTAGGGCAGACTAATTGGTGTTGACAGGCTGCCGGTGTCAAGTGTTTGTTGTCCTTTGAGGGAAGTTTTTGTTTGCTTTTGGCAGGCTCCACCTGCTCCCTGGCTGTGGGGCTTTGTCAAGGGGAGGAGCCACGTGCTGTCACTTAACCTGAACTCAGTCTTCTAGAGAGTATTTAGGAATGACCAGAGCATGCCACTGAATTTCCAGCAAACTTCCTGGCTGAGTTGCCCCTGGAGAACAGTATCTGACTGGAGTATGGCAGGCATTTATTTTCATCTCAGCAGGTGAATCTGAAGAGTAGATTAGTATAAATTGATCTTGGTAGTCCTTCTTCCTTTTGTGTTAATTTTTACCTGTTTGATAATTTAGTCACTGCCTACATAGCTCCTGATTCAGTTGGTTTACACGATGTGTGTGAAGGCAGTAGACAGGTCTTTGGGGTGGGAGGAGTAAAAGGAGTGGCTCTGCTTGGAAAATTTCTGGCATCATCTTCAGCTCTGGAAAGTTCCCAGGCAGTGTTTACCCCCTTCGCTTCTCTCTCAAGGACTGGAGGTTAGCTGAGGCCTGGCAAGGGGAAATGTCACCATGTCCAAGTCCCCCTTTCCTTCAGCTGTCTGGAAATGCCTAGAACAGAACCAAGATTCTTTTTGCATGTAACTTTCTTTAGTCATGTAACTTTGCTTTTCTGCTTTAGCAGAATAATTACAGACAATGCAAGGAAAAAATAAAAAAGCCTTGATTGGTTGATATCTAATGGGCCCTTACTCATTCATATATTTTTGTGGTTCATGTGCCACTTTGGGAACTGAAAAAAGATCAGATGTTAAGGCTGCCAACATACTTTAGGATGGCCTGTATTTTTTTTTCTTTATAGTGAGAGGTTCCCTTTGTTGACATAAAGTTTGGGGCTATATTATTAATAAAATTAGGCTTCTTGAGAGGAGAGTCTGCTCTCTAACATGGGTCTCCCGTGCTAAGCCCAGGTCTCTGTTACCAGCAGCGGATGTGGGCACATGCTAATATTAGATGGCAGTCACTTTTGGTTTGAGTTAAGCCTTTTGTCCCATCCTCCAGCTTCCCCAGGTGACTTCCGTGGACATGACCACTGGCTGTGGAGGTGACAGTCCTCTGGCCAGAAAGATGAGCGGTGCCGCATTCATGTCCTCCAGCTACGAGCAGCTTCCTTTTCTACTTCTCCACCCCTCTGAAACGTGTCTTTCTGCAGCAACAAAATACCAGCTAACGGACACCTTTTCCCCTAATTACTGTTCCATGTTTTATTTCTTTAGGTAGAATAGCTCTCAGTGGAGGTAGGGGAGGGGATGATTTTGCACCCCTCCATTTTGGCAATCTCTGGAGACATTTTTGCTTATGACAAAAATGTGTAATTGTACTGACATTTAGTGGGTAGAGGCTAGGGATACCGCTAAACATCCTACATTGCACAGGACAGCCCCCACACACGGAATTATCCAGCTCAGGGATGAGAAGCCCTGATGTAGACGAAGCAAATATATCTTCTCTTCCCTTCATTCATTGCCTTGAAGTTGGTGGACTTCTTCCAGCATTTACGTGCCTAAAGGCGTTCTAGGATTACCCACGACCCAGTGTAGCTCTATATCAGGAACATTGTGGGCAAGGTCAAGGCTGATGTCTGAGCATAGGAGGTCACAACAAAGGGACTCTTTTTATTCACCAGAGTGGTAGATTGTACCCAATGAATGATAATAATGATTACATGGAATGTTCAAAGCACTCTCATTTCCATTCTCTCCTGTGAGCCTTTCTGCAACCATGAGGCAGGCAGCCCTGAGATTTTACTGTGCCTATTTGCAGTAAAACAAATATTACTCAAAACACAGTCCCAGCCCCCTTACCCAGAATCAAACCTCCGTTTCCAGATCTAGCCGGCCTCTTTCTGTTTTGTTCGGTTCCCTGTAACTATGAGATAAAATGTACGGAGAAATTTCCAAATGGGTCTGTGCTAGCATCTCTTCCCCTTTCCCTATTTCATGGGTACTCCTTATACTACCAAAATGGGCTCTTGGGAAAAGTTCTGATATCTTCAGTGAATTACAGTCACTAAGTGATGCAGAGCTCTTATCTCTTAAGTCTTATCTTTCTAAGAAATATGAACAAATTTGGCCGGGCGAGGTGGCTCACGCCTGTAATCCCAGCACTTTGGGAGGCCGAGGCGGGCGGATCACGAGGTCAGGAGATTGAGACCATCCTGGCTAACACGGTGAAACCCCGTCTCTACTAAAAATACAAAAAATTAACTGGGCGTGGTGGCGGGCGCCTGTAGTCCCAGCTACTCGGGAGGCTGAGGCAGGATAATGGCGTGAACTCGAGAGGCAGAGCTTGCAGTGAGCCGGGATCGCGCCACTGGACTCCAGCCTGGGGGACGGAGCAAGACTCTGTCTCAAACAAACAAACAAAATATGAACAAAGTCTTCTCTCAAGTGGGTTTTGAGCCTGCTGGCCAATGCAATGGCTGGGAGTAGTAGTCCAGACGCTTTGTTGGAGCAAGGTAACTCGGGAAGGAAGGGAATTTGCATTGGGCACATTCACTCTTTTTCGCCATAAAAGAGTAATTCCCTCCCTGGCTAGGGAACAAGGGCCCTTCTAACACTCAACACTGCCTCCCCTTTGGCTTCCTCCCTTCCCTGACCTAGTCAAACCTGACCTTGCCCACAAGCGATGCTTAAAGTGCTAAAGGATCTCTTCCCCAAGTGTTAAGACCAACCAGCTTTCCAGGAAGGGAGAGTGGGAAGAGTTAAGCATCACTTACATTGGCTCAGGGAAGGTCAGTGATAATTTCTATAGTTTACTGAGCCTCTCATTCTGACCCAGGCACTCTACATTGGTCCAACCCTATGGGGTAGGTCTGAGTAAACCCATTTCAGAGACAAGGAAACTTAGGTAGAAGTTAAATTACCTACCTAAGGCCACACAGTCAGTAAGTGTTGGACTTAGGACTCCAACCTTGGGTCTACCTAAATCCAATGTTTCTATCTTTACCACTTCAGAAAAAAATGGCTTTTATAGGAGGTATTTTGAGAAAAAGCAAGCACTCATTTGTCATAAAATAGTCAACTAAGAGAATGATGTTCCTTTTAGTAATACGTGTAACTGACTTGAAAAATAGAGCCCGGCGGAGTTGCCGTGGTGCGGCCAGGCCACGTGAGGAGAACCGAGAACATGAATAGCACCTTATGGGCACAGGGCATTTCTTTGACATTAATTCTAAATAAAGCCTTGACTGTCTTGTGAACAATCAAATATTATTCTGTAATGTATTCTTTTCAGGTGGACAAAGAAAAATTACCATTGGATGAGAAGAAAATGAATACAGAATTCTCTGTTTTAAAAAAAGCTCAATAAAAATGTCACATGAAGTAATTTAGACAGTGACTAAAAGATGCCAGAACCCTGACTGAAAAGTGAAACGTAGTCAATCGTATGGTCTCCCAAATGCCAAGGTCTTTGTTTGACTGATTTTTTAATTTTATTTTATTGACTTAATTTTTCAGGGCATGTATTAGAATTGCAGGATCTGGGCACGGTCTAAAAATGGCATTATGGGTGCTACCCACCCCATGAGTCTTTAGCGCTGGTTCCAACTGTAGCACATGTTTTTCATGTTTTTATGGAAGGTGTGGGTGAAACAAATGGCAAATTTGTGACTCAGTTTACTCATCTGTGCAAAGTGAGATGGTGTCCTTACTTCTGGAGTTATCAGACATGTTCAGCCCCTTACCTGATACCTAATACCCCTTCCACAGTGATATCTTCCAGGCCCTTTCACAATTGCTTAACTGTCTTTTCTCCCTCTAGGCTGAGAATGTATTCAGAGCAGGGGTCTTATCCCCCATCTCTGTGCCTCCAACACCATCCAACACAGAGCCTGGTTCACAGCGATGTTCAGTGCATACTTAGCAAATCAGTGAAAGGGGTGTTTTGCTTCAAATAACCTACATGCCCATCGATAGGGGACTTGCTTGTGAAATTATGTAGCTTCTGCACATGGAATTCTAGCTGTACTAGTAAATGAGGGGATCACTTTGATATCCGTAAAGGCAAAATGCAAAGGATATAATTTCTGTAAAAAAAAGTTTTATTTGTATAGAAAAGTTCTAGAGGACTGTCATGGTGCACAATCTTTAAGACGGCCCCCAATGATCCCTACCTCCTTGTGTGACCCTCTCCCCTTGAGTATGGTTTGGACTTTGTGACTTGCTTCTAATGACCGAATATGGCAGAAGTGAGAGGATGTCACTTTTGAGACTAGGTTATAAAAATACTGTGGCTTCTGTCTTGGTGTGATCTCTCTCTTTCCCTCTGTCTTTCTCTCTCATCACTGACTCTGGATGGAGGCAGTCGTGTGGAGAAATCTATGCGGTGAGAAACTGAAGAGGGCCCCTGCCTCTGTCCACGAGTACTTGAGGCTTTCAGTCCAATAGACCATGAGGAACTGAGACCTGCCAACAACCACAGGAATGAACCTAAAGCAGATCCTCCCCAAGACGAATCTTCAGATGAGACTGCCGCCCTTATCAACATCTTGATTGA
The DNA here is from genome assembly GCF_000001405.40 of Homo sapiens. Classification (NCBI taxonomy): domain Eukaryota; kingdom Metazoa; phylum Chordata; class Mammalia; order Primates; family Hominidae; genus Homo; species Homo sapiens. The sequence goes on along the minus strand of NC_000015.10, from coordinate 82,036,529 downwards.
ACCTAATAAGAGATCTTAAGTCAGACGCACCTGGCTAAGCCACACCCTGATTCCTGATCCATAAAAGCTGTGAGTTAATAGATGCTTATGTTGTTGTTTTTGTTGTTGTTGTTTGTTTGTTTGTTTTTCAGACGGAGTCTCACTCTGTTGCCCAGGTTGGAGTGCAGTGGGGTGATCTCGGCTCACTGCAAGCTCCACCTCCCGGGTTCATGCCATTCTCCTGCCTCAGCCTCACGAGTAGCTGGGAGTACAGGCACCTGCCACCACGCCCTGCTAATTTTTTGTATTTTTAGTAGAGGTGGAGTTTCACCATGTTAGCCAGGATGGTCTTGATCTTCTGACCTCGTGATCCGCCCGTCTCGGCCTCCTAAAGTGCTGGGATTACAGGCGTGAGCCACCACACCCGGCCAGATGCTTATTGTTTTAAGCCCTAAATTTTAGGGTAATTTGTTGTGCAGAAATAGAAAACTCATACAGATGTGGAATTGACTGTGAAACAGTGGTCATCTTTAGAGAATAAGACTAGTATTTGGGGGGTGATGACAGAAAACCAGCTCTGACACTTACTAACTGTGTAACTTGGGAAAGTTACTAAATTTCTCTGTGCCTCAGTTTGATCATCTATGAAATGCAGATAATAATAGTAACTTACCTCAAAGAGTTTTTCTGAGGAGCATTTACCATATGCATGGCATGTGATAAGTGCTATCTGTCTATGTCTCTCAATCCAGACCTATGCTATTATTACTGTCTTTTCATTTTATATTCTCTTGACCTTTGGATTTTTTTTAACCTTGTGATTATATTACATTCATAGGTTAGAAAGAATTTTAAAAATTTAAAGCAAGATGCATGAATGGTGTTAGTCAATTTGGCCTGGGCCAAATCTTCTCCATCAGAGCATTTTGTTGGATGCATATCTTTAAAAGTGATAAAATACTATTATTTTATTTTGTATAGGAGATATTATGCTTTTGAAAATCCTTTCATATAAATTGTCTCACAGCAACCCCATGAGGTAGTGGATAATATGGATAGTACTATTATCCTAATTTTATAGCCGAAGAAACTGAGCTTAAATGCTAAAGTAGAGACTAGAGATTTCTGGAAACCAAGATCTTTCTAGAACATTCCCTGTGCAGATATACAGAAAACTTCTGCTTTTATGGAATAGCCAGAAGTGATTTTAATGAGTTATGAATAAGTTTAATATGCTGTTTATTGATAATATGCAAGCCTACCACCCATGGATGTAGGCTTTAAAACACACTTCTCATTAAATCCATGATGGCATTACCTTACTAGCCCTTTGATGACTCAGAAGGCACTTCAGGGTCCTCATCATGAACATCAGCGACTGTACTGCAAGAACACTATCACTTAAAACCTCTTGATAAACGGGACTAGGGTATTTGGGGTTACTTATCCTAGTCACATTTTTATGGTGTATATCCTAGATGAATTAATTCCTCCACACCTCCTATTCAGGGGGCCCTGTTGTACAGTTAACTCTGCCTCTAACTTCTCTGCTGTGAGACTTTGAGAAAATCGCTTTATATCTTTTAAACCTAGTTTTCTTATTTGGAAAATTAGAAGGATGAGCTATTTTATTGCTTTGTAAACTAGTCTTGTGAGATGCCTACATGAGAGTAACCTAGAGAAGATGTATGAAATACAAATTTCTGGGTTCACCTCTTGAAATTCGTATTCAATAATTTTGGGATGAGATCTGGAAACCAACAGTTTAAAAAGTTCCTTATATCTGTCAATAGGGGATGATGAGTTAAAGACGTAAATATATACTTTAGATGACTTGGCAAAATGCTGTTAAAAAGAATGATGCAGTGTAATTTGTATTGATATTGCACAATCTTCAATATGCATTAAAAAATTTTCCCCTAATTCCTGCACTGATCAACAATATGTATTATTAAAAAGAAAAAATTGGCCAGGCATGGTGGCTCACGCCTGTAATCCCAGCACTTTGGGAGGCTGAGACGGGCAGATCACGAGGTCAAGAGATGGAGACCATCCTGGCTAACATGGTGAAACCCCGTCTTTACTTAAAAAAAAAAAAAAAAATTAGCCGGGTGTGTCGGCGGGTGCCTGTAGTCTCAGCTACTCGGGAGGCTGAGGCAGGAGAATGGCATGAACCTGGGAGGCGGAGCTTGCAGTGAGCCGAGTGCCACTGCACTCCAGCCTGGATGACAGAGCGAGACTCTGTCTCAAAATAAATAAATAAATAAATAAATAAATAAATAAATAAATAGGAAAAAATTTAGGTTCATTACAGGTGTATGGCATGCTTCATTTGTATTAAAATTGTAGATGAAGACCTACCTACAAGTATAATCATATACATAGAATATATCTCAGGGAGGGAGACTGCGGCTTCAGGGATCAGGAGCTGGAGAGACTTCCGTTTCCCTGCATATCTTTTTATACTGCTTGGATCCTTTTTTTTTTTTAAAGTATGTATTGCCTATTCAAAAACATTTTTCTTTTGTTGGTAATGATGTGTCAATGTTGGTTATTGATTGTAATGCCTGCACCCTAATGTGGGTTGTTGATGGTAGAGAGGCTGCCTGTGTGTATGGGGTAGGGCAATGTGAGAACTCTCTGTACTTTCCGGTTAATTTTGCTGTAAGCCTAAAACTGCTCTAAAAAGTAAAGCTGGCCGGGCGCGGTAGCTCGTGCCTGTAATCCCAGCACTTTGGGAGGCCGAGGAGGGCGGATCATCCTGGCTAACACAGTGAAATCCCATCTCTACTAAAAATACAGAAAATTAGCTGGGCGTGGTGGCGGGCGCCTGTAGTCTCAGCAACTCGGGAGGCTGAGCCAGGAGAATCGCTTGAACCTGGGAGGCAGAGGTTGCAGGGAGGCAGAGGTTGCGGTGAGCCGAGATTGCGCCACTGCATCCAGCCTGGGCAACAAAGCGAGACTCTGTCTCAAAAAAAAAAAAAAAAAAAAAAAGGAAAGTCTATTAATTAAAAAAATTTTTAAGTGCTAGGCATGATAAACCCATATATAAATAAATGTATGGCTAGAGAGCTAGATAGAATGACCGATAAAGTAAAAGCTCCTCAGGGGATTCTGCTGTGAAGCTGAGTTTGGGAACCATGAGACTAGGTGAGCTCTAGGGTCTCTTCCAGTGAAGATTTTGGGTGAGCTGAAGAGTAGAAAATAAGTTTGGAAAAGCAAGTCAGAGGCAGATTGTAGAGAGTCTGGGAGGCTCAACTGAGAGTTTTGGGGTGTGTCTTGCAGGCATTGGAGAACACTGTTTTATATTGTTTTCTGGTACCTGTGAGCTGGATGGGCTGGGAAAGTGCCAGGAGGCCAGTGAGGAGCGAAGGCCTTGATCCAGGAGGTGGCTGGAGAGGCGAGAGGCAGAAGAGTGTCTGGGATGGTCAGAAGAGAAGAGGAGAGAGTTTTAAGGACCTCGAAAAACTATTAGGTTGAATCATGTGAAATTGCTGATACCAGACCATTTTTACCTTCAGTAATGGCAATTTCATACGGTTCAACCCAATTAAATTGACAATGTTAGGTGGCAGGGGCCATATCTGGGAGCGAAGACGGACAAGGAGATTTGCGGATTTAGAACCTTGGTGGGTTGGGCACTATTATTAAAAATAGAAGAATGAGGATGTTAGAAGCGATAACTAAATGTAGTGTTAGACCTAGCTGGGAGTCATAGAGCAAATGCTTTTACTTACGATTTCCTGAATACATCTAGTGTTTTTATATATTTGTGCCTTTGCTTGAAACATTTCCTCTGCCTAGGAAATGTGTTGATTTAAAAAAAAAGTAAAGATCCCTGTGGAGGACTAGTGAGATGTGGGGGCGGCGGGGTGGGGGACACAGCAAAAAAAGCCAGTCTACCTGGAGCAGAGTTCATGATCTCATGGGGTGGGAAGAGCTTATCAACGATAAATACAAGCATTTACATTGGTGTGGCTGGGAACTGGCCTTTGAACAGAGCAGGCCTTAAGGAAAGTGACATTTTAGGAAGATGAAGTTGCAGGTGGTAGGCAGGACTGATTTCTTGCAAAAGAGATCAGTGACCCAAGATTGAGGTGGTAAGGGCACCAGGCCAGGGAGACAGCAATTGGAGTGGGGATGAAATAGCATGCTTCATGGCCTCACAGAATCTTGGAGAAAGAAGGAAGCTTAAATGTCATCCAGTTCAAACAGCACCTCTATCAATGCGCAGATCGCTTCCTCAATCTACTATTTTCTTGAAGAATTTTGGGGCCACGAAAGTCATCACTCGTGTGCCTTGGTCTACCTATGAGAGAGCTCATCTTTGTCAGGAGTGAAAAGCCAAAACTTTGCCCAGCGACTTTCATTTTTATAGATCAGGTCAAATTTCTATTCTTTTCTTTTCTTTTTTTTTTTTTTAACCTGACAACCCTTTAGAGATTTGAGGTCACCAACCATGAAATGCTGAATCTTCTTGTTTCTATGCTACCCAGCTCCAGGGCTGTGGTTTTTACATGATTGTTTCCGGCCAATGAATACACAATTGGATGATCTGAAAATTTTCGTTGTGAGTTTATAGACATATTGACACTGTTTATTTAGTCTTTTTTTGAAATTAAGTTTAGAAAGCCTACAACATATAAGGTTAAACATTTGTTATCTCCTTTGAACATACGATGGCCAATAGTGTTTTTTTTTTTAGAAATCTTGTTTCTGAGTATTTATTTACACAATCAAAGTTTGAAGACTTTAAAGAAGGATAGATTTGTGGCTTCTGAAAATGAGCTTAGAATTTTTATGAAGTGTAACTTGACTGTGGAAGTCAGAGAAGGAGCCACAGTGACCTTTGGGAGGCAGTGCAAATGGAGCAGCAAAGATGGACAAAGGACATTGAGAAATGAGGAGAATCATTGGAATTAGGAAGAAAAACTGAACATTTAGATGTGCAAGATGCAAAATAATCAGCAGTAGTTATGAGGAAGGGCATAAAATAGGACATGTGCTTCAGCTGTGAGCACTGAAATACAAGATATTGGGAACAGGGGTTAAAACACATGAGACAAATACTCTAAAAGCTGCATGATGGAGAAGCTTCATTTCAATATCTGTCCAAAATGCTTTCTCTATTGTAAAAAGCGCTCACACGATTTGCACACAGCCAAAACCTGCAAAGAACATATGCAATTCCACGCTAAGCAGTATGAACACATATTGGGGACATATCTGATCCTCAGACTCACTAAGAGTTTTCTCTGAGAATAAAAAAGGATTGCTAATCGTATTTAAATGACATGTAAGAATGAATAAATAAATGTATTATTATTTTAAAAATAACTATTAGGATTTTCTTAGCAGTGTATCTTGCACTGGATCCAGCCAGCATTAAGTAAGTATCAAAGACCAACAGTTGTTAGGATGCTTTTAAGATCCATTTATTAGTAGTAGTATTTTAAATCCCTTTGTATGAGCACATACATCAATATGTTATTGTCATAAAAGTTTCATCTCCATAGCTCAGTATCTATTAATACCATTTAGGGCCAAGTGCCAGTCAGATTCTAGGAATTCCACTCCAAAGAAGAAATCAAAATGAATGAAAACCTCCAATCTATATTTCCCATTTAGGAAGAAAAACTTTCTTGAATTTCACTTGAAAATTTATGAGAAGTTTGGGACTGAGTAAATGGTGGAAGGAGTGGAATTTTGAATTTACTGCCTAAATATCTTGCCCTCTGCTTAGTAAGGTTGGGGCTGCCAAGTAGCTCACTATAAGAGAGTGAATAATCCAGGTTCTTGGTGGAACTAGGCCATATATTAAATTTGGAAACTAGTCCAATGAAGTCCCTTCCAGGGCAACTCAATTAATCCTTCCTTAATGATCAGAACATTGAAACTTTTGCATGCAGACCAATCTCCAAAATGAATCAATTAAACTCAGAAGCTTCTCACAACAGCAAAGTAGGCAGGATTTAGAGCACAGGACAGTACAAAAGCAAAACCACATCATTGTGTGGTGCTATCTTACTGCGTCAAGACCTAGCTAGGACTCTATGGCCACAGGCAGTCTGTACACAAGTTGAAGCAATTAAGGAAGGCATGGGCTCCCTGTGCGAGAGGGAGGAACTCAACCCCTGCCCCTTGCTAAGAACTCTGAGGCAAAGTGCAGAGAATCTCTCCAGCTATTCAGTGTTCTTAATGGCTCATTAAGCTTAGATTTACTGGCTGTCCTTACAAGTCCACTGGACAGTTGTCTAGTCACTGAGATTTTTCCAAATGTTGAATTATATCTGATGATTGTTGAAGTCACATTTAGGGTGGGTGTGGGATTGGTGGCAGAGCTGGGAGACTGCCTAGCTGTATCATACAGAGATATATCCAGTTTCAAAGAACAGAACACCCTCCTGTATTCATTTGGTAGGGGGGCCAAGTACCACAAACTGAGTGGCTTAAACAACAGAAATTTATCGTCTCTCAGTTCTAGAGGCAAGAAGTCTGAGATCAAGGTGTCAGCAGGGCTGGTTTCCTCTGAGGGCTGTGCGGGAAGGATCTGTTCCAGGCCTCTCTGACTTGTATGTGGCTGCCTTCTCCCGCCTTCACTTTGTCTTCTTTGTGTATGTATATCCCCAGATTTCCACTTCTTATAAGGACATCAGTCCTATCGAATTAGGACCCACCCCTCATGACCTCATTTTAACTGGACTATCTTTGTAAAAAGATCCTATCTTCAAATAAGATCGCATTCTGAGATACTGGGGTTTATGACTCCAGCATATCTTTTTTCAGTTTAAGATTCATTTATTATTAGTAGTATTTCAAATCCCTTTGCAGGAGCACATACATCAATGTGTTATTGTCATAAAAGTTTCATTTCAATAGCTCAGTATCTATTAATACTATTTAGGGCCAAGTGCCAGCCAGATTCGAAGCAATTCCACTCCATAGAAGAGATCAAATGAATGAAAACCTCCTATAGTGGCTGAAGCAGGGTTTGACTGGCCTTACACACAGGCAGCCCCAAAGTAAGCAGATCAGGGCTGGTCTGGTTTCTCAGAGACACAACCAGGATCCACAGCTCTTTACATCTTTCTGCTCTGTCATTTGTTAAATGCCTCAGGGTCAAAGGATGGCTGCCACAACCCCAGACCTCTTGTCTATAGTCCAAGCATGAAGAAGGAGGGAAAAGTTTAGTGAAATGACAAGGATGGCCAGTAAAGAGGCACTTTGCTGGTGAGCTTCTGCCTTTTCATTCAGAGACTATCTCTCATTGGCCAGAACTGTTCATATGGTTGGAAAATCAAACATTTATAGTTAAGCAATGTCATCCTGAACAAAGTCTGTGTTATTTCTGTAAAGATAAAAGGTAAAGAGGGATAAATATTGGATAAGTAGCAGTAATACTTCCGAAGCTAAGACTGGAAGGGCTGGGAATTTGCCAAAGTAAGGGTCAAGGCTGAAGTCACCAGCCAGGTAGTTTAATAGGATCTGTGAGTGGGGCAAGGGCCAGTCTAGGGAAGGGAATGAGACCTGAAACCTAGAGAGAGGTTGGACAGCTGTCTCTTACAAGATGGAGGGGCCCAATACAGGCAGACTTGTCACTCTGTGGCCCTGTGGTCTCCTCCAGGAACAGTGCCATTTCCAAGGCTTAGCTTTGACCTCTGTTGCTAGTAGACTGGACATTCAGAGGTGACAGTGGCTACACTGGTCACAGTCAGTGGGAATGCATGCTGTTGGGCCTATGCATAGCTTCCATCTCTCCATTTATGTGCCCATCATACCACTTCTGGGGTGGCCAATGACAGGCTTGCCTCCTCTCCCATAGAACATTACACTGATACAGCCGGGCGCAGTGGCTTATGCCTGTAATCCCAGCACTTTGGGAGGACAAGGCGGGTGGATCATCTGAGGTCAGGAGTTTGAGACCAGCCTGGCCAACATGGAGAAACCCCGTCTCTACTAAAAATACAAAATTAACCAGGTGTGGTGGTGCATGCCTGTAATCCCAGCTACTCAGGAAGGCTGAGGCAGGAGAATCGCTTGAACTCAGGAGGCGGAGGTTGCGGTGAGCTGAGATTGTGCCACTGCACTCCAGCCTGGGCAACAAAAGCAAAACTTGGTCTCAAAAAAAAAAAAAAAAAAGAGCCTTACACTGATTCGTTATACCGATGACATCATGCTGATCAGACATGACCAGCAAGAGCTGACTAGTACTCCAGAGGTCTTACAAGGTAAGACATTTGCAATCTAGAGGTGGTAGATCAACCCTACAAAAATTTAGATTTTGGCCAAATGGCCAAATCATTTTGTCTACTTGGTTGTCTATTTTCTATTTTCTCTTCCATGATGGATGTTTTCTGGTGGGCATTAACTTATAATTCAAATATCACCAGAGGTTGAGCCCACTCTCATATTCATGTTCATCTACATGCCTCTACTGCAGACTTCCTTGTCTCTAATCTTCCAATGCTTTCATTTTGGTTCCTAACCAGCTGGTTCAGCCATTGGCCCCTGCTCAGGAATCTGTGTATGTTTTCCTCTTAGCCACTTTTCTTCCTCACAAAGTGTATTAGGAGGATCCAGCTTTTCTGCGGGAAAGATTTGTCCCTCTTGCCTGTCTTTCAGTGGCTGTAATACAGCTGCTGCCCATTTTCAGCTCATGCCTACATAGCAAGCTGATACAGCAGTAACCAAGCTTAGACATTTTCTCCTCCTTCAGTTGATCATATGGGACCCATATGGCTTCGATGAGTTGAAAAAACTGTTGAGAGTGCCTTAAGCTTCTGGGCTACCTGCTCATGAAGTTTATTCATGGCCCCAGTCCTGCTCAGACCAAGTCTTAGAGGTATAATTTTCATCTTATGATAGACTGCTGCTGAGCCTATTTCAATGCAGGACTTGGAGAATTCAGCTCATGATGGACTGTGGTGGATGCATGGTCATTTGCCCCCAAATCAAGTGTTCCATTTCTACCTGGGTCCAATGATGTACCAGGAACTGTTTATTGAAAGGCGTATAAATCTTTGCTGTAGATAGTGTGGCATTGGTCCAGTACCCCAGAGACCTGCTTGCAATTTTTCCAATGGGCCTTGCAATAAACTCCACCACGGCATCTTCTAATGCACCGGATACCTCCAACATCATGCAGTCTGCTAGACTGGACTATGTGGCAGGGCTGCACAGAGCTCTTTCCTGACCTGGGCCCCACTTCAAGCTGTCAGTCTTTTGTGTTGACCGGTAGGTGGGCCCAAGCAGTATTCCTAGATGTAGAACCCAAAGAGGCCCACCTTTCTTCTTTAGGTTAGGCAATAAAAGATACATCAATTAGTTTTTTACTTCGGAGGTAATATCCCAGAACATGCCTGACTTCTTGACTCTTAAAAAATTATCAAAGTGACCGATTTCTGAATCTTTGTAGTGTTTATCTCCCACCTCTAGATTGCAAATGTCTTACCTTGTAAGACCTCTGGAGCTCTGGAGTACTAGCCAGCTCTTGCTGGTCATGTCTGATCAGCATGATGCCATTGGTGTAATGAATCAGTGTACTGTTCTATGGGACGTCCAAGTGCCTTAGATTTTTTAGACTATATTATGATAGAGACTGAGAGAGTTAACAGCCTAGAGGCAAAACTGGAAATGAATACTATTGTCTTATCTATGGTAATGAAAGCTGTTTCTG